>NC_000015.10:79526874-80776874 GCF_000001405.40 Homo sapiens | reverse complement strand
AAAGGTTGGCCACACCTGTGGCTCCATACGCCAAGCCTCCAGACCCAGTTGTCCAGGAAAACCTGGAGTAGACGGGTGGAGGACAAGGAGAAAAGGGAAGCAGGATGTAGTTAGGGTAGTGTGTGAGTGGGCTGTGGGCCTCAAGGTTTCCAGCAGACCCACAAAAAATTAAAACTGAATTGGGCATCTCCACCCTTGGAGAAGCAGCTCACGAATAATGAGCATACTTAAGTCCCACCAACAGGGGTCGCCCTTAGACACTGGGCCTGAAGCTGGCATCAGAAAAGGGAAATTCCCAGGCCTGGATCCGGAGGCCAGATTTCCAGCTCTCAGAGCTGTTGATTCCTGTCTTGTTGGACACAGAAGAGGCTGCCCAGCTGAAGAGAGACATGTCCTCAGCTTTTCTGGTGAGTGAAGGCCTGTGCTGGAACTTATGACAGCAAATCCCAGCTCTGAAAGTGGATTTCTATATCTTCCTCTTCAAACTCACCGTCACTCTAGAGAAAGAACTCTTCTTTCCTGTGTTTTATTTATGTCTAAAACATAGGTAAACGGTGTATGTATGATGTCTTCTTCTTATTTATTTCCTTTTGTTCTAATTGCAAAAAATCACACATGTTCCCTGTAAAAAAATCAACCAACCAACCAACCTTGAAAAACTTAAACAATGAACAAAGAGAAAAGAAATTACCTAACATCAAACATAATGTGTATACATTACAAAAGCTTGAAAAATACAGAAAAACACAAAGGAAAGAAAAAAAAATCACTTCCACTCAAAAATTATTTCTGTTAATTTCAGTATATAGCCAAGCATTTTTCCATGTATAAGTTACATATATAGTTTCACAAATAGATAAATGTATGTAAGTGTTCCATAAATCTTCAATAGCTAGCTCAAAATTATTCTCTTCCATCAGATTGCATGTTCTGAGAGGGCAAGGGCTGTGTCTCTCAAGTTTACCCATCTACCCTGTAGTAGCTCCTATAGTGGCCAACATGAAGTCCACGTGTAGTCCACCGTCAATGAATGAATACACGAATGAGCATTTCCTATAAAGATAACATACATGCGATGGAAAAGGAGACCCAAGTAGTTTACAAACATTTGAAAAGATGCTCAACTTAACACATAAATGAAGAAATACAAATTAATACTAGGCCGAAATACCTGTCAGGCTGGCAAAAATCCAAAAGTTTGACCCTACCTCTGCTGCGGAGGAGGCCAGTAAGGGTGGAGAATCAACCTTTGCATACATCACTGATGAAAACTTACGTTGGTACAACTTGGGAGGGCAGTTTGACAAGATTTATGAAAATATACATAATGTTTGACTCAGCAATTCCAGGAATTTATCTTACAGCTATAATGTGTGAAACAAATAGCACCAGGTTATACACTGTAGCCCTATTTTTAATAGTAAAACAACAACAACAACAACAAACTAGCCTAAGTGCCCAGTAGTAGGGCTAATTAAATAGTGTTGCATCTATATGATGGAGTATTATACAGCTGTTTAAAAGCTGAATAGAATTCTTTTTTTTGAGACGGAGTCTCACTCTGTCGCTGTGGCTGGAGTGTGGTGGTGCCAACTCAGCTCACTGCAACCTCCGCCTCCTGGGTTGAAGTGATTCTCCTGCCTCAGCCTCTGGAGTAGCTGGAACTGTAGTCGTGCGCCACCACACCCAGCTAATTTTTGTATTTTTAGTAGAGATGGGGTTTCACCGTGTTGGCCAGGCTGGTCTCGAACTCCTGACCTCAAGTGATCTGTCCACCTTGGCCTCCCAAAGTGCTGGGATTACAGGCGTGAGCCACTGTGCCTGGCCAGGAATAGGGTAAATTTTATATAGTAAAATAAAAAACTAAAGCATAGAGCAATGTATATATGATACATTTGCACACTACCACTTGTGCAAAAGGGAAGGGGCGGAAAAATACTCTGTATTTGCAATTATTTATGGATGCATAGGAAATTATCTAGAATGACACACAAGAAACAAATAATATGGTTTCCTGTTTGGCAATTGATAGTTCTGGTGAGGGCTGGGAAGATGGAAGAGGGGTGGGATGTCAACTTTTCCTTATGTGCTTTTTTGTAATTTTTTTCTCTTTGAACTAAGTGAATTATTACCTAGTCAAAAATTTAAAACCGGGTGTGGTGGCCAGAGCCTGTAGCCCCAGCTACTCAGGAAGCTGTGGCAGAAAAATCATTCAAGGTTGTGGTGTACTGTGATCAGGGCTGTAAATAGCCACTGCACTCCAGCCTGAGCAACACAGACCCTGTCTGTCTCTAAAAAAAAAAGGAAAACATAAATAATTTTTAAATGACAAAATTATATATAATAATAAGCCTGTTTTTTCAACTAATAATATATCAAACACATTTCCCTGCATTTTAAATCTCTTTCTAAAAATTTTTTAAAACTTTTATTCATTTTTTAGCATTTTTAATAAATTTGTTTATTTCTTTGTTTTTAAATTTTAATCTATTTATTTATTTATATATTTTGAAACCAGGCTATGAGACTGGCTAATTTTTGTATTTTTGGAAGAGACAGGGTTTCCCATGTTGCCCAGTCTGGTCTCGAAGTCCTGGGCTCAAGCAATCCACCTGCCTCCACCTCCCAGTGTGCTGGGATTACAGGCTGAGCCACCAGGCCCAGCCTTAAATTTCTTTCAATATTATTTTACAGTGTTATGCCATTTCCTAATATGGACATAATTTATATAATCACTCCCGTGTTACTGGTTTCAGCATTCTGAACACTCCCATGTGTGCATTTCAGGAAAATTTGGGCACTTCTCAAGAGTTCTTATTTCTTTTTGCATGGCTCATGCGAAGGTACGCTTCAAGACCTAACTCAAATGTCACTGTCTCTGGGAAACGTTTTCTGATCTCCCCAACCCTGCTTGTCTTCCATTGCCTCCCTACCTCCAGCTGTGAGCACTGGAGAATAGGGATGCATCTTCCCTATCTTTCTGTTCCCAGACTAGCACAATGACAACCTGAGTAGATGCTCAGTAGACACACAAATAAATAAACATTTCTTCACTATAATTCATACACTAATCCCAAGAAGAAACTCCTGGCTTAAAAAATAAAAATACAGTTGAGCCATGAACAATGCGGAGTTAGGGGCACCAACTCCCAGCACAGTAGAAAATCCAAGTATAACTTTTGACTCCTCATACACTGAACTACCAATAACCTACTGTTGACCAGAATCCTCACCAATAACATAAACATATTTTTTATGTTATATGTATTATATACTTCATTCTTACAATAAAAGAAGCTACAGAAAAGAAAATGTTATTAAGAAAGCCACAGGATGACAAAATACATTTACAGTACTGTGCTGTATCAATACCATCAGTTTACACGTCTGTTTACAAGACGAATCCTCTGTCTGAAATGTCAGGAGACTGCAGCTGCAGACTGCAATCTATGACACATATCAAGCAATTCAACTGTTTCTTGTAATGTCATGACTTTTCTCTGCTCCTTGGGACCCTTTCCAGCTTCAGTAGAGGCATGGTGTTATTCAAGGTTTACGGTATTGCACTAAAGAGGATGAAAAGTATGCAAGAACCACAAGAGATCACTTTCCATTGAGATCTGCAATTTACCGGAGAAACAATTGCTCATGTGGAGATGATTAGCGTCACAGGGCGTTTTAAGCGGATACTCACAACACTTGAGCTCACCGCAACAGCAGCAGGAGGTGGCTATGAAATCATTACAGTAGCACAGCATGTACTACAGGTAACTTTATGCAGTTATGGTTTAATATTGCATCTTTGTATTTGCATTTCTTTGGACTTCCAATAGTGCCATGTATGGTCTATAAGTGTGTGCCTAAGTTTTGATACATTTTAACTTTCTATACTAGATATGTGTATATTTTATAGTAGTAAATGATAAAATAGATTAGTATCTACACATATTTTATGCATTCATGACATGCCTAACTTTTTCTTAATTTTTTTTATTATTTCTAGTCTACAAGGTTCATCTGAAAGTATTTTCAAATTGACGCAAATCTCCAAAAAGTGTTCTAATGTATTTATTGAAAAAAATCCATGTATAAATGGACCCATGTAGTTCAAACTCAGGTTGTTCAGGGGCCACGTGGATAGGTAAAATGCTGTTTAGGTACTCTAGCTCATCCACAGACAACTAAGGAGTAGACTTGCCAATACCTTTAGCTGGAACTCGCATGCCTCATGGTTTCAATGACAACATAAGCATAATTGTTATTTTTTTATAATGCCACGAAATCCTTTACCTTCTTTTCAAAGCACACAAAGTGCAGCAGCATGGGAATGGGCTGTGTTCAAACTGTCACTAGATCAGTTTCTGCTCTCAGGCAATTTCCTTCCCCTGTGTGATGCTTAATTTTAAGTGTCAACTTGCCTGGATTAAAAAATACCTAGGGAGGGCTGGGTGCAGTGGCTCACGCCTACAATCCCAGAACTTTGGGAGGCTGAGGCAGGCGAATCACCAGGTCAGGAGTTCAAGACCAGCCTGGCCAATATGGTGAAACCCTGTCTCTACTAAAAATACAAAAATTAGCCAGATGTGGTGGCAGGCGCCTGTAATCCTAGCTACTCAGGAGGCTGAGGCAGAAGAATCACTTGAACCCGGGAGGTGGAGTTTGCAGTGAGCTGAGATTGCGCCACTGCACTCCAGCCTGGGCAACAGAGTGAGACTCCATCTCAAAAACAAACAAACAAACAAACAAAAAACCTATGGAGTTGGTAGAGCATCCCTTCTGAATGCGTCTGTGAGGCTGTTTCCAGAGGAGATTGGCATATGAGTTGGTGGACTGAGTGGGGAAGATCCACCCTCGGAGTGGGTGGGCATCATCTAAACAGCTGACAGCATGGATAAAACAGAAAAGGAGAGAAAAGGATTTTTTTTCCTTCTCTCTTTCTCTCTCTCTCTCCAGGACCTAGAACATTCACCTCCTCCTGTCCTTGCAGATGCGAACTTCAGCCTCTCCAGTCTTGGGACTCCAGGACTTGCACTATTGGCCCCTTGGTTCTCAGGCCTTCGGTCTCCAACTGAGAGTTACACCATCAGTTTCCGCGGTTCTGAGGCTTTTGAACTTGGACTGGGGCACCCTACCGGCCCCACTGGGTCACCAGCGTGCAGACAGCCTGTGGTGGAACTTCTCAGCCTCCATAATTGTGTGAGCCAATCCCCCTCATAAATCCCCTCTCGTGTATCTATACCCAGTCATGCATCACTTCATGAGGGGAATACGTTCTGGGAAATGCATTGTTAGGCCATTTCATCATTGTGTGGATATCATAGCATGCGTACTTACACAAGCCTAGAGGGTCCAGCCTACTACACACCTAGGCTATATGGTATAGTCTATTTCTCCTAAGCTACAAACCTGTACAGCACATTACTGTACTGAATACTGTAGGCAATGTATCTAAACATAGAAGAGGTCCAGTAAAATTATAATATTATAATCTGGCTGGGTGCAGTGGCTCACGCCTGTAATCCCAGCACTTTGGGAGGCTGAGGTGGGCAGATCACTTGAGGTCTAGAGTTCAAGACCAGCCTGGCCAACATGGCGAAACCCCATCTCTACTAAAAATACAAAAGAATTAGCTGGGCCTGGTGGGGTGTGCCTGTAATCTCAGCTACTCTGGAGGCTGAGGCAGAAGAATCGCTTGAATCCGGAAGGCAGAGGTTGCGGTGAGCCGAGATTGCACCACTGCACTCCAGCCTGGGAGACAGAGTGAGACTCCATCTCAAAAAGAAAATAATAATAATAATAATAATAATAATAATAATAATAATAATATAATCTTTTGGGACCACTACTGTGGTTCATCATTGATTAAAACATCATTATGAGGCACATGACTGTATATATAAGTATTTTATATACATGTTTAATTTTCTGTCTCTCCGGAGAATCCTAATACTTCCTGGACTGCCTAAAATGAATTAAATGTATGAAATGAAGGATTGCGCTAATTTGGATGTTGCAGACTGATGGCCTGTAGACCACAGGACTGCTGATGTGCATGGTTTGGCCCATGTGGTGTGTATATGTGTCACAGCAATGTGACGGCCTCTCCAAGTCGCCACATTTACTCAGTGTTGCCTCGCACCTGGCTCACCTCATGTGTTTGCAATGTATACCCCTGTAAGTGCCAGACAGGTGATCTCTGGACTGAATCCAGCTTTTCCATGGAGTTGTGGAAGGAAGAGGCCGCTGCTCTATAGCAGTTCAGCAATGGGAGAAGTGAACACAGCATGCTGCTGATCTCTGTACAGCTTCGGGGAGTGCAGGACTTGGAGGTTGGCTGACTCAGCGGTGGGAGTTTTTAGGGATTAAAAAACCTTTAGAAGCATGGTCCCTGAGGGAGGCTGTTGCTGATTGGCTGGCCTTCAGAAGCATGTGTACTGACAGAAGGAAGTTGTCACCAAAGGACTGGGGTAGCTTTAAAAGCAGTTCTCACTTATTACTAGGACAAAGGAACAGTAAGTCTTTTCCTTTCTAGGAACTACTTCTAAAAACTATTTCTAGAGCAATTCATTCTCAGTAGGATGCCTTACTTATTTAAATATAGCATGAATCAGATCAAATCACTGGAAAGGCTTGTTGTCACAGCTCACTGCAGCCTTGACCTCCCATGGCCAAGCAATCCTCCTACCTCAGCCTCCCCAGTAGCTGGGACCACAGGCATGCACCACCATGCCCAACTAATTTTTTTATTTTTTGTAGAGACAGGGTCTCACTAGGTTCCTTAAAATCCCAGGCTCAAGAGATCCTCCCACCTCAGGAGTGTCAGAGCATTCAAACCACAGCGACTCCATCTTGAACAGGGGCTGGGTAAAATAAGGCTGAGACCTGCTGGGCTACATTCTCAAGAGGTTAAGCATTCTTAGTCACAGGATGAGATAGAAGGTCGTCAAGACTGGTATCACAAGATAAAGGTCACAAAGACCCTGCTAATAAAACAGGATGTGGTAAAGAAGCCGATCAAAACCCTCAAAACCAAGATGGCGGTGAAAGTGACCTCTAGTCGTCCTCACTGCTCACTCCTCATTTTATGCTAATTATAATGCATTAGCATGCTGAAAGCCACTCCCACCAGCACCAATACAGTTTACAAATGCCATGGCAACATCGGAAAGTCATCCTACATAGTCTAAAAGGGGGAGAAACCCTCAGTTCCAGGAATTGCCTACCCTTTCCCAGAAAACTCATGAATAATCCACCCGTTGTTGAGCATGCAATGATGAAATAACCATAAGCATATTCAGTCGAGCAGCCCATGTCGCTGCTCTGCCTATGGAGTAGTCATTCTTTTGTTACCTTACTTCTCTAATAAACTTGCTTTCACTTTACTCTATGGATTCACTCCGAATTCTTAATTGCACAAGATTCAGTAACTGTCTCTTCTTGGGTTCTGGATCAGGATCCCTTTCCAGTAACAAAAGTGCTGGGATTACAAGCATGAGCCACTGCACCCAGCCTTAGAATATGCATTTCTAACGAGTTTCCAGATGATGCTGCTGGTCTAATGACCACACTCTGAGAACCACTAGAATCCAGCATGATAGGATTGGTACTTAATTATTGGTTAAGAAAATACTTACAAAAATAGGATCCTAATGAGTACAAAAATGCTGTAAAATGAATTTATAGAATGGCTTATTAATCATTTACATTAGAAAAGAACCATCAATATGTAGGTGAAATATATTTATTTCATTTACAGATAATGGTTAGAAAGTATAAATTCCAGGATATATTGCAGTAATTCTTCCTCTCTTCTCCTCCTCTCCTTTTCCCTACCACCTGCCTACTTCCCAGAAATTTGTGGCCCACTCCATCTTGGGTAATCTCATACCAGATATTTGTCAAGGAATCTCCTAGTTTTGTGATTCTGTATTTGTTGCAGGTCCTGCCTGGGCACATGAACTCTTCTAGTCAAAGTATAAGCCACGTCAATAAGCTGATGTAATTTGCAAATACAGGAGGCAAGCAAGTTTATAAAACAATTGGTTTGTAGTGTTTGTGTTTCTGTATGTCTCTGTGTGTGTGAGAAAGACTGACTTGTGAAATTACCCTAAAAGTGTTCCCCTTTACATCAGTTGAAGTGTTGGATACTGTCAGGCCATTCTAGTTCTTTTAAAATAAACCATTTTGCTGGAGAAATATACGCTGTCTTCAGAAGAAAAGCTGTGCACGCTTGTGTTTGCATTGCAACATTCTGAGGGGAGGCCACTGGTTCTAAATATGTGGAAGAGAAATGAAAACACTTCCTGTGTTTCTAAAGATAACAATTTTTACAAAGAAAATACTTACTAAAAAAAAAAAAGTTAAAAGCCAAGGCATACTGTTATACACAAAAGCCATTCTTATGCATGATTCAGGGCCTGGAACGAATCAAGTTTCAGTACACATTGAATGAATGATGCCATTTCCCATACATTTCCAAGAGGCTTTTTATTAATGTGCTCATGTGGAAAATCCCTTCAGTAAAGAATAAAATGTTCTGTTTCTCCAGATGATAATAGCTAGTATTTATTGAGATCTCAGTATGTTCTAGGCTCATATAATCCTCACATTAATATTATGAGGTAAGTAATAAATCATCCTTACTTTACAGGTGAGGAAGCACAGAGAGGTTAAACAATGTCCCTGTGACACAGCTAGTAGCAGGTGGAGCTAAAATTCAAGCTCAGGTAAACAAATGCCATAGATACATGTCGAACCACCATACCCTCATCCTCCCAAACGCCTAAAGATTTGATGCCCTTAATCACTTTCTCAGCATGTTTTTTTGTTGAGAAAAACAAAATGTGTGTAATACACACTATAAAGTGTGTACTACAATTTAATTTTTTTATTTGCTCACTTGTTTATTGTCTGTTTCCTCTACTAGAATATAAGCTCCAAGAGGACAGGAGCTTTGTCTGTTCACTGCTGCATCCCCAGAACCAAACTGAGTGTTTAGAACCAGAAACATTTATTGAATTAATGAATGCATGAGTAAATTCTATCCATCAGTCAGCCTGGCAAATAAGGTCTGATTAAAAGAATGTGGGCCAGGCGCGGTGGCTCACGCCTGTAACCCCAGCATTTTGGGAGGCCGAGCCAGGTGGATCACCTGAGGTCAGGAGTTTGAGACCAGCCTGGCCAACATGGTGAAACCCGGTCTCTACTAAGAACACAAAAATTACCTGGGCATGGTGGTAGGTGCCTGCAATCCCAGCTACTTGGGGACCTGAGCCAGAAGAATCGCTTGAACCAGGGAGGTGGAGGTTGCAGTGAGCTGAGATCATGCCACTGCACTCCAGCCTGGGCAATAGCGCGCGACTCCGTCTCAAGAAAAAAAAAAAAAAAGAATGTGTATTATATTATATTTTTTATCATTCCTTATGCACCAAATGGTCCTTTTCCCCCCCCCGCCGAAAGACACGGTCTCAATATGTTGTGCTGGCTGGTCTTGAACTCCTGGCCTCAGGCGATTGCCCAGTGACCTCAGTCTTCTCTTTTTTAATGGTTTTTATTTTATTTTATTTTTTATTTTTTTCTTGAGACAGAGTCTCGCTCTGTTGCCCAGGCTGGAGTGCAGTAGCGTGATCACAGCTCACTGCAACTTCTGCCTCCCAGGTTCAAGTGATTCTCCTGGCTCAGCCTCCGGAGTAGCTGGGACTACAGGCACCCACCACCACACCCGGCTACTTTTTGTGGTTTTTCAGTAGAGACAGGGTTTCACCATGTTGGCCAGGCTGGTCTCAAACTCCTGACCTCAGTTATCCATGCACCTCGGCCTTCCAAAGTGCTGGGATTACAGGCATGAGGCACCGTGCCTGGCCTCTGTCTACTCTTTACATATATCTTTTCTTAAATGATTCTGAGAAGTTGATGGTGCTGAAATGGCTCATATGGGAGTGGCAAGAAATTAGAAACTGATTAGAAGCTTCCTAATTAGAAACTAATATGTCAACTGGGATATCACTGGGAGGAAGAATCAGTAAATAAAATTCTCTTCAAAGGACAAATGGAGAGAATATATTGATCGTATATAAAGGATTTGTGTCCAGAATATATAAATAATTTCTTCAAAAAAGAAAAATATAGAACTCTATCAGATAAGTAGTCAAGAGTCATGTACAGACATTTTGCAACGTAGAACTTACAAATGACCATATGTTTCTGAAAAGTTGCTTATTCTCATGTGTAATCAAGAGCATAACATTTCACATCCACTATTTGGGCAAAAATTTACAAAGTTAGAGGATGCCATGTGTGGATAACTAGAACGCCCATCCTCTGTTGGTGGGAGGGTAAATTGGTGCCCCTCCTTTGGAAAATGACTTGGCATTACCTGGTGAAGCTGAACAGGCAGATCCCCAGTGACTCAGCAATACTCAGATGGGGCCATGGACCAGCAGCAGCTGGGAGCTTCTCACAAATGCAGAATCTCAGGTCCTACCATGAAGCTACTGAGTCAAAACCTGCATCCCCGGGTGATTTGTGTACGCACTGGAGATTGAGAAGCCCTTTCTGGAGCAGTGGCTTTCAATCCCTAAGTGCCCATTGGAACCCCCTCCAGACTGATTAAATTGGAATCTCTGAGGGTGGCACCCCAGGCATCAGCACTTGCAAATGCCTCTCAGGTAATTTCAGTATGTTGCCAACATTAAGAACCTTCAACCAGAAGTCGCTCACATTGTAAGATGTACAAAACTCTTTAATAGCGAAAGCCTGGAAGACAACCTAAATGTCCACCAACAAGAGATTGCATAGACTGGGTGGGGTGGCTCACACCTGTAACCCCCGCACTTTGGGAGGCCTAGGGGGTCAGATCGCTTGAGCCCAGGAGTTTGCAATCAGCCTGGGCAATATGGTGAAACCCGTCTCTACAAATAATACAAAAAAATTAGCCGGGCATGGTGGCATGGGCCTGTAGTCCTAGCTACTTGGGAGGCTGAGGTGGGAGGATTGATTAAGCCTGGGAGGTCAAGGCTGTAGTGAGCTGAGATGGTGCCACTGCACTCCAGCCTGGACAATAGAAAGAGATGGTTTCTCAAAAAGAAAAAAAAAAAACAGATTGCATAGAGTATATTTATACAATGCTACACAGCTATGAATATAAATAAACTAAACTACAGCTGTATGGATTAACATCGACAAATCTAAAAGGCATCATGTGGAGTAAAAGAAGAAAGCAAAAAGGCCAGGCGCGGTGGCTCACGCCTGTAATCCCAGCACTTTGGGAGGCCGAGGTGGCTGGATCACAAGGTCAGGAGTTCAAGAGCAGCCTGGCCAAGATGGTGAAAACCTGTCTCACTAAAAATACAAAAATTAGCCGGGCGTGGTGGCACATGTTTTAGTCCCAGCTACTCGGGACGCTGAGGCAGGAGGATCACTTGAACCCGGGAGGCGGAGGTTGCAGTGAGCGGAGATCATGCCACTGCACTCCAGCTTGGTGGACTGAGTGAGACTGTGTCTCAAAAAAAAAAAAAGAAGAAGGAAGCAAATGAAGAGTACAGCAGTAGGATTATACTTGTACAAAATCTTAAAGAGCAGATTATATAACATGCATACATACACATACATATGTGATATATGCATATGCACATATATACATATACATATATCACATACATTTTTACTATATAGAAAAGAAAATGAGTGAGAGGAAATTCAAGATAGAGGTTATTCTGGAATACAGGAGGAAAGAGAATGTGATTGGGGAGAACGGGAGAAAGTGAGTTTCTAAAGTCCTGGTAATATTCTATTTCAGGTTCAATAGTAGGAATATGGGTTCCCCCCCGCTTAAACTGTAAAAATATCTGTTATCCACTTCTTTAGATAAAATGTTAAAATTTTAAATTTAAAAAAAAGTTGTTTAAAGGGCATCTTTCCTGTAAGTTCTTCTGAGCCCCCTTCTTAAATGTAACTCAGGCTTCATCAAACATCCTTCTCTGCTCTCTTCTGAGCTGGCTCCCCCGGCCCTTGCTTTGATACCAGCATAGAGAGGGTCCACTTCTTTCCCAAACTGGCTTTTTATTTTAGGGACCCTGGTCCTCTCCAGGTCCCATCCTGGAATGTGCTGGAGGGGCTCAGAAGCCACGTGTGTCTCACAGACCTATCTGCAGGGCACGTGGGAGCCTGAAGAAGGGAGGTCTGGGGGAGTGGGATTCAGACAGAAGACAGTATCTGTGTAGGTCTGGAGGCCCTGGGCCCATCTCCACCCACACCCAGACAGAATCAGACAGGGCCAGGTATGAACAAGCTGGGGCCAGCCAAATGGTAAATCATTTAGCAGCAGAGTAATGATTTTAAGTAACAACCTAGTGAGGGCACAGACAGGGTAAACTGTCTTACCCAAGAGTTTTCAAAGGTTTTCTGTTTTGTTCTAAACCCAGACCTCGCCCATCCATTTAATGAGAGGGTCCAAGCCTCCATTACCTCTTGCAAGGCATTTATTTCTGCCTACAGAATTTCACCTGATCCTTACTTGACTGTGTAGTCAAGGAATTACTACCATTTCAGAGATAAGGGACAGGCCCAGAGCTGTTAAGAGATTTGCCCAAGGTCACACAGTTCCCATGGCACAAAAACTCCCAGCTACACCTGCTGTCTCTGCATCCAGGACTCCATCACTGTCTTGTCTTCTTCTGGGCTTATAAACACTTCTACACTCCACTCTGGTACATCCAGAGACCCCCTCCTTACTCAAAGAGCTCTGACAAACTCATGCCTCTCTCTGGGATTGACTGTGGGATAAATCCGAGCTCCTTAACCTCTCCATAATCTTCTCTCACAGTTCTCAGAGGCCAAAAATATTGATTTTTAAAGAACCTGTAAATACCGTCTAGTTCTGTGTTCTTAATCTTTCAGAATCATTGATACCTTCTGCTGGAACTGTGGATTTTCTCCCCAGAAAAATGCCCATAGGTACAGGCATCCAAAGTATGGCATGCAGTTTCAAAGGGGGTCATAGATCCCAAGACTCCTGTTAAGAATTGCAGATTAGGCCAGGCGCAGTGGCTCACGCCTGTAATCCCAGCACTATGGGAGGCCGAGGCGTGTGGGCCCGAGCTCAGGAGTTCAAGACCAGCCTGGCCAAGATGCTGAAACCCCGACTCTACTAAAATACAAAAAAAAAAAAAAAAAAAAAAAAAAAAATTAGCCAGGTGCGGTGGCAGGCACCTGTAATCCCAGCTACTTGGGAGGCTGAGGCAGGAGAATTGCTTGAACTCAGAGGGCGGAGGTTACAGTGAGCCAAGATTGCCCCACTGTACTCCAGCCTGGGTGATAGAGTGAGACTCCATCTCAAAAAAAAAAAAAAAAAGAATTGCAGATTAGCTTGTCAATGACAGACTGGATAAAGAAAACGTGATACGTGTACACCATGGAATACTATGCAGCCATAAAAAGGAACACAATCATATTCTTTGCAGGGACATGGATGAAGCTGGAAGCCATTATCCTCAGCAAACTAATGCAGGAACAGAAAACCAGACACTGCACATTCTTACTTATAAGTGGTAGCTGAACAATGAGAACACATAGACACAAAGAGGGGAACAACACATACTGGGGCCTACCAGGGGAGGGTGGTGGGGAAGGGGGAGCATTGGAAAAAAGAGCTAATGCATGCTGGGCTTAATACCTAGGTGATGGGCTGATAGGTGCAGCAAACCACCATGACACAGGTTTACCTGTGTAACACACCTGCACATTCTGCGCATGTACCCCAGAACTTAAAAAACGAAAAAAAAATTGTTTAAGAATTACAGATAAAATATGGTGGTTCCTCAAAAATTAAACATAGAATTACCATATGATCCAGCAATTCTATTTCTGGGTATATACCCCAAAGAATTGAAAGCAGAGTCTCAGACATATTTGCACACCCATGTTCATAGCAGCACTATTCATAACAGCCAAAAGGTGTAAATAACCCGAATGTTCATCAATGGATGAAAGGATAAAGAAAATATGGTTGATATGGTTTGGCTCTGTGTCCCCACCCAAATCTCATCTTGTGGCTCCCATAATTCCCACATTTTGTGGGAGGGACCCAGTGGGAGATGATTGACTCATGGGGGTGGGTCTTTCCCATGCTGTTCTCGTGATAGTGAATGGGTCTCACAAGATCCGATGGTTTTAAAAACAGGAGTTACTCTGCCCAAGCTCTCTCTTTGCCTGCTGCCAACGATGTGACTTGCTCTTGCCTTTCGCCATGATTGTGAGGCCTCCCCAGCCATGTGGAACTCTAAGTCCAATAAACCTCTTTCTTTTGTAAATTGCCCAGTCTCTGTTATGTATTTATCAGCAGCATGAAAATGGACTAATACAGTGGTATATACATACAATGGAAACTTATTCAGCCTTAAAAAGGAACAAAATCTATCACATGAAAGAACCTCGAGGACATTATGCTAAGTGAAATAGGCCAGACACAAAAGGGCAAATACACTTAATGATTCCACATACATGAGATACCTAGAGTGGTCAAATTTATAGAGACAGCAGAATGGTGGATGCCAGGGGCTTGGGTGACAGGGGAATGGGGAGTTAGTGCTTAGTGGGTACAGAGTTTCAGTTTGGGATGATGAAAAAGTTCTAGAGATGGAGAGTGGTGATGGTTGCACAACAATGTGAATGTACTTAATGCCCCTGAACTGGCACACCTAAAAAAGGTTTAAAAGGTAAATTGTATGTTATGTATGTCTTACCATACACACATAAAAGAACTGCAGATGGAATGGACCCCTTACTTCACACATGAGGATTCTGAGGTCCAGGCAGTGGCCAGGGTCTCTGGCTGAAAAGGAACAGGGTCAGGAACAGGCGGGCCTCCTGCACCAGGGCTGCTTCCTGGCCCTCTGCCTGGAACCCATCCAGCAGGGCAAGCTCCGGGCAAGTTCCAATGGGAAATGCCTGTGTCTCCTGTTGAAATCCCAATGGGCAAAGCCTCAGGTGGAAGTATTAGAGCTGGACAGAGTGAAATGCCGTATTTATATGCACTTCATTTATTGGCTGCATAACCCTTACACACAGCGGGAGGCGATTTACCCCGAATATTTGTTCTCTTTAGTAAAAGCAACATTTTCTGGGGGAGTTAGATAGTGCCATCCAGTGGTGTTCCAGAACAACTTATGATAACAAAGGCTCTTACTGACACCATTTTATATAACAACTACTTCACATGAATCCTGAAGAATGGGTTTGGGCATTCCTCTTTATAAAGGCATATTAAGGAGACACTTAGAAGGCCAGGTGTGGTGGCTCATGCCTGTAATCACAGCACTTTGGGAGGCCGAGGTGGGAGGATCACTTGAGGCCAGGAGTTTGAGACCAGTCTGGGCAACATAGTGAGATCCCCACCTCTAACGAAAAATAAAAAAATTAGCTGGGTGTGATGGCACGCACCTGTGGTCCCAGCTGCATGTGAGGCTGGGGCAGGAGGATTGCTTGAGCCCAAGATTTTGAGGCTGCAGTGAACTGTGATTGCACCACTGTGCTTCAGCCTGGGTGACAGAGCAAGACCCTATTTCTAAAAAAAAAAAAAAAAAATTTTAAGATTTTCAAGATACATTGTTATGTGATAAAAGTGAATACCAAATAGTTCGTGTGTATGACTTCCCGTCACTGCTTCCTGCACCTCCTCCACACCCCCAAACTTGGACAAACAGCTGGCTACGCACCAAAATGTTAACAGATGCACATTTCTGTTGATGAGATTCAACTGCCTCTCTCTCTTTTTTTTTTTTTCTCTTTTAAGAGGCAGAGTCTCACTCTGTCGCCCAGGCTGTAGTGCAGTGGCATGATCATAGCTCACTGCAGTCTCAAACTCCTGGGCTCAAGTGATCCTCTGGCCTCAGCCTCCTGAGTAGCTGGGATTACAGGTGCAAGCCACCACGCCTAGCTCTTGAAAATATTTCCATGCCACTAAATACTATTCTATGGCATTCTCTTCTATGGTTGCAGAGTAATTCGTTGTATAAACATAATAATTAAATCCCTATGGCTGAAAACAGATTGTTTGCGAGCTTTCACTGTTGCTAAGAGTAGAGCAGTAATTATCCCATATAATTCTATCTCATCTTGATTATTTCCTAAGGCTAAATTCCTAGAAACAATTAGTTAGATTAAATGGACATTGTTAGGATTTTGAGTCAAGGTGTACTTTAGAAAGTTTGTACCTATGTGATATATAAAGTTAGCAGCATCATTTTAGAGAACCCATTTATCTACACCCTCATCACCAATGGGTATTATAATTTAAATATTTATACCAAGTTCATAATTTAAAATGGAATTTTACTATTTAAATCTGTAGTTGTTTGCTATATTTGATTATTTAATTAAATCTATATGATTATTACAGACAACAATCTCTTATGAACAATCTCTTCATGTCCTATGCTCTTTTACACATGGAGTGTCTCAATCATTGGATAACTAAGTATATTTTTACATTATCTATCATATGCTTTGTAATGTTTTACCCCAAATTTGTCATTAGAGTATGCTATTTTTACTATGAAAGTTTTATATTTTAAATAAACCAAATCTAAAAATTTATTCCTTTGAGGTTTCAAGATTCATTTTGTCACCAATTATTTTATTAATCTGTTATTAATTCTAAATCATCGTTCAATTGTTTCTCTTGGGTGTTACTGCATGAGATATACATATCTCATTCTTTTTTTCTTTTTTTAAACCATTTGATTTTACTTTATTTATTTTTTGAGACAGGGTCAGCCTCTGTCACCCAGGCTGGAGTGCAGTGGTGCAATTTTGGCTCACTGCAACCTCCCAGGTTCAAGCCATCCTCCCAAGTAGCTGGGATTATAGGCATGTGCCATCATGCCCAGCTAAATTTTTCTTGTCTTAATACATGGCTATAACTTCTGGAATTATATGAACCACAAAGAAACTATTTATATTAATAATATAATAATTATTAAGTATATTAATGATAACTGCGATGTGCAGGGGAGTACAGAATATGAAGACAGCTCTTGGGAGGGGCATTAACCTAGAGTCGGGTGTCAGGCAAGGCTTTCTACACTACAGAATTGGAAGGATGGAGGCTTTTGAATCTTGAAATTTCTCACGTGGAATTCTTTATTCTGGTAAGGTATATACTCCACCTTTTTCATCTTCAATTATTCTGGCTATTTTTGGCCCTTTGTTCTTCCATACAAATTTCAGAATCACACATTTCTAGAGTCAGAATCCAGAAACAAACCTGTTGGGATGTTGATTGAATCATATTAACCCCACAGATCTATTTTGGAAGCACTGATATATTTAAGTAGTGAGACCTCTTATCCATAAACATGGTATATCTCTAATTTAGGTCTTCTTTAATGTCTTTCAAAAATAACTTTTTCTCCTGAATGTGTCTTGTGCATGGTGTGTTAGTCTCAGGTATTTAATGTTTTTTAATACTATTGTAAGTGGCATTTTTCTTTTCTATGGCTTATTAAATATTTTTCCTGATTTATGGAAATAAGGTAGATTTTTGTATATTGATTTTGTGTCTAGCAACCTAAACTCTTATTAAATCTAATAATTTATAGATACTTTCAGGTTTTCTACATAGACAATCATAACCTGAATAGTTTTTTTCATTTATTTTTATAATTTTTATTAAGGTATACTTTACATATAAAATCTATCCATTTTATATGTACATTTGAATGATTTTTGACAAGTTTAGTGAGTTGTGCAACCATCACAATAGTTTGGATTTAGAGCATATTCACTGCCTCTTCTTTTCCATGTCTTATATCTTTTTACCTTTTTGACCCTACTGAACTTGCTAGAATTTTTCGTGTAACTTTGAAGAGAGTGAGGGTAGTGGATATTATCTTTAATTTCCAATCTAAAGTAGCATAAGGCTTCTGATGTTTTGCCTCTTGGTATAATGCTTATTATGTTTTGGGATAATCTCTCTATATAAAAGTTTCCCCCTATTCCTTGTTTAATAAGTGTTTTGGTTTTTTTAACTTAAATGGGACATTGAGTTCCAGAAAATGTTTTCTCTGTGTCTATTGAAATGATCCTACGAATTTGCCCTAAAAGAAGATAGTTTCCAAGTAGATCTCCTGCCTTGGAGGGCGCTCTAGGTTTTGTTCACTGCTCTGAGATTCACCAGACTGGAAAACCAGTGTTCAGATTAAACGAGTCCAGCAAATTCCTTCAAAGAGAAAACTAGTTTCAGTGCTTCTCCTTCCTGTCAGTTCTTATCTTTATTTTGCATTTGGCCTGCACACAGGTCTTATTTTCTTGACAGTTCATGCATCTGTTTAGATTTTTACCATTTCATTCAGTAACTGTTTTCAGTGGAAGGGGTGGTTCACATCCCAGGACCATCACAAAGCAGAAAACAGAAGTCACGAGATCTTCTAGGTTCATTATTGCACTGAGTATGTTTTCTGTGTTACTATTCTAAGTGAGGTACTATTGTAAGTGAGGTCTTTTGGCCATGATATTTCCTAACTAGTTACTACTAGCAAACAGAAAGTAACATTATCTCCTAATGCTGTGTTTGTATAACTCGAATTTGATCATGCTGTTTGTTCTTTTGATAGAGGATTGATTTTGCAGTATTTTGTTTAGCACTTTTGCCTCTGTATGTGAGCTCCACTTTAGTCTCTTGAGTATGAATGGATGTGCGCATGCACGCACCTTTAGAACTGTTAATATACTATGGAATTATTTCTTAATAGTTTGAAGGAATTTATTCTTATAACTGCCTGGGCCTAGTATACTTTTTGGAAGATAATCTGGTGCTTGCTTTCCCCTAGTTCTTCAAATGTTATCATTTTATTCTCTTTTGAGAGCTTCATCTTAAGTAGCTCTGCTGCCAGTAATACAATTTACAGTGCTTTACAAAGCACAAAATGCCGGGCGTGGAGGCTCACACCTGTAATCCCAGCACTTTGAGGCCGAGGTAGGAGGATCGCTTGAGGCCAGGAGTTTGAGACCAGCCTGGGCAACATGGCGAAACCCTGCCTCTACAAGAAAACATAAAAATTAGCCAGGCACGGTGGCTAATTTGGGAGGCTGAGATGGGAGGATTGGGAGGTTGAGGCTGCAGTGAGCCATAATCACATCACTGCATTCCAGCCTGGGCAACAGAGTGAGACTCTGTGTCGAAAATAAAGCAAAAAATGGACAGTATTTGCATAGCCATGATTTCATTTAATGACTATGTGCCCTACGTGTGGTCAACAAGGGGTAAAAAAAGCATCAGAGGCCCAGAGAAATTAGGGAACGAGGTCAAAATCACTCAGCTTGGATACAAAGACAGATTAGATATGGTCCTAATCCTCCCTCTGAAAAGGCTCACCTGAAAAAGACTAGAACAGACAGACCCTCTTCATGTGTTTGCACTTTCAAGTCCTAGTTCTAAGATAGGGCAGTAGCAGGTACCTATAGAAAGGGGAGCACTGAGAGAGGGGGCATTCAGTTTTCAACTGGAACCCAAGGTGATCCCTCACATTAAGAAGGGATCCTTCTTGTTCTGTGCAGGCTAATACACTTGTGATCATTTCCTGAAGTGATCAAGGCCCCGAAGTCTATAGATTCTATATTTCTCCTCCACACACCAAGAGTCACAGAAATGTTCCCAAAAAGAGTATTTTGACAATTCATTTGCCCTTTCAAACCTTTGATTTTCACATTCAAAATTCAGTCTTGAACAAGAGTGCTAACAGGTTTTTTTTTTGTTTTTTAAACTATAGACTCATTCTATTTTGAGACAGTAGCAATCATTCCATTCTTGTTTTCAAAGGATGCTACAATCATTTAAATTAGGATTTGAGATTCTCATGCGATTATAATGAGTGATCCAAATCTGTATTACTCTGCTTAATTTTAGGGATCATAAAGCATAATAATCATCAACAGAATGAATAATAATACGGTCACAATATCTTGCTCTGAATGTTACTTCTAGGCTTTTAATAGTTATAAACGGATTTCCACAAGCGTAAGGCACGAATTCATATATTAGAAACAATACATATACCTTCTCTATACTTTGCAAGGACTTCAGGTAGCCACTTAATTTTTCCTTCTTGACTAGGGAGAAAGAAATAGTAAGGCACTCAGAAAGGAGACGCATCCTCACTTAGTGGAAACCAAACACCTGGAATCCGGCCCCAGGTCTGAATGGAGAACAGCTCTAGAAAAAGCCTGCAGCTCAGGAGGGGTGTCTCTCAGAAACCAATAGAGGATTTCTCCCTGGGGTTCCCACTGTTACCACACATGCAATTCTCAGAGGAATGCCGTTCCCATGCCAAACCCTGGCAAAAGTTGGAGAAACTTCCCTCCTCAGTTTTGGCAAAGCACGAGCTGCTTCCAGTGGATACAAACCATCCACATCAAGTGACAAAACCAATGAAGCAAAAGGCTTTGCCACCTTAGTTTCTGTTATTGTCAATCTTATCATTTCCCGATATTTGGCTGATGAAAAGAAATTTACTAAATAGTTTAGGAGAAAAAAGGGGGGTAAGGATTACAGAAGATGCAAGCAGCACACAAATAGAATCAGAAATCAGGTCTCTGGCAACCCTGACCCGCTGGTCTCTGGCCCCAAAGGCAGGTCATTGCTTGTGCTTTTTCCTACCTAGGTCTCCCAGACTTTTGGGACAGGCATCACCACTGGAGCTTTGCTGATGCCCCCTCGGGTAAGCCAGCCCCACCCACCTGATTCAAGATCAGGAAGTAGCTGGCATATGCATGCATTCACATGTGCATACTCATGTCTTCACACCTTCCTGACCACCACTTCCTCCTAATGCACCCTTAGGAGAGTGCGTTCCAAGAGTTGAAAACTAGCATCCCTCAGCTGCTCTTTTCTGCTCAGCTGGTCAAAGGGCTGAAAACTATGGAACACACCTGTTTCAGGCTTCCCAACAAAAGAGGCACTGTCCTTCCTCTGAGCCAGGTCACAATGAGGTCACCTTCATCAATTTTGTTTCATAGCCAGAATCCACTGCATCCTCTATTTAGATATCATCTGCACTTTACTGCTATATGCTTTATATCTTGGCTTCTTCCAAAAGTAATCCAAGGCCTTTTATAGAACAAAACCATATACCTTGAGAAAGATGGTGCAGTTTGAAAGCCTCAAGGTTTTCTTCCTACATTACGACAAAAAGTTGTTTTCTTATTCACTATTTTCTTTGATGGAGAGATGAAGAAAAAAACTGCACAAGCCCACACATTCTGATCCATGCATCCTTTATTCCATTACCAACCACTGTGCCGCATCCAAGCAACAGTACACAAACTGGCAATCAACCGCAGTCCAGTTGTACAACGATCTGAGGCTTACAGTACATTTAAGGCTTTTAAATGTGGAAAAAAAAATTAAAACCAAAGAACCCCCAAATCCAAACCCCTAACCAACACAAGTAGTATAGCAATGTTAAGCATCTCCTATTTCTGATGCTTATTTGGCGCAACTTCCAGTGTCAAAACCCAAATAATTCCTAAACTAAAAAGATTAGTTTAGTGAAATTTTAATTACATAAATTCTTCAAAGCATAAACTTGGAATTTTTGTCTTGGAAATGTTATAAAATTTTTAATAGCAAAACATAGGAATAAAAACATATTAACAAAATGTATTCAATCATTTACATTACAAACAAGGAATCTGCAGTTCATTGTTGTAGCCTGACAAAAGAAATCATATCTACCATTAAGAATCTATGCACAATGTGATTGCAAATATGTACAGTACTTTAAAAAAGCCTACAAGGAGGACTTTACAGAAGGAAAGTCAGCTAGGCTCTTTGTTAAACCAACCAGACAATCAAAATAGTAAAACTCTGTTGGCTAGTAATAAATTTACACTTAAAAAAACCCCTAGTTTCTTTTTGTTTAAGAATATTCCAGTTATATTTATATGGTTACAGTTGATGAAGCTGTACACGAGAGTTCCAGTAAATTACCCTTCAGTTCATTTGTCCGGGAAAGATCAGCATGTTAACAAAAAATAATAAAGGAATTTTCACCACACTAGCTTTCCAGTTACACTATCACAGCTTCACAAATGGATTGAACCCATGTATCCAGTGGCAGAAAGAGAGCTGCATGTGAAATACCGAGAACATTGGTGGCAACAGGGCAAGTCCTGCATGAATGTCAGAAATGATGGATAAGGTTGAGAAACAGATGCGAGGCTACTTTATACAGCACTAGAAAATTGTCCCTACATTCAGCTCTCATTCCCATTCCTGCAAGGTAATGAAGCTGGGAATCACGACTGTTCAGTTTAACGTGTTGTGTGAATTAGCAGAACCACCTCTAGATACAAAAGACTGAGATTTCATCAGCTCTTTGATTAGAACACCCTAAAGGTTGGGCACTTCTTCATGGTTATCAAGCCTTTACAGCTACCCAGTTAAAGCATGTGCAAAACAGAGGACTCTTCTGTTCACAGTAAATGAGGTAAGATCAAGTTGTTGTCTTCAGGAATTAGGAAGTTCGTGAGATATGAACTGTTTTAGTCTTTCTAGGTATTGTGCATAAAGCTCTATGTCATTATGCCCAGCCCCTTCAACCCAAAGGGGCTCCACGGCTCGGGGACAGCGCTCGTACATCGCTAGGCCATGGGAGAAATCGATGACCTCATCCTCTGTACCATGAATGACCAACACAGGAGAGGTGACTTTAGATATCTTGTCAATGCTGCAAAACAGAAAGGGGGGAGGCAGAAAGAGGACTCCATTAGTTATGCTCACAGATAATACACATCACATTTAATGATAAGTTAATAATCTCCACAGGCAGGGAAATAACACCGTGGGTTTTTTTTGTTTGTTTTGTTTTGTTTTTAAATTAAGGACTTTATCTTTTAAAGCAGTTTTAGGTTCACAGCATAACTGAGAGGAAGGTACAGAGATTTCCCAGATACCTCCTTGTCCCCACACATGCACAGTCTCCCCAATTATCAATATCCCCTACCACAGCAGTACCTTTGATGAACCTACATTAACATATCATAACAGTTTGGCTTTTTCTTGCTTTATTTTTTTCTGGTAATTTAGTTTTTTTTCTTAAATCAACTTTGCATTTTAGAATAATTTTGAATTTGCAGGAAAGGTGTAAAGATAATACAGTGTATACAAAAATCAGCCAGGCATGGTGGTGCATGCCTGTAATCTCAGCTACTCGGAAGACCGAGGCAGGAGAATTGCTTGAACTAGGAGTGGGAGGTTGCAGTGAGCTGAGATCGTGCCACTGCACTCCAGCCTGGGCAACAGAGTGAGACTCTGTCTCAAGAAAAAAAAGAAAAGAAAAGAAAACAAAACAAAAAGATAATACAGTGCCCTGACATACTCCTGACCCATTTCCTGTAAGGTTAACATTGTACATTACCGTGATACATCTGTCAAAACTAAAACACCAACGTTGGTGCATTACTATGAACTAAACTCCAGACTTTATTTGGATTTCACTAGTTTTTCCACTAATGTCCTTTTCCTGTTCCAGGATCCAAACAAGAATACCACACTGCAATTGGCTGTTGTGTTTGTTGAAGTATTTTATTAAAGACAGACCTCTTCAGAGCATCAGACTAGCAAACTAGCAACTACTATTTTTTATATATTATCTTTATATTACTTTTAGATTTTTTTATATTTATATATTATTTTTCAAGAGAATTTTAAAAAGGGCCAGAACTTAACATATCAAATGAATGTCTATTTGGAAAGCTGGACACTTAATTTGCTGCCACTCAAGTCTTCAGAATTCTGAAAGCTACCATCAGAATTGACTCAAAGATACACACCCCATTTCATAAAAGCAAGTGCCTTGTTTTAAAAAATAAAAACTGTACTATTTAGCTTGAAAACTTAATGTAATGCCTAGATTTTATTCCAAATGACTTCTCTGCAAAAATCAAATCTACTCTCAAAGGATGAATATTTGAGGATCTTTAAAACAATATGCTTCAGGCTCTGAAAGCATATCCAAAAGAGGAATCCAAAAGACTTTAAGCATTGGTTGAGCTGGGTGTGTAGGCGACTTCTCTGATCGGGATAACAGTCATTTCATCCACAAATAAATCAAGAGAAATGGCTCTCTCTCCATTCTGTCCTGCCAAAGAGCCTCTTGTAGTTTACTTCTCTTTCCATATTTGATCCTAGTCGAAGTTACAAAAGGATACCAATTAGTACTATTTGTGGGAATCTTTTTGTTAAAAGTAACAGCTAACATTTTTTAAACATTTACCATAGCCGGGTGCTTTGCACTTAACCCACAAAATCTCTTTTAATATTTAATGAAACACAGTGAGAGAGGAATGACCACCTCTGTTTTATCAAGGAGGAAACTGAAGCTCAGAGAGATTATTAAATAACAGGAATGAGGTCGTGGAGATAATAAAGAGCTCTAACATCAATTACACATTCCAAAGATCTACAAACAACTGTCATCTAGCCTTTATTAAAAACTCAGGAAGCCGCGGACCACTTCAAGACATCCCAGAAAGATTGCAAAACCTCATCAGCCATGTAATTTGCAAACATCAGAGCCACTGTGGCAGTATTCAATTATGCACTTTAGAAATCTTATTTGGAAACCTGCTTTCCCCCTATATTTAATTTTAAAGTGACTTCCTTTAAGAGAGTTCAATTATACACAATTAAAAAGATATTTACTCAACAGTTACAATGGGCCTGGGACTATGCTCCACGCTGCACAGTTTAGGAGAATCTCTACTGCCTGGAGGGTGTATTTAAAGTTGACTTCCATCATCCGATCCCAAGTGTAAAGGAGGTAAAAGAAAATAAACTATAAATGAAATAATAATCTGGATTCCTTTTCCTTTTGTTTAAATTTGTTTTAATATTAAAAGGAAATGTGCAAGTATCCTCCTTTAAGGAGAGGGACACAGATGATTCTGCCATCTGGCAACAACGGACATATTAAGAAAATGTTTACCAAATTCAAATTCATGATGAAAGTCAATGCAACCATTAATGGTTTGAAATCTATCATATTAATAATTTATGGCATTAAATATGAGGATTTGTCTCCTTTGTTGTCTCCAATCACCAGCCTTTTAAAAAATTTTTTTAAGAGACAGGGTCTTGCTCTGTTGCCCAAGCTGGAGTGCAATAGTGTAATCCTAGCTCACTGCCACCTCAAAGAGATAAAGCTGGGCTTAAGGAATCTTCCCACCCCAGCCTCCTGAGGAGCTGGGACTACAGATGTGTACCACTATGGCTGGCTAACTTGTTAATCTTTTTCTGTAGTGACAGGATCTTGCTGTGGTGTTGCCCAGGTTGGTCTTGTACTCCTGGCCTCAAGTGATACTCCAGCCTTGGCCTCAAAAAGTGCTGGCATTACAGGTGTAAGCCACTGTGCCTGTCCTCTAATTACCGACCTTAATTCAATAAATTACTTAACCTCTCATTTCCTCATCTGTAAAATGAGCACAGTAATTGAACAAACATCTTTTTTTTTTCCTTTGGAGACAGAATCTTGCTCTGTCACCTAGGCTGGAGTGAAGTGGTGCGATCTCGGCTCACTGCAACCTCCGCCTCCTGGGTTCAAGCAATTCTTATGCCTCAGCCTCCCCAGTAGCTGGGATTACAGGTGTGCACCACCACGCTCGTCTAATTATTTTTTTTTTTTGTATTTTTAGTAGAGACGGGGTTTCACCATGTTACCCAGGCTGGTTTTGAACTCCTGAATTCTGGCAATCCACCCTCCTTGGCCTCCCAAAGTACTGGGATTACAGGCGTGAGCAATCACGCCCAGCTGACAAACTTCATAAGACTCTTGTAAAGATGAAGGGGGACCATGAACATGAAATGCATAGCCCGATACCTGCCATACCAGATAAACTCAGATAAGATTAGTTGCTAATTTGTTGTTAATCATTTGCAATTTGTTGAGATGGCTGTATTTTAAGGTATATGCTAATTTAAGAGCCAGGAAAAAAAAAAAACTATTAGTTTTGTTGCCAGGGTAACTCCCCGCATTGCTTCCCACAAACATGCTAAGTATCCGTCTTTCAGCAAACTGGCCTCTCATTACCAATTCAGCACAAATAAGGCCACATTTGAGAGGCACATTAGCCCTACTTAGCATTCCCAGCCACGCCACTATAAATCTGCAGTGCAACTTTCCCATGAAGCCGAATCTCATTGAATCCTGGTACAAACTGCACAAAACTGAAGTTCACCCAAGGTGTTAACAGAAGGTTCCTTTCTGTGAAATAAGACAGTCTGTATAATAGATGTTTATGTAACCAAACGATGATCTTTTATTTTTTTTCCAGCAATAGCAGGATGAAAGCAATTAATGGGTCAATCAAAAACCCTAAAACCGTGTCTTCTTTCTGCTGAGGTTTTTTTATAAAATGGCAACATGAGCTGGGCCAGTCCTGGGGTAACAATCCTAGGCCCCTCCAGCAAGGACTGTGGGAAAAGCATAAGGGGCAAAATATTTTGTATTAAAAATACTTTCCTCATGCAGGCACCTCTGCAGGGGTGAGATCTTCCGGTCAAAGTGGTAGAGCAGAATAGGGGGTGGCAGGTGAGTTTGTTCATTTATACCATTCCTGTGGCTATTTACCGAAGATCAAAGCCTGGCTTGTCGAGTAACTCACTTTGCCTTTATTCTTCTATTTACAAAGATTAACTGAGCATGGTACCTTTTCCCTTACCTGTACTGTCCAACTGAAAAAGTAAGAGAAATTTCCAAACTGTGCTTGCTTGAAGTTTTTGAGTGTCTACACCACTAGTTGCCCCATCACACATATTGTATACAGCTCAAGATTTAACAAGAAGTGTCTCTGAATGAATGAGCGAGTGCTGAACTGTAAGTTCCTTTAGGATGTATGGGTGCTGTTAAAAATCCTGTATATTAGAGCTCAATCAATTAACCCTAGGCGTCAGTATACTCAAGGTCCTTATACATCATCTGGGAGATTTTCACAAGTGAGTCAGGCCTGGGAGGATAAAATCTCTGGACAGTGTGTGTCATATTTGCTCCCACATGCCCTGTGGCACCCAGCACAGGGTCTGACGTATGGCTGCATTCAATAAATATTTACACAGATATTTATGGGAGCATCAGATATAAACACAGTCATTGGCTGACTTACCACTTGTTGGACAAGCATGAACTTACCTGGGGAAAGCATCAAAGCAGTATGTTTTCCTGGTATCCGGAAAAGCCACACGCAAACCAGACATCAGAGGGGAATGGAGAATTACCGCTGCGCATTCATACCTCGAGGCCAAGTCTACCGTGGGGACAGTCCCAATGCTCTGACCATAGAGGATAATGTTCTCGGGACTCACGCCATACCTGGAGAAATCAGAGGTTGTATGCCATTAGCTAAGGTATGAAGAAAGAGAGAAAGGGACAGAGAAACCCGCCTCTTAAACCCATAAAATTCCCACATCCACCAGCTTAAAACCATATCATCTAACTTGTACACTTTAGTTTAAGATGAATGTGAGCTTGACAAAAACAATTGTTAGGGGCCTGTTTTGGTACTAAGTGACTATGATTCTGCCTTCCACAACATTTGCAAAAAACAATAAACATGATATTATTTTTCTGGCTAATTAAATATATGCTTTATAAATTTCATTTCAGTAGCTACAAAGATGGTCATCTCATTTCCTATTATTCCCCCTTTATATTTTCTTTGCTAATCATAAACACACTTCTGAAGTAAAAACAAAAGCAAGTTTGGCAAATTGCAATATTAAAAACTCGAAGCAAAGTTATCATGATACAAAATATATTAACATTTATCAGAAAAAGTTTTACTGGGAGACAATTAGTTTGAAGACAATTATATTTTCTTTAGTCTCCCTCAGGGTTAAACCCTTCCAAGTCTTTCAATCCATCAGTGGGTTCCAATCCATTCTCTTCAAATTGTTAGTTAAGTAAAGGGCTGTGTGGAATACAGGCTTCATTTCCCAGCCTCCCTTGCAGCCTGGTGCGTGCAGAGACCTAAGTTCCAGCCAACCGCATGTCAGCAGAAGTGACACGAGCAACCTCCAGGTCATGCTTTAAAGTGAATGGTGTGCATTCCCCATGCCTTCCGCCTTCCTGGTGGTGGCAAGTAGATCACAGTGAGCCACCTCAGCCCATGCAGAAGGATGCGGCACCCTAGATATGATGGTGGAACAAAATAGAAGGAACCCGGGAAAATACATGCTCTCTTATTATCCTACAAAGGATGTCCAGAATATCTAAAGAGTGCTTAGAAAAGAAAAAGAAAAAGACAAATAGGCGAAAGAAATGAAGACGAATGTCTAATACACACATAGAAAGATGTGATAATTTCACTAGAACATGAAGATGCAAATTAAATCCATGAGTTACTATTTTATACCCAAACGATAGGCAAAAATGAAGAAGCCAGACAGTGTTGAAAGACGGCAAGGACATGGAAAAGTGGAACGCTGTTACTTTGTAAATTAGTACAAGCACTTGGGAAAACAATTCAACATTATCTGGAAAAGTTGAAGCCCGTGAGCCAACAATTCTCCTTTTCGGAATAAATACGTATTGCAGCTTACAGGACAATATGAAATGCTTTCTGATAACGGCGTTCAGTGAAAAGAACTATCAATCCACAGCTGATGGAAATGGCAGGATTTCAGCCCAACTTCCTCCCCTCCAAGCTCCACGAAACTCCATGGAAGAATGGAGGCCCTAAAGAAAGAATTCAGGGCATTGGAACATGCTTTATGGAGAGCACCACACCTGGGCTGTGCCATGGAGACAGGAATTAAACACATGGAGGTGAGGACTTTCTATGGGAGACGTGCAACGCATACCCAATGCAGCAGCAGGAAAGCACTGGGCCGGCCGGCAGGGGATGTGCTAGGATAGCGTGAATTGGAAGCTAAAGGGTTACGGGCTGTCCTGGAGATGACGGCCACTGGAGTGTCCAAGGGTGAGGTGACAATGGCAGGCAGGAGATGACAGCATGAAAAGGAAGCTGGGAGATCCGGCAGGGGACTATTAAGAATCATGCAGAAGAGAGGAAATAAAAGATTATAACAAAAACAGCATCCGTCCTCCATTTCTAAAGTGAAGTGTCTGTGTGGCCCTGCAACTTGACACCATCCAATAAAACTGTGCCTATGGAAGAGGCCCCCAGATGCAGGTTTTGCCTGGCGTTCTTGCCTGGGGCTTCATTCCCGTTGGCGTAACAGGTTACTAAAAAATGGTCAGCATGGGCAGTTTTGGTGGGGAGGTTTGAGGAAACAACTGATACAGCAGCATCCTGTGCCCAAATCCACATCAGAGACCACGGATTTTCAAACACAAAGCACCCTCCACGAGGACTAAATGGGGAGAGGGGTTAGAAAGGAACACTGTTCTCATGTCTCAATGCTGAAGGTAAGCTGTCCCAGGGATCTCCCCAGCAGCAACTGCCACCAAGATCCTTCTTTCACGGACTGGGAGGGCCGTTTCAGCAGGAGTTCTTAACCTCAAGTCCAGGGAGTCTTTGGGGAGAGCATAAATAACATCAGGGGTCTCCTCCTCCCTCCACAATTTTCATCAGATTTTCAAAGCAGTCTACGACCCCAAAAAGCATATGGACCATGAGATGTGGCATTACAGGGAGTCTGCAGGCACCTGGAGAGAGAGAGCCTCCAATTTCCACATTTGGGGATGAGTTCTTTCCACAATGACCACTCTTGTGGACAGGCCATTCATTTTCCTATCAATTATTTTTAAAAATCATAAATCAAAGAAAATATAAGAGGAGGAGAGAAGTGAAAACTGAAGGCAGTTAATGAATGACGCACAGAAGATTAAGAGATGATTAATACTGAATATCAAAAATAAAGTAAAAGACTTCCAGGTAAAAATGGCAACCAGACTAGCCCTCACCTTCTTTGATAAAATCTGGTCTGAGAGGATTATATAGGATAACATTATCATAGTTATGAGGAAGTGTTCATTTTACTTCTTATGACGAGTCCAACATATGTTTTCAAAATCCTGTCTTCTATATAACACGCCATGGGACTTTATAAGCTCAGAGGTTGCACTGAATAAAGGAAGGAACAGGCACCGACCCAAGAGGCACAGCCCAGGAGACAAGGCAGAGGGAAGCGCCCTGGCCATCAGGCAGGCAGCTCTTTCTCCTGCCAATGTCCTGGACCAGCCATCCTCAGAGATCATGACCTTCTTTAAATGCCTTCTGGAGAAGCTAGAGCTATTGTGCTTGAGGATTCTCAGTTCCTAGCCTTCGGTTCTCAGCACTAGGACACACCCAGTACCAGTGTCTACAAAGCCCACCTTTGATTCCAATGGACTCACATCCTTCGTGACAACCAACTCAAAGTTTCACTGAAAAATGTCACCAGGTAAAACACAAAAAAGCACTAGTCATAAAGAAAAAAAAAAGACAGAAAGTATTACATTAAAATCAAGAACTTCCGGTCATCAGAAGACACCCATAAGAAAGTGAAAGGACAAGCCACCAAGTGGGAAAATATATTTGCCACAGAGCCTAGATCTAGCATATACAAATAACTACTACAAATCAATAAGACAACTGACTAAACAAGAAAAATAGAATTTCACAAAATAAGAAAAAAAGAGGGGAGGGAAAGACAGAGAAAGAGAAAAAAAGAGAAGAGTTATTCAACTTCATTAGTAAAAAGGAAAATGCAAATTAAAATAATCATGTGATACTCTACACATTTATCAGATTGACAAAAATTCAAAAGCCTAACAATATTAAGTGTTGGCAAGGATGTGTACAAGAATGCTCATTCACTGTTGATGGGGACTTATGTTGATAGAATCAGTTTAGAAAAAGTTTGGCAATATTAAGTGACATGATTTATTAGCACATACCCAGGAACCTAGCAATTCTACTCCGAGATAAATTCAACACACAAATAAGTGCTTACATATACCAGAAATATCTACTAGACTGAGTGCATGTCTACACAGAGACAGCCCTAAGGTATATCAACAGCAGAGTGGATAAAGAAACTGTGGTATGGTTGTGCTGTAGAATATGTACATGGACACTAAGATTCATATTTTTATTTCAATAGTTTTGGGGGTACAGGCGGTTTTTGGTTACGTGGGTAAGTTCTTTAGTGGTAATTTCTGAGATTTTGGTGCACCCGTCACCACCAGTGAATCTTAAAGTCATGCTGTTAAGGCTGGGCGCGATGGCTCACGCCTGTAATCCCAGCGCTTTGGAAGGCCAAGGTGGGAAGATCACTTGAGACCAGTAGTTTGAGACCAGCCTGAGCAAAAAAGCAAGACACCATCTCCACAAAATAAAAAAAATTAGCTGGGCAAAGTGGCGTCCCCTGTAGTCCAAACTACTTGGGAGGCTGAGGTGGGAGGATCACTTGGGCCCAGGAGGTCGAGGTGAACAGTGTTCATGCCACTGTACTCCAGCCTGGGTGACCCTCTTAAAAAAAAAAAAATGCTGTTAGGGAAAAGAGGCAGATACAGCAGAACACACATTATGTGACACCATTTACAAAAACTTAAACCTACCAAAATTAAACATCATTGTTTAGGGATATTTAATTGGGTGGTAAGCCTATAAAGAAAAGCAAGGAAGTGAATCACTAAAGTTAGGATAGTGATTACAGGCAAAAAGGGAAAGGGTCATCACTGGAGAGAAGGATGTCCTTCCTGGGGGTTGTAAATGCTGGGGATAGTCTATGTCACACCACAAGTGTTCCTTTTATAAGTCATTAAGCTGGACATCTGTATTTTATGAACTTTTATGTATGGCAGTTATATTTCATGACAAAAAAATTCTTTAAAAGCTCACCAGATACTTCAGATATGGAGACAGCCCTCACAAAACTGTGACAACTCATGGTAGATTTTGTGCTAAAAATAAACCTCATGAGGCAACATCAGACCATTAAAAATGATGTCTCATAAAGAATCAACGTGGGGAAACACTCATGTTAATTTTAACAAAAAGCAATGAAAAGGAGCTTACAAAAACAGGGCCACAATTACATTTCTAAAGAGAAATCTTTACATGGAAAAGGGACTTGAAAGCAATACATGAAAATGGTAATAACTGTTGTCTTCAGGTGGTGAGACTGAGTAGCTTTTCTTCTTTCAAATTTTCATTCCTAATTTCCTTTAGTTATTAGGCAGTGACTTGTTGGGAAAAAAGGGAAGCAGTATCGCTAGTCCTTTTTGTGTAGAGTCAGTAGGCATGCTGCGAACTGCCAGCGTTTTTCAAAGGGCTCAGAAAACAAGAGCGTGCTAAGTCAAACGCTCAGATTTGTTAGCACTGTGTTAAGGACTTTGCCATTGCTTTTTCCTGTCTTTACTATACTGTTGGACAATAAATGAGGAACCAAGGAGGTAGATAATTCTGTGAAAGTATCAGGATTTTTAGTAGAACAGTAAGAGGCCTCTGTTCTAACACCCGGTTTTAGCAGGTGAGGACAACTCTTTTTACTGTAGTACTAGGATTTTTTTTTTCTATCAAAGTATTAGACTAGTGACCTCTATGCCAATGGTTCCAAAATGAGAAGTATCTGAATTACTTGGGAAATTATTATTATGTATTTATTTTTCATGTAAACTCCCTGGCTCTATCTACACTTATTAATTCTGATTCAGTGGGTGTGCGGATTCTTCAAACTAAATACTGACTGACATTGGGCAAAAAGAGTTGGACTACAGCCTAAGGCCCCTTTAGTTCTCAGATTAAATTACATAAAAGACAGAGGGGGGAAAAAAGAGACAATGAATTAAGTTTGTGTGAAACATAGGTCAGTTTAACATCATAGCTTTAGAAAAAACATAACAGGATCAAGTGAAAAGTATTTTCTCAAAAAACATTAACAGTTCCAAAGTCTAAAGCCTTTATTTTAGAATAAAACAGAAGTTAAACCCTACCAGTCTGGAACAAGGCAGTATTTTTGGAGCAGCCAGAAACAATATAGGCGACACAGAAGATGTATTCATAGCCAGGCACGGTGGCTCACGCCTGTAATCCTAGCACTTTCTGAGGCCGAGGAGTGCGAACTCCTTGAGGCCAGCCTGGACAACAAAGTGAAACCTTATCTCTACTAAAAATACAAAAAATTAGTTGGGCATGGTGCTGTGCGCCTAGTAGCGTCCCTGCTACTAGGGAGGCTGAGGTGGGAGGATCACCTGAGCTCATGAAGTTGAGGCTGCAGTGGGCTGAGATCACACCACTGCACTCCAGTCTGGGCGATGGGAGTGAGACCTTGTCTCCAAAAAAACAAAACAAAATAAAACAAAAAGATGTATTCATGCAGGATTTTTAGCATTTTTAATTATGATTTGCTATTTTGGGGAGTATCACAATGGGAAAAGGTTAAAAATGATTCCTGCTAGTCAGCATGACCTTTGTGGGAAAGACGCAGGGAGGACAGGAACCGCAGCAGGGCCTACACACAGCGCTTTCTATCCCTAAGGCAGCATTTTAAAAGTAAACATTCCTGCTCCCTAAGTACACATACACAGCCGGTAGTGGGTGAGTGCGGATCTAGAGGCCTTGGGGGCACTCCTCCACAGACTACACCAGGCCAGACCATTCTCCTTCCCCTGCCCATTTGCCCCTGCTCCCTGGCATTGTTGAAGACATGTTGGTTCTTAACAAGGGTTAACCTTCCACTTGAGCGCCAGATTCTTACCCCTCCCAGAACTTGAAGAATCTCCTCCCCGCCCCTGTAAAATTTCAATCTTTATTCTCTCAATGCCACAGATATATCCAAGTCTCTGAATCTAAGAAAGGACCTGTTTTCATCAGCACTCTGTGCTTGAGGCCACAGCCCCATCTCTTACCTCCATTTCCCCACCACCCCACCCTCCCACCCACTCAACCCTAAGCCCTCTGAAACCTGCCTTCTGCCCCTATGAAGTCTTGCAAACAGCTATCAGAAGTACCAAACCCAACCACTTTTTCTCACTTCTCATCCAGTTCAACTTCTCCTTGGCAGTTCACATTAAGAACGATGCCTTCCTTCTTAAATTCCATTCCTAGGCCTCTGAGACCCGGAGTCACTCTTGGTTCCTCCTCCTGCCCCTGCCACAAATGGGCCTGGCCTACTTCACTGGCTCATCTTCCCCAAGCTCTAGTCTTACTATCACACTCTTATATTTTCTCTCCTACAATCTCATTTAACCCCAGGACTTCAACTAGCAGCTCTATGCTGGCCTGATGGCTAATTTTACGTATCAACTAGATTGGGATAAGGGATGCCCAGACATCTGGTAAAACATTATTTCTGGGTGTGTCTGTGAGGGTGCTTCTGGAAGAGACTAGTATTAAATCAGTAGACTGGGTAAAGAAAGCATCATCTAATCCATTGAGGGCCCAGATAGAACAAAAAGGTGGACAACAGGAAAATTATCTCTCTCTTCTTGAGCTGGGACATCGATCTCCTGCCCTTGGACACTGGAACTCCTGGTTCTAAGACCTTCAGACTTCAGGACATACACTTGTATCCTTCCCCTGCCCACTTTCACCCCCCGGCAAGATTCTCAGGCCTTTGGCCTCCAAGTGGGAATGCAGCACCATCAGCTCCTCCTGGTCCTCAGGCCTTTGGACTGGGATGAATTACATCACAGCCTTTCCTGGGTCTCCAGCTTGCAGATGGGAGATCATGGACTTGGCCTCCATAATCACGTGAGGCAACTCCCATAAAAAAAATCTCCTCTTATATATGTATATACAGTAGAGTCCCCCCACCAGATTCATGGTTTTGCTTTTCACGGTTTCAATTACCTACAGCTCAACTGCAGTCTGAAAATATTACATAGAAAATTCCAGAAATAAACAATTCCTAATTCTGAGCAGCATGATGAAATCTCACATTGTCCCACTCCGTCCCACCTGGGATGTGAACCCTCCCTTTGTCCAGCATACAGAGTCTACACTACCTGCCCATTAGTCACTTAGTAGCTGGCTGGGTTATCAGATCAATTGTCATAGTATTGTAGACTTGTGTTCAAGTAACCCTTATTTTACTTCACGGGGGCTCCAAAGCACAAGAGAGGCGATGCTGACAATTCGAATATGCCAAAGAGAAGTTGCAACATGCTTCCTTTAAGTGAAAAGGAAGTTCCCAACTTAATAAGAAAACAGACAACTGCTGCTGAAGTTGGTAAGATCTACAATAAGAACAAATCTTCTACCTGTGAGATTACGAAGAAAAAAAAATTGTGCTAATTTTGCTGCACGTACAGGGCTTCCTTTAAGTGAATAGGAAGTTCTCAACTTAATAAGAAAAGAGACAACTGCTGCTGAAGTTGGTAAGATCTACAGTAAGAACAAATCTTCTACCTGTGAAATTACAAAGAAAAAAAAACTGTGCTAATTTTGCTGCATGTACAGGGCTTCCTTTAAGTGAATAGGAAGTTCTCAACTTAATAAGAAAAAAGACAACTGCTGCCAAAGTTGGTAGGATCTACAGTAAGAACAAATCTTCTAATTGTGAAATTACGAAGAAAAAAAAATTGTGCTAGTTTTGCTGCATGTACAGGGCTCAGGACTATCCTCAGTTTCAGGTATCCACTGGGGGTCTTCATCTTTTTTTAATGCATTAAAAAAACAGCTGCTGGGCATCTCCCTTGGACCGGACATGAAACCTTTAGAGGACAGAAAGATGAATGCAGTATGTTTGGTGGCCTCCAGGAGCTGAGTCTAACTGGGGAGCCAAGACATACATATAAAAGGGGAGCACGAGCAGAAGCAAGGCTATATGTAAGGTGAGTAATTCGGACACAGATGTCATGGCAGATGAAGGAAGGGGATCAAGACCAGGCAGGGTACAAGCTATGTGGGCAACGGCAATGTCTGCTCTTGGTCAACTACTGATCTGTTTCCATGTCCACTAAACACGTGTTTTCATCAGATTCTCCCTGGACTTCATGAAATCTGTGGTCCTGACTTAAATGTGTAAGTAGGTATTTTCTGTACACTCTTCTCCAGGGAAAGGTCATTCTCACCAGTGAGACTAAACATATTCACTTTACAACAGAGTCTCAAGGTAGAGTGTCATCATATTTTGCCAAGATGAGTCTAGGACTGTACAGCTGGCCCTTGGGTCCCACGGCAGGTTCTGACACTGAAATCTGACTGAAGAGCTCAGACTTATGTAGAAGGACTGGAATTGGGACAAAACGTCTTGATATTAATGATGAGAATGCTGAGGCGGTAGAAGAACCATCATCATGACCTGTACCCCCTCACATTTCTTCCAGGCCAGAATTCTGATCCGTATGTCTCTGTACCTGAGCACAGTCCATCATCTTCAGCCCTTGGCGTTATAAACCCCAGAATCCTTTGACCTCTTGACCATCCTACTTTGGTCAACTCCCAGTCCCGGGAGTTGGCTTAGGTAAGGGGATTTGCCAGAGGGAGAAGGCAGGAAGGCAGACAGTTGATGTATTCTCCTACTACTGAAACCACGGGCCCATCCAAATGACCAGTGCAGCGAGTACAGCTGCACTGAAAATGGAATCCATGATGTTTCTGATCAGAGTCTATCGTAAGGGCTCAAAACTCTTGGGACATGTGTTTCTTCCCTCTAAGGAACTCAAGATATAGCTCAGAAGAAAGGATACTAACATGGTAGCAACAGGCAGTGTCCTGTTGCAAGTGGAAGACCGGCAGGGAGAAGTCACAGAAAAGTAAGTAATGAGGTCAAGTCTACCACAGGTCTGAGCAGGTGGCAGGATTAAAGCTGTTGGACATAGTATCAAGGGCTTAGTTAAGCAATAGAATCAGGAAGTCGGCATGTGTGGAAAGGGTAGGGCAAGAAAACAAAACAAATGAAAACAAACCCAGGCACTGACCAGGCAGTAGGGATTAGGAAGTCAGACGGGGAGCTAGTGCAGCCCCAAGTTCAGAACACACATAGCATCTGCAGAATAGATGTGTGACACTAGAGGCTTAAAAAGAAAGACGAACAGGCCAAAAGGGAAAAGATTTGAGTTAGGGAGAACTCAGCAGCCCACCTGTAAATTCAAGGAAATACCCAAATGACACAGAACAACAGGGGCTGTATTGGTCCACTTTGTGTTGCTATAAAGGAATACCTGAGACTGAGTAATTTATAAAGAACAGAGGTTTATTTGGCTCATGGTTCTGCAGGCTGTACAAGCATGGGACCAGTACTTGCTCCACTTCTGGTGAGGCTTCAGGAAGCCTTTCTCATGGATGGTGAAGGGGGACGCAGCGTGTCACATGGTGGGGGAGAGAACAAGAGAGATGTCAGGTTCTTTTTAAGCAACCAGCTCTCATATGAACTAATATAACAGAAAGAGAACTCATTACCATGGGGAGGGCACCAAGCCATTCATGAGGGATCCACCCACATGACCCAAACAGCTCCCAACAGACCCCATCTCCAACACTGGGGGTCACATTTCAACATGAGATTTGGAGGAGACAAATATCTAAACCATATCAAGGGCAAAATCAGGAAGGATTCTGATTTAAAATACATATAAAACAAAATTCAACATGTAGGGCAGTAGCTAAGGCATGGTTAATGGAGTTGTTGCCTGTGGAACCTGGCAGTCAGGATGAAAGAGAGCTCACAGGTAGGCTGTGTTTTCAGGGGCCAGGGGAGGCTTCTCTACCTTTGAAGGGATGAGGTGAAGAACAAAGTATTTTCTGCATCAGCAAAAGGTGCTTAATAAATATCTGCTGTTGACTACATCATGTCATTCTGAAAATGTTCTCCTCTGGTTCCCTTAATACCACATTAGCTAGATCTACCCTGCTCTTTCTGGGCACTCTTCTTCTGTTTCCTTTGGTCACTCCTCTTTCTTCTCCCACACAACAGGTTGGCATCCCTCAAAGCTCAATCCTCACCCCTTTCTGGCATCTTTTGTCTTCAAATTGATTTCCTTGTATTAATAGAACTTGTCCAATGCCAGCATCTAGCACAGTGGCTGACATATAGTAGTTATATGATAAATATTTGTTAAATGAATAAATGAGTGGCCAGACTCTCTAAAATGTTTGTTCATTTGCCCCCAGTATTTCATCTGAACTCTAGCCTCCCCACCCTTCCTTTCTTTTGATGCTTCCTCCTGAGCACCCCATCCCTTCACATGTAACATCTCCCAAACTTGACACTTCATATTCGTTCCCCAATCTTTCTGTTTCTATCAATCACCATGCCCTATATCTCATGGGCTTGGGAACTAGGATGAATTTTTCACCTTTCTCTCCCCTTTGTCTCTCACACACTTGTAGTCACTAAGTCTCACCATTTCTATCTTTGAGATGTTTTACAGACCCATTGTTTCTCTGACACCACTTCTGTTGCTTTGTGGTGGGCTACAAATGGCAGCATCTTTTGGACAATTAATCAGGGCCTGCCTTCTGTTTGGTTTGTGAACCCGCACAGTTTGCCCAATGATGAACATCTCCATCCAGGTACCCAGAGTCTTTCTGGAAACCTTACTCTTGCTGCCTGTACATCCCCTCCATGGTGCTCAGACTGCCCCACAGGGACCTTGGCTGCCCAAACTTCCCACCTGTTCTGTCCTATCCTGTTGGTTTCTGTGTATCAGCTTATGGTTGAGAAGGAAGCAGGTGTTACGGTTCTTGACTACTGACCTGGTGTCAATCCATTGCTGTACCCTGACTCACGCTAACAGCATACACTCTGATGGCCTACCAGCTTCCATCCCAGCTTCTCCCTTTTTCCCAAGGCAGAACCTGAGAATCCCTCAGGCATAATCAATGCCCACAGCTGACTTCTTCTCTTCTCTCCCAGACCTGTTTTCCTTCCAATTCTATCTATATAAACTGTCCCACTCATGTCACTCCCTACTCCAATCCGTCCTTCCCAACAGATATATCTTCCTTGAAAAAAGAAAAAAAAAACAAACTTTTTTTATGCTGCTTTGTTCATCAAACTCTTTGGACAATCACTGTGCTTAGGATAAAAGTCCATGTCCACAATCTAGCCCCATCCGACTATTCCAACATTTTCTTTTCTCTCCAGGTGGCCCTTCTGCTCCTGTGGCTCAGGCTCTTCCCTCACTGGCTCATAAACACCCCCTGCCTGGAATGTTCTCCCTCCTTGTCATCACCTGGACAACTCTGGGGTCCTACAGGTCCATTCCGGTCCTACCTCGTCCTTTCACATTTCTTGACTCCTCCAGTCTACAGACATAATTTTCTTTCCTGAGCCATCCACTCAGATGCTTAATGACAGGAAGGTGGATGTGTTTAACTGCACCGTGGCATGCCCTACACTTACAATGACGATGTAAGCTCCACAAGGGTAGATAAAATTGTATCTCCCTTTGGGCAAGTTAACAATTTCCAGGCTCAGGGATCAGTGAGTTGGGGGGCACCTTTTGCTTTGAACAGAATGTGATTCTAGCCAAAAGCTGTTTTTGAACAAATTAAAATTAAATTTCAGACACAGTCATCATTCCAGTGGACATATAATCCATTCGAAGTTTACCATCACCTTGGGGATCTAGACAGGAACAGAATCTCTTGCAGCAAAAACAAAGACCGTACTAATATTTAGTAAGCATGCAAGCATTAACATTTTTAAGCATGATGTAAGATTTTCTTAAAACAGAGCACAAGAAATTAAAGTCTCCCAATTTTTACCGGGGGAAGCCACAGCCCTGAATCATTACTCTTTGTCACGGGCAGTGCGATGTGTGCAGTAATCCCCTTTGCAAGTTTTTGCTCTCAGCCTCTCCCAATGTCTACCATCCTTTTGCAGTCACAGGCTATGCTGAGTACAGGTTGATCAGCACGAATTTGGGTTTCCATTCCCACTCAGCATATGGGAATGGGACATGCCCCCAAGAGCACCCTGAAACCGAGGGTTTGGCAGCCATCTCAGCAGCAAGAGGAAGCACTGAGGCAGGAAGTTCCTGCAATGGAGGCTGACAGCGCCAAGGAGATGGTGTCTCATGGGAACGATCACTTATAAAGTTAAAATCTGTTTGTTTTTGTTTTAATGTAAGGCTTGCTTTTCCTTCTACAACCATGAACAAGCCTGGCCTCCCTGAGACACACTGCATCCTGTTTAAGTTAATGGGCCTTGACTTTGTCCTTTGTCAGGAGCTCTCCCATTTATCTTCAGAGAAGCACGCTTGGCACAGTTCCACTGACTTTGAAGTCAACATTTTAAATATTTCAGAGTTAGAATTCCTAGTGGAAATATCTTAAGACATAGGAAGAAGATAAATACACAAGGTAACGTGAATGTTAACTGAAGGATGAGGTCTGAGGATACTGAGAAATCCTACTAACTTTATAAACTTTAGATAAACATTAAAAAAATAAAAATTAAACTTTAGAGAAAAGCCTCAGAATAAAAAGACTGACTATGCAAGGGAAGCAGGTGTGTAAATAGGACCAGCCAGAAAACACAGTCCCTCGGTCATGTGGAATACTTTTGCCCCAGGCAAACCTTTTAGCCAAAACTTAACAAACGTGCTTTATATTTTAATTATGAGGAAGAGGAGGAAAAAAGCATCAATCACCTAAAATGTACTTATTGTTCCTTAAAATACAACTTTGTTTTGAGGAACTGTCAAAAAAAACAAAAACACGTTTGTAGATTTGGAAAATTTTTTAGCATTATACTAAGTAAAATTTCACAAACAGACTTCTATTGGTTGTTCATTCCAATGGTGAAAACAAAGAAAACACATTTTAAAGTATCCGCTGTTTTGGTGCTATGTGGATAAAAATTTAAAGGTTAGTAATGTCTGCTGTATATTTTTTCCTTTTTCTAATTTTTAACTAATTTGATTAAAAGGGTCATTTATAAGCAGCTCATTATAACCCCTGGAAGTTTCTAAAACCTGGGCACAGTCCAGGTATTCTCTCAACAGTGGTTATAAAAGAAAACATACCAAATACAGCATTAAAAGTAGGCTCAGTCCCTTCAAGTAACACTGGATGTAAGGAGGGTAAACCATGTGCTCTTGAGTTACAGGTCTTTGGGGGAAATAATGAAGGAAATGAGATTCAAAACAAGAAATAACACTAAAACCAAGTATAAATGTAGGCAAAATTAATATTATGGTCAAGTTCATTGAGGTACAGCAAAGAGAATGATCGAAATGGGGACCTGAAAGTCGGAAAAAGCTTCAGGTAGAAGGTGGAGCTCAAAGCCAATGTCAAAGGAGAGGAGATTTAAAAACATGAAGAAAGGCAATAGCAGCAGGGGAGGGAGAGTCTCTCTTGAACACGGCACTGGAGCCCGCCCTGGCTGGAGCGAGGGTTTGATGGTAGGCAGCGGCAGGGGCGTAAAAACAAGGAGGAAACAGAGTGTGGAAAGGCTTGGGAACGCACACAAGATCCGACAAGGTGGAGGTGGGTGGTGAGAGTGGCAATGGGAAGGAGGGTGCTGGGTGGGAAGAAGTGCTTTGCAGAAGAGTGTTGCTCTTATCCCACATGCATGTAGCAGGTAGAGGGGCACAGGGAGAGATTCAAAGACAATTCTATAGGTAAGTGTTGAGAAAATTGGCACAAATTGGGAGGTTGGGAAGGAGATAATAGGTAGAGTTGGATTTTTGTCTGTTTCAGTAGGAAATAAGTTTAGTTTGGGAATATATTGAGTTTCAGGGAACTTTGGAACATGCTAATAAGCAGGGCATAAAAGGTTAACCTCTCAGGGTTAATTACAAAGAAAAATCTTCCTGAAACTGGATATCTATGTTAAGAAAGACCAGTCCCTGAGCTCTCCTCATTCTTTCTCCTGCCACAGTGCAGAGGAAGACAAGTGGCCGGAAGTAGCAGCCTGGGGGATATCTGTTCAAGCAAGGACACAGGAGCAGAGCTAACAGCAGAGGCTCTGGAAGGCCCAGGTCCCATGCGAGATGATGATACCATAATGCACAGAGTAACAAGGGCATTTTAGGAAAACATAACTTACAAAAGGGCTTGGTGTGGTGAAATACCTGCTAATCAATGTAGCCTTTCCTAAACCTATTCACTCATTTCAATACATATCAAGACAAGCTTTACCTAATTTTTGTAAAGCAGCATCCACCCTTAATGTATGATGCTTCATTCTATCCTAGATGTTTGAAATTCTTTTCAAATAGTGGTTCAAGGAAGGGCCCTCTGTGTCATGTCAAAATCTACCTTCAAAAGAATGTAATACTTTATGACATTCAAGACTATTCTCTCCTACCATATACCCTTTCTCTGTGCCAAAGCAAAAATAAACAAGACCTGACATGATGACTTCATTTTAATTTTTTAAAATTTAAAAAATTTTATCTTCCATTTTTCAGAGGAAAAGTTATAGTCCTAAAAAATATAAAATTAAATCTCTTTGGATCTGCTACAAGTAAAATAGAATAATTTGCTTGAACTTATCTGAGTATAATTGTGCATGAAACTGTTCTAATAATAATGGAGATTCTTTTGGCATTCTGTAATTATTTAACATGTTGGAAAAGCCAGAAAATGCTGCCTTCTCTCTACAACTGCACAAATATCTGTCGAATGGTTAGAAAGCTACCTCCTCCACAGGGCATTTGAGCAGACTGCACAAGCTGGCTTATATAAAACATCTAGGCCAGACATGGTGGCTCACACCTGTAATCCCAGCACTCTGGGAGGCCGAGGTGGGAGGATTGCTTGGGCCCAGGAGTTCAAGACCACTCTGGGCAACATGGTGAATCCCTATCTCTACCAAAAATACAAAAATTAGTCCGGCATGGTGGTGCACATCTGTAGCCCCAGCTACTCGGGAGGTTGAGGTAGGAGGATGGTTTGAGTCCGGGACGTGGAAGTTGCAATGAGCCAAGATCGCACCACTGTACTCCAGCCTGGGTGACAGAGCCAGACCCTGTTTTAAAAAAATAAATAAATAAATAAATAAATAAATAAATAAATAATAAAATAAAATTCACCATTCCATTTCCAAGAAACCCAGCCAAAAGTTAAGGTACAGATTTCATGAATTCTCTGTTGGGGAAAAAAAAACTTTAAATATTGAATTTAATTATCAATTTGATTGCCAAGGCTGAAAAATATTTCTTAGAACTAGAAACTCAAGTATCTAATTTCTAATTGTTTTATCTCTTTGTAGGATGAGTTCATACAAGTGCTATAGTGGAGGAGACACAGATGGTTGGTGAGTTTGCCTGCTTGACACTGACTTGCAAATGACTGTGAATCTGAGACAGCAATGCTACATTTAGCTCCTGCACTAAAACTGCTGAGATGTTTGCCAGGAAGTTCTTGGATAGTGACTTACTGGGGATAGAGAACGTGTATGACCTGTTCTGTCTTTTTGGAGCATCCCTCTGCCTCCCAGTCCTTGAACTCTAGGTGTGAATACATGTCCAGGTCTGGGCAATAAGAGTATTGAATCCTCCTGGCCAGAGTGACTTCTTAGGGGATAAGCCTAGGACCCAAGCCTGGTCAATCCCAGTCCTCCCCAGGATGTCAGCACCCTCTTCTGCTGAGCCTGGGGCCTCCTTGAGAATTACACAAGGAAGAAAGCAAAGCTGAGAGCAAGTGAGCCTGCTTGATGCCATCGTCTGAGGCCCTGTACCCAGACATGAGAGCTTAGAGTCCTCTCTCTTAATGCTGGACTAAAACAGGGATTCTGTAAGTAACCTGGAGTATGTGGTCATGACCATGAGGAGGTCGGGGACAGGGGAGGGAAGGTGGAGATTCGTAGAGGACATAGAAAGAAGAGTACGCTCTGCAATCAGACAGCACAAGGTCTGAACCCAGCTCTGCCTTGCACCTGTAGCACCCTCTCCACGGCCATAGAAAGGTGGAGTAAGGCTTGCCTCTGGGACTGCTGCAAGAATTAAATAGGCAGTGAGTGAAACTGACAGGCTGGGGCAGGCCAGCCTTAATCCTCTCTCCTGCACTTGTAGTCCTTCACCCATCCAGGCCACTTTCCTGTTTCCATAAACAGCGAGGCCTAAGTGGAGTCAAATGCAGCCCCAGGACACCACAAGGCCACATGTGAACTGAAACCTGAATGCTGGCCCACTTATTCCATCAGCTCTGGCTCAGCACTGCCCACTCTTGCTGTTTACTCCCTTAAATGTGTTTTGCAAACATTCAAAATGGAAGTGTGTTAAACAGACACTTTCCGCTGGGCAGAACCCATGAAGCAGCGAAGCAGCCCTTTGGCCCCTCCTTGATGGCATCTTCAGTTCTGTTCTCCTGGGCCTAATCCTCTCTTTGTGCCCGTCTTACCTTCTGTTTTCCTTGTATTTCCTACTTTCCATTCTGCAACCAGAAACCTTCTATCCCCCCACCCCGTCCTTTTTAAAAGCTTAAAAAGTTCATAGCATCATTTGTGGAAATATACCAAACACAGGATAGAAATGAAAAGGCCCTTAGAGAATCACACAGATGGTCCACTTTATTTCATAGAGAAGGAAACTAAAGCTCTGAGAGAGGTTAATGACTTAACTCAGAATGGAAACTGCCAAGAGAGCTGCTTGCGATAAGCCTATCAGAGTCTGGGATATGGACTAAACGTGGAGAAGCACGGTGAGCTCAGTGAATTACAGAAGCTGGCAGAAGCATCGCTGAATTGAGGTAGTCTGCACAGCTTCTGCATCAGGCACAACTGTCTGAATTCCACCACTGCAGCTAAAAAGTCTGGGGCAAGTGGTCCAACCCTGCTCTGGGTGTCCGTTCTCTCGTGTGTAAAATGGGGCTCTGAACTAACAAAGCTGGTGTGTAGCTGCCCAGTCACATTAGTTATCACCACCCCCTCCTTTAGCTCACAGGGAAAAGCAATTTGGAAGGAGTCTGTCCCCAGCACCAGCCTGAGCATCTCAGATGTAAATGGCACTTTAAATGTGAACATTCCATACAATGAGTGCAGAATCTCAGTTTGAGAAGATGAAGTTCTAGAGATGAATGGTGGTGATGGCTGCACAAGGCACATGTCCTCAATGCCACAGCACTGTACATTTAAAAATAGTTAAAATGGCAACCTTTATGTCTCTTTTACCACAATTTTTAAAAAAAGAGTCAGCATTCCTCCTAAATCTGGCTCATGCTCATCATTTTCTTATTACATAAGTACCAAGGAAAATTCCAGCTCTCCTGAATTCTAAATGAGATTTTATTATAAAAGTAAAAACAGTAAACAGTAAAATTTGTCTTTTATTGTAAAATCTCTAAAATCCAAGGGCATTAACAATTTGCAAAAAAAAAAAAGATTATAAAAATATACGTGTCACTAATACTTTTACATATCTGGTGGAAAAATATACGTGTTCTTTTACATATCTGGTGGAACATTCTACTCGTGATCTATCTTGCTGGTGAGGTAGAAGGTTCAGGGAAGCCTGGTGGCAATGACAAACCTGGGATCTTGTAAGAACTCTTTTATTTAAACATGATGATGACTTCCCTGTCACGAAGACCTTCCATTACCTCTCCTCCTTGCCTGGATTTTTAAAAAGTACAACAAAGGAAAACGACTCCTTGGAAAAGCATAAGTCTGCCATCCTTTTTGGAGATGAAAGGATTCCCTGAGGAACATCACTTCTAACAGGATGCCAGTGCAGTAAGCGGAAACACAGACAGAAGTATTTCTTTTAGCAGTACCTTTCATTTGAACAAAATGGTAACAGAACTCCAATTTCTATATTTGAACACTCAAGGGCAGTTGTTAAAGAGGTTGGCTGCATTCTAAAATATCACCCCCACCCGTCTGTCAAGGACATGGGATTTGGGGTTCTGCGTGCCAGATCTGGTCCCCACGGCCTCCACACAGACGACGGGGACTGTATGACTCACAAGCCTTACCACATGGACTCTTCCATTTCCTTTTAAAGTCAGTCTAAAATAAGGCCTTGAAGTAACTTCAACATTATATTTTAATTAAAATACTATGTAGTGTACAAACATAATGAAACAAATCCTACACCCTGATTTATCATAAACAGGAAGCCTTTATTGGCCACTAAAAACATCGAGCACCATGACATTAATAATTCAAAATACCCAGCTAGCCACGTGCCATCCTATGCATTTCACCATAAACAATTACAATATCCTTATAACCCAGTTTTTGGAGTAAAATGCAATAACCAGAGACAAAGCAGCATAAATAGCAGATTCCGTTTCTTTTGCAAGCAACACAAGCCTGTAAAATCGTGCACTCTGAAGTAAGCACTTCACACGCTTTTTGTCCTGCGAGTCAACGTTTCAATCCACATTCTCAACCTTGGTGTCTTACATTTATCCTGTCATGCTAATGACTTTTCTTTGGCAGAACATACAATACTGTGTCTCCTAGTTTAAATCATTTCAGAAATGGAGAGGCCTCATACAAGCTGCATGCCAACAACGTCTCAAACAGCTACAGAAGTAGAACTGCGTTTTCATCCTGAAATAAAACTGTTTTGTCATTGCAAAAAATTCAGACTATGACAACATCTAGATGTATTCATCATACACACTAAGGAGCCTGGTGGAGAGGATCTCCATCCCCATCCACCCAGCAGGAACTCAGGGAGGGCATAGGAGGCCTGGCCACCAGAAGTGGATTCCATGGGCTATGCAGGACGGGGAACTTCAGGAACCCAACTGAGTGGTCCCAGATACTGGGGTTAAGATGTTCAAAGGAAAGGGTTCAAGGTGGAGTTGTTCTGAGCATATGAAATTTATTCCATTTCTCTGGTGAGGCTTATCTATAACCACCATTATGTCTATGCCTAGTTGCTCACTTTGAGCCCTTCTTGTCCCAGCTTTTTTTTTTTGAGATGGAGTCTTGCTCTGTTGCCCAGGCTGGAGGGCAGTGGCGCGATCTCAGCTCACTGCAACTGGGTTCACGTGGTTCTCCTGTCTCAGCCTCCTGAGTGGCTGGGATTATAGGCACGCACCACCAAGCCTGGCTAATTTTTGTGTATTTTTTTAGTAGAGACGGAGTTTCACCATGTTGGCCCCCAGGCTGATCTTGAACTCCTGACCTCAAATGATCCTCCTGCCTCAGCCTTCCAAAGTGCTGGGATTACAGGCGTAAGCCACTGCACCCGGCCTGAGTTCTCTCCTCTTTCAAAACCCACTGGACCTCAAACAGTCCTGTCTCTCTAAAATTCCACCCAAGATGCCATTAGGTTCTCGAACATATCAAACGTGCAAGTTCCTTTCCTCGGCCCTAGTATGCTCCTGCATTATTATTTCTAATACATCCGACTCCCTGTTGACAATTTACCATGCTTTTTTAGTTCCCATCAAAGAAAAGCAATGTGGAAAAGGAGAGTTTTAACTATATAATTTTAAAGGTAGTCAAGAACTGTTTTTTTTCACCCAAAACTTGAAAGCAATCAGAATGATATATAATCTTCTATACAGTATTAACAAATGCTTTCCATAACATAACTCCATTTGTATGCATTTTTATCATAAAAAGCTTGTTTTTCACCCTTTTCTACAACATATTAGAATTCCTCAGATTGAAAAATGTGAAACAATATGAACAAAATATTTATGAAAATATTAAGATTTTATTAAGATTTCATATTCACTAGTTCTTGGGCACAAGGCAGAATTTATGTAAATAAAATGAGTATTTGAGTTGAGTATTACATAATAAATACCTCAGTTGAGCTTATTTTCTGCCCTGCTGGTTACACGCATACATGCTGGCTAGGTTCTCTCTGTGAGGCCTCCCAGGAACCAGAAATAGAGAAAGGAAGAATTTATTCCTCCAGTGGTTATCAGGCACCCACAATGCACCTTTGGTGCCCACAAGCTGAAGATACGATAATAAACAAGGAAGACCTGAGTTTTACTCTCATGGGTCTTATAGTCTAACAATCTGATGATAAATGCTATTTCTACTCTAAAATAAGAATGGCTGCTTTTAAAGTCTTGCCAATTCGTTTCATGTGGCTGGCACTCACGTGTCTCATCAACTCTTGAACAAGATACAGACTTTAGAAAATCTGTGCTTTAGGCCGGGCGTGGTGGCTCATTCCTGTAATCCCAGCACTTTGGGAGGCTGAGGCAGGAGGATCCCTTGAACGAAGGAGTTCGAGACCAGCCTGGACAACATAGTGAAACCACATCTCTACAATCAATCAATCAATCCAATCTGTGCTTTTTGATAACTAATTTGACTACTTGGGAGGAGATGCCCTTTTATCTTCAAAAAGTCTCAATTTGATTCACATGCCAGAAGGCCCTAAGTTTAGTGATTTACCTGGTTTCATCGACTTAGATGTACTAAAGAAAGTGAGGTCAAGGACTCTGAGCCCACAAATCACTATAGTCTTGACTCTAATGCCCAATAAAAATGCCCATAGGCATTGAGGTGATTTACCTGCCTTTAGATCTCCTATCTATCAAGTGAGGGGAATGGATGAGGCCTGGATCTGCCTCCTTTGGTCCTTCTCAGCTAGTCACTGTCACTTCTCCTAAAAGCTCAGCCCCACCAGGTGATAAAGCATGCTTGATCAGGTCAGACCAAAGGTGTTTTTCCCAGGGAGGACTGAGGTCTCATCTGTGTGTGAATAGCAGTCCTGGCTCTTAGAAGGCCCCTGTACATCAGGAAGACGCCAGAGACCATTCTGGTGAGTTTGTAGGTAGGTGAGTGTGCGTGCACGTGTTCATACAGTCACTCTCCTTAACAGCAGGTGCTTGCTCTTGTTCATTATTAGAAGGCACGTGGCACACAACAGAATAAAGTATAATAAAGTGATGATGGCACTCTACATACCCTATCTCTAATCCTGGCAACAGTTTACAAGGTGGTGCCACCAGCTCCATTACGCAGACCAGGAAACTAAGGTTCCTGCCAGGTAGATGAATCGCCCAAGACCACAACGCTCTTAGGCAGCAGAGCCTGGCTGTGAACCCAGGTCAGATGCCTGCCTCCAGAGCTAAGCCCCTCTGTGCAGAGCCATAAGTCTCCACGGAGCCACCAATGACGGCTGCACCCAGGGAGGAGTGGCAGCAACAATGCTGTGTCTTGAGTGGCAAAGTGAAGTCTGGAGTGCAGAGGCCTGACAATCCCTATGGATGTCACCCCAGCCCTTCCCCTAATACCACATTCACATTTTTAAATGATGAAGAACCAGAACCTTACTCGGAAACCTCAGAATTCATGGTGCAGCAGCAATCAGGCCAAAGAACAGCACACATGTCACCCGACTGGTCATTGGCCCCCTCAACCTTGGGAACGCTCACAGACCCCACTGCATGCAGCTCCTCAAATAACAAGCATTGGTTCACAGTCCTCACCCATACTGTTCCCTTTCTTCCCCACCTTTTGCTCACCCAATACTTGCTGAGTTACCTCTAGGAAATTGTCTTTATTTCTGGAGACTGATTATATTCTAATTTGAAAAGAATGCTATGCTATGACACTGATTGTTAGCCAAAGGATCAAGAGTGGCTCAAAGGAATCTGGACTATTCAAACCTTCTAGGATAGCAAGGCTAGCGAGGGCACACACAACATTCTTTAACAGAAGCACCATGGGGCTATGCGGTTCCACCTGCCAAACAACCAGATAGTTTGAATTTCTCATCTTAAATTTCTCAAGCAACCAGATACTCTAACACGCCCTCTCCACTGGCTGAACTGCCCTCAATCTCTGCTTAAATGCACTAAACTACTGAGTGACCCTAGACGATTCAGATCTCTCACCATGTGGGAGAAGGAAAGATTGAAAGTTCAGCTGTTCAAGGGCACGGAAAAGACATCAAGGTCAGGTCTCCTTAAGAATTCATCACACCCCCTACAACACTTTCAGACGAGTTAACTGTATTTTCTTTTTGTACTTTAAGTTAAACCTTTCTTTCTCCCTGTCTTAAACTACAAGATTTGAATACAGCTATATATGACCTCTGACAGAACTTATTTCAACTCCCAGCACTAGGCAGCTACAGACACACAGAAGGAACAGACAATCAGAGGAAAACTACAGACATGTAAAAAGATTTTATAAAGTTTATAAAGGGATCAACTTAAGAATCAAAGTAAATGAAAGCTATGGCACATTCCTTAACTACAATGCAAAGGTTAAGAAAAGAAAAAGGGTTGGGTGTGGCGGCTCACGCCTGTAATCCCAGCACTTTGGGAGGCTGAGGCGGGCGGATCACAAGGTCAGGAGATCGAGACCATCCTGACTAACCATCCTGACTAACACGGTGAAACCCCATCTCTACTAAAAATACAAAAAATTCGCTGGGTGTGGTGGTGGGTGCCTGTAGTCCCAGCTACTCGGGAGGCTGAGGCAGGAGAATGGTGTGAACGCGGGGGGGCGGAGCTTGCAGTGAGCCAAGATCTCGCCACCGCCCTCCAGCCTAGGCGACAGAGCAAGGCTCCGTCTCAAAAAAAAAAAAAAAAAAAAAAAAAAAACCAGAAAAAGAAGCAATTAACCAAGGGAGAAGGGAAAATCCTTGAAACTGGAGGGAAAAAAACAGATGCAGAAAAATCTTTTCTAAACTACTCCTGAGTCAAGAAGAAATCAAAACAGCAATGTTGGGAGCAGGCCCCCCAAAATCTGGCCATAAACTGGCCCCAAAACTGGCCGTAAACAAAATCTCTGCAGCACTGTAACATGTTCATGGTGGCCCTAACACCCAAGCTGGAAGGTTGTGGGTTTATGGGAATGAGGGCAAGGAAAGGAACACCTGGCCCGCCCAGGGTGGAAAACCGCTTGAAGGCATTCTTAAGCCACAAACAATAGCATGAGCGATCTGTGCCTTAAGGACATGCTCCTGCTGCAGTTAACTAGCCCAATCTATTCCTTTAATTTGGCCCATCCCTTTGTTTCCCATAAGGGATACTTTTAGTTAACTTAATATCTATAGAAACAATGCTAATGACTGGTTTGCTGTTAATAAATATGTGGGTAAATCTCTGTTCGGGGCTCTCGGCTCTGAAGGCTGTGAGACCCCTGATTTCCCACTTCACACCTCTATATTTCTGTGTGTGTATCTTTAATTCCTCTAGTGCCGCTGGGTTAGGGTCTCCCCAACCGAGCTGGTCTCAGCACAGCAACAATAGCCTATATAAACAAACAAACAAACAAACAAACAAACAAAAAACTGCTGGTGCAGCGGTTCACACCTGTAATCCCAGAGCTTTGGGAGGCCAATGTGGGAGGATCACAGGAGTTCAAACCCAGCCTGGGCTACATAGCAAGACTACATCTCTATAAAAATAAATAAATAAAAATTAGCTAGTCACGGTGGTGCACACCTGTAGTCCTAGCTACTCAGGAAGCTGAAGCAGGAGGATCACTTGAGGCCAGAAGTTCACGGCTGCAATGAGTTAGGATCATGCTACTGAACTCCATCATGGGCAACAGAGTGAGACCCTGTCTCTAAATAAATAAATAAATGAAATACATAAAAATTATAAAAATGACACCAGGTATTGAGAGGTGATATAATGAGAGTCATCTTGACCATCAAAATAAGCAAAGCTATAATACTACTAAACCAGAATGTAAAATTCGAGCTTAAAGAACCTGCAGATAATCACACAGAGCAGGAATTCTCACCTATCCCATGTCTGCAACAGCCCATCACTCTGAGAATGCCTGAGGAAGGAGACACTTCAGATCATCTCCATTCCAAGGGTCTGCTGACTCAGAAACGGTGGAGAAACTTTTCTGTATTTATGGGTTCAGTGTTTGGGGCAAATTTTGGTTCATGAGGTTGTATTCGTTGTTATATTCTCTGTAAGACTGGACCCTGATACCCAATAGGCAGTCACATCCAGAAATGAAACTATCCCATAGACAAAATCGTGTTGGTTAGGCACACTGCCCTGGTGTCTTCGTGCCTCTTCCCTGCAATTCTTTGTTTGACTCTGGTCACTCTGTAAGACACTAGGGTATAAAAACATAACAACAGTGGTTATATAATGAAGACAACATGGAAGTACTACTTGGTGCAGGATTTAAAAGACCTTTGATAGGATTTGTAATAAAAATTGTCAAAGTAAAAGCATGTCACTCTGTTCTCCTCCACTGAAACCCACCACCAATAAAAAGATTCCAAGAAAGGGCCAGGAGCAGAAAACTCCATCCCTGATAAAACTAGGAACAGAATGAATAATAGGAGGAGGGAACTGGAGAAGGAGAAGGAGGAGGAGGGGGAGAAAACAGCACTGCAGGTTACTTTTGTGCAGGAGCATCCATCACCCTCCCAGACCCACAGAGCTTGGGGGCAACTCTACCCAGTACAGACACCAGAGACCAGGCAGCAGCTGACTACAGGAGGCATTTCTAAACCTTATTTGTGGCTCTATTTTATATTTTTTCAGCCTTATTTATGTTTTTCCTTATGAGAATTTATCCCTTTTAATATTTTATACATCATTCTAAACAAGACATAACTCAATCATCAATCAAAAATCACTGCACTGTATAATACCCAACTTCCACAGTGACGACCCTGAGTCATTAATAAATTATTACACTGCCGATTTTCTGCTTTGATGGAAAAGAAGTACACAAGATATTTTAAGCCTATTTCATCACAAATGATAAGGGGTTTTTTTTGGAGGGGACGGGGAAGGAGGAGACAGGGTCTTGCTCTGTTGCCCAGGCTGGAGTGCAGTGTCATAATCACAGCTCACTGCAGCCTCAACCTCCTGGGCTCAAGTAATCCTCCCACCTTCTGGGATTAAAGGCATGCCCCACCACACCTGACTAATTTTTTTTAATTTTTTTTGTAGAGGTGGAGTTTTGCCTTGTTGCCCAGGCTGGTCTTGAATTTTTGGACTCAAGCAACCCTCCCACCTCAGCCTCCCAAATATCAAGGATTACAGGTGTCCACCACCACACCCAGCTAATTTTTGTATTTTCAGTAGAGACAGGGTTTCACCATGTTGGCCAGGCTGGTCTCGAACTCCTGACATCAAGTGATCCACCCGCCTCAGCCTCCCAAAGTGCTGGAATTACAGGTGCGAGCTACTGCACCCGGACTGAAAATGATTTTAAATTCATTCTGCTCAGAGGCCGTCAGGAGGACAGACCATACTGACAGGCAAATGCAAGCACCCCGTTCACCTCAGCTGCAGCAGGATGATGCCACAGCGGTTGGTCGGATTAGAAAGGACTCATGCCATCGGCCACGCAAAGCAGCAGCCTCTCTTCCTGCACTGATTCTGTGTGCCCCAGGAAACCTGTGGCAATGTGACTTTAAGTTGTGCCTGAACAGAGACAATGTGTTTATAACAACGCAAACATCCGCTTGACCTAATATTTCTCATTGTAAGTTAATAAACTATCTATTAAGAGTCATTTAGTGTGTACTAGCTGAGTCTGATAAACTGTGGAACACTGATAAGATGGGGTTTTGGAATCCCTAATACTATCCATGGTAAATTACCCCTTAGACTATGGTAATTCAACAAGAGATAATGAGCATAGGCCCTAACAACATGATCTAGTCAGTTCCTTCCTTATGGGACACCAAATGAAACTAATCTGGCTGTCAGCATTATTAAAATTACAGGACAGTCTCACCCATGGAGAAGTTCACCTGCAACTGTGCAGGCTTCATTAATAGCAACTTCTGTTCACACAGGCTGAGAAGTCAGTGGTGACCCCTGGGTCATGGGAGGGGGTGCCCTGATCACCAGCACATGTAACAGCCTTGGCAGCTCACAATGAAAAACACAGGTTTATAATATTGGAATTTAAAAGATTCCTTTGTGTCATTCAGACAAATGTGATACACACACACACACACACACACACACACATATATACACACACACAAACAATGGAATACAGCCATCCCTCAGTATCCTTGGGGGACTGGTTCCAGGACGACAATCCTCAGATGCTCAAGTCCCACAGTCAGCCCCGCAGAACCTAAGGATGTGAACAGTTGGTCCTCCGTATCCACAAGTTGTGCATTGCTTAAACACTGTTATTTTCCATCCAAGGTTGGTTGAATCTGTAGATGCGAAAGCTAACTGTACTACTCAGCCCTTAGAAAGATGGAAATCCTGCCAATTACAACAACATGGATGGTCCTGCAGAACTTTATGCTACATGAAATAAGCCAGACACAGAAAGACACATGCTACGTGATCTCACTTACATGTGGAATCTAAATAGGCAAACACATGAAGCACAGAGTAGAATGGTGGTTGCCAGGCGTTAGGGGAGACAGTAATGGGGAGGTGTTGGTTAAAGGGTACCAAGTTTCAGTTATATGAAATAAATATCTGGAGGTCTACCGTACAGTATAGAGCATATGATTAACAATACTGCGTTGTACACTTAAAAATTAACCAACAGGGAAGATCTCATGTAAAGTGCTCTTACCACAAAAGGAAAAAAAAAAAGGGTGGGCAAGAGAAAACTTCTGGAGTGATGGATAAGTTTATGGCAACAACAGTGATGACAGTTTGATGGTTTCATAGGTGTAAACTTCAAATACATCAAGTTGTATATATTAAATATCTACAGCTTTTTGTATGTCAATCACAGCGCAACAAAGCAGTTCTTTTAAAAAAGATTCCTTTCTCATAGTGAAGATAAAGGGGAAACATTAAAAAAAAAAAAAAAAAAGATTCCTTTGGCTTCTAGTTCAAAATGATGACCTGAGCCCATCTGTTCACTTTTCAACCAATCCAAACATCACTGGAAAAGCAGCATAAAAATTAGAAAGAAATAAACTTACAACAGCAGAGAGAATAGGAAGACAGGGAAAAATCAGAAGGAATTCCAGTGCGCTTCTCGGTAACTGAAGGTGTGTGGAAACAAACTGACGGATAAAATCGAGTGGAGAACTCTGTCCAGGACATGCTATAACAGGGCTGCAGGGAAGATGGAAACCACCTGAATCCCAGAGAGGATTCCGACTCAAAATTAGCATGCAACTAAAAATAGGTAAATTATAGGAAGTCTGAACAGAAAGTTATACAAATCCAACTCCCTTCCCAACACAAAGTATAAAGCCCTCCTGGGTGAGCTAAGACTTTTAGTTGGTGCTCTCAAGGAAAGTCATCCTTATGCTGGCACTGGGGGGCCTCCTTCCCTCCAGAAACAAAGTCTACCACAACAAGGAAGGAGGCCCCCAGTGCCCTACTGGCTGCGTGTGTCTGAAAGCCCCCAGCCAAATTTCCTCTTGCGGGAGAGGCCTGGCAAGGAATACCACCTTACGCTGCACAGAGGAAACCCAACCTGGTTACCCAATCTTTCCTTCCTCAGTGTAAACTGAAGAACAAAAGTGACGACAATGACAATAGCATTTATGGCACATCTGCTATTTTGCCTGTGATGACGATGACAATGACGATAGCATTTACGGCACATTTGCTATTTGCCTGGCACAATTCTAAAAGTACATGTACTAAATGATTTAATGTTCAATACCTCTAGCAGTTGGATATCATTATTATTAAAGTACTTTGCAATTAGGAAATGAAAAAGCCAAGATTCAGCCCAAATCTGAGCCAGTGACCAGGCTCTTTATCACCAAGCTAACCTACCAACATACAAGGAAAGCTAGCAGCATCAAAGACCCAAGTATCTTTCACAGAGGACTCAGACAGGTATGGGACCAGCATATAGGGCTTAAAAAAATAAGTATACTCTTGGATTTATGAAAATATATCCTTAAAACAAGAGCAGGATGTTATGAAAAAGGGAAGTCAAAGAGTTAAAAAAAAAAAAAGACAAAAAATGATGGGTAAACACAAAATCTAACTCACAGTCCCAAAAATAAAGTTGAAGAGGCCTCTCAGAATATCAAACAAAGTAGACAAAAAGATGGAGAATATGGGAGACAAGGAAAATCCAGAGGTCAGTATAATAGAAGTTGTAATAAAAGACACCTATGAAAATGTAGGAAAAGAAATTTTGAAAGAAATATTAAAGAAAATCTCTGAGACCAAAGGATCCAAGTCTTCAGTCGGTAAGGGCCCCCATTAAGTGTTCAACATAAATTAATATTTTTTTTTTTTTTTTGAGACAGAGTCTCACTCTGTTGCCCAGGCTGGAGTGCAGTGGCGTGATCTCGGCTCACTGCAACCTCCACCTCCCGGGTTCAAGTGATTCTCCTGCCTCAGCCTCCCAAGTAGCTGGGATTACAGGCACCCGTCACCACGCCTGGCTAATTTTTGTATTTTTAGTAGAGACGGAGTTTCACCATGTTGGCCAGGTTGGTCACAAACTCCTGACCTCAGGTGATCCGCCTGCCTAGGCCTCCCAAAGAGCTGGGATTACAGGCATGAGCCACTGCGTCCGGCCATTAATAATCATTTTTAAAAGACCCTCCCTTGGAATATTTTTGTAAAACTTCAGAACACAAAGAATATATATAAAAAAATCCTAAAAGCTTCCTTAGAAGAAAAAACAGGCCAGCTTCAAGAAACCAGAACCAGTCCAGCACCAGGCTCTGCATTCCAGGTGCCTACAGGACAATGCCTTCTACATTCTCAAGTCAACTGACCTTCAGACATGGATCCATCAAGTGGTTTCTAGAAAGTTTACCTCCTACATTTCCATTCCTTTGAAGATATTACAAACTTCCTCTAGCAAAACTAGAAAGAGAACCAAGAAAGAACAAGTAGAAACTGGAAAACAGGGGGCCCACCAAGAAAGGGGAAAGGCCTCAGGTGATCCCTGAGTCCTGGGCAGGGAAGCAGAAAATTAAATTGGGAGAAAGTGAAAGGTTCCAAAAGACAAGGGAGAGTGTGATGCAAAAGACAGTGTAACAAAGAAGACAGAAACATCTGAGCAAATGATGAAACCCCACGATCCTTTTCTAAACAACAAAAAGAAAAGGAGGCTGGTTGCGGTAGCTCACGCCTGTAATCTCAGCACTTTGGGAGGCTAAGGTGGGAGGGCTTCTTGAGCCCAGGAGTTCAAGACTAGCCGGGCCAACATGGCAAAACCCCACCTCAACAAAGAATACAAAAAAATTGGTTGGGCGTGGTGGTGTGCACTTGTAGTCTCAGCTACTTAGAAGGCTGAGGTGGGAGGATTGTTGGAGCCTGGGAGGCGGAGGCTGCAGTGAGCTGAGATCACACTACTGCACTCCATCCTGAGCGATAGAACAAGACTCTGTTTCCAAAAAACAAAAAGAAAAGGTGATCACAAAATTCAGGAAATGTAAAATGTAATATAAAGAAATCATGATTCAAAGATGAAATTAGATATATAGCAGTTTTTAAGCCATGATTGGAGTACACATTTGCCTTAAATCAGAAAGATCTACAAAACATGATCTTTGAATGGGCTGGAAGCCCTGAAACCATGTGTAGAGATGAAAATGTTACTCTAGCATAACACATATCCCCATAGTAATGATATTTGCTGATTTTTTAAACTTATAAATTCAAATGATAGAAATCAATGGAAAGTCACTTGTGACTACCAGAAAGAATGGAGATGTTTGCAACCTTAATCCTGTAGTAGTAAAAGTTAGGCTGACAGCAAGTAGGAACTGGGGGTAAGGAAAGGGAGGAGAGTTCGGGTGCTCATGCAAGGGGACAGAAGAAGAAATAAAGCTCATGGACATTACCTAAAAATTACAAACACTCTCAATGAAGAACCAAAAATAACTATAAAACACTGGAAATAGTAAAAGGAAGTCCGCAAAATTGGTTAACCAAGAAAAATTCTCACTTCTTTGCAGAAAGTCAACAAATAACTGTCTAAAGTTGTTCCTGGTTATTAGGAGTCAAGAGGAAGAGGGATGGCTCTTGCTTTTCTTCGTGATCTTTTCTGTTTGACTCGTTACATTGTCTGCATATATTATTTAAGTAGAAACATTAAATGTTATCATTAAAATGCTACTCATTTATTACTAAGTCTTCTCACTGGAAGGCTGGTATATCCTAATACCTAATAACACATCTTACTGTACTTATCAAGGCATATTCTCCATTAATACCCCAAAGGCATTCCTTCTTTAAAAAAATAGAAGAGGGAGTTACTACCCTGTATGTCGCCATCATCACTGTATGAGGACATGAAATGCTGGCATTATTCAGACTGACTGACAAAGTTACACAAAGTTATTATCTCTCTCCTCTACCTTACTCTGCCCTTCATAAATCAACCGTGTCTCTTCAGCTGTAGCAAAATGACGCCACTCTATTGGAATGATGCTGCAGTCCTCCAAGTCACCAGATGCTAATTTGCAGTAATTACATTTAAGAATCTGATCTAAAAACCAAGATTGAATATTAAGGTCAGTGGCAAGGAGATATTGATGGGCAAAGTGTGGGGTTTAAAATTACAAGAAGCGGCTGGGCATGGGTGGCTCATGCCTGTAATCCCAGCACTTTGGGAGGCTGAGGTGGGATGATCACTTGAGATCAGAAGTTCAAGACTAACCTGGCCAACATGGTGAAACCTCGTCTCTACTAAAAAATACAAAAATTAGCCAGGCATGGTGGCACATGCTTGTAATCCCAGCTACTCCAGAGGCGGAGGCAGGAGAATCACTTGAACTCGGGAAGCAAAGGCTGCAGTGAGCCGAGATTGTGCTACTGTGCTCCAGCCTGGGCAACAGAGTAAGACTCTATTTCAAAAAAATAAATAAATAAAATTTAAAAATAAAATAAAATTACAAGAAGACATTTAATATAGATAAATATTTTAAAGTCTTCAAAGCCAGTCAAAAAAAAAATAAACTACAAGCTAGAGACCTGATTTGGCAATAGTTTATGGGGGGAAATTTTTTGAGGGAGGATCTTATAATTGATCAAAAGCATGGGACTGTTAGAAAAGCTTACACGGGCAGTGTTCAAATCTCAAACAATCCTATGCTCCTAATCTAAACCACCTTCCTAACAACTCAAGTAGGCTTCTGTTTTGTTTTGTTTTTATTTAACTATTTATTTATTTTTCAATAATCAGGCAGTCTGTCTGAACTGGAACAGGTTCAGAGAGACTCCCCAGGCAGACCTCTGTATTCCATGATGATGGGGCTACCAGCTAGTAGTTCCGTTAGGCGAGCAGCAGCATCCTTACTCAGCAGTACTTGTGAAATCATGGGAATATTTTATTGCAACCATTTTCAAATTCTGTTTCAGAGCATCTTAAGCTCCCCAGGAACCTAGTCCAGGGGAGAAGGTTCGGCTTCCTACTCTGGTTCAATCCTAATTCAACTTTTGAAGAAAAATGGTTCCAATTTTTAAAAATAAAGATTGCCAAATAAAGATTTTAAAACCACTGTTAAAATGCATTTTGCAGCTGGGCACAATGGCTCACGCCTGTAATCCCAGCACTTTGGGAGGCCGAGGCGGGTGGATCACTTGAAGTCAGGAGTTCAAGACCAGCCTGGCTAACATGATGAAAATACTAAAGATACAAAAATTAGCCAGGCATGGTGGTGCACATCTGTAATCCCAGCTACTCAGGTGGCTGAGGCATGAGAATCGCTTGAAACTGGGAAGCAGAGGTTGCAGTGAGCCAAGATTATGCCACCGCCCTCCAGCCTGCGCAACAAATTGAGTCTGTCTCAAAAAAAAAAAAAAAATTTGTTGTAATTTTATAACGAGTGGAAAATAGAAAAAAATGAAAGTGCTCAAATTAATAATAAGCCCAAGACTCAAACTTAATATGGATGAGGCAAAGATGAAAAGTATTAGCTATGCCAAAACTCTTTTTTTTTTTTTTGGCCCCCATCAAATGCTCACTGGCCTCTGGCTGATAGAGTGTATGTTCAATTGTAAAGGAAAACAAGAACATGTAAAGCACATGTGTGAAAACCCAGAAATAAATGTCATTTAAAAAACTATTAATAAAAATAAAAATATAACTAGGGAAATATTTTTAAGTAAGCTTTCAATGAATGGAATCTTCCCTATAACAAGTCTATCATCCTGCTCAAAGCAATATTTTCAGAAATGCTTTTCAGATAATAGCAGGCTATTTGTTCATCTTTAAGCCTCATTAACTGGCGAGATGAGGTCATGGGGGAACAGACCCACTGCACTGCCCCTCGTCAGACCATACCTGCACTACGGGCCTGTCTCAGAAATTCTGCTCAACAGGGATGCGTTCGGAGAGAAGGACATGGATGGTGAAGAATTTGGAAATACCTTATACAAAGAATGGTCAAGGGAACTGGGAACATTCCGGCTGCAAAAGAGATTAAGTAAGAGAATAATTTAATCTACTTCACCCAGGATTTATTGAGGCTCCACTTCACGTTAGGTTCTGTAGGGAATTCAAATATGAACAAGACGCCACTTCTGCCTTCATGGAGCTTACAAACCAGCAGTTTCCAAGTATCTGATGGGATGTAAAGTGGAATGACAACCGAGAACTAGGGATTTAAGATGATTTCCTTTATTAATGGCATCTTACACTAGAGATCCAATCTACCAAGAAACCTACAGAGGCTCTAGACATGATCGTAGCTCTTCTATTGCCAGGGCCCCCTCATTTTAGGGTTAAAGGGAACTTCTTACTTTGTAGAAATTGTGGGGGACCTACAGACTGGCAAGAACCCATGAAGCAGAGACGTTTCCAACAAGGTCACAGGCCTTGTCTTACGCGGCTGTCCCTGTGGTCTTGAGACAGAAGCATGTCGGAGCTTAGTCTGTGGAATTAGGTCAAAGAGCCTTTACTGAGAACTGCCAAGGACCAGGCTCCTGAGCAGCTAGTTATAATCAACATCCTTTCTCCCTGGAGTACGCACATCTCCAGGAAGCCACCTGCAATAATAAGCCATGCTCTTGGAAGATAAAAGAACCCCCTTCTTTAGTTACCTCTTAGAGTTAGGCATGTTGCAGACTCCATAAACACATCAGACTGACTTTTAAAGATTTTGACTCCCTGTCTAAAAAGATGCAAGTCAGTAGGAAAAACTGGTCCTTGTTTAAATAATCAGGAATAAAATGTTGCTCCAGATTATTTAATATAGGTTATCATGGCTCAAGAAAACAATTACAGTAATGTCCACAAGCATACTGTAAGAATTAAAATTCAATTGCTCTAAATTTTTTTTTTCAGGTCAAATAGGGAAAGACTATGTTGCTAGACCATTTGGACACACTGCTTTATTTAGACTGACAAAAGCATTACAAAGCGAATGACAAAAATGACTACTAATGGCAACAAGTTAATCTGGGCAACTGAAACCCTGAAAACATGTAAAAGTCGAAAGAAATACATGGAAACCTTGCACTCACTACTTAACAGCCATGTGGGCTGCACAGAACCGTTCTTAGGAACCAAGAGAGTGTACGTGAAAGCGCTTTGAAGATCACAAACCCATTTAGAAATAGGTGGGTTGCTCTTCCTCAAATCTTTGAAAGCTGTCTACTACTATAAATTCATTCATTCATATCTTTCCCTCATTCCTTTCAGTTTTTTAAAAATGTATTCTATCCAACTTACATGTAAGCACTTTGCAAACACTCACTCATTTACTATGAATAACAATCCTACTATATTCACAATTATCATTTCCCCGCTTTACAGAAGAGGAAACTGAGGCACAGAGATTAAACAGTGTAGGCAGGATTCAAACTCAGGTGGTCTGGCTCTACTGTCCTTGCTCTTAACCTAGGCCCACCTACAGTTATCCAGGTTTCTGTTTACTAATCCTCAGCCATCTTCCTCTGATCAGAATCAACATAAAAAATGGTAAAGTGGTCAGAACCACCCAATCCAAATGGTGAGAGGAATCTGAATGGCCATTGCAATTCTTTCCTTCCTTTCAATTGATTTCCAAAGACTCAGGAGAAATTTTATGTCATCAGAAAACAGTTAGACAATATAGAATTCCATGGGGGGGAACCTCTCTAGGGGTATACAAAGTAATCTTTTAAAATGCAAACTGTGTAGGCCGGGCGCGGTGGCTCACGCCTGTAATCCCAGCACTTTGGGAGGCCGAGGTGGGCGGATCACGAGGTCAGGAGATCGAGACCATCCTGGCTAACGCTGTGTATTTTTTTATACTGCAGAAGATTATACCTAGCACTTAGCCCAACACCTGACATATATCAAGTACTCAATTTGTTGAAAGACTGCAATTTCTAAGCATTTTAATTTACTGTCATGCTCAGATACTGTATTTCTGAGAAAAGAAATCCAAAAATATATTAAGTAACACTATGAATTGAGAACACTGGTGTCTCAACTTTTAATCATGCATTCTTTTCCATAAAAATGAGAGCAGGTGCTCCCGATTTGTGCGTGTCTGTGTGTGTTTTAAAACACTACAAAATCCACAGAAATTGAAAACACACAAAAAACAATGAAAAATAATAAATATTAAGCCAAAATATAAGTTCTGGTTTTGTCTTTCTGCACCCCTAGCGTACGTCTTGAGCATTTTCTAGATGTCCACCCCCCGCCACCTTGGAAGACTATGCATGTAGTGAATATTTTCTAATTTTAGAGCATAGGCTCCAGGGTCAGGCTGCCTGCGTTCAAATCCTGGCTCACCTTTTAACATGGTGTGACCTGGGACAAATCATTCATCTATCATGGTCCTAAGTTTCTGCATTTGTGAAATGGAGACAACAACAGTTTGTGCCTCACAGATGGGTGGCGATTAAAATTATGTAATGTGTGAAATGTGTTTAGCATAAAACAGACGTTCAAGGAATGCCGGATACACCAGAACTACAATCTAATGCAAACTGCCTACTTTATAAATGGAGACAGGCTGGGCGTGATGGCTCACGCCTGTAATCCTAGCACTTTGGGAGGCCAAGGTAAGCAGACTGCTCGAGCCCAGAAATTCAAGACCAGCCTGGACAAAATGGCAAAAATCTCTTCTCTACAAAAAAATACAAAAATTAGCCAGGTGAGGTGCCCTGCACCTGTAGTCCCAGCTACTCAGGAGGCTGAGGTGGGAGGACTACCCGAGCCCAGGAGGTCAGGGGTGTGATGAGCCATGATTGCGCCACTGCACTCCAGCCTGGGTGACAGAGCAAGACCATGTCTCAGAAAAGAAAAATAATAAATAAATAAATATATGTGTGTGTGTGTGTGTGTGTGTGTGTGTGTGTGTGTGTGGTCTGTATATGGAGACAATGAGACCCAAAGATATTATAAGACTACCCAGGCCATACAGCTGTGTACCTCAATGTTTTTTGTTGCTTTTTTTTGAGACGGAATCTCGCTCTGTCACTCAGGCTGGAGTGCAATGGCACGATCTCTGCTCACTGCAACCTCCGCCTCCCAGGTTCAAGCCATTCTCGTGCCTCAGCCTCCCGAGTAGTTGGGATTACAGGCGCCTGCCACCACGCTCGGCTAATTTTTTGTATTTTTAGTAGAGACGGAGTTTCACTATGTTGGCCAGGCTGGTCTCGAACTGCTGACCTTGTGATCCACCCACCTTGGCCTCCCAAAGTGCTGGGATTACAGGCGTGAGCCACTGCACCTGGCCTGTACCTCAATATTAATGAAAGCCAATGTTCTCCCAGCTCCAGACCAGGGCTCTGTTTATGGCATACCACTAATTCTGGACAAATGGGACACACTCCTGGAGTTCCCTATCTTTCTTTCTGTTTTCCTTTCTAAGGCTGATTTTGAAAAAAAAAAAAAAAAAAAAAAAAAAAAGAACAAGACCTCAGTGGCTTTCCTTCGGTAACTATTTGGTATTAAATTTATCCACAACCTCCCTTAACTATACTCTCATAGTGCAATCCACATCCCAAAAATGGCAGGACACTGTTACCACGGCACACCAAGGAGAGCCTGGCTCTGTGGCTGGCTCATCACTGCGCCTGAGAGCTGATGTGGGTGGCAAGAAGACACTGCTAGGAAGTTAAGAGAGCTATGATTTGTACATTCCAATGCATGTACATTTTTCCTTAAAAAAAAAAAAAGACTTACAAAGTAGTAATAAGAGGCTGGGGGTGGAGTGTGAGTGGAACTGTAGATGCTGTAAGAATGGTGGAATGTTAATAGTTGCTGCAGGTGATGAGACCGCCATGGAATTTAGCTTAATATTTTCTGTACATTGTATATAATTTGAGATTTTTCCATTATAAAGTTTTGTTTTGTTTTTAATAAACAACATGGCAAAGTAACAAAAAGACAGCAAATGCACAGGTCTCATGGATCCGAGGAGATGAAGCTGATAGGCAGTCAGTAAAACTATAGATTTAGAAAAAAATTGTTTGAATTCTGCATTTTCATTATCAAGTGACACTTGAAGTATAGGCATATCCTTCAACCATAACAACCACAGTCACTTTTCCCAAGTATTATAAAAACATATTAGAATGAGCTGGCTGTCAATCCACATATGGAGGGCTGTACTACACTGACAGATGGACACACTCCTCCCTAACACACCACAAGAAGAACAAACATTCCCCTTCTCCTCTGAGCACTTCTGTTACACTTCTTGGACCTCACCCATAGACAGGTGAGGCTGCTCTTAAGAAAATAAGCTTTGTCTTCTATACAGAAGTCCAGGCAGTTGAAGGATCGATGGCAGGCTGTTTCCTGGGCCCAGAGGGCTCCTTCTACCCCTCCTTGGCTGGGCTACACATTCACATCCATGCCTAGAGAGGAACCTCAGCAGGAAGCTGGGGCTGAACCAGCCACCTGACTGATGCCTCCATTCCAAGAATCAAAGGAGATGAAGGCCCCACATCCTGAACCTGAAAAGAAAGAGCTCTCAATACAAATCCTACCTCTTACAGTGATTCAACCCAGTCCTTCGACACAAGAACTATTGTACTGGGCTCCGGGTGAGTCTAAAGAGTTAGATACTACCTCTGTCCTCAAGGAGATCACATTCCAACGGAGGAGTCCAGGTACAGTCATCAGTAACCAAAGGACCAGGGGATAAGGGCTAGAACAAAGGCATAATCTTAGAACTATGGGGACAGAGAACGGGAAGTCTGTCTTGCTGGCAAGGAAGAGATATGAATGGTGCAGGAGGGCTAATGGACACCAGCATCTGACGACTGCAGAAAAGCAGGTTAAGAGCAAAGAAAGGCCACGGCATTTTTCTTCCTTCATAAATATACAGGCAGCAGTCTTTCATTCTACCTAGAACTTTTCAAAAAAGAGTTGCAAATGAAGGGACAAGTCCTGAGAAATACAGACTCCAATTGTTTGGTGTGTTAGTTAGTTAGCTTTGCAGTTCTTTAGCAAATGTAAATAAGAGGAAAACTCAAAAATAATACAAGAATGGGTTTCAGAAGATCCAATGCCTGCAAAAGTCCCCAAGAAACTGGTCCCATTTTCAGTTCAGAGAGGAAATACAGGAAAATAGACAGGCAGGAGGCATTATGCAAATTAAAACTGTAATCTTCACCACACTTAATCCTGCCAAAGTAATTATGGTTCTCTCACATTTTACAAATCAAGAAACACTAGTCCACACCGAGTCAGTAGGAGGGTTTTTTTTGGAAATAATCTAGTGGAAGCCAGGCAGCATGCAGTAATGACAAGACCTCTGGCAAAACTGCAGTGCATAGAGCCTCCTATGGGAAATCACCTGCGGGCTGCCTGGGGCTGCTACAGCAAGCATGGAGCTGTCCTGCTGCTCTTCTGGGTGCTGGAAAGAAATCTTGGGGGAAATGAGCGATCACTCTCCAGCCACAGAAAGTGACCAAAGAGCCACAACCCACAAGCTGATGTCACACTCTGATGTCAGGATGCTCTCTCCTACAGAGACCTGTCACTCAGTGATTCATGCGAGCATCCGATCCTCAACACTGGGTTCTTTTAAAGGCCTGGTGGCAACACTGATCAAAGATGCTACGGAGCCAGATGAGCAGAGCGCCTACAGGGTGATTTTGGCACAGAAGCAGAGGTAGGTCCACCCCAGGAAAAACTGCCAATTCTTTCAGGTTTGTTTTTGGCTTAATTGCCTTTCCTTCTCTGAAGGGAGAATTCCCAAATTTATTTCTAGCCCAGACCTCACTCCTGAACTCTAGACTTAAATTCTATTGCTTACTCTACATCTCCACTTAAAGGTCTGATGAGCGCCTACAGCTCAACAATACTCCTGATCTATGCCCTGCCCCACAATCCTGAGCCACTCACAGCCCTCCCCATCTCAATCAACAGCAATTCTGCTGGGCACGGTGGCTCATGCCTGTAATCCCAGCACTTAGGGAGGCAGAGGCAGGGGCAGGAAGATTGCTTGAGCCCAGGAGTTCCAGCCTGGACAACATAGTGAGACCCCATCTCCACAAAAAGAAAAAAGCTAATGAAACTGAAAGAAAAAAAAGAAAAAAAATCAGTCTCAGTTTCTAGTTTTCCTGTTTCTCAAGCCAAAATCCTTGGCGTTATCCTTGACACTCCCCTTCACCACTCTGCATCAGCAAATACTGTTGTTGGTTCCGCCTTTCAAATACATCCAAAATCTCACCACCGCTGTTGCTAACACTCTGGCCCAAGCCACCAGCATCTCTCATCTAAAATACTGCATTTGCATCCTAATTGGTCTCTCACCTTCCTCCCTCGACATATCAGCTCCTCCAATTTGTCATTAACACAGAGTGATCCTTCCAAAACCTAAGTCAAATCATGTCATACCTCTACCCAAAGCCCTCCAATGGCTCCCATTTCCTGCTGTCAAAGCCAAAGTCCCTGCAATGGTCTGCAAGGCCCTATGTGACTAATGCCCTCACCCCTCCCCAGTTACTCCCAGTCCTCATCTCCTACTACTCCTCTTACCCCTGCACCCCTTACTTGCCCTGCTCTAGCCCCCCGCTGGCTTCCTTGATGATCTCTACATCTGCCAACCATGCCCCATCTTAGGACCCTGGTCCCTCAGCCCATTTCTGCACATAGCTAACCCCTCACTGCTTGGGGCCATGTGTCAGTCTCTGAATGAAGCATACCCTAATCATCCTTTAAAAGTTGCAGCCAACCCATCCATTCTCTAGTACTCCAATGCCCTTGCCCTGTTCTATGTTTTCCTCTAGCACTTATCATATTTGAATAATAAACTATCATTCACATACTCATTATGATTACTGTTTTTCATGGGCACTTATGAAACAAAGCTTCACAAGAGCAGGGGTTTTGCTTGTTTTGTTCTGGAAGAAAGCCTGGCCCACAGTGGACACTTAATATGTTTGTTAAACAGGCAGATCCAACAGGATATTAGGTGTGTCAGAAAGGAGTATTTCAGAATTCAAAATCCTGGAAGCAAAGCATTCCAGGTGATCACGAGGTACAAGGTGTGGCCACAGGTGTGGGCTGCTGCAGAGTGGTGCAGGGTGGAGGAGGAGAACAATGAGGGAGAGGCCGGGAAGTGTGAGGCGGGGCTGCTGAACAGGCTCTCAACAGCCCAGGATATTCACACTACACGGGATGAAAGCAGGAGATCCAGGGGTAAAGAAAATGGTGATCCAGATGTGCGAGTCTTCGAGGAGTATGCAACTATATCCTGGAGGCCAACAACAGCTACCAATAGCTTTTTCATGTGTGTGTTTTTTTGTTTTTTTTTTTTTGAGACAGAGTCTCGCTTTGTTGCCCAGGCTGAAGTGCAGTGGCGTAATCCCAGCTCACTGCAATCTCTGCCTCCTGGGTTCAAGTGATTCTCATGCCTCAGCCTCCCAAGTAGCTGGGACTACAGGTGTGCACTACGACACCTGGCTAATTTTTGTACTTTGGGTAGAGATGGGGTATCACCATGTTGGCCAGGTTGGTCTCAAACTCCTGACCTCAAGTGGTCTGTCCGCCTCGGCCTCCCAAAGTGCTGGGATTATAGGCGTGAGCCACTACGCCAGGCCCCAATAGCTTTTTTTTAAAAAACTATATATTTATATTTACAATATATACATATATTTATAAAAGTATATATTTACTGCTTAAAAAATGTTGAAACCCCTGGTATGATACAAACTGCAAGTTGCCCAGTGACTATTACTGCTCCGGCAAAGGAGATTCAGCAAAGGAGATTCGCAGAAACTTCCCAGGAGCAGGTAATATTGTACAAGCATGGTCACTATGTGGGGTCTCCAACTGCCTCCCTCAGGAACTTCATGTCCCCAGGTTCCTAAAATACAGACAACTCACCCTCCCTTGCAGGCCTGCGGGTTTAAAATGATTGCATCTGGGCCTGCTCCACAACTATTCTCTCAGAGTCTTTGAGGACGGGGTCTGGCATCTATTTTAACAAGGCCTCCCAGTAATTCTTACACTAAAGTTTGTGAACTCTGTTATTACCAACTTACCTGTTTATTTACTCAACCAATATCCGATGAGTACCCATTACCCGCCAGGCTGCACTGGTCCAGGTGCCTGATAGGAAGGAGTGAGTGAAGCTGACCACGCAGAGTTAAGCCTGCCCCCTGTACTGGAGTATTCAGGCTTAACTCACAAAACATATGTACCATTCACTCCTATAATCCCAGCACTTTCGGAGGCTGAGGCGGGAGGATTGCTTGAGCTTAGGAGTTCGAGACCAGTCTGGCCAACATGGCGAAAACACTGTCTCTACTAAAAATACAAAAATTAGCTGGGCGTGGTGGCACATGCCTGTGATCCCAGCTATTTGGGAGGCTGAGGCATGAGAATCACTTGAACCTAGGAGGCAGAGGCTGCAGTGAGCTGAGATCATGCCACTGTACTCCAGCCTGGGCGACAGAGCAAGACTCTGTCTGGAAAAACAAACAAAACAAAACAAAACAAAACAAAACAAAAAAATAGAGAAGAATGTGAGGTGGGGAGAACGGGCTAGTGTAGTAATTCCGGGACAAGCTATCAAGAGCCTAGAATAAAGAAAGAAGGAGAAGGAAAAGATGGAAAACAGAGGAAATAGTAATAGAAACGTGTGGCTGACCAGATATTCAGATGAAGAAGAGAAAGGGACCACAGAGGACTCTGTGACTTGGAGCCTGGATAAAAGGAAGAGAGTGACAGGGGCATGAAGAGCTGCGCTGACAGTGCCCGGGGCCCAGGTGTGGAAGGACTGTCCCGTGGCCGCAGCCAGAGGCAGCTGGAACCCTTGCACTGCAAGCTCCCACTGAGCTTCAGGGATGGAAACAGGAATTGGAAACCATTTATATTTTTAGTTTAATACCTTCTTAGCCTTTTTAGGGTTTTCTTGGAATTTTTAGTAGGAAAAACTAATTTATTCCAATTAAATATATGATGGTATTGGGGCTCAAAAATGGATATCCCCAAATACAGTACTTTGACACGCCGAGCTGTAGAAGCCTCAGGAAGCCTCTCTGCCCCTCCCCACCAAAACCCTGACCCTCCCAAACCACAGCATGAAGTTGTTCTCTAAAGTTCCCTTATCTGCCTTAAGTCCAGATTAAGCTTGTCCAACCCTCGGCCCAGGATGGCTTTGGATGGTGTGGCCCAACACAAATTCGTAAACTTTCTTAAAACATTGTGAGATTTTTTGCGTTTTTTTTTTTGAGGGGGGGCTCATCAGCTATTGCTAGTATTAGTATATTTCATGTGTGGCCCAAGACAATTCTTCTTCCAATGTGGCCCAGGGAAGCCAAAAGATTGGACAGCTCTGATCTAGATCCACCAAAGAAGAAAACAATTACTTCTGGTGCCTTCTGTAAGTTTTCATTAACTGAACTCCTACTGCAGGAAGAAAGACTGCAGTATGTCAACACACCTAGACAGACTTTTGTCACAAACCACTGTCTGCCCTGCAGATCCAACAGACTTTATCTCAGGCCACTGTATGTTCTTCAAGTCCATTGAATTCCCCTAAAAATCATTTCCATCCCTCTAAAATCATCCACACTTTCCCATTTCCCTTTCCCCTAAGAAGTAGATATATAAGAATATGCACCCCATTGGGATACTGGGTATTCTGTAATTTTTCTCCTGTGCACACAGATAAATTTATATGCCATTTCTCCTATTAATCTGCTTTTTATCAAGTGATTTTTCAGCAGACCTTCTGCGCACAAAGAAGTTTTCCCTTGGCCTTTACAATGGCATGTTCATTTTTTAACGAACTTATTTTATCCAGTCTTCTTGTATACTATAAAACATGCTTCAAAGTGATTAGCATGCGAATTGTCCTTTCCTAATAGTTACATTAAAATTAAAATAGTATAAAGTTTACATGTTATAAGGACAACAGTGATAGTTAAACATCACGACAACAATCAAAACTGGAGAAACTGAAATACCCTTGAGTTATTTATGACAATAGGGATAAATAAAATTATTTAAGTGAGATCAGCAGACAAAATTCTTGTTCTAGTATCACAGACCTTTGCAGTCCATATAATCATCACTGCACAGGGTTTAGTTATGTCCATGACAGTCTCCAAAAACAGTCTGAGATTAGGTAAGAATTCTCATCTGATTATCAATCATAATCTCAGAGATTTTAGCTAGTAGATTTATACTTAACATCTGGAAACTCACTTTTTGTGGATATATTCTGAACACAGGCTCCTTTACATTTTTCCCCCAAAATAACTGCCCAGATTTCACTGTAACCATTAAAACATGTAAAGTGAAGGAGCAAACTAATCATCAGTACTGGCGGTTCTCTACGCTCGTTTTTCCTTTGGAAATTTAAACAGTACTCTGTTAACAAGTAAGCTTGAGGTTAGGCTCCTCTCAGCAATTCAGCAAGTAATTGACGTACAACCGTTAACTATCCGTCTGAGCATTGAATCTGAATGACCTCGACTTCCTGGAAAACAGAGGTTTCCAATTTCACCATGGAGCCATGGTCCTTTAACACTCTAAAGTGAATCAATAACGTGGGAGTTATCAATGAGCTCCATTACACAGAGCTGTGAAAAAGCCACATGAATCTGAGGTACAAGGCATTATGGGAGCATTCATATTTTAAAAGGAAGCTTGCTGTTCAGGTCCCCTGGCCAACTAGGAAAAGGGAAGGTTAACTCTATTAAGGATCGTCTCATAAGTAAAGAGCAACCAGAACATCTTGAATGGTGCACACAATACAGGCTTTTGCCTTCTGGTCCTTGCCATCCCTAACTCTGCTCAGAGAAGTCTCTGATTCCTGCCCAGCTCCAAAAAGTGCAAAGTGGAGGGGCAAACCAGGAATGGTTTGCAAAGTAACTGCAGGTGTTGGATTACAGGTAGGGTTTCCTCTCCTTTAAAGATCTCCCTTGGGCATATAAACACCTAGGTAGATGAAATGCTATCAGATTTAAAATACTAATGCATACCACTCTCCAAAGCTCTTGAGGCCATAAGCAACAATTCCAAAGAGACTTCCCCCTTAGCTACAAATAAAACTAAAACACCTTTACCGTTCCTCCACTTCCACATCCACCAAGCTAGGCTTGACCTGGGTATTTGTATCTATACACAGTGGGAAAAGAAGCAACTTCTTTAACACTCCTTCTGATTTAAGCACCTAGTTTTCAGCATGATCTGAGCATTTGGTTATTATAGCTCTAAAAATGTTATCAATAATCCTAAACAATACCATCCTCTTACTATGTGGAAAGCACTGTGTTAAGCAACTGACAAGGTGGTTGCAGCTATGGTAACCATCATCATTATTTTAACTGAGGCTCAAAATGGTAGAAAACTTGCCTGAGGTCAAGCAGCTAATCACAGGCAGGACCTAAAATCAGGTCTGTTGAACTCTAAAATATATGCTCCTAACCACACACACACACACACACACACACACACACACAAATCATAGGAAGCTCAGAACTGCAGGGAACATTTCTCCCCAGGTTACCCTTGAGACAACCTTGCCCATGTGACTCTGACATAAGAGCCAGAATCAGTTCCGGTTGTAAACCCTCCAAATGAAGAATTAAATCATTAAACCATTTCACGCCAGGAACCTCCAACCCAAGCCACACAGAAGTCCACTGGCACCATCAAGTTTTGGCCATCTTCCCTCTCTTGCCTCTTTTCTCCTGCCTTCTTCACCTGATGCCTGGGCTGACCTCCACTGCCCCACAGGCTGTTCAGAATTATGTCCACACCACAGATCACTTCTCATCAGCAGTCCCATAGCCCAACGGTGGATGGTGTGTCAGCTGCAGGACAGGAGACAGCAGAGTCAACAAAAGGGAACAGACCTATTTTTCCATAGCCTTTCACTTTCAGGCTTGCAATGGGCACCCACACACACGTGGTCTCAAAAAGGCAATGACGTCACCACTCTACTGACCTGGTTTAAGGAATTAATTGTAGTCTATTCTTCAAGGTCGATGCTCTCTTGTCAGACTGAGCTCTGTGTCACACAGGGAGCTCAGTGGAGAGCAGTGACGATTCCATGCAACCCTCCATCCACAACTAGAGGAGGGGCAGAAGCCTGACTCAGGAGGCACAGAAGTGACAGCATCCTGGGGTGTCCACATGCTCACCCAGCCACAGGCCCCTTCTCTCAGGACTGCGCCCTCCTGCAGGCTCCAAGGAGGTGGCTGCATTTCTTTTCTTTTCTTTTTTTTTGCCGTATGTATTTATTATTATTATTATTATCCTTTAAGTTTTACAGTACATGTGCACAATGTGCAGGTTAGTTACATATGTTACACACGCGCCATGCAGCCCTCACTAACCCGGGGGTACAACCAGGTGAAGCAAGGATGGGAACTTAGCATGAAGGAGCCCAGCTCCAGGCAGCCAGGTCAGAACAAGGCTAGGTGGGGTGGGCCACAGTGATGTGCAGCGAGTGTGAATGAGGGAAAAGGCTTGAGTGTAGAAAGAGCAATGGGACAGGCATGTGGACAGGAGATGAGAGGAGCCAACCCCAGAGAGAGGCAGCTGGAGAGAGAGGAACAGGGCAGGAGCTTCAGGCTCCCTGGAATCTCACAAATACGAATGTGGTTTCTTTTCAACCACTACCCCTTCATATGGTTTACTCTAGTGGGTTCCTGGCCACCAGAGATCTTTATCTGAAACCATCTATAGCACTCTCCCCTCATCCACTGCTTTGCTTTCTGCAGTTTCAGCTATCCACGGTACAGAACAAGATACTCTGTGAGAGAGAAATCACATTCACTTAACTTTCATTATAGTATATTGGCACAATTGTTCTATTTTATTATTACCTGTTACTGATAATCTCTTACTGTGCCTACTTTGTAAATTAAACTTTATTGTAGATAGGTATGTATAGGAAAAAACATAATGTAAACCAGATTTGGTACTCTCCAAGGCTCAGGCATCCACTGGGGGTCTTGGAATGTATCCCCCACCAGGTAAGGGGGGATAGCTGTATATAAATGTATAAAAAATCTTTTCTAACATTCCATTTTTTTCAACTCTTAACAAATTATAATTGGGGCTGATCTTAATATACTCACTGGCTCTTGGACATTTCTAGGCTAGTGTGTCTCAACTCTGGCTGTGTGTGTGCACACACGCACACTCATATACATAGACTGCACACTTAAAAAAAATCTACCTAGGAGATTCTAAAGTACAGCTAAGGTGGAGATCCACTGTACCAGAATGAATCCACCGTATTTCCCAGTGTAGTTAAGAAAAAGCAAATTCAAAAACATTAGGTGGTTTCCCTAAAAGTCACAAAACACAGACTTACCAGAAGACACCTCAGAAGCCATACAGTTGGATCACAATTCACTGGTCCAGGTTTCAAACAGTGGAATGTGAAGCCCAGAAGTGTGAAGTGTCTTGTTTAAGGGGGCTGCTATGGTTTGAATGCCTGTGCCCTCTCAAACTGATGTTGAAATGTAATTGCCATGGTAACTGGATTAAGAAGTGGGACCCTTAACGGGTGATCAGGCCATGTGGGCTCCATTCTTATGCCTTATCTCAGAGAAGCTTCTTTATCAAAGAGGGAGTCTGCGCCTCTCTCCCCTCCTTCGCTTGCCCTTTGGCTTTTCTGGAGGAAAGCTTTGAGCAAGAGCCTTCCTCCCGCCTTTGGTTCAAGAAGCCAGCCAGGAAGCAGAGCAGTCATCATCGGACACCAAACATGCAAGTGCCTCGATCTTGCATTTCCCAGCCTCCAGAAATTGGGAAAGAAACCTCTTTCTTTATAAACTATCCAGTCGCAGATCTTCTGTTACAGCTGCACAAAACTGACATAGTGAATTAGTGGGAGTGCTAGAGTCAGAACTGATTTTTCTACTCTAAAAGGTTTTGTTTGTCTTTTTTGAATCACATCTTTTAGATGAAATTAGAAAGCCTATTATTTAAAGCAGCCCTAACAAAAAAAAAGCACTCTGTTATCCAAATAATAATCTCCTAACTGTATATGTTGAGACTCTGGATTCCTGTACACAGGCTTCTTAAAGTAGAGCAGATTTATAGTTTCAACACGAGCCTAAGCAAAATCCAGTACAGAGGGTAAAGCTGCTATCAAAATGAACACTGCAATTCCTAAAGCCAGATTTTGGAGTCTTATATGGGATTATCAACACTGAAGAGAGTTGTTACTAAATTTGGAGACAGAGTGAGGAATAGAAGCAGTAATATAAGGTAGGGAATGACCTTAAAGGGAAACTCTAAGTAATCTCAGGACTGTATGATTTAAGTGACTTCTGCAGGGGAAAAAAATGCTTTCTACACCAATATGACATGGCATTATTAGAATTTTAAGACTTGATTTTGGTTTTTGGAGACAGGTTCTTGTTATGTTGCCCGGGCTGGTCTCAAACTCCTGGGCTCAGAGACTACAGGCATGAGCCACCATGCCCAGCTAATTTATTTTTTGTAGAGACAAGGTCTCACTATGTTGCCCAGGCTGGTCTGAGACTCCTGGGCTCAAGCAATCCTCCCACCTCAGCCTCCCAGTAACTGAGACTACAGGGAGGTCTCAGTGAGGCTGTGTCACCGTGCCTGACCTAAGACTGAATTTTAGAGAAGACTGAGCCTCTAAGAGTGCACTAAATGAAAACAACTGTGCTCGGAAGAGAACACATTAAGGAGTTATTGCCCATTAACACAGAAAATGAAGTCATCTGTCAGATCCTTTGCAACTGGATTACTGGAGAAAAGCAAGGCCCCTCAAAACAGAACCACGGGTAAGTAAATTGTGGCAAGAGGAGAGTGAGAGCTCAGCTTCTGGTACTGATAAAGAGAGAAAACCTGCCGAACCACACGGTGAGGCAAGCCGGAAGAGCCAGGTATGACAAAAGAGCACTTGGAAACAGGCTGAAGGTGGACCAAAGAGAAGGGCTCTGAGTGGATCCCCAAAACGGACTATGCCTACTTCAATTTCAACAGGTCTGTTCTTAAGAGTTACATTCTTCCTGTTCACATACTGGCTGCCTTGAATTGCAAGCCAACATTCTATTTCCTTTGTAGAAATATCATTGTGCTTTCCCCTTATGTCAAACAGTATTCATAACATTTGTTTTTTTTTTTTTTGAGATGGAGTCTCGCTCTGTCGCCCAGGCTGGAGTGCAGTGGCATAATCTTGGCTCACTGCAACCTCTGCCTCCCGGGTTCAAGCCATTCTCATGCCTCGGCCTCTTGAGTAGGTGGGATTATAGGTGCCTGCCACCACGACCAGCTAATTTGTGTATTTTTAGTAGAGATGGGGTTTCACCATGTTGGCCAGGCTAGTCTCAAACTCCTGACCTCAAATGATCCGCCCGTCTCAGCCTCCCAAAGTGCTGGGATTACAGCTGTGAGCCACCGCGGCCGACATATTTCTGTTTTTCTGTTCCCTAATCAGTCAAACTCAAGCAGAAACTCTAAGCTTTCTTCCCTTAGTGGCATCATAGTATTCCCTCTGAGAACACTGAGAACAAAGAAGTTAGGTTATTAACTTCAACATGCCCAGGAAAGTAACTTGCTACTGGAGGAGAATTCCACCCTGAGACTGCTGGCTGTGAACACCATTCACAACCAACAGAAGGTGTTTTTCAAGGGTCCCACGACCTGAGAGGATGCCACTACAGCTTTGCTGTGACATGGATTTTCCAATTATGGATCCTGTGAATCACCGACACAAAAGTTATAAAACAGCAAATCATAGTTACGTATTCAAAATGCCTCTGAAATCTATCCATCCTTTTACAACAAAAAGAAACAGCTTGGGATTAACGATACTTCAAGAGTACGTAGTACACGGTCTGGCACAAGCAGAGCATAAATAAATGTGTGTTTAACAGTTTGGGGTTTTTTGTTTGTTTTGTTTTTTGAGACAGGATCTCACTCTGTTGCCCAGGCTAGAGAGCAGTGGCGCAATCACAGCTCACTGCAGTCTCAAACTTTGGGGCTCAGACGATCCTCCCACCTCAGCCTCCTGGGTAGCTGGAACTACAGGCACACACCACCACACCTGGCTACTTTTAAAAATTTTTTGTAGAGATGGGGGTCCCAACTATGTTGCCCAGGCTGGTCTTGAACTCCTGGGCTCAAGTGATCCTCCTGCCTAGGCCTCCCAAATTGCTGGGTTTACAGGTATGAGCCGCCACACCCAGCCTATGTTTAATGGTTTACTGGTCAAATGAAGGAATAAATGAAATATTAAGTCTTTTGTAATTTGCCTTTTGTACTAAAGGCACTGAAGAGTCTTATTTATCTTCTTCCCTCTGCATCTGCTTTCTCTGACTGTATCAACGTTTCTCTGCCCACATTACCAAACGCCTCTCTCCTCCACAGCTTTTGTCACCAGCATCAAAAAGAAGCATCAAAGACGACTTCTGTGGATGGCATCAGCAGACACCTAAGTTACAAATGTCCAAACAGGAGAGTCCCACTCTCCTGTTCCTCCAGATTAAAATATTTCAGCTAAAATACTCTGCCTCCTTTACACCTCATTCTTCGGGCTATTTGCTTGTTTGGGTTTATAGTTTCAAATCAGTCTGATTCACTGTCTCTTGAGTCATGGTGCCACTTGTGCACACACAGTCTAAAACTGTTCAGCCCTAAGAGGATCCCCTGGAAGGATGTGTGTTGAGGAGGCTGAATCTGCCTACTCCCACCTTAACCAATAGGCAGCCATTCCTGCACAGATTAATCACTTTACTTCCCCAACTCAAGTGACAACAATACACTCCAATAAGGTGACCCTGATTTTCAGTGTCTTTTCCACAGATATGTCTAAGTGATTTCAATTCATTCCCTCACTTGTTTGTATTCACAACATACTTATATTTCTTACCAGTAATGCAAACGTAAAACAAGTTTTGATCTTGGGGCTCTCCATCATGCTCAATGAGCTCTCCTCATTGTTCATGCCACTCTTCCTGGCTCCTTCAAACCCTGCCTCTCCGCTACACTCTTTTCAGTAACTTTTCAAGAGTTTAAAATAATCATCTATTGGCCAAACGGCAACAACCACCTTTCTTACCAAATCTACTTCCTCCTGAAACCCTTACTCTGGATTACGTGCCCACCTTAATACTCATCATCTGGGGGGATTCACTGTCTTTATCCATGCATGAGGGGTCTGCACACTGGTAGTATTTACATCTGTTTCAAGGGCTGGACAGCTCACTCTAGCATGCGCAGGAGCTGGCACAAATAGGTAATGGATAAAAGATGTAGAGACATACAAAGGATGGGTTAGTATTGTTCTTCTCTTCAATACAGACATTTCAGTGTCACAAGAACACCAATACAATGAATACAAAGTGGATGAGGCCTCAAGCCAATACATCTGGCCCTTTTTTTTTTGTCTATGGTTGTACCCATGGATATTAAACCCCGAAGATAAAATAAGATCCAAGTACTTGTAAGAGTCCAACTTAGGAAAAATTAACTTTACCCCACTTATTTATGGGGCGCCCATTATGTGCAATTCGTTCAACAAATACCAATGACTACCTATTATTTTAAGACATTTTGCCAACTGTCAGGAATAGAGAAGACATAGTGTCCCTGCCCTCAGAGATCTTCCAATTTAGTGGAGATACAGTTAAATAACAGATACAGCAACACTGTGATAACTCAAGCAAAGGGGCTGAGTACCAGGTGCACAGGGAACACAAAGGGTCTCCTAATCCAATTAAGATCCAGTCAGGATCCATTGTTCCTAGCACAGGAGAAGGGCAGATACAAAAGACGATGTGAGCAGAAGAGTGGGGCAAAGTCCTGAGTGTGGGGCTTTGGGGCCTGCAGGGCACTGCACCTTACAGTCCTCCTGGGGGAATAATCTAAGTACAGAGATGAAGATGACTCAGAACAAGGCAAGCTCTCCAATCAGTGTCCTGGGGAGTGTGGTTAACTAGGAGGGCAGGAAAGATAAAGATTCCCAAAGAAGACATGGGGGATGGCTGGTGGAAAACAGAGTCTGACCCAGTAACAGAAGAATGGACACATGGGATGGAAGGCATTCCTGCCATGGCACTGACATGAATTAAGCTGTAAAAGAAGAGAGAATAGCATAAGAACTTGCTCCAGGCAAGTAAGAGCAGAAGAACCATACTGAACAGCAAGAGGAAAGTGGTTGAGGGGCTGATTGGCTTCAGAATTAGGTAACTCTTATGTCAGCAGAATAACCAAGACACACAAATGCACCTCCTGAAGAATCTGATAAATATGCTTACCGTGGCAATGGTGCCCTCGCAAGAGTACTAAACTGGTAGTCAAGAGACCTACTGCTGATTTGCCGCCAGTCTATCCTCCTGTCAGATGAGCTGGGTGAACGTGTGCAGTGTCCATACATGAGTTGGGAAATAAATTTAGCAATTCACAACCATCTTTTTTTTTCTTTTTTATAAAAGTGAAATAGGCCAGGCGCGGTGGCTCACGCCTGTAATCCCAGCACTTTGGGAGTCCCAGGTGGGCGGATTATGAGGTCAGGAGGTCGAGACCATCCTGGCTAACACGGTGAAACCCCGTCTCTACTAAAAATACAAAAAATTAGCCGGACGCGGTGGCGGGCGCCTGTAGTCCCAGCTACTCGGGAGGCTGAGGTAGGAGAATGGCGTGAACCCGGGAGGTGGAGCTTACAGTGAGCCAAGATGGCGCCACTGCACTCCAGCCTGGGCGACAGAGCAAGACTCCGTCTCAAAAAAAAAAAAAAAAAAAAAGTGAAATAAAACAACATATTCTGCTATGTGTGCTGCCCATAGAAAAATTACTGTTTTGTGAAGCATTGGCTTCAGGTATGTGGATACAGACGTGTATGTGTGCTTGATCAAAACGTAAAATGTGTTTCTTACTGTGAGGTTACAGTCAAAACAGTTTGAAAAGCACAAGACATGAGGATCTATAAGGTTCCTTCAAATTCTAAGCTTCGCATGCAGCCTTCAAATTCTAACCTTTTTTACAGGTGAATAAATTAACTTAGATATGAGTTCTGGTATAACATTAAATAAATCATGGGCAATCTTTAGACATACCATCAGATAATTCAAAGTTATCCGAAACAATTACCCTTAATTCAACTGATACACTATCAGATAATTCAACATTATCCAAAACAACGCCCCTTAATTCAACTAAATATGACCAAAAAAAAAAAAGTTTCCAGGAAATAACTACACTCCACGTAAGCTGTAACACAGACACACCTGTATATTTGGGGCAAAGGGTGAGCCATGTGAAAGGCTTTCATTGTAATGTGGACATGCACACACAGAAGCAATGTTCTATGGAAACTCTTCAATTAAAAAATCTACTCAAGGTAGGATTTTCATGTTTCAAATTTTAAAGATCTAATGCCAACCTTATTTTTAATACCTTTGCCAACAGCAAATTCTAGCAAGCTATAGACTGTGTGTGACACATACTTTTGAAACCCTTTACTGGAACAGGTGGCTTTTAACTACTTACAGACTCTGACCCAATGCATCTGCATATGATACATTCTCATCTGCCTAAGCCACTTTCGAAAAGCTATAATCCCAATGAGGGCATCCCCTTCAGGACTTCAGGAGGGCATAAACATGCAACATAGAGCAAATATTAAGTACTTCCCTGTTGGACAAGCCATTTTCCCAGACAGGCAAGGAGTCACTTAGGAACATATGCGTGAGTACGAATGAAAAAAAAAAATCATTAACGTTGGTGATGTGCATAAGCAAACAGGTTTTAGATAAAAACTATAGAAGGGTCCATGGCGACAATAATGCCCGGTGTACTTCCTCTGGGGACTCTTTCATCTGAAGAAATCAAATCTCATCATAGACATGGCCTCAGGTTATTTTCACCATCACTGCTATGAGGCAGGTCGGAAAGGTCACAGATACCCAAACTGGAGCACAAACAGGTAACCTGACCTGCACATGTATAAGACTTTTGTCTAATAGTGAATAAAAGTCAGGTTTTTGGTTTGCTTGTTATAAAACAACCAGGTCTAACCCCTAAACCATGCCCCCAGTTTGTGCCTGGCTCACAGATGGCCCACCCTAAACACTTTTCAGTCCTTCTGTGAATGCTAATTTAAGGTCAGAGATTTCCCAGCCCCTGCAAGTTTCAAACTTATCCTGGACTGTTATGGAGGCCGTGTGGAAGGTGCCAGGCCCACAGCTACCAGCTAACTTCCTGCCCCACAGTGCCACTACTTTGCCCCACCAGGAGGCAAACTCCCCGCTCCACCTGACGCTCCAGCTGTTTCCAAGGTTGCCCAGACATTGTCCTGCCCGCACTTTACAACCAGAAAGTCTTTTAGAGGCCATCCTGTCTCGCCCACTGACTTTACAGGGAAGGAAACTGAGTCTAGAAACCCATGTGCCTTGCCCAAGGTCACTTCAGCTCGTACAAACGAAACTCGAACCAAGTTGTTTCTTTCTGCCCGGTACTTAAGCACCCACACTCTGCCACTCGCGGTGACCGGAGCCACAAAAGACCCAGCCGGTGGGCCGGCGACACACAGGCGAGCCAAAGCAGGCAAAATTCTCTGAGTCCGAGCTCTCCAGGAACCTGAAGGCTGGCGCGGTTTTTGGAGAGGGTGGGAGCAAGCCAGGGTGGGACAAGAAAAGCGAATTTACGGCGGCCAAGGGGCTCTCCGCTGGCCCTCAGCCCCGGAGGAGGGGCCCCTCTCCTGGCAGGCCGCCCCAGGGGCCCCAAGAGACCCCCACCCCGCCTCCCCACAGCTGGAAGTCAGGCCTGGCGACCCCGGCAGGCTCACCGGGTGCGCAGCGCCTGCCACGCGGCGTCGATGTCGGCGTAGAGGTTCTTCTCGGAGGGCTTGCCCGAGCTGACGCCGTATCCCGAGTAGTCGTAGGAGAAGATGTTGCAGTTGATGCGGGAGCCGAGGCCAATGTAGAAGCTGCACATCTGGCCCAGGTCCACGGCGTTGCCGTGCGAGAAGAGCAGCGTGTAGCGGCTGGAGGGCGCGCAGCGCACGAACATGCAGCCGAGCCGGTTGTCCCGGGCCGTGCGCGAGAAGAAGACCTCGACGGCGTCCAGCTCGCGCTGCGAGTACTGCCAGTCGGCGCGCTCGCTGAGGTGCAGGCTGCACGCACCGGGCCCCGCGCCCGCGCCCTCCTCGGGCTGCTGCGGTGCCGGCTGGGCCGCGGCGGCGGCGGCGGTAGCCTGGGCCGGGGCCGGGGCGGACGCGCCGGCGCCGCGCTGCTCCGGCGCCAGCACCGTGTAGGTGGGCTCGGGCGGCAGGAAGGCCAGCTTGGCGGCGATGCGGCTCGGGCAGGGCGGGCAGCAGAAGAGCCAGCACAGCTCACCCAGCGAGAAGCCGTTCATCCTGGGGCCTGGCTCGGGCATCGGGACGGCCTGGTGCCCGCCGCCGGCCCGGCTGGCTGGCTGGCTGGCTGGCCCGGGAGGACGGAGGACGGACGCGCGGCGAGGGAGCTGGCAGGCGAGCGCGGAGGGCGGCTGCAGCCCGCCCGCCCGGCGGCAGGAGGAGGCGGAGGCGGAGGAGGGCAGGAGGCGGGGCCGGCCCGGCGGGCGCGGCGCTCGGAGCCCGGGCGGGTCAGCGGCGGCCCCGGAACCCAGGCGAGGCGCGGGCGGCCCGGGCCCGCGCGCGGCACACAAAGCCGGCGGCGGCGTCCATGGCCGGCTCGTGCGCGCCGCCCCCCGCTCCCGTTCCCGCTCCCGCACGCCCGCCGCCGCCGCCGCCGCCGCCGCCACTTCCGGGTTACCGCGCGGCGGCGCCGCCGCTGGGACGCGGCGCAGAGCCGGGCATCGGGGCGGGGCGCTGCGGGCAAGGGCGCGGGCACCTTCCCCGGCCTGGGAAGCACCTTCTCGACCTGCGGCCGACGGGGGCTTCCAGGCGGCTCCGGGGCCCGGAGAAGCTGGGTGCCGGGGCTGGGGGCTCTGCGCCCGGACAGCTGGGCCGATCTGCAGAGGGGACCCTGGAGGGGGTGCATGTGTCCCGGGGTGGACCGCTCCCCTCCCCTCCCCCTGGGATTCCCTCCCCCAAATCCAGGTTTCTCCCGTGGATGGAGGTTCTTGGGAGTCTACTGAAAAGGAAACTAAGGGGTGGACAAGAGTTGGAATGTGCCCGAAATATTTGGCTCTCGTGTGTGCTGCTTTCTGAACTGGCTCAGTACCAAAAGTTCTCAGCACCGTAAGGGGTACCGGGGTTGTGGGATAGGGTGGTCATCAGTGTGTTTCTTATTAGGAGAGGCTGTTTCTGTATAGGTAGCAACAGCGTTTCCTTTCTAAGGGCATGGTTTTACCCTTAGTACATTTCTGTATCTATAAAAGTCAGCTGTTAGAACAGGAGGGTACTGTATTTAGCAACAAACCATGTTGAGGTTGTCATTTCTAATCCCACGTGTGGCAGATTTTCCGGTAGTAAGTATATACTAGGTATCGTTTACAGTGTTTGTGTCTCTAGAGTTGTTTTGGGTCCAGGATTTTTCAGTGGTCTTAGTCATGAACGATTCTTATACTGCTTTAAATCTACTGTAATCTTGGCAGCCACCTTTACATGATTTTTCAAATATAACTCTCGGTGCCTTGAAACTGTGCTCTGGTGCCAGTTTCCACAGAGCCTTCTATACTTCCTTTTTCCCGCCTGATTTGGCAGCTGAAGAATTCCCTTTCAGGAACTGACAGGAGATACCCTTCCTGGACTGCCAGCAGGGCAGCTAGAGACTGGGAGGTTGGCACAATCCCTACGCTGGGTCTGTTGTTTTAACTCACAGATGTCCTGAGAATTTTACCTTTCGTTGTGACTTTCCACAGGACGAATATTTTGAGCACCGTCATCTAAATGAATTGCCGATACTGATTTCATTAACCTTCAGGACCTCGCTTTTAATTTTTTCTTTTTTAAGAGACAGGGTCTTACTGTATTGTCCAGGCTGGACTCCCAACTCCTGGGCTCAAATGACCCTCCGGCCTGCCTCCCAAGTAGCTAGGACTACCGGCACATGCCACCTTGCCCAGCTAGGACCTGGGTTTTAAAAGGCCATTTCTTCACTAAAACAATTTTACTTGTTTTTGAACTATTCAAACTTGATTTTTAAAAACCTGGTAACAAAGCCTGTCCAGATTGCATATTTGAAGTCTGTTTTGAAGGTTTTCACACTTGGTGAAACTCTTCACATAAAGCCCAATTCTAGCTTTGCAGGTTTGCATTTCCTTTTTTTTTTTTTTTTTTTTAAAAAAAGAATTTTTCTGCGAAAATCCTTTAAAAAGAAAAAAAAGCTTTATACAGCTGGGCACAGTGACTCACGCCTGTAATCCCACCACTTTGGGAGGCTGAGGAGGGTGGATCACTTCAAGTCAGAAGTTCAAGACCAGCCTGGCCAACATAATGAAACTCCGTCTCTACTGAAAATACAAAAATTAGCCGGCCATGGTGGCGTGCACCTACAATCCCGGCTACTCAGGAGGCTGAGGCACGAGAATCACTTGAAGCTAGGAGGCAGAGGTTACGGTGAGCCGAGATCATGCCACTGCACTCCAGCCTGGGTGACAGAGTGAGACTATGTCTCAAAAAAATAAAAAGGCTTTCTAACTTGCTACACATTGGTATACTTTGGTCACTTTATTGTATTCAGCATTTATGTATGTAATGTTTTTTGTGCTCACAGCATCCACTGTGTTAGGTGCTACAGCTACCAAGGTGAGTAAGATAGTCCCTGCTCTCAGATACCTTACAGTCTAATTAGGGCATCAGCAGAAGATTCAAAACAGTTTTTATGTGCCTTTAAAAAAAATCAAGTCCTCATAAAAGCTAAGAAGATGGTCTTGCGTCCTGATTCAGTGGTGATATTTCTATGGGGAGCTAAGGTTATAGTCGAGTGCATTAGTCCCTAATCTAATTCAGAACAAGAATCAAACTTTGGGAACTGAGATGAAAGGGTATCTAACAGCCCCCTAGTCAGTCTTTCTCAGATACCACTCCTCTCACCTGTCCTTTATAAGAATTGAATAGCCCTTAGTTCATGAAAGGGGGGAATGATGAGAGTCTCAAGTACTCGTCTTCTGTGCTGCTGATGGAAAAGACAGTCTTTATATTTCAGATGGCCTGGCAGCAGTGTTAGCATTGTTAGAAAAATCTAAAAGCTAGATACTTGTTTATTTATACCTGGTCTCATTCCACAAGGGATTTGTGGAGTGTGATTCAGTATAATATAAATACATAAGCAAATAAATAAAAGCCTGGCTTTTGTTTTCATTCTATTACAAGGCTACACAGAGGTGGGCTGAAAGAGCATTTATTCCCCAGGAAAACATGTTGGTTCAGGTTTGTGTAAATATTCAGTTGAGACCCTAAAATTATATGCCGTAGAGTGAAGCTACCAAGCCTTTCTTATCTCATGCCACATATAGCCAGTGGTAGAGTTTCTGTAGCCCACTGACATGAGACGTGCTGCCCAGGGGATAAGAGGTTAAAGATCTCAGCACGTCTCTAACATCTAACATCTTTAACAACAAATGTGTTAGTGTGCCTTGTCATGTTGGTTTGGAAACTTTAACATACAGCACATAAAGAATGCATTTGCCCTATAAAATGTGAAAATTGGGGATTACCAGCTGTCCACTTTGACCTTAAAGCAGCAGTCTCCAACCATTGTGGCACCAGGGACTGGTTTCATGGAAGGCAATTTTTTTCCATGAAAATCCTAGTTAGATTCTCATAAGGAGTGCGCAATCTAGATCCCTCGTATGCACTGTTCACAATAGGGTTTGCACTCCTATGAGAAGCGAATGCTGCCGCTGATTTGACAGGAGGCGGAACTCAGGCAGTAATGCTCACCCACCAGCTACCCACGTCCTGCTATGTGGCCCAGTTCCTAACAGGCCACTGACCAGTACAGGTCCACGGCCCGGGGTTTGGGGACCTCTGCCTTAAATTTCTATGTCATTCTGATCATCCTAGTAGAGAAAGATCTAACTTTGAGTTCAGGTCAGCAAACATATTTACTCTGCTAGGTACTTATCATGAGTCAGTCACTGAGTTGACTTGGGAATGTAAAGGTGGCTAATGCACAGCTCCTCCTGCCCTCAACAAGTGCATTGTATGATCTGTCTCTTAGGTAACTCTGTATCCTGCCAAGCCAGCCAGTATTGATGAACTAAACAATATTCCACATAACTAAATACCCTGATCTCTATTACTTAATATTGGCCCTTTACACACTGAATTTTGGCTTCCACACTAGTCAGCTGGATGTGGAGTTGCTCAAGACCACTTTTATTTGTAAAAGTAGAACCAACTTTTGACCATAAGAGGATACTCATGCTTAAAAACAGAATCTGGTTGTCTTGATGGAATCTAAGGTAATGTTGCCCCATTGTACATTTTTTTAAAAATTTGGGACTGGATACTCAGTGAAATCAGGGATCATGTGTATTTTGTTCATCGTTTCCCCTATGACTGGCATAGAGAAGATGCTCAGTAAATGTTAATTAAATTGCTAAATTAAAGAATGAGAGGCCAGGTGCAGGGGTTCCCACCTGTAATCCCAGCACTTCGGGAGGCTGAGGCAAGCAGATTGCTCGAGTTCAGGAGTTTGAGACCAGCCTGGGCAACGTGGCAAAACCCCATCTCTATAAAAAATACAAAAAGAAATTAGCCAGGTGTGGTGGTGCACTCCTGTAGTCTTAGCTACTCCAGAGGCTGAGATGGGAGGATCACTTGAGCCCAGGAGGTCGAGGCTGTAAAGAGGTGTCATCATGCCACTGTACTTCAGCCTTGGTGATAGATCAAGACCCTGTCTCAAAAATAATAATAAAATAAAAGAATGAATGAGTGATTTAGTGAATGCTTCCAAAATACCAAGCCTGTTCCTTCTGGTTTGGGCAGTATTATTGGAGTTATGGGCTTTGAAGAAGATACAAAGTGGTCCAGAGCCAAGGCCAGCATCACACTGTGTCCTCTGGCTAAGGAATTGTGACATTCTCTCCATATTTATTACCAATAGAGCTCAAATTTTGTTATGGTAACAATGTACCCAGTTAAGATAGTCACTCAACCTCCCCTGCCATCAGGATGGCCACATGACAGGATTCTGTCCAATAGGCCCTAACTGGAGAATACTGGGGGATCTTCTGGAGAGACTTTTAACAGAGCCAGGCTCAGCTGTAATGTTTCCCTTCACTTTTTTTTTGTTGTTGTTCCTGCCTGGGTTGCAGGCATTGTTTTTTGAGCAACAGCAGCCATCTTGCAAGCATGAGGGTAAATTTCACAGCTGAAGATGGTGGTGCAGAAAGATAGTCTATTTCCTTCATGGTTTAATAGCTGCCCCGATCTCGCCTGTATTTGTCGAGGCTTCTTATGTGAAAAAACTAAGTCTTTTTATGTCATTGTAGTTGGTTTATTTGTTACCTGTAACCTAATGCAGCATTAACTGATTCAGGAATCAGAAGCAAAGATCTTACATTGTTCTTAACTGCTTTCTGAATAAGGACAATGAGTACTTTGTTGATCGGTAGTGGAACAGTGTGCCTAAATCCTGCTTGCCCCTCTGTAGAAAAATATTTAAGTATGACTGACTAAAGATGGGAAAACGTTTTAAGGAGATAACCAGTAAAGTAACAAATCTGAAATGTGAAAACATGAAAAGGTTATAATTTTTAAAATAAATGATACTTTGAGGCTATTCCAGAAGTTCTATGCTGACATTAATTAGGATAAGAGGCCTGCCATTCAACTAAACACTTTTGGAGGCAAAATATCTTTTCCCAGAATCTTTTTCAGTCTGAAGGCCCTTATCCAAAGGGTTGTAAATGAGATGACTGGAACCCAGCCGGGGAGAGCTCTGAGATCCACAAACCGCTGAGAAAGCACTGCAGAGATAAAGATTGAAAGAAATAAAACACCACCCACCCACAGAAATGTGTTTTCACAGTTCCTATAACCACGGTCATTCCATGGATGATAATGCCCTCAAACCTGCATTTCTGACTCATCTCATCCAATCTCCTATTCATAGATTCTTAACAGGGGGTCCAGAGTCCCTGAACTTGATGACAGAATTTCGAGTTGGTACAGTACTTCATAGGATCGGTGTCCACCTGTTTTTCCCTGTGTAATCGGCACCAAACATCATATCCTAGTACATAATGGGAACATAAAACACCTTTGTCACTTGATTGGAATTAAATTTCTGGTGATTTCCAAACACTTAAAAATATGCAAAGATGTAATAGACTGGATTTAAGTAATAAGTAAATTTAAACTTAATAAGTAATTTTTTAAATGGAAAGTGGGAAGGAGCAGCCTCTTATATGCTGAGTTTGCAAATCTAATTTTAAGATGATGATGAACAATATCATGGCATCAATTTTAAGTGTTTTTTAAAAGAATTTTGGATAGTTGCACATTAACACAATATACATGGATGATTATAGTGTTATTCCTGGAAATTTTTAATAACAAATGTTAAATGCATGTTCCAAAAAATAGTAATACCAGCATGAGACCAGAGAGAGAAACCAACAGGACCTAGCAGTGTATAAGTATTTTGCATATGATGAAGTTGATATTTCAAATCAGTGAGGATACATTAACATATTCAATTAGCTACATATTTGGAAAACATCAGTTCTGATGGATTAAAAAATCAAAGATTTATTTTTAATGAAACCAAGAGACAACCAAAAAAGAAATTTAGATAAAAATTCATGGGCTGAGTGTGGTGGCTCATGCCTATAATCCTAGCACTTTGGGAGGCCAAGGTGGGAGGATCACTTGAGACCAGAAGTTCAAATATAGTGAGACTCCATCTTTACAAAAATAAATTTTAAAAAGTAGCCGGGTGTGGTGGTGCACACCTATGGTCTGAGCTACTCAGGAGGCTGAGGCGGAAAAATTGCTTGAGCCCAGGAGGCTGCAGTGAGCCATGCTTGTACCATTGCACTACAGCCTGGGTGACAGAGTGAGACCTTGTCAAAAAAAAAAAAAAAAATTGATAACATAAATTTTCAGTCTTCTCTATACTAAAATATTTACAGATGAGATGACATGGTATTAAGGATTTGCTTTAAAAAAAAAATCATCTGCCTGGTGCTGTGGCTCATGCCCGTAATCCCAGCACTTCAGGGAGCCGTGGCAGGTGGATCGCTTGAGCCCAGGAGTTTCAGACCAGCCTGGGCAACATGACAGAACTTAGACTCTACCAAAATTACTGAAGTTAGCCAGGCATGGTGGTGCTTGCCTGTAGTCCTGGCTACTTGGGAGGCTGAGATGGGAGGATTGCTAGAGTCCGGGAAGCAGAGGTTGCAGGGAGCAGAAGTCACACCAGTGCACTCCAGCCTTGACGACAGAGCAAGACCCTGTCTTAAAAAGAATAATCAAATCAAATCAAATAATGTGAGGAGAGGGTGAGGAAGGAAGATAGACAAGAAACAAGATTGATTGGCCATGAGTTGATAATCGTTGAATCATGGGTTGATGGGTATATGGGGGGTTGATATACTGTTCTCTACTTGTGTATATGTTTGAAAATTTTCATAATAAAATTTACATATTTTTTAATCTTCAGGATTTTGACAAACTGGGCAAAAATATTTGCTACAAATTCATTTTTTTTTTTAAAGTCAAACACCCCACTGGAGAAAAATTGTCAGAATAAATGACCAAGCATTTTATAAAAAGGAGTACAGATGGCCAATAAGCATATGAAAAAATGTTTAGAGTCATTAGTTTTAAAAAAGCAAATTTGAAAAACTGTATTTTTTACCCCCTTCGATTGACCCAAACTAAAAGATCTTTTTCTGAAAACGAATAAAGACCACTAGCACTCTGTTGGACATGGTGCTGGAGTGCAGGCACTCTCATATACAACTTTCTGGCAAGAGTGTTAATTCGTATAACTTTCTGGAAGGAAATTTGGCAATATATATCTAAAGGCTTAACAACATACCTTCTGGTAATCCAGTAATTCAGATTGGAAGTTACTCTAAGGAAATAACTCATTTCTCACATAGATTTTAAATACTAGGATGTTTATGACAGCATTGTTTATCATAGCCAAAAAAAAATTGAGAACACCAAAAACTAAAGTAAATAATAGTACAGACAATAGAGTGATATGTGCCATTAAAATGGAAATTGAAGAACCGTATTTACTATGGTACGAAAATATCCACAATATGTTGAGTGAAAACAGAGCACAAAGTATATACAGCAATATGTAAATATACTTTAAAAGTTCAAGCCCTGAAGAACACTATCACTGACTTTATTAGGTCATTCTTGCATTGCTATAAAGAAATACCTGACACTGTGTAATTTATAAGGAGAAAGGTATAATTGGCTCATGGTTCTGCAGGCCGTACAGGAAGCGTAGTGCTGTCGTCTGCTTCTGAGGAGGCCTCAGGAAGCTCCCAATCATGGTGGAAGGTGAAGGGGGAATAGCTCTCTCATGTGGCAGGAGCAGGAGCAAGAAAGATGGGGAAAGGTGCCACACTTTTAAAGAACCAGATCTTGCAGGCACTCACTCGCTATGGCAAGGACAGCACCAAGCCATGAGGGATCCGCCCCCATGACCCAAACACCTCCCACGAGGCCCCACTTCCAACAATGGGGACTACATTACTCTTCCAGCATGAGATTTGGCAGAGACACAAATCTAAACCATATCACTGGCTAGTGAGATTATGGGAGATTTGTTTTTGTTTGATGGTTGTGTCTTGTGAATGCATCTATTCTGTAAGTTCTAAGCATGTGTTATTTTTGTAATTAACACTAAAATAATAAAGGCCATTTTTATGCAAAACACACAAAAAAGGAGGAAAGTACTCACAAATAATGAAAATGTTCTTCTAGCTATTCTAAGATACTTTATTTTTTCTTTTTTAAAAATATTTCTTTTAAAAATTTAATTGTTCTTCTTACATTTTGTTAACTGTATTTTTTATTTTTTTTGAGACAGACTCACTCTGTCACCCAGGCTGGAGTGTAGTGGTGTGAGCTCAGCTCACTGCAACCTCCGCCTCCCAGTTTCAAGTGATTCGCATGCTTCAGCCTCCCAAGTAGCTGGAATTACAGACATATGCCACCACATCCAGCTAATTTTTGTATTTTTAGTCGAGACAGGGTTTCGCCATGTTAGACAGGCCGGTCTCGAACTCCTGACCTTCAGTGATCCGCCTGCCTCAGCCCCACAAAGTGCTAGGATTACAGGCATGAGCCACCGTGCTGGACCTATTTAAGATACTTTAAAATTAATATCTCAGAGATAAAGTAATTTTCTATTAATATAAGAACAAAACAATGTTATTACAATTGAGTTCAGCAAAGCTCTACCAAGACCTACTATGAGCCAGAAATATGGTAATTTCTGAAGAAAATACAAAGATGAACAAGACAGCCCATGCCCACCCTCAAGAACGTTCTCTCCCTCTCATATCCCTCTCTCTTTTACAATCCAAATGATCTGGTTATGTAAACTTTCTCAATATTGGTACCTGCTGTGACAGTTAATATCATATGTCAGCTTGACTGAGCTAGGGGATGCCCAGGTAGTTGGTAAAACATTATTTTTGGCTGTATCTGGGAGGGTGTTTCTGGAAGAGACTAGCATTGGAATCAGTAGACTAAGTGCAGAAGATTCACCCTCATTAATGTGGGAGGGCATCATCCAATCCCTTGGGGGCACAGATAGAACAAAAAGGTAGAGAAAGAGTGATTCTCTCCCATCAACAGTCCCTCCACCCCACCTACTGTTGTCCAGTTCCTAGGCCTTTGGCCTGAGACTGAGAGTGACACCATCAGCTCCCCTAGTTCAGGCCCTTGGACTAAATTACACCACGGGCTTTCCTGGTTCTGCCATCTTGCAGACAGCAGATCATGGTACTTCACAGTCTCCATGATTGTGTGACCCAGTTCCCATAATAAACCTCCTCTCTCTCACCCTGTCTCTCCTATTGATTCAGTTTCTCTGAAGAACTCTGACTAATACACTTGCTTAGCCCAAGGATGTGCTTTTGTCTTCTGTGATGGTTTTTGCAGCAGGTTTACTGTCTTCTCCTCTCTTCTCTACCTTCTTCTCCATAATGATGACAGCAGTAGTCATAGTGAGGATGCCCAGATAAAGAACCTGACCTCACAGTTCTGTATTGCCTCATCTCTCCTGACCCTTTTACTTATTCTCTACTGAACTACCCCTAACATTGCCACTCTCTTGTCCTTGTTATCACGTGGCACTGCGTCATTCCTAGGATGATGCAGTCCCCTTCCCTGACCACAGCATCCTACTCCTCCACTCTTCTTTTCTTCTACTGACCCCCTACTAGATTCTTATTAATTAGTACCTCCTTGACCTGACAGTCCAGAATGTTCTTCCTGACCTTGACTTTGCAGTAAATCATATCTAGAATGCTCTGTTGCCACTTTAAACTGCAACCCGCCTCCATGCCCATACTTCTTCGGCTTCTGCTGTGCCCACTTTGCTAATCCCCTTCTCTGGACAGAACAAATATGTAACAAAATATTATTGAGCATCTACTCTGTGCCATGTAGATCAGTAAAGAGCTGGATACCCAGATCACATCATTTTTAAAAACTGCTTTTCTATTACTAAGTTTAATAGAATAAGAGGCAGCTTGGTTCAGTGGAGGAGCTTGGGATTTAGACTATAGTAGGTCTGGATTTGAATCCTGGTTCTGCCACCTTGGGCAAACCACTTCTGTGAACTTCAGCTTCCCTATCTGTAAAAAGGATGACAACACCTTTTGAGAGAAAATACCTTGTAAACTGATAAGAAGTCCAGGGTTATGAGTACAAGCACTTCAGCAGCACATGACTCAATTCTGGCCCCTAATAAAAGTTTTGTGAAGACTACCTTTTACCCTTTTGACAGGCTAAGTAAGTAATGACTAAGAACCTGGGTTCAAATTCCAGCTCTTTCTGTTACCAGCTAGGTAGACTTGGGCCCATGACCTAATCTGTCTGTTCCTTTGTTTCTTAGGGCTTTGTGAAAATTGAAGGAAATATGTGTGTGTAGTATTCAGCACTTGGCACATAGAAATTGCTCACCAAATGTATGCTGCTTTCTCTATTGGCAGTTCTGAGTATGCAGCAGAGAGAAACAGACCACAGCATTTTTGCCTGTTTCCAGAAAATTCCTTCTTACTAAATTTGCTTTGTGCTCTGGAAAACATAGTACCTGGCATGCAATGGTGATAATGGTGCTGATGGTAATTATAGAAGCTAACACTTGTTGAGAACTTACTGTGCTCACAGATTAATACATGTACTTTACAGTTGTTAGCTCAGTTTGCCCTCAGAACAATCTTTCTGATGTATACATTACTGTTTCTTTCCATTTGTAGATGAAGAAATTGACTGTATTAGTCCGTTTTCACACTGCCGATAAAGACATACCTGAGACTGGGCAATTTACAAAACAAAGAGTTTTAATGGACTCACAGTTCCATGTGGCTGGGGAGGCCTCATAATCATGGTGGAGGACAAAAGGCACGTCTCACATGGCGGCAGACAAGAGAATGAGAGCCAAGCAAAGGGGTTTCCCCTTATTAAACCATCAGATGTGGTGAGACGTATTCGCTACCATGAGAACACTATGGGGGAAACCACCCCCATGATTCAGTTATCTCTCACTGGGTCCCTCCCACAACACCAGGGAATTATGGGAGCTACAATTCAAGATGAAATTTGGGTGGGGACACAGCCAAATTATATCACTGACACAGTGAAATAAAGTAACTTCTGAGGTCACACCACTAATAAGTGGAAAAGCCTAGATTCACCCTTGCTTTTAACCACTGCTGTATACTACCTCTCACTGAAAATACTTCATAACTATTTGTTGAATGAAAGCATAGATTTATGAATCAATCAGTGTCACAGACTATGCTGAAAGTATGGTATAAGAAATAGTCTATGGGCCAGGCGTGGTGGCTCATGCCTGTAATCCCAGCACTTTGGGAGGCCGAGGTGGGTGGATCATGAGGTCAGGAGATCGAGACCATCCTGGCTAACAAGGTGAAACCCTGTCTCTACTAAAAATACGAAAAATTAGCCAGGCGCCATGGCAGGTGCCTGTAGTCCCAGGTACTCGGAAGGCTGAGGTGAGAGAATGGTGTGAACCCAGGAGGCTGAGCTTGCAGTGAGCCGAGAACGCACCACTGCACTCCAGCCTGGGCAACAGAGCGAGACTCCATCTCAAAAAAAAAAAAAAAAAGAAAAAAGAAATAGTCTATGAAGAATTACATATATTTTGAACATGTTTAGAATTATGGTAGCTTGTCTCCAAGATGGCCTCTGCTAATTCCTTCCCTCCCTTTACAAGCAATTTCCCCATTGAGAGATGTATTCTATTCCTCTACTTGCTTGAGATTGGGTTTGCCTGTGACTGCTTTCATTAACAGAATGTAGTTGAAGTGGTTCTGTGAGACTTCCAAGCCTATATCCTACAAAGCTTCCCAGCTTCTGTCTGACTCTCTTGATATGCTTCCTCTGGGGAAAACCAGCTGGCATGCTGTGAAGAAGTTCAAGTTATCCAAATGGAAGGTCTGCATTGAGAGTGTCTGATCAACCTCCCCGATTCTCCAGTTGTTCCAGCCCAGGTATCAGACATTCAAGTGAATGATCAGCTTCAGCTGCCATCTGACCACAACCTTATGAAAGATCCCAAGTGAGAACCACCTAGTTAAGCCTATCAACCCTCAGAACCATGAATAATAAGAATAAATTGTCATCTTAGCCACCAATCTTTGGAGCAGTTTCTTATGTAGCATTAGAAAACTGAAACAAAAACGTTTTTTATCATGCCAAATGAAGTCCTCTTCATTAGGATTCCTTAGGAGAAATTTCTATTTTATCTTGATGCCAAAAAGCGTTGAGTAATTAATTGTCCTGCTCTCACCTACCCACATCCAACCATGGACATTGTGACTTGTATGGCCCGGAAGTTGACCCTTTCATTTTAACTGCTAGAGAGCCCAGAGCCAAGTGCTGCCCCTCTTGAGACTGGTGTGATTGTAATCATCTGCAATCATAGCTTTTTTAAAAAAATTTTACTTTGTTGTCTTTCTGTTTTTTACCTTAAAAAAACCCGACATATAATTTATGTGAGCTTACATTTCAAGTATCCTTGTAAGCTTTCTTAACTTATTCCTATAACCAGGTAGAATGTAATAAATATAAATAAATAGACTATTTTCCAGGAACTGTGCAGGGTTTATGAAAGAGTCATAAAGTTGAATCAGCCACGGTGTTGTTCTCAGGGAGAGACACCCATACGAAAATAACTCTCATGCTTATTCTGTAACTTGTATGGTAGCAGTAATATAAGAAATACTGAAAGTGCTCTGAGAACACAGAATGATTTATTTCATTGTGGGGCCTCTGGTAGACGCCTTCTCAGAGCTGGACTTTGGAGGAAGAAGGGGCAATTCAAAGCAAAGGGAAGTGTGCAGAGGACACAGATGAGTGTAAATGTTTGGATGCCTGGGAAACCAACAGGTGATATGGCTTGCATGGGTTTAGAGCCAGATATGGCAGGATGGCAGGAGATGAAAAGAAAATCCGAAGTTGAAACTAAATTAACAGAGGCCTCATATTGCTTGTTCCCTTCCTCCATGTGATCCACTTCATTGGTCCTCCTCTTAAAAGGGTACTCAGACTCAAACTTCACACTCCACAGAGCAGCACAAAGTCAGTGTCCACACTGACAAGAGCAGAGCAAAGGGGTACCATTCTGTTCTTTATTCCACATGGTTTCTATTAATGCTGCCAGAAATTGCACTGGTTTCTTGGATATGCTTATAGTGTGATCCCAGCTATGTCCTACAACCAACAAAAGATGTTCAGTGGGAAGAAATATTGGAAGTATCTCCAAATATTGGGAGCAGTTGTCGTTAGCTGTAAGACTGTGGGTAATGTCTATCTACTTATTTTTATTCCCTTGTGGTTTCTAGTTTTTCTATGATGAACATAATTACATTTGGCATGTTGGAGAATAAAAATGCATTTTATTTGTTAATGCCTTCTATGCTACACTAAAGAGTTTTTATTTCATTTTGTAGGCAACAGACATTGGGGTATTTAGGAAGGTAATAATCCTATCTGGTTTGGGAAGGATGCCCCCAGTGCCTTGGAGAGGTGTCTTTTTAAGGCATCTGCTTGTTGCTGGGGGTGGTGGCTCCCACCCGTAATCCCAGAACTTTGGGAAGCGGAGGTGGGAGGATTGCTTGAGCCCAGGAATCCAAGGCTGCAGTGAGCCATGAGCGTGCCACTGAACTCTAGCCTGGGTGACACAGAGACCCTGACTCAAAAATAAAAAATAAAATAAATCTCTTCATTAGTGCCACAGACCCATCACCTCTAGGGATTATTCTAGAAGCTTCAGTCTCCACTGCTTTCTGGATTTTTCCCTTCAGCTGATAAGGATTCTCAAGTTATCCATATTGTAAACAAATAAACCCTCACCTTCCTGGTATCCTCTTATCTCCTACCTTCTGTGCACTTTTATCTCTTCACTGCCAAGCTCTTTTGAGAAGGGTGGTCTATACTCACTATCTCCATTTTGTCAATATCCAGCAATCCCACAACCCAGTGGTTCCCAAGCTTGTCTGCAAATCAAAACTATCTGAGTATCTTTAAAACTTCCAAAACCCTGGTGATGTGGTTTGGCTCTGTGTCTCCACCCAAATCTCATGTCAAATTGTACAGTAATTCCCAGTGTTGGGGGAGGGACCTGGTGGGAGGTGATTGGATCATGAGGGCGATTTCCCCCTTAGTGTTCTTGTGATATTTCTAGTGAATTTTCACAAGATCTAGTTGTTTAAAACAGTGTAGCACTTCCCACTTCTCTCTCTCCTACCACCATGTGAAGACGTACTTGCTTCCCCTTCGCCCTTCTGCCATGATTGTAAGTTTCCTGAGGCCATCCCAGCCATGACTTCTATACAGCCTGCAGAACTGTGAGTCAATTAAGCCTCTTTTCTTTATAAATTTCCAAGTCTCCAGTAGTTCTTTATAGCAGTGTGAGAGCAGACTAATACACTTGGTCATACTCTAGATCAGAAATCCCAGTCTCTGATGGAGGGACTAAGTAATTCCATTGTGTGGACCAGTTTGAAAAGGACTGCCATAACCCTTGCAGGTTGCTCCCTTGAAGATCACTAAAAGCAAAGTTTAATGTTATCATTATTATTATTATTTTTTGACACAAGGTCTTGCTCTGTTGCCCAGGCTGCAGTACAGTGGCACAATCATAGCTCACTGCAGCCTCAACCTCTCCTGGGTGCAAGTCATCCTCCCATCTCAGCCTCCCCACTAGCTGGAACTACGGGTATGCACCACTAAACATGGCTAATTTTTAAAAATTGTTTTGTAGAGATGGAGGTCTCACCATGTTGCCCAGGCTGGTCTCAAACTCCTGGGCTCAATAGATCCTCCTGCCTTGGCCTCTCAAAATTTGGGGATTATAGGTATGAGCCACTGCACCCCGTTATGTTCTTATTTTTTTTATCATGCTCCATTTTCCCAAAGCATTGGAAATAGTTGGCTACCAACTAGGTATACACTCTTAGCATTCAAAGCCTTCTGTGGAATTGCTTCTAATAAAATTGGAACCTTGCACTGTTTACATAAGTAGGTGTTTTGGGACATTATAAACAAAGTGGGGCAGGGCCAGGAATCCAGAAATGATACGTATTCTTTGCCCTGGGATAGGCACCAGGCAGGTGGTGGACCCAGCTTCTGACAACAGAAAATTATCCTGCTAGACAGGCAGAACTTCCTGTTCACTCAGCAATCCATGTCTGTGCTGAGCCAGTACAGTGACACGTTAACTGAGGCAAATAGGAAATGCTATGGGGCATCAAGGAAGTAGTTACTCTCCACCCCTGGGAAAGTAGTCAGTCAGAAAAGGCTTCAAGAAGGTGACTTTTGAGCAGATGAAAGTGTCCAGAGTGTGTACCAACAAGCAATGTAAGTGGCAACCCAGGAATCTTGGTCAGAATCAGGAAGGAGAGAATTCACATTTATGGAGCCCTACCTCTGTGCCAGGCAGTAGTAAACATGTCAGAAGTGTTTGAATGGGAGCAGCTCCATCTTGAACAGGGACTGAGTAAAATGAGGCTGAAACTTGCTGGGCTGCATTCCCAGGAGGTTAAGCATCCTTTGTCACAGGATGGGATAGGAGTTCGGCAGGACCGGTATCACAAGCTTCAGGTCACAAAGACCTGGCTGATAAAACAGGATGTGGTGAAGAAGCAAGCCAACACCCTCCAAAACCAAGATGGCAGTGAAAGTGACTTTGGTCATCCTCACTGCTCATTAAATGCTAATTATAACGCATTAGCATGCCAAAAGACACTCCCACCAGCTCATGACAGTTTACAAATGCCATGGCAATGTCTGGAAGTTACCCTATAGAGTCTAAAAGGGGGAGAAACCCTCAGTTCCGGGAACTCCCCACCTCTTTCTGGAATGAATAATCCACCCCCTCACACAGCATATAATCAATAAAAAACCATAAGTATGCTCCGTCAAGCAGCCCATGCTGCCATTCTGCCTATGTGATAGCCACTCTTTTATTCCTTTGCTTTCTTTCTTTTTCTTTTTTTTTTTTTTTTTGAGACGGAGTTTCGCTCTTGTTGCCCAGGCTGGAGTGCAATGGCGCAATCTGGCTCACCTGTGACCTCCGCCTCCTGGGTTCAAGTGATCGTCCTGCCTCAGCCTTCCAAGTAGCTGAGATTACAGGCATGCACCACCATGACCGGCTAATTTTTTTTTTTTTTTTTTTTTTTAGCAGAGACGAGGTTTCTCCATGTTGGTCAGGCTGGTCTTGAACTCCCGACCTCAGGCGATCCGCCCGCCTTGGCCTCCCAAAGTGCTGGGATTACAGGCGTGAGCCACCGTGCCTGGCCTCCTTTGCTTTCTTAATAAACTTGTTTTCACTTTACTCTGTCAGCTCACTCTTGAATTCTTTCCTACACAAAACCAAGAACCCACATGGGCTCCCAGGCTGAACCGCAGTTTTGGGGTTCGCCCTGTGACAAACAGGGCACTGTGAAAGGCTGTGCCCCAGAAAGCAGACTCTCTGAGCTAGAGATCAACATGCAGGAAGTTTATCAGGGAGTGACCTTGGCATCAACATCTGTTGATGGGAAAGGGAAAAAAGGAAAGCAGGATTGGGCAGAAGGGAAGTTGGGCTGTAATGCGGTCTCACTGAATATCTTAGCTGCCAGCACAGGGAACATTGAAGATCAGAGAGAACACTGAACAACTTTTTCATGTCACATATCACACAGCTTACACATCTCAGAGCAGAAATTTGAGTCTGGTTCTGATTCCAAAGTTCGTATTCTCTCTAGGATGTGCATTCTCAGTGGCAGATATGGGGGCAGGGAGTAATATTGTCTTCAAGGGTATAAAACTGGTTCTTCTTTTTCTTTGAGACAGGATCTCACTTTGTCACCCAGGCTGGAGTGCAGTGGTGCAACCTCAGCTCACTGCAGCCTCGACTTTCCTGCATTCAGACAATCCTCCCACCTCAGCCTCCCAAGTAGCTGGGACTATGGGCATGTGCCACCACACCCCACTAAGTTTTAAAACATTTCTTATAGAGATGGAGGTCTCGCTATGTTGCTTGGGCTGGTCTGGAACTCCTGGCCTCAAGCGATCCTCTCGCCTTGGCCTCCCAAAATGTTGGGATTACAGGCATGAGCCGCCACGCCTGGCAGAAAACTGTTTTTTGGCAGGGACAAAATGATCTTAGATATTACAGGGTTTGCGACCTTCAAAGAGTCACAGAACATAAACACGTAGAGAGTATATCTGTGCTGTTACATTACAGTTTCATGAGGAGAAACAATTAGGGAAACAATATCAAAGAAGTGATAAAAAGCCGGGCACAGTGGCTCACGCCTGTAATCCCAGCACTTTGGGAGGCCGAGGCGGGCGGATCACCTGAGGTCGGGAGTTCGAGACCAGCCTGACCAACATGGAGAAACCCCATCTCTACTAAAAATACAAAGTTAGCCGGGTGTGCTGGCACATGCCTGTAATCCCAGCTACTCGGGAGGCTGAGGCAGGAGAATCACTGAACCCAGGAAGCGGAGGTTGCAGTGAGCCGAGATCACGCCATTGCACTCGAGCCTGAGCAACAAGAGCAAAATTCTGTCTCCAAAAAAAAAAGAAGTGATAAAAGAAAAACTTCAGCCTAATTAAATTTAAAGGAGTTTAATTGAGCAATGAACGATTCACAGGCAGCCTCCCAAGCCAGAGTAGACTCTGAGACTCCCGTGCAGCCACATGGTGGAAGATTTATGGATAGAAAAAGGAAGTGATGTGCAGAAAAAGAAAGTGAGGTACAGAAACAGCTGGGTTGGTTACATGGTGGCATTGCCTTATTTGAACACAGTTCGAACAGTTGGCTACATTTGATTGGCCAAAACCAGGTGACTGGCGCAAGTGTAGGCTGTGGTCTGTTTACACCTCCACTTGTTATAGTTCACAATGTACAGAAAAACCTTTGGGCCAAACTTAAAATATGTATGTAAGGAGGCAGCTTTAGGCTAAACTTGGCTTAACAGGAGGTGGATGTGGTAGAAAGTCAATAATGACAAATAGATTGACAAATTGCTCTAGGAAGTATTGAAGGTGGGGCTAAGAGGTATAAGGTAAAACTAGGTGTCTATGAAAAGAGTCAAACTCTAAAATATTTGAAGAGATTTATTATAGCCAAATATGAGTGCCCAATGAACCATGACACAGCCCTCAGGAGATCCTGAGAACATGTGCCCAAGGTGGTTGGGGTACAACTTAGTTTCATTTACATTTTAGGGAGATATAGGACATCAATCAAATACACGTGAGATGTACATTGGTTCAGTCCAGAAAGGTGGGACAACTCAAAATGGGGCATTGGGATGAGGGAGGGACTACCAGGTTAAGGGCAGATTTAAAATTTTTCTGATTGGCAATTGGTTGAAATAGTTGTTATTGTCTAAAACTTAGGAATGTCTGGGTCAAGATTGAGGGTGTGGAATCCACAGTTTTATCATGCAGGTGAAGCCTCGGGGTAGCAGGCTTCAGAGAGAATACATTGTAAATGTTACCTGTCAGACGTAAAGAGTCTGTTTTATCAGTAATTCCAAAAGGCAGGAGGGTATAATGAGGCATGTCAGACGGCCCCTGCCCATCATGACCTGAGCTAGTTTTTCAAGTTAGCTTTGAAATGCCCTTGCCAAGAGCAGGGGTCCATTCACATGTTCGGGGGGCTTAGAATTTTATTTTTGGTTTACATAGGTATTCCACATTGAGACAAAATTATGGAGGGGTAAGAAAATGCAGGGGCAGTGCCTGGACCTGCTCTCTAGACAATGAGAACCTATTTGGGATTTTCAACAAGGAAATAGCATGTGTTTTGAATATATGGCAGGAGCAGTAGTGTGAAGCATGGATTAGAGATGGGGACAGTGAAGATAGGAGGCCATTGCAACAAACCAAATGAGAGATAGAGCCTGACTCAAACATTGACAAAAGGATGGAGAGAAGAGGAGAGTTTTGCAAGAGATTAAGAAAGAAGAATCAACAATAAGATTCATACACTAACTCCATGGGGGTGGAGTGTGGAAATAACAAACCCAATGTGTTTTTTCTATTTTCTCATCCCACGACAATCCATACAGAAGACTTCTGTGACCAAATGTCAAGAGCAGGGGACCGGGGCGGGGGGCGCTCACAAATACTGCAGCGCATTTCCCGCCCACACCAAGCAAGCAAGCAGTGCTGTGGCAGATACCACCTGGGTGTTCTCTACTTCAATTCTGACATGGTCTACCTGGAGACAGCATCAGATCCCACAGGGTGAGGGCTCAGTCCCACAAGACTGGCCCCATATCAAATGCCAGTTGCAAGCCCCAGATTATTTTACCTGCGCTTCTGACTGACTGGCTATAAATTGGGATTCCCATGACCCCCTCCTTGGTTTTGAATAATTTGCTAGAGTGGCTTATGAACTCTATAACCAGTTTATTATTGTAAACCAAAAAGTATCTGAGACATGTCTCAATCAGTTTAGGAAGTACTTTATTTTGCCAAGGTTAAGAACACACCCATGACACAGCCTCAAGAGGTCCTGATGACATGTGCCCAAGCTTGGTTGGGGCGAGCTTGGTTTTATACATTTTAGGGAGACATGAGATATCAATCAATATATGCAAGATGTACATTGGTTCAATCCAGAAAGGCGGGACCACTGAAGCGGGGTGGGGGCTTCCAGGTCATAGGTAGATAAGAGACAAATGGTTGTATTCTTTTGAGTTTCTGATTAGCCTCTCCAAAGGAAGCAATCCGATATGCATTTATCTCAGTGAGCAGAGGGGTGACTTTGAGCTCTGTCTTGCCTTTGCCCACAAATTGTGACAGAGGTATGTAACTTTTTTTTTTAATCTTAGTGTTACAGGAAAGGGATCCGGATCCAGACCCCAAGAGAGAGTTCTTGGATCTTGCCTAAGAAAGAATTCAGGGTGAGTCCATACAGTAAAGTGAAATCAAGTTTGTTAAGAAAGTAAAGGAATGAAAGAATGGCTACTCCATAGGCAGAACAGCTCTGAGGGTTGCTGGTTGCCCATTTTTATGGGCATTTCTTGATGCTATGCTAAACAAGGGGTGGATTATTCATGCCTCCCCTTTTTAGACCATATAGGGTAACTTCCTGACGTTGCCATGGCATTTGGAAACTGTCATGGCACCAGTGGGAATGTAGCAGTGAGGCCAGCCAAAGGTCACTCTTGTGGCCATCTTGATTTTGGTGGGTTTTGGCTGGCTTTTTACTGCAAACTGTTTTATCAGCAAGGTCTTTATGACCTGTATCTTGTGCTGAGCTCCTATCTCATCCTGTGACTTTAGAATGCCTTAACCATCTGGGAATGCAGCCCAGTAGGTCTCAGCCTCATTTTACCTAGTTCCTATTTAAGACGGAGTTGCTCTGGTTCACACGCCTCTGACATTAGTAGCTATCTTTTTTTTTGGAATACAACGGGAGGCAGGTTTACCCTAAGCCATTCCGAGCTCGACTTTCCCTTTTAGCTTAGTGATTTTTGGGTTTCAAGATTTATTTTCCTTTCACATTTTAAAGGATATTACAAAGAATGTGGATGAAGTGACATATAGGGTCAGGTGTGTGGAAGGGAACAGAGCTTCTAGGTCTTCCCTGGAGCACCACCCTCCAGGAACCTCCACATGTTCAACCATCTGGAAATTCTCCAAACCCTGTCCTTTTGGGTTTTTCTGGAGGTTTCATTTTGTAGGCATGATTGAGGAAGCCACTGGCCCTGTCCCTTCCCTGGAGGTTGGTGGGTGAGGCTGAAAGTCCCAACCCTTTAAGCACAAAGCTGCTTCCTCTGGCAACCAACCCCCATCCAGTGGTTTCAGGGACTTTCCAAACATTGCCTCATTCACATAAGCTCAGATGTATTTGAAAGGACTTGTAAATAGTAAAAGATTGTCTTTCACCTTTATCCTTCAGGAGCTACTTTAGGAACCAAAACCAAAAATCCAAATACTTTAGCAAAAAATATTCTTACTGTACTAGTCACTTAGGAAATAACAAGGGCTACTGGGGCTGAGAGCTGGGAATCCTTGATGAAAACCAAATATATATCTGTCATAATAGCACAGATAGGGGGTGGGTATCACATATGGCCATGAGTCTTACAGGGCAGAGATGGTTCTATAATCAGAGCTAATCTAGAGTGAGAGGCACCTTTGCAAGGGTGATCACATGAGTAAGGTTGCTGCGGGACCTCCGGGAGGAGGGCTGGAGGAAGAGGACAGCAATGCTAGTTTGAAGCTGGTTCCCCAGAGGAGGGCAGCATTTTTGAGGTAGAAGTGATGATTGAAGCTGTGGAGGTAGACCACGTCTCTGGGGAAGAGAGTGCAGAGGTAGAAGAAAGTTAAGCAGATGCCACTGTGGAAGAGACATCTGTGAAGAATCAGGGTAAGAAAATGAGTACTTTTCCATGCGGATGGAGGAGTTACAAGAAGGGATTAAGGGAAAAATAATTTTTATCTGAGGAATGTGAGTCCTTTTAAATCATCAGGCCCAGAGAGGCATTAGCATGAGACAGCAACTGTACCCTCTTGAGCTATGTATTCGTCTCTTAAAACTGCTTGCCGTTGCCACAGGTAGCTGTAAATTAATGTAACAATGCCTCACTGGACACTGTAGCCCACACTCTGTAGTCACTGTACCTCATTTTTGTCTTTAAAAGTCTGCTTGTGTTTGGGAGGCCAAGGTGGGCCATTCGCTTGAGGCCAGGAGTTTGAGACTAGCCTGGCCAACATGGCGAAACTCCGTCTCTACTGAAAATACAAAAATTAGTTGGGCATGATGGTGCACACATGTAGTCCCAGCTACTTGGGAGGCTGAGGCAGAGGATTTCTTGAACCTGGGAGGCAGAAGTTGCAGCAAGCCGAGATCACGCCACTGGACTCTAGCCTGGGTGACAGAGCGAGACTCCATCTCAAAAATAAATAAATAAATAAATAAATCTGCTTGTGGCCCAGTGCAGTGACTCACGCCATGCTTGTGATCCCAGTGCTTTGGGAGGCAGAGGCAGGAGGATCCCTTAAGGCCAGGAGTTCGAGACCAGCATGGGAAACATAGCAAGATTCCCATCTCTACAAAATATTAAAAAATTATCCAGGCATGGTGATGCACACCTGTAGTCCCAGCTACTTACAAGGCTGAGGTGGGAGGGTCACTTGAGCCAAGGAGTTTGAGGCTGAAGTGAGCCATGACTGTGGCACTGTACTCCACCCTGGGCAACAGTGTGAGACCCCATCCAAAAACAAAACAAAAACAAAACCTGCTTGTAACAAAGGCCAAACAGAGCTCACATCCAAGGTTAACTGAGTCTGAGTCTTCCTGGAAGCTGTCCTCACTTTGGCGCAAGTACATTCTTTAAATTATATTTTGTGCTGGAAGCACTGGCCCATACTTGTCTCAACTACTCGGGAGGCTGAGGTGGAAGGATCCCTTGAGCCCAGGGGTTCAAAGCTGCAGCGAGCCATTATCGCACCACTGCACTCCAGCCTGGGTAACAGAGCAAGACCTTGTCTATAAGTGTAAATAAATAAATTATATTTTGTGCCTCAGTCTCTTCTTTTTAGATCAACAGGGCTAAACATGAAATGTTATACAGTGGACCAGAAAAACACTACCGTTGTTAGGTATTAAGGAAACATTGTCATATTTTGAATGGAACCTAAATTGCAAGAAATTGAGGATCATGTAGTGGCCAGTTGTGATTATGATTGACAGTTTGGACTATGGAATCTGCTAGACTTGGGCCTGAACCCTAACTCTCCCCTTTAGCTGTGTGATCTTGTAAGCACTCTAAGCTTCAGTTACTTCATCTATATAAATTTGAATAATAATGGCCCCTACCTCTAAGAGACTAAAGATCAAATGAGATATATGTATAAAGAAGTTGGAATAGGCTGGGCATGATGGCTCATGCCTGCAGTCCCAGGATTTTGGGAGGCTGAGGCAGGAGGATCGCTTGAGCTCAGGAATTCAAGACCAGCCTGGGCAACAAAGTGAGATCATGTCACTACAGAAATTTAAAAAGTTATCCGAGCATGGTGATGTGTGCTTGCAGTCCCAGCTACTGGAGAGGCTGAGGTGGGAAGATCACTTGAGTCCAGAAATTTGAGATTACAGTGAGCTATCATTGCACCATTGTACTCCAGCCTGGGTAACAGAGTAAGACTCTGTCTCTATTTAAAATAAAATAATAGAAAAAAAGAAAACAGAAAATAAACTTGGAAATAGGAATATATTAGGTGCTCAATAAAATTTCAGTTATGATTCTTGCTCAAACATCTGGTAAGCAGGAGGAAGGAGGATTTTATTAATTTCCTAGGGCTGCCATAACAAATTGCCAAAACCTGGGTGGCTTTTACTGCTGGCATCAGAGATTCATTCTCTTTTACTGCTGGCAGCCTGAAATAACAGTATCAGGCCATACTTTCTCAAGGAAGGCTCTTTCCTTGATTGTTCCAGCTTCTGGGAGCTCTAGACATTCCTTGGCTTGTGGCTGCATTGCTCTAATCTCTGCCTCTGTCTTCACATGGCCTTCTCTGTGTCTCTCAGTGTATCAAAATATCTCTCTCCTTTCTTTATAAAGACACCAGTCATTGGATTTAGAGCCCACCATAGATCTGTGATTATTTAAATCTAATGATTCTTAAGTAATTAATTCTGCAAAGACTATTTCCAAATAAGCTCACATTCTGAGGCTCTAGTGAAATGAGAGAGTTCCCTGACTTGGGTGTGGGGACCAAACAGGGGTGTGGCTTGCCTGTTTGGTCACCCTGAGCTCAAACCCCTAGGTGGAGCATGCAGACAGGTAGGTACAGAGAGGCTGGGGAGAGTGCTTTGGGCTCTCGGCCCGTAGTTGCATCTAGGGGTGGGTGTCTGTGACTCCCAAAGTCCAAGTGGGCATGTGTTACAGTGTGCTCCTTTAGCTTTGCCATCTGCAGATGGCTTGTGTGTTAATCAGCTCAATGGACCCTCTGCCTTATCACAAGGGCAGGGAGGGGGCCAATGTGACAGCCTTCTGTATCCCAAGCTCTTACCCAGTATCCTGAAAGAATCAGATCACACACAGGCTTGAAGGATGAGTGCAAGGTTTTATTGAGTGGTGAAGATGGCTCTCAGAGAGATGGATGGGGAGCCAGAAGGGGGATGGAGCGGGAAGGTGATCTTCCTCAGGAGTCAGTCAACCCAGTGGCCGGACTCTTCTCCGACCACCCTCGGCCGAACTCCCCTCGGTGTCCAGACATCCCTCCTCTTCTCTCTTTCTCTGCCATGTCATTCTGCTATCGCTGGTCTGCTGGTCTACTTGCCTCCTTGTCTCCTCACTTGTGGGTCTTATCTGGAGTTTGGGATTCGGGGTTTATATGGGGGCAGGATAGGGAGCATGGTGAGCCAAAAGGCAACTTTTTGGGCGTGAAAACAGAAATGCCTGTCCTCATGTAGGGCCACGAGTCTTCAGGCTTGAGGGTGGGGCCTTTGCCGGGGAACCGCCCTCTTCTACCCAGTATTTCCCTGTCTCCTGTATCGCTGGGTGGACATGAATTTTGTTGGGACATTATTCGACCCACTACATGGGTGTAGAATGTTTTAGAGGAGCTTGGTGGCAAAGGGTGGAAGAGAAACATGACTATATTTTGTTTTTAGGGAAGGGTATTTCTTTGAAAATATAGAAGAGACTTTGTGGTTTTGCAGGCAGGGAGAAGGAGACAATGAGAAGAAATGGAAAATTCAGGAGGGAATGCCTGATGTACCCAGAAGAGAAGGAGGGCAGTAGAGAAACAAAAGTACAAATAGAGGACCAGGCTTGACCAAAGACAACATTTCACCTGTAAGGTCAGTTGTGAAGAAATAAAGAGTATGAGGCTGTAAGTAGGGAAGTTGAAGAAGTTTTCACCTGGTCACTGAACTGTGTGGGCAGTTATTTATTGAGAGTAAGTGAAGATAGAAAAGATTGGATGGGTTAACAAGGAACACTGAGGTTTGAAGAATTGCCTTGGAGTATGTGACAATGTGTGACCATGTGTGGAGCAGCACCGAGGACCCAGCTGAGTTACCAGAAAGCCACTCATTGAAAAAGAACTTTGCTTAGTAATGACATTTACAAAACCAGCCAGCTGTGCTTGGTCAAATACAGAACTTCAGAAGACAATCTCAGGACAGGTCATTCTTCTTTAAAATGACTCATCTAATGAAAGAAAGCAAAACCTGAGCATAATAGTCACCATTAAATCAGAAGAAGAAAAAAACACTGCACAATTTAACATTCATCTCATTTCACATTTACTGCAAAAAACATTTCTAACAAATCCAGCCCGCAAATTCAAATGATTTCCAGCTCTACAAACTTGGGGACAGGATTTATGGTTTATAATGAAAGAAAAAAATCTTGGAGGGCTAGGAGGGGCAGATGTGTTCTCAGTGAATCAGATATAGAATGACAGAGGGTTATCATTTCCATATGGATTCTGCTGTAGATTTCCAGGATAGCAAGACAACAAAAGTCATGTATCTGCATATATAGCTATGCACCTATGGGATAGCATATATGCATCCCTATCTTTTCAATCACATGGGATGTAATTGAAAGTGCTGGCTATTGTGATTTGCATTAGTATTTCTTTGGGGCTGCTATCAATCAGAATGGTAAAATTAACCACTCATAAATAGATATAAAGCTTTGTCAGAATCTTTGTGATCAGGGTCCATGCCCAATCCTTATGGGTGATGAGCAGGAATAAGGTGATGGCATCCCATATTCACTATTTCAGATTCAGACAACTTTCCATCCTGGGTCCTGATCACCACTGTCCAGTCACAAGAGATAGAACTTCCAGCAGAGCCCAGAAAACTGTTAGACCCAGGGGATAAAGAACAGGGAAGCCAAAGTTAGCTCACTTTAAAACGTAATAGCAGAAGTCCACTCACAGCTCTTGCTGTTACCGAACCAAACTGGGGTCTGCTCACCCAGTGCAGCAAAACCAAACACTGGCATTGGGATTGCAGCCAGGGAAAATGGGGCATTTATTGCAGGGCACCCAGCAAGGAGAATCAGGCAGCTCATGCTTAAGACCTGAAGTCCCTGATGGATTACAGGTAAGAGTTTGTAAAGGTAGGGAGGCAGAGGTTACAGGCAAAGTCATAAATCAATACATGGCAACTATATATTTGTTTGACCTAGAAAGGCAGGATGTCTGGGTCAGGCAGGGCACGGGTCATAGGTGGATTCAAAGATTTTCTGATTTGTAGTTGGTTCAGGAGGCAGAGCTTTATCTAAAAATTTGGGATCCGCAGAAAAGAATGTAAATTCTGGCTTGTGGAGATGACCTCCTCCAGGCCCTTCATGAAGAAATTTAGAACAAAGAACTCTTGTCAGAATTCATTCCTCAGTTCCCCTTTATCTGAGGTGTATGTGCCAGCAGTTCCATTTGTTGGGGGTTTAAGTTTCTGAAACAACTCAGAGAGATATGGTAAGATGTTATCTTTAGTTTCTATGTGGAACCAAACATCTCGTGATTCTAATTTCCTTGGTTATAGTTTTAAGCTACTATTACTTTCTTGCTTATCAAGTTGCTCACTTACTTCTCAGGGTGAGCTAGATGCCTGGAATTTCTCTAGAAAGAACTCAAGATTTTCCTTGACTTCCATGCTTGTGAGAGGCTGTCTGGCAGGCCCCTAAGAGGCATCCTTGCTCCGTCTCATTGCCTTGTTAGCCTGGTGGTTGCAAGGACTTTAGGCTCCTGAGGTTCCATTGAACTAGCTGGGCTAGTCCAGTCCTTGGACCTTTGAACTCAAGACAATGTCTTTTTACCTTTAGCCCAGTTTCTTGGTGTCCCATTGACCTAACCAACCTTACCAAAAAGGTCTTTTCTTTAGTATGAATGCTCAACCACCCCTGACCTGCCCAAGTAACTTGAGACTGTAACTCCCAGGTGCCATCATCGGACAACTGATTCATGCCTTGTTTCTCCATCTCGAAGGTCCAGAAAACAGGAACATCTGGTATCCCAAGTATGTGAGAGATTTAGATTAAGTCAGCCTACATACAATCTGATTAAAGAGCACTGTGAAAATGTCAAATGCTATAAATATGGATAATATAGTAGTAACTGAGAAGCAGCTTGGTTAATTGAAGCCAGTCCCAAGAGCTATCCCATAATTATGGGGTGATTGTGTCTGGTATGCCCCGAAGCATGGCAAAGATCTTTTATGCAAAGAGACAAGTCAAATAATTTTGCATCCCATTAACGTCTAAGATACAACTTTAACCTAGGAAATAATGCTAAGCATTCTTAAGAGTTTGATAAGTAAAGAGAATGTCTTGACTTAGGCACCAGCTGTTTGTCTTTATGGCATGTGACCCCAGTCACCAGCTGGCAGTTCTAAAAGAGAATGGGTCCTCCATTGTACCTCAGGCTCTTGGCAAATCCATCTGAGTGTGAAATAACTAGAAAAGTTTTTCTCTGACCTGAATAGATGAGAAAAAAATATGAAAAATCAGGGATGAGGATTACACTCTCAAGGTCAACAATTCCTAAGTCAATAACCAGGACTCCAGTGTTTACAATACTGACATTACCTTTTCTTTTTTCTTTTTCTTTTTCTTTTCTTTTCTTTTTTTTTTTTCAAGACGGAGTTTCTCTCTTGTTGCCCAGACTGGAGTGCAATGGCGTGATCTCCATTCACTGCAACCTCTGCCTCCCAGGTTCAAGCGATTCTCCTCTGGGAATCCTCAGCCTCCCACATAGCTGGGATTACAGGCACCTGCCACCACACCTAATTTTTTTTTTTTTTTTTTTTTTTTTTTGTATTTTTAGCAGAGATGGGGTTTCACCAGTTGGTCAGGCTGGTCTTGAACTCCTGACCTCAGGCGATCCACCTGCCTCGGACTCCCAAATTGCTGGGATTACAGGGACATTACCTTTTCTTGAAATGTTAACAAAGGCCAGATGCGGTGGCTCACGCCTGTAATCTCAGCACTTTGTAAGGCAGAGAGGCAAGAGGATTGCTTGAGCCCAGGAGTTTGGGACCAGCCTGGGTGACATAGTGGTGTCCTGCCTTTAAAAAAATAATTAAAATTAAAAAAAAGTAGATGTCTCCATTCTTCTTTCATATCTTGATGTTAGCCACATTCCTAAATAATACCCCATAATAAGACTATTATGTTTTTAATTTGACAGATTAAACCTCCAGATCACAGATTTATTATTTTATTATTATTATTTTTTTGAGACAGAGTCTCCATCTGTCGCCCAGGCTGGAGTGCAGTGGTGCGATCTAGGCTCACTGCAAGCTCCGCCTCCCGGGTTCACGCCATTCTCCTGCCTCAGCCTCCCCAGCAGCTGGGACTACAGGCGCGAGCCACCATGCTCGACTAATTTTTTTGTATTTTTAAGCGTTAGCCAGGATGATCTCGATCTCCTGACCTTGTGATCCGCCCGCCTCGGCCTTCCAAAGTGCTGGGATTACAGGCTTGAGCCACCGCGCCCAGGGATTACAGATTTATTTATTTAAAACTTCCAGATTACAAATTTATTTTTAAAATGTTGCTGTGGAATGAGTACAGAAGGGATTGATGTAAAAATATGTGTGTACTCTGCAGTTTCCTTCTGTACCTTTTCACAGATTTGGTGTGGTTTTTTATTTGTTTGTTTTGTTTTGTTTGCTTTTTGAGACAGGGTCTCACTCCATCATCCAGGCTGGAGCATAGTGGTGCAATCTTGGCTCACTGCAGTCTCAACCTCTCGGACTCAAGTGATCCCCCCACCTCAGCCTCCTGAGTAGCTGGGACTACAGGCACACACACCACACCCAGCTAATTTTTTGTATTTTTGTAGAGACAGGGCCTTGCTCTGTTGCCCAGGCTGGTCTCAAACTCTTGGGCTCAAGCAATCGGCTTGCCTCGCCCTCTCAAAGTGCTGGGATTACAGGTGTGAGCCACCACACCCGGCCTTTCACACATTTATGTCTAGATGAATGATTTCATTCTTGGGCCTCTCCCTGGATAATCTCAACTTCTAAATCTTGAATACCTACCCACCTCTTTTCCCACGTCTTCAGTCTGTAATTCCACCTGCCTCCTAGGCATCTCCACTCCAATGAGCTGCAGGCCCCTTCTACTTATTATGGCTGAAATGGAGCTCAGCTCAAACCCCCACCTCATCTACCGGAGCCCTCCTCCCATGCTCCCAGCTCAGCGAATGGCACTCCCCAGAAAGCCAGAGCTAGATATGTTGGTGTTATCTTTGATTCCTTCTTTTTTTTCACCCTCTATTTCCAGTTGGTCTGGGTCTTGCTAATTTTAATCCTGACTATAATTGAATCCATCCCTACCTTAATCCAAGCTACAATTCTTTTTTATTTTTATTTATTTATTTATTTTTTTGAGATAGGGTTTCACTCTGTTGCCCAGGCTGGAGAGCAGTGGTGTGATCGTGGCTCACTGAAGCTTGAACATCCTGGGCTCAGGTGATACTCCCACCCCAGCCTCCTGAGTAGCTGGGACTACAAGGAAGCACCACCACGGCTGGCTAATTTTTTGTATTTTTAGTAGAGATGGGGTTTTCATGTTGTCCAGGCTGGTCTTGAACTCCTGGACTCAAGCAATCTGCCTGCCTCACCCTCCCAGAGTGCTGGGATTACAGGCGAGAGCCGCCTGCCCAGCCTCAAGCCACAATTCTTTCGTGCATAGATTGCTGTCTTAGCTTCTAGGCTCTGCCTCAATTCTTGTTCCCCATAAAATGTGTTCATGTCCCGTTCCTGCTTCAGATCCTTTAATGACATGCCCTTGACATTAAGATAAGGTCTAAATTCCATTATGTGGCCCCTGCATCCTTTCTTGTCTCTCTAACTTTATCTCTAGCCATTTCCCACCTCATCAGAACCTTCTCTCAGTCCCTTAAACAGGCCATACTCTCTTCCCTTACCCCCCATTAGACTCCACAAGGACAGGAAGGATAGTTGCCTTGATTATCATCACATTCCTAGGGCCCAATGCAGCATCTGGCCCTTGACATATGGCCATGGTCTGTGAGTCTTTGGTGCATTGCAGTTTCCCTTCTAACTGGTCATTATAAAAAATGTACTTTTATTTTGTAAAAATAAAATAAAATAAAACAGCATCTTGCTTTGTTGCCCAGGCTAAAGTGCAGTGGCGTGATCGTAGCTCACTGCAGCCTCAGACTTCTGGGCTCGAGCGATCTTCCTCCCTCAGCCTCTCAAGTAGCTGCGACTACAGGAGCTCGTCACTATGCCCTGCTGTGTGTGTGTGTGTGTGTGTGTGTGTGTGTGTGTGTGAGAGAGAGATGGGGTCTTGTTATGTTGCCCAGGCTAGTCTTGAACTCCTGGCCTCTTCATGATATCCTCCCACCATGGCCTCCCAAAGCACTGGGATTACAGGCATGAGCCACCTCTCCTGGCTTAAAGATGTATTTGTAAGGTTTTGTTTTGTTTTTGTTTTTGCCACAGGGTCTCACTCTGTCACCCAGACTGGAGTACAGTGGTGCAATCTTGGTTCACTGCAGCCTCAACTTCCCAGGCTCAAGTGATACTCCCATCTCAGCCCCCTGAGTAGGTGGGGCTACAGGTGCCCACCACCATGCCTGCCTCAGCCTCCCAAAGTGCTGGGATTACAGGCATGAGCCACCTTGCCTGACTTATAGAAGTATTTTAATTCCCATATTCCTCTCTTGAATTCCTATCAGACGAAGTAACCTTATCCTCCTAAGACTGTTTGTACTATACTATATTATATCTCACGTCCACATTATTACCAGTGAAATACACGTTATTATGTAGGCAGTGGAGGTTGCACATATCATTTACAAAATAAGGCTCTTCCTGTAGAAGTCACACCTGTCTTCCATAGCAACTGGTTTCACAAGTCTATCTAGGTGTTTGTCTCCTCCTCTAATTTCAATCTAAAGCCCTTCTGATCTGGACGCCCTATCTCCAGGACACGAATATTAATCTTGACCCTCTTGAGGGACATTCCTTCCCTAGTCATGTGTCAGTTTGCTGTTTCACAGAATGTTGATGTTTCGTGTTGTTGAAGTGTTCCAATATTTGGAGACCCCGATCGTCAGAAATTTCTTCTTTATGTCTAACAAATTGCTCCTGCTTTAATTTTGAAATGGGCACTCCAGGAAGGGAGAGTTCCACACATCTCCCTGATCCCCAGCTCCCACCCCCCACCCCCCATAATCTTACAGTGAAGAATAGAGATCCATGAAGCCCATTCCTTCTTTCATGGCACCCTGCCCTGGAGTCTGATTCTCCCATGTTTACAGAACAACACCAATCATGGGTGACTTGGACACTCCATTTTATGTTTTTATTTTTATTTTTCACAAATTTGTGTATCATACTCATGCAGGGTCCATGCTAATCTTCTCTGTATCATTCCAATTTTTGTATATGTGCTGCTGAAGTGAGCACTATTTTATTCTTTTTAAATCTAATGAGATAAGGTTTATTTTGTTTCCTCGTGTAATTTCAAAAGAATTACTAGTTTATCAAATTTTAAGCAACATATTGTTAGGAAAATAATGTGAAAAGTGTCTTTCTCTTTGCCACATCAAATAAGAAGAAGGGATAGATTTTTTAAAAATCAATAACTTCTGAAAACTTACAGAGGAAAGTCTGAACAAATTCACTTTAGATGACGAAGTCTTTGAAGAATGAGGGGACTGCTCTCAAGATGACAGTGTGAAGAACATGATATAAATGGATGAAATGGAATTCCAGAGAGGTTCCTTTTCTGTGATCCTTCACTATTCTTACCTTGCCAATCTGTAGCCCTGAATAAACACAAGCAGGCCAGGTGCAGTGGCTCACTCCTGTAATCCCTCCCAGCACTTAGGAATGAGGAAGTGGGAGGATCGCTTGAGCCCAGGAGTTCGAGACCAGTGTGAACAACATGTAAAACCCATGTCTCTATAAAACATATTAATGAAAAAAATTAGCTGGCCATGGTGGCGTACACCTGTGGTCCCAGCTACTTGGAAGGCTGAGATGGGAGGAGGATCACCTGAGCCTAGGAGGTTGACACTGAAGTGAGCCGTGATTATACCACTGCACTTCAGCCTGGGTGACAGAGCAACACCCTATCTCAAAATAAATAAAAACACAAACACCTGTCTCCTTTGTTCTTCATCATGGGCTGCTGTGCTTGGCTGTGGAAATTGGTATCTCATTGCACAACATCAGCCGTGCCTTCAATATTGCTCACGAGTCTTCTTACTCATGAGACTTCCTTGTTGATGTCCTGTTCCCAATCAGACCACACCTGTTATCATACACAATTCTGGAGCCACATATACAGAGAGATTGAGACAAGCTGAAGCATGTGCAGAAGCTTAGAAATTCAACCTGTGCCTTGTGAGCAGTTCTTGAAAGAATGTTTGATGTTTAGTTTGAAGAACAGGAGAGCTGATTTCTGAAGTCCAATAGTCATTCAGGAGGTTCCAAGAACTAGAACTTGGACTAATTGGCAAGAATTGCAGAGAGAAGGATTCAAGGGTCAGTACAAGGAGGGACCTTACAAAAGTTCTCCAAAAATAGAATGGGCTCCCTCAGGAGAGAGTTCCCTTCACTGGAGCTGATTATGTCAAAGTCTAATCTGTCACAGGTGGCTGAACTAGAATGCTGGGATCCCTTGTAACCAAGAGGGCCCATTATTCTGTGTTGTAGCTTTCAAATTTATTTTTTAAATGTTTTTTTGTTGCATTATGTACAAGAGATACATCATGATGATTAAAATTGGGCTTTTGCCAGGGAGGAGGATAAGAAGGCAAAAAAAAAAAAAAAAAAGGATAATTACTGCATGGCATTAGAAGTGCCATACTAAAAGGTCGTCTAAGAGCACAAAAGAGGAAGTGACTACTGAAGAAGTCAGAGGCTTTTCATGAAGGAGGTGAGTTTTAAGCCCAATCTTGTAGAATTGAGCCAATGTGTCCATAATCAAGAAGGAGCAAGTACAGTCATTTTGGAAAATAATGTGGAGGTTCCTCAAAAAACCAAAAATAGAATTACCATATGACTCAGCAACTCTGTTTCTGGGTATATATCCAAAGGAATTGGAATTGGAACATCTAAGACATCTGCACACCTCTGTTTATTTCAGCATTATTCACAACAGCCAAGATAGGAAGCAACCTAACTGTTTAGCAGTGGATGAATGAATAAAGAAAATGTGGTATATACACACGCAATGGAATACTATATACAACCTTTAAAAAACAAGGAATGTCTGTCATTTGAGACAACACAAATGGAATCAGAGGACATCATGTTAAGTGAAATGAGCCTGGCACAGAAAAACAAATAATGTATCATCTCACTTATATGTGGAATCTAAAAAAGTTCAATCACATGCAAATGGAGAGTAGAAAGAAGGGTGGGTACCAGAGGCTTCACAGAGAAGGAGGGATAGAGAAAGGGGAGTTGTTAGTCAAAGGGTACAAACTTTCATTTAGACTACAGATAAGAAATAACATAGTGATCTACTGAATTGCATGGTGACTATAGTTAATAACAACATATATTTCAGGACCAGGCACGGTAGCTCATACCTGTAATCCCAGCACTTTGAGAGGCCAATGTGGGTGGATTGCTTGAGCTCAGGAGTTCAAGACCAGCCTGGACAGCATGGTGAAACTCCACCTCTGCCAAATATACCACAAATTAGCCAGGCATGGTGGCACATGACTTTGGTCCCAGCTACTTGGGAGGCTGAGGTGAGAGGATCACTTGAGCCTGGGAGACCAAGGCTGCAGTGAGCTGAGATCGTACCACTGCACTCCAGTCTGGGTCTCAGAGTGAGACCTCATGTCAAAAAACAAAAAAAAAAAAGTCAAATAAAATAAAAAAAATATTAAAAAAGAAATAATAATGTATATTTCAAAACTGCTAAAAGTATAGATGTTTAATATTCTCACCACAAAAAAGTGATAAGTTGGTAAAGTGATTGATATGTTAATGAGCTAGATTAATCTCTACAATGCATACATTGGAGATCAAAGCATTACATTGTACTCCACAAAAATACACAATTACTTGTTAATTATAACTAATAAATTAGTAGAAGGAAGAGCCATAAGCAAAAGTACAGGAGAATTAGATGTGCATGTTGTGTGTAGCCTAATGAATATAAATGGCTTTAAATGACACTGCACCTTTGCTTTCCAACAAAAGTTAAACTTTCATTTCCCCTGATTCAATCAGCAGACTTTTACTGAGCACTTATACTGTATACGATATTGGGAGGTGAGAAGCTTTAAAGCTTTAAAAGTAATCTAAGACCCGATTTTTAACAACCTTATAAGAGCTTAAGCTCATGATGCCTTATGTTTGTTATGAGACCACAAGAAATTCTTGAAGACTTGAAGCCCAGGGATGAAAAGATTAAATAGGTGTTGTAGAAAGTTGTGATGTCTTGTATGAGGTGGTGCGGACTTCAGAGCCCTTGAGGTTAGGAGACTTCTGACCTGGTGTAGCGAAGCTGGAAATAGGGAGGAAGGGATGGAGTCAATAATTATTTCAGAAGTAGATATGACAAAACTGAAATATGGGAATGGTGAGGAAGCAGGATCAGTTGAACATGACTCAGAAATTTCTGGTTAGAGTACTGAGTGGAAGATGAAAACATTGCAGGAACACGAGATGATGAAGAGTCTGATTTTAAATGTGTCAATTTAGAGGTGCCCAGGGACATCCAGTTGGGACAATCTGATGATTCTCAGAAATATGGGCCTAGAGCCCAGGAGAGAGAAATGGAGGCTGATAATAACAAGGTGGAGTCACTGTAAATCAATCATCTCTGCCCTGGATGCCTTCCCTCCTTTCCTCTGGAAATAGAGCCTCCTTTATTCCAGGAACAGCTCCTCTATCCTACCTCACAGTCCCCACCATGAGGCTCTCTTTGGAACTGCCAAGTTCCTCCATCACCACATTCCCTGGCCACTGTTGCCTGATCCAGAGGCAGGTGTCTGACTCAAGAGAAGCTAAGTATGATTGCTTCATGGGGATGTTTTTAAAATTTAAACATCCAGCATGTACAAAAGTCTACAGAATAGCATAATGTTCAGTGTGTTGTCCTGGGTCTTAAAAAAACAAACAAACAGAATAGCATAACAGACTCCCATCTGTGTAATACCCAGCTTCAACAATGATTCATTGACCTATCTTGGTTCAGCCATACATCCATCTTTTTCCTCCGTCGTCATATTATTTTGAAGCAGTTACCAAAAATCTGGGATTTCACTCTCTGGTATTGGAAGGTGTAGGATGTAAATAGACAGGAGTGGTTTGCAGCCATGCTTCTCTCATGTTGAAAAAGCCAGTCTAAAGGAAGAAAAGATGAAACTGACATAAAGAAAAAAATAGGAAGAAAGAGTTCTGGAAGCTTTTGAGTCTGTGGTTCCCAATGTTCCAGAGTCCTCTCCACAGTTTGATTGTTCACATCTGTAGATTCTCTGAGCCCAAAATCTTCCTTCCAGCTTTAACTAGGTTGAGTAGGATATCAGTCCCTTACTACCAGGCATTCTGACTAATACATATCAGTATTCACCTAATGATTGAAGCCATCCTGGGAGGTCGTTCTCTCTTGTAAAAACAGCTTCCCTCCCCTCTGAATGTCCAAATCCTTTAACACAAAGGTCACCTCCTTCATGGCAATTTCCCTAATCCTAGTAGCAGGAAGTGGCCTCTCCTATTCCTGAATCACAGGGCACCTTATCTACACACCCTCATGGTGTGCCCTGTGTTCTCTTATTTTACAGCCATTTGGGTGCATGTGCTAGCTTTTTGCTACAAACTGTAAGCCTCTTGAAAACATACAAAAAGACTTGAAGTGGTTTTTTTTTTTATTTCTCATCTCACCTCTCAACATCATATACAGTATAAGTTCTTGGTAAAAGTCTGCTGATTGAATGAGGGGGAAAAAGTTGAACTTTTGTTGTTAAATAAAGGTGCATTTAAAGGTTGAGAGAAATGCATGGAAAGAGATTCAGGGCAATTTCCCTAGTCTTCTTACATCAATTCTGTGCAATAGAAAGGGAGTGTATAATAATCATTCAGAAATACAGTCATAATAAAACCAAGAAAGCAGCACCCTAATTATATAATATTAATTTAATGAAAACATAATGGCTACCAATATGAAACCATGGTTACTGCCTTTTTCAATAAACTCCATAATGAAAATGTACTGGACTATATTTTATTTCACCTAAAAGGAGTATGCTATGCTTTAGAGTTCTCAAGCTTTATCATGCACTGGAATCATCTGGAAGATCCTGTTAAAAGGTAGGTTCTGATTCAGTAGGTCTGGGGTGGGTTTGAGAAGATGGCTTTCTGACAAGGCGAGCTCCCCAGTGATGCTGATACTATGAGTCCATGGGCCACACTTTGAGGAACAAGAATGTATACCAGTGATTCCCAAAAGTGGCTGCCCAGTGACGCCATCACGGAGCTTCAGAAACTAATGACGCCTGTGTCCCACCCCAGATCTTGTGATTTAATTCATCTAGGGTGTGGCTAGACTTTGGAAATTTTAAAGATCTCCAAGTGATTTGAATATACAGACAAGTTTGGGAATTACTGCTCTGTTCATTACAGAATTAGACTCTGAATGGCCAGATCTGGGTTCCACCTCTGCTACTTTCAGACTGGCTGGGTTATCTTGGGAAAATCAGTTCATATCTCTGATCTTCAGTTTCTGATCTCCAACAGGGAGGTCATAAATCCATTGATCACATTTTCAAGAAACAAACTAGAGAAGGTGTAGGGGGATTTTTGTAGCCTCTAAAGTTCTGCGTGGATATGAAGAATTACTGGGAATGAGTCTGGATCAGAACTCTCCAATATGATAGCCGCTAGCCACATTCAACTATTAAGCTCTTGAAAGGTGGCTAGGATAAAATGTGGAAAATATTTAAGCCAGGCGTGGTGGCTCATGTCTGTAGTCCCAGCTACTCAGGAGGCTAAGATGGGAGGTTCTCTTGAGTCCAGGAATTCAAGGCTACAGTGAGCAATGACTGCCCCACAGCACGCCAGCCTGGGAGGCAGAGCAAGACTCCTGTCTCTAAAAAAATTTAAAAATAAAGGGGAAAAAAGAAAACATTTTAGATATCTTGGATTAAATATATTAAAATTGGCCAGGCACGGTGGCTCACACCTGTAATCGCAGCACTTTGGGAGGCCAAGGCGGGTAGATCGCCTGAGGTCAGGAGTTTGAGACCAGCCTGGCCAACATGGTAAAGCCCCATCTTTACTAAAAATACAAAAATTAGTAGGACACGGTGGCACGCACCTGTAGTCCCAGCTACAAGGGAGGCTGAGGCTGGGTAATCCCTTGAACTTGGGAGGTGGAGGTTGCAGTGAGCCAAGATTGCACCACTGCACTCCAGCCTGGGTGACAGAGTAAGACTCCTTCCCCAAAAAAAAAAAAAAAAATTAAAATTGACTTCACCTCTTTCCCTCTCCCTATTTATTTACTTAGTTTTTTTCAATCCTGCTCCTTCTGTAAGTTTTTGTTTGTTTGTTTGTTTGTTTAAGAGACAGGGCCTTGCTCTGTCACCCAGGCTGGAGTGCAGTGGTGTGATATTGGCTCACTGCAGCCTCAATTTCCTGGGCTTAAGCGATACCCTACCCTAGCCTTCTGAGTAGCTGGGACTACAGACACATGCCTGAACACCTGGCTGCCTGGCTTCCACCTGTTTGTTTGTTTGTTTGTTTGTTTGTTTGTTTTTGCAATGTGGCTATTAGCAAATGTAAACTTATATATGTGGCTCACCTTGTGTTTCTATTCAACAGTGCTGGCCTAGACTTTTTAAAGAAATGGCAGATGGCAAAAAAATTAACTTTACATTCCCAACTGCTAACACAGGAATTCTAAGTTCCTCCTAAATCCAATACAAATAAATGTTGAAAAGAATATCCTAGATGAATGAGCTATTTCAATGTGCTGTCAGTCATTAAACGGAAACATTCTTAGGATCAGGGTGGGATACACATAATATTACATACCTGGAGGTAGAGCTCAAAGGAAAGGTACACTCTATTTACAAAGGAGAAAAGAGATGGGCCATCACTGAAAACAGATGTTGTATGGAAAAAAAAAATACTAGTTTTGAGGCGGGGGGGAACAGCAAAAAAAGAGCAATCAGGAACTAATGTCTCCACCTCTCATTTTCTTGCCCATGTGCCTCCCGAGCCTTATCACAGTCCCACAAGAGAGACTGAATTCCAATGGCTGGGACTTCTTGGCCAGAGCCCAGAGCAGTAGAGAATTCTGATCTAGATTCGGGATGTGATACAACCAGCCTTGCCACTTGCAGCATGTGATTGCTTGTATTAGTGCATTTTCATGCTGCTGATAAAGACATACCCAAGACTAGGGCAATTTTACAAAAGAAAGAGGTTTAATGGACTCACAGTTCCACATGGCTGGGGAGGCCTCACAATCATGGCAGAAGGTGAAAGGCATGTCTCACATGGTGGCAGACAAGAGAAGAGAATGAGAGCCAAGTGAAAGGGGTTTCCCCTTATAAAACCATCAGATCTCATGAGACTTATTCACTACCATAAGAGCAGTATGAGGGAAACTGCCCCCATGATTCAATGATCTCCCACTGGGTCCCTCCTACAACACATGGGAATTATGGGAGCTACAATTCAAGATGAGATTTGGGTGGGGACCCAGCCAAACCATATCACTGCTGTAATTAATCCACTGTACCAGAGGATTTCATAGTAGGTAAGGACACTTTGTGAGGTAGGGGGGTCCAGCACAGCGCCCCAGGGTTCTGGAGCAAGGCCATGCCATTTGCAGCAGAGAATTCGTCACCATTTGAGAAGCAGATCCTGTGTGCTACAGGGTCCCATTTGAGACCATGCATCAGGGTTTGGACACTGGCACACCCTCCAAGTCATTAGGTAGGACGGGCACAACAGCAGTGCACAATGAAAATAGTTCATTTGCAATCTGGCCTGGATGGGTCTGGAGGGCACAAGTAAGTTCTATAAACAGGACATCTACTAGGCCAAGCGCGGTGGCTCACACTTGTAATCCTAGCACTTTAGGAGGCTGAGGCAGGAGGATTGCTTGAGGCCAGGAGTTCAGAGCCAGCCTGGGCAACATAGTGAGATTTCATCTCTACAAAAAATAAAAATAAAAAAATTAGCCAGGTGTGGTGGTGTGCACCTGCAGTCCCAGCTACTTGGGAAACTGAGGTGAGCGGATCACTTGAGCCCAGGAGTTCAAAGCTGCAGTGGGCTGTGATTGTGCCACTGTACTCCAGCCTGAGTGCCAGAGCAAGAACCTGTATAGATATATGTATATATATATATATATATATATATACACACACACATATTATATATATGTGTATATATATATACACACACATATTATATATATGTATATATATCCATATATTATATATATGTGTGTGTATATATATATCCATACAGCTCTTTAATTCATCATAATTTATTTAAGCAATCTATCCATTTGGGGACATTTGTCTTGTTTGAATTGCTGGTTATTTAAATTATTCCATGCTTAATTTCTATTCTATGCTTATAGGTTTAAAAAATGGTAACTAGTTGTTTTATTCTGCCTTTATTTAAACTTTTTTCTTATGATTTTTGCCATTTGTATTTTTTAATTAAATATCCTGTTTATTCCTTCTGTTCATATTTCTACTGGAAAAGATCAAAATTCATCTGCATAATCTTAAAAATCAAAAATTACTATAATGGCTTTAACTACGTTATTTACTTCTGTTGCACCAAGGCAATTGCTCACACCATGACCTCCTGGGGAAGGTTCCCCACAACCTCTGATAGAGGAGGGAAAAATCCAAAACTGGATCATGAATCAGTCAGCTCAATATGTTGGTTCAAGCCAAAGATGGACTGCCGCCACTATTGTCCCACTCAGGAGTGGCCCTGAAAACAGTCATAAGGGAATAGATAGCCTCTCAGTGGACAGAGCTTCTGAAGGTGCACCTGGTCATCAACTTGATATGGAGGGAAAAGAAAAGAAAATATACTAAGGAAATGGAACAGGCTTGCCACGTGGTGTTGGTTACCTGTTTCGTTTGTGGTTATGAAGTCTAAGCTGAACCAGTCACCCAGGTTCTGCACCTTTTCTCTGGTGACAGTCAGATAATTGGAAGCAAGTACAAAGAAATCTAAAAGTTGCATTCAACCAGGGTTGGAGTTCTGCCAGGCAAATATGATAAGGGGAAAAAGGCACAGGGGAGATGAAGGCATTTTAAGGAACTGATTGTAATGATGAGAAATGAAGACACGAGGGAAGTAATGGGATATTGAAAATTTAATGTGGAAAAGAAGGAGGGGAAATCAATGGATTTAGTCTAATAATTGTTGAAGTGGGGTATTAGAGAAAGTAAGCTCGGAAGAGAGAAAGATGTTTGAAAGGAAGTTTTCAGAAAAGGTGAATTTACCAGGGGTACTTGGTCTAGAGTATGGCAATGGGAAGAGGGGATTGTGCTAGGGTAGAGGGAAGGAGGTTAAGGAATTGAAGGGCTAAGGGAGTGAAGAGTTAGAGACTGAAATCATCAAGAATTAAAGCCCACATGAGGTTAGAGAGGAAGACAGCAAGCCAGTAGGCCAATTCAATTCCTTCATGAATACAGGAGAGACCAGGAAATCAGCTGGTGACTGCAGCGGGTAGGTGCCAGGTCAGATAGCTGGAAGGAATGAGTTGGAAGCAGCTGAGTGTTGTGAGGGAAGGAGGAAAGCTGGAGTGGCTTGGAGGGGACAATGGAGATCAAAGAAGGTAACTTGATCTCTTCTTCTGGCCCTCATCAGCCAAAACAATCTAAATTCAACAGTGGGGTTTGATTTAAACAGCAAAGAGTTTATTGCTGGACATAGGTAGTAACCTTCTGAGCTATGTATTATCCCCATCTTACAGATGTTAAAACAGTGACATCTCTTTACTCCTGTCCACAAAGTGGAAACAAAGCCAAATAAGCAAAGCAGGTATAATTAGTGTAAAATAAATTGATAATTTTAAGTAAGAAAAAACTTTTCATGCACAAAAAATACAAGACTTTTGGTGTTGATGGGAGAAGAGTTCTTGTTATAAAAACATTATATCTTCATTATAATATGTAAGTACAGATAAGCAAAAGAACAAAAAGAAAACTCATAATCCCACTCTGTAATGTTAACTCTCACTAACACATTAACATATATTATTTAGATCACACATGTATATATATATATATATGCATATATGTTCAAATAATTCTATTTCTGCCAAGATAAGATCATATCCATACAGCTCTTTAATTCATCATAACTTATTTAAGCAATCTACCCATTTGGGGACCTTTGCCTTGTTTGAATTGCTGGTTATTTAAATTATTCCATGCTTAATTTCTATGCTATGCTTATAGTTTTAAAAAATGGTAACTAGTTGTTTTATTCTGCTTTTATTTAAAGTTTTCTTCTTACGATTTTTGCCATTTGTATTTTTTTAAATTAAATATCCTATTTATTCCTTCTGTTCATATTCCTATTGGAAAAGATCAAAATTCATTTGCATAATCTTAAACATCAAAAATTACTGTAATGGGTTTAATAAACAACTGCAGTCTCTTCTTTCAGCTGTTTCCCATGACTTGTTGTTTTGGTCATTTTTGTCCTTACATTCCCGAGTTGGTTGCCAAATCTTGGACTAAGCCAAAATGTCTTCCTATCCTTTTCAAACTCTTTGTTATTTTCTGTTTCAGAGGATGGAGGAGGTAGGTGGATACTTATACCTTCTCTGTCCTTATTGGGTGCTAGAAACTTTACCCTTTCAGATTTAAACCTGCAAGTAACATTTAAATGCACAATTCCTAAGTCAATTTGAGAAGTCTAACACAAATTCAACTGGAATATCTTTCCAGGTTTTTCTTTGTTCTTTTCTTACCTTGGTGTTATGTTGTCTACACTAGAGCTAAAATCTTTCAGTATCTGGATATACCACAACACATGAAAACTGCTCTCATTATATTTAATTCCCAGTGCTCTTCCTCTTTCTATCTGGGTTATTGCCTTTCTGGGATAACTATGCGATTCCCCTCTCCAATTTCTCTCCTTTCTGCAGCCTTTATATGGAGTTAGACAGACGGAACATTTGAGGATTGGACTGAAACTCTGAAATTACCTCCAAGCCATGGTGCAGGGAAACAGAACCCATGCAGACAGCAGGAATCACGCTGCGTGGAAGAAATAGAGATTAGAGTTCATGGCTGTGTAGGCCGCTAGAGTCAGTGTACTTGTAAGAAGAAAGCCTCAGAAAAGGAGTGAAAAAAAATCTGCACACACACACAAATTCCATCATATCTTTGACTGAATCATAAAAGATGCATGGGTAGGCTGAGATTCCAGGTGACCAGAAGGCTAGACAGCAAAGCAAAGATTTCAGTACTGGACAGTGCTGAGGAGATTTTGAAGTTCAGGAGTACCCAGAGTAGACGTACTTGGTTAACATGTGAGCTTTCAGTTGAGACTCTAGAAAGATTGTACCATAGGAATAAGAACCATTTATTAGAAGTAAGGGCTACCCTTTAGAAACTAGGGCAAAACTATAAAAGACTTGCCCTAAATAAGCCTAAAACCAATCCTCAAGTCTCAACATGATTGAAGTGATCATTTGGTAATTTTACTTTGTGCAAGAACAAAATTTAACACTCTCTTAAGGAGTATTACATAATCCAGAGCCTCTGCAATGTACCATCCACAACATTTGGCATACAATAAAATTATTAGATACTCAAAGAGGCAGGAAAAAAGAGACCAATTACCAAGGAATGAAACAGTCAATAGAAGCAGACTCAGAGATGACCCTGGTATTGGAGTTAGCACACAAGAACTTCTTTTGATTAATATTTTTTAGAAAATGGAGGAAAAAAAGAATGAAATAGGTAAAAAGAATAAACATTTCAATAGAAAACTAAAATATATTCTTCAAAAACCAAGTAGACACTTTAGAAATAGAAAGCAATATCTGAAATTAGAAATTTATTAGAATGACTTATCAGCAGATGGGACATAGCAGGAAATAAGATTAGTATACTTGGAGACAAGTCAAGAAAATTACTAGAACTGAAGTACAGAGAGGGGAATATAGTGAAAAAGTTTCTCTTGTCACTCTGTTTCCCAAATAGTACCAGTCTATTAATTAAAATCTCCAGTCTCATTAATAATTAGAATTTTGCACTTCATTCAAAGTTGAATGTTTTTACTTCCCTAGCTTTGACCTATGTAGGCCTGTAGTCAAAAGAAAATTCTTTCTTTTTCTTCACCTAGTTCTTCTCATGCACCCTACTAACCAGTTTCTGACTCTCCAAAGTTAGAACAGGGCAGAATGTGGAGGAGAAAGTGGACAGAAATTTCTTTCTTTCTTTTTTAGGCAGGGTCTTGCTCTGTGCCCAGGCTGGAGTGCAGTGGTACAATTGTAGCTCACTACAGTCTCAATCTCCTGACGTCAAGACATCCTCCCACTTCAGCCTCCCGAGTAGCTGGGACTACAGGTGTGCACCATGGTGCAGGGCCAGGAACTTTTAAAGTTGACTACTATAGTGAGTTGGCTTGTGTTTCCTGGACTTGGCAGTGTTGAAAGTTAACTCTTTCTCTCCCATGGGACTTTAAAAGGTTCTTCGAAAACTCCTCCACTTCCTGTTTTGGGGCTGATACCTTTTCCTCTGGCTGGCTGCTTACAGCGCCTTCCTTAGCCCCTGAGAATCTTGTGGTCCAGCCCCACAGCTTCCAAGAAGGTCCTGAACTGGTTTGTTCTTCCTCCCTCCACTAGAAATACGCACCTATTCTTTGTCTCATCAAAATCTGGGAGGGCAGTCAAATCCCAAAGTCTGTTCCCAGAGCAACAAGACACTCTTTCCTGAACTAGATATCTCAGGTGCAAATCAGTCACCAGTCTGTTTGTTTCTGAAAGTTCAGGAGACACATGCTGTGATTTCCAGTGGTCTGATTGGAGCCCATATTCTTAGGCTTGAGGTGAGGAGCTTAAGAAAACTGGAGGCTCTCCAACCAATGCCATCTCTCCAAATGTTCCGTAGGCTTGAGGTAGGTGGTTGGCTGAGGGTCACAAAATCTTTTGCAAATCCAGGCAGAGGTCTTGCATCTCACTTTGGCTTGTTTGGGGACTGTGTAACAAAGGGTTAACTCACAGGCTTATGATGTTCAACCCCTGCATGTTCCAAAGAAAGGACCAGCTTTTGTATACCTGAAGTCTTGGACGACATCAGATGACCTAATGTTAGTAATGTGATTTATGATGCAGGTCTTAGACCGCACTGTGTTTGACCTCAGGGGAGGCCAGAGACTGAATAACAAAACCCTGGACACCAAAACTCTGATGAGCTTCTGTGGTTGGCCGTACTTTGTGTGTACCACCACCACACGTTGTCCCTGGGAGAATTAAGTACTCTCTGTACAACTCCTCTAGGAGAGGACAGTGGGAAGCTCATACCCGGTCTGTCCTGGACTCTGCCTAAGGCACCGTTTTCCTTTGCCTTTTCCTTCTTTCCTTTCTTTCTCTCTCTCTTTTTTTTCTTTCTCTCTTTTTTTTTTTTTTTTTTTTTTTTTGAGACAGAGTCTCACCCTGTCACCCAGGCTGGAGTGCAATGGCACGATCTCAGCTCACTACAACCTCTGCCTCCCAGGTGCAAGCGATTCTCCTGCCTCAGCCTCCTGAGTAGCTGGGATCACAGGTGCCCGCCAGCATGCCTGGCTAATTCTTTTGTATTTTAGTAGAGATGGGGTTTCACCATGTTGGCCAGGCTGGTCTTGAACTCCTGACCTCATGATCTGCCCGTCTTGGCCTCCCAAAGTGCTGGGATTACAGGCATGAGCCACTGAGCCTGGCCTCCTTTGCCATTTTCATCTGTATTCTTTCACTCTAATAAACTGAGCCTGTAAGTATCACAGCTTTTCTGAGTTCTACAAGTTTCTACCAAATCATTGAACTTGAGAGTAGTCTTGGGAATCCTCCACGCTGGAGCCAAAACAGAAACAAAAATAATGATTTTTGTAGCATACTGCTGCAATATTATTTTTAAAAACTCAAACCTTCAGAAAATTACAGAAGTTAATATAACACCAATGTATCCATTGCCTACAATTAATAAATACATTTTATCATATTTGTTTCAGTTCCTCCTTTATTTTCTTTTTTTGGTTAAGAAATAAAACACTGGGAGGCAGAGGTGGGAGGATCACTTGAGCCTAGGACTTTGAGACCAGCCTAGGCAACATAGTGAGACCTCATCTCTACAAAAAAATAAAAAAAAATTTGTGGGGTGTGGTTGTGCCTGCCAGTAATTCCAGCAGCTAGACAGGAGGCTGAGGTGGGAGAATTGCTTGAGCCCGGGAGGTCAAAGCTGCAGTGAGCCATGATGGCGCCACTGCCCTCCAGCCTGGGTGACAGAGCGATATCCTGTCTCAAAAAAAAAAAAAAAAAAAAAAAAAGAAAGAAAAGAAGAAAAGAGAAGAAATAAAACATAGTACATAATAGACACATATCAAGTTTCCTTTGAACCCCACCCAGTGCTGGTCCCTGTGGCAGTCACTCCTCTGAGATTGGTCAATATTCTTCCTTTTGGGGTTTTGATACTATTTTCCTGTGTGTGTGTGTGTGTGTTTTTTTTTTTTTTTTTTTTTTTTTTTTTGAGATGGAGTCTCATTCTCTTGCCTAGGCTGGAGTGTGGTGGCATGATCTCGGCTCACTGCAGCCTCCACCTCCTGGGTTCAAGTGATTCTCCTGCCTCAGCCTCCTGAGTAGCTAGAATTACAGGTGTGCACAAACATGCCCAGCTAATTTTTGTATTTTTAGTAGAGATCGGGGGGTTTCACCATATTGGCCAGGCTGGTCCCCAACTCCTGACCTCAAGTGATCCGTCTGCCTTGGCTTCCCAAAGTGCTGGGATTACAGGCGTGAGCCACTGTGCCCAGCATTCCTGTGTGTGTTTATATCCCTTTATGGATTTGCATGTATCCTAGCACTGGGACCTTGCCATCTTCTCTGCATCGCTCCAGTTTTGACAAACACATTGGTGAAGTGTGCATACTTGACTCGATTTCAACCCAACAAATGTGGATTGGGCAGTCTTTGCTAGGTGCCAGGCTTTGTGCCAAGTATTGTGGGCAAGTAGTGTAAGTTCACTACTCTCATGGACCCCTGACCTGGTGACTATGATAGTGGCTTGCTGAACTCAGTACATATGTTCTGAATGGCCTTTCTAAATTCTCACTATTCCCTCAGCACTTGAGGATTCTTCCCTAAGTCAGACCTAGACATGATGAGGGAGAATATCAGGAAGAGACCAAGGCCACAGTCAGGCCAAGTATTTTTCGGGGCTTCTGGTTCCTCTCTTCAGAGTACTGACCCAGTATCCTGGGCTGGTTTAGACTCTCTGAGGGTTGTGAGCTTTGCAGCTCATCAATAAGAGGGAGAATAATGCTCCCCTTCTAGACTCAGTCAGGCGGGTTTATTAAGTTACTTGTTTCCTGCATATCATGCTCAGCAATCAAGCCCTACTCTGTATCATAGCTTGATCAGCCCTCACTATATCTATACAGAGAGAGGTAGTATAGATGGGACCCACTCTATTGGCCATTGACTTACCTTGATGAATGATCTGTCTTTCTAGACAACGGTTTCTAAACCCTGAAGATAAAGTGGCTTTTTTTTTTTTACAGGTTTTATTTACTTTATTCAGAAACTAATCAGATTGTGTTTTGTTAAGTGGAGTTTTTTGTTGTTGTTGTTGTTTTTTGTTTTTTGTTTTTTTTTTTTTTAGTATTTATTGATCATTCTTGGGTGTTTCTCGTAGAGGGGGATTTGGCAGGGTCATAGGACAATAGTGGAGGGAAGGTAAGCAGATAAACATGTGAACAAAGGTCTCTGGCTTTCCTAGGCAGAGGGCCCTGCCGCCTTCCGCAGTGTTTGTGTCCCTGGGTACTTGAGATTAGGGAGTGGTGATGACCCTTAACGAGCATGCTGCCTTCAAGCATCTGTTTAACAAAGCACATCTTGCACCGCCCTTAATCCATTTAACCCTGAGTGGACACAGCACATGTTTCAGAGAGCACGGGGTTGGGGGTAAGGTTATAGATTAACAGCATCCCAAGGCAGAAGAATTTTTCTTAGTACAGAACAAAATGGAGTCTCCTATGCCTACTTCTTTCCACACAGACACAGTAACAATCCGATCTCTCTTTCTTTTCCCCACACTTCCCCCCTTTCTATTCGACAAAACCGCCATCGTCATCATGGCCCGCTCTTAATGAGCTGTTGGGTACACCTCCCAGACGGGGTGGCGGCCGGGCAGAGGGGCTCCTCACTTCCCAGACGGGGCGGCCCGGCAGAGGCGCCCCTCACCTCCCGGACTGGGCGCCTGGCCGGGCGGAGTCTGCCACCCACCTCCAGGATGGGGCGGCTGGCCGGGCGGGGGCTGCCCCCCACCTCCTGGATGGGGTGGCTGCCGGGCGGAGATGTTCCTCCCCTCCCAGACAGGGCAGCTGCCGGGCGGAGGGGCTCCTCACTTCCCAGACGGGGCGGCCGGTCAGAGACACTCCTCACCTCCCAGACGGGGTGGCGGCGGGGCAGAGGCGCTCCCCACATCCCAGACGATGGGCGGCCGGGCAGAGACGCTCCTCACTTCCTAGACGGGATGACGGCCTGGAAGAGGTGCTCCTCACTTCCCAGACTGGGCGGCCGGGAGGAGGGGCTCCTCACATCCCAGATGATGGGCGGCCGGGCAGAGATGCTCCTCACTTCTTAGACGGGGTGGCGGCCGGGTAGAGGCTGCAATCTCGGCACTTTGGGAGGCCAAGGCAGGCGGCTGGGAGGTGGAGGTTGTAGCGAGCCGAGATCACGCCACTGCACTCCAGCCTGGGCAACATTGAGCACTGAGTGAGCGAGATTCTGTGTGCAATCCCGGCACCTCGGGAGGCCGAGGCTGGCCGATAAAGTGGCTTTAAAGGGCTAGGTGACCTTTCAAGTTCCTTAAAGCCCAACTGTAGACCTTTAAAATTCTGAGAACCTCAAGACAACAACGACAACAATAAATTCCATGTACCTCTACAGTCAGGGAAAGATGGAGATACTACTCACACAGAATATTCTGTTTCAGGATTGAAGTTCTTCTCTGGATTCCTAGGAATGTTGTTTTCACAATGTGAGGGAAAAACTGCATGGATGCAAGAGTATTCCAGAATGATTATCTCGGTGTGACTGTGAGCAAATTCAGTTCCGTTTTCAACTAACTTTCATTTGGTGACCACTTAGCGCCTCCTGCGTTCCTGGCGGTTTGCTGGTAGAATGGAAAATCAGAAAGGTATCAGGTTCAAAGGGAGGCACAGGTGGAGTGAGCAGGAGCCCACAGGTAGAAATGTCTTCCAGGTTGGAAGGATCAAAGAAGTCTTCATGGAGAACGTGGCATAGTGAATTGAATCCTTTCCTACAGAGATATTTGTTTTGTTTTTACTTAATATGGATTTATTGAGAAATTATGTCATGCCACACACTATGCAATGCAATGGCCCTGGATATAAGAATGAATAAGATACAAAGTCAGGTCTTTGCCTTCAAGGAGATCCCACACAAGCACCATCATGATAGCATGTGACAGAGGGGAATGGAGGGTGCTATAACTAGACGAGAGGCTTGTGAAGGTCTCCAGGAGAAAGGTGCAGGGCTGAACTGGTACCAAATAGATTTATAGGCATGATCAAGGCAGATAATAAGTGGGAAGGCTTTTTTCTTCTTCTTCTTTTTTGCAATGGTGATGGCATGGCAAAGACATAGTAGGGGAGACAGCCCAGAGCACCTGGACAGTGGTAAGTGATCCAGTACCTCTGAAGCAGAATGCATGAGGATGGAAAGCGACTGCATGAACAGGGCCCTGTTTGTAAAGAGCCGAGTGATCAATGAATGCAGATGGACATAAATTCATGTTCAGGTGTAGTGGACCAAATGGCACAGAGTATTAACATAAATAAAATAAAAAATGGGTAAAAATGGCAGCCAATACCCCAGAAACTCATAAGGTGTAAACATTGGGAGCCATGTATTTCTAGCATGACAACCGTTCCTAACATGTGATTCTTAACAGCTCATCTTTTGAAAAAAGAGAAAGGAAATGCGATTTATCATCTATTAAACAATTGGATTTTCCATGTTCCCCTAAAGTGGAGTTTACTTCTCTCCCAGAAAACCACAATCCACAGAGGAGGAGAATAAATGAGACATAAATATAAATATATCCCCCTGAAGGGCAGTCAGTAGACAAAAGGCTACTTTAGGAGATGTGCCAGTTGATGTCACAGTGAAGTCAGATAAAATTACTCATCACTATTCTGTTAACCGAAAAAAAAAATAAATGAGAGGAAACCCAGAGAAGGTCGTGAAAACTGTGTCAATTACAAATTACTCCAGGCAAAGCCACCACAGCAGACACCTTCTGCTTAAGCTATAGTGAGTAAACAGAGGAAATGTTCTTCGGGAAGCTGTTCTTTCTTTGCTCATCCTCTGAGCTCCCTCTGGGTGATGGTGCTTTCTGACCACATCCTCAGCCCAGCCCAGAATTATAGAGCAGAACAACATCTTGGGGGTGCAGCTCACCTCCCAACCAATGCCTTCTCCAGAGGCTGCCACCTTGCCAACTTGTGTTCTTTGGGTTTTTTTTTCCACTCTGTCACCCAGGCTAGAGTACAGTGGTGCAATGTGGGCTCACTGCAACCTCCGCCTCCAAGGTTCAAGCGATTCTCCTGCCTCAGCCTCCCGAGTAGCTGGGATTACAGGCACGCACCACCAGGCCCAGCTAATTTTAGTATTTTTCGTAGAGATGGGGTTTCACCATGTTGGTCAGGCTGGTCTCGAACTCCTGGCCTCAAATGAACCACCCACCTTGGCCTCTCAAAGTGCTGGGATTATAGGCATGAGCCACCATGCCTGGTCTCCCAGCCTCTGTTCTGAATCGAATTTGAGCGCCTTGAGTTCTGCGCCTCATCCCCCACAGCCCTTGCAAGAATAATTATTTTCTATAGGCCTCTGTTTATTGCACATTCTCCTCCGCAGGCCCCTGCAGTTCTTGTAGCCTTTCCCTTTCAGAGCCTGCCTGAGTGGGCATCCTGCCCTCGGGAGGCCTCTCTTATCACCCAGTAAGCTCACCCCAAAGGCCACTCATGTCCCTTGTCACACTCCTCTGAACTCACTCCAGTTTTTCTATGGTTAAAAAAGGGCATGAACCTCCTCATAGGGTCGTGGTGAGGACACTTGATGGAAAGCATTGGCACAGAGTTTGGCACACAGAAAGTATTTAGGCAGGAAGTGGTTCCTCACGCCTGTAATCCCAGCACTTTGGGAGGCTGAGGCAGAAGGATCGCTTGTGCTCAGGAGTTCAAGACCAGCCTTGGCAATGTAGTGAGACCACCCTCTCTATAAAAAAATAAAAAATTAGCCAGGCTTGGTGATGCACTTGGGAGGCTGAGGCGGGAGGATTGCTCGAGCCCAGGAGTTGAAGCCTGCAGTGAGCCATGGTTGTGTACTGCACTCCAGCCCAAAAGACCTGTCTTTTATGAGACCCTGTCTTAAAAAAAGAAAAGAAAAGAGAGAAAGTGCTTAGTATTATTATTTTCATATTCTTAGTCCTTTGCCATAGTTAGCACAGGACCAAACCCCTAAGACACCTGCTCTTCTCTGAGGCAATGCAGGTGATTGAGCGCCTGCACGCTCAAGCACAGGCGGCAGTGAGATGGTGTTCCTGCCCTCCAGGAGTCCATGGTCTATAGAAGGCAAAAGATGAATGGGATAAAGATCTGAAGAGAGTTCAAAGAAAGGGTGGGTGGTAGAAACTCGGGGGAAGGAAGACAGCCCTCACTCCTGGCCCAACCCCACTGCTGGTGCAGCTCTCTCGGAGCCTTGCACCCTCACGGGAACCCGGAGGCTGCCTGCCGGTCCCTGAGCAGCCTTAATGTGCAGGGACTGATGGGCCGTGTTCTCAGGAGCATCTTAACTGGGCTAAACTCACATGCTTCAGGTTTGGTTTTAGTCACAGCGTGATGGAGGATTTCCCAGTGCTGGGTCTTATGGTCTCCTGGACAGAGAGGCCGGAGGCATCACCTCCCTGAACAAAAGCATCTGCCCAGATGCAGTGCAGACTCATCACTCTTTCAAATACTTTCCATGAAACAATGCTGATCCCTTCATTCCTGATCTCAGCTTGCTGAGTCCTTTGTGGTACCTCAGTGGACACACTTAGAGGAGGAAGAGGAGATGGGAGAGGTGAGGCATATGTGGCCATAGCCACAGACTCAGTATTACTGGCACTTGTGTAACTGCAAGCAGATGATGTTCGGCTTACATCAGGATGACTGGTGGCTCACAGGGCTTTCCTGGGAGTGAAAACCCTCTGTTTCCTGCGCACACGGTGAGGGTGGTATAAATGTAGAAAGAGTCAGCACATGACCAAATTAAAAAATTGTAAAAGGATAATGTCAGGAAATGGTGGTGATGGTTGCACAACATTGCGAATGTACTTCATGCCACTGAAATAGACACTTCAAAATAAAGTGGTCAATTTAACGTTATGCATATTTCACCACAATTAAAAAGAAAAAGATGATCTCTGGTGACCATGAGTCAGCCTCCGGGCAGTATCCAGCCCCTTCCCAGTGAAGATGCTGCTCATGAAGTGAGGCAACTTCTGCTTCTGGGGCCAGCCGGCTCTGGTCCTCACCACCTGTGTCACCTGGGCAAACTTCTTAACTGCTTGGAGTCCCTGTTTCTGTATGTGTAAAAGTGAAGGGATGTTGGGTGACAAGATGAGATCATTTAAAATTCTTACAGTACCTGGCCAGGAGCGGTGGCTTATGCCTGGAATCTCAGCAGTTTGGGAGGCTGAAGTGGGCAGATCACTTGAGGCCAGGGCTTCAAGACCAGCCTGGCCAACATGGTGAAATCCCATCACTACTAAAAATATAAAAATTAACCAGCCATGGTGGCACATGCCTGTAGTCCCAGCTACTCGGGAGGCTGAAGCAGGAGAATTACTGGAACCCAGGAGGCAGAGGTTGCAGTGAGCTGAGATCGCACCATTGAACTCCAGACTGGCAACAAGAGTGAAACTACATCTCAAAAAATAAAAATTAAAAATAAAATAAAATAAAATTCTCACAGTACCTGGATGCCCAGCTATCCCAATTTGCCTGGAATGGAAAGATTCCTGGGATATGAGGCCATCAGTGCTAAACCCATACTAATCCAGACAAACTGGGACAGCTGGTCACCTTAGCAGTGCCTGATGTAGTAGATGATCAATAATGGCAGTTACTGGTACATATGACTGCCATTTCTACTACCATAAAGAGAAGCTAACATCCGGGGGCTTACAATTTGCCTGACCCTATTCCACGTATTTTGCTTAAATTAGCTCATTTAATCTTCATAAGAAGTATGACACAGGTAATTATTATCTCAGTTTTGCAGAGGAGGAAACCAAGCAGGCAGGATCTGAATGCAGGCAGTGTGATTCTACGTGACAAAATCTTAATCAATATGCTATACCCTCTTCCTCTAAATTTATTAAGTACTATGTTCCAAGCACTGTTCTAAGTGCCTGAACTATGTTATTTCATTTCCTTCTTTTTTTTTTTTTTTTTTTTTTTTTGAGACGGAGTCTCGCTCTGTTGCCCAGGCTGGAGTGCTGGAGTGCAGTGGAGAGATTTCGGCTGACTGCAAGCTCCGCCTCCCGGGTTCACGCCATTCTCCTGCCTCAGCCTCCCGAGCAGCTGGGACTACAGGCGCCCGCCATCATGCCCTGCTAATTTTTTTGTATTTTTAGTAGAGACGGGGTTTCACTGTGTTAGCCATGTTGGTCTCGATTTCCTGACCTCATGATCCGCCTGCCTCGGCCTCCCAAAGTGCTAGGATTACAGGCGTGAGCCACCGCGCCTGGCCTATTTCATGTATTTCTTATAATGACTCTTATGACTATTACAGATGAAGAAGAAAGGAAGGCTTATTTGGGAGCGTGGAATGGAATTCATCAAGAACTAACTGCACAATTGCTGTGCCTATTATATAAAAATAGGGTGACCAACTTATCCTGGGTTTTCAGGAGGGCTCCCTGAAAGCCCTATGCCCAGGGAACCCACCTCAGTCCTGAGCAAACCAGGGCTGTTACTCACCCTATGTACACCGTAGCAGGTCCAGGGAAACTAAAGAACCCAAACAGATCATTCCAACAAGAGGAGCTATAATTAGCAAACAAAAGAACTGATACATGTTCAACCCTTCTACTTATCAAGGAAATACAGAAAATATAACAATTCTATGTTTAACAAATGAATAAACATTTAAAATAATAATAATAATAATAATAATAATAATAATAATAATAATAGCAGCACTAATCAGTACACACATTTCAGGAAGCCGGCACATCCATTCATTGTTGGTGGTATTGGTGGAAGCACCCGGTGAAATATTGTGCAGCTGTTAAACCGATGAAGTTTGTGTAGCAACACAGAGACATGCTTGGCTAAGTGAGAACAGCTGGATGCGGAACTGGGCTCGTGCTGTGTTTACCACAACATAACATTTTTGCATAAATGTCACCAGGGCCTGGAAAAGCACTTGGAAAAATAAAAACATCTGATGTGTTAGCGGGGAGGATTGTGATGATTTCTTCCCCCATGATTTCCATCGTTGCTGTTTGTTTGTGTAATAAATGCAAAAGAAAGACAACACCCTATGCAGACTCACTTTTCTGTCTTTAGTGGGGCTGCCCCTCTTACCTTGCTGAGCAACTCCATGCTCAGCAAATCTTCTCCCAACCCCCGCTCAGCTCTTGCTTCATTCCTCTCCTATGGTCCTCATCTGGCCCCACCTCAGACTGGACTGTAGTTTGGGGTCCTGAGGGCAAAAATCATGACCCATGCTCCTTCTTATTTGCTCCATGTACCTGACAGATAATTGTTACTAAAGAAGTATTCATTGAATTCAACACTTTCTTGATTCCCTCTTTCTGGCTTCTCTGTCTGCAAGAAGCAAACAGGAAAATGGAAGCCAAGGTAAGGTAAAAAAAACAAAAAAACAAACCTGATACATCTTAAAGCTATTGGAAGGGAGATGATCAAGTGGGACTTTTCTAGGTAATTTGAAACTCCTCATAAGGAAGGTAGGAGAGATGAAGGCAAAATACCAGTAAATTTTGAGGAAGATCCACAGACCCAAGACTGTGTGTGCTGGGACTTTCGAGAAGATGGAACATGGATTGGAGTTTATCTCAGCCAGAATCTGGTTCACCCCTTCACCGGAGGGTCAGAGGAACTTCACTGAGGGTCAGTGAGGGGAGTGATGAGCCCAAGGTGACTCAGCCACTAGGCTTACTCAGGTCTCTGTCTGCTTCTCCATAGGCTAGCTTCACCAAGGGCAGCAGCTGTCACTCTGGCCTGCCAAGGTACCAGAAATTTCCATCATCCATGAGTCATTCCCTTTGGGGATGGCATTTTGATTTGAGGAAGGCATGCTAAATATGAGTTTCATTTCCTGAAAGTAGTAACTCGTGACCCCATTTTGGACCATCATTGTCTCAGGCAGAATCACTTTGACTAAGGGTCTAGCCTCAAACCAGGCCCTGGAAGAGGTGGGAGAAGGAAAGGAGATAGATTTTGATGGAATATGAGTGTCTGCGGAGAGAAGCCCAGAGTGAATGGATATAGATGGTTGAGGAAAAGGATGAGGGTAGTGAGAGGCAGGCCATGGTGGCAGGTGCAAGAACATGGGTAGAGTCCAGAAGAATGTGGAGTAACGAACAGAAGTTGTGGACCCAGGGACCTCTTCCATGCACTTACCCATAGCCTTGCCAAGTCTTTCTGAGACTAGGCTTCCTCATTCATAAAATGGGGCAAAACATCTGCTCTCACTACCAGGTATTATGAGGACCCAGTAAGAAAAGGCTATAGCGTTTGATGACTGGTGGAAGCCATCTTGCGTCCACTGGGCAAAGGTGGAGGCAGGCACAGGGAAGGGAGAGATCTAGCCCAAGCCCACGCCAGACCTCAAAGGCCGAGCAGGGCTGCAACACAGTCTCCACCCTCCAGTGCAAGTGGCCAGCGATATATATGAAGGTTCTTAGCATTTTTAGCTGTGAAAATGCTAATGATTCTTATTGGAGCAAGGTAATTATACCAAGTGGCTTAGTCAGGAGGTGTTGATGAAGGGCTGAATGAACAATGCTTTGAACAAAAGTGCTCTGAAACCTCTGGTCCTGAAAGCCCTTTGTCTGCTCCCACGTCCCAAGCCTTCCATCCTCCCTCTTCACTACAAGCTGAGCAGCTTTTCCCGCTGTTTGCATGTGAGGGGCCCCTCATATCTGGTACAGGACACAGACTTTCAAGGCTCAGCGTGGGAAATGGAACACCATGAGGGGCATCTAAGGCCAAAGTGAAGCAAGAGTGAGGTCAGTGCCTCACAACAGGATAAAGTGCCTCATGGAGGTAAAAATGGCTGTAACTATGGCCACCGCTGTTCTACATTCCTTTCATGAATTAACTCATTTAGGCCTTATGAGAATCCTGTGAATCCCCATTTTATAGATGAGAAAACTGAGACACAGAGAGGTTAAGTAAATTGACAAAATTCTCACAGCTAATACCTAGTTGAGCCAGGATTTGAACCTGGGGCATGTTGACACTAAGAGGCCATGCACTTTACTGCTGAACGAGGCAGCAATCTGGTGGCACTAGAGAAAGTTGCAATGAAATACTTATGGCCCACACAGTGTGATCTGGCAAAAATCATGCTAAGGGAGGTGGCAAACAGTTGGTCCCATTCCCAGCTCAGCTATTAATATTCTGGCTAACCCCAACCAAGGCATTTAGGTTTCAGCTCCCAAGCTATAAAATGGCAGAGGGGGTTGCAGACGGTGAAGTCTAAGAGATCCCTCAACTCCAATGTGAAAATTTTCCCTGCTAGATTAAGACTTTGCCCAACAATATTTTGTAATTGTCTGCTTAGGTCAATAGGGAGAAAATCTAGAGGAAGTCTGAGGTTGCAAATGCAAGAAGTCATTTTGCAAAATATTTTCAAAGATGAAGAGAACTTGTCAAAAACAATTGAGGCATTTTCTTTTATTTCCAAAGGAAATGATTCAACTTAATGAAAGGTCACTAATGAAAGAGAGTTAATGTTATAAACATCAAATATTCTGCAACTCTTCCTGGCCAGATGGGGAGTCAGCCCTGGCTTCTGCTGTGTATGTGCTTGTGTGTTTCTTTTTCAGGCTTCTGCTCAGAATGACTTTTAGAAGATTCTACCTGATATCTGTGATATCTGTGGATGATTCACTCGAGCAGAGTCAGACTGGCTCCCAAGACCGTCCAGACTCCCTGACCAGGAAAATGCGTGAGGTTTCTTTTTTCTGAGACAGGATCTCTCTGTGCTGCCCAGGCTGGAGTGCAGTGGTGTGATCACAGCTCACAGGAGCCTTGACCTCCTGGGCTCAAGGAATCCTTCCACTTCAGCCTCCTGAGTAGCTAGGACTATAGGCACATGCCACCACATCTAGCTAATTTTTGTAGAGACTGGGTTTCACCATGTTGCCCAGGCTGGTCTCGAACTCCAGGGCTCTCAAGTGATCCTCCTGCCTCGGCCTCCCAAAGTGCTGGGATTATAGGCGTGAGCCATTGTGCCCAGCCTGCTCCAGGCTTCTTTGTAGCAAACCAACATTGGGATTCTCTATTTTCCTGAGGGCCAAATGTTACCAAAAGAAATAGATTGGGAAACATATATAAAAATAGAAGTTTAATATTGGAGGTGAAAAGGAGAGTGTATAGAATAAGGTGGGATGTGCTTAGATCAGTGATTTGCAATCGTGGCTATACATTGTAATCACCTGAAGTGCTTTAAAAACTGAGGGCTGGGTCCCACTCGACAAATTATTATGATTTCATTGGCTTGCGTATGGCCTCGGCATCAGGACTTTAAAAATCTTTCCTTTTACAAATACCTCTTTCATATGCAGTATGAACCACCTAACGATGTTTCAGTCAACAACAGAGAGATTATAATACTGTATTTTTTACTGTACCTTTTCTATGTTTTGATATGCTTAGATACACAAATACTTAGCATTGTATTAAAATTGCCTGCAGTACTCAGCAGTGTAACATGCTGCACAGGTTCATAGCTTAGGAGCAATAAGCTATACGATACAGCCTGGGTGTGTAGTAGGCTGTACCATCTAGGTTTGTGTAAGCGCACTCTGATGTTGACACAATGATGAGATAATCTAACAACATCTTTCTCCAAACTTACCCTTATCATTAATAGATGCATGATTGTATATATGTGTATGTGTACATGCACATATATACATATACATTCATACATTTAATATAAATGGGATCTTACTAGATGAATATATTATCTATTTAAATTACTTTATTAAGTAATATTCTACACACATTTTATGTGGCAGTATATGTTTATTTATAGGATTATTTAAATATCTAAATAATATTTTATATTATGGATTTATACTTATTAATATCATTCTATTGTTTGGTATGTAACTTAACTTTCCTCACCATCATAAATAACACCCTAACAAACAATCCATCATATAATCTATTTTGTGCTCATCAATAATTTTTTCCTGAGAATCAGTGTTTATCATTCTCACATAATTTTGTCAATGTGAGTAGAAAGTGGCAAATATCAATATTGATTTTTATTTCTTTTTTTTTTTAATTACTGGTGAAGTTGAAGTTTTGTGTATGTGCATGGTTATACAATTTTTTTTTTTTTTTTTTTTGAGGCAGGATCTTGCTCTGTCACCCAAGCAAGTCTTGAACTCCTGGGCTCAAGTGATCTGCCACCTTGGCCTCTCAAAGTACTGAGATTACAGGTGTGAGCCACCACCACGGTCGGTTTTTTGTTTTGTTTAGATGAATTTTTTAATTTTTAGCAATTTGTAGTTTATTCTCTGAAGTGCCTCTTTGAGTCCTTTCTCCTCTGTATCCAGAGAGATAGTACAGAGGAAAGTGGCTTTCTGGACATGCCTTACTCCTTATGATAACATTTGGCCATATGGTGCCCTGATCCTCTTTCAGAACCCGATGAACACATTTTGGATGCCATTCTAGACCTTCTTAGACAGTATCTTGATATCCGCTTCAGAACTGGCATTCAGCAGGCAAGGCTGGTTCTGGGAGTGCCAAGAGAAGCTGGAAGCTGAAGCCAACTGCTCCTGCTGAAGCGATACAAGCAGGAACAGGAAAAACGGGAGGGGCATCCCTCCTCCCCTCTGCTCCCCTTTCAGTTTCTCTCTAACGCCTCCTTTTGGCAAACCTAAAATAGGCCATTGTCTAGGGATCTAAGAAATGTAGTTTGCAGGTTCTTAGCCCTGGCTCCACTAAGCAGCACGTAGAGAAAGGTGAGATCCTTGGGGCATGATACTTTTGGGAACCCGTCTCACCTAGACTTGATCTCCCATCCATCTCATCTATCTCACTGTGCTCAGGACCCTCTGGTAGTTCCTCTCACCAGAATGGTTAGTTCCTGGAGGAGTAGACCATAGCTCCTCCATCTATGGTCTACTTCATGATCACTGAGATGCTCTTCCTTCCATGAACTGACCTTCCATACCCGTGCTCTCAGACAGCCTGTTGGACTCCTGGATTTGGAAGAAGGCTCCACCAAGGTCTACTCAGTTGTTGGTAACTCCAGATGGCAAAATGACATCTACCAACTAGGATGTGAAATATGTTCATTGCCATATCTATGGAACACCATGAGATTATCAACTTGACCTTCAAAGAATTCTCATATACCTTATTGAACTCCTCCCACCAGAAGGATCAATAAACCATCACTCAATTATGGCCTCCCCCCAGTCCTGCTGAGTGTGCATCATGGTCACTCTGGCCACAGAGCACAGGCCACTCTGCAGCCAAGAACAGCAGTAGTGTGCTGCGCAGCCTTGGCTCATTTAAGTGGGAGAGATATGTGCTGTACTTGCTTATGCAGAAATGAGCCAGCTGTTGTAAGTCATGTGTGCATGAATCCCATCTCTCCCTGCTCCTTGTTTTGTCCCACTACTGTGTGCCAGCAGCTTGCGCTGGAGATGCAGAAACGGGAAATGCAAGTCAGGCACTCCTCAGAGTACCACGGCCGGCTCAGTACCTAGCTCACCAGGAGAGTACATCTGCTGAGTGCTGGTGGGAACCTGCCTCTGGGATCTGAAGCACCTCCACAGGGTGTTTCCACCACTGCCACACCATATCCATGGGGACACCAGAAAAAAAAAGGGTAGTGTAGAAATGAACTCCATGATCTTGTATCTCCTTCTGTGCCCTTGCACATCTTCTTTCCCCATTTGACTCTCGGATCTTTTCACGGCCTGCCTTCTGAACCCTCTTACTCTGTATTACCTACTCACCATTTTTGACCCTTCCCTTCAGATCCCACTTCTATCTTTTGCTTTCTCCTTGTGACCCAGCCTGGGATATTTCCTTGCTTCCATGCCTACCCCACCTGGGTCTAGCTCATCAGGACCTGTTTGGCTACATCAGAACCTTTTCTCTGGAACTCCCTCCTCCAAGGCCTGCAGTGCCTCATTCACTGGGGCCACTGTGACCTGCAGGACAACTTCTTCTTCAAGTGTCTTCACTCTCTTCTTTCAGATTTTCTCTACTCACAAAGAGGTTTTCTCTGACTCTGTTTAAGGCCCTTGCCAGAAGAGCTAAAAAGTTGATTTTGAAAGAGGATCGTTTGCTTAGCCAAGGAAAAGGGCCATTTTCTTATGATCATCAGCCTTTCCTTCCCCCAGCAGGAGCAATGCAACCTCAGGAAGCAACTGAGTAGAGTCACAACCCTCCCTGGTCCACCCATCCACCACCCATATCAACAGCTAGCCCAAGGCTCTTCAAAGTGGCAAGAGCTGAGGTCTGAGGGCACTGAGACTTGTTCCTCCAGAACACGTGTGCTTCCTCCAAACTCCCAGGTACTTGCAGGGGCCATTGCAGCCAGCAGGCATGACTCTGGTTAGCTCCTTGGTTTTTCTCTGTTGGCTCCAGTAGAAGCAGTCATGTAGATTCTGCTCTGGGCTCCCTGGGACAATGGGAGCAAGGATGCTGTGCAGTGTCTCATAATATCATAGCGTATCATAGAAAACTCCATGTGACAAAGTCCCTTTAGAATTCACTGGGGCCTACTTGAGGGAGTAGGGTGGGAAAAGGGAGAGGATCAGAAAAAAATGCCTATCAGGTACTATGCTTAGCACCTGGGCGATTCAATAATCTGTACACCAAACCCCCATGACACAAGTTTACCTATTATAACACACCTGCACACGTGTCCCTGAACCTAAAATAAAAGTTAAAAGAAGAAAAGAATTATGTGCCAGAGAAAGTCCTGTCCCCTCAAGGAAAAGGTGCACTTTTTAATAAAAAGAATGATGTGAACCCCAGGCACGCCGAACCAGCAGTAATGACAAAATTGGAGGGATTCCAGCACCAGCCTCCTGGTGCCCTCACAGTCTCCAGGGAGCATCTTTTTGTGTGCTTGGACCGGAGCCTCCTCATTCCCGTTATACCTTTTCTGTTGATGTTGGCTCTAATCTCTGATAAGGAAAAATTATTATAGGGAATTCTAGAAGTCCACAAAGACCTTAGAGATCTGTAGGGTGTAAAAAAGGGAAGGAGAGCAGATACTATTATTGGCACTCACTATTTGCTGCATTACTGTTTAACCCAATGAACTGATGTGTGAATGCATGAGTGAATAAAAAATAGACCAATAAATCTGTCTGTATTTGGTAAGGCCAATTTTCTCCAAGCTGAAGCTCTGCCTGGGGTAGAAATTAGGTACTTTCTGCCCCTGTTTAGCTATCTCAGGCTGTGAAAGGCACCCCCACTCACTCCATGCTGGCCATTTTGCCCCTCAGCTCCATTCCCACTCCTCTGTGCTCTGCTCTGTATGGTAGGGGGCTGGGAGCCTGCACACTGCATCTAGATTCTGCATACCGGTTAGATTTTGTCCATGGCAGAGCAGTGGCAGGAGACTGGAAGATGGGGAGAAAGAGTGAAGCCCTTCCTAGCCTTTCTGTCTGCCGCAGCATTGCAGAGTGTGGACTCCTAGGCTCCTGCTCAGGTGCAGTGGCAATGGCAGTGGGTACATCAGCAGCCTCAACAGCATGGTGGTTTGTGGGCTGAGGCTCAGGTGGGGTCAGGCTGGCAGGTGTGATCTGGGTACCTGGTTCCAACAGCAGCAGCAGGAGTGTAGGCTCTGACTTCCTGGAGCATCAAGATGTCAGCTGCAAGAGTCCAACAGCTACAGCCTCCCAATATCTAGGTTCTCAACTCTAGGCAACACTGTATCCCTGTCAGCTCTCTTGCCTAAGGGTGATCTGGTTTCCTGTAGTTCTAGTTTATGGCTAATCTGATCTCTCTCCTTCTGCTCCTCTGGCCTTCCCAGTGAGTTTGTAACTAACTCTCTGTCTTCACTTCTCTGTATTTGGAAAACATGATGTGACTTTTGTTTCCCTGACTGGACATTGATCAACATGCCTTCCTGCTGTAGTTCCATAACAGCCCTGAGCACTTACCTAGACATTGTTCCCACATATGTTTTCATATGAAAATAATTCTGTGACTGAAGAAGATTCCTCTTGTTGGGGGGTGTGTCCTCTCATATCCCTCCCTTTCTTGTGAGAACTATGGACAGGTTGACTGTGGCTGGGCTTAGCCCTGTTGGGCTTTCATAGCACAATCAACTGCCCCTCTGCAGAGTCATCTCCATAAACTAAGAATAAATGAATCCCTTCATGGTTTGCAAAAATTAATCTTGTGAATTTCAAGTCATGTCACTACAGCCTCAATTAGAACTTAGCTGCATGAGACTAATGGCTGTCATACAGCAAAGCAGGCAGAATCCCTGAAGAGGGCCTCTGGGCAGCTGAGTTTCCCACCTTGGAGCATGGCTGGGCAGGATTCTAAACACGAGGGGCCTGTTCTGTGGGCTTTTCCTCTGCATTTTCACATTCTGCACTTGCAATGTGTTTAAATTACATAGAAGGTGTCTTCAGGTCCATCTCCTCCTTGGCCATGGTGGGATAAATGTTGGTTACAGCCTGCGTTGTGGCCTCTGTAATATCAGTTGTTATCAGAGGGACTCTCACTGTGTTTCTTCCCTTCCTGATTCACTCCACAATGAGATGAATGGGATGTTTACATATTTTTTGCCAAAGTACAAGCTGTCTGCTTAGATATGTAGCCACAATTTTTAAAATTGCACACTTTGAAGTATACAATTCAGTAGTTTTTAGTATATTCGCAAGGTTATACAACCATAACTATTATCCAATGCCAATTATTTTCATTACTCCAAAAGGAAACCCAGCCCCATTTGCAGCCAGTCCTTATTTCTCCTGCTCTCAGCCCCTGGCAACCGTTAATTTATTTTCTGTTTTTATCTATTTGCCTATCTTGGATGGACATCTCTTATAAATCATACAATGTGTGGCCTTTTGTGACTGACTTCTTTCACTTAGCATAATGGGTTTTTTGGCTTTTTTTTTTTTTTTTTTTTTTGAGACGGAGTCTCACTCTGTTGCCCAGGCTGAAGTGCTGTGGTGAGATCTTGGCTCACTACAACCTCCGCTTCCCAGGTTCAAGTGATTCTCCTGCCTCAGCCTCCTGAGTAGCTGGGATTACAGGCATGCACCACCATGCCCGGCTAATTATTGTATTTTTAGTAGAGACAGGGTTTTGCCATGTTGGCCAGGCTGCTCTCGAACTCCTGACCACAAGTGATCTGCCTGCCTCGGCCTCCCAAAATGCTGGGATTACAGGTGTGAGCCACCATGCCCTGCCCGACTTAGCATAATGTTTTTAACTTACATCCATGTTGTGGCATGTATCAGTACTTCATTCCTTTTAATGGCTGAATAATGTTTCATCGTATGGCAAGACCACATTTTGTTTGTCCATTCGTTAATTGATAGACATTTGGGTTCTTGTCACTTTTTGACTAGTATGCATCATGCTGCTATGAACATTCATGAGCAAGTTTTTGTGTGAATATGCTTTCAATTCTTTTGAATATATATCTAGAATTAGAATTGCTGGGTCACACGGTAACTCTATCTTAAGCTTTTGAGGAATTGCCAGGCTGCTTTCCAAAGCTGCCATGCCATTTTATATTTCCACCAGCACTGTAGGAAGGTTCTAATTTCTCCATGGCCGCGATTTGACGGTGATTAGACTAACCCAATGCCTAAAGTGTCCAGGATCTGAAAAATTTTCATCCAAAACTTAAGACAGGGATTGGCAGTGAGGTGTCCAGGGTCTCACCTGAAGGTGATGTGCTTGGAGGTCTGTTTTGCTGACCTCCAGAAATAGCTGTGGGAATGTGGATGGCCACACTCATTTCCCCACATCATTTTCAATGATTAAATGTCAGTTTACAGGACGTTCTGGGGTAGGGGGTTTGTGATCAGTATTTGCTGTTCTTTTTCCTCTCTTCTTGTATTTGGAGACTACTAAACTATATGAGGTGAAATCTGAAATGCCACCCCCCTGCTTTTCCAGGACCCCTGGAACCAACTTACCACCTGGGCTTTGAGGAGGAATCCAGTGACCATGTGGGGTCCACCCTTCTGATGAGGGGCCCCAGCAGCACTATCGAGTCATTTTCACTTACTTGCAATGTGGCCATACTCTCATGTATCCTGTGTGAGGTCCACCCTTGCTAGATAAGGGTTTCAAATCAGTAGCTTGCTAGCTGAAGCTGGTTAGCAGGTGTGTTTTGTGTGGCCTTTGTGATTTCCTAAAGATGGGAAGATTTCACTGAAATATCCAGAATTGTAGTTTATCTAAAAACAATCAGAAGCTCTGGTAGCCTTGAGCCAGCATTCCACATGTGGCAACTCCTGGCTGGGGCTGACAGCTCATGGGTGAGGTGCAAATGGGGTGTGAACCCTCGGGTTGGCCACTGTGTCACCTCCTTCACTCTCTTCACTTATCTACTTTAACTACCTGCCCCCTCAAACTGAGTTTGTGAGAAGTAAGAGGACTCCTTCCCACGTCATCACACAACACAGTCGGGCCTGTTGAGCGCAGGGGCCTACGGGTGAACTACCCCACTAAGCACTCCCGCGGGGGGTCTGCAGTGAGCTGACTTTCTTTAGAATGGTGGTTCCCAGAGTTGGTGCACATTAGAATTACCTGGGGATTTTTTTTTTTAATTCCAAAGCCCAGCCACATCCCAGACCCATTAAATTACAACTTCTGGGGTGGAACATGAGTAGTAGTATGCGGCAAATGCTTAACAACAGGCTCTTTGGGAGGAAAAGCCCTGACCTGTAACATTTGCTGATTACCGAGGTGTAAATATTCCCATCATGGTTGATTTCCAGCTACAAATGTGCCTTCACTGAATGCAGAGCTGAAAAGAGATGCTCAGCAGCAAACCATGACATAGTGTTTTCATCATGCAGAAAGAACATGTAAATAAGGTTGGGTACAGTGGCTCATGCTTGTAATCCCAGTTCTTTGGCAGGCCAAGGTGGAAGGATTGCTTGAGGCCAGGAGTTCGAGACCAGCTTGGCAACAGAGTGAGGCCTTGTCTCTATAAAAAGAAAAATTAGCTGGGTATGGTGGTGCACGTCTGGGGTTCCAGCTACTGGGGAGACTAAGATGGGAGGATCGCTTCAGCCCAGGAGGTCAAAGCTACAGTGAGTCACGATCACTGCACTTGAGACCTTGTCTCAAACAAAAGCAAACAAACAAAATATAAATAATCTCAAGAGCATAGACAATAGTTAAATGTAATTTAGAGGTGATGGGTTTTGAATATTTATTACTTTTATTTTTAATATAATTAGTTCATTGTAAGTTTATATGTATATAATTTAATTTTAAATAGTGACTGTGTTAAATACCCGACTCACAAAATTTCTGAAATTTAAAACATTAGCTGTGGTGAGCTGGTACAAACCAACTCCAGTTCACTACTGGGACAGGCATCAGTAGTTTTTTGAAGCTCCCTAGTAATCCCAAAGTGCAGACAAATTTGGGATCCACTGCTTGGGAACAATGGTTTTTGGGCTTAAACTTGCATCAGGATAGCCTGGAAGGCTTGGTAAAACACAGATCGCTGTCCCCAACCCACCACCAATTCCTGATTCGGTAGATCTTAGGATGGGGCCTAAGAACTTGCCCTTCTAACAAGTTCCCAGGTGATGCTAAGGCTGCCAGTCCAGGGACTCTAACTTTGAGATTAAAAATATGCCAGCCTCAGGTCCTCATTAGCTTCCTTTTGCAGGCTGGGCCAGGCAAGGTTGAAGTCAGTCTGCCCTCACCCTTGTCACCAGTAGTAATACCTTGCCAGAGGGTGGCAAGCATGATGAATGGCAGGTGCCTGGGGCAGTGCTCTCATCTTGAGGATGCTGTGGGAGGCTCTGCACCCCCTCCAGCAGTCTGTGATTCCTCAGTTCCCCACCGCACTTTCAGGGCAAAAGGTGAGGGGGGTGGGCAAGGGAGCAGGCAGCAGAGCTATCAGTCTGAAAGCCATTACCAGCTCACTCAAGGCAGTCACAATTTCCTTACCTCAGTCACCATGGAGACTGGCCAGTTATTGGTAAGCTGGGATCTGGAGGAATGAAGACTGAGGCTAGACAAAGGGAGACAGCTTCGTTAGCCCTCATATCCAAAGGCTAAGGAGTCAGAAGCTATGTTAGAGTTTTCCAGAGAAACAGAACCAAGAAGATATATACGTATAAAGATAGATAGATAGATCTTACACACACACACACACACACACACACACACACACACATATTTACTTTTTTTGGAAACAAGGTCTCACTCTGTTGCCCAGGAGTGCAGTGGTGTGATCCTAGCTGATATGGTTTGGCTCTGTGTCCCCGCCCAAATCTCATGTGGAATTGTAATCCCCAGTGTTGGAGGAGGGGCCCGGTGGGAGGTGATTGGATCTTGGGGGGTAGATTTTCCCCTTGCTGTTCTCATGACAGTGAGTGAGTTCTCATGTGATCTGGTTGTTTAAAAGCATATGGCACCTCCCCCTTCATTCTCCTCCTCCTGCTCCAGCCATGTAGGACATGCCTGATTCCCCTTTGCCTTCTGCCATGGTTGTGTTTTCTGAGGCCTCCCTAGCCATGCTTCCTGCACAGCCTGCAGAATAGTGAACCAATTAAACCTCTTTTCTTTACAAATTAGCCAGTCTCAGATAGTTCTTTATAGCCATAAGAGAATGGACTAATACACTAGCTCACCACAGCCTCAACCTCCTGGGTTCAAGCAATCCTCCTACCTCAACCTCTCAAGTAGCTAGGGTATAGGCATGCGCCACCACACCCAGCTAATTTTTTTTTTTTTTTGATGGAGTCTCGCTCTGTCGCCCAGACTGGAGTGCAGTGGCGCAATCTCTGCTCACTGCAAGCTCCACCTCCTGGGCTGACACCATTCTCCTGCCTCAGCCTCCCGAGTAGCTGGGACTATAGGAGCCCACCACCACGCCCGGCTAATTTTTTGTATTTTTGGGAAAGATGGGGTTTCACCATGTTAGCCAGGATGGTCTCGATCTCCCGACCTAGAGATCTGCCTGCCTCAGCCTCCCAAAGTGCTGGGATTACAGGCGTGAGCCACCGCGCCCTGCCCACACCCAGCTAATTTAAAAAAAAAAAATTTGTAGATATGTGGGTCTCACTATGTTGCCCAGGCTGATCTTGAACTCCTGGGCTGGCTCAAGCAATCCTCCTGCCTCAGTTTCCCAAAGTGCTGGGGTTGCAGGAGTGAGCCACTGTGCCTGGCCCAATTTATTTGCTTAGGTATTTCTTTATTATAAGACATTGGCTTATGTGATTACGGAGGCTGAGAAGTCCCACAATCTTCTCTCTGCAAGCTGGAGACCCAGGAGAGCCAGTTGTATAGTTCAATGACCTGAGAGCCAGAGAGCTGATGGCATAGATTCCAGTCTGGATCTGAAGGCCTGAGAACAAGGAATTCTGTGGGCAGAAAGGAGATGTCCCAGCTGATACAATCAAGCAGAGAGCAAATCCAACCTTCCTCCACCTTTTTGTTTCATTCAGGCCATCAACAGATTGGATGAGGCCCATCCACATTGGAAGGGTTGTCTCCTTTACTCAGCCCATCAGTCCAAACGTTAATCTCCTCTGGAAACATCCTCACAGACACAACCAGAAATCATGTTTAATCAGGTATCTGGGCATCCTGTGATCCAATCTAGTTGACACATAAAATTAACCATAACAAAAACATTTTGTCTTTGGTCTATTAACAGATATAAGAGAAGATTGTCATAATTTCTACCACATTAGGTAAGAAGAGGAATAGGAGAGCTCATCAGGTTAGAAAAAGGCAAATCAGCTAGGCATGGTTGCTCACACCTGTAATCCCAGCACTTTGGGAGGCTGAGGCAGGAGAATTACTTGAGCCCAGGAGTTCAAGAGCAGCCTGGGCAACACAGTGAGACCTCATTTGTATTAGTCTGTTTTCACACTGCTATAAAGGTACTACCTGAGACTGGGTAATTTATAAAATAAAAGGTTTTAATTGACTCACAGTTCCTCTTGGCTGGAGAGGCCTCAGGAAGCTTACAATCATGGTGGAAGGTGAAGGGGAAGCAAGGCACGTCTTACATGGTAGCAGAAGAGAGAGAGCACATGCATGGGAAACTACCACTTTTAAACCATCAGATCTCATGAGAACTCCCTCACTATCATGAGAACAGCATGGGGGAAACCGCCCGCATGATCCAGTCACCTCCCACCAAGTCCCTCCCTCGACATGCGGAGATTACAATTCAAGATGAGATTTGGGTGAGGACACAGAGCCAAACCACATTACCGTTGCTATAGAAAAATGAAAAAATTAGTCAGGCATAGTGGTGCATGCCTGTAGTCTTAGCTACTTGGGAGGCCAAGGTGGGAGGATTGCTTGAGTCCAGCAGGTCGAGGCTGCAGTGAGCAGTGATCATGCCACTGTACTCCTGCCTGAGCAATAGAGCGAGATCCTGTCTCAGAAAACAAAGGAAGAAAGGAAGGAAGGAAGGCAAGCAGGCAGGCAGGCAAGCAGGCAGGGGAAAGAGAGAAAGAGAGAGAGGGAAGGAAGGAAGGAAGGAAGGAAGGAAGGAAGGAAGGTAGGAAAGAAAAAGAAAGAAAGAAAGAGGGAGGGAGGGAAAGAGAGAAAAAGAAAAAGAAAGAAGAAAGAAAGAGAAAGAGGAAAGAGAAAGGAAGGAAGGAAGAAGGAAGGAAGGGAGGGAAAGAGAGAAAAAGAAAGAAAAGAAGAAAGAAAGAAGAAAGAAAGGAAAGAAAGTTGGAAGAAAAGAAAGAAAGAAAAAGGGAGAAGGCAAAATGGTGTGAAGTGTATTCTCTAGGGAGCTAACCAGATGTCACATCCCTGAAGGCAGGGGTCTTGTATTATTACCCCTCTCTGCCCACAGCACCCATACCCAGGGCCTGCACAGGGCAGGATTTCAGTATGTACTTGCCCATTGAGTGGATGATATATGCCATTGCATCTCGGAGTTGGGCAGAGCCTTCTCTCTAGGTTCCTGTTCTTTCCATATTCACAGCAATATCTAGAAGGGCAGGGGCTGGAGACAGATTTCTGTGCATCGTTGGACAACTACTTAAATCTCCTAATCCTCAGTTTCCCCATGTGTAAAACAGACATGTAGGACTGACTGAAGCTTAAGTGACCTGGTGCATCAAAAAGAACTTAGCACAGGGATTGGCAGGTAATCAATATTCTCTGTTGTAAGACAGTGAGTTGGGAAGCAAAATGAACGAGGCTGGCACCCCTACCCAATCCCCAGCACTTCGGAAGCCTTTTGAGAGCAGAGAAAGGAGGTGGAAGGAGGATGAAAAAGTATGCAAGACTGGGAATTAGCCAGGCATAGTGGTGTTAGGAAGTCAGCAGGAATGGTGTCCCAAGCATCTAGGGATCTGGTTTGGAGGCGCAGAGGCCCCAGCCTTGCAGGGCCCCCTGTGATGGGCACTGCACTTCTCACATCCTTCAGCAAAAGCATTCCATACAAATTCAGAAGCTGCAGGTAAACATGAAAACCAAAGAAATCCTAAGAGAAAATTAGGTTGAAAAAATGTACTGATGTCTTTTCTAAGTATATGAACAGGCAGAAAGCAGAAAAAGGGATGCAATGACTACATAAATATTCTTATCAACACTAAGTCAAAAGGCTTACTTAGTGACACTTAGGTATCCATAAATACTGGTTGAAGGAATAAATGAAAAAGTAAATTAAGCAACTATATGGTAAAAGATTACAGATTAAAAACTTTAATAAAAAGTCTTGTGAAATAATAAAAGAAAGAATGAAAACCCCAAAACAAATGGGCAGAAGCTATGAACAAGTAATTCACAAAGATAAAATGCAAATAGTTGATAAACATAAAAAGTAGTGCAATTTCCTTGATTATCAAAGAAATGCAAGTTAAAACACCTAAGAAAAGACATTTTTTGTTTATCAAATTAGGAAAAATAAAAAATACACGAGCTAGAAGGAACTAGTCACACTCAAACTTTGCTTTTTTGGGAGTAAAAAGAGCTATAGCTTTTTTTTTTTTCTTAAGCAAAGTGTAATTTATATACCACAAATTTACCCTTTTAAAGTATACAGCTCAGTGGCTTTAGTATTCACAAAGTTGTGCTCACCACCGCAATCTAATTCCGGCTCATTTTCACCTAATTCCAGTTATAGATCATCACCACAATGTAATTCCAGACATTTTCATTACCCCTGAAAAAACTCCAGTACTTCTTAGCAGTCACTTCCATTTCTTCCTTCCTCTAGCCCCTGATGCGGCTAGTAATATACTTTCAGTTTTTTAAAAAATAGAGACAGGGTCTACCTTTGTCATGCAAGCTGGAGTGCAGTAGCCTGATCATAGCTCACTGCCATCTTGAATTCCTGAGCTTAAGCCATCCTCCCGCTTTAGCCTCCCAAGTAGCTGGGACTATAGGTGCACACCACCACACTTGTCTAATTTTTAAAGTTTTGTAGAGACAAGGTCTCTCCCTCTTGCCCAGGCTGGTCTCGAATTCTTGGGCTCAAGTGATCCTCCTGCCTCGGCCTCCCAAAGTGCTGGAATTACAGTCGTGAGCCACTGCACCCAGACTATACTTTCCATCTCTATAGATCTACATGTTCTGAACATTGTATGTAAGTGAAACCTGTAAGATGTGGCCTTTTGTGTCTGGATTCTTTCACTCAGCATAATGTTTTCAAGGTTCATCCATGCTGTAGCATGCATCAGCACTTCATTACTGCTCATGGCTGAATAATATTTTATTGTATGAATAGACCACATTTCGTTCATTAGTTGATGGACATCTGGGTTGTTTCCACTTTTTGGCTGTGATAAATAATGTTTATATGAACATTCATCCACTAGTTTTTGTGTATATGTTTTCAATTCCCTTGGGGATATACCTAGGAATGGAATTACTGGGTCATTCTGTAACTATGTTTAAATTTTAAAGGAACTGTCAAAATGTACAATGGTTCCAATTTTCCCTCATTTTTGCCAACATTTATTATTGCCTTTTTTTTTTGAGATAGGATCTCACTCTGTTACCCAGGCTGGAGTGCAGTGGTGCGATCTCAGTTCACTGCAACCTCCACCTTACATATTGTCTGTCTTTCTTATTATAGCCATCTTAGTGGGTGTGAAGTGGGATTTCATTATGATTTTGATTTGCATTTTTCTAATGACTAATAATACTGAGCATCTTTTCATATACCAGATACATCCTTTTTGGAAAGCAGTTTAGTAATACCTTTCAAAGGCCATTAAATGTGCATGTAATTTGACCGTAATACCTGATTCCAGAATTTATTCCAAGGAATAATTATGGATGGCTAAGAAATTCACCTGCAAGGATGTTCATCATGATGTTATTTAAAAGTGCAAGTAGTTGAAAACAAAAGTCTGACTATAGGATATTGTTTAAATAATCGATAGTCCATCCATAAAATGAAATAAAATAAAATAATTCTGTACAATATTAATGGCATGGAACTATATAGTTAAATAAAAATATAGACTATAAAACATTACAATCTTAATTCTATTTAATAATCTATAAACATTTGAAGAAAAAAAGGATATAAACACATATACCAAAATGCTAACAATGATACGGATAGTTTTTTTTTATAACAGTCTTTTGAGATAATTCACATACCATACCATTCATCCAAAGTATGCAATTCAATTATTTTAGTATATTCACAGAGCTGTGCAACCATCACCATAGTCAACTTTAGAGCATTTTTATCATCCCAAAAGAAACCCTGTACCCATTAGCAGTCACTTGCCGTTTCTCACCCCCCACCCCCAGCCCAAGGCAACAGCTAATCTTTCTGTCTCTATAGGTTTGTCTATACTCTACATTTTATGTAAATGGAATCATATAATATGTGGCCTTTTGTGACTGGCTTCTTTCGCTTATAATGCTTTCAAGTTGTATCCATGTTGTAGCATGCATCAGTATATCATTCCTTTTATGATTGAATATTACATTGTGTAAACATATCACATTTAATTTATCAATTCTTTGGTTGGTGGACCCTTGGGTTGTTTCCACTTTGGGCTGTTATAAGTTCTTGTACAAGTATTTGTGAAGGTACATATTTGCATTTCTCTCCGGTATATTCTTAGGAGTGGAATTGCTGGATCATATGGCAACTCTATGTCATTGAAGAACTGCCAGAGTGTTTTTCTAAGTATTGGCACTATTTAACAGTCCCACCAGCAGTATATGAGAGTTTAGTTTTAGCTTTTATATTTAGGTCTTTGATGCATTTTGCATTTGGATATGGTGTGGGGTAGGGGTTCATTTTTTTTCCCTTTGCATGTGGATATCCAATTGTCCCAGTACCATTTGTTGAAAAGACTATTCTTTCCCTGTTGAATTGTCTAAATTGTTGTGATATTCTTGTGGAAAATAAACTGACCATAAATGTGGGGGGTTATTTCTGGACTCTAAGTTTTATTTCATTGGTCTATATGTCTATCCTATGCCAGTACCACACTTTTATTACTATAGCTTTGTAATAGGTTTGAAATAGGAAAGTATGAGTCCTCTATCTTTGTCCTTTTTCAAGATGTTTTGGCCATTCTGAGTCTTTGAATTTTGATGTAAATTTTAGAATCAACTTGTCAATTTATGCAAAGAAGCCAGCTGGGATTTTGATAGGAATTGTGCTTAATCTATAGACCAATTTGTGGAGTATTGGCATCTTAACAATTTGGAGAGTATTGCCATCTTAAGTCTTCTGATCCATGAACATGGGATGTCTTTCAATTTATTTAGGTTTTCTATTTCTTTTAACAATGTTTTGTAGTTTTTGGATTATAAGTTTTGTACTTCTTTTGTTAGTGAAGAATTTTTAATTGTGGTGAAATATAAATAACATAAAATTTACCATTTTAACCATTTTAACTGCACAGTTCAGTGGCATTAAGTGCACTGCTATGCAACCATCACCACTATACATGCCCAGAATATCTTCATTTTTCCAAAGTGAAACGCCATACTCATTAAACAATAACTCACCATTCCCTCTTTCCCCCAGCCCCTGGCAACTACCAACCTACTTTCTGTCTCTGTGAGTTTGATTACTCTAGGTACCACATGTACATAAAATTGTACAATATTTGTCCTTTCGTGTCTGGCTTATTCACTTAGAATAATGTCTTCAAGGTTTACTTATGTTGTAGCATATGTCAAAATTTCATTCCTTTTTAAGCCTGAATAATATTATGTACAACATGTTTATCCATTCATCTGTCAACACTTGGTTTATTTCCACTTTTTGGTTATTGTGAACATAGGTCTACAAATATCTCTTTGAGTCCCTGCTTTTAATTCTTAGGGGTATATACCCCAAAGTAGAATTTCTGGATTATATGGTAATTCTGTGCTTAATTTTTTGATCAATGAATAATTTTAAATTCATTATTATCTTTTTGTTCTTCTGTGTTTTAACATTTATTATATAATCATGAAAGCATTACTTTTAAAATCTAATTATTTGAATGCATTCTGCATTGTAAATGGACATATGTTCTGTGAGCTTTTCAACATTTCCCATAATTTGTGAATTAATATATGTTTACAGTGGAGCTAACTTCTGGTTTATGTGATCATTTTGCTGACAACTTGGGAGATTGTCTCATTCCTTCTGCAGACACATGGGTCAGAACATAACTGGCATAATACCCTGGACATTTTTTTGTTAACAGTAAGACTTGCCACTTGAATTTGCTTTATACCTCTCACCCCATCTTCATGCCACAGTGCCCTCAATACAATGGACACTGGGGAGATATATACCTATTCTTGGGCATGTAACAGTGGCGAAGAGTCTATTGACCTGCTGGTTAGTGACAGCTTCTATCTTCTGACTCAGATCTCCATTATTTACACTCCAACCATGTAGTCTTCCTTTTTCCAGGCAGCCCATAAAATGGGGAAAAACAGAGTTCAACTGAGAAGATTTGGGGAGAAAGCCAACATACAAACGGGAACAAGAGCCCTGGGACTTTCCTAAGAAAAACAAAGGATTTAAAGAAAGAACAATATTTAGCAGAATGCAAAACTCCCATTTCCAGATTAAGAAAACAACTTGCTGCAAACAACTTACAATATTTAAAAGTAGCTCTCATTTTTCAAAAAAAACACAAAAAACAAAAAAACAATAACAAAAAACCCTCTCCCTCTCATTACAGCACCAAAAAATAAAAAATAAAAAAAAAATAAGGCTGTTAGAAGCTGAGTTTAAGAAATGTTTTTAAGGTTGGAAAATACTAGTTTTAGCTCAAGGAAAAACTACTTTTCCCTCAACTGGTCCAACTCAATGGTTCATCCTAACTCTTGGTTCATGCCAGCTTCCCCAAATGCCTCATTTCCCGTTAAGGTGCTATTGTTCGTAAACTTTCAGGTTTCCTCTTAGTCATGTTTCTTTCCCCAGGAAATCAATTTTCGAGCATTTATCCTTTTGCAGTAGTGAGTCAAAACTCAGTTGTCAAATATTCCTCTCGTACAGGCCAAGCCTTCCAAGGAATGACACCACAAAGTGAAGACACAAATGGATGTGACGAAGTGATTGCCACTGAGCTTGGCACAGCCATGAGTAGAGGAGTGGAGCTGCTGGAGAAGAAACCACGCAGGGTCAGGATACACATTATTTCCAGAAGAGTCATCAAAGATGTTAAGTCTCATATGGCCCAGATTTATAGTCCAGGGGTCAATGCCCTTGGGAGATCCTGTAGACCAGGGTCTGTCACTCAGATTCAGTAAACATTCTAGAGCAAGGGCCTAAAAACTATGGCCTTTTGTCTGTTATTGTATGGCTGTCAAGGTAAGCATGCTCTTAAAGTTTTTACATGTTTTTAAAAAATCAAAAAATAATCCTTTGTGACAAATTAAAATCATATAAAATTCAAGCTTGCTTCCATAAAAAAAGTTTCATTGGAACACCTCCGCATCCATTCACCTATGTCTACAGCTATGGCTGCTTTCCAGTTGAGTAGTTGCATCAGAGACTGTGTGGCCCGCAAAGCCTAAAATATTTACTCTCTGGTTCTTTGCATAAGGTTTGCTGTCCTCTGTCTTAAACTCTTTTCCACAAAATGCAGCAGCAAGAGAAGAGAAGAAAGGAGCAGGGGATGGGAAAGCCAAACCACAAGCATCACTTTCAAGGTGGGGAACCTAGTATTGCAGGTTAGGAGCAGGGTTTGGAATCCACGGTTAGGCCTGGCCACTGTGTTTCCGTGAGGCACACTCTGGATGCAGGGAGGGGATGGGCATTCCCAGTGACTGTCTCCATTGAACCTCTGTTGTAGCTTGTCACCATGTTAGAGCCCTGCCTGATCACTCAGTGCATATTTGGACCACCATGATGAGAGTAGCCATTCCTATCCTAGTCCCAAGAGGAGAAAAAGGCTCAAGTTCTGCTTCATTTAAGAAAAACTTGACTGATGGAGAATTTAGATGTTGGTTCAAGCAAGATTTTATGTGGAGAAGCAGCAATGCTGGGTACCATCAATATACTCACAATTAGTCTTTCCTCAAAATTCAGCTTCTGTGCTGGCTTCTTTTCTAGCCCCTGGGCTCAGTCCTGAATCCTGGTACAGCTCAAGCCTAGGGATATTTTCTTTATACACATCAAGAGCCATCTTGTGGAAGAATGGTTTTGTGCAGTTCCAGGGGTCAGAACTAGTACCAGTAGGTAGACCAATAGTGGATTTAAATTTAGCCTGGGAAAGACCTGGCTCAGAATTTTTGCTGAGCCGATCTGGAACAAGCTGTTTTGGGAGGCAATGGACTGTGTGCTTCAACAGAAATGCTGTGAGCAGTTAGAAATATGGTTATATCAAGGACCTCTGGGTGCTAGAATTATATGAGTCAGGGAACTAATGGATCAAGGGGCAGAGTGAGGAGATACAAACACTGAATACAGTAGCTAAGAGCATAATGTTGAAGTCAAAGCTGAAGTTCATATCACGGCTCTGTCACTTACTAGCCATTTGGTAAAGTTGGTTAAGATGAACTTCAGCTCCTATATCTGTAAAGTGTGGTTTTACAGATAGTTCTTACCTCACCGAGATACTATGAAGGCTAAATTAGAGTTAATGTCAACAAGTGATAGATGTTGTTGTTGTACATTTATTATAACACATTATTGGTTGCTAATTGCTATGTACATCACTTGAGTCCAAAACTTGGTAGGAAAATTTTTCTCTTCTTTGTTTTTCTTCCCGAGTTGCAAAACTATTTCAAGGCAGGGAATAGAGGAAATGAAAAAATAAATAAAACAGCTCTCTTGGATTATGTACCAGCCTTCAGGCAGATGGTGACTGTCCTGTGTGTGTACCCTCCCAAGATGAGTGACATCAATGTGTGCCTCATCAGCATGATTGCCTCAAACCGGGTTGTTGAATTTGCCCCCACAATTCAAGAGGGTTGGGCAAAGAGGAGGGACGCTCTTCAGATGCCAAGATGGCAATATGTTACAGATGATGTTTGGCAGGGATCTGAGAATCAGAGAACATCATATTAATTTTTTTTCCTGAACATTTTACAAAACCATTAATTAAGAAACCCGTTTGGCTGGAAAACAAATGTCGGTGGTGAGTAACGAATACCAGCTTCTGTCACATTTCCCCTTTCTGGTAGTTTCTGAAGTTCTGGGCTTGCTGGCTTAACAGTTTAGCTGCCAGCCAGGGAGATTTTTATCAACCATAGGATCTATCAGCTGCTGTCCAGACAAGCTGATGTTAACATCAGCTTAACTTTGGCAGGGATGCCAATTGCTTGAATTCATTTAAATCCAGTTCTCCCACAGAGTGCTAAGCACTGAATGAGACTTTGAAGATACAGAGATGAATTGGACACCACCGCTGCCCTTAAGGGGATCCTCCAGTGACAAATACTTGATGGCCGTTTCAGTGCAAAGTGGCCATGACACCATGTATGGAAGAGAAATGTCTCACCCAGGCTGGGTGTTGTTGAAGACTTCCTGGAGGGGTCATGTCTCAACTGAGTTTTCTGGGCATCAGAAGCAGAGTTGCTGCATGGTCAGAGGCACGAAGGCCAGGGACACTGTGGTGCCTGGAGGAGTAGCTGAGTGAAGTCTGGGGAGTGAGGAAGGGAGTAGCTGGCAATGAAGTTGGAGAGATGGGTGGGGCCTTAAAGGAATGTCATTCAAAAGAGCATGGACTCTCATACAAAGGAGCCACGAAGGGTTTTATGAGATATGGGCCAATCCGACTTGCATTTTTAAATAGATACTTTCTGTGCCACGATGTGGAGGATGAGCTAGAAGGGATAGGATTGGTGCTTAGAGGCTGCCGAGGGAATGATGGGGTACCAGGATGACGAGGACCACTTCTCGTCTCCCTCAGCAGTCCTCGTGATCTGTCTGGGATCTTGTCCTCATTGGGGGTCGCTTAATGTTTGCTGATTTAGTAGGAAGTTGTATAGGCAGGCTTCAAATGCCCTAGAGTGGAGCTAGTAGTAAAGGCATGTGTGTGTGTGTGTGTGTGTGTGTGTGTGTGTGTGTGTAACAGGAGTTTCTACCGATCTTGACAATGAAAGGGAAGCCAGACATGCTTGAGTTGTGCTGCATGCAAAGTTCAAATGTGAGCCATTTGCATTTTGAATTCAAGGGGCCCTCATTTAAGTCTGCCAGGGGAGGAAAAATTGCTTCCATCAGGAAGCCTACTTAATCTCGATCAAATTCAACACTTGTAGGTGTTGTAGGTAAAACAGAGGAAGATGTGTTTTAAACACTGAGATTGATGGAAAGGAGCGGACTTCTGAATGACAGGAAGCGGATTCTCAGGTATATGCAATGTCTTCCACAGGCATTGGCTCCCTACGTCTTTAGAGCAGTAGTTTGTTGCCCTAAGCACTAGAGTTCAAAAATGTAGAGTAGACAAGACACTGGAGGCTCAAGTTCAAGGCTCCTACCTCTGTCTGGGATCTTTATCCACTCCTACTCAGCCTACTGTATGGCAAACCTGAGGACAAACCCTACTATAATGTAACTGATTTTCTGACAATCACAGCACTTTCAACTGAAAAAGGCATGGTTTCTTGTTAGGTGTAGTAAACTCAACAATGCCCCCCAAAGACGTCCACATCCTAATCCCTGGAACCTGTGGATATGTTACCTTACACAGCAAAAGGGACTTGGTAGATGTGATTTAGTTAAAGATCTTGAGAGATGAGACATTATCCTGGATTATCTGGGTGAACCCAGTGGAATCACAGAAATCCTCATAAGGGGAAGGCAGGAGGCTGTAGTGAGTAGACGATGAGACAGTGGAAGTGAGAGGTTGCCGTTATTCAAGGAGGGGTCACAAGCCAAGGAATGCAGCCCTGTAGAAGCTGAGAAAGGAAAGCAACAGCTTCTCCCCTCAGAGTCTCCAGAAGGAACCAGCCTTGCCGATATCTTGATGTTAGCCCAGTGAGACTGGTTTTAAACTTCTGACCTCTAGAACTGTCAGATAATAGATGTGTGCTGTTTTAAGCCATTCTGTTTGTGGCATTTTCTTACAGTAGACACAGGAAACTAAGACAGTGGGTCAGAGACATATTCCAACACAGCATCTTGGAAAGACTTATTTAAGGAACGGCTAATGGAATGGATGATACATTCATTCTTTTGAATAAATGTTCTCAGTGATAGCGTGGCTCCATATTTTTAAAATTAAAGTCAGCAACTATTTATTGAGCAACCAATGTCAGACACTGAGATGGCTAAAAATGTAGCAAAGCATGTGTTTTTCCTCCAGGTAGCTCCCGGTCTCGGAAGGGAGAAAATGTAAATCCACCAGTCCCAGTACTCAAGGCAGAAAACACACATCCGTAGAGGTTCCAAGTGCGATGGAGGGTAAATAAAGGGAGACAGCCCCTCGGACAGGAGGGTCAGGGAACTGATGCGAATCGGCCTGGATTTCGGCTGCTAGAGAGTGGGGATCAGGGGAGAGGGGGTGGCCCAGATGGAGGCCTGGGGTAAGCAGAGGCACGGAAGGAAAAATGTGTTGAGATAGTGCCATGGACTGAATTGTGAGTCTCATATTCACAGGCTGAAGCCCTAATCCCCATGTGACTACACTGGAGAGAAAGCCTTTAGGGAGATAATGGAGGGAAATGAGGTGGTAAAGGGCAGGGCTCCGATCTGGTAGGATAAGTGTCCTTGTGAAAAAAGGAAGAGACAGCAGAGATGGATCTCTCCCTGCGCGTGCACAGAAGAAAGGTCGTGTGAGGACACAGCACTACGCAGTCTGGCCCCAAGCCAGGTAGAGAGGCTCCACACAAACCAGCCAGGCGGGCACCTTGATCCGGGACTTCCAGCCTCCAGAACTGTGAGGAAATAAGTGTCTGTTGTTTAAGCCACCCAGCCTGTGGTATTTTGTTGTGACAGCCTGAACAGACTAAGATAGCAATAAGCAGTCAGATTTGATTGGAAAACATGACCATGGAGGAGTTAGGAGGCTGGAAACACAGGCTGAGGCCAAACAGAACAATGAGTAAAAATATTTGACTGTTGCAACTCTGGAGACAATCCAAAGCCCTGGAAGGCTGGGCTAGTGAAGAAGAAGGGTGAAGGGTTGGGTGAGAGCACTGGGGCCCCGTGGTGAGGTGCTGCTGTCCCTGTGGTACATCCAGGGCACAAGGCTGAGCTGCAAGCACAATGTGCGTGGAATACGGCAAAAGGGTGCTCCTGTTCTTTCCTTCCCGCCAAGCAAGCAGGCTGGAGTAGACGCGGAGCCGCTCATTTGCCGGGGCTGTGTTGGAGGATAGGGGGCCAGTGCGGAAGCCAGAGCGGAAGAACCTCTGCTTCCCAAACCCAGAGCCCCCTGCCATGCACAGGCACACCCTCTCACACACTCTCTCCCACACACACTCACACACACACGCTCATGCACACTCTCCCTCACACATTTACACATACTCCCACACACACATACACACTCACACTCTCCCTTCACATATTCACACACACCATACACACTCCCCCACACACTCACACACTCATACGCATTCACACACACACACTCTCATACCCATTCACACTCTCTCCCCCCACATACACACACAGTTCCTCGCACACACATTCACACACGCAAGCACACACATACATTCATACACTCTCTCCCCCAACAAATGCACACACATTCTCTCACACTCTTTCTGTCTCTCAGACACACACACACACACACACTCTGTCTCACACACATTCTCCCCGTTTCTCTCTCTCTCACCCCGCCACACACACCCCTCAGGAGGCAGGCCCTTTTCTGCCGGCCCCTGGCATGAGGTGTTGTGAAGCGTGCACTTGCACCATGTTTCCTGGCAGCCCTCCACCCACTGCCCACACTATGAATCCGAATGTGGTCCTGGCGATGCGGAGAGATAGAAGGAGAAGCCGGCATGTAAGTCCTGCCTCACCTCCCTGGCATCCTGGAAAAGGCACCTCTCACTGGACACAGCTGCCTGGGCTCCGAGGGGCTGCATCCTTTGCTTTGGCTTGGTGGTCAAATTCGTGACCACGAGATTTTCTCAAAGGCTGGACGACAGATTCTGAGGGAGTATCCAGCAGTCAGTTCACTGTAGGCAGCTTGGCAAGAATGCATGACGACAGTCGGTGTAAAACGTCCTTTCCCTTTCACCTAGACACTCCCCGAGCCTAGGATATCTCTTCTAAGAAAATCCCAGAAATCAGATGTCACTCCTCAGCTCACCTCGCCTATCCTCACGCATTGAGGCACATTGCTCCATCTTTGTCATATTGATACCTTTTAATGGCTGCCAAACAGCTCCTGGTTTCTCATTGCAGCCCATTAAGAATTTACAGCCGCTCACGCCTGTAATTCCAGCACTTTGGGAGGCCAAGGCGGGTAGATCACGAGGTCAAGAGATCGAGACCATCCTGGCCAACATGGTGAAAACCCGTTTCTACTAAAAATACAAAAATTAGCTGGGCATGGTGGCCTGTGCCTGTAGTCCCAGCTGCTCAGGAGGCTGAGGCAAAAGAATCACTTGAACCTAGGAGGTGGAGGTTGCAGTGAGCTGAGATCGTGCCACTGCACTCCAGCCTAGCAACAGAGCGAGACTCTGTCAGAAAAAAAAGAACAAAAACAATTTATAGCTGCACCTCTTTGGTGTGTGACGATTCTGAGACTGAACTCCACTTAGTTCCACAGAGGGTAGAAAACTCTTATTCTTTCACTCAATTCTCCTTTAAAAGTTATGATAGCATCTTTTGGGTCAAGAGCCACCTTTGAAACTCTCCTCATTTAGCTTCCACTTTCCATCTTTCCCAAGGAGCTCTAATTTCCAGGGGCCCTAGGGGTTATCTCCTCTCACTTGGCTGTTTCCTGTCCTCGCCAGCACCTGTGGCGCTGAGGCTTGACATGCCTGGAATTGGACACCGGGAGCTGCTCTTGGCACTGATGTCTACGGTCCCCATCTTTGGTCACAAGGGCCCATGTTCCCTGGGTCATCCTTGCTGTAACCTCACGCCTTTTCCAGCCTCCAGCTATGTCAGCATTTCTGCATCTCCCTGGGTGATCGGGGACTCTTGCTGCCTCCTCAGCCCCACCCTGACATGGTTGACCTTCTGCCTGGGGGCTGAATTGCTTTGCTGTGCTTGAGAAAAGGAGACACAGCCTGACTGGTCTGCGACACCCACAAATATTTTGGGACTATATCTGCCACTGCACCCAGGGCTAGCATTCCGTGAGATGACCGCAGCATCTATGAGCATCCATACTCCTTTCTGAATGTCTTCCTGTCTGCAGGCAAAGTCTCGCTGCCGTTTTGGATGGGAAGCTCACCACGAGGTCACGGGGAAGTCTTTCTTACTCACTGGGTAGTAAAACCTCCACTCCGTCCTCCAAGTTTGGCTTTTTATTTTTGAAGTTCAGATCCTAGAATGCCTAGAAAATTCTTTTTTTTTTTTTTTTTTTTTTTGAGACAGAATCTTGCTTTGTCACCCAGGCTGGAGTGCAGTGGCACAATCTCAGCTCACTGCAACCTCCGCCTCCCAGGTTCAAGTGATTCTCCTGCCTCAGCTTCCTGAGTAGCTGGTGTTACAGGTACCTGCCACCAAGCCCAGCTATTTTTTGTATTTTTAGTAGAGACGGGGTTTCGCCATGTTGGCCAGGCTGGTCACAAACTCCTGATTTCAGGTGATCCACCCGCCTCGGCCTCCCAAAGTGCTAGGATTACAGTTGTGAGCCACCAGGCCTGGCTGAAAGTCCTTTTTAACTTTCAATAAAGGCTGGATTTTGCAAAATAGCTTGTTGTTTCTCTACCTTTTTAAAGTAATTCACATAACATTTTATTAACAATCAACTTGTTTGTGTTAGGGCCGGGGGGTCCAATCTTTTGGTTTCCCGGGCCACATTGGAAGAACTGTTTTGGGCCACACATAAAACACACTAACACTAACGATAGCTAATGAGCTAAAAAAGAATTGAAAAAATCCCCATAATGTTTTAAGAATGTTTGCGAATTTGTGTTGGGCCGCATTCAAAGCCGTCCTGGGCCGCATGCGTTCAGGTTGGACAAGCTTGCTGGAGGCTCTTTCTTCTGTCCTCTAGTGGCACCGTATGTGGAGGCTATTTCTGCTGCCTGAGTAGAGAGTGGGCAGGGAAGGATGGAATAATGAGAACGGAACATCTGTAGTTTAATATTAAAGCATTACCATATCACATAAATAAAATGGAAATGAGGAATTTTGTGCATTTTGCTTTTCCTTCTATTGAGCAATTTTTCTATCATAAATTCTCAGGTCAGGGTGAATGGGTCAGTGGGTATACATATAGGTCTGAGTGGCTTATAATCTATTCTAGTACTAAATGAAGGTCAGAAACTTGCAATGGTCTTTTCCAGGCCTCATGGGACCAATGAATGCTGCATTGCTGAGATCAATAGTGACCACTTAGTGGGGGAAGAACAGCACACACAGGTCCCATTTTTCATTCTTAGGACAGTTGTACAATGCCACAGCCTCATTCTTCAAGGCTAAGCCCAGCTGGGTGAGCACCTAAATCAGATGACTTTATTTATTTATTTAGGGTTATTTTTTAGATAGCGTCTTGCTCTGTTGCCCAGGCTGGGGTGCAGTGGCTCGATCTTGGCTCACTACAACCTCTGCCTGCTGGGTTCAAGCGATTTTCATGCCCCAATCTCCCAAGTAGCTGGGATAACGGGTGTTTGCCACCAAGCCTGGCTAATTATTTATTTATTTATTTATTTATTTATTTATTTATTTATTTAAGTAGAGACAGGGTTTTGTTACGTTGGCCAGGCTGGTCTCAAACTCCTGACCTGAAGTGATCTGCCCGCCTCGGCTTCCCAAAGTGCTGGGATTATAGGCATGAGCCACCACACCTGGCCTGGAGTCTTTAGATGTGTGCAGTGATCCTTGAACACCCTGAACACCTGCTTACACAGTAAGAAGTGGAAGGCCTGGCTCAGCAGCTCACGCCTGTAATCCCAGCGCTTTAGGAGGATGAGGTTGGAGGACTGCTTGAAGACAGGAGTTGGAGACCAGTCTGGGCAACAAAGTTGGACTCCATCTTTACAAAAAGATAAAAGAATTAGCCAGGCCTGGTGGTGCACACCTGTAGTCCCAGCTACCCAGGAAGCTGAGGTGGAAGGATTGCTTGAGCCCAGGAGTGTGAGGCTGCAGTAAGCTATGCTTGCACCACTGCAATCCAGCCTGGGTGACAGAGAGATGCTGTCTCTAAAAAAAAGTGGCCATCCGAGCCTGCCCAGCTACTAGACTGTCAGCTCTCTGCCCACTGCTGTGACCTCTTGACCTCCACCTGCAGGCTCAGCTCGGTTCCTGCCGCCATCAGGTCATCTTGCTGCTTGTTCTGCCCAAGAAGCCTGTTTCTAAAACCTAGGCATTACCTTGTGATCTAGGGCGGCAATCAAGGTCGTAACTGCTTCATGATGTCTGGGTCCTCGTCTGAATAACCTTCAGGGGACTAGTCCCCACATAAAGGGCCCCTGGCTCCTGCCTCTGCCTTGCCACTGGACTTGTACTTGTTGGGTCCCCAGTGACTCCTAAGCTCCAAAGCCACTGGACATTTTCAGGCTGGAAATTACTTTTCAGCCATGTCATCTTGTCATTTGACATTGTTGATGCTACTCCCATGATACATGTCTGTGAAAACAATTATGGTTTCCTTTTGGCTTTCTTGAGTGTTGAAAGTGAGTTCATATCACCTTGGCCAGAGGATACAAAGGAAAGAAAGAGGAAGTTGGAAGAGTGCTTTTTATTTATTTATTTGTTTATTTATTTATTTTTGATAGAGTCTCGCTCTGTTGCCCAGGCTAGAGTGCAATTTCTTGGCTTCTTTGATTTCTTTGATTGCACCAAAGTAAATTTCTTGGCTGTGTAAGGTGTTAAAAAGGAGGTGAAGGAGAGAGAAGGATGAACAGAACTTCTCTGTACATTTCCTTGCAACCTCCTGTAAAACTATAATTATTTCAAAAGAAAATGGTTTCTTTAAAAAACTAAGGCTTCAGTACAGTGTAAATGCAGTTTATTTATAAATTACAAAATGCTCTTCCTGCCGAGTATGGTGGCTCATGCCTATAATCCCAGCACTTTGGGAGGCCAAGACAGGCAGATCACCTGAGGTCAGGAGTTCAAGACCAGCCTGCCCAATATGGCAAAGCCCTATCTGTATTAAAAATACAAAATTTAGCCAGATGTGGTGGCAGGTGCCTGTAATCCCAGCTACTTGGGAGGCTGAGGCAGGAGAATCGCTTGAACCCGGGAGGCAGAGGCTGCAGTGAGCTAAGATCGTGCCACTGCACTCCAGCCTGGGTGACAGAGTGAGAGTCTGTTTAAAAAAAAAAAAAAAAATCCAACAAAATCAAAGTTGCATTTGGAAATTAAGACTTACAAATTAAGTTGAATTTGGAAATTAAGGACCCTCTTGTTCTTGTGTTTTTTTGTGAGACATCACCAGTACATACAGGCCGGGGAGGTGCATGCAGTAGAACCTTCAACTGGCAAATCCAGCATTGCCTTTTGATTGATTTCCTCACCTTCAATCAATCTACAAACACGCATTAATCAGCCGGGTGCAGTGGCTCATGCCTGTAATCCCACCACTTTGGAAGGCCAAGGTGGGCAGATCACTTGAGGCCAGGAGTTCGAGACCAGTCTGGCCAACATGGTGAAACCCCATCTCTACCAAAAATATAAAAATTAGCTGGGGTGTGGTGTCACCCGCCTGTAATCCCAGCTACTTTGGAGACTGAGGCAGGAGAATCTCTTGAACTTGGGAGGTGGAGGTTGCAGTGAGCCGAGATTATGCCACTGCACTCCAGCCTGGGCAACAGAATGAGACCCTGTCACAAAAAAACAAAGCAAAACAAAACAAAAAAAAACATGCATTAATCAATTTTTCACCCAGGAAGTTTGTCTATTCTAGGGCATTTCTAGATCACAATCTTGTCCTCTTAACAAATAGATTCCAGGCAGAAGTAAGAATGCAATATATTTTAATGCAAAACTAAAGCAAAAAAAAAAAAAAAAATGGAACAACCTCCCTAATCTTCATCACTGAACCTATTAGCCTTAAGCTGTGTGGATTCATATTTTTGAGAACATTGGATCTTTCTTTGTTTCTTTCACATAGGCCTTGTTCTTTTCTCTGCCTGAGGATTGCTGAACAAGAGTGGCAGTGTTGGTTTTAGTGATTTATGACTACTGCTTATATCCTGCCAGATTTCTTCATTGCCCCATTTCCTTAATTAAGTCATAATTCCTGCCTTTGCTTTGTCTCTTTTCCTTTTGCTTCCACAAACAACAGACCTGGGGGCAGCCTTTTTGGAAACTATCTTCCCTCCCACCTCCCATTTCGCAGTGAATCATATTCTAATCACAGAGATCAGTGCAGCTGGCCCTCAGCATCCTGAAAGCCTCCCTCTCCACTTGAGGTCCTGATTGCTTCCCCCATCTAGGGCGAGGCGTCCCCCTGAGCCTGCAATGAGGAGGGTTGAGGACACCTGTCCCGAGCCTTCCATGAGTCTTGAATCTTCTAAACCTGTGCAGTGGTGGGGTGGGGGTGGTGGCAGATGAGAGTGCCTGAAAGGAGGTTCCTAGAGAATAGCCCTGAACCTCCCACTTCATTATTGTCCTTTGGAGGTTTAAATATCATGGGCCAAGTTTTCCTTAAGCCATTCCCTCTCTGGCATTGGGGATGACCAGCTGTTTGTTGTCTCTCCCAGGTCGGCTGATTTTGCTTCCCGTCCATGTATTGTTCTAGCTCATGCAACTGTCATCTCTGCTCATCCAAAAGCTTAATCGGGAATTGGCACGTACTTTTCCTTGGCTCCCACTTCTTTAGCAAGGATGCATGTAACTGCTTCTTGCACTCCTGGATATTTGGTTTGGGCCTCCTCACTTCTGAGACAGAGCACCTGGATTCCTGTCCATCTCTGTGGAAGACTTGGCAGCTGGAACCCTCCCTCACCCCTTGTCTGTGAAGTTGGTTGAATGATGTCTGCCCTCCACCCAAATATGTCCAAGTTCTAACCCCTGGTATGTGTGAATGTGACCTTATTTAGAAAGAGAGCTTTTGCAAATGTAATTAACATCTCAATTACATTGAGCTGCAGACCAAGGCATGCTCAGGCTTGCTGGCAGCCTCCAGGTGCCAGGAAGAGGCATGGAGCCTTCAGAAGGAACCAACCTTGCCAAGATCTCGATTTCAAGCTTTTGATCTTCAGAACTGTGAGATAATTTTTGTTCTATGAAGTCACACACTTTGTAGCAATTTGTTGTGGCAGCCTGAGGAAATGAAGATGCAGGTGTATTAGGGTTCTCTAGAGGGACAGGACTGATAGGTTAGATGTATATATAAAGGGAGTTTATTAAGGAGTATTGACTCACACAATCACAAGGTGAGGTCCCACATAGGCCACCTGCAAGCTGAGGAGCAAGGAAGCCAGACTGAGTCCCCAAACCTCAAAAGTAGGGAAGCCGACAGGGTACCCTTCAGTCTGTGGCCAAAGGCCTGAGAGCCCCTGGCAAACCACTGGTATAAGTCCAAGAGTCCAAAAGCTGAAGAACTTGGAGCCCGATGTTCAAGGGCAGGAAACATCCAGCACGGGAGAAACATGGAGGCCAGAAGACTAAACCAGTCTAGTCCTTCCACATTCTTCTGCCTGCTTTTATTCTGGCTGTGCTGGCAGCTGATTTGATGGTGCCCACCGGGATTGAGGGTGGGTCTGCCTTTCCCAGTCCACTGACTCAAATGTTAATCTCCTTTGGCAACAACCTCACAGAGACACCCAGGAACAATACTTTGCCTTCTTCAATCTGATCAAGTTGACACTTGATATTAACCATCACACCAGGCTTTTTCTGAAATGGTCTCCTGACTGGGGGCACCAGCAGCAGGCTAAGCATTGGAGGTTGCACTCTTGGGGTGGCGCTCCAGGGTCTCTGCCCAGATTTCCCCTTCTCTGCTGAAGGAACCAGCTTTGAGTTTCAGCCACTCCCTCCTTCTCAGGGTTCTTATAGGTCTGATGAGGCTGCTGGGAGTCTTATGTTGGTTTTCCTCAGGGGAGAAGCAATGTTGCTCTCTTCAGAAAGTTCAGCCTCAAAGACTCAGGATTCCTTTTAATGGGTAAATCACTAGGGTGGATTCACCTTCGGTTTATGGTGTGGACTTGAGCAGAGTACATGCACTTGACTTGGCCAGGCTTTTCTGGGTCAGCGTGGAAGGGTCATTCACCACAGGCCTGGTGAGTGGAATTTGATAGAGAGGGCTCCTCAGCTTCTCACAGGATCTTTGTGAGTCTGATTTCTGGCCGTGCTTCTGCAGAAAGTCCAGGCTGAGAGGAGCTTTTCTCTCTTGCTGAGGCTTCTGGGAAACAAAATAAAATTCTTCAGAACATCTGGATCTCCTTTCCTCCTCTGAGAAGGTGGTCTCCGTTATCACTGAAATCCCCTTCAGACTTTTGTGGTCTTATAAAATCCTATCAGCTTCCTCCTCTCCAGGGCTGTGCCTTCCCAGGCAACAAATATTGGCATCCAGGGTAGGGTCACCAAATGTCCTAGTTTTCCTGGGACTGAAGCATTTCCTGGAATGTGCTACATTCACTGCCAAAACTGGGAAAGTCTAAGTATTAATAAATAGGGATGGGTTGCTCTCTCTAGTCCTTGAAAAAATTGATCTTTGAGGACAAAGTACTGTTCACATCTATAGTATGAAACATTACTAAAATATTATTTTGATTGAAAAGTGAAACTTAATTTCTTTGTATCTATAACATTGTTTTTTGTTTTTGTTTTGTTTTGTTTGTTTGTTTGTTTGAGAAGGAGTCTTGCTTTGTCACCCAGGCTGGAATGCAGTGGCATGATCTCGGCTTACTGCAACATCCACCTCCTGGGTTCAAGTGATTCTCCTGCCTCAGACTCCTGAGTAGCTGGGATTACAGGTGTGCGCCACCACATCCCACTAATTTTTGTATTTCTAGTAAAGGAGGGGTTTTGCTATGTTGGCCAGGATGGTCTGGAGTGCCCGACCTCAGGTGATCTGCCCGCCTCGGCCTCCCACAGTGCTGGGATTACAGGCATGAGCCACTGCACCCAGCCTCTATCTATAGCTTTTAAAAGCACATATGTTTTTTGTTTTTTTTTGTAAGAGAGTAATTTACATAGCAGCATTTACAAGTTCTTACTATCTATGCAGCTGCAGTTTAGTGGTTATTACAATAGTCCTGCCTGAGGCTGAGTTCTTCCGAGGTGGAATCTGAGAAAAATTGGGTAAAAGTGATTTATTTAAGGAATTCCCAGGAAAAACTGGGAGGGATGTGGAAATTCCATCTGCCACCACCTCCATCCCACAAAATTGCACAGAACATGCAATACACAAGGAGGCTCAGCTGTCACCAAACCCCAGGGAAGGCTCAGGGAGACATCTCACTCCAGGAATTGAGATTGAAAAGAAAGAAGACTAAGCAAGGCAAATAAAGTTTCTGCAGAGGGTAAATGTATCTCAATCCCACTGGGATGCTGTAGAGAAAATATGTTACAACTTAGAGATGCCCCCATCTAGGAGCAAGGAAGCTGGCATATTGATGCCCCTGCACCCAGGAGTCATTGGTAATAAGCTATTCTCTGTGGGATGTAAAATCCTAGGAACCCCTGGCTCTGCATGCTTTGGCAAAGTAGGATCCAACAGCTTAAGGACAGTCTTTCAAAAAAGGGATATGGATCCTTGTGCCTGAGCATGAAAGCAGAGGGCAGGTGTGGATGAAAATAGGCAGAGGGTCCCATGGCCTGCTGGCAGCACCATATGTCTCTCCAGCAGACGAGTAGAGTCCCGGGGACCTCTGTGGCCTGCTCAGCAAGGCTATGCTCTCTCAACCTTCCCTGTGTCCCTAACCTCCTCATTAATGTCCAAGGAGGCCCAGGTCCCTTGGATCCTGGATCTGTGGCATCTACAGAATCCTTGGGCACAAGACGCAGTGAGAACCTGCATTTCCATCTTGGCCCCGGCCACGAAGCCTGATCACCTGCCTCTCTTCCATTTTTTCTTTATCTACAGGCCATCTGCCTGAGACATGCCATGTTCCCATCAGATGACCCCAGGCATCATGCAGGGTCCACTCGGGTGACAGGAATCCGTACTTTACTCATTGCTTTTCAATTCTTCCCATCTGTCATTCATTAGGAATCCTTTTAGAACCCAAGGATTCAGGTTAGATGAGATGCCACCTCTCTCTGACTACTCCTGCCAGCCTGTCCCCTTGAAGCCTGCCAATTTTTGTCACAATGAGATGCCAACTGTGTCTCCATTCCAGCTCTCTGCTTCCTTACCATAGACTTGAAGCAAACCAGGAATGAAAATACAAGTTTGCACGCTCATAGCCAGCACAGAGTGGGGGTTCTGAGACCTATCTGAAAACTTTTCTAAAGCTGCAACCAGTCACTGTGAATTCATTATAGATAAAGACAATTGAGGAATGATGGTGCGACCCAGAGTAGGACGAATTCTTTGGAATTTATTGAACATTAATTGAGTGTCATGCACTGTACAGGGCATAAACCGATGAAGGAAAAACCTGAAGTAGCCTTCACTGAACACGTCCTCAGCATCGCACCCTGAATCATTTCTCTCTTCTTCTGTCCTGTCTCCAGGGGAGCCAGCCCATCTCTTTGTGCTAGCACCCGGGCTTGGACAAAACTCTTTCCCACCCCAATGTGACGACTAGGAAGAGAGCCTGCTGTTCTTGAATTAACACTTCATTCTGACTGCTGATAGTGAGCCTAGGATGACTCCAAGCTCCCCGGCATCTTCTTAACATCTGGGGTCCTGGTTCCTCATGGAGTTGGTAACTAGTTGGCCCTGTGTGCCCTTCCACAGGGAGCTCTCAAAACCATGCCTTTCCTAGGAGTAGGTGGGGTATGAGGGATCACGAGGGTTTCCAGGAACCCCATGTAACATCATCCCTGACATGGCTCTATTCCATGGGCCCAACGTAAACTCATTGTGGCTGCAATGAAAACATAGCTTCCACTTAAAGGAGTGGGGATTCTGCGAAAAAAACGAGTAGGCACACCTGCACTCAATGAGCCTTGTGAATGAGAAATGCTCACACTCTGATAAATCACTGTGATGAAATGTTTTCTGGCCTCATCAGCCCCAGGCCACATTTCTTTATTCTTGGCATATATGTTTGACTCTGGGTAAAATGTGTGGAAAGAATTAGTAATTTATAATTAGGAGGTTGTGGCTGTAGAACTAGAGGCAAGCTACATTCCAGGCATTTTAATCTGGTGTCCTGCTGAGAGGCTATAGCTATTTCATGACTTATAGGGGTCTCGGGCTTGGATTTGGGGGTCTGTTAAGTGATTTCTGCAAAAGCTGAGCCAACAAGCTGTGCGCCCAGTGGGTAGACTCCATCTTTGATGGGCCCCAACTGGGACCTCTTGCTTAAGTCATGCTAATCACAAACGCATGAGATACTCAGCCCTTCCTGGACTCCCCCTTCCCTCTTTTGTGTTGGTGCAGAATAGGTGACCTCTACCAAAATCCTTAGTACATTCCAGAACATCATATTGCTTGCCTCTCCCCTCAGGATGAGGCAGTCCTCATGAGTGGGACCTGGGTCGTCCCTGTGTAGCCTCAACCCCAGCACTGTTCATGGAGCAGGTGGTGGGGGCCACGCAAATGCTTACTGAGAGAACATGCTTAAAGGATTTACAGGAGAAAGAAGCTCATGATTGTCAGGCATCAACATGGTAACGGGGGGATAAGCTTATTTTTCTCAGTGGAAAAATAAGTTCTCTCTGGGAGTGGAGGCTGAGAGGGGAGTAAAGTCTAGGTGGTATCATGAGAATGAGTGCTGGTTCTTCCAGCGGCTTTGTTCCACTCCCTGAATTCTGAGCAGACACAGTGCTTCCCTCACCCCTGCTCTTGACCCCTCTCACCTCTCCTTACTCACTTGTCCCAATCATCAATAAGAGTGAATTGGGGCCAAGTGTGGTGGCTCGTACTTGTAATCACAGTACTTTAGGAGGCCAAGGCAGGAGGATCACCTGAGCCCAGGAGGTCGAGGCTGCGGTGAGCTGTGATTGTGCTACTGCAATCTAGCCTGGGCAACAGAGGGAGACCATGGCTCCAAAACAAAAAAGATGCCAGGCACAGTGGCTTATGCCTGCAATCCCAGCACTTTGGGAGGCTAGGCGGGTGGATCTCCTAAGGTCAGGAGTTCAAGACCAGCCTGGCCACCATGATGAACCCACATCTCTACTAAACAAATATAAAAATTAGCTGAGCGTGGTGGTGAACACCTGTAATCCCAGCTACTCAGGAGGCTGAGGCAGGAGAATTGCTTGAACCCGGGAGGAGGAGGTTGCAGTAAGCTGAGATCGCACCACTGCACTCCAGCCTGGGCAGCAGAGTGAGACTCTGTCAGAAAAAGAAAAAGAGCGAATTGGAATACAGTATTATTGTTCTTCATACTTTTCTATACCCTTCACTTTAAAAACAATGAATGTATATCATCAGAAAAATCAGAAAAATAATTATATTGTTCCATCTATGTAAAGGGTATATTTTTGTTAGCTGTTTATTTTGAGGATTGAAAGAGGGACTACAGGTAAAGCACCAGCCTAGGTCATGGCAGGTCCTTTGGCCTTCATTCAGTACTTCTTCTCCTCATCGTGCCCTGCAGTCCACTCAGCTTCCCATCTGCCACAGGTGTGTCCAGCTAGAGTGCATTCTACCATTGCACACAGGTGTCCTTCTCTTTCCCACTCCTTGGCATCAAAATTCCATAGTGGTTCAAGATTTCAAGTTACTGTGGGTGATCATTTATTCTCTTCTTATTCTGGCAGGCAATTTGCTTTAGATTACTTTTAATGATTTTATAAGTAATATATATTCTTTGTAGAACAAGTCATATTAAAAGTTACAAGGATGGAAGGGAACTTCACCTCAGATCCCATTAGGTTGAGACCATCATGAGGGGATTTTCATCCATCTGTTATACATATAAAGGCATATGCCTTTTTTTCTTGGAGAAATACACAAGATAAATGAATAAATGCATATGTAAATAATTTCACGTAAATGCAATGTTATTATACGTAACACATTTATTTTAAGTTTTGCTTACTTTCTCTGCTTCTACAATCCCTCCAAATACAGCTTATTAATGTGAATATGGTATTTTATACATTTTTTTTTTCTGAGACAAGGTGTCATTCTGTCACCTAGACTCTAGAGTGCTGTGGCATGATTATGGCTTATTGCAGCCTCAAACTCCAGGGCTCAAGTGATCCTCCTACCTCAACCTCCTGAGTAGCTAAGATTACTAGGTATGTGCCACCACACCTGGCTAATTAATTTTTTTTTTTTTTGTAGAGACAGGGTCTTGCAATGTTGCCCAGGCTGAATACTTTATACATTTTCTACATGTACATATGTATGTATATATACAACCATGTACTCACACATGAACCTAACTAATGTGCTTTTGGTCATGTTTGCTTTATCAACATAGATTAATTTCATTTATAATTTTCTGATTATTTATTTTATTTATTAATATATTGAAATAATGCTATCTGATAGTTCATGAAGTAGGTATTCTCCAATGTATTCATCCATTCTTCTATCAGTGAGCTTTGCCTTAATTTACAGTTTTCCACCCCTACAAAATAAGGTGGCAATAAATATTTCTATAAATATATCTGTATTCAACATTCTTATTTCGCTAAGACAGATTATTAGAGATGGGATAGTTGAGTCAAAGATACAGTTTTATTTAATAGATATTGTCACGTCACTCTCAAAATGAATTGCAAAAATTTCTATTTTTACCAAAAATAACTAAGACAATCCTTTCACATTCATTCCCACTTTTGCCAGTCCATTGGGGTGAAAAATGTCATGCCATTGTTACTTTAATTTGCATTTCTTTGACTAGTTGTGAGATTTAAGTGTCTGCTTTCTGAGTTCTGTTTAATTATTAAATATTTCCATTATACATCATTTTGAGAAAAGTATTATAGAATTTTACGTGCTCATTACCGAAATGAAACAGCTGTTTAACATTTTGCCATAATTGCCTCAGCTACTTTTCTGTTCCTTTTTAGTCAATACCTCTTTTTTTTTCTCTTTCTTAATCTGTTTTAAGGAATTGAATCATACAAGTCATTCTATGTCTTTCTTCTAAGGATAAACATTATCCAGAATTGTTTTTAGCATCAATGAGGTTATTTTTCTTTTCTTTCTTTGACCAATTATCTATTTATTTACAAAATATGTTAATATGTTGAGTTATAAAAATATGCACAGCAGTTAAATTCAATGTTATATTTTTAGAATTTTTGCATCTGCAACAAGGTATTTAAGTGCTGCGATATATTCCTTTGTGTACCTAAATCACAATTTATTCATTTCTCTACTAAAGGATAGATTATTTTCTTCCACTTTTTCACTCTTACACACAGAGCAATAAATATCTTTTTATCTGTCTTCTTGTGTATATGTGAGACGTTTTGTAGAACAGACAGTTGGAATTAGAATCACTGTCATGGGTTTGTACATCTTTGACATTCCAATATGCTGTTGGAAAAATGGTACTGATAAATGTCATCTTTTTCAGAGCAAGTATGCTATTTTCCACTAGCTAGGAAATAGAATTCCTGTCTCCCCATATCCTCAGTAACAATCATGTTATCAGACGTAGTAAATCTGAGCGACATAAGCATTTATTTTGTTTTAATTTTGCCTTTCCCTTAATTACAATGAAGTTCAGCGTCTTCTAATAGATTTAATGCCATCTGATTTTCTATGAACTCACAACTCAAATTCTTTGACCATTTTTCTATTGAGTTCTATTTTTTTAAATTGACTTTTAGGAATCTTTCATTTATTCTGAATACTACATTTTTGGGTATACAAATTGCAAATATTTTCTACCAGTTAATGGACTGTTACATTTTTTGAGGCTGATTTTTTAAATTGAGTTAAACTTTATCAATATTTTACTTCATTGTTTGTTGTCTTTGTGCCGGGTTTAAGAAATCCTTCCAAGACTTGATTTTTAAAATATATTCTCCTAGATTTTTTCTAAATGTTTTACATATATTGCCTTTAGCCTTGCGATGTTTTCATCTGTGTAGAGTTTATTTTTTCTATAGGGTGTGAGATGAGAGTATGAAGATTTCTTTTCCTACATTCTTTCCTCGAGCACCATCTATTGGAAGTCTAGCTGGTCCCTGTGATTTGTAATGCTGACTCTTCCAAGCTTCTTTCTGAATGTCTGTGGATTTCTAGGTTCTTTGTTGTGTTCTGTGATCTACTTTTCCATCTCCATGCTAACCTTACACTTTTTTTTTTTTTTTAGAGAAAGGGGGTCTCACTCTGTCACTCAGTCAGGAGTGCAGTGGTGTGATCATAGCTCACTGTAGCCTCGAACTCCTGGGCTCAAGCCATTCATCTCTTTTTTGTAGGGATGGGGCCTCACCATGATGTTGGTTTTGAACTCCTGGGCTCAAGGGATCCTTACCTCTCAGCTTCCCAAAGTGCTGGGATTAGAGGTGTGAGCCACCATGCCTGGCCCAACCCCACACTTCTAATGATAAAGCTTCCCACTGTCCGGTGGGATAAAGGCTGGCTCTTTTTTCTCCTTTTCTTCCTCTTTCTCCCTCTTTCTTTTCTTTTTTAGATCTTATTCAACAAAATTTACTGCCTATCATTTTTTCTTCCATAGGAAATTTGAAATCAACTTGACAAATTCCACAAGAAACTGCTGTGATTATTTTTACATCAACTTTATTTAGAGACAACCTATGCACAACAGAATTTAATGTACCCATCTTAAATGAAGGGTTTGATGAGTTTTGTGATTTGTATACACCTTTGTGACCATCACACAAGAAAGATATAGAACCTTTTCATCATCTCACAAACTTCCCTTGTGCCTCCTCCCACTTACTCCTCCGGCCAGCAACCAACGATCTGCTTTCTGATTGGATAAGTCTTATCTAGAGTTTCATATAAGTGCAATCATTGTGTATGTTTGTGCCTGGCATTTTTTGCTCTGCATAATGTTTTCGAGCTCTGTTTATGCTGTTGATTGTATCTGTGCTTTGTTCCTTTTTATTGCTGGGTAGTATTCCACTGTGTGGTGGTACCACAATTTGTTTATCCACTCACCTACTGATGGACATTTAGGTTGTTTTTCCCTCATGGCTATTACATATGAAACTGCAATGAATATTCCTATTCAAGTCTTTGTTTGGAAATATGTTTTTATTTCTCCTGGGCAAATAGCTAGGTATGAAAAAGCTAGGTCATAAGATGAGTGGATGATTAACTTCCTAAGAAACTGTTACTCAAAGTGGCTGTACCATTTTGCCTTTATGAGGGTTCTAGTTGCTCCATATCCTGGGCAACACTTGCTATCATCAGTCTTTTTACATTTTAGCCAAATATTAGAGTCACTGTATATTTTATTTTCCATTTCCTTGATGACTAATGATGGTAATCAGTTTTTTCCACATGCTTATTTGCCATCTGTATATTTTCTGTGGTGACGTGCCTGTTCAGATTTTTTGCCTGTTTTGTACTGAGTCATTTGTTTTATTCCATTGTAAGAGTTCTTCACATATTCTAGGTACTAGTCCTTTGTCAGATACATGACTTGTGAATGTTTTCTCCCATCAGTGGCTTATCTTTTCATGCTCTTAGCAGTGTCTTTTGAAAAGCAAATGCCTTTAATATTTATGTAGTCTAATTTGTCAATTTATTCTTTGATGGATCATGCTTTTGGTGTAGTATCTAAGAAGTCTATATTTAACTCAGGGTCACAGAATTTTATGTATACTTTAAATACGTGCAGTCTACTTTATGTCAATAATAGATCAATAAAGCTGTAAAAACTAGCAATGCTAGGTGTTTGATGGAAGAGTTTTAAAACAATTTTAGTCTGCCATTTTGCTAGAATCCAAAAAGTTCTCTTTTGGCAGAGGAACAATAGAATTTGTAAGTACAGTTGACCCTTGAACATCATGGGGGTTAGGGACGCCTACTCTTCATGCAGTTGAAAGTCCATGTATAAATTTTGACTCCCCTAAAACTTAACAACTAATAATCTACCGTTGACCAGAATATAGATAACATAAAACAGTTAATTAACACATATTTTAGATGTGTTATATACTGTATTCTTACAGTTAAGTAAGCTAGAGAAAAGAAAATGTTAAGAAAATCATAAGGAAGAGACAGTATATTTACTATTCATTAAGTGGAAGTGGCTCTTCACAAAGGTCTCCATCCTTGTCATCTTCACGTTGAGTAGGCTGAGGAGGAGGAGGAAGAGGAGGTCTTCCTGTCTCAGGGCTGGCAGAGGTGGATGGAAGAAAATCCACGTGTAAGTGGACCTACACAGTTCAAACCCATGTTGTTCAAGAGTCAATTGTATTTACTAGAGGCATCAGCATATTAAAACACTAACAATTTTGTAAGGATTAAAAAATAATAAGAAGAATGTTTGAATAGGACAATATATACAGGGTTTTGGACTGAGACCTGAGTTCAATATCCTGGTTCTGCCATTTCCTTCCTGTATTTTCTTAACTTCTCTGAGTTCCAGTTTCTCCATCTGTAAACCAGGGAGAGTAACCACATATCAGATTTGTATTAACAAAAATAGCATTTGTAAGGAAGCTTCTAGAGAGCCTTGCCTAACACAGACGGTCAAGAATTGTGTTTCCTTTTATTATTTGTTTATTTATTTTCTGTTGGTTCTAATGCAATATGACTGATATGCTAGCTTCCTTTGTTTGTTTTGTTTTGAGACAGGGTCTTGCTTTGTTGCTCAAGCTGTTCTCAAACCCCTGGGCTCCAGTGATCTTCCCACCTCAGCCTCCCAAAGTGCTGGGATTACAGGCCTGAGCCACTGTGCCCAGCCCTAGTTTCCTTTTCTATCCTAAGAAGCTAAACCTCCAAAAGGGTCACTCTTTAGTATAATGTACGCCACATCCTTTACAGATTATGACACAATACAGCCCATAGGAGGGAGTGTAATGCAAAGGGCAGGTTTCAAGGATGGTTCAATTACAAACTTGGCCTGGGCCATTTGTTGTTCAGAGCAAAGTCATTTTTATTGTAATGAAATTTTAAAAGGCAGTTACATTAGTTACACATATACACAACCGACTTAATAACTGTTAGTCATAGAGAACATTCAAGAAATACAAATGATTTATCCACAGCACAGTTCACATCCATAAGAAGAAAGAGAAATGGTTAAGTACTTAAACTGTCCACTGACACCTGCTTATGAAATCTTTTCCTTTCTTTCTTTTTTTAAAGGAAACTGAGATTGTTAGATGAAGCAAGCCGTCCTGCTCCCGCACAGCCTGTGAAACCTCCATTTTGCCACTTTCAAGGTCAGTGCCCCACAGACCCTGGCCTGTTGTTGACCATAACACTAGCTTTGGCCACAAAAGCCAGGGACACCTACGCTTGGAAATGTGCCTGCACCACTGTGTGGTGCCTCCTTAAGTTGCCCCAGACTCCAGATGGTCAAAGAAAAGGTGAATGTCCAGGTGGCTCATGGCTCCTTAGTATGGGGTGTTTGGTGGGGAATGACCCCGGCAGGTTAGGAGACAGCGACTTAGGCCAAGCCCATATTTTCTGGTAATATAAAGGACACTTCTATTCTGACTTGTTATTCCTAGAGCTGTTCCGGTCACTGGCTTCTTCCTGTTTATGTGGTAGGTCAGAACCGTGACGGAGCAAGGTGAGCGTTCACATTCTCGCATAGCTTATGGGCTGCCTAAAGTGCTGCCGGGAGTGGGGAGACCACCATTCATTCCCTGGGACTGGTTTCTTTCTCGGCTAAAGCTAGAAGGACACTGATGTTTGCATGTGTGGCTAATCTGGAGAACATGTAGTCACATTGTTGACACGGAAGAGTAAAGCTCCCCAGTGTAAGTTCCTTAACAACCAGAATCCCCCCACTCTCTGCAACATTCACGTCTCATGAAATAACAACAGTGTAGAATCTGGTATGTTGGAGAGTAGAGCAGAATGTGGCTATTTGTGATGGCTGTCACTCCCTGAAGCCAAAGCTAAAAATAAAACTGGGGGGAGTGACGCATGGACAGAGTGTTCTAGAGCCATCCTTGGCCATCCTGTTGCCATCACTGACCCAGTCCTGATGGAGCCTTACTGTGGCTGCATCTGTGTCCTTGCTGCCGGCCCGGGTTGTCACTGTACAGACCTCTTCAGTGGGGAGCTGTCTGCTTGCCTGACCTAAGGAAAGCCAGTTGAAAGTCCAGTAGTTCAAACAAGGTGTGAGCGAGGAAGTGAGTCACAGAGTCAAACAAAGTCACAAGTGCCTCTCCCCTTTCTAATCCAGCTTTGAGCCCGTCTCCAGTCAGAGAGGTATCTGCTGGGCATGGGCTGAAGGACAAGCAGACCACAGGGGCCATGAGCATTCCGGCCTCCAAGGCTGGGCGGTACTGGCATGGGAGGCTCTTTTGCAAACCAGGATAATTAAATCCTCTGGGGCTTTAATTCTTACTCCAGTTTGTCTTGAAAATCCTTGGTGAAAACCCCTGGGGCATGTGCGATTCTCCCAGTCCTGGGCTTCTCCCCCTCCATCACCCCTATTTTCTTATTGACCCCATGACGGCTTTTACAAATCATAAGCAAAAACTGCAGTCAGACTCTACTCAGATTTCCCGCCTATGCTCCTAGGACAGAGCTGGAAGGGAAGGAGGCTGGGCCTATTTAGTCATAATGCCTCCCCATCAGGTCTAGCTTTCATTCATCCATGAATCCTCACCCAAGGGCCAAGAACTGAGTTCACTGCACCCTGGACCCCTGTTGAGGTAGGAGAAGTAGACGTTGGGAGCAAGGATCCTCTCCTAATTTTGTTGCATCCCCTCAGTGCCCAGCACAGCTCCGGATACAGGGCAGGTTCACAGTCAGCGTGTTCACCTGGGTCTGTGTATGCACCTAAGAAAAGCCTCAACTCTCCTCCAAGAAACAGAAGAGGCAAAACAAACATAAGACCCCCCAAACTTCCAAACTCACAAGCTAAAGGCTATAAAAAGACTGTTTTCATTTCACTGAGAAACACTTCTTTGATCCAAAACCTATTTTTGTGCCTTTTTTGGGGGGAAATAATTATGCCCAAGGCCTGGGGCAAGCTCAAGCCTGCTGGAGGCAGAGGTGGCCCCAAGGGCAGGGCAGGCAGAGAAAGGCCCATTCTGGGGCTGGCCCTGGGAGGATGTGCAGGGTTTCAACCACCTGCCATTTCCCCAGAAGCAAGAAAGCCTCTGAGGTTGGAGTGAACACTGCATGCATCTACAGTGGAGACCCAATCACCATTACAGACAAAAAGCTCTAGAAACTGCAAAGTTGGGGTTAAGTTAGAGTCTAGGAACTGCAGTCATGCACAGCTGGCGACCAGCCAAAGGCATTTTACTGAGCAATGTTTGACTTTTGTAGGTCCCCCAGCAACATTGAGCACATGGATCTCCCTGGCCAGACAGGGCTGGGGTTTAATGTGGAGCTTTCAATGGATCACAGCAAACACTCTCTCCAAACTCCTTCCTGCATGCTGGCCTCACTCCACTCTCAGGTTCCTAGAACCAATGCCACTCTTCTAGGTCCTGCAGAATCCATGGGCAGGGATGCACGGGTTGTTTCTGAGCAAGCAGCATCTGCGAGGGCCTACCTGAAGGACTCTGGGAGGGACACAAGGGCTTTCCCAGAGGGTAGGTCCCTCCATGTGCCCTGCAGCAGCCACGGTACCTTTTCTACCATATGGGAGTCAGTGGGCTGATGGGCTGGTGATAAGAAACAGGGAGGGGGCGTAATGGTCACAAAAGGAAGGAAACACAAGAGGCCGAAGGAGTCCTCACTAGTGTAAGGGGTGTGGGAGAAGGCAGAGGTCCCTGAAAACAGGGGGATGGATTCATAAACTCTCCTCAAATCCAAGAGAAGCACAGCAAGCCAGGGATCATGGGCTCAGAGGTCAGCCAGGCAGAAGATTCTAGAGTCAGCTCTTGTTCTTGTCTTGAGACCACCAGAGAAATTCAAGGCCGGTGGGTGTGTGGCAGAACCAGAACTGGAACCCATGTCTTCTGCCCCTGAGACCTGCACTCTGTGCCTCCCAGAGCTGCTGTTCCTCCAGTCGGGCTGAAGAACGAAGGCTCAGGTGGCCTGGAAGAAAGTGTTTCATGGTGCCCATGTGAGAAGGCCTGGGCGTCCTACCCTGCTATCTACATCTGTAAAGAAGGGCCAGGCCTCTGACCTCAAGGCGTGCTGTCCTGCAGGCTCTGGGCAGGCACAAGGTCCTCCTCTCACCAGTGGGGCAAGGATGAGACATGCTTATGTGGGATCAGGAACACAGCTATTCAGATCCAATTGGGAGGAGGGTGAGTGCTCCCTTGGGGCTCCTGTGGGAGGAAGGAGCTGCTTCCTCTAAGAGGAGGAGCTTGAATCTGCACCAGAGGCTTGGACCAAAGAACTGACCTACCCATGTGAGCATGCCCCTAGCTGTGCCTCCTGGTGACCCTGCCGAAGTGTCAGCCTGTTAGCCCAGCTCCCAGACCCTGGGCCGAGCAACCTCTGGTCATGGCCGGTGGTGCTGAGCTTGGGGACAGGGCCACACATTTTGGCTCTCTACATACTCTGGATTCTATACAATCACGCTGGCCACACATGACAGACACAAGGCACAACACATCCATTAGGACAGCAAGTCCATGTCACACTGCACAAATTACATATGTCCCACGGCACAGTGGATGCACAGACAGACCAGCGGAGCTGAGGGGCAGGCGCCTCTGTGTCTCTGTGCTTCTTGGCTCCAGCTGGCAGAACGAGGGCTGTGCACTCTGCTTGCCCATTTTCCCAGCATTCCCCCAGAGCCCCATGCATCCATCAGAAGTGAAATCAAGAAGAAATCTGCTTTCAGCATCCTGGGCAGGCCTGCTGGTGCTGCTTGGTCACTCTGGGCATTGGCTGAACTTTCATGGGTATAAATTGTCTATCAAGAGATTATTCACAACCAAACTTAAGGACCCACTAGGCTCACCTCCTGAGCACACACAGATAAAATACAATAAATACAACTGATCCCCTAATGTCTGCCAGGGCCCCTGGTCAGTGGCCGAGCAGCCGCGGCTGCAGGGGAGAGTGGAGCAATGATGCGCCTGGGGACACACAGCGGGGGAGATGGCTTCTGGTGGGGGGCCTGCGGCAGGGCAAGCAGGGCGAGGGTGGGCCTCATTCACATGGGCATCGACATCACAGTATGGGTGGCACTGTACAGCAGGAGCCTCACTCTGGCCGCAGCTACTCAGAAAACGGTGGAAACATGCCCAGGTCGGCAAAGTCTTCGATGTTATAGTTGCCAGTCCCCTGGGTTGGATCTCCTGGCATGGGCAGCATGTCCTGCAGAGGAGAGGAAAAGAGAGCCACAGGGGAGTCAGCTCCTCTGTCCGTGCACTGGGCATGTCCCAGGAGCCCAGTCTGCACTCACCCTCATGGCCATCCCTAAAGGGGCAGCCCAGAGGTCCTCCCCAGCCTTCTGCGGGATGCTCTGCAAGGGTCCTCAAATGTCTGAGACCCGGGGAAACTGTTCTCCCCAGGGAGCTGTTGTGACAGCAGGTAAACGGCATTAGGACATGCCCTTTGTCTATCTAAGGTTGAGTCAGGGACCCAGGGTAGACGAGAACCCCACTGGCGGGGAGACCCCAGGCTGGCCCCAAGCAAGGTGCACCTAACAGATAGCAGATGGCCAAAATATAAGAGAAATGCAACGCAGAGTGGAGTGGAAGGAAGATGTATGTGGAGACCTGGCTGGCCTGTCTTCCATGTTTATCTTAGCGCAGGGACGAATCCCTGAATGGTTAGATTTCAGTTTCAACATGTCTTTCCAGTCCTCTGGGCCTCAGATGACCCATCCAGAAAACGGGAATAGCACTATTTTAGTTTCTTACAGCCAATTCCCCAACATGTGTTCTGTTGAATTCTCAGCCCATGTGATACTCTGTGAGAAAAGAATTCTGTGGACAAATAAGTTTGGGAAACAAGGCACACTTTGCCTACCTCCTAGAAATCCAGTCCTTATTGGTGTAATAAAAGCTCTGATACGTCCTGCAATAAAGAAACTCAATAACTTTGTTTAACCAGTTTTTCGTAAGCTTATTTGGCCAAGAATTCTTTTTAGCATCGTGACCATGAAGATCCATGTCAGGAAATTCTGCCTTACAGGGTTGCTGTGGGGCCTCAGAATGGGCAAGGAACAAGGCCTTACAGAAGGAGGAAGGAGGAGATGGCTGCAGTCAGGGGAGGCAGGCGAAGGCCTGGGTGAGCCGTTCCCCTGTACATTCACAGAATGCTGCCCTGAGTGACATCTGAGTCCCAGGCCTTTGTCTGTGAAGACACAGCTGACCCCGGCAGGAGAGGGGCTTGGGATGAGGGTGGGGTATATGGAGCACTGATTCTTGAGAAGGAGGGGTTGCAATCCTGGGAGTCTCAGAACCCTCCCACGATGTGGTTCCTGCCCCTATCATTGCTTTGCAGGGCAGGCCTGGGGCATGCAGGACGTGCCTGGGTTCCTGTTAGAAGGACCTGGAGGGATGGCTGAAGGGGAGTTAATGGGCTCGTACCTCCATTTGAAGCCTTCCAGTAGGAATGTTTCTGGCTGAAAGTTGAGCCAAGGAAGCCCACAAAGGGCAGGGGCCTGCTCTGTGGGGCTGCAGCAGTGCCATCCCCAGCCACACAGTCTGCCTTAGACACGAGGGATGGTCTAGAAAGGTCTCAAATAATGGAGAGTTTCAAGGTGCCCAGGTATCCTCAATCGGGGACTCTCCCTGAGCTTAACCACAGAGGAGAGCAGAGCCAGGGCAAGGCTGGCACTGAGCAAGGGCCTGGGTGGGGATGTCCTCCACATCCTGGGGGCTACGGTGGGAAGAAAGAGGGTCAGCCAGTGACAGACAGCCAAGCCTGGGGGTGCCTGCAGCTCTTAGGAGAGACCCCCTTTGGCCTTGGTTTTGTGCCTCTACCCTGGATAGCTCTGGAGTCTGGGAAGCATCTCCAACTGCAGCCTCCTCTATTGTGTGGCTTAGCTCGAAGGCTACATCAGCCCCTTCTCCTTCCCACATGCACCTGACGTTTCTGGCTGGGTAGGATGGGGCTTTCTACTCCTGGACTCCCTCGAGCCCAGGCTGGGCCAGAACTCACGACGGCTATCGGGCAGGCGGTGGTGCGGCAGAGACCGAGGGGGAAAGGAAGCAGAGAGAAGGCGCCGGTACCTACGAGAAGGCGGTGCTCGCTCGATTTACCTGGAACACTTCAGTCTGACCGGGCTGCTGGTGGGAGTGCTGCTCACCGCTCTGCTGGCCATGGTGCTGGCTTTGCCACTGCGACCAGACTTCCGAGGGCCGCCCTTGGAACTGCCCGCTACTTTGTCCACTTTCAGCTGAAAGATTCGACACACAGGACACTTCCTTTAAAAGCCATCCCGTGGTTCTGTGAGACCTAAGAACCACTGCGGCTGGAGGGCCTCCCGCTTCTGAAAGGCACGTTCCATCCAGAGCTGGCGGAATGTGTTTGCTATCCTCGTCTTTCTCACTGGCTGACAGATCATAAATGGAGTGGATAAGAGACACAGGAGCCCTTTGCCCAATGGTGCAGGTACTTGGCCAGAGAGGATGGCTCTTCCTGAGGTCACCTGCCAGGTGACTAGGTGCTTTAAGCCTTGGAGTGCTCCTTGCACTTGGTGACTGTGCACAAAGGCCTCCTGCGGGCATCTGGGGGGCAAGGGGCATATCTGTTGCATGCAGAGTGTGGGCTGAGAGAGGGTCTGTCCTCAGCAGTATGGTGTTGGCATGAGGAGGAAGACACACCTGCCCCTGCTCCTGATTCCCTCTCGGTCCACCGAATGCTCTTGAAAGGCATCTGGCCCTGCTAGAGGAAAAGCCTCATCTTGGCATTCCCAACCTCAGCCTCTGCCCCCGAGCAACTCCTCGGAAGCCACACACGCATTATACAAGGTCCCCCTACAGGGCCAAGCACCACAGTCTTTTCCTGCCTGGCTCTTTGGCAGAGTGTTTTCTTTGCGTCAGTTTGTTTGCAGGGGAAGAAATTTGGGCACTGGTCAGACAAGATAAGGTTCCTCTGTGGGAATCAGCAAATTCATTTATAAATGAGAGCCACTTTGCTTCTGTCTACAGTTTATACAAAAAAACAGCCAATGGAAGAAAACAAAAAATAGGAAACATAAGTGGAATTGGTTTTTTACATACGAGAAAGAGTCTTATTCCACTGCCCTGGCTGGAATGCAGTGGTGCAATCATGGCTCACTTCAGCCTTGAAATCCTGGGCTCAACCAATCCTCCAGCCTCAGCCTCCCTCATAGCTGGGACTACAGGCTCATGCCACATTGCCTGACTAATTAAAAAACATTTTTTTTTTAGAGATGGGGTCTGGCTCTGTTGCCCAGGTTGGTCTCAAACTCCTGGCCTCATGCAGTCCCCCTGCTCTGGCCTCCCAAAGTGCTGGGATGAGTGAGCCACTGTGCCTATCCAGTAAGTGGTTTTTTGTCGAAAAACATTTTTGAGATTCAACCAAAGAGGATCCAGTAAGTGGAATTTTGTCTAAAAACGTTTTTGAGATTCAACCAAAGAGGAGGCTTAAAAAAATACCTTCAGAGAAGATACCTTTAAGGAACATCAAAAATCTTAGAAGCTTTTTTTCTTGTTTCAAATCATTCAGTACCATTTTGGAGATAATGGGCTCTCTGTCAAGCTCTGGGTGGCAAGAGAAGCCCCATCTTGTCCCATACTACTCTTTCCAACGATCATGCTGGCCACGGGGAAGCCTCAGGCCCCACCCAACCCCCAGCCTGGGCACTGCGTTAATGTGAGGCCAGGTTAGAAAGTGTTCAGGGAGAAGAATCTCTCTCTCTCCCTCGCTCTCTCTCCCACCCATCCACCCATATATAATGCCTGAGACATAAAGGGCTTTAATAAAATGCATAAGGTCCCTTTAATGCCTTACCATTGGTGCTTTTCAAACTCTACATGATGACAATAGTTGGTAAGGAATTCTATAAAATTGAGGCAGGGTACATTCCCCTCCTTAGCATAAGAGAGATTTAAATCTACTGTGCACATAGGATTCTGCTATAAAAAATTCATCTGCCTATGTGAAATGTCTTTTCCTAATGATCCCACACAAGACCCCAAGGGCCAGGAGGAACTCTTTCATAGAATCGTGTCGACTGGCCTCATTAATTGGCTTAGCAGAGGGAAGGCTGGGTCCACAACTGTGGCAAAGTTAAAACAGTAGCATCGCCAGCTGGAGCTACGAGGAAATTCCCACCTGACAGGCACCTGTCCCATTCTGGAAGCCTGCAGAGGCTGAGCACAAGATGGGGCCTTCAGTGGGTCCATGTTGCTTGGCAGAAGGGTGGAGGGACATAGCCACCTGTGCTGAAGGAAGGGCATGGTAGACTGGGGGAATGTCCTTATGCATTCAGGAAGATGACTGCCACACAGGCTCACCCAGGATGCTGCTGCAATGATGGTTTCCTTGGGGCTTGCCCATCACAAATCAATGCCCTCAGCCCTTCCTCCTTAAAGTACATACCTACCTCTCCTTCCCTTTGCCATCAACATTTACAGCCACCCCCACCCCACAGCATCTTCTCCTTTCCCTCCCTTCTCAACCCTGTGCAATTACTCTACTGCCAGGCCCCATCCAATAGGCATTTGAAGAGTGCCCATTCTTCTCAATCTCTCTTGAGTATCCAACACTCTTGATCATTCTGTTTGAAACTATCTTGTTGACTTCTAGGACTGAACTTGATTTTGGTTCTGCTACTTCTTACACTACTCTTTCTCACGTGCCTCCTGGTCCTTACTGTAAGTGACCTTATCTCTTAACATATGTTGAAAGCAGGGGTCTGAGTCAGGCCTTCCTTCTCGTCAACAAACAAGAAGGAAATAACCTCTTCTAATCTCATCAACTGACTCATTCATTTATTCACTTGGCAAATATTTCCTGAGCTCCTGCTCTGACGTGGGCTCCATGCTGGTACTGTACACACACTGGAGAATAAGATCGTTCCTCTCTCAACAAGCATATAGCATGGTTGGGAAAGGGAGCAAACAGGCAATTCTGCACAGGTGAGAGCTGCTCTAAGAGTCAGAGGAACTAGAATAAAAACGCTTACGAGGGATACCTAACTAGCCATGACAAGTAGAAAAGGTTTTTCAGAGATCTCAGATGACACCAGAAGGGGAATTAGTAATTAATCCGGTATAGGGCTTGGAGGTAAGGTTGAAAATAATTCTAGAGAAAAGGGTCAGTCTGTTCAAAGGCCTGATGGTGAAAAAGGGCTTGGTTCATCCGGGCATCTACAGGTGGCTCAGGATGGAAGAGGAATAGAGTGAGATCAGGCAAGTCATAAGAGATAAGGCTGGAGGGTAAGCCAGGGGTCAGGTTCCACACTGTCAGTATGACCAATTTTGGGGACAACAGAGAAACACTGAAGGTTTTTAAGCAGAAGCAGGAAGCACACAGATGTGTATGGTCCATGGGTGGGTGGACAAAAAGAGAGGGAAAGAGACCAACCGAGAAAGGAATGGGGTAGACAAGAGGAGAGGGAAGGAGCCAGAGGGGAGGAGGCTGCTGTAGCAATCCTTGCAAGAGACGACAGTGGCTCAAAACACAGAACAAAAGCCAGCTGGAGAGCAGTGGGTGGATTTGAGATGTGATGGAGAAGGAGGTGCCTAGGCTTGTTGATTGATTACTGACTGTGCTGAGGGGTGTGAGTGGGAAGAGCTAGGGATGATAAACTTGCACTTCTGGTGGTATTGACAGGCTGGGGTCGGCTGAGTTCCCACTCCCCTAAATACCATCTCTCAACTCCTACCTGCTTTCCTCCATTCTCACTGCCCCAACCAGTGCTGTGAGTCATGGCCACACCCACTGCCCCCATAACCACACAGCTACTGGCGTGATCTCCCTCCAACAGTAGTCCACTGCTTACAGACTGCTTAGTGGTTGACCGCGGTCTATGTAGTAACATCCATGTTCTGGATGTTGGCATGAAGATCCTTCACGATCTGGACCTATTTTTAGCCTCATCTCCCACTTCGTGTCTAATTCCAGCCCCTCTTGCCCTAGTCACATGACAATACTTGCATGTCCCCCATGAGCCACATGCAGTTACATCTCTGTGCTACTGCACATGTGTTCTTTCTGTCATGTACATCCTTCCCCTTCTCTGTGCCTAGATAATTCTGTGCATGGGCCACCTCCCAGCCCAGATAGACTGTGTTATGGGCTGATAACACCTGGGCCAGCTGTGTGGGCTTTCAGACCACGGGTCAGAATCTTGAGGAGCTTGTGGCTTCCTAGGTCACAGAGGCAGGGATGACATCCTCCTTTTTTAAAAATTTGAAGCTCAATGCTATCATTCTCCTCTCATTAACATTTTTTCTTGTGAGGTTCAGCTGATTTGGAAATTGCCCTAAGACTTAAGGCTCACTTGAAGTCCTGCTTGGAAGTCCTATGTAGTTGGGTTTAGCTCAGTGGTTCCCAATCGGGTGATTTTGCGCAACCCCACCCCCCCACCAAACCAAGGGGGACATTTGACAATGTCTGGAAACACTTGTCATTATCATAAACAGAGAAATCCTAGTAGGTAGAGGCAGGGAGATGCTGCTGAACCCCCTATAAGGAAGAGATAGCCCCCCCACAACAAAGAATTATCCAGCCTAAAATGTCAATAGTGCTGACACTGAGAAACCCTGCTGGATAAAGTAACAAGGTGCACCAAAGGGCAGCTCATTGTCTTACAAATGCCTTCTAGGCAGAAGAAAAACGCACCTTACAGCAAGGATCACAGTCTTCCTGAGCCTTCTGGCTAAGGCCTCACCTTTTCAACACTAACTAGTATTAGGGATGGAGAGGTCTATAATTCCCCATAATTCACTGGTAAAAATGTCCGGGACTGAGCTTTATGGGCAGGAGCTGGGGAGGAAGAGGGTGCATGGTGTCTGCAAACATTTCAGATCAGCAAAATCCTACTGGCTCCCTGCCTGTGCTTAGTCTACCCTGTTCCCCTATTTTGAATTATGCCTTTCGTTTCTCACTCCAGATATTTTTGAAATAATAAATTCCTTTTTTTTTTTTTTTGAAATGGAGTCTTCCTCTGTCATCCAGGCTGGAGTGCAGTGGTGCAATCTCGGCTCACTGCAACCTCCACCTCCCAGGTTCAAGCAATTCTCCTGCCTCAGCGCGCACCACCATGCCCGGCTAATTTTTGTATTTTTAGTAGAGACAACGTTTCACCATGTTGGCCAGGCTGGTCTTGGACTCCTGGCCTCAAGGGATCAACCCACCTCGGCCTCCCAAAGGGCTGGGATTACAGGTATGAGCCACCACACCCAGCCTGGAATAACAAATTCTTTCAATTCTCCTCTCCAAAGTGAGTATGGGCTAGGTGGGGCAGGCTGGGATGGACATGGCTCTTTTACAAAAAGGCAATGTGTTCTGGATGTGTTTCTCGAGCTTTGTAAAAGACATTCATCCCCAGAGTTGTTTATCTATTGTGACCTGATTTAATCTGTATCGACCTGATCTGACTTGTGTCATGCATGGATGAATTGCTTTAGAGACCTCACCCTAAACTGAGACGCATGTGGGGAACAAGGAGCTATGGACATGCTGTTGCTTGCCAAGACAATATATCTGGAAATCATGCTGCTAAGAAAATAATGTAACTTAGATCCTACGTATGTGTATGCCACACTTGGAGCAAGTCAAGGAATTGAAACCTGGTCTGCTACAGCACCTTTGAGCCATTTCTCTTTAAGCAACCTGTGCACTTGGCTCCCTGCATTTCTCCAAGAAACAAGGTAATATCAACAAGCAGATGCCTGGCAGTAGTTGAGATGAAAAGAAACTGAGCAATTTGAGGATTCAGGTCATATACATTCTTGCCAGTTATCAATTTATTGCCTCTTGGCTCTAAATCCATCCTTCTTTGCCCTGTTTCATGATACTGAAACTACACCCTGCAAACATTTCTCCTTTGTCAGCGAGTGCAGCGTTAGGCTTTCTCAGCAGAGGACGCTGGAGAGACAAGCGAGGTACTGCAGAGAAGTGGCTTCTCTTCCTGGATCAGGTGTTTCTTTCCTCCTGCAGTGTGTCTAACGCAGTGTGCAGGATGTCAGGGTGCTCCCTCTTCAGCACATTTCTCTACCACCCAGAGGCTGCCTCCTGTGAGTCAGTTTTACCTGCGGGCACTCCCTGGGGAAATTCTTGGCCACCTGGTGGGGTGGGTGTGTAGACCATTTCTGGTCCATCTGCACCCCCTACTGAGTGTCTCAGTCAGTGGGCAGGCTGCTTTTACAGACCCACTGCAGTCCAGAGCATCCACAGTGTGTTACCAAGACAGATGCACATTCTCCAACAAGGGCTGAACCTCAGGTTTTGTGGGGTGGGGTCTCCTCTTCCAAGTTCTTAGTTCCTGTCTTGTCTACTTTCCCTTAGCCTTAGAGGTAGAAGCTGCTGCCCACATTTATTATTCCTGTATTCCTCAGGGTCCTTCTTAACCACCTTTAATTAGTCACAAAATCTTTAAATTTTTCCTGTTTAAATTACTGCCATGGTTTCTGTCTCCTGACTGGGCCCTACAGGCACAACACTTTCCCCACTTACTTTGTTAAGGGAATAAATGCTTGGATTTTTCAGGGCTTAAGTAATGGGACTGTGTAGTTTCCTAGTGGATGCTACATTTCAAATGGCTAGGTTTTTGCTGTGACTGGACTCAAAATGAAAATGATACTAAGACTGGAAACACAATTATGACAGCAGTAAAGCTCAAGATAACGTGAAAGGTCTGAAATGGAAGAAATGCTTTGGCTTGACTCCTGAAAGCTCGTTGAACAAAACCAGCATGTGTTTCACAGAAAGGGCTGAGACCCAGGCAGGGGCGTTTTTTCTCACTCAATGTATAAACTCAGTCTACAAAGCTATCCTGAGGAGTCTGCTACAGTTGAAGCACTGTTCAAAAGTGACATGCTATGCTTGTCACAACTCGATGTCTGCCCCTGGTCCACCACTGGGTGACGTCCGGCAAGTCTGCTCAGCAGGCATTCCAAATCCCCTGCCTGCTCCAGCCAGCCAGAAGCAGGAGGCTGGGATCAACCGCATTATCTCTCTGGGCTCTGGCCATGGATAATGAACTGAGGCCAGGTACCGTGGGGTGCTGTCAGGACTGGGAACCCATCAGTGCCACACCAATAGGCCCCAGGGCTGCACAGAGGGCACTGGGAAGCCACTCAGATGTGCCCACGCTGGGCTAGGGTGTGTGTCCATTGCAAATGTAAACACGGCCTGTTTTTTAAGCCTGCTTTGTGTTTAATAATTAATGAAACTGACCATTAATGGGGCAGACTGCTCTGTTCCTTCTCCACTCACCGATTCTTACCTGCTCTGTTCCTTCTCCACTCACCCATTCTTACCTGCTCTGTTCCCTGCACCCTTTCCCACTGTGCCCTCGGGAGTAACCATCCTCACTAACGAACAACCCTTTGGGTCCTCTTCCTAACCATACACACACCCTCTTTCTTCTGTCCTTAACCAAAGCCTGCCCTCTTCTCCCAGCCAGCACTCCACTTCCTTGAAGCCCTGTGGAGTAAAAGCTGACCCTGTGGTCAGAAGGGGGTCTGGTGTCCACCCATTTTCCAGGCCCCTCTACACCTCTGATGTGAACCCCAACACCTTATGCTGGGTCCCCTCTGCCTGCACTGGGAGCCTTCCTCCAGCAGTGTACTCATCACAGACGATGACAGCAACCCCTCGCCTCGAGGTCTCCCTCTCCCTCCCAAGACTGTGCCTCCCTTCCTGCTCTCCTGCTCAGCTTCGTCTCCACTCTATCACCTGTTCACTCCACCACAGCCTGGCTTTCAACACACTCTCCCTGCATCCTATTCCACTCAAATAGCTGTGGCCAAAGGTAACACATGATGCACTGATGGCAAGGCCATAAGAAACTTCTCAGTCCTTCATTTCTCGATTTTATATGCTTTTTCCATGCCCTCATTGGAAGGGTTCCAGCCCCTTTCTCATGAATGTACATCAAGGGCCATCTGCTGGGACATCCAATTCCTGCTTAATTCTGAGGTCCCCTGTGAATGGATTTGAAAATGATGGTAAGTACAGAGTAGTGGATGGGAACACAGTCTCAGATGTACTGCCCAGCTTTGATTCTTGGCTCCAAAGGCATGATTCTGCTATTATCAGCTATAGTAAGTTAGCCTGGGTAAGTTATCTGACCTCAGTGTGCCTTAGTTTACTTATCTGTGAGATGGGAATAATAATGGTATCTCCTTCTTAGGGCTATTGTGAGCACTGAATGAATGCTACATGCTAGCATATAATAAGTACCTACTAAGGGCAGGCTGCTATCATTACTATTATTATCATCTGAGTGTGAGATAGCTCAAAGGCAAATGTAAAAACCCAACCTGGAGCCCCATCTGTGTTGAGCCTGTTCTTGGCCACAGTGGTGCAGTGGCCTCAACCCAGGGCTTCGTCCTTCCTGTGTCCCGTCTCCATTTATACTTCAGGGCCTGGCATTTGTTTAGTGGAGACTAGACAGAGGCATGGAGCTAAAGGCACTGGATGGTTGGGGCAGGGAAGTGGCCTGCCCACCTGTCTCGTCACGGCCACAGTGGGATGCTCCAAGACCTTGCCACGGTTGCGTGTTAGCTCTGCTCCGAAGCCTCTCTTGACCCCATCAGACATAACGACTGTCCTGGCCTGCAGCCACAAGGGCCCCCACGCAGACCATGGCTGCCGCACCTGCAGACTGTCCTGCCTGCCTCCCTTTACCTCTGTCTGTCTCCCCTGACCCAGTCTCTGGACTGTGTCCTTCTCTGGGTGGGGACCAGGTCTCCTGTCTTCCAGGGCTGATTCGGGGCCTGGCACTGAAGGTTTTTTTGAGTAGATCGGTGCCAGATGGTCCCTGGGCTTCCGGGAAGGACTAGGTACCCAGGAGGCCTTGAGTCTATGAGGCCCACCTTCAGGAGGAGGTGAAGGGGTCTCTCCACACCCGGGTGGGGAACCAGATGTGGAGAAGGATCTCACGTGTGACTGCAGGAAGGTGGATGCTATCCTGAGAAACAGGATTCTGGGCTCAAGGTGGTAACCGTGCTGAGTGCCTGGCTGACTTGAGAGCAACTGCTATGGGGTTTCTCCTTCCTCAGACAGGGTGCTGTGCTTCTAAACTGGGTTCCAGTGAACCACGTGGCGAGAATACTTAACAGACGAAGAGGAGACACACTGCAAGTAAATGGGACTAAGGCTGGAGGGACAAGCATGGCCTCAGGAAATGCTGTGCCCCAAGACCTCGGGCTGAGTGGGACGGACGTGCTGCTGTTAGTGGAGGAGGTGGGGAGGGCTGGGCAGCAGATGACAACTCCCCATTGTGTGCTAGGGGCTCTGCACAGCATTTTTCTTTCTTTTGTTTTTTCAGACAGGGTCTCACTGTGTCACCCAGGCTGGAGTGCAGTGGTGTGATCATGGCTCACTGCAGCCTCAACCTCCTGGGATCAAATGATCCTCCCACCTTAGCCTCCTGAGTAGCTGGAATTACAGGCATGCACCACAACACCTGGCTAATTTTTTTTTTTTTTTTTTGTAGAGACAGGGTTTTGCAATGTTGCCCAGGCTAGTCTTGAACTCCTGGGCTCCGGTGATCTGCCACCTTGACCTTTCAAAGTGCTGGGATTACAGATGTGAGTCACCGCGCCCTGCCTGCACAGAATTGTTCATAAGGCTGACAGACAAGCAGTTCTAATGGAAGCTTTTAACTTGCCACGTGGAAATTCAGATGTTTGGGCTCAGATTCACGCTCATCTGAGGAATCAATTCTGTAGAGAAAAGCTCTATGAGCCGCACTGCTGGGTGTCACCCAGTGACCTCACTGTGAGAAAGCAGGCACCAGCTTGGACTTCTTACCAGGACCACGGGTCTCTTATGAGCTTGTCCTGACGTGGAGTGGAACCCTAGCCCTGGGAGACATGCTGAGGAGGTTCCTTACACACACGGAGAGTGGGCAAGGCCCAGGATCCTGAGAAATGCACAGGACACAGCGGTTCCTTAACCCTCTATGGCCTGAGGTTTTGTTAACAAAGTAAGATAGGTGTTTTTAATATTTAAAAGAGACAGAAAACTTTGCAGTGTTATTTATGCAATTGATTGTCTCTATAGCTATTCTCTAGTTTCTTGAAACAAGACTATAAGGTTTTTGACTTGGGGGACCTGAAAATCCTTGCCAGGGCCATAATGGGTTAAAATGGTATTCAGATCACCTCACAGCACAGCAACATCATCCCAATGCCTTGAAAATGATAAAGTCAAATCACAAAGCCAAGGCCTAAGCATCCAGTCTCTTAGGAACACCATAGGCCTCCTCATAGCCAGAGAGAGAGGAGGTGCTTGGAAACCTCCAGACCTTGTTTTGGTAGCTGGGAGCTTGGAGCTCAGCCTCCTGAATTCAGGCTGTTCAGAAAGCATTTGTGCTGGCTTTCCCAGAATCTCACTCCCTCATTCCCCACCTACCGAACCCTGGAGTCCTGTTGGCAAGACTGGAGTAGGCATTCCCACTTGGCGAGGAGGTAGCTGGGCTGGAGAGGGGGCTGTAGGAAGAGGGGTCTGCCGGGTAGGTGTGGCTCGTTCCAATCCCAAAGGGAGATGACTGAGTCTTGCTGGACTGAGATGGGATTTGCTACAATCAGGACAAAGCAAAGAGATGGAAAGCATCACCAGCAGACCCCTGCACCCCAACCGATGCCCCAGGCTGGTCGCAGGGGCAGTGCCTGCTCTGGGTTGACAGTGACTCCCCATGACCCTCTTGTCTGGCTAGGCACAGGCCTGGGATCAGCCCGGTGTGTGAGGGCCCAGGAACTGCAGGATCTTTGGGGCACGTCTGGTTGAAGTTACTCCCCAGGGCTACGAGGATCCGGGCCCTCTGGAGTCTGGTTACCAAGGCCTTGGCATTATGAACACCTAGAACTCCCTCAGCCCAATCAACACCCACCCTCACAGTGACTATGAGGGTCTGGGGATGTCACAAGGGTTGGTGGTTTCATGCCCTCCTGGCGCAGGGGCAGCCAGAGGTCCAGAGTAGTGAGGGGCTCATTCTTGATGAGGTGTCTCAACCTGCCCAACCTTTCCCTGCCAGCTGCCTCAGGGCATGGCTGTAAGGAGAAAAGGCTGCTGAAGTTGCAGGCTGGGCACCTGGCTCTCCGAGAGCCCTGAGGGTGGATGGTGCTCCTGAGTAGCCAGCTGCTGTTAGGGTGGTTGGTTCCAGCTAGGAGCCGACCCATCCTCAGAACCGCAATCCAAAGAAAACACTTCCCAGAGTGCTCTGCCTCTCTGGTCACCCAGGGGAGATGCCCTCACAGATGCCCATACCTGTCCCGGAAAGGGCGGACGACTCCCTGTCCATGCCACCTGACTCTGGTTTAGCTGCCGGGAGATTTGGGACATGTTCTGGCCCGTGGAAGAAGAGGACTGAATATCATTCACTCCAGGCACATGAACCACTGAAGAGCTAGAAAAGAGGAAAATGCATTTATCCCGAGGACACACCTGGTTTGCATGAGTCTACGTGCCCAGCCAACCACACAATCTGCCCTGGGCCATCTTCCTGGCTCTCTCTCCATGCAGCACGTCACTAGAGAAAATGACTCACACATCGTGAGCCTCAAAGCCCCTTGGCCGTCCTCCTCTCCCTTCAGGGCTTCCTCTACACTGCTGAGTAGTCCTGCCATGTCTAGTAGTCTGGTACTTCCTCTCCTCGTTCTCCCCAGGGTCTCCCACGCACTCTTCAGCCCCTATCCTATGCCTGTACATCCTCTGCTCTCAGCAGATGATTTGGTTCCCAGAAAGAGAGAAGCTTCTTAGAATAAAAATCAGTCCCACTGTTCACTCACTCTTTTGTGCTCTGGTTAATTTGTTCCTTTGGGGCACCTATGAGGCTTAAGGATTCAGGAAATAGGTTGCAGGCTGTCAGTTTTAAACGGAAAGAAAAGCTTCTCAATGAAAACCTGCTGGATGGGGCCTAGTCCTGCTACCCAGAGTTTACCCCTCCCACCTTCAGTTCACCTTCGACTTAACTCAGTTTGTCTTTATTAGGCCCCTGCTGTGTGCCGTGCTCTCTGCATGGCCTTTGCAGGCTAAATCTCTGACCCTGCTTAGCTCCTCGGCAGGCACTGTCTGTACCACCAGGCGCTTCTTCCAGGAGATTTTCCAGGCTATGTCGATTACATGAGAAGCTCATCAAAGACTAAAAGGCTGGGGGCAGACTTTTACTTTGTTTCAGGCCCCTCCTCCTGCCTCCCTGGGACTAGCTCAGCATGCAGGGCAGTGCGCTGGGTGCCCATGAATCAGTCAAGTAGGGCAGAATGGGGCTCATCACAGAAGGCTTTGGTAGATTTTCAGCTCCGTGTTAAAAAAAAGGCAAGCCAGAGATCAGCAGAGATTGGGTAAAATTTTACTATTGTATTCTAATAAGTTTCCTATGCTATCTGATCCCTTTTAAAATAGGGAGAAACCAAGAATGTCAGAGACATTCTTGAGCTGATCATTGTAAAACAAGTTCAGTGGCTTATATAAAGGGGACATCATTTCTGTCTTCATACAATCAATTCCTCATTTAACATAAGGGCTCCTTTCCCATTCTCCTTCCTGATGAAAGTATTGCTTCAGAGGACATTTTCTGGTCACTATTGTCTAGTAGGACCCTCTCCACAGCCCCCAGCCCTTGGTGTCCTCCCCAAAACACTGACTGATGAGGGCCGCTACAGCGTAGACGGTCCTAGGAAAGGCGCCTTGGCAGAAAGGGATGGGCTTCTTGGGGCAAAGCGCCAGCCCTTGTGCACAGCCCTCCCTGGGGGCCTCTGGGCTACAGCTGCCTGCCTTAGTGTGGACAGGCAGGGGCCAAAACTGGCGGGACCAGAGAGGGAGGACTGTGGGTGAGGATGCACTTCAGGTGCCAGCAACACCATTCTGCAAGCGGCCCAGGATTCCCTATGGCTGTATTGGGCCCCAGAGTCCTTCATCCCACAGCCTACCCCATCCCAAGCCAGCTCAGATCCTTCGGATATACAGGAAATTCTGCCCATTCCACAGGCTTTAGCCCTAACAGGCATCCTTTAATTAACTCAGTCATTTATTCATTCATTTTACAGACTAGTACTCAGCAAGTGCCTTTTCTATGCCAGGCTCTGCACAGGTGTTCGGACGTTCCTTGGATTCCTTCCCCACACTGCCAGCTGCCCCAAACCTGCTTTTCCTTCCCCATCACTCATCACTGCCCTGTGCACCCTACATTTTTGTTTCTATGACAACAGCGTTACCCAGGCTCTGCACCTCACGCTGGACTGTCTGCCCTGAGCCCTGTCTGCAGCTTCACTCTTCTCCCAAAGGTCATCAGTGATGGTGTCCTCCTCCTCAGCATGGTCCCCACGGCTGCTGCTGCAGACACAGCTCAGGGCAGACAGTCCAGTGTGAGGTGCAGAGCCTGTGTGAGGCCGTTGTCATAGAACAACGTGGTCATCCTCTGTTTCTCCCATTAGTGAGGCCTCCTCCAACAACACCTCCTCCAAGGCTTCACTCAGCACACCCCTCAGGCCCTTGCACCCCTGCCCTGGTCAGGAGGCAGAACCTGACTTTTGCTTTCAGGCCTAGCTGAAGAGTCAGCCAGACCTTCTCCGGTCATGCCACCTTGGGCTGTCCCCTTGCCTTTGAACTGTCCCCTCCTTACCTCCTGCTGCTGTGCTCTCCCTGATCCCCTTTGTCCAGAGTGGAGGACAAGCAGCAAGTGTCACAAGGACCCCATGAACATGAGCACCCAGGCAGGGCTGGCACAGGGCTTGGCATCAACGGAGATCGGTCAGTGCGTGCTGAGTAGCTGAGTAACTCAGCAGCCAAGAGAAGTCTGGAGGGCTTGACTATTGCTCAGCAGAGCAGCGTGACCTGCGGTGATGATGGTTAGGGACTGCTCACAGAGGGCTGCCATCTTGTCTGCTGTCCCCAGACCAGAGGCCCTGCCTGCAGCCAGGGCTCCCCAGAGCCTCAGAGCAGTGTGCAATTCAGCAAGACTCAGCTGCAGGCGTGGCCAGAGCCCCTGCAATGTCTGCTAATCTGTCTCCAGGAGGTCTGTCCTTGAACCAGTGTGGAAGCAAAATCCTCATTCCTTGTGGCTAGGGCAGTCCCGTGGCAGGGGCCTCTCTCTGGGTGGCCGGCCCCACCTGCCCTCCTGGCCTCTGCATCTGGAAGCTCTGCTTAGGGTCTGGCCAACCTCACTGGAGAAGCCCTGCCCTGCTGGGCATGAGGAACTTTAGGGTGTCTGGTGGGCACAGGTGAGTGCCCACATACCCTCCCCAAGAGCTGCCAGCCTCTTCTCTGACCGTTCTTCCCAGTTGATGCTTCTGTCTCCCCAGAAGTCAGTGGAGCCAGGCCTTGCCTCCAGTGATGATGTCAGGGCTTCCTCAGTGACCTACCAGATGCCCTTGATGCTAAGAACCAACCCTTGGGAAGGTTGGACACCCTGCCTGAAGCCTTGAGTGCCCTTTAGGATGAGGCTCAGACGTGGTGGGCTGAGCTGACCAGTCTTCCTTGGATTTGGCTGTAGCCTCTGGGCACCAGATGACAGGATACTTCCTGCTACCTTGTCAGCTGTTCCCAGCTCCAGCTCACTTGGGTCCTGGCTAGAGGGAACTCACTCCCTTCTCCCTGGCAATCACTGCCACAGAACACAGTGGCTGGTGCTGTTCACATCCAAGAAAGAGTAACTGACACCAGGAATCTATGGCAACTCATAGAGGGCTCACAGAGCAGAAGCAGAGCCACCAGAATCCTCAGTTTAGTCCAAGGCCTGAGCGCCAGTAACCACTAACTCATGCTTACAGCCCACAGAGCTGTGCTCTGAGACCCAGGGCTTTCTTGGTGAGGGAGCATCTTCCCACGCCATTGTCCCCCTCGCTGGCACATACCTGAAGGCCTTCCCGGAGTGTCCAGAGGGAAATGGGCTTCCTTGGGAGTAGATCTGCTGGGTTCCTGCTGCAGAGGCTGAGCTCATCATCTTCTTCTCCGCTAGGAAAACCAGAGCAGGAGTCACATGCGAAGGTTCCCTGCTCTGCAGACCACAGAGGAGGCTGCCCCAAGAAGAGGTGCAGGGGTGGGCGTGGGAACGGGAGGACACAAGTCAGGGCAGCCCGCCTGCACGCAATCTTCTCAGCCTTGCCTCTGCCTCCTCATCTCCCCTGGAGCCTCCCTGGCATATGAAGGCACTGGGCTGTTGTTCTTGACCCCTAGGCTAGGCCACAGGCTGCTTGACGGCAAGGCTTTTTTGGAGAGTGGGGAAGATTAAAAGAATTAATGAGGCTAGGCATGGTGGCTTGCACCTGTAATCCCAGCATTTTGGGAGGCTGAGGCAGGCGGATCACTTGAGGTCAGGAGTTCAAAACCAGCCTGGCCAACATGGTGAAACCTTGTCTCCACTAAAAATACAAAAATTAGCCAGGCATGGTGGCAGCCATCTGTAGTTCCAGCTACTCGGGAGGCTGAGGCAGGAGAATCGCTTGAGCCCAGGAGGCGGAGGCTGCAGTGAGCTGAGATCACGCCACTGCACTCCAGCCTGGGCGACAGAGCAAGACTCCACCTCAAAAAAAAAAAATTAATGAGAGTTCTTTCTCAGACATTATTTTATCCAATCTTTCCAACCCTGCGGTGTAGGGATTCCAAGTCCTCTAGTTCTGGGTGAGGAAGCACAGGGTAACAGCGAAGAGGATGGACTCTTATCTCAGCTCTCTGGGTCTGAATCCCATCTCCAAGGTAAGAGGTGCAACCTTGGACTGTTACTTAATCATCCCCTGCCTCAGTTTCCCAACAGAAAGAAGGCGAGAATAAAAGTATCTTCCTCAGAAGGCTGTAGTGGCAATTCAGTGAGTTAACCTAAGTGCTTACGACAGTGCCTGATTAAGGGAGCAAACAGAAACTAAAAGTTTGCTATCGTTTGTTACAGATGAGAAAAGTGAGTTGTAGCTTGTCCAAAGTCATGAGCCGGCGAGGGAGGGCTCAAGGCGTGAATGCAAGCCCAGTGCTCTTCCCACTCTGGAACTCAGCTACCCCTGGCCACCCTCACCCAGCAGGTGCCGCAGCAGGTGATGTCCAGGGAACAGCCCTGGATCTGTGTGCCTTGACGTTCCACTAGGGTTTCTTTGAGAGACTGAGCTCCTCTAACACTGAAAACACTCAGCCCCTGGCCAGCAGGTGCAATAATGCATGATTTTCTGCCACCGCAGAATGGTGAGCAGAGTCGTCTCACCCACAGGCTCACCCACAGCCACACGGCTGAAGAAATGGGCTCAAGACCCAGCTGGCTGTTTAGAATTTTACACGAGAGAGAAGGTGCTTTGTATGGTGGTTTGAGAAACAGGAGTGGGAACACGAGTGGTGGCAGGGTGCTAGACAGCAGGCTCCAATGTGACAGTTCTCCCTCCTTCGGTCATCGAGGGTGCCCAGGGCTCTCTGCAGTGCCCTCCCAGTGCCCCAGAATCTTCAAATTTCTACCCATCTCATTCCTACAATCCCTAACATGTTCACCCGCAATGCGATATTGGAATAAAGGAAATAAAGTTTAGTTACCATACCCTGGGTAACTGGTATACAGAGGCAAGGCCAGGAGTAGACAGAATCCATTCCAACTCGTGTATTTTTATACCCTGCAATGGTTACTCAAAACTCACCTTCCGTGGCCCCCTCTTACTAAGAGTAGCTGTCTGTAGATGGCCTGAAAGCAACTGTAAACCCACACTCTCAAAACCTCAGTACCATTTGGAAACTTACATGCACTAATTCCTGCAAACATTTCAGCAAACCGAGGATCTCTTTCCTGGGAGAAGATTGCATCCGCCTTTTCCACGGACTTCCCGGCCTCATGAACACCGGCTGGTAGGTTGGGGACGGGGACCTATTTGCACATTAAATAAAACACAACAGCAACTCATGCGTAAGGCACAGAACATGCGTCCCCAGGAGCCACCAGCTCTCCTTCATCAGAGCCCCCTCCCTCTGGAATCACTGGCATTTTGGGCTGGAACATTTTATCGGGTGGGAAGCTTTTCTATATGTGAAAGCCAAGAAAAGCCGGTGAGGGGGTTAGGGGGCGGTGAACTGAAGGTCAGAGGAAGGACAGCAGAGTCACACTGATTACTTTCTTAGAGAGAGTGAGAAATGAACAACAATCAACTTACTCTAAATATCAGGAAAAGTGGACATCATGTGGAGATAGGAGAAGGAAAGGAGACAGAGCCGGTGAAGAGGGAGGCTCAGAGCATGACAGGAAGAGGCACATTGAGGAAGAACAGGACACAGGCAGTGGCAGGGAAATGGCCAAGAAGCCAAGGGGCCCAAGGGGATCAGAAGCTGCTCTTGCTGGCCTCTGAGTATACTCATACTACAGTTCACGCATGGTCCTCAGAAATGTCCCTCAGCCCTTAGGTTGACTATGGCCCCTGGTTCTTCACCTGGTACTCACACATTCTTCATGGCTCAGTTCTATAGGGAGGAGTGACAGCAGCAGACCCCCAGGGGACCTGTAGGTCTGCTCTTTCCATTGTAGTGGGGGGATGGGGCAATCCTTTGTGTTGAGGGGCTCAAGCTCAGGGCTGAATTGAGTCCCAAGTCCATTGGGCTGGAGACAATTCCAACAGGGAAAGGGTTTTCCAGAAACTCACCTGGGATAAGTCATACGATGACAATCCATCTCTCTGGTGCACTTCCAATTCTGCCTGCTGTTGCTGAAGTTGCCTGTGAAACAAGAAGACAACAGAGGGTCATGAAGAACAGAAGGGGTGACAATAGGGCTAAGCCAGGACTTTTCCCATACCTCAGAGGCAGAGTGGGTGATATCCGATGGATCTCTACATTGTTTTCCATTTTTAATCATTTTATTTTTAATGCCCTAAATCAAGACTCCAGACATTGCATTTCATGTTTAGGCTACCAAACTCAACTATTTAAGAAACCAATTTTGACGTGTGACTTCATTTTATGCAGGGTCAAAAGATACCGCAGAACAAATACTTTAAGGCAAATTCAGAAAAGCAGTTGGGTTTAATGCTGAATGAAGCAGTTGGCTTCAGCTAACACTTAGCCATAAACGGGCGGGTGTTTACATTATCTCATCCAATCCTCACACTATGCTTTCACAGTGGTTATTCTACCCTCATATTAAAATTAAGAAACTGAAGTTCAAAGAGGTTAAGTGGTTGCCAAGGTCAGCCAACTGGCAAATGGCTATGACAGAACAGAGCCAGGGTCTGACCTGATACTTCTGACTCCAAGGGGCTTTGCTGCCTGCTCCATTTGGGGAAGAAAAAGACTTGCTGGAGGAAATGGCGGCTTTACTGGATTGTTTTCAAGGGAAAGTGAACTCTATAGCTCAGAGCCTAAAAATGGGGCAAATGACAGGATCCTCTTCAATTGTAAATATCATTAAGAAGGACAGGCAAAAAATTATTAGTGGTACTATGCAATTCAAATTACTAACAGACATTACTCCCAGCCCAGCAATCAATTTAAAGCATATGAACAGACAATTCAAGCAAAATAAATAAATAAATAAAAGGACAAATATACATGTACTGTATGTACCTATAATAACGTATATATAATAGATACAATAAACAAGTCAGGGAAACATTTTGCCATTAAAATAATCAAAATAAATGTAAATTAAAACACCTTTGAAGTATAATTTTTCAACTGCTAAGTTGGTAAAAATATGTTTCACATGGTGGCTTTGCATTGAAACTACCATGGTCACACGGTGTTGGGGAAGTGTGCATGGCACGACCTTTTCGGAAAACTATGGTGACCCAGATGAGGGACTGTGGACTTGCTCACACGCTCCCAGGTGGTCATCCTGCTGCTGAGCTGTAGTAAGGAAATTATTCAGTGGAAGGAAGTAAGAGCTACCCATGCAAAGTTGGCTGTAATCAGGAGTGACTTTGTAAATCCTGAATATTAATTTCCTGAGTGACTATTCCACAGCACTGACAGCAACCACTGTGAAGATCGTCTGGAAACACAGGAAGGTATGATGAAAGGTGTGGAAAAGTTCAAGTGCAGCACAATATATTATGCACGCTGCAATTATGGCCACAAACTATGTGGGTGAGCAAAATTTAACACCAAGAAAAACAATCTCTCAAGTGTCTGCATTAATTAGGAAGGTTATGGATTTCCTTTGTTTACGTCCACTGTCTATTTTGAAACAAGAAGGATCACAGTGGGTCTCCTCTGACACGTTCGTGGTCCCACTTTTTTCACCCATGGCTGTGTCCTGGACTGGGTGGTGGGGAACCCCATGGAGGAACTGCCCACAGGCCACCTCCCCTCATCTGGGTCTGGGATGCAAGGAGGGCTGGCTAGATATTCTGTGGGTAGGAAGAGAGGGGAGGGTGGGAGAGGAAGCCTTTGTTATCTAGGATGAGGAAGTGGCTGGTGGGGAGGAGCAGGTGTGGAAGGTAGACCAGCTTCCTGGGGAGGAACCACCAGGAATGCATGGCTGGAACACTGTAACAAAACTGTAAACAAACTGTAACAAAAACTGTAACAAAATTGTAACTATCAGCAAAAGCACAGGCTTGGTGAGAATCTGGAGGCCCCCATCCAGGAGAAGGTGGTGTGTGGCCACCGTGGAAGGAAGGCAGAGGTAACACCTGCACCCGCCCCTGTGCATTTGCCCTGGCCCCCTGCTAGGTGCCTGCATTCATCCTAACTCACCTTAGGCTCACAGTCACCTTGGAAATAGGTTTGTTTTTTTTTTTAATTCCCTTTCCGCATGAGGAAACTGAGGCCCAGAGATGCTAGAGGTTTGCAGAAAATAGATGGCACCCTCAAAAGGGATGATTAAAGAAGGTTTAGGGAAGGGGCTACTTAACAGGTGTGGCCATAAATGGACAGGTGTTTACATTATCTCATCCAATCCTCACACTAAGCTTTCAGAGTGGTTACTTCACCCCCATATTAAAGTTAAGAAACTGAAGTTCAAAGAGGTTAAGTGGTTGTCAAAGTTGGCCAACTGGCAAGTGGCTATCACAGAACAGAGCCAAGGACTGACCTGATACTTCTGATTTCAAGGTGCTTTGCTGTCTGCCCCATTTGGGAAAGGAAAAGCTTTCATAGTTGTTATACTAGGATGGTGAAGAGCCCCTAGGCTAGCAACAACAGGAAGCCATGACCATCCCTAGGGCCAAAGGGACAGGGGGAGTGAGCAGCTATCAGACCTGTGAGAGCCGTGGTGAGCAAGGCTGCCTAATACCTTTTACTCTTCCACTCTTGTTCCTTTGTTTCCAGCCAGTCCCTCCACTGGCCAAACTTAACCAGGACAGAGATCAAGGGATCCCATTTGGCCCTTTCCACAATGGTTAACTTCAATCTTCCTCCCAGGCAAACAGGCAAGGCAGAGGGTGCACCAACTGTGTGTGGTAGAAACACAATCACCAGGCTGGTAAGTGGTGAAGACTGAGCAAGACTAGATTTTCTCATTCCAAGTGTAGGCTGTTTGGATTACACAAAAGATGCATTGCTATTTACCAACTCTCCTCAGCTCCTAAGAAGCAAATGCACACAAGTGATCTGGTCCACAGCTCCTCTGATAACAGCAACCCCCAGTACATCATTTCTTTTGACAGGCAACTGGTCAGTCTCTGCTTGACTTTCTCTGCTAGAGAGCTCACTACGTTTTGGGGCAGCCTGATCCATTTGCAGACAGAAATACTTATAAAAAGCCTGACCCCTAAGGAGCTGAAATGTACCTCCCTATAACTTTCATCTGGGGAACAACTTCTGCCCCTGGAGAAACACAAAATAAGTTGGATTCTGTTTCTAAACTCTTTTACTCGGCATTATAAAATATGTATGATCTGAACGCCATTTCCTCCTCTGGCCATGCCGTCTGTGCTGATGGCCCTGGTGTGTGTGTGTCCCCACCATAAGGGAAGGCCTCCTTGAAGGGAACCCCAGTTGGAGGACCCTGAGAACATTCTGTTTCGAATTCAGCCCAGAAGAGTCATTCATTCAGTGAACTGTACGGAACTCTTTTGCCAGGCACCGGGGACAGACTGATTGCTCAGAACCCACAAGATCCCTGCCCTCATGGAACTGACAGTCTCCAGGGAAAGACAGGCGTGGGCAAGCAATTACAGTGTGGTGAGTTAAGATGACGCCTCAGGAAGAACAAGGTTCTATCCAAGGGTACAGTCTGCCTCCTAATGTCGGTGTGGGAGCCCAGATAAAAGGAAAAGGATAAAACCAAAAGCATGTGATCTCCCACCAGGCAGTCTCAGCCCACACTTGTTAGACCAGCAAAGTGGGAGCACTAGAAATAATTTTCCAAACAAATTGATATTTCAGAAATTGAAAAATGAATCAGTATAATCAATAGAAAAAAAAAGCATTACTTTCTCTACTCTCTTATTCTTACTTTATGGCTTTTGTTATGTTTTGCTTTGATTCACACCTTGGGGGCACCGTCACCTTCCACTTAATGTAGGACTGATGGCCAGCACTTTGTCAATATTTTCACATCTCTGCAGTATCCTCATTTTAGAGATAAAGCAACTGAGACATATGAGGAAAGTGTAGATGTAAGTGTCCAGGGTGTGAACTATGGGTCCAGAGTAACAGTTAGAATGTAAATGATGCATCCAGGGCGACATGGCTAGAATGTAATTGATGTGTAAAGGGTACATCCGGGTGACATGGCAAGAATATGGAACACATATGACTCAAACCCAAGTCTGTCTGGCTGTTGGCCTTGCGGTCTTTTTACTCTGGCCTAGGCTGCTGCCCCAGCCCAAGAGAAATACCCATGGCTATAACAAGGACAATTATTCCATGTCTCCCATTCTAGTACCTTGGGCATCTTGAGCCACAGGAAAGAGAAAAATCTGTTCCTTGGGACTTTTGTGGGGTTGAAGCAGTGAACTCCCCATGATGGCAGCAATCCATGAACCATTCTCTGGCCCAGGCCCAGAATCTCAGAGACAGGACAGGGACCACTGTGCGCAGTTGTGTAGCTGTGCCCCGGATGCCTGGCCAAGGGGCGAAGTGGGGCACAAACCTGGCCCTCTCCACTCACACACCTTGGTGCAGGTCTGTGTTTGGGGAAGGCCCATGTTTCTAATGTGGATAAAGGCTGTGATAAGGGTTCTTGGTATTAGGCCGGGGGTTTGCTTTCAGTTCTGTTCCTCTTTGGGCTCCTAGACCAGAAAAAGCTCCTTTCACTGGGAAGCAGAAAAATTAGGTCGCAGGTATGGCTGGCAAATCCCCAGGACCCTAACTGCTCTGGCTCTGTGGTCGGAACATCAGCATCTCCATCCCACAACCTTTGGGTTTCTGCTTCCATAGCTGAGCATGTGTGGAAGAGAAAGTGCTGACCTGCAGGCTGCCCCATCCTGAGAAGAGCCCTGGGGAGTTTTCTCAGACATTTCACGGCAATGGTATAAAAATAAACCTCGGTGTGCTTGCAAATTCCAGAGAAGGAGAAAGCAGGGCTGCTCAGGAGAAAACTGACTGACAGCACATGCGAGGGAAGTGGGTTCCTACCACAGCCAGTGCTGCCCTCCATTAGCTGGGCTACAACGGCTGAGGAGTAGAAAGTGAATGCATCAAGTGCGGCTTCCTGCCGGCGAGGTGCAGGAGTCCGGGCAGATGCTGTCAATTTTCCCTGATGCTCCCTGGACAGGGGTTTTTACTCAGCCTGAGTAAGTGAGCAAGAAGCCATGAAGCGGGCATTCTGAGGTAGCTGGAATCATGTCCCTGGGAGTAACTGGAAGCACACTGGGAGGCGTCTGGGGATGGAGGCTAATAATATCCACCCTGACTGAGCACCATCTGCATGCCTATTGTGAAGGACTCGAAATACTTGTTACAGGGTTTGGAATTGATTCGATCAGGGCAGGGAGCAGCACGGTCCAGTCAAGCATGTGTGTGCACGCGCGTGTGTGTGCGCGTGTGTGTGTGTTAGAGCTCACTTCCTGGGCCACGTGGACTGGCTCAGCAGGGGCCTGATGGAAGGCAGGGGAGATGGTCAGGAAGACCGATGATCACTTGTGAGACGGCAAAGGCCTCAACTGAGGCAAGGCCAAAGAGGCAGAGGAGGAGATGCGCTAGAGAGAATCGCAGGTAGAACCTGTGGGGCTCTGGTTCTGTGCCAGGTTGCCTGTTGAGGTGAATGAGAGGGAGGGATCCAGGATAGCTCCCAGATCTGGGGCTTGGTGACTGGCTGTTTCAGCCCCTTACTGCCTCTACGCTCTGCAGAGACCAGGAAAGCAGCCTTCCTTTGACTTCATTTGTACCCACCCCTATGCTCCACTGCCTGCCTAGGACCAACCAGGTGGCCACTGCTAAGCATGACGAAGGAGACGTGATGGTGAGTCAGCTCGAGAGAGACTCCGTCATGATTCTGGGCATTCTGGGGTTTTAAAAACACATGCACACACACACACATACACGAGCACGACCAACAGGTGTGGTTATGACAACGTTGGAACAATGCTGTGACAGGAAATAGGACTTGGCCTGAACAGACACAAAGAGATAACTTCAGATCACTCCCCTAAAAAGATGTCAGAAATGAAGAAAGCACAGCAGCTAGGTCGTGCCCATGTAAAAACGCTGAAATGACTCAAGCTAACAAACAGCCCCAAATGAGTCTTGGCCCCCCAGTGCCAAGGCACGTTTCAAAGTTGTGCTGTGTGACCAGCACGTTAAATCAGTCTGTGTTTTTCTGGACCTCATTCCATATTTGATGGAACAGGAAAAAAAGCAAGGATGATAAAGAGGTCTTCTTTGTAGTGGCTTTACACAAATGTTCAACATTAAACACTCAGTTTCTCCAGGAAGTTTCTTTTGGATGCTTTTGACTGAAAGCAACCGAGCTTGCAAATTGCCCACACTCCACCCTCGCCATCCCCTCCCCTCAGCACAGAGCATTTAAGGATCTTTCCATAACAAGTCTGCCTACTGCTGGCAAAGTTTCGCCTCACAAATTCAAAAAAGAGCTGGCCAGTTCACATCCCTGATTGTCACTGCCCTCTACCGTCCACAGTAGACTTTTCCAACCAACTTCACCAGTGTAGGACCTTTCAGTTCAGAGACACAGATTGAGGCTTCTGGTGTAACTGTGCCCTGAGGGGGCATCCTGATCCGTGTAACCTCACAAGCTGCAAAAGCAGTTGTCTGGAGGAACTACGTAGGCCACCCCCTGTACAAGATGGCTTTTCTGTTTTCTCAGTGCTGCCTGACTTTCAGAAAAATAAAGCAAAACCTCAGCCAGGGGGCTGGTTTTCACAGGGGGATCTTTACTTTTCTTGCAAACCCCACTGCAGTGCTACCTCCTGGGGATGCTTTCTCCGAGGCCCTGCGGGGAAGTATTTATTCTCTGCCCCCATTGCATTCTACCTGTCCCTCCCGTCTGCCCCTTCTTACGTTCTTGGAGCTCAAGAACGTTATGGGAGCTCAAGTCTTAGCCTGGAGTGGCTGGAGCAAGGGGCCATGACAGGAGGTATGAGCCTGGGACAAAGCTATGGCTTGAACAGATGCTAAGCAGATCCAGGCTGGCATTTAAAGCTATGTCTTGAACAGATGCTAAGCAGATCCAGGATGGTGTTTTCCTCCTCCTCTCCCTTTGGGGCTCTCACCGCCCTGCACCTGGCTCCTTCAGGTCAGTGAGCACATCCTGTTACCCTGTCTCAAGAGCTCCTGAAAGGCCCATGCTCAGCACCCTCCATAACCCATCTGTTGAACAAAGGAAGCACCATGGAATCCTGAGCCCTGCTTACCTTTACTCCCGTTTCTCAAGCTTCCCTATTTTCTTCAAGGCCGGGCCACACATGAGCCTGGCACAGAGGTGGTACCTCTCTGCTTCCTGAGTAAAGAAGAACCACCCTTTTCCCATGTTGGGAGAAGTGAGACAATAAAACATCCTTAATTTGGCCAAGCTAACTGAGTTTCACTAGATAAAATCAGAATAGAAAATAGTAAAATAGTATTATCTTTTTGCACACCTGGAACTATGACTTAGTACATTTGTTCCTGCTCTACTTACAACCAAGAACGTCTTGACTAGAAGGCAAAGGTAAAAAAAGAATCAGAATATCAAGTCAGCCAAGGGTGACATTAACAAAGAGGAGCTGGTTGGACAGAGTTTGGGTAGAATGACCAGTGAGAACAGGTTATTTCATATGAGTTATCCGAGGCTGCTGGGACAACAATTTCAATACCTTCAGGGCCAAAGCCAGGCTGTAAGGTGCTAACAACAGATGAATGGTGAAGAAGGAGGTTCCCACAGACACGTCTGGCAGGGCCAGGTGGGAGGGGAGCTTTGGTGGGTTGGCCAGACAGGGATTCTCCGAGATCAGGAAGTCAGGTGCCTATGTGAAAGCCCAAGAAGGAGCCAACAAGGAGGATGAGACAAGAAGGGAGGGTCACGGGAGTCCAGGGACGTGCAGGGAGATGAAGAAGGTGCAGAGTTTGGCCCTGGAAGGAGGAGGCTTTGCCTCTGCTAGATGCCAGAAATGGAGGAGAGGAGGGCATTGAGATAGATACACTCATGAACAGGAAGAGAATCACCAGGAGGGTCCTGGTGTCTCTGTTTGTTGGAAGGCAAGGTGATCTGCCCAGAGTTAGAGGAAGAAGGCAGGCAGGGCATTTAGAAGACCAAACATAATCTAGGGCTGCAGGCAAGAGCTGGCCCAAGAAACTGCCAAGTCGCTGCAAAGGGTGGCAGGGTTGCTGCTGCTGGTGCTGTTGACAATCTCAGTGATAGTTACTGCAGACCACTTTTACCGGGGCCGACTCTGCCTGCTATCACAGTAGAGTGCTTCATATGCAGTAGCTCCATGCAGAATCTGCAGAAAAATTCTATGCTTCTGGGCCAGTACGTTCTGTCATTCTCCCCATTTTACAGATGAAGCAACCGAGGCTTAGAAAGAGTAGGTGACTTGCCCAGTTGGGAGCTGGGGTTGGAATGCAGGTCATCATCTAATTAAAGAGCTTCTGCACAGAAAAAACAAACAAACACAACCACAACAAAACTATCAATAGAGTAAACAGACAATCTACAGAATAGGAGAGAATATTTGCCAACTATGCATTTGACAAAGACATGATATCCAGAATCCACAAGGAATTTAAACAAATCAATGAGAAAAAAACAAATCCCATTAAAAAGTGGGCAAAGGACATGAACAAGATACTTCTCAAAAGAAGACACAGAAACAGCCAACAAACAAATGAAAAAAATGCTCATCATCGCTAACCACCAGAGAAATGCAAATCAAAACCACAATGAGATACCATCTCACACCAGTTAGAATGGCTATTAGTAAAAAGTAAAAAAAAAAAAACAATAACAAAAACAAAAACAGATGCTGGCAAGGTTGCAGAGAAAAGAGAATGCTCACACACTGATGATGGGAATGTAAATTAGTTCAGCCACTGTGGAAAGCAGTTTGGAGATTTCTCAAGGAGCTAAAAACAGAATTACCAGTCAACCCAGCAATCCCATTACTGCATTACTGGGTATATACTCAAAGGAAAATAAATTGTTCTACCAAAAAGACACTTGGACTTGCAGGTTCATTGCAACACTATTCCTAATAGGAAAGACAAGGAACAAATCCAGGTGCCCATCAACGGTGGGCTGAATAAAGAAAACGTGGGCTGGGCATGGTGGCTCACACCTGTAATCCCAGCACTTTGGGAAGCCAAAGCAGGCAGATTGCCTGAGTCCAGGAGTTTGACACCAACCTGGGCAACATGGCAAAACCCCATCTCTGCTAAAAATACAAAAAAATCAGCCAGGCGTGGTGGTGTGTGCCTGTAGTCCCAGCTACTCGGGAGGCTGAGGTGGGAGAATCACCTGAGCTCAGGAAGTCGAGGCTGCAATGAGCCCATAGTGCCACTGCACCTCAGCCTAGGTGACGGAGTGAGATTCTGTCTCAATTTAAAAAAAAAAAAAGGAGAAGAAGAAGAAAATGTGGTACATAAATGACACAAAATATGCAGCCATTAAAAAGAACAAAACCACGTCCTTTGCAGCAACATGGATGCAGCTGGAATCCATTACCCTAAGTGAATGAATGCAGAATCAAAAAACCAAATACCGCGTGTTCTCACCTTTAAGTGGGAACTAAACATTGGGTACTCACAGACATAAAGATGGGAACAATAGACACTGGGAGGACTACTAGAGAGGGAGGGTGGGAGGGAGGGAAGGGGTGAAAAATCACCTATTGGGAGCTATGTTCACCCTTTGGGTGATGGATTCAGCTGAAGTCCAAGCCTCAGCATCATGCAATATATCCATGTAACAAACCTGCATATGTAACCCCTGAATCTAAAATTAAAAAAAAAAATCCAGGTCATTGGCCCTCTGAGGGTTCTCTCATGGGCTTGTCTGTCCAGCTCTGTGACTTCTGGCCCAGGAGCAGGGCAGAGGCTGAGGACTCAGAGGGTGGTGTTGCCTGGAAAGAAGGTTACTTTGTGGGGCCCAGATGGGAACTCCCAAATCCAAGGGGCTCAGAGACGGCAACAGAGGGCAGAGCCAGGCAAGTTCTGAGAGTGCCAGTAGGCTGTGGTGACCGCCTGGAGGCTTCAGAATCCCAGGGAGGCTACCGAGAAGGGATGTCAGCAGATGAGGAAGAAGAGGTGGTAGGGTTGGAAACAGGTCCCCCGACTGAGTGCTGAACTGGGGAAAATGATGGATGCTGGTGCCACTGACTACGATGGTGAGACATGGGGACAGTTCTCCGGATGCCAGCCTCATCTCATACCCTTGCATGCTACAGTCCTCCCGACACACTGGCCATGGCTTCCACATGCTTGCGTTTGCTTGGACATCCTTTTGTCCAAATGTCTTTGTGTTGGTTCCTTGGCCTTGTATTTCCTTGAGATTAAATGCAGAGGAGGCATGACCTGTTCAAGGTCATGCTCACTGTGCTGGAAGTTGAACCAAGTGTCTGGCCTGTAGCTTGACTTCATTTAATCTTTACAGCAACCTTATGAGGGAGGTGAAGAGAGGAAGTGACTTGTTCAAGGACGCACAGCCAGGAAGTGGTGTGAGGTCTGCTAACATGCATGGAACACAGGAGTGGTGATTCCAGCAGAGATCTTGGGATCCTCGGACCCTGGGCAGGGAGGAATGCTTCCACGGCTGGGCAGCAGGGAAATCATGTGTCCTTGAGGTGCCTACACCCAGGCCACCTGTCCCATTCCCTAGAGCTGCCAAGAGGCTCAGCCTCCCTTCCTCCACCCCCGGCTTCGGTAGGACCAAGAAACCAGGCACAAGCAGCTGCTGCAACAGGGAGCAACAAGGCGGGGCCCAGCAGAGCTCCAGTTGGCTGAGGTCCATGCTCAGGGGGAAGAAAAGAGGAGCAGAAACTGGAGCACCTTGCACCGAAGGGAAGGGAGTGTCATGATTATCACTCATTCTTTTGTTTCTCACAAATCAGGAGGGAAATGAGAAGGAGGAACATGGGAGGGAGACAGTGATGGGGACCTACAGTCTCCTCTATTCTTAATCCTACAGGGATTTCCAGCTGCAGGGAGAGCCGGCAGGGAGAAAGAACTCCAAATAAAATTGCCAGCTCTGGACCCAAGCAAGCGCATGTGGATTCCAGGAGAGGGAAATGGCAGTGTACGTACTTGACGTTGGTGTTGGTGCAGATGATGTACTCAATCTCATCAGAATAGGGATTCTGGAATGTGAAGCTGCTGGTGCGGATCAACATCCACTCCCGGTTCTTGGTGCGAAATCGATACATGACCGACAGGACTTGGCCTTTCAGCTTAACCACCTGAGAAAACATTTGGAGAAGGAAGTCAGCAGGAGGAAGGATGGTGCCAAACGGGAGGAGGGAGAAGCTGCAGGCAGTGGGGTTGCGGCAGGGGCCAGCAGGACCTCAGAATAGGGGCATTGTGGCTAAAAGACAGTAAGAGAGGGAGAGCAGTTTTGCAATGGGAACTCCTCCGTCTACCTTCTGGTGAAATGGGGTGCTGCATCTGGGTCATTCTGTAACCACGGTATGAGAAAGCAACCACTCAATGCCTGCTTTATAGCAGAACTTTTAATTTAGCTTTTACAAATGAGATCATGAAAACTCTGCAAGCCAGAGCGTTTTTCTTTTTGCCTCGGTTGCTAGGGTACTCTGGGTTTGGTGCTCTCCACTCACCCCCAAGTTATCTCACTCAGGTATGTAGCTACATTGTATTCATTGATTTATTTCTTGGTACGGCAACATACAAGATGCTTAACCCTGCTTAACGTTGTAAAATGGAGTCAGTAGACTCTGGTAGGAGACGTAATGAAATGATCACTTTCTATGGATTATTTATTTATTTATAAGTTTCTATGTATGACACTTTGATGTTGTAATATGATTTCAAATGTATTGCTTCAGAAAGAGCCTCATAAGAGTTTGGTAAGATGAGTTTTATTATTTACAGCTGATAATACTGAGACTCAGAGAAATTAAATAAGTCATCCAAGATCAGACAACTTTGGTGGAAAAGCTGGGACAGGAAGCAAGATCTCATTTCCAAATCACAAGATTGTCCCTCTGGCTATACAGATCTCCCCTTTGTTCTATTGAAAATATGCTCCAGCCTGGCCAACATGGCAAAACCCCGTCTCTACTAAAAATACGAAAACCAGCCAGGCCCCATGCCTGTAATCCCAGCTACTTGGGAGGCTGAGGCATGAGAATCGCTTGAATCCAGGAGGCAGAGGTTACAGTGAGCAGACATTGCGTCACTGCACTCCAGCCTGGGTGATGGAGTGAGACTCAGTCTCAAAAAAAAAAAAAGAAGGAAGAAGAATAAATAAAATATATAGCAGTGCCCCCTTATCCAAGGGGGCTACAATCCAAAACCCCCAGTGGATGCTTGGAATTGTGAATAGTACCAAACCCTATAGATGCTATGCTGTTTCCTATATATACACACCTATGATAAAGTTTATAAATTAGAAACAGTAAGAGATTAACAGCAACTCATAATAAAATAGAACAATTGTACCAATATGCCAGCATCACTATTCTTGCACTTTGGGGCTATTATTAAGTAAATAAGGGCTACTTGAATGCAAGTCTTAAGATACTGTTGATCTCATAACTGAGGTGGCTAAGAGACTACTGGGCAGGTAGTGAACATAGTGTGTATACACTGGCCAAAGGGAGGATTCACATTCCAGGCTGGGCAGAGTGGGAAGGCACAAGATTTCATCATGCTACTCTGAACAGCACACAATTTAAAACTGATGAGTTCTTTCTGGAATTTTCCATTTAATATTTTTGGACTGTGGTTGACTGCTGGTAACTGAAATTGTCCAAAGCAACACGGCAGATAAGGGGGACTGCTGTATACATTGTATGCACACACAGCAAACCAGACACGGAAATACGCACGCATATGTGCAGAAGGTAGCATTCGGGTGTGGTTCTCATGGTCAAGGCACAAATGGAAGAAGGGATATAAATGACTGGTGGGGCTAGGCCTGGGTGTGATTACACCCCTGGCACAAAATACAGTGAGCAGGAGTTCTCCCCTCCACAGGCATGTGCAGACCCCAGATCAGGGCTGGTAAATCTCTGGGCCATGGCAGTCGGGTTTGCCAACTGAGAGATCACAATGTGACCATAGATTAGAATGGGGACTTGGTCCCTGTGATCAGGGAAGGTCTGACTCACCCATTCCTCACACCCGCCACACTTGTGGTCTATTCTTCGGTGGTGTCTGTCGTCTTGGCCAGACTGCATGCAGCATGGGGACAGGGACATCTTGGTCACCTGTGAATACCCCATCTCTATCCTCAAGACCTGCAAGGAGCAGGCTCTCAGAGCACACTTCCCGCAGGGACTCAATGGTGTGCTGGCCCCACGGCTGGGGCTGGCCATCCTCCCTCCACACTGTCCCTAGGGGAAGCCAGACAAGATCTGAGCCTGCGGATGTCAGATAAGGCTCCCTGGTGGGAAATCCCTGAGTGATAAATAAACCAAACCAAGAGCTCTGGGAGGGTGGGAGGCTGTCCCTGACACCACAGGGGAGGAGGCTGAGCTGCAGAGTAAGTAAGGCCAGGCACATCTGCGGCCCCAACAGCAACCTGGCTGTTTCCCCTTGGGGCTGGAGGTCAAGGCCATGTGCCTCTCAGGTCAGCAACCAAGAGGGACTTCTCTGTGTCTGCACCAAAAACAGGGGACATAGGGAGTCACTGTCCACGTTTTGAAACCCACATCTTCTGCACTCTGAGGAAGCACAGGAAGGGCGGTCCTTCTTTTTTGTTTGTTTCTTCTAACTAGAACGCCCGAGACAGTGTGAAATTTGTTAGCTCCATGCAACTAGCACACAGAAGGCACGACCTTAGGAGCTGGGGAAAGGGAAGCTCAGCCTTAGGAGCTGTGGAAAGAGAACAGAACAAGGGAGCGGGCAGTTCTGCACCCTCCTGGGTCCAAGTTATAGGCTAAGCACCTTAGACATGTTAGCTCAAGCAGTCCCCATAACAGCATTTTGTGAACCTGGAAACTGAGCCTCAAAGGAGTTGAATATGTTGCCTAAAGCCTTATGATCCTAAGCCTAGATCTACCTGGCCCCAAAGCCCTTTGCATAAATCCCTACTGCCAATGCACATTCTCTCTCCCCAAAGAGCCTCTCAGCCAGCAGGTGAAGGATCAATGTGTAGATAACTGTAACCCAGAGACAGTATGCTTGCTGCCACTACAGAAACACAAGATGAAATGCCATGGGGTTACCAGGAGGGCGAGGAGAGATGACCTGCAGTCAGGATCTGAAGACGGCTCCTGGAGGGAAATGGGGTTTGGAACACAGTTGGAAGGTGGGTAAAGTGTTGGCAAGTGAAGATGTGTGGGGAGGGCTCTCCTGGCAGAAGGCACAGCAATGGGCCAATGTTGGGAGGCTGGGAAACCTGAGATGTGATGGGGGATTGGCTATGCATGGTGCAGGTGACATTGTCCAGGCCCTCAGACCAGGGTGATACACGTGGCTGTGCTTAACCCAGGTGCAATGCGGTAGATGGCCAAGGCCAAGCGTAAAACCCGGCTTAGCCTGGCTCTTCATAAAAACAGCCCCCTTCAACATCCTCATCATCATGGAAGGTGCCTGAGTGGAGAGGAGACGGGGGAGATGGGAGGCTGCTTTCACTTTCACAGAGTTCAGCTCTTTTTGACTTATAGGTAAACTGTGCCTGGAGAGGGAATCCAAGAGCAGAGGCAAGTTTCCCGGTTCCTGGCTGGCTCCCTCTCACCCCCTCAAACTCAAATTCCTCACAAACAAGTTCTAAGGGCCTCCTGTCTGGGCTATTCAAGTGCTTTTGTTTAAATCCAGAGTTCAAGAGCTGGCTCTTAGCTGACGTAGCCACCTCCCTGCTTCTGCAAGAAGAAGCCACTTCCCTTTATCAACATTTGACCCCCACCTTGGCTGTCAGTGGCCGGAGACCAAAGAACACAAGCACGGGGCCGAGGTGCGGTGTGCTCCAGGATGTCCCTGTGGCTGCTTGGCCGCTGCCCACAGTGCCCTGTGGCCGGGGCTGGGGCTGGGGCTGGGTCTGGGGCTGGGACTGCCGGCACTGCTGTCTCGGCCTCCCATCCCACTGGAGAAATGTGGTGGCTGCTCACAGAGTGAGAGTTACTTAACCTGGATATCAGGGTGGGATCAGATGTTAAATTCCTTCTTTGTCTTTTCAAAACCAACCGGTTCTGACAGCGTCAGCAGTCTGAAGCCTTGGATGTGCTGTTGGATGGAGAGGCCCATGTGTGGGGTGTGGTGTTGTGATTGAATGCATTGGAGGGAGACAGGCCTGGGCTCTGTAACCTGGGGCAGGCAACTGCACCTCCCAGTGTCTACTGTGAAAAAAATGGGGAAGACAACACTTACTGTGTAGGTTTGAGGATTACATAAGATAATGAAATGGGTCTGGCCAGTTACTGGGCACAGAATGGAGGCCCCCACCACTGTTAAAGCTCCATTTCCATTAACCCACAAAAATAAAGCCCACCCAGCCCAAACCTGACTGCTAAACGATGCAAAGTTTATCATAATTTCCACATAGTCAGCAAACATATGGCACAAAAACACATCCCCTTACAATGCTTAACCATTCCAATTTCACATTTTTCCAAAATGAAAGTCAGTTGCTATGGGTTTTGATCCATTTAGATTGCTTTGTTGAGAGCCACCCTTGTACAGGGCTCTACACTCAGTGGTGAAGATTAGGATCAAATGCACACATGAAGGCCGGGCACGGTAGCTCATGCCTGTAATCCCAGCACTTTGGGAGGCCGAGGCAGGCGGATCACTTGAGGTCAGGAGTTTGAGACCAGCCTGGCCAACATGGTGAAACCCCATCTCCACTAAAAATACAAAAATTAGCCAGCCGTGACAGCACAGGCCTGTAATCCCAGCTACTCGGGAGGCTGAGGCATGAGAATCACTTGAACCTGGAAGGTGGAGGTTGCAGTGAGCCGAGATTGTGCCACTACTGCACTCCAGCCTGGGCAACAGAGTAAGACCCCGTCTCAAAAAAAAAAAAAAAAAAAAAGCACAGACGTAATGAAGTCTGCCCACAGGGAGGTCAGGTTCTGGTAAGGAAGACAGAAAAACAACCCCCCAAACAAGCCAATGGACAAATAAATAGTTGCTATGAAGGAAAACAAGGGACTTAGAAGGAGGCTGGGGTGACTTTCTTAGCTAGGGTGACCACAGAGGGCATCCCTGAGACAATATGAGTGGAAAGCTGAAGGATAAGATGTCAGTAATGTGAAGAGTGAAGGAAAGGCATTCCCTCAGGGGAACAGCATGTGCAAAGGCCCTGAGGTTGGGAAAAGCATGTTCAAGGAACAAAAAGAAGGCCAGCGTGACTCAAGAGTAGTGTCCACATGAGGATGAGACGGGGCCAGGTATACATACAGCATGAAGCTATGATAAGGAGCTTGGATTTGATTCTAAATGCCCTGTTGGCATGTTTTAAGTAAAGACGTGGCAAAACCTAATTTATGTCTTCCGAATGGCTTGGAGTAGAGTAAGAGTAAAAGCAGAGAGACCAGCAAGGAAATGACTGCAATGGTCAGAATGGGAGATGGGGTGATCTGGTTCAGGGGGGTAGGAAAGAAGAAAGAGAGGAGGGGCTGAATGTGTGGAGTGGGATTGAGGGAAGGGCTAAGGATGTTTCTTGGTTTCTGGCCTGGGCAAACAGGTGGATGGTGATGAGAGGAGGACTGGGGGCTGGGAAAGGATTCAGGCATTCTGCATTTGAGGGCTGTGGGGCATTCACGTGGCAGTGTGGAGTAGCAGCCAGTTGTTACATAGGTAAACTCATGTCCCAGGGGTTTGTTGTGCAGATTATTTCATCACCCAGGTGTTAAGGCCAGTACCCAATAGTTATATTTTCTGCTCCTCTCCCTCCTCCCACTGTCCACCCTCAAGTAGACCCCAGTGGGCTACTACCCCAGTGGTGTATAAGCAAGTGTGGAGCAGGAGGGACAGTCTGGGCTGGAGTCATCCCATGGGTAGGATTATCCAGGGAGACATCACAGGGAGGAGAGAAGGCAGCCAAGGGGAGATCCCTGGGGCATCATCCATCATGGCTTGTAGAAGAAGGCAGAAGAGGAGAAACCAGCAGAGGAGGCCAGAAGTGGGAAGAAAGCCAGGAGTGGCTGATGTTATGAAAGGAAGGAGCAGAGTGTGCAGGGAGGAGTGGGGGTTAAGAGTTCTATCCACATACGTGGCATAAATTTGGAGTCCTGTGTCAATTTGTGCAAACATAGCAACGCCTTCAATAGGAAGGCTTGGCGGTCAGAGAGGCCCACTCTTAGATACTTGTAAGGCAGAATGTCAAGCACATGTTTTCTCAGAGGCATGACAAACTATTATTCCCTCTTGAAAAGTAACTCAAGGGCCTCTTTACTTGAATAGAACACTGCCCGCTCTATTCTTTCCTAGGGCTGAAGCAAGATGTGAGAGCCCTGTGGAGAGAGGAGGTGTGTTCTCTCTCTCACCTCAGCTGAACCTGGGCTCAGGAAGCTGAAACTCCTCCATGTGAATCCTGGTTCTCTCATTCATCACCTGTGTGGCGGGACGGTGCTTTTAGGTCACCAAGCCTCACTACACTCACCTGTAACATGAAGATGATGATGCCTACCTCCTCCGACTACTGTGCAGATTTAATAGTGCATGGGACAAGGCTTCCCATATGTTTGGCACACAGTAGGTGCTCGGTACACAGCAGCTAACAGTCACGATGTGCATGACACTGTTACTCAGGTGGCCACCCTCTTGGGCTCCCAGGTCATCCTAAATCCCTCTCTCTCTTCACCATGTCTATCCAAAGCATCAGCACTCATCAAACAACTGTCTCCTCAAGTTGCCCCCTATTTCAAATTCCCACTGCTCCTGCCCATATTCTGGCCACATCACCTCTTACTTGGACAATTTTAAAGCCTCTTGTCTTTGTTTCCAGTTATTTCCTCCACCTGTCTCTTCTGCAAACCTGGGCTACTAAAGTGGTTTTTCAAAACACTGCTCTGCCTAAAATCCTCAAAGTCATCCTCGCTTACCTTTATTTGTATTTTATTTTTCTTTCTTTATTTATTTGAGACAGAGTCTTGCTCGTCGCCCAGGCTGGAGTGCAATGGCACGATCTTGGCTCACTGTAACCTCTGCCTCCCGGGTTCAAGCGATTCTCTTGCCTCAGCCTACAGAGTAGCTGGGATTACAGGCGCCCGCCCCCACACCCGGCTAATTTTTGTATTTTTAGTAGAGACAGGGTTTCACCATGTTGGCCAGGCTGGTCTCGAACTCCTGACCTCATGATCTGCCCACCTTGGCCTCCCAAAGTGCTGGGATTACAGGCGTGAGGCACCACACCCGGTCTCTTAACTTTGTATTGATTGAGTGAGTGAGTGAGTGAGTGAGACAGAGTCTCACTCTGTCGCCCAGACTGAAGTGCAGTGGTGCAATCTTCACTCACTGCAACCTCTACCTCCCAGGTTCAAGCTATTCCCCTGCCTGAGCCTCCCAACTAGCTGGGTCTACAGGTGCGTGCCACCATGCCTGGCTAATTTTTGTATTTTTAGTAGAGGTTTTGCCACATTGGCCAGGCTGGTCTCGAACTCCTGGCCTCAAGTGAACTGCCCACCTTGGCCTCCCAAAGTGCTGGGATTACAGGCATGAGCCACCACACCTGGCCCTCACTTACCTTTAAATGACTGAGGAGAGAATCCATGTTCTTCAGCATGGGTTAAGAGGCCTTTCATAACTTGGCTGTACCAGGCTCATTCTATCACCACTGCCCACCTCCTCCAAGTCAGCCAGTGTCACTCCAGCCACTAGGAACTGCTTAGGATTCTCCCTTTTGCATCTCTAGGGCTGCCCCTTCAGTCTAGAATGTTCACTCATTTATTCTATGCTCATCCTTTAAGACCCATCCCAGTTATTCTCTCCCCTGGAACAATTCCTGCCTCTTCCCCATGCAGTTAACCTCTCCAGCCTCTGTGCTCTGCAATGTTTTTCTTCATGACCCTTTAGAGTTCTCCTCCTATTACATAGTACTTATTTACTGATGTGTGTCTGTCTTCCCTACTAGACTGTGAGTGACTTCCTAGCAGGGGCCCTGAGTGAGGCCATAGGTAGGACCTTGCAGCCTGCCTGGCACATAGTAGGACTAATGTCCTGCCAGCCACATCCACAGGTGCCCAGACTATGCATCAGCTTTAAGTGGGTACTGGCAGTATGTACCTGCTGGAAGCTCTCACGCAGATGGCTTTGATCCTCAGGGTGGCAGAATTCCAAAATGTCCTTTCCCAGAAGATCCTAAATAAAAGAGACAAGCTTTAATAATCCCAGATCCATTTGTAATTATTTGTATACTCACTGTGATACAACAGTGTTCATTTCCATCTCCTTTAACTCATCTCCTTTAGCCTGTCCCACCCCAGATTTTTTGAAAAAGTGAGTGCAAAATTTCCCTGGGAGCCGTCAGAGAACTGGCTTCTTGGTATTCACTCTAAGTTCTTCTGGCATGCTCAATATCCATTTCTAATTTTGCTAAGGCACTACATCAGTAGCTTCAGAATGCAATTTTATTTTTGTTTGTCTTGGAGAGGCAAACTGCAATAAACATACTTTAATAACATAAAAAGAAAGCAAAATGATAGCCTGAGGACAGATGTGTTGCTTATGAAAACTGGAATTGTTTAAATGTGGAAATTGTAGCTCTCCTGTGGCTGAAAAAATGAGGTTATCATAAAATAACTGTACTTGTTAAAAGCCTGTTTACTATCTATTTATCATCATTAGTCTATGCTACATTCAAAGGACATAGCATTAGCCCAAAACAAAAGTGTGTTTCACAATGAAACTGATCAGAATAAGATAAACTGTTAACGGATAACTTCAAAAGTGTTGTAGTAAAGTGGTCCAGTTAAAAGTGTATTTTTTAAAATTTATTTTATGTTTTTTATTTTTTGAGATGGAGTTTCACTCTTGTCCCCCAGGCTGGAGTGCAATGGCGCGATCTCAGCTCACTGCAACCTCCGCCTCCTGGGTTCAAGCAATTCTCCTGCCTCAGCCTCCCGAGTAGCTGGGATTACAAGCACCCGCCACCATGCCCAGCTAATTTTTGTATTTTCAGTAGAGACAGGGTTTCACCATGTTGGTCAGGCTGGTCTCTAACTCCTGACCTCAAGTGATCCACCTGCCTTGGCCCCCCAAAGTGCTAGAATTACAGGCATGAGCCACCATGCCTGGCCAGGAAGTGTCTTAAACAGCAAAAGATTTAAACTAACTCATAGATCGCAATCCAAATCAGCAAATGGTCTAAGTGAATGCTGACACTGGCAATGGAGGGGAAGTCCTATCTGTGTGCCAAGGAGCAACTGGATGCCCCTGGGAGGTGCCACTAGATAAATGGGTCTGGCTGCCATCAGAGGTTGGGGTGAATTTGGAAACAAATCAATTTCTCCCTTTATTTCATCCAAGAATCTCGAGGTTTATATGAATCTAGAGATGCAGAATTATATGCAGAGTCCTAATAGTTCTAGTTTGAACTGCTTCTAGTCCTAAAATACACATCATTAAAATACTCATATCTACATATCCCAAACGTAGTTGCTCAGAATAAATATTTTTTCTTTTATAAAAAAGCTTTTTATTTTTAAATAAATTTAAATCTACAGAAAAGTTGATAGTACAATAAACTGCTATATATCCTTTATGTATATTCAATAATTATCAATATGTTATCACATTTGCATTTTTTTCTTCATATATGTGTATATATTCATACATATGCATGTATATACTTAATATACTTAATTTCTTACTGAACCATTTGAAATTGAGTTGTGGACATCATGGTACTTCTCAAAGTATTTTAGCATGTATCTCATAAAAATGAGATTATCTTACAAAACGACAATGTGCTATCATGTGCTATACTAAACCTAAGAAAATCAATAATTATTCAATGACATCACCCAATATTCTGTACATATTAACATTTCAATTGTCTCCTAAATGTCTTTTCTATCAATATGTCTTGAGGCCCAGGACACAATTAAGGCCCTTATGTGGCATATTATTATTTTATCTCTTTGGTCTATTTTAATCTGGGACAACTGCTCCTGCCTTTTTGTTTCTTATGACATTGACTTTTCAAAAAAGAGTCTAGAACACAGACCTAAAGACGTGCCACCTATACAAAAAAAGGTTTCCAAATGCACTTGAGAAACAAGAGGTTAGGCAAAATTAGGTAGGCATCTTTACCAGGATTTGCAGGGTCTTCCACATTAATGAGCTTTGTAATGAATATTAATAAGAGATCCCCTATTAATAGAACATCTTAATTCCAGTTTGTGAAAAATCAACTAGAGAAACATAACAGTGAGGGCAAAGAAGAAAGAGTCCATGTTAAGTGGCACAAGTGTTTACAACGTCTTTTCTTGCCTTGGAAGGATATCTATCGTTCTATCTAGGCAGGGTATATGGGTCTTTATGATGTTTCTCCACATGGCCATTGTGTTGTATCTCAAATGAAGTAAGAATGTTTTAAAAACAATTAAATCTCTAGTCAATTGCCATAGGCTCAAAACTATCTACTCACCTGGGGTTGGTAGCCAATCACACTGATACATCTTGGATCCACAAATGTGATGATTCCATCGGAGTTATGCCGGGATAAGAACTCTGTGGGCACCGACATCCCATTCATGTCCATGCATACAGGAGAGCTGGTCACCTGGGATGGGGAAAATCCACAGTTGAGGTGGTGTTGACAGAGACGAGATGGAGATGGTGACAGAGATGAGAAGAATAATCCATGTGCATTTCACTTCAAAGATCCTTCCATGTCATTTAGTACGATGACCCTAAAGTGTTCAAATATCTATCCCTGGTCACATCTTTAACTGTAACAGTTGGCCACTTTCTTTACATTTCTGAACTTCAGTTGCCTTATCAACCAATGGGAATAATAAAACCTATAATCTCACAGGGCATTTGTGAGCCTTAAAAGGGATATTGCATGTTAAACCTTGGCATTTGCTCAAGTTGGTGCTCAATAAATGTTAATCCCCTTCTCTTCCCCCACCTTCCCTTTACTAAGGATGGCAAACGAGCCTAAGGAACTAGTTAAAATACTTGGAGCATATATATTTGTGAACTGAATTTACCCAAATATTCTTTCTTCACCCATGTGCAAGCAATACCCATACATGGATGAAATTACCTATTCATTTGTCTGAAAATGGTCAGAACTAGGAAACCAGGGATTAGTGTATCTGAACCAGGTCTAGTATGTCTCTCCTCTTCAGCATGGGGAAGACCCTCAATGTCCTAGGGAGAATGAACAGTCCAGTTGAATGAGTGGTTACTGTGTGTGCCAGACATTGAGCAAATTTAACCTTCACACAATAAAAGACACGTTCCCTGGCCTTGAGGAGCTTGCGGGGATGAGCATGCACTCAACTTACTACCTGCAACAGACAGTGAAAGAAGAGTAACTGAGGGTAGAGCTCAGTGCTATGAGAATAGGGAGGAGAGAAGGATTGATTTAGACTAAGATCAGGGAGACATTTTAGTTGGGTCTTGAAAGATGAGCAGATAAGGAGGATAAGGAACATTGAAAGGAGAAGAAGGAGAACAAGGAAATACCAGGCAGAAGAAACAGCCTGTGAACACCCGTAGAGGTGGGGGTTTATAGAAAGGGGAATGGTGCTGTGTGGGAATAAGATGTGAGAGAGGAAGAAGGCAAGGAGATAAAGTTGTAATGATGAGCTTGGACTTCATCCCATAGACTCTGGGGAAACAGTCAAGGGGGTTAAGCAGGGATGTGATGTGAGCAGAACGCAAGTTTGTGGCAACCAGCACAAGCATGGGGGATGAACTGATGCAACCCCTCAATTCAGTAAGAACTCTGCTTACAGCTCACAGTCCCCTTCTCTTCTAGATTTGGCCTCAGCCTTGTCCCACAGAGTGAGACACGAAACCCAACAAATACCAAGAACACAGGTGATCAGAATAGGCAGCCAAACCGACAGTCTTCTGCACTTTGTGGCAATAAGCCTTCATTTAAGATTAAAAAGGCTACGAATTTTTTCTTACCTGGAGTCTCCCAATTGCCACGAGGCAATATTTACTGCCTTGTCCCACATCAGCGTCTTCTTCAGGTATGGTCATTCCTGAAATGGGAAATACCTGTGTCATCAACAATATGCCCAAGGTGAATGGGAAAGAAGAAAAGTGTCCACGATTTTATTTAAGCAATCGAAAATACAGTGAGTGTTGGCCATGCAGGGCTGGGAAGCCAGCCAATGAATTAACCAGTTCCTCACTCAGTTCCTGCTTCTCTCTGCCTGATGTCTTTTGATAATTTTATGGTACATTATCATCTCCATCTGTGGATGATGCAGAGGAAATTAAGGAAGATGAAATGGAAATAGTTATTCTGTACACTTGTACAACTTGGACAAAACATTTATTTAGGATATTTCAGTAAGAAGCCAATATGGGTCTTTCAGCTTATGTAAATATCTCTCTTATCTGCTGACAAAGAATGAAACAAAGACCATCTGAGGCAAAAGAAACACAAGTAAAAACCACTGAAGCTGGTTACTAACTTGTCAGGCAAGGGAGCACAACCAGTGTTTCCCCTTGTAGGGGGAAGTCAGGGTTGTTTAAGGGCTAGAAAGGAGACACTGGTGATGGTTATGCTAAGCACTGAAAACTAGTGCTCCAGATAGAAAGGAACTGGTTAAAACAATCCTCACTCTTCACAGGGGTTAGAAAACAGTCTTCTGTTTGGTCCAATGTGGGTCTGGTATCTGGGGTCCTTCACAGTGCAAGGTTCTTAAACATCTGCAGTTGGTTAGAACTGTCGTAGTGAAAACAAGCATTCCTTTTTGATACCTCATAGGCAAGTGCTGTTAAGTAGAACATTTCCTTTTACACTGCATGACACTTAACGCAAATATTTCCACACTGGGTCGGACCAAGGGTTCACAGTGATAGAGTCACACAAGTACAGTGACAGCCCCTCACTCCAGACATTGATAAGAGCACGTTAAATATCACTATGGTTTTGTGAGCCGGAGAAATGTCACTCTCACTACACTACATTCTGTCTTCTTTCCATCCTTGTTCCATTCACCCTCTGTAGGTGACCAGTCTCTTTCATTTCTGGTTTATCCTTACTGCATTTCTTTTGCACAAATGTGCAGATACATGTACACTTTCTCATGTCCTCTTCTTTCTTCTATGAAGAGCTGTTTACTGTAGACACTCTTGGGCTTTGCTTACTTCACTGAACACTATGTCCTGGAATTCACTCCATATTCATTCATACAGCTCTTCCTCAATTCTTTTTTATAACTGCACACTGCTTCATCTTATTGATGTGCCATGATTTATTCAACCACTAAATACTGGACGTTTAGGTGTTTCCAATATTTTGCAATGAGAAACAATGCTGCAATGAATAACCTTGTGCATATGTGTTTTATTATCATCAGAAGTGCGTTTTCGGAGTGGATCCCTAGAAGTGGGATTGCTGGGTCAAAAGGTAAGTGCATATGTAGTTTTGTTTTGCCAAACTTTCCTCCAGAAGGGTTGCACCAATTTGCATTCCCACCAGGAATGTATAGGAGGTCTGCTTCCCCAGAGTCTTGGCCAACAGAATGTGCTGTCACATTATTTAATGTTTGTCAGTCTGACAGGTGAGAAGTGATTTCTTAGTGTTGTCCTAATTTGCATTTCTCTAATTATGAGTGAGTTTGAACATTACTTTTTATGTTTGAGGATCATTTTTTATATCTTGTTTTTTAGTGAATTGTCTGCTTCTGTCTCTTTCCCATTTTTCTATTTGGATCTTTTGCCTGTCCATTTTTAAGAGTTCCCTGTATTTGGGATATTAAATCCTTGCGGTATATGTTATGAATATGTTCTTCCAGATGGTCCCCTGTCTTTTGACTTTGTGGTGATTTAAAAATTTCAAAAATTTTATGTGGTAAGATTTATCAACCTTTTTTTACCTCTGGAGTCTGAGTCATAGTTAGAAAGCTATTTCTTACACAAAGCTTAAGGAAAAATTCACTCTTGTTTTCCTCTGATACTTTTATGGTTTTATTTTTCACATTTAGATCCCTAATCCATTCAGAGTTATTCTTTTGGGAGTTTTGGGATATTAATCTAATTTTATCTTTCTCTAAATAGCTATCCAGTTGCCCCATCAACATTTTCTTAAATTGCAGTGATTTGAGATGCCAACTTTATCATATAATTTCCATACATGTTTGGGTCTAATTTTGGACTGTCTCTTCTATTGCACTGCCCAATTGTCTATTCAGGCACTAGTACCATACTATTTTAATTATAGAGGCTTTATTGTATGTTTTAATGTCTGGTAGGACTATTCGTTGTATTTTTTCTTGGCTATTCTTGAAGGTATGTTTTTCCACAGGAACTTTGATAGTACCAACTTATCTGACTCCATAAAATAGCTTGATAATATTTTTATTAGGATTGCATTGAATTTGTAAATTAACTTCAGGAGAACTGACATCTCCTGAAGTTACAATGTTGAGTTATCCTCCCAAGAACAAAGGATGTTTTCTCATTTGTTTAAACCTACTTTTGTGTCTTTCAGGACTGTTTTCAAATTTTCCTCATATATACTTGTACTTTGTGTACTCATTAAAATTATTCCTAAGTATTTAATCCTGTTTTTACTATTGTAAATGTGGCTTTCTCTACCATTATAGCCTCTGTTTATTGTTTATGTATATGAAGGCTATTGATTTTCATATATTAACCTGAATTATTTGTTTCCGTTTTATCACTGATTCACTAGGCTTTTCCAGGTGTAATATTATATAATCTGAAAACAGAGACAGTTTTCCTTTTTCTTTGTGCATTCTTTTGCCTCTAATTTCTCTTGTTTAGTTGTATGGGATAATATGTCTATTATAATTGTGAATAGTAGTAGAGATAGTGGGCATTATTGCCTTGTTTCTGATCTTAGTGGAAATGTCTCAGGGCTTTCTCCATTAAATATCACCTTTTGGACTAAGATATAACATGCACGCACACACATTTATCATATTAAGTAATTATCCCTCAATTATTGTTTAGCATTTTTGCAAATCTCTTTAATGCCTTGGTTAATAATGGACAGCTGGATTCTAATATCTGCTCTGCACTCAATCTGCTACAATATGTTGTTTTAGTTGAGGCATATGAAGAAAATATGGCCTCACACAGATATGGAAAAGAGAGAAAAAGGGGAAGCTTTTTCAGAATACTGAGTATATTCTCCTTTGGTATTTTTCCAAATCTTGACAAGTGTTAGTTTCTTAAAGGCTAATTGTAATATAAAATCCAAAACTATATGAATGAATTTTTCATACTGTCATATTGTAATATTCAATACAATATTAAAATAGGCTAGTTTGTCTAACACTTTAGATAGATCTTTTACCCATCACATAATTTTACATACTATGTATTGGTCATTTGGAAAATACTAGTTCACCGTATTATACAGACCTTCTAAATGTTGACACATTGCATTATACAACATTAAAAAAAACTGCACTTGTTAATACCACCATGTATCTCATCAGAAACATCTCTAGATACTGGTCAAAATTATGGTGACAGATACAAGCTTTCCAAAACTCAAATTTTTATTAGAAAATCTGAATTTTACCACTGACAACAAATACTGTCAATTGTTTTCCTTGAAGTGACAAGTTCAATTTTTTTTGAGAAAATATCTGCTAAATACATAAGTTATAATAACCACCATTTGTTTGTTAGTCATTCTTTCAAGCAAAAACTATGTTCCATGGAAAAAACACCTAGTTCAGCTCACAGCCCAAAGGAAGCATACATGCTTTCCCCTGACACAATCCCTGTGCTTTGGTATGCTGCAGAAGTTGCTTTATGCAAGTTTTCCATCCGGGGCTTAATACAACTCATAATTTTTACTGCCTCTTCAGGGACATTCTTAAGTGAAGCCGGCATTTAAACATTTTTAAATTATTTTTTAATTGCAAGTGTGTAGTGATAAAGAATACAATGACCACCAGGACAGCTTGGTATCACTGCTTTGATTCACGCTAAGGCCCAGCAAGTTTACCCACCAATGCTTTTTACGCCATCAGCGCAAATGTTGACACACAGAAAGCAGCAAATAACATCTCAGTGTTATTATGAGAATAGTTTTAACTTTGTGTGCCCTTGAAGACGTTTCAGGGACTCCCAGGGTCCATGGACCACACCTTGATAACTGTTGCTGCTCTATGCATTGCCATTCCCCAGAGTTTTATACCTCATCTTGTCTCTTTTTATATCATTTTTCCATTGCCTCTATTTCTTTCTTTCCGTTTATTGTTTTGTTTTGTTTGGTTTTTTTTTTTGAGATGGAGTTTCACTCTGTCGCCCAGGCTGGAGTGCAATGGCGTGATCTCGGCTCACTGCAACTTCCACCTCCCGAGTTCAAGCGATTCTCCTGCCTCAGCCTCCTGAGTAGCTGGGATTACAGGCGCCTGCCACCGCACATGGCTAATTTTTGTATTTTTAGTAGAGACGGGGTTTCACCATCTTGGCCAGGCTGGTCTTGAACTCCTGGCCTCATGATCCACCTGCCTCAGCCTCCCAAGGTGCTGGGATTATAGGCATGAGCCACCGCGCCCAGCCATTGCCTCTATTTCTAACCATACATTTATGAGACCCAAGACTATGTCTCTAGTCGAGATGTTCCTTTGCAGTTCCAGATCTTGCCTTCACTTACCTACTGAAAATGTCTACCTCAGTCTCACAGGTCTTTCAAAATCGTGCCCAAATCTCTCTACCAAAACATCCTCCTCTTTCTGCTCTCCATGGAAAAGACCACTAGTGACATACATCATTTACATTCTCTCCTTCCATGCTAAGGAACCTTGATTTATTCAGAGCGGCAATGTGCCTGCTCCATTAGAGTTAGAGGTGTTCAACTGACATGGCTCTGGCCTATCAGATGGATGCAGAAGTCATGAGCATGGCTTTTGGGAACACTCCTTTCCATATGAAACATAGATATGACCGGGGAGTGCTAGCAGCCATCTCGAAAGGCAGGAAAGCCAGGGTCACACAATAACGATTGTGGAGTGAAAGCTGAGAGAAGGAGTCCTTGCTTACATCACAGAATCATTGTACTAACTCTAGATTGTCTACCTTTGGATATAAAATAGATTTATTTAAGGCCCTGATATTTGGGATTTTCTGTTATACGCAGCAAAACTCAATCACTTACTGGTATACATTCTAATCTCTATTAGAAGCAGCACTACCAGCAGTAACATCTGTCACTTAATTAGACTGACCAGCAGCCAAACCTACGTCTTACTTGAAAGAAATCCTCCTTTATGAGTGATCATGGTGGAAGACGGTATACTAGCTTCCACTCTGGAAGTCAAAGAAGCTAGATTTTACCTCCCTGTATCCTTCCGGGGTGAAGGGATGGTTCAAATTCATCAGCAGAACAAAGCACAGTGTCCTGAGCAGGCTGCTGCTACTAACAGATATTCCCTGGGCTTCATGCTTCTTTAACCCATGGAAGCTGCCTAGGTTTCTGTTCATTTTCCAAAGCTGGCCCCCTTTGAATGATGGGACTCATTAACATTTATCTAAGAATTCTCTTTTTGCTAATGACATCTAGAGTTGTCTTCTGTTATGTATTAGTGACTGCATATCTCAGGTTAGAAATCTTAGCATCATCCTGCACTATTCCTTCCTCTCACCAGTTGCATATCAATGGACACCAAACCTGTCTGCTTCGACTTCAGTTAGCTCTCCAATCATCTCCTCTCTACCCTGTCGTCTATATCACTCCTAGAAGTTGGCCACACCATTCCTCTGCAGGGAATAAACACAAATCAAAAGTCTTCATTCCAGCACACATGGCTTTTCATGACATTTACCATGTACCTACAGTTCCTCCAAACACCAAATACCAGTCAGGACTCACATGAACAGCACACATGTGCCTTTAAGGATGTCCAGTTTCTTGCCCCTCAGGAATTTAAAGAGCCCTGCCCTCTTTCAAGAGGACCAGGTGATTCTAGAATGATGAGTTGGGCTGGGCAGCAGCACACTCAGCTGACTAAAGAGCTAGCTCTGAAAGCACAGAAATAACTTACAGTAGGAGCCCCAAAGCAATAAGGAAGAAGGTGTTCTCCTGCTCAGTAGATGGACAAGGGTTACTGCCCCAAGGTCTGAGATGAAGGAAGATAGGATTCCACATGGCAATGGAGTTTCAGGGTAGGAGGTGTCCTTAGAAGACACTGAGCCCAACACCCTCATGAGACTTCAATCCCATGTCCATCTATTGCTGCTTGAACTCCTCCAGTGGTGGGGTGGTCACTATAGCCCCAGACAACTCAGTCTATCTATCTCCTTGAAGATTTCGCCTGCTGGTCCTGGACTTGCCCTTAGAGTCATACATTCTTCTGCTGTGTAGCCCTTTAGACAAGTGAAGAATATGACTGAGTTTCTGAGTCTTTTCCGTTCTGGGACAAACATCCTTCCATCATTTAAACTGTTCTTCCTACAAAAATAGTTTGCCTCTCTATATTCTTGTCACATTTCTGAATATGTTTCTGATTGCCTCTATTTCCCTAAAATGTGCCCACAGTACTTTAGGTGTGATCATTACAGAGGCCTTTCACATCCTCTGGTCTGTAAGCCTGGCTTACTGATAATAAATGAAGTGCATTCAGGAAGCAAGGTGTGAGTTATGCTGACAGTTCCCCATAACCAGAGCAACTTTTATTTAGTCGTTGCTTTTTAAATCACAATGGAGTTATGCTTCCAGCCAAGATGAAATAACAGATCAGATTTACCTTCTTGTCAGAAACAAACACACACAAACAAAGAAAAAAACAAAACAAATGCAAGAAATGATGGTTTAGAAGACACTAGATATCAGGCAATGAACAAGAGCAATCCCTGAGAAATGGGTAACAAATACGACAAGCCTGGTGACTGCCCCTAGCTCACAGCCTTAAGAGAGTTTTCAAGCCAGCAACTTAAATTTCACAATGTCTAGCATCAAATAAAAAATTACCAGGCATGAAACAAAGCTGGAAAATACAACCCATAATGAAGGAAAACAGACCAAGCTGCCAAAACATGACGCAGAACTGACACAGATTTTAGAATTAGCAAACAAACACATTAACACAGTTATTATAACTGCATACTAACAGTTAAGTAGAGCTGTGGAAGAAGCAAAAGGACCCAAAGCAAACTTCTGGAGATGAAAGCTACAATGTCTGACATTTTAAAAATGTACTAGATGGGGCTGGGTGTGGTGGCTCACACCTGTAATCCCAGCACTTTGGGAGGCTGAAGTGGGCAGATCACTTGAGGTCAGGAGTTTGAGACCAGCCTGACCAACATGGTGAAACCCCGTTTCTACTAAAAATACAAAAATTAGCCGGGCATGGTGGCACGTGCCTGTAATCCCAGCTACTCAGGAGGCTGAGGCAGGAGAATCACTTGAACGTGGGAGGCGGAGATTGCAGTGAGCCGAGATCAGGCCAATGTACAACAAAGTGAGACTCTGCTCAAAAATAAAGTAAAATAATAAAAAATTAAAATGTACTAGATGGTATTAATTGCATATTAGACAAGGTAGATTAGTAAACTTGACATAACAATAGAAACAATCCAAAATGAAAGATAGAAAGTAATAAAAATGTTCTTTTTCAATAAAATGAGTATCAGTGATCTCATTGGAAAACTTCAAGTGGCCTAATACACTTAAAAGTCTGTGAAGGAGGAGGGAAGGAACATGGAAAAACATTTGAAGAAATAATGGCTGACAATTTTCCAAATTTGATACAAAGTATAAATCTTTGATAGCAAGTATATCCCATCATGACACGGGATACTGTCAGCTTGAAATGAGAATGAGCTCATACAGAAGTGCCCACTGTAGCTGTGGCTGAAATCAGAGTTGGGCCACATGGATATGAAAGTGGAAGCGGACACCACAAGGACCTGTTAGAGTGATCTAATCTCTCTGACCCTCTGTTACCTTATACATAAAATGGGTATCAGAATGCTCACCTTATGGGATGCTAGAAAGATGTGTGTGGAGCACCCCACCTGAGGCCTGAATGTCAGCTTCCTTCTCATTTACCTGACCTGCTTCCCCAGTTGCTGGTAAACATATGTTTGTGGGCAAAGAAGGCAAGAGGCATATACGCACTTTTCTTTTTTTTTTTTTTTTTTTTTTTTTTTGACCGGGTCTGGCTCTGTTATCCAGGCTGGAGTGCAGTGGCGCGATCTTGGTTCACTGCAGTCTTGACCTCCCAGGCTCAAGCCATCCTTCCATGTCTGCCTCCTGAGTAGCTGGGACCACAGGCAGGTGCCACTACACTGGCTAATTTTTTTTGTATTTGTTGAGATGGGGTTTCACCATGTTGCCCAGGCTGGCACAAATGCGCTTTTGCCATACTTAGGAATCAGGAATCAATGCCACAGGCCAGGCAGGAAGCAGAGAAAACAGCATAAAGAACCCTCTAATCCAGCTGGCATAAAGAAAATGATGTTCTTCTCAGTCCTATCCTTTGGAGGGATCTTTCGGTAATAGGGTCTGACTGGCTAAAACTTGAGATCATCTACCTAGAGATAACAAACTCCAGTTCCTTCATTTGTTCCTCATTCAATGAGCATCAATGAAGAACTTCCGCAGATTTTTTTAAATACCCATAAATTTTCTTTATATTCCTTCCATCAAGGGTTGAAGTTAGATTCCTCTGCAACTATTTGACCAATAAAATACAGTGGAAGTGACACTATGTGACTTCTAGACTAGCAGCTCAGATATTGAGGAGCAGAAACATGCCATCCTACTATACCCTGTCTAATTCCTAATGCACAAAATCTATGAATATAATAAAATAGTGGTGGTTTTATGCAAATCAATAAAATAAAATAATTCTCAATTGTAAGTTTCATCAGCCTAGAAGTGAATAGAAAGAGACTTGATGGGGGCCCTAAGATACCAGTCCTTTAAGCACATAAGGGAGTTCATCTGTAAGAATGCATTTTAATCAACCAAGTAGAATAATGTTAAAATAACAAGCTGGCTTTACAGAAGTGAAGTGGGAAAGCTGCAACTTACTAAAAAGTTTATGTCTTAATATGGGCAAAAAATGTTTAGTTGTGAATGAGATTCAAGTGTGTGTATGTAAAATTTCCAGAATGTCTTCAGTAAATTCAAATTCATTAACGGAATGAATGCTTTATGTGCCTAAGTGTGATGTTCTCAGGACACTGGGCTCAGCTTCCCTGTGGAAGGGATGTCATCTAAGTCAGAAGGGCCAGCATTTGTAAAGGAGGCCCTGACACCAACACTGACGAGCAGCCACAGAGATCCAACTGCCAGTGAACCTGTGGCCATTGCCACTCACGTGACCAGGGTCTTGATGGATGACTGCAGGAAGGCAGTAGGGGAGGGCTCTGCCATTAGCAGGTGGAAAAGATTTAGGATTAAGTTCACACATGCTGTTTGTGACAAAATGCCTCTACGACAGGGCAGGACTGTGCAATCTACATATTGTCATCTGGATATCGGATGTCTTTCTATCTTCCAAGCATTGTTTGCACAATATCCTCTAACAGTACATGACCTTTAAAAGTGGGTTTTACTCCTACTACTCAATAACAAAAACACAAATATCCTCAATTAAAAAATGGTCAAGACGGATTAAAGATTTAAATGTAAGACCTAGAAGAAAATCCTAGGAAACACCATTCTGGATATCAGCCTTGGGAAAGAATTTATGACTAAGTTCTAAAAAGCAATTGCAACGAAAAAAATTGACAAGTAGGACCTAATTAAACAAAAGAGTTTCTGCAAAGCAAATGAAACTATCAACAGGGTAGGCAGACAGCCTACAGAATGAGAGAAAATATTTGCAAACCATGCAACTAAAAAAGGTCTAAGACCCAGAATCTATAAGGAACTTAAACAATTCAACAAGTAAAAACCAAATAACCCCATTAAAAAGTGGGTAAAATATATGAACAGACACTTCTCAAAAGAAGACATACAAGTAGCCAACAGACACATGAAAAAATGCTCAACATCACTAATCATCAGAGAAATATCAAACAAAACCGCAGAGATACCATCTCACACCAGTCAGAATGGGTATTATTAAAAAGTCAAAAAACAACAGATGCTGGCAAAGCTGCAGAGAAAAGGGAATGCTTATACACTGTTGGTGGGAATGTAAATTAGTTCAGCCACTGTGGAAAGCAGCAGTTTGGAGAGTTCTCAAAAAACTTAGAACTACCGTTTGACCCAGCAATCCCATTACTGGGTATATATCCAAAGGAAAATGTAAATTGTTCTACCAAAAAGACATGTGCCCTCATCACAGCATTATTCACAATAGCAAAGACATAAAATCAATCTAGGTGCCCATCTAGAGTGGACCAGATAAAGAAAATGTGGTACATATACACCGTGGAATACTACATGGCCATAAAAAAGAATGAAATCATGTCCTCTGCAGCAACATGGATGCAGCTGAAGGCCATTATTGTAAATGAATTAATGCAGGAACAGAGAGCCAAATACCACATGTTCTCACTTATAAGTGGGAACTAAACATTGGGTACTCATGGATATAAAGATGGCAACAATAGACACTGGGATTACTAGATGGGGGAAGGAGGAGGGCAAAGGTTTCAAAACTACCTATTGGGTACTATACTCACTATGTAAGTGATGGGATCAACCATACCCTAAACCTCAGCATCAGCAATATACCCAGGCAATAAACCTGCACGTGTACCTACTGAATCTAAAATAAAAATTGAAATTACAAAAAAATAAAATGAGCAAAGGATCTGAATATTACTCCAAAGAAGACATACAAATGGCTAATAAGCACATGAAAAGAGCTCAACATCATTTGTCATTAAGGAAACAGAAATCAATTCCACAGTGAGATACCTCTTCACACCCATTAAGATGGCTATCATAATTTACAAAAAAACGCAATCATGTGTTAGTGAAGATACGAGAAACTGGAACACTCACACACTGCTGGTGGAAATGTAAAATGGTGCGACTATTCAGAAAACAGTCTAGCAGTTTCTCATGAGGTTAAACGTGGAGCTACCACAGGACTCAGCAATTCCATTCTTAGGTCACATCCAAGAGAAATAAAGCTATATGTCTGCATAAAAACTGGACTCTTGGCTGTTGTGAATTGTGCTGCAATGAACATGGGGGCATAGATATCTCTTTGATATATTGATTTCTTTTCCTTCGGATAAATACCCAGTAGTGGGATTGCTGGATCATGTGGTAGTTCTATTTGTAGTTTTCTGAGGAACTTTCATACTGTTCTCCTTAGTGGTTGTACCAATTTACACTCCCAAGAACAGCGTATAACAGTTTCCTTTTCTCCGCATCCTTGCCAACATTTATTATTAATATTTTTTGTCTTTTTGATAATAGCCATCCTAGATGGGGTGAGATAATACCTCATTGTGATTTTGGTTTGCATTTCCCTGAGGATTAGCAACACTAAGATAATTTTTTTCATACATTTGAGCATTTTGTTCATACATTTTTTGGCCATTTCATACTCAATCTTTGAATAGATTTTCCAGTGACTGGATTAGGTTTTTCATGTAGATAATCATGACATCTCCAACAATGTTAATTCTGTCTTCCCTTACTTTTCTACCTCTTAAGTAATTATATTTTATTTCCTTAACTTATTGGCTTGGAAATTCCAAAACATTGTTGAATAACAATGAGCATTCCTCTCAGATTCTTCACTTTTTTGAGAACCCTTCTAATATTTAATCACTCTGCATAAGATATTAATTATGGTTTCAAGTGTGTGTTTCATCTATGTTAAGAAAATATATTTCTATTATTAGTTTACAAAGATATTTCTCCATTAAAAATTAATACCTAAACTTATATTTTGTCAATAGTTTTTTTCCTTGAATTATTTACATTAGCAGATTTCCTAATGATAAACCACCCAAGCATTTTTGTCATTAGTATGTATTTCTATAACTATTAATTTGATTTGCTAGCATTGTATTTAGTATCTTTATCCTAACACATGAAATTGGGTTCATAGTTTGTAGGTTTTTGTTTCAAAGTTGTGCTAACTTCACAAATCAGTCTACTTTCTAACTTTTCTCATGCTCTGGAAGTGTTTAAATAATTTGCCCATAAAGCTTTCAAGGCCTGGAACCATTTGGGGTGCAGTTTTGTCAGCTTTCTCAATTTTTTGCCTAGCTTTGATCTTTTCTCATTAAAAAAATACAAAAGAAAAAAAATTTTTTTTGATTCAAATTTGGTTACTTCCTTCCTTCCAGGAATTAGCTTTCTTTTGAAAAGTTTTGACACATAAAAATCTAAGTTATGCACACTATTTGTTCATAAACTTTTAAACTTTGTTAAATTGATTTATTCTTAATATTCATTTATTTTCATTCTTTTTAAAATTACAATAGACTTGTCAGGGATTTTCTCTTTTACCAGTCTTGATGAAGAATTATTTATCAATTGGATAATACTTTGGTTTTCTAATTTAATTTTTCTTATTTTTACTTCTTTTATTAATTGCTTCCTCTCAGTTTGCCTATGGCATTCTATTATTCTTTTTCTATTTTCATTAGTTAATAATTCATAAGTAAAATTTTTAGTTTTCCCACATTTAATAATAAAAACATTTTAAGCCACAGGTTTCCTCTAAACATTGTTTTGGCCACATCCCCTTGATATGGAGTGGGGCCATGGTTTTAATTACAAAATAGTCCATATTTAGTGTTTTGATTTCCATCCTTCACCAGAAGCTAGTTGGGACAGGTTCCTTTGTACAAATAACTGATTTTTAAAAATGTAACTTTTTGTTATGAATTTTTAGATTTATTGCACTGGGATTAAAAAAATGGGCTTTCCAAGTTCTATAAGTTTGAGATTTACTAAAATTTTGAAAATCCATTATTAAAATGTTAAAATTTGACATTGAATATCTATGCATGTGGAATCAAGATTATTGGCCATATTATATAATCCTCTAAATCCTCATTTACATTTCAATGGCTTCATTTGTCAAAATCTGAAAAAAGTACATTAAAGGTATAATGCAAAAGGTGGTTTATTTAATTTCTTCTTGTATGTCTAATAGTTTTGCTTCATATATTTAAATATTATAAAATTTCATGACTTCTTTGTTTTACTATGAACTCTTCGTTTTGGCAATATAAATATACCTTTCCATTTCCATTAAACACATTCTGTTTCAAATTTACTTAGCTCAACATAAATATTCCTTCATCTTCACATGGCATTCTCCTTGTGTCCCACGTCTGTGTCCAAATTCCCCCTTTTATAAGGACATCAGTCATACTGGATTAGGGACTCACTCTAATAGGTAGGTATGACCTCATCTTAACTAACTATATGCAAAAAGACCCTATTTCCAAATATGGTCACATTTTGAAGCACTGTTATAAATAGTTAGACAGGTAGGGGTGGGGCAGGAGAGGGCTCCCCCTGCAACCCCTCCTGCCAGGGATGTCAGTGGTAACACGGGTACCTTCCACCAGTAACTGTACTGGAGGTTGGGACTTCAACATAGGAATTTTTGGAGGTACACAAATATTTTATATGTTTATTCTTGCCCTTTTCTCTACCAGGTCAGGCATGGCAGGCGTACAGCACAGGAACTGAGAGAACCTGCTCCTGTATCCATGGCAGGCATCACAGATTGATCATGGACATTTTCCCACTAGTTACAGAAGCAGATCCTAAACAGTTAATCAAAACATATCATGAAATCAAACCTACTTGTCATTAAAAATATTTAGTGTTTTAATATAAAGTTGTATAAATTCTCTCAATAATAATTAGGTTAAAATTTTAAGTAGTGATATTGGTAAACCTGGGTACCTTCTGGTGAGGTACTGCAGGGGGTATAACTGGGAGATGCCAAGAGGAATTTAGTCGCCATTCACCAAAATTCCTGCTGTGTTCTAAGTTCTGTGTTCAGGAGTTTAAATAATATGGTCCTTGTCCTCTTGGACTGCCAGGTAAGCAGAGGAGACAAACAGATGCAAAAATGGCCATAATACAACGCAGGAAGTGAGAAAGTCCATACAAACCAAGTGGCTGAGAAGCTGGTGGCAGAACTGGTGAAGGTTCCTTGGAGCAGGACTCATCAGAATTGGCCTTTGTACATTTGGTGGGACCAGCAGAGCCTGCGAAAAGAGTGCTCTGGGCTGAGGATGAAAGAGTGCTCTAGGTTTAAGGGGGAGGGAGGGGCAATGTCATGTAATGATGGCTCTGGCACAGTCACACTGAACATCACCCTGAGGCCACCAGCTTGAGGCTTTGAGCACCCCTGCAGTCAGGTCAGGGCAGAGGCTCCTCCATAGCCTGTCATGTAAGATAAATGACCACAAAAGCACTTCATTCATCTGGAAATTACCCCTTTACAAATCTCAGCTGACAGGAACAAGGTCTCTGTGCAGCCGTGACAGATGCCCCAAAGGCCAAGCACTAAAACCTAGGATGCTTCACTCAGGAAAGTCAGCTGGTTCCTGACTCACAGCCTGTTTTGCTTCCTTTTACCCATGATGCTGATACAGGAGTTAAGAAGAAATTATTTAGGCAGATAGTGGGGGTAAGGAAGTCCTCGGTAAGGTTTTCCTTTAATGAAAAGCAGCTCCCAAATCATTTTCTTTTCTAACAAAGAACAGCTTGTAAAATTGAGCTGCAGACATAGACAAGGAAGCTGGAAGCTTGCACGGGTGAATATCAGCAGCTGTGTCAATACGAAAAGGGTACCTGGGGGCTACACATGTCCAATAGGGTGGCTCCATCTTCCCCTTTCCTTGTCAACCAGGTGCACAGTAAGGGGCAGGCAACATCGCACTGGCCAAGTAGAGATCCCATTTGCATAATAAAAGATTAGGGTGGGGTGGCCAGATTCCTGGCAAGCTATGTAAACGTCACACCTGGTCCAACCAATCTTCAGGCCTTGTGTAAATCAGACCCTGGCTCCTCAAGCCTGTCTATAAAACCCTGTGCACTCTGCTGGTCCCACTCGGGCACCCCTGTCTCACAGGAGAGAGAACTGTTCTCCTTTCTCTTTCTTTTGCCTGTTAAACCTCTGCTCTTAACCTCACTCCACGTGCCTCTGTGTCCTTGATTCCTCAGCATGAGGCAACGAACCTCGGGTATTTACCCCAGACAACCATGCTGCTTCAATGCCAGCAAGTTGTGCTGTTTGGTTTTCTAGACCATAATAAAAGGATGTGATTGGATTGGGTCGGTGTAAAAGCAGACATGCAGAGAGAAACAAGAAGTGTCAGCTACCAGCAGGAGGTAGGACAGCAAATCCTTACATAAAAAGACATAAAAATAACTGAAAAACAAACAACAAACAAAACAACAAACACCACAGGGACATGGGCTGAAAAGCTTCACGTACTTGGAAAAGCCCCGAGGACATCTCTGAATGGAAAGCTCTGCGTTTGTAATGAGTGCTCTGAGTAAACAGAGAAAGAGGAAAGCATGTCCGGGGCCTTTTATTTAAACAGACAAAAAAAAAAAAAACCTGTGTGATGCAAAACAACATAAGCAAAATTAAAAGACAAAGACAGGTTGAACGGAAATCTTTGTAGCACATACAGTAATCAGACAGCTAACCTTCATAATGTTTTAAAGACCTCATAGGAGAAAATCAGAAAAGCACAAATCCCCCAGTAGAAAAATGGGCACACAGCATGAACAGGCAATTCACTAGGAAATAGACAGCAAATATATCCAGGGAAGATGCTCAATTTCACTAATGAAGAAAATCTAATTTAAAATATGTCATTCCTCTCCCCCACAAACTATCAGACTGGCAAAACTGACAAAAGAATAAAAACATCTAGAGTTAGTAGTGTAACAGTGAAACAGCAAAATAATGAACATAACGGACTCCATTTTTGTTTAAGAGGCCTTTACCCATTCCTGCCTGTAGGCTAGGAAGATTTTAGAGCACTGACATAACGATTGCAAAAACAGCAATCACGTGTTTTATAAAACTAACTCTGGGACTAAAGGAGAAATATGTAAACAACTAACTATGTTTTTGTTAAAGATTTGTAGGAGCATTGTGACCTGACCAAGCACAAAAAAGTTCCCAACCTCATTGGATCCTTGCTCCCAGATGTCTGCGGTAGTCCATTATCTCTTGATCCTACCCACCTCCTCTTCCTCCTGCCCTGAATGTAGAAAGAGCCTAAAATTTGTACTGACTTCAGATGGTACTTTAGGATGCTGATCCACCATCTTCCTGATTTGTTGGGTCTCTGAATAAATCTGCTGTTCCTCCCACTAAATCTTGTCTCTCCTGTATGGCTTTTGAGTAGAGAACGGCTGAACCTGGGTTCAGGTACAGTAGGAGTGTGGGAAAAAAGGTATACCTATCCTGTTCGGCAGGGTAACTACCAAAACTTAAATGTATCATTCCTATAGCACTTCTTAGCTATCTTCAGAAATACCAGTATTCATGGATAATGATTCAAATGCGAGGACGTCCACTGCAGTATCTTTTGCAAGAGCTGCAGACTGAAAACAAGATTCATGTTCCCAGTGGGGAATGGCTGGCAGAATATTATGCAGCCATTTAAAGGAACAAGGTAGAATGAATTAATACAAATCTGTATTCATTTGGAAAGGTATTTATGACATCCAAAATAAGCTAAAAAGAAACAAGACCATGTAGTAAAATATACATGAGCTCCATTTTTTAAATACAAAAGTCTAGAACGAGAAGTGCTAGAATATTGTCAATTGGTTTTTAGGGGTTGGACTAGGGTAGGAAGGGGGACTATTCATAACCTTTTAAAAATTTAAAAGCAAGTTCAGTTTACAAGTAATTTTTACTTTATTTCGCAAAGTTTTCTATATCTTTCAAGTTTCACTAATGAACATGCACCATTTTTGTAATCATTTTCTTAAAAAGACAAAAAAAAAAGAAGGTAAGCAATGATGTTTTGGTACTTAAAAAGTTACGCTTTGCAGAGCTGGGAAATTTTCTCACGTTGTACATCATTCTCAAACAATGCCAGAAAGACGAGTGTGGTGTACCATTCCGACTCTAGAACCCTGCCCCTCAATGATCAAATTGAGAGATAACATGCCTGATGATGGTAGGAGTTTAATTCTAAAACATTTGGCAGAGTTGGAACATTTCTTTCCAAATTTACTGCCACTAAATCATGGAAATGAAAAAGCATCTTCCTTTGCCTAGAGGGGAAGTTGCAAATGAGTATTTTCTGTACAAACTTGGACTTAGAAGACAGAGCTTCATTTCCAATAAATCAGAATCTGTAAACACAGTGTTTGCTACAGGGCCATAAAAATAAAGACACAGTGAGGTGAAAAGAGGACATCAGGAAAATGGAATGAGGGGGCACAACAACTGTCCCTCTTGGGGCCTCATCAGTAAAGAAAGAAGTGGGCCAGGAGGCCCCCAGGCTTCTGCCCACTGTGTGCTTCTGAGTTAGCTTCATCTTCACTGGCACAGGAGCAGTGGGATTCAATGGGAACACAGTTGGTCATTTCTCAAGGGAGGCAGAGGAACCTAGAACCTTGAATCCTTTCCATGCCTTAGCTGTGGAATTTCATTGTTATTTTCAACTTTCAGTTGTAAAAAATTCACAGAAACCATGACATGCTTCATTGGCTGGCTTCTCCCCCATGTCTCACTTCTAGAAGCTGAAAATGCCCCTCAGAGCAGGATGGGCATCTGAAGTGTAGGGCCATGTTGCAGTCCATCTGCCACCCAACCAGTTTTGGGGCTACACCATTACTCCAACTTTCCATTACCATATTTCTGCCTGGGGCACCCCAGGCTGGCTTGTGTTGACCGTTCCTCCATGACTTTTAAAATTTGCCAACTCGTCATCCATCACAGTGGCCTCTCCAGTAGCCCCTGCGTCCTTATCCTGCTATCACCTCTCACCGCCATCAGTGTCCTTCCACTTCCTGCTCCACACTCTTCCCTGTAAGGATCAGTCTCCACCTGCCCCTGCTCCCCTTTCCCAAATTAACCAGTTCCCAAACGAGTTCCTTCCACTCAGGACCTGAGAACTGTATTCCATCCTCGCCCTTGGCTGTCTACCTCTTGTGGGCTCTGTGCTCTGGTCTGCCCCCATGGCCCTCCCTGGCTGTCAATCCCCTCCCCAACAGTGGCTGCTCCTTTCTCCAACAGCCCCTGGCCATGGAGCCGGTCCCTCCTGCCTGGTGCTGCCTCCACACAGTGCTTCTGTTCCTGGTGCTCAAAAGTCTCTTCTTGTTGCAAACTCACCTCCACTGTCCACTCCCACCACTCTCTCCTCTTCTTCCTGCTTCTCCCTGACCACTGTCTACCCAATCTCCACTTTCATCTTGTCAAAGCACAGACTTGACCATATTTGAGTCCCTTTTCAAAAAACCTCAAAGGTCTCCCACTGGTCAACAATTTCAAAGCCATTCATTCCATTTCTGAAAATGATTCTAGTGAATACTCCCTTGAAAGCACGTATCAGGATCTGTTTTGGTGATCAGCTCATCTAAATAAGAATAATGACAGTAGGACAGTTATGAAAGGCAAATATTTTTGATAGAAGAATAAAATAACTTTCTGCTACAGACGGTGGCTGAGTGCTTCTTCCTCTCTCTCCCAACAGCATGCTGGCCACTCACAGGGCCTTTTAGAAAGTGACCTGTGGCCCAAGCACATGGAGCAAAGCATGCATCTGTCCTTTGGAGAGGACTATTCGGAGCACATCAGCTGAGCTCCTCTTCATATAGGAAGACACAAATCTTTATATTTGAGATGGTGGTGATAAGATTATTTGAAGGTCAGGGACATAGGCTACCACTGTGAGGGCCTCACAATGGTACAATGAATAGCAAAACTGCCTCCAGGAAGGATCCTTTAAAGAGAAAATGGTCATCATGGCTGACACCAACAATGATGGAAGCAATGGTAGAAGACTGGGGGCAGTGCAGCTTGGGGGTCATCAAAGGCTCAAGCTCTAGGGTGACCAAAGAGGTGTCCTGACTCAGACATCCTGATTCCACCATGTACTGACTGCAAAAGACTTGGCCTCTCAAGGCTTCAGGAAATGGGAATAATAGTAGTTATTATGTGTGAAATAGGAATAACCATGGTCCTATTCTATAGTGTTGCTGTGGTCATTAGATAAGAAAATACACATTAAGCATTTAGCCTGGCACGTGGGGCTGAACACATCCAGTTCTTGTTTTCACTGTGAAGCTGATAAGGCCATCCTAGCACAAGTCAGAAGAGGTGGAGCCGCCCACTGCCGAGCTGGCTTCTTCTGTGGCTGAGCTCTGTCCTGCTGCAGGCGTCCTTTGCGGGGTGTGGGCTGTGGTCAAGGGAAAGGAAGTGCTGGGGAGCTGAGAGACGTTAGGGTCAGCTGAGATTCAGAACCTCACGGAGCTTCAGGTTCTCCATCTATAAGAGTGGCAGGCTGGACTGATCATGCCCCAGGTTCTCTTTGGCTCTGACATTCAATGAGTCCAAACTCCAGGTAAGCATCTGACACTCCACTATGGACTAGGAGTTTAGCAGTGAATGAGATCCAGCTCCTACTCAAGGATTTTACCGGTTAGTGGGGAAAACAGAACCAAATGATGAGGATGCCACATGGTTGGTGTTATAACGGAGAAAAGAACACTCTGCTTTGAGGAGGGGCACATGGCCAAGGCTGGATGCCAGGACCAGAAGGAGCCATGTCGGAAGGGAGAGCTTCCTGGCAGGAATTGCAACATTTATCAAACTGATTTTTAATATGAACAGGATAATTCCAGCTATTTTAACAGATTTTAATGATTCCCTAATTGGTTTCACAAGCTCATTGTGCCCCACATTAAATTACCTTCTCCTTGGATATACTCTTCCCTCATACCAGGTCTAAGTAAATCCTGAGTAATATAAACAACACACAAATGAAATTTAACTGGAAACTGCTGTTTGGGATGAAACTCGGCATTAGCCAGAAATGCTTCTTCATTTCTTCCCAAGGATTGCATTAACCCTGTGCAAACACTCAGGGAACAGTGGACAGTTTTTCAACAACACTGGGTGGAGGCTGTCCGGGGACTTACATTGTCACATGTGAATTGAAACATATTTTTGCATTCCACAAAACTCAGAAGGAAAAAACCACCTTCTGCTACGAGCAGAGTTAAGGGTACTTGTTCACGGCATGCATCCAAAGTATTCTCAGAGGAATATTAGTAAGTTTTGGGCAAAAAAAGCTTCTTTGGCCAAACACATTTGGGAAACATAGTTTAAACAAAGATAAAGAGATTTCATCACTGTAGAAGTCTAAGAGAATTTAATATGCAACTGTGGACTGTGGAGTATAATTATCTAGGAGGAGAATACAGACTGCCAAGTTTCCCAAATGGATTGAGCATGGAATTCTTGTATTCATGGTGTATCTACGGGGACTAATTTTGGAAGATATTTTGGGGAGTACTTATCAGTAGGTACTTTGCATTTCAGGGTTTCTGCTGGTGACCCTAAAGAAATGGATCCCCCACTTTGCAAGGCAAAGCTTTGAAGTATACCAGGTGCTTTTGGCTCAACAGATTGAACTGATACCACTTGAGTAACTACCCGTCCCTCCCCAATTTACAACAAAAATGACTCAAGTCTGAGATAGGGAGAAACATATATATCAGCCCTGGCAACCAGGGAAGGATGGCAATGGCGAGAAAACTTTGAAATATATGGTTCAGGCAAGAATGGGTGGAGGGAAGAGTCGACAAAGCCTGAATTCCCTGCATATGAGGAAAAGGCTCCAGCAAGACCAACCTACAAGCTTACAGCCACCATGGCTGAGATCAGCACAGAACACGGCATGTTGTGAGGGAGAGCAGATCTCTATCCCTCCCTCCCAGTAAGTCCCAGCAAGCAGTATGGTGGCAGAATGTCTGCGCTCACTACAGGGGGTGTTTGTGACTTTAGTTATCTTCCCACCGTCAGCCTTGGTCCTCATGTACAGACAAGTGAACCTTGGTCAGCTGACAGTAAAACTGCAGCAAAGCTAAACATTCCTCTTCTGCCCGTGTCAGGGCCTGAAATATCTTTCTGGAACCCATGTGATCATTGATGGAACCATTCTCAACTCTCAAAAGTGGACAACCACATAGTGACCTCTCGAAGTTGAGCCACATGGAAAAAAAATCACAAGCCTATGAAAAAGAAGATACCGAGTTAAGGAATTAGAGCCAATGTTTCCACTAGAAAAGGAGACTTTCTTAATAAAAAGAAAAGAGGAAAAAGCCTAAATTCAACTACTCAGTGTGACATAAGAGGACATAATATTTATGCGCAAGGCACAACCTTAATTCAGCAAAGATGGAGTTCAGATGAAATGTGTACTTGTCAAATTTTTAAGAAAATTAAACAGTAACCATGAATAGAAGATTTGGATTGAGAAATTCTCCAAGATTTTGGAGCAAAGGATAAGGAAATTAATATGATGAGCAAAAATCTAAGTGGCAGGGAAAGCAGATTTGAGAAATCAATACAGAACATCCTAAAGTGAAGAGAGCAACTGAGAAGCAGCAGCAACTCTGAAAAACCATAGATAAATTCTCCTATCGTGAAGAAAGACTTGAGTCTGCAAACCAAAACAGCCCACCGGGCAATAATGAAAATGAAGGAAAACTGACCTATACTACATTCACTTGAGTGAAAATTCTGAACTCTAAGGAAAAGGAAAAAACAACCTAGAAAGGTCATAATGAAAAAAAAAAAAGAAAAGAAAAACAGGCTATCTAGAAAAAAAATAATAAAAGCTGGTCTCAGACTTCTCTACAAAGCTAATGCTGATCTGTAGGTACTTTGCATTTCAGGGTTTCTGCTGGTGACCCTAAAGAAATGGATCCCCCACTATGCAATGCAAAGCTTTGAAGTATACCAGGTGCTTTCAGCTCATCAGAGTGAAGTGATACCACTTGAGTAACTACCCGTCCCTCCAAAACTTACAACAGAAGTGACTCAAGTCTGAAATAGGGAGAAATGTAAATCAGCAATGGCAACCAGGGCAGGCTAGCAATGGCAAGAACAGGTGGAGGGACCAAGAAGAAACCCTATGACCAAGAATTCGAGAGCAACAGGAAGAACTTCTCAACCTTGCAAGAAGTCATGAAATGAAGCACCTGCTCACCTGTCTTGTAAGAAATTATTTTAAAAATCATCCTGGCACAAATAAAATAGAATAAAACAATGGAGGGGGCATGGTGTAGATAAAACCAGGGGTAAGCAATGAAACCAGTGAAACCAACTTGGTGTCAGACTAACTGTAGGTAATGTGGCCAAGGAATTTGTTGGAAATGGCAAACCTGTTTCTTGAAAAAGATTTGTGTCTTAGTCTGTTTTGTCTTGCTATAAAGGAATAACAGAGGCTGGGTAATTTATAAAGAAAATAGGTTTGATTTGGCTCACAGTTCTGCAGGATGTATAAAAAGCACCTGCTCCTGGTGAAGGTCTCAGGGTGCTTCTACTCTGGTGGAAGGTGAAGGGGAGCCACCATGTGCAGAGATCACATAGTGAGAGAGTGGGGAGACAACAGGTTTTTTAACAACCAACTCTCCTGGGATCTAACAAGAATGAGAACTCACAGATCCCCCACCACCAGGGAGGGTATTAATATATTCATGAGCGGTCCACTCCCATGACCCAAACACCTCCCACTAGACACCACTTCCAACATTGAGGGTCCAATTTCAACATGAGGTTGTGGGGCAGGGGGTGCGCAAACAAACCACACCATAGTAGATAGATAGTTAGATGGATAGATAGATGTCAGTAGATGACAGATAGGTAGATAGATGATGGATAGATAGATGATAAATAGATAGATAGATAGATAGATAGATAGATAGATAGATAGATAGATAAATGGTCAAATATCTAAAATCTAAATTCTGGATGCAAAGCCTCAGATGACTTTCAGCTCCATTGGCAGAGTGAAGGAGGCAGCAAGGGTAATGCTTAAGCATTCAGACTCTGGAATCAGCCTCCCTGAGTGTGGATCCCAGCGTCCCCACCCGCCAGCTGTGGTCCTTGCCACCCCCGCCTGTGGCCTACTTCATCCCAGTCATCACACATCTCCCAGCTCTCATAAACTCTCCACACCCCTCCCCATGTGCACGGCTGCTGCCCTAGTTCGGCCTCACAGCTTCTCCATGGGTTATTGCATAAGTACTCCTCTTTATGGTCCCTTTGCTTTCAGGCCTATTCCTGTCCCTCCTCTCCCTTCAATCCAACTTCCAGAAGAATAATTTAAAACCTTCAGTGTAGGGAAGGCTACAAACTCCCAGGAATGTAGGGAAGGGTACAAACTCTCAGGCTTAGCACACAAGGCCCCCTCCCCAAGATCTGATGCTATCTCCCTGTCCAGCCATCTTCCCTAGCAGCCATAGTGAATTACATGTGGTTCTCAACACAGTGTCTCTCTCCCACTTTGAGAAAGCAGAAAATTATGGTAAGGGCATCAAAAAGCCTAGTTTTGCAACCCAACCTTACCAGTTACCAGCTGTGCAAACTGGGCTGATTTCTTCACTATTCCAATCCTCATGGAGATGGTAAGAGTGACTGTACCTCATTAGGGTTGTTGTGAAAATTAAAATAGCACAATGCATGGAAATGATTGAAATGATTTTTCACTGAGGCAGGCACATAGTGATCATTTGCAAATGAAAACTGGAATCATCATTACATCTCCCTTGTCCTTGTCCACACTATTTCCCATGCTTGTAATGCATTTTTTCAACCAGCCAATTCCCACATCTCCTTTGTGCTTATGTTTCAGCTCAAATGTTACTCTCTCTTTGCCTGCTAAGCTTTCAGTAGGGCTTGGCCACAGTGTGTAGCAAGGAAAAGCCAGTCTTGGTACTCCCAATTAATGGCATTTCTCTCCTACATGCATGTTTCCCCTACATGTGTCTCGGTTATGACCCTTGACCTGTGGCTTTGCAATGACCTGCAGGCCTACCTGTCTCCTCCACTGGAGGTGAGCTCCTTAAGAACAGGAACTGTGTCAGACTCACCTTAGGATCCCCACGACCTAGCAAAGTGGCTGGCCTGTGGCAAGAGCTCAGAAAGTATTTATGGAACAAAATGGAAGAGTGGCTTTGCCCTGCCTGAGAACAAAGAGGCCAGAAGACTTTGCCAATCATCACTCTCCATCTCATCAGCTAAGGTCATCATGGCTTTGATGCCTGGTGAGGTCCTGAGCAGTAGGCAGAGACCTGATGTACTCATGCCACATGGGCAGGGTGGGATGGCTGGGGGCTGGAGAAAGCAGGGGTCCAGCCAATGCCTTGTGAGTTGGTGGCCTCAATACAGACAAGCAGCTTTTGGAAATTTCCAAGTGAAGGGAAAACAAACACAATGATCAACAAGCAAACTGCAAGAAGTGCAAGGTTCTTGTAGATGAGCTCATGGCAAAACTGAGCTGTCTGGTGAAGTGACAGCACTGGCCTGACCATAGCAGATTCTAGCCAAAACCCCAAAATAACCTCAGGCCTCTGGCATGCTGTGGCCAAGGCTTACTGAAAGTCTAGCAGCAAAGTGAGGACAGGCATCATTTCACCACTAAGAAAGCACACAAGGGAGCCAACACCCGAACCTCCTCCTGACCCAGATGGTCTGGTGGGAGTTCACCTGCTCTGGGTCAAGCTGCCAGGGTCAGACCTTGGCTCTGCTGTGCAGACACACTGCCAGTTAACCTGGCATTTTCCATGGATTGTTAGGTGAGGAACCAGGCAGGTCGGACGATGGTTACTAGAAAGGAAGATTTGTTGTAGAAAAGACATTTGGCTCAAAGCTGAATGTTAGTCCATGAAATTCAAGGTGCTGGGTGATAACAATGGGGTAGAAGCAATTCACATCTTCAGGTTTTCAAAGTGTCCTTTGAACTCTGAACGCACCCCACAAAATGGAAAACGCAGCCCATCATGAGTGATTTCTGACAGAATGAACACCTGAAGCATTAGACAAGGGAGCTGATTGACTTTAGAACTCTTCCTTTTCTTTCAGTCATATCCCAAATGTTTTAAATGAAACCTATTCAGTATAAAGCCTGGTGAGGCTAATTAAGAAGGCCACTGTGTAACAGAAAGGGCTTCTGGAATGTATGAGAATACACTGTGAGATTTACATTTAACAGGGAGTCGGCAGGGAGGAGAAAGAACAACGAGTGTACAACTAACCCTCTCAGGTATAAGCAGACATGTTGCAAGTGGTTTGTCAAATAACCCTTGTTCACTCCCCAAAGTCTACCTCTGCTGCCCACCTTTAAAGATTTTTCAAGGTTGCCTTTAGATATTTTTAGCAACTTTGCTGCTCAAGAATCTTCATACTTCCTAACCAAGTTATTGTTGGTAATTAGGGAACTTGAACTCATGAGCAAGCAAGGGCAGCATTCCCCATGAACACTTACAAGGCATCATCCGATCATTGAGGGAGTTGCTGCTTCAATGCTCTAATTCTATGACCTTGTAATAGGGTAAGAGTGCCATGACCTCATTTCAGCTAACTCATCTAAGCTAGATGATTGCCTCTACCATCTTAAAAGATTTCTGGGAAAGCAGATTCTATAAACTTGTTTGGAAATCCTGGCAAGAAATTATTTCACATACCCATCCCTCAAAGTGAGTGATTTCTTTGTCTAGGCAAAAAATTCCCTTTTACCCCCCTCCCTCCCTCCTTCCATCCTCCCCTTCCTTCCTTCCTTTTGTCCATCCATCCAACCAGTCTTCATGAAATACATACTATCTGTCAGGTCTGAGCTACGCACTAGAATGAGATGATGAACAAAGCATGCCTCTTGCTCTTGAGGGATCTAAACAGTAAGCACAAAATAGTGTTATATGTGCTAAGAATGTAGTTACAATCAAGAAACAGAGTATTAATAGCCACAGAACAAGGTGGCATAGCTAGGTATCCTGTAGGCATGCTATTATCATCATGTATGGAGATGGTGTTGTTTTCCAGAACCTCTATCTTGACAGAAACATGACCAACTAAATATAAAAACAAACAAACAAAAATATACAACTTCTAAATCCAGTGCAGACCACTCAATCCAATTGTCTGGAATGCCTCTTTAGAAAATTTAGATTGATTTCGCAAAAATGACATTTTCTTTTATTATTAAAGTCATGCAAAAATTTGGAAAATACAGAAATGAATAGAAAAGAAAAAGTAGCCAACAATCTACTATACAGAGATAACAGTGATTACTATTCTCCGTATCATTTTTCAACGCATAGATACACTTGATTCACTTATAATTTAAAAATAAAATTGGGATCATGAAGTGCATGTTTTATAGACTGTTTTTCTTTTTAATACTTCTTAGCACTTTGTTCTTTTTTTTTTTTTTTGAGACAGAGTCTGGCTCTGTCGCCCAGGCTGGAGTGCAATGGCGCAATCTCTGCTCACTGCAAGCTCTGCCTCCCAGGTTCATGCCATTCTCCTGCCTCAGCCTCCCGAGTAGCTGGGACTACAGGCGCCCGCCACCACGCCCAGCTAATTTTTGTATTTTTAATAGAGACAGGGTTTCACCATGTTGGCCAGGATGGTCTCGATCTGCTGACCTCATGAATCGCCCGCCTCGGCCTCCCAAAGTGCTAGGATTACAGGTGTGAGCCACTGCGCCCGGCCAGCACTTTGTTCTTACATAGCCTCTAAAAGCATGCCTGTTTAATTATTGTCCAGTATTTTATCATGTAGATGTCCCATGCTATTTTTAACCAATTCTTTACCATTGAAATGTAGATTAATATGAGGTTTTCACAATTATTATTAATGCTTCAACACACATGCACACATCTCTGATTAATTCCTTGAAATAAGTTCCTAAAAGCATAATTTCTGTATCTCAAGAGGTGCACATTTTAAGATATTTAATACACACTGCCAGGTTATTCTACAAAAGGTTTGTACTAACCTATTTTTTCACCAGCAGTACATAAAGTGTCCATTTTTTTTAACTTTACCAACATTGTGTATTTTGTCTTTTCTATTTTTTACCTTTTGATAGGTAAGAGATGGTAACAAATTGTTTTACTTTGCAGTTCTGATTAATAGTGAGGCTAACTTTTTCCATATGTTTAGTGTCTCTGTATACACATTTTTTAGCACCCTGTTCATTGCCTTTGCTCATTTCTCCCTATTAAGTTAAACTCTGCCTTCTGGTAACTTTCCCTTTTTCATCCAAATTGTGCCTTCTGGAACTATCCTAAGGAGATTAATTCCTCCTTCATATGACACCCCCTCAAATACTTGAAGACAGAAATCATGTCTCACTTTCTCCAAGATAAACACCCCTGGCTCCTTCAATCATTTCTCATGCGGCAAAGTTTCAAGGGCCATCGTTGCAGACTTAATGCATAATAGTCCCACTGCTCTGTTACCCTGTACACTCACACTCACAGTCACAGACCTGCATGCAACTTCAGAAAAGCTTATCCTGAATCCTCTTTGCAGACTCTCTGGATGCAGTCACCTGTCCGCACCTTGGGCCTCAGCCTCCTTTCTCACTCCCATCCATAAGGACACTAAAAGTGAGTCTTTCCATGATCAAGGCATTTACCATGTGATATCAGGGGGCTGGAGCTCAAATAAAGTGGTAAGAAGAAGATCACTTTGAGACTAGAAGCAGGAAGAGAAATTTGCCTGGTATAATTAGAATGATTAACTCAAGTGAAGAAAGCATCAAGAAGAATGAGATGGTCACCTTGGAATGGCACAGAATTTGTCAGTACCAATCCTGCAGTATTATGGGCTTCCTCCAGGAACCCTGTCCTAACCCCAGGCAGGTTAGGGACCCTTCCTCTGCCCCCACAAGGCTGCCTGCCCTGACCACACTCCCCATAGTCACCTGTGCATGCACTGATCTCCCCACCAATCTGTGCAATCCCTGAAGGATGGGTCTGTGTTTGTACCCCTGAAAGCCTGGCTCAACAACTGCCACCCCTGGAGCCAGCACACATGCTCGGTGAACTGGGCCACTCTCGGAAATCTCCCTTCCAGTGGTCCACATCCCTTTACTCTTAATTTCCTCTCAGCAAACAAACTTCTAATACAAATGTGGTTTCTCAACTACTCAAAACTGATGGGTTCATGAGACATTGGACATGAGCATCCATGCCAGGGACAAGGAGCCCCATGACATTACTGAATTGCACCTGGTTAAAACATTCACTTATGAGAACTCTTTCACACTCCCTGGCTCTGAGAAATTCTAGAACACTGTCAAGACTTTCTGGATCTATAAAGCTGAGGTCCAGGCTCTGAACACTGGGAAGGCATTGCTTCTTAGGATCGCCATCCTTGAGTCCAGCTGGAGGCCTTTGGCAAACAATATCCTGACATTTCTGTGCATTATGGTCTAAGTAGAAAAAAATTTTTTAATGTGTGTATATATATATATATACACACACACACACACACACACATATGTAAATATCAAACAGATATATATATATATATATATGTGTATGTACAGTCACACAGTCATTATGCAGTTGTTTTTGGTAAACAACAGACTGCATATATGACAGTGGTCCCATAAGATTACAATACCATATTTTTATTACACCTTTTCTATGTTTAGATATACAAATACTCACCATTGTGTTACAACTGCTAAAATATTCAGTACAATAACATGCTGTACAGATTTGTAGCCTAGGAGCAACAGGCTATCCCACATAGCCTAGGTGTGTAGTAGGCTATACCACCTACGTCTGTTTAAGTGCACGCCATGATGTTCACACAACGATTAAATTGCCTAATGACACATTTCTCAGGATGTATTCTCATTATTAAGTGATGCAAGACTGTATATGTATACATATGTATGTATATGCTGATTAAGGGCACAAACTTAAGAATCAAGCTAGCTGGGTCCACATTCTGGCTCCATTATGTATGCACTAGCTGTATGAGTTTAGGCAGGTTATAGCTCTGTGCCTCAGTTTGCTTGTTTATCACATAAAAATGATAGCACCCTTTCCATGCAGCTGTTGTGACGATTAAATGAGTTAATGTAGCTAAAACATTTATAATTACATCTGACCCATAGTAAGCCTTCAGTAAGTATTTATTATTATTATTATTTACATTTAAGAACTGCATTAAGGTGCTTACTATATTTGTGAATATAGAAAACTCATTCTTTTTACGTTTTAAACAGTATCTAAAAATTATTTTGCTTTCAAATCATCCATATTGTTCATGGAAGGCCTCATATACAAGGTCAGAGGTACAGTCTACTAGAAGACAGCAAGGCTTCACTGTCTATTGACAGAGCATGGTAATGAGCAAAGGAATGTACGTGACAGGTGTATGAGTTGGTCAGAGATAGGACTTGGATCATTATCCTAATACTAGAGATTCAATTTGTTACTACCAGAATCCATTATTAACATAACCCATTACCCAGCGGAGGCAATGATATATATTAAGTTTAAGCTAGTTTTTCTTAGAATTCATGATTTTTTCATTTGCTTGCCAATTACCAACATTCTACGAAACGTTTTATTTACTCCAAGCATGAAGATGGCATTGGCGTTTCTTCAAATGTATTATTTTGCCATATGCTTTGTGTTCTTGTGTATTAAAGTATTTATTTATATGGACTGCAATGACATGTAGAATTTAATAAAAATTTACATTTTGCAGCTTGATTTGTAACAATTATTATTGCTATAGCTGCTTTCTCCTTATGTACCTTTTATAAATTGATGCAAATTTATTCAATATCATGATTTATTTGTGTAGTCATGAAATACACTATCGGTATTTGCTTTTATTTTACAAAAATATATAGTTGATACATTTTTACCAGTAAATTTGTTGGATTTTTGTGGCCAGGATATTTTGTGTACCACAATTTTTTATAGTCTGATTTTTAATTTTTTATGCTTTAACTCTTCTCCTGTTTAGAAAAAAAAAGTGTAACTTGCTGCCAGCACTCATTTAATTTTACATAAACACGCTCTTGGAGTCTGAAGCAAATATGACTGATTTTCAATGTGAAAATAAAATATAAAATCTGTTCTTTGAGTTACTTCTAAACAGAAGTAACATCAGAATCATCTGAATCATCAGAATTGTCTATCTCAGTAAAATCAGATTTATCAAATAAATCTTTGGCCAACAACTGTTCAAGAACAATGTTAACATCGTGTCTAGGAATGTTACATTTTCTAGGATTTGTATTTTCAGCAATTGAGAATTACTATATTTTGTAAATGGAAATATCACTACTAAGCACAGACTGCTATAAATAGAATGTCTTTTGTTTCCAAAGTCAATATACTAGAGCAATGTGACAATAATAAAAGCAAGATACTTTGTGGCAAAGTTATCTTGGGGTAAACTCTGCAGCCACAAGTGCTACCGGCAAGTATTCTCAGGGCAAATGGGAAAAGGGTTAAACATAGACAAAAATAGAAAATGTAACAAACACCCACGTATCCAAACACAGATTTTTTTCCCTAGCTTTATTGAAATATGGTCAGTATATGAAAAACTGTACCTAATTAACATATCCAATTTGGTAAGTTTGGACATATGTATACACTCACGTTATCATCTCCACAATCAAGGTAGTAAACATACCATGACCTCCAAAAGTTTCCTTTTGTATGTCTGTTGGTATTTTTTTATTTTTATTTATTTATTTTTTTTTGTGGTAAGAACACAACATGAGATCTACACTCTTAAATGTCTAGGTGCACAGTATTTTATTGTTAACCATAAGCACTATATTGTACAGCAAATCTCTGTAATTTACTCGTCTTGCTTAACTACCTTCTTCAATACACAGATTTAAAACATGTTAACATTCTGCCACATTTACTTCATGTTATCTTTATATTAGAGAAATAAAAAATATCCAGTGTAATTGGAGGGCTTCCTGATACCATTCTGCTTCCTTTCTCCCCAGAGGTAAACAGAGGTTTACGACTTTAATAACCGTGTGTACACTGATGACTCTTGAGTCTACATCTTCAGCATGAACTATCTAAGGTACTGTATATTTGATTATGCATCTTGTTTATTGTCCATTTTTATCTTCAGAATACAGAATTGTGTCTATTTTGCGCATGTGAAAGGAAGATAAATCTCAGGAACTCTAACTCACTAATCCAAAGGGAAAAGTCAAACTGGGAACTGGGTCATGCAAACCTGCCTTCCATTTGGTTCCTAAATAAGATAGGTACAAAGATTTAAAAAAAAAAAAAAAAGCGGCCAGGCACGGTGGCTCACACCTGTAATCCCAGCACTTTGGGAGGCCAAAGCGGGCGGAGCATGAGGTCAGGAGATCAAGACCATCCTGGCTAACATGGTGAAACCCCATCTCTAGTAAAAAAAAAAAAAAAAAAATACAAAAAATTAGCCGGGCATGGTGGCAGGTGCCTGTAGTCCCAGTTACTCGGAGGCTGAGGCAGGAGAATGGCGTGAACCCAGGAGGCAGAGCTTGCAGTGACCAGAGATTGCGCCACTGCACTCCAGCCTGGATGACAGAGCAAGACTCCATCTCAAAAAAAAAAAAAAAAAAAGCTACATACCTCCCCACAATTTGTTCATAAGGAAATTCCTTGTAGGCCCCAAATCTTTACCCTAAAACAGTTCTGGTGAATTTCACCCTGGCAATGAAAATTGACAGCTTATCTTCACAGGTGTGAGACAAAGGACAGAACTCAAAGACATCCTTCTGCTCACCTGACACAAAAGCATATCTGATTGCTTCCTCTGCTCTACTGTTTATGTTATCTGGCTTGTCACTGAGCCAGATGAAGGCAAAAGTGACTATTTACCGCAGCCCCCTGCCCCCACCAATTGTATATTCAGTGAAAGGCTGATCAAAGACTCAAAAGGATGCAACTATTTGTCTCTTATCTACCTGCACCTTTTAAAAATGTATTCCTCTTCCCCCCATATCCACCCTTTTCCCTTTAAATATCGAAGCCCTCAAAATCATCTTTGGAGAAAGGCATATACGTATCTCCCAGGCACATTTCCTCAACTTTGGCAAATAAATCTCCTAAAATGATTGAGACTTGCCGTGGTCATTTTCACTGATTTACATGCACTATAATATCTACAGTGCCTGGAACAATGCCTCGCACATACATTGTAGGTGGTCAACAAATACGTGTTGAATGAATGAATGAAACAATATTTTTAACTTTACTATATGAATGTATTATTAATGTGTTTTAAAATGTACAAAAATGGGCCCCCACACTTTCATGGGTTTTCCCTCCAGGAACCCACCAGGTTCTCACAGTGAAAAACCAAGAAAAATCACCCCCCCAATCTCTGGTAGGGGGAGATAAAAAGTAACCATTTTGAAATATGTCCAGAGCATTCTCCATAACAAAGACCTACTCTCTAAGAGAAAAGACTTTACCAGAACCTTATCTCACCTACGGAAAAGAGGAGTTACTCAATTCCAGCCCAACTCTATCCTTCCCATATGGCCTAAGGGGAGGGAGAGACAAGAAACACTTGTGAAGGTCACAGCCCCAGGACATAGGCCCATGAGGTTTAATCATAAGATTACAGAACAATTTCTCTCCCCCAACTCCTCATCCCACATCAACAGGGCTCAAATAGCTGCAAGGCATACTCTATTTAAGACTATTTAAGAAAAAGCTCTTTGAGCCAGGAGCCATGGTTCCTGCCTATAATCCCAGCATTTTGGGAGGCTAAGGCAGGAGGATCACCAGGTCAGGAGATTGAGACCACCATGGCCAACATGGTGAAACCCCACCTCTACTAAAAATACAAAAATTAGCTGGCTGTGGTGGTGCACACCTGTAGTCCCAGCTACTTCGGAGGCTGAGACAGGAGAATTGCTTGAACCTGGGAGGCAGAGGTTGCAGTGAGCTGAGATTGCACCACTGCACTCCAGCCTGGTGACAGTGCGAGACTCCATCTCAAAAAAAAAAAAAAAAAAAAAAGAATAGAAAAAGAAAAAGTTCTTCGGAAAACCAAAGGTAGTAGGAGAGAAAAACAAGAACATGAAAGGAATTTATAGCCTCTGGAACCTATAGCTACAATATTTAAAACATTAAACACAGCCCAACTCCTAGGAACATTAATATAAAACCCCACACCAAAGGCCTAGTTACCTCAGTTCCTATTATCTGATACAACATGTCTGGATTTCAACAAAGAATTACAAGGCATACTAACAAGCTAGAAAAAAAACATAGTTTGAAGAGACAAAGTGAGCACTGGAACCAGACTCAGGTGTGAAACACATTATGAAATCACAAAATATTTAAAATAATTGTGATTAATAACTTATAAACTCTCATGGAAAACGTAGACAATATGCAAGAACAGATGGATAATAAAAAGCAGAGAGATGGAAACTCTAAGAAAGAATAAAAAAGAAATGCTCAAATTAAAAAACACTGTGATGGAAATGAAGAAGGCCTTTGGTAGACTCATCAGTAAACTGAAAACAGTCAAGGAGAGTTTTGATAGACTCATCAGTAGGCTGAACACAGCCAAGGAAAGTATCAGTGAACTTGAAGATATATCAATTTGAAACTTCCCAAACTGAAATGCAAAGAGAAAAAAAGAATGAAAAAAAAAAAAAACCAGAACACTCAAAAATTGTGGTACAATTTCAAAAGATATATCTGTGTAATTGGAATACAAAAGAGAAGAAAGAGAAAATGGAGCAGAAGAGATATTTTTTAAATGATGTCTGAAAAATGTCCAAAGTTAATGAGAGACATCAAACCACAGATCCAGGAGCCTCAGAGAATACCAAGCAGTATTACAAACAAACAAACCCCTCTATATTTAGGCATGTTATATTCAAACTGAAGGAGACCAAACATAAAGAGACACTCTTAAAAGAAGCTAGAAAAAATAATCCCACACTACCTATAGAAGAACAAGGATGAGAATTATGTGGACTTCTCTTCAGAAACCATGTTAACAAGAAGAGAATGAAGTGAAATATTTAAAGCACTGAAACAAAGTAGCTGCCAACCTATATTTCCATATCTCATAATTTCAATCCTTCAAATGTGAAGGAGAAATAAACATTTTCTACAAAAAACCAAAAACAGAATTCATCACCAGTAATGCTGCCCTGTAAGAAATACTAAAATAAGTTCCTTGGAAGAAGAGCATCAGAGAAGGAATAAATAAAGATATAATAAAACATTTTATTTTAAATTGATCTAATAGATAACTGTTTGTTCAAAGCAATAACAGTAACAATGTATTGGGTGATGATAGCATTCACATAAGTGACATGAATGAGAGCAATAGTATAAGAAATGAAAAGACAGAAGAAGGAAGATTTTATTATAAGGTGCCTGCACTATACATGAAGTGGCATAATATTTTTTGAACATGGATATATATATATATATATATATATATATTTGTAATTGTATATAATAATTGTAAATGTATGTTGCAAACTTAGGGCAAAGAATAAAAATATTTTTAAAGAAACTTAAAAAAGGCAAAAAAAGAGGCAAAGAAACAAAGAATGAGTGCAATGAATAGAAAACATGGTAGCTATCAATCAAACTATATCAATAATCATGTTAAATGTAACTGGTCTAAATGTATCAGTTAAAAGATTATGGGAGTGGATTAAAAAACTAGATCCAACTATATGTTGTTTACAAGAAACCAACTTTAAATATAAAGGCACAGTTAAGTTGTAAGTAAAAGGATAGAGAAAGATATACCATGCTAACAGTAATTAAAAGAAAGTTGAAGAAACTCTATTAATTTCATACAAAGCAGAATTCAGAGCAAGGAAAATTATCAGGGATAAAAAGGAACACTTTTCTTTGAAAATATAACAATCCCTAACATATGTGCACCAAACAACACAGCATCAAAATACGTGACGCAAAAAAAGACCTACAAGGAGAAACAGGAAAATCCACTCTTATAATTGGAGATTTCAACATTTCTCCTTCAGTAATTGCTACATTGAGCAGGCAAAAAAGTCAATAAAAACATAGTTGCCCTCAACAGCACTATCAATCATCTTGATCAAATTGACATTTAAAGAATACTTTATCTGGCTGGGTGCGGTGGCTCACGCCTGTCATCCCAGCACTTTGGGAGGCCGAGGCAGGTGGATCACCTGAGGTCAGGAGTTCAAGACCAGCCTGGCCAACATGGTGAAACCCCATCTCTACTAAAAATACAAAAAATTAGCTGGGTGTGGTGGTGGGAGGCTGTAATCCCAGCTACTCAGGAGGCTGAGGCAGGAGAATCGCTTGAACCCGGGAGGTGGAGGTTGCAGTGAGCCCTGATCATGCCTTTGCACTCCAGCCTGGGTAATGAGTGAAACTCCGTCTCAAAAAAAAAAAAAAAAAAGAATACTTCATCCAACAACAGCAGTATACACATTGTTCTCAAGCTGACATGAAATAGTTACTGAGATATATATACTACATTCTGGGCCATAAAGTGAACAAAAAATTGTTTAACATTGTATTTTTTTTTTTTTTTGGTTTAGGAACAAATTTATTGATATATAATTCACATCAGTGGTTTTTAATATAGTTACATAGCAGTGCAACTATTACCACTATGTAATTTTAGAACACCTCTGTCACCCCCAAAAGAAACACTGTATCCATTAGCAGTCATTCCTCATTCTTCCCTGCAGTACCAAGAAACCACAAATCTACTTTCTGTCTTCATGAATTTGCCTATTCTGGACATTTTACATAAATGAAATCATATAATATGTGGCCTTTTGTGTCTGACTCTGTTCACTTAGCATGACATTTTTAAGATTTGTCCATAATATAGCATGTATCAATACTTCATTGCTTTTTATTCCTGAATAATATTCCATTACAAGAATATACCACATTTTATTTATCTATTCATCACTTGGTGTACATTTGAGTTGTTTCCATTTTTTGGCCATTATGAATGATGTTGCTATGAACATTTTCAATTCTCTTGGTTGTATATTTAGGAGTGAAAATTGCTGAATTATATGGTAACTCTGTTTTTAATATTTTCAGGAACTGCCAAACTGTTTTCCCAAGTGGCTATGCTATTTTATATTCCCACCAGCAATGTATGAGGATTCCAGTTGCTCCACATTCTCATCAACATTTGTTGTTACCTGTCTTTTAACCATCTTAGTGAGAATACGATGTATCTCAGTGTGGCTTTTATTTGCATTTCTGTAATGATTTAGATACACTCATCATTTCAAATTGCCACTCTGACTTTATAGAATGCTCTGGGTGACAGAACCTAGAAACAAGTTGCTAAGACTCCAATCACCTTTGTACAATTAGTTGTGGGTTTTTTTGTTTTTTGTTTGTTTGTTTGTTTTTTTGAGATGGGGTCTTGCTGTGTTGCCCAGGCTGGAATACAGTGGCGAAATCTTGGCTCACTGCAACCTCTGCCTCCTGGGTTCAAGCGACTCTCCTGCCTCAGCCTCCGAAGTAGCTGGGACGACAGGCGCCCGCCACCACGCCCAGCTAATTTTTTGTATTTTTAGTAGACACAGGATTTCACTGTGTTAGCCAGGGTGGTCTCCATCTCCTGATCTCGTGATCCACCCGCCTTGGCCCCCCAAAGTGCTGGGATTACAGGCGTGAGCCACTGCGTCTGGTTGCACAATTAGCTCTTTACAGAAACCTTTGTTTCAAGTAGCAGGATGTTTTCCAATTACAAAGATCATTGTGTTCTAACCACAAAGAAAAATAAGAATATTTTCCTACCTATTCCTATGAGAATACTTCTCTAACAGGACACCATGGTCAGGTATGAGCAGCACCCAGTTCCCGTGGAATTTACATGCAGGTCTCCTTACCTGCTGGTGGCCAGGCCTTGATGTATCCTGTACAGTGGACCACAGCATATTGGGCTTCTCCTTCTTTCACAGGGCCAAGGCCATTCCTAAAAAAGAACATTTGTGAAATTGTTTTCATCACATGAGGGTGAGGCAAGGATGTTGATGACTCCTCTGGCATCTAAGCTACTGGGTTCCCTTGTCTGCCTTTGTGGTTTTGAATCTTGACTCCTCACCATCCTGTGTTCCTTCCTCCCACATGGTCTGAAAATCAAAAATAAATTCCACCCAACTCCCTGTTCTCTCTCATCTCTGCCACTGCCACCCTGATGTCTGGTTCTCTTGGTCCTCACCACACTAAGCCCCTTCTTTAATCTAGGCTGCTTAGCTTAGGGTGTTTAGACTATCTACCAGAACAGTCCCAAAATATACATCGGAAGAGATACTGACCTGAACCTTTTCCTCATGGTGGTTATTCTGTTTAGAGGAAGGTGGTCCAAAGGAGCATTTCCACACCTAAGATGTGACAAGTGTATTAGAATGAGCAAAGACCCAGGCAAGTTTATTCAATATATGGTGCTGCCATCAAGTAGATGAGCCTTAATTGATGCTTACACATTTATTCAGGTGACGCCTATAGCCAATTTTCTTCAAAAGTGCAGAAGCAGACCTGCATGCCTTTGATTTTTTTTTTTTTTTTTTTTTGTGACTGAAGAAAGGAGAGTGTGACCCACATTACAACACACACTGAAATTGTTTCAGGGCCCAGTCCAGGAGCTGGAGACCTACAGAAAGACTCTAGGAGAGACCTGGCCATGCTCAGTCCTGCAGATCATTTCAGTGGAACTCCATGGCTTTTAGGAAAGAAGGGAAGAGGGTGATGACAGCAATAATGTCCCTTCAGGCCTGAGCAGTGACATCAACTTAAAACAGATGTTGCCAGTTAATGAACAGTAACATCTTCTCAGGCTTTAGCATCACAGCTGTGGAAACTCTCTCCTCCCATACACTGTTCTAGCACTAGGGACAACCAGACAGCTGGAAGTCTGCTGATGGCAGAGGAGAGCGTGGGGATGAGAGATAAACAGGTAGAGAATCCGGTCTTTCTGTGAGTCCCCATCTGGGAGGCAGGGGATGGTGGCATCACACTGTACACTCTGGGACAACCTTTCCTGCCTCCCTTTACAATGATCCTCTCAGCATCTCAGGTGCTGAACACCCAAAGCCTGCACCATGGCCAGGCTCTGACTGCTGCTTGGTATATCCATTTTTTATGTGCATTTCCATTTCCCAACTACATCACAAATGATATCCTGAATATCTTAATTTTCAATACAGCAGGGATAAGAGTCTAGTTATACTCTGAGACCTTAGACAGCTGCCAGCACTAGTGTGGTCTTCACAGGAGGCTCACCCCATGTCATTGCTGCCCAGCAATGTTTGGCCCTCTGCCCTTTTCTGGCTGACTGTGCCCAGTGCTTTACTGAAAATAGCTGTTTCATTTGGAGGAAAATGTTATGTTCTCAGTAGATGGCAGCACTGCCCACCTCTCAGGTAAACACAGGCAGTATGGACCTGGCACTTCAAAGAGCAACCAATATCACGCTCCCTGGAAGGACACTAGGGCAGGGAAGGGACTGCATGAATTTCATTGACGGGGCAGTGATAATGGCTTTATGGGCTAATGGAAATGATATACTATGGCACTTTCAATCAATTTATTCATAAGGGAATTGCTTAGATGGTACCATTAAGATTTGTATTGCTGGTGCTCTACTCAATGTCTACTAAGCTAGGATAGGCATTTATTCACAGAAGCACTGCAGGACAAACATGCCGTGACTGACTACACTAACTGATGGCATTTCATCTCTGGATGCACAGCAATGCAAGTGGATCCCACTGCCCAGCTTGCCCCTGCTGCTGAAAGAGGGGCAGGCAGTCTGTGGGGACCCAGTCCTAAGTTAAATGGAGACATGCGTGCTTTCTGTCATTCCAGCACCATCCTGTGACCTGAGGCAGGTGGTGAAGAGGATTTCATCTGTGCCTTCAAGAATTCCAGAGGCTCAGCCTCGAGAGGAGGAGACTCAGAGAAAAGAACAGCGAGGCTCAAATCCCTGAAGGGCCATTTCTCGTAAAACAGAACAAATGGTCTCTGCCAGTTCTCAGAGCCCAAGGAGTGGGTGAGAGAAGCAGGTCTCCCCTCAGCACAGGCAACCTTGGTGATCTGAGGGAGACCAACCAGCCTGTACATAAACAGGTTTTGCTTAAAAAGTGTAGTTGCTTTAAAAGATTACTTTAAATTAGGGAAAATAGATACTTATTTTAAAGCACCTATTGTTTGGAAATTCATAGTACGCAACGGACGCCCCAGTGCAAGTCACAGATCCTGTGGCACGCAATTAGGTGAGGGTGACATTAGTAAGTGGTTCCATTGTGCTGCTACGTGCCGTATATCCTACATGCCATATCTCCTGCTGGTTCTCTCTCTGAGGTCCAGTGATGGACATTCAGGGCTCACATTCAGGGCTCATCAGTAGCCTTTGGCCTTTGATAACTCCTTTTTTCCAGAAACTTCCTTCGCCCTCTCTTGTTCCCTTTGCCCTCTCTTCTTCCCCTCCCACCTGCCTCTCTGCTCCTTCTCAGTCTCCTTTGCTGGTTCTTCCCCAACCCCCTGAGGCAGGAAAGCCCCAGGACTCAGTCCTCTGTCTTCTCCTCTGTCTATACCCACCTCCCACGAGATTTCACATGCATCTCAGTTTTGAGGCCTTAGATACCATTTTATTGATGTCAATCCCCAGGTCCATATCTTCAGCCCCAACCTGTTCCTTGGATTCCAGAACTACATGTCCAACTGTCTGCTCATCTTCTCCGTCTAGGTGTCTGTGGGCATCTTTTTTTTTTTAGTTTTTAAGTTCAAGTGCAGGTTTGTTATACAGGTAAACTCGTGTCATGGGCTTTGTTGTACAGATTATTTCATCATCCAGGTATTAAGCCTAGTACCCATTAGTTATTTTTCCTGATGTTCTTCCTCCTCCCACCCTCCACCCTCTGAAAGTCCCCAGCGTGTGTTGTTCTGCTCCATGTGTCCCTGAGTTTTCATCATTAGCTCTCACTTGTAAGTGAGAATATGCGGTATTTGGTTTTTCATTCCTGTGTTAATTCGCTAACAATAATGACTTCCAGGTGCATCCACATCCATGCAAAGGACATGATCTTTTTCTTTTTTATGACTGTATAGTATTCCATGGTGTATACGTACCACATTTTCTTTATCCAGTCTATCACTGATGGCCATTTAGGTTGATTCCATGTCTTTGCTATTGTGAATAGTGCTGCAATAAACATATGCATGCATATGTCTTTATAACAGAATGATTTATAGTTCTTTGGGTATATACCCAGGAATGGGATTGCTGGGTCAAATGGTACTTCTCTTTTTAGGTCTTTGAGGAATCACCACACTGTCTTCCACAATGGCTGAACTAATTTACATTCCCACCAATACTGTGTAAGTATTCCTTTTTCTCCACAACCTCACCAGCATCTGTTATTTTTTGACTTTTTAAATTTTTATTATTTATTTATTTATTTATTTTTGAGATGGAGTCTTGCTCTGTTGCCAGGCTGGAGTGCGTGGCATGATCTCGGCTCACTGCAACTTCCATCTCCCAGGTTCAAGCAATTCTCCTGCCTCAGCCTCCCGAGTAGCAGGGACTACAAGCACGCGTCACCACACCCAGCTAATTTTTCTATTTTTAGTAGAGACGGGGTTTCACCATGTTGGCCAGGATAGTCTTGATCTCTTGACCTCGTGATCTGCCCGCCTTGGCCTCCCAAAATGCTGGGATTACAGGCATGAGCCACCTCACCCGGCCCTTTTTGACTTTTTAATAAGAGCCATTCTGACTGGTGTGAGATGGTGTCTCATTTTGATTTTGATTTGCATTTCTGTAATAATCAGTGATATTGAGCTTTTTTTTTATATATGATTGTTGGCCGCATGTATGTCTTCTTCTGAAAAGTGTCTGCTCACGTCCTTTGCCCACTTTTTTATGGCGTTGCTTGTTTTTTTATTGTAAATTTGTTTAAGTTTCTTATAGACAGGCATCTTAACCTTAAAATGCTGGAATTCCCCTCAACCCCAAACCAGCTCCCCCCAACAACCTTTTCCATCTTAGAGAATGACAACTCAGTTTTTCCGACTGAGTGGGCAAAGACTTTAGCGGAACCTTTGACTTCTCTCTTTTCCTCACACCCTGCCTGAAGGCTGGCTCCGTCTGTGAAATACACTCAAAATCTGAGCACTTTCTACCACAATCACATTTCTCACCTGAATCATTGCAATAACCTCCTTACTTCTACCCTTCTTCTTTGTCCACAGGTTTACTCTCCACAGAAAACCGGGGCAGTTTTTAGTAATGTTATTCAGAACATGTAACTCTCACAGTCAACTTCAGGGACCTCTCATCTCATGCAGAGTAAAAGCTGAAGCGATGTAAAGTCAACACGACCTAACATCCACTACCTCTCAACCACATCTCTGCCCATTCCTCCTGCACCGTACCCCATTCACTCTGCTTCTGAGACAAGGACCTTCTCACTGTTCCTTGAACATGCCAAGACCATCCCTGCCTCCAGGCCTTTGCACTTGCTATTCCCTCTACTTGCCCTTCTCTTTGCCCAGACATTCCCTTGTTTCATTCACTCACTTTCTTTAGGTCTCTGCTCAAAAGTCACCTTATCAGTGATGTCTTCCCCTCCCACCCTATATAACATGGAAATTAACGAAATCTGCTATTTCCTACTCCCACTTAAGTTTGCTTTATGTTTCCTCCATAGCACTCACCACCATCTGATGTTCCATATATTTACTTGGTACTTTTGTCTACTTTGTATCACCCCTACTAAAATGAATTCTATGCAGGCAGGGGTTTTGTTTGCTTTATTATTATTATTATTATTATTTTAGTCTCTTTTTTTTTGAGACAGAGATTCACTCTGTTACCCAGGCTGGGGTGCAGTGGCGCGATCTCAGCTCTCTGCAACCTCCGCCTCCTGGGTTCAAGCGATCATCTCACCTCAGCCTCCTGAGTAGCTGGGATTACAGGTGTGTGCCACCACATCCAGATAATTTTTGTATTTTTAATAAAGACAGGGTTTCACCATTTTGGCCAGGCTGGTCTCAAACCCCTGACCTCAGGTGATCTGCCCACCTCAGCCTCCCAAAGTGCTGGGATTACAGGCATGAGCCACCACACCCGGCCTTGTTTGCTTTACTTAACATTGACTCCCGGGCACCTTGAAGAGCACGTGGCACAGGTAGGCCCTTAACATAAATGTGTTGAATAACTAAATAAATGAATGATGAGTGGCATCACCTCACATCACTGCCTCATGAACTCCACAGCCCAAACAATCTCAATTCTCTGTCCTGCACCTCCCACCTTGCAGTTCATGTCAACCATCCCTCAGGGGGCACAGGGTTGAAGGTACAGAGGTGCTGAACTGGACTGGAGGATTCAAGATCCCAGCTCTCTCTTCTTCAACGACATGGCAAAATTCCCCTGCTTTCTCCAAAGTTCATTCATTCCTGCATTTCTTCAATTATGATGTACAAATCAAATATATGTAGAAGACTCTGCTAGATGTCAGGGAGGCTCAGAGAAGTCTCAATCAAAGCCTTCATCCTCAAGGCACTATAATTTACTCATGGAACCCAGACATTTACATTTAACATATCAATCAACAATATCATAGAGACCAAGTAAATGTGTGAATTGTGACAGGAAATATATGAATAAGTGTGAAATCAGGCATCTTAATATAAAACATGTTGAGAACTACAGAATCTTGGAGAGGTTGGATTGGAGAAGGGTCTTAAAGATGGGTAGGAAGTAGAGTGATACAGTGGACAAGAGGGTGTAAATCTAGGAATGAGAAGAAAATGGTAGGAAATTAGACAAAGTGGGATGGTAGGAGGATAGAGAGAATCCTTCCTAAACCAAGGATCCTGTATATCTGCATGCTGAGGTCAAGAAGACGAAGTCCCTGGAGTGAACCCACGTTGGCATGTGTGACTGCGGCAGAGCTGGTCAAGGCTCTTAACGGTGACAGAAAAAGGAGCAAACCAACCACCTGATGGCCTGCTGCTCCCCCAAAACAGACCTCATCCTGCAGATGAAAGACCGCCGCGAGCCCATGCACATCCTCATGGATGACTGCTGCCCTTCTTTCTTGACCGTCCCAGTCTTCAGGTCCAAGATCCGGCCTAAGAGAGAGAGAAGGACAGTTACGTAAGCCTCTGCCTTCGGTTGGGAGATGGAGGAGGGAGTTCGGGGAGTGCTTTCTCCAAATGCTCTGCCAAATGAGGACAAGTGTGGCTGTGCAAATTGTTTGTGTCTTGGAATTCCCAACATTCTTTGGCAAGAAACTCACATAGTGATGAAATCCATACAGTTCAAAATGCTTTGTTTCTTCAGAGCCGTCTACACTTGCTGTCTCTGCTTTGCTGGATTCCGTCGCCTGCAGTCACTCCAATTTGGCTCTCTCCCTCACCACTCCATGGAAAAGGCATTTACCAAGGTCACCAACTTCCTTACTGCTAAATCTAAAACACGTTTTTCCTTTGTTTGATCCAACTGCTTTGCTGGGCTTTATGCGACCGCGCACTGCTCCCTTCTCAAGCATCTGCCCTCCCCTGGCTTCGGACAGAGCGCTCCCGATTCCTCTCTCCTCTCTGCTCCTTTCTCCCTGGAGGCTCCAACCTCAGCCTTCTTCTCTTCTCACTGTACATGTTCCCTATGCAATTTTATCCACACCCAGGTTTTGACAGTCACCTCTGGATGCCAATGACCGTACTATATCTACACCTCTAGCATCAACCTCTTCATTTCCTTAGCCCCAGGGCCACACCATCAGCAGCTGACCATGCACCGCAAAAGCAGCTTCACCCACTCTTCCCCAAACCCTCCCTAAACATCAGCAAGGGCACTGCCATCTGCATGGAAATCTAAGTCAGAAACCAGACATTATCCCCGAGTCCCTCCTCTCCCTCACCGCCTGCACACACATCTCTGTCCCTCCCACTTTTCTGCATCCATCCCCCACCTTGCTCTTACCTCAGAGGAAGAAGCAGTGAACCTCAGTGCATTTCTGCTCCCACCCCCCACGGGGTTCTGGGCCATCAACTGACCTCCTCCCACGTGGCTATTTCTACCCTCTCCCCTCCCTACTGTCTACTTCCTCCAGTATTTAAACACCATCAAATCTCTTCCATCTTAGGGGAAAACAAACAAGCAAAAGATCTTCTCTGGCCTTGAAGCTCTTATCCTCTCTCTGCATCTGTGGTTGGAGGGTTCTGTCCACACTCACTGCCCCCTTTTGGTGTCCAGCCCACTGTACCCACTGTATTGGGCCTCCACCCACTACAGCTCCATGGCAGCTGCTCCAGCCCAGGCCACAAGGGCTCTCTATGTGGCCCAATTTGATACACACTCTTCAGCCCCTCTCCACCTTGTCCTTATCCTTGGCCAGTCCCTTGGAACATTCTTGCCTTGGGACACCACCTTCTCCAGCCTATCCTTGGGGCAGCCCCTCTTCCTCAGTCCAGCTCCTCCCCACCCCATGTTGGCATTCTCAGGGCTGGGCCTTGGCCCTTCTCTCTCTCACTCTCTCCCAGGGACCCTTGGCGACTTTCCACTTCACCACCTCTTACATACTGAGGACATCAAGATGTCCATCTCCAGCTGATAAAGCCTCCTTCCTTTGACCGAAACTCAATCGGCCTCCTGTGAGTCCTCTGCCTGTCTAGGCCTAACCTTGAGCTTCCCTCTCTGTCCTTGCAGAACCCAATTTGAGCAAGCATCCTAACTTAGTTTGGTGAGAATCCCCCACCCTCGGTATCTGACACCCTTGATATCTACCACCCTGCACTGTCCTCAGCAAGGATTCTGATGATTGAGTCTAACCGGAATCCCCCAACCTCTGATGTTTCCTTTTAGTCATTCTCCACCCACTGCCTCCTGCTGCCACCTTGATTCTTGCTTCTTGCTTCTAAACCCTCACTTATCCTTGTTGGAATTGGGTCCACTCTCTCCTAGCATGCAAGACCACAGTGCAGTGGTGCCTGCACCTCTTGACATGGCATCCCTTGAATGGAATCTTCTTTATAGTTTTTAACAAATGTTGGGGCCGGGCGCGGTGGCTCACGCCTGTAATCCCAGCACTTTGGGAGGCCGAGGCGGGTGGATCATGAGGTCAGGAGATCGAGACCATCCTGGCTAACAAGGTGAAACCCCGTCTCTACTAAAAATACAAAAAATTAGCCAGGCGCGGTGGCGGGCACCTGTAGTCCCAGCTACTCGGGAGGCTGAGGCAGGAGAATGGCATGAACCCGGGAAGCGGAGCTTTCAGTGAGCCGAGATTGCGCCACTGCGGTCCGCAGTACGGCCTGGGCGACAGAGCAAGACTCCGTCTCAAAAAAAAAAAAAAAAAAAACAACAAATGTTGGGAATCATTTTTTCTTTAACACAGCCAGACCTCTCTTGGAAGCTCTTACATGTACAACTGTCTCTTGGGCATCTCACTGACATCTCACATTCCTCAGGTCCAAAAGCAAATTCTTCTTCCTGTCCAAAGCTGCCCTTTCTCCACAGTCCCCTATCTTTGTCATTGGCACCACCACTACCCAGTTGCTCAAACTAGAAATTTAGTAGGTAAGAGCATAGACTCTGGAGCTGGACTACCTAGCTTTAAGTCCTGCCTCCTTCACTCACTGTGTGACCCTGGGCAAGTTACCTAACACCTCTGTGCTTCAGCTACCTCATTGGTAAAAATGAAGATAATAATAGTACTTCCTTTAGATAGTTTTTGTGTGCATTAAATGAATTAATATTACAAAGTGACTACAATTATGCTTGGCTCTATAAATGCTTATTAAATAATGAATATGAAAAACTCCAACATCTGATCAGTCACCAATATTCCATCAATTCTACTTCCTGTGTATCTTTGGCCTGTGCACTTCCTGCCTCTGAAGTGCTACCACCTTACATCTGTCCCCCTCACTGCATTTCTGGATGGATGGCTGAAAAAGGGCAGTCATCACTTCCTCTGGTCTTGTCCCCTTCATTCCAGCCTCTGTACTGCTACCAGAATTCTTCACTTAAAACACAAAAACGATTATGGCTCTACCATTTATGTGACGCCAGTCACTCAGACTCGCTGGTCCATGGTTTTCTCTATTGCAAAAAATGAAAGAGCAAGATCTTGCTTTCAGGATTATTGTGATACAACATACATAAAAGTGATTCGCACACAGGAGGCAAGCGACAAATGTGTTTCCTGGCAGGCTTAGATCAAATGATCGCGTCACACTCCTCCTTGAGAACCTTTCATGTTCTCCACTCTTAGTTGTCAGGAAAATCCAAGTCCCGCAGACCAGTATAAAAGGCCTCCAAAGTCCGGCCCCTGCCCTCCTCTCATACTCCCTCCTCACCCTATGCCATCCCACCACTCCACGCAGGCCCCTGCTGCTGCCCGGAAGGACTCACAGCTCCCCAGTGTGCCACTCTCTCATCCCTGGCCCTTCCCAGCCACTTCCCCTCCCTGAGCAATCCCCTTCCCTTTGCCTGATTTCCATTTTTTTTTTTTTCTTTGAGACAGGGTCTCACTCTGTAGCCCAGGCTGGAGTGCAGTGGTGGAGTCTTAGCTCACTGCAGCCTTGACCTCTGAGGCTCAAGCAATCCTCCCACCTCAGCCTCCCAAGTAGCTGGGACTACAGACGTGTGCCCCCATGCCCAGCTTGTTTTTTTATTTTTTGTAGAGACAAGGACTCACTATGTTGCCCAGTCAGGTCTTGAACTCCTGGGCTGAAGCATTCTTCTTGCCTCGGCCTCCAAAGTGCTGGGACTACAGGCGTGAGCCACTGTGCTTAGCTGACTTCTACTTTTTATCACAACTTACCCAAGGTGTCACCTCAGCCATCACTTCACAAATATTCATTTAGCCCGGACAATATGTGAGAGACACTAATGTAAGCACAAAGAATTAAACAGGCAAAGGCCATTATATCCTAGAGGATGAGAGAGCGGACAACAACAACAAAGAAGAGAACAGACTAAAGTCGATGAGAATAGACTCAAACAGAACAGATTGTTACACTGAGACAACAGCTAAGAACAATAAAGCCAGGAAGAGTGAGAAAGGGATTGGAGAGCTGCGGCTTTGCAGCAGACAGCGTTTCATAAGGGTTTCTATCATTTGAAATCAAAAGGGCCTTGAAGAAGTCACCCTCCCCAAGCCTGCGTCCCACTGCTCCAAATGGAGGAAGGTGTGGGGGAGTGAAAATACATGCAAGAGAGGATGGTCACCTTCCTCGCTGCACTCTGCAGCATATTGTGCTCTCCTTGGGCCGGCTCTGTCACGCTGTGCTAGAACTATCCTGCACACATGGTCTAGGACTGTGCCTGGTCAGCTTGCTCCCCTCAACACTTGCAGCCTTCCCTTCTCACATGGACCAGGGCTCTGCAGACTGCATGGCGCTCTACAAAGACCCAGCAATCACCACCATGCTGACTACTGGTACGTACATCTTTAAGCAGGATGTGTAGACCAGAATTCTATTCAGTGGAATGGTTTGACTCAGTGTGCTGAGAGCTCTGGCGCAGCCTGTGCAGGGGAGGTCCTGGGCGTCTGCTGATTCTGCGCTGTCTGCTGCCCCAGGTTTGACACCTGTCTGTCTCCTTCACAGACGGCATCTTTTTACGGCCATGTTAGTGTAAATTGTCACTTGCTTTATCATCTACCAAATGGCAAATGGTTTCAGCTGTGAAGCAGGCCAGCATGAGGGTCTGGCAGATTCCAAAGTGTGCTCTGAAAATAAATCCCAGCTGCGTAGCACATGAGCAGTGGAACATGAGGAAATGAAAAAACACACTTCCATGATCTGTTGTCATGACCTTGAGAGACAACAGCTTCAACGTTTATTTCTCTGTGTGCTTCTCCGGTTTCCTTGGACACAATGAAGCCGCTCTTCAGGCTCCTCTGAAAGCATGCCTGACTTCATAGAGTAGGTGTGTTCCTGCAAGGTTGTGTGTAAATTGGATTTTTGACAAATGTAATAGCAGTTGAGATGTACAAAATCAAGTGGCCATCGCCCCAGCACTGGGTTGTGAATCCCAGTGTCATGGAATGGCAGTCAGTCTCCATCCCACAGGAGACCTGGGTGCTGGGTTTGCTTACTACCGGCTCCCAGTAGAGAGGCAAACAGAGATGTTACTGCCAGTTACACTGCTCCTAATCTAATCTTCATTCCTGACCCACAGAAGCCTGGGTTCTGCTTAGAGCCATGGGCCTGGATTCCTCGGGCTGACTCCCAGCAGATCCCTAGAGGCACAATCCATCCAGCCAAGGCTGGCTCCTTCTAGAATCCCTGCTCCCCAGCCTCATCCACTGGGTCTGAAGGACTCTGGTTCTTTTGTAATCCTGTCTCTGGGCTGGTCCCATGATGCCTCCCATTCTGTTTTCCTTAGTCAGTGCCTAAACAACCGGCCACCCTGGTCACCTCTCCTATGTGTACTCTTCACCCTTGATCCAAGCCCCCTGCTCCTTTCCCTCCTAATCTCCAACCCCCTGGGTGCCCTCCAGAATACCCACTTGGAAGTAAGACAGCTCCTGTATACTCAGCCTCCTTATAGACACTCCCTGAACTCAACTCAACTCCCTGCCTCAGTAGAAACCAGCCTGCCCTCTGGAGCATGCCCTCTGGAGAGAAGGCTCATGCTCCCATGTCCCACATGGCATGGGGTCAAAGGTAGTCTTGCTGTCTTCCTCAGTCCCCGAAGCCCTTCAAAACCCGACTCCTGCATGACACGCTCCTTCCAGACTCATGTCATCCACCTCGTCCACCTACTACCCCTCCTTTGTTTCTGTTGTCTTCCCACCTCTGGGTCTCTCCTCCTCCTGCATTTTAGACTTTCAGCACAGCACCCACAGCCTTTCTCTTTACCCCAAGACCTGCTATCACCCTACATGGTTTCAGCACCCATGTGGAAGGCCCACCTAACATCTCCCTCTCAGGACGTGTCCTCCTCAATTCTGAGCACGCTTTCCTCCTGTCCGGGGCAGCCAGCCATGCCCACTGCCACATCTGGGAACTTGCGGGCATCTATAACTGCTCCATCTGAAATGGTACAATCAAACAGCCCCCAGGACCACAATTAGTTTTCTCACTCTGGTCCTCTCACCTTCCCCATTCTTTGAATTCAGGGAGAATCTAATGTCAGAATTCTTGATGTCCTATCAGCATCCTGCTTTTGGTACAGAGCTATGAGCTTCCCTGTGGCTCAGGGACCCAGTTGTTAGAGCACTTGGGCTCAAGTTGCACAATGGCTGGCTTTGTAAGAGGCCCCAGAAATCTTCCAACACAACCAGAAGCTGTGGAAGCAGATATTGTTCTGGGTTTGATGTACAAAGGAGACCCATTAGTGAGCTGATAAATTAGTAATTACGCTATTTCAAATGAAAAAGGCAGCAAGGATGTAAGACATGGCTCCTCCATATGCGGGTTGTGAGAGTTTGTTCAGGTCACTTCATTTCTCGGATCCTCAGTTTCTTCAACTGGAAAATGGAATCAGGCATTCCTACTTTGAAGGGTTATGTACAGATTTCAAGACCTACACACTAAAGCTCAACAAACCCCCTTAGAGAATCAGAGTACAAGTGACTGGCAGGCTCCCGGCACAGAGAGCCGCAGGCAGGGAGGGTCTCCTGAGACCGGGAGTTAGCCCCTGCCTCCTGGCTGCTGGAGGGAGAGACGGCATTCAGACCACTCTGGAATAATGCACAGAGCAAGGCCTCAGGCTACAAGATTGAATAACTTGCTATTCTTGTTTTTCTCCTTAATTTTCATTCTAAAACTAACATGGTCGTTTTAGAAAAGTCACGCACACGAACACTTTAAGTGAAAATCCCAGATAACCTTCTCCAGAGAAGAATACTGTTCACATTTAGGTGCGTTTCTGGTCAGTCTTTTTCTATGCATGCCTGTTCTTTATTTTAATTAGCTGAGGCCTCATGGTGTATATTTTTCTACTTCATGTCACTTAGCATAAACTCAAGAATTTCATCACAAACCTCATTTTAAAGGCTCTTTTAATATTATTTTGAGTAGGTAATTTACTATTAGACTTTTACTTTGTTTCCAGGTTTTTCCTATGGCCAAGGGTGCTGGGGTGAACATGTACATACAAACAAAAATCCAAACCATCTTAGGATGGATTTCCAAATATGGCATTCCTGCATCAAATAAGGAGAATATTTTTAAGGCTGTTAATATCAAACCCTACTCTGCCTCTAAAGCTCACAGGGAACTATGCTGTCAATACCTTTACTGATTCTCAGTTTTTCTACTCCATGAAATGAGAATAAGAATTATGACCACCTTACCTCAAAGTTTTTTACTGTAATTTTTCTAAGACAGTTGAAAAGCATAACATGCTTTATAACATGAGTCAACAAAGTACTTCCTGCAGCCCAAATCTAGTCCACCACTTGTTTTTGTAAATAAAGTTTTATTGGAAAACAGCCACACCCACTCATTTATTTATTGCCTATGGCTACTTTCATACACCATGGCAGAGCTGGGTGGTTGTAACAAACACAACATGGCCCACAAATCCTAAATATTTACTGTGTGTCCCTTCACAAAAATGCATTCTCTGACTCCTGCTTCAGAAGATATAAAGATTCCAGAAAAGAGCATCTTTTTTGATGGGCAGAGGGCCCTTCTGTAATTGTTTGCAGTAAGCTGATTTGTAAGTATTATTTTGGTCGGTAGTAACTTTTTAAAAAGAAGAATCTGAAGTTTGTCTTGGATAAGATCACAAAAGAAGGCTTTGTGCACATAAAAATTCTCCCCAGGCTACAAGAGAAATACAAATATAAATTAGAATTATTTCATCAAAAGAATCCTTAAGAAAACTGGAAACATCTTATCTTGGTTCAAAAAGGAGGAACAGTGAGATGGCAAAGGAAGAAAACAAGAGAAAATAATTAGGAACAAAAACAAAGCAAAACGATGGCCCCATGAAGGACAATATTTGATGTGGTTCCAAAAATGTGTCCCCCTGAAATGGGGGCCCAGAACTGGAGGATGCTTTGGTCACTGTTCCAGTGACAGTGTGTTCTTATTCTCAAAAGGTTGACCCCAGTTATTACAGCAGCTGTGCACACAGGAAAAAACACCAGGCCATAGGACAGGGATCCAACCAGTGTGCCTGAGGCCTGCTCCTGAACAAACTTTGGAGCCTGGAGCTGTGTCAGTGAACCTGGGAGAGAATGGGCCTTCTACTACTAAAGGTGGGTGCATTTTCCTTAGACTTCATTCTCTCTGGCAGGTGTTTATAAGTGGCTGAGGGCACAAACACATCAATTCACCGGTTGCAGCCAAACCATTTTCTTCCCAAACGAGAAGAGGGAGCTCTGAATGGGCAGTAGAGTTGCATAAGACATCTCTTACTCTATTTACCCATTACCTCCTCTACCACAATGCTTTCTTGAGAAATAGCTCTCATACTAATCCTTCATTATGAAAGTCAAAAAAAGAGCTGCCATCTTCTTACAAGATCCCATCTCCCTCGCCATAGTGATTGGTTGAGGACTGAGCACCTGACACACCCTGGGCCAATCATAGTAACTCACCCACCCTCTTGTCTATAGTGATTGGTCCCAAGACTAGGATAGAATCCAACCAGGCCAATCAGAGTCCTCCATAGGCAAAATGTGACCTTTGCCACCTTTCCCCCTCTTTTCTCTTTGAGAATCTGAGCATGGCTCTTTCAACAGCAGTGATTCAGCTTCAAGGACAATGGGGTCTAGGAGAACAAAACTGACTCCAAGAAAGTAGTAAAAACATAAAACAGTGAAAAGTTTCTCCCAGTGTTCAAGTCTTTAACACTTGGTTCTGTCACCTGCAACCAAATAGTTCAGGCTAATACAATGTTCTGTGGCCTTTGACAGAAGAGGAAGGACAAGGGAATTAACTCTTTACTCACTGAGGACTCTACTAAGGGCTAGGTATTCTGAAACGTTTTACATGTGTTACAGTATTTTATCTACACAGCCCTAGGAAGTGGGTCACAGTGGTTGCACACCAAGATGCAGCGGGGAGAAGGGCCTTAGGGGCAGTTCATTTCAGAGGGGAGAAATATTTGATCATTGATATGCCAAGAATTGCTGGGACATGATGATAATAAAAAGCAGATTAACTTTTAGTAGGTTCTATTATTGTTTTTAAATACCCTGTGGACAATGCAGCTCCTACTGCCTGCATGGTGGGCAATGCCCCCTCCTCTATAGCCCCTGCCAGGCTGTATTTGTCCCACAAAGAAACTGAAGCCCAGAGACACTAAGTAACCAGTTACGGTTGTCTCACAGCTGAGAACTGCGGAGTCAGGATTTGAAGAGGGCAGCCTGACTTACTGCAGAGCCTGTACTACTTTTCACAGTACAACTGCTCTGGGAAGTCTGGAGACCACTCCCCAAAGCAGAAAATAAGACGGCACCCACCGAACAGAAGCAGATGGGCAGTGAGGGGGCAGGAGGTCAGCCATCTGCAGGGACTGTGGCCAGCTTGTGGCTGTTTCAGGATCAGAAACCCAGACTGGGAACATCTGCCTTTTTATTTTTATTTTTGTGTAGTTCTTTTCTGTGTATGTCTTTATTCCTCTTCAATTTTTCCTTTTGGTTTAGTAGAGAACTTTGGATCATTCCAGCCTCTCTCAGCCATTCCTGGGAGACTCGGGGGAATGGGTTTGCATCCATATTTGGTGGAGTTATAGGAGGTACAGGTCCCCTAATGGCAGGCACGGTTGTAGTGACCACACTTTCCAGCTTTGGCTGGGACAGCCTAGCTTTTGCCTATTGTCCTAGGACGGTCATTAATACAGCCTCTTTTCACTCTCCTAGTGCGTGGATTTGGACCATCACCTATATATACAATATGGTCACTGTTTTTAAAGTGGTAGCAAAGAGAGAGTCATGAGTGAGAGATGAATCCCACACCAAGGAGGTTGAGAAACAGTTACATTTAAGGCCACGTAGCCCTTCTGCCAGTCACTTAAGCTCCTCTCTCCTCCTAGATAGGTCTACATTTTGTCTTTAGGGGTAGGGGGCAATGATCCAACAGCCCCTCAGAAAAAAATCGTGTGCCATCGGTGCTTCCAGGCAGGAAGGAGGGAGTGCAACTGGAGATGGCTGGTCACTCAGGGTAGAACTTGTTCCAGTTTAGTAACAGGGAGTTAACCCTCAGGTAGAGTCAGAAAGCTCCATTCTTCCAAAGAAAAGCTTTCTGAGGGCCCCCGATGGTGCAGCTGGCTGTACCTCATTCTGTTCTGGCCTGAACTTCACCAGGGCCACCACGACACTAGGAACACAGTTGGAGCCACATGCAGATGTTCAGCTTCTTGCAAACACTTGGAGACTAACACGAAAGTGGAATCACAACACGAAGTGTATTAGAAAGTCCTTCCCTTCCCCCTTCTCCCTTAAATTCTTGCTCCAGAGAGAAGGCCTTTCTTCCTCACTTGCTGAGTAAAGTGTTTTCCTCAGGAAGAATATACTTATAATTATCTCCTCTGCAACACTGCTCTACCATTTCAAATCTATATCCAACACTGCTCTACCATTTCAAATCTATTTAATGGTCATGATGGGCTGCGAGCTTCTCAGCTCTCCTGCAGCACAGGGAATGCTACTGCCCTCAACAGAATGGTATCTATATTAGTTTCCATGGCCATGTAGCAACTCAGCAGCTTAAAACAGCACCCATTTATTACCTCACAATTGACCAGGTTCTCTGCTGAGGGCCTCATAAGGACAAGATCGAGGTGTTGTCTGGGCTGGGCTATTACTTAGAGGCCCTGCAGAAGAATCCACCTCTGAGATCATTCCAGTTGTTGGCAGATCCTTGCAGTTGTCAGGTCAGGTGCCCATGCCCTTGCTGGCTGTTGGCCAGGGGCCATGTTAGGAGGCTGCTCACAGATCTTGGCTCATGGCCCCTCCAACTTCAAAGCCAGCAATGGTCATGGCCTATCAAATCCTTTTTGTGCTTCAAATCTTTCTGACTTCCCCATCTGTCATGAGCCAGATACAATTTTCTCCTTTTAAATGGCTTACTTGTTTGGGTCATGCCTACTGGATAATCTCTGTATTTGATGATCAACTGACTTGGGACTTTAACTACATAGGCAAAATCCCTTTGCAGCCATACTTAGATTAGTGTTTGATTGAATAACCAGAGGATGGAAACCTTAGGGATCCTTTTAGTATATTGCCCACATGGTCCCCAACATTATCGACACTTAGGCAGATAGCTTGCCTCCCTTCCTGGATTACAAACGTTGTGAAAGCAGCTAGCCAGGGGTTGAATATCTCTGTGTCCCCTAGTCCAGGGTGCCTCGCATACATACACTGGTGTCCAACAGCTCTGTCCTGAATCACAACCACCCACTGTGGAGGCTAAGCTGTCATGACTGCACAGTGGCCCAGTTACAACTCCTTACAGGCTCCTATGGATGCTCCATGTATCTCTCTTTTCCTGTTTTCCAAAGAATCCTTGAGGATTTAGAACTAATGCTTTTCTCTACAAGTAATTCTACCCCTCAAGCCTAACAAAGCATTTTCCTTTGGCAGTAGGAATCCTAAGCAACTTCCAGAAGCTGAGCTCCTGACATATTCTCAACAACTAGGAGGCTATAAACACAGGCCCTCCCCTAGTAACCTGGGCCACTTATCAACTAATACGTCTCCTCTTTCCTGGTTCTATATGGTTATCCAGGCAGGGAAAGGCTGGTGACAGGCAATGAATGGCAGGCTACATGTATCCCACTGGCAAGTTCAGAACTATTTATCCACTTATTTATCCACTACTAATTCAGAACTTTATGGCACTTGAGCCTGGAAAAGGTTTTTAAGAAAGGACACATGGTTTCACAGCAGTGACCAAGTGCAGCGTCCTTACCAGCTGGAGTTACAGGCTGTGTCAAACTCTACCTACCCAGACCAGTGCTGAGCAAGTTCTCCCATTTCACACAAGATGCTCACAGTTCAAGCTGGGAGCAGGGAGAAGGGTGCTGGGCATGTGGTGAATTCACACAGGAATGCACTATAGAAGACAGCCCAGTCCCACTCCATGGCATGGGAATAAGTCACAGTGCAATGGATTTTTTTTTTTCAAAATAATATTGTCAAGAGAGGGTGCGTGGAAGCTCACAAATGTGTAGAGACTGGGTAGAGAGCAAGAATCTATAAACTGACTCCATCCAACAGAAATTACAAAGTGCAAGCTGCAGTACTAAGCAAAGTGGCTCACAGAGTAGGGGAAGCAAGACACCATTCCTACTTAACGATGAAACCAACTCAGCTGGTACTCGAGGAGATGTCTGCACAAAATGCAAAGGCAGCACAGAGCAGACAGAGAGAGTGCTTCATGTTGGAGAGAGCAGACTGGGTCAGGGAAAGCTTCCTCCCAGAGGAGGTGCTAAAGGAGCCTCAGAGAGATGGAGCTGCAAGGGATAGGATGCCCCAAGTAAAGGGCTCAGAGCAAGGTGTGGGGAAAGTGGAAGGAGGGGTCTGAGAATAGTACAAAGTCCTGTTTGGCTGGAGCTCCACAGGGAGAGGGGCTGGAGAGGTGGGCTGGGGCCCAACCCCAGGGCACAGAGCCCTAGGAAGGCATGAGCAAAAGCAAACAGAGGAGTCAAGCTCTCAAAATGATTCTGCTATCTGTCACACAGGCAGAAAAGCCAGAGACTTGAGAAACATGCTTCTGACAAACCCTCCAGCCCTTCATGCTGTTGGCAATGAATATTGAGCATGCTTTGCAAAGGCCACATTCCCTTCTAAAAGCAAAACTTCTACCTCCCGGAACTGCCTAGGAAAATTCATATGATTTGCAGTTTAAATATACGAATATCAATAATTTAGATTTTAGGAGCAAAAAACCTGTAAGATTAGCATTCATATCCAACATTCAGGAAAAGAGAGACACCTCAACTTGGAACCTGAGTGTCCAGCCATGTCGGGAGAGCTCCTGTGTACACAAAGAGTGTACTGGGAAGAATGAAGAGTTGGCAGCAACAATAATGTTCACTGAGCAGAATGGGCTCCTGCTGACCCACAGAGGGAAACTGTTTTCAGATAGTAAGAATAGGCTTTTGGGAACCATCCCCCTCTGGGCCCTCTTGCGTTCCTGAGCAAGGAAGATGGCGGCTGGGGTTTGGGTTAGAACTCAGATTAGAATCAGTGGCCATGGAATAAGGAGACAAAAAAAAGGCTTACAGGGGTGGGGGTGCCTGATTAGGTCTGGCAAAAGGGACTTAGCATTGCGACTAATAGGCCCTGCAGACACTCAGAAGAGCCTTTCCGCCAAGCAGTCTGTTTGCATGTCAATCCCTTTGTCCCTCTACTGTACCATCTGGGGAAGGTGCTAATGAGACTAACTAGGCAAGGAGCAGGCAGCAGGATGGCACAAGGAGGGCAGCAAAACTCTGCAGAGAATATCCAAGAGATCATCATCTCATGAGCAATGAAAAGACCAAGACTGGCACATTTGGGGTCAGTCCATACCAACGGGCAGAGAACTCCAACATGAATGGCAGGCCATACCACCTCTCCCACCTCGACAACTGGGCTCTCGTGGCTCTCTGAAAAGCCTGAGAACTTCACAGCTTTTTCTGCATTCACATTCTCAACATGATGTGGGATCATGGGCCACCGCCTGCTGTGGCCTGCTGCTCTGCTATTCATTATAAAATCATCACCCCACAGTCCTCCCATGGCCGGCACCTCTTCTGCTATTTAATCTGTAGACAAAAGTACAAATTCTTCATCCTGTTTAGAATATGCTGAAGTGTGATTTAAAGAAATACATTCCTCTTGGGGTATCATGCTACAAAAATGCCAGAAATGCAAGCCTGAGGGGTTTAATTTTAACGGTAAATGATTAACCCTCCTTGGCTGTGGAAAGGCAGCCCAGTATATGCCAGGAGACCAGGCTGACATGGAGTTCAAGAAGGCAATTTCAAGTCGTGCCTTCCCTCCTTCGCAGTTTGCTAATGAAATGATTTTAAAAATACAAAAATAGCAGGAAAAATCTGCATTCATGAAGAAAAACAGTAAAAGGGGCCTTAAAATAGAGAGATATTGAAATATTTCTGCAAAAAACAGCACAGCACACCTGGGATGGTCTGGAAATGAGTATGAGCAGCTCATGTGTCTTAGTTCATTTTGTGTTGCTATAAAGGAACACCCGAGGCTGAGTAATTTGCAAAGAAAAGAAGTTTATTGGGTTCATGGTTCTGCAAGCTGTATAAGAAGCATGGTGCCAGCATCTGCTTCTGGTGAGGACTCCAGGAAGCATCATGGCAGAAGCAAAGAGGGAGCAGGAGTGTCACATGGCAAGAAAAGGAGCAAGACAGAGAGAGAAGGAGGGGTGCCATGCTCTTTTAAACAAACAGCTCTCAGGTGAACCAAAAGAGTGAGAACTTACTCATTTCCACAGGGAGGGCACCAGGCCATTAGTGAGGGATCTGCCCTCATGATCCGAATATCTCCCACCAGGCCCCATCTCCAACATTAGGGATCAAATTTCAACATGAGATTTGGAGGGGACAACCATTCCAACTATATCATCATGGTTCAACCAATATGAGGAAACAAACTGCCTGGGAAGAAAGTGAAAGAGTTCCCTACTAGAAGTTTCCAAACTCCAAGCAGGAGAGAGAGAACAGGAAATCAGGAAGCAGAAGACAAGTGACCTAGGGTATAATCACAGTGAGGCCAGAGGCAGAGCCCCCTCATATCACCCTGACTTAAAGCAAACAACCTGCCACATAAAGAGGAAGAAAAGCTGCCACAGCCTGCTTCTGAGAGGCAGCATTTCATGTAAAGGAGTGGGCATGGCCCTACTAACTTCAGGTAATGGTGACCAAGGTACAGGGCTGCCTCGGCTGCAGCTCCCAGATAGCTGTACACAATTCAGGAAAAATCAGAACAAATCCCCCACCCCCACCCCCCGCCACTTGCTGTGGTTTGAATGTGTCCTCCAAAGCTCATGTATTGGAAACTTAATCCCCAATGCAAGAGTGTTGTGAGGTAAGACCTTTAAGAGGTGATCAAGTCATAAGGCCTCAGGAGGGCAGAGCCCTCATGAATAGTTTAATGTCATGATTGTAGGGATGGGTTTGTTATAAAAGCAAGCTTGGCCCTTCTTGCTTTCCGCTCTCTGTCTCGTTCTCTCTTGCTTTTGCTCTCTCAGTCTTTTGCCTTCCACCATGGGATGACACAGCACGAGGGCCCCTGCCAGATGTCAGAACCATGGTCTTGGACTTCCCAGTTTCCAGAACTGTAAGCCAAATAAGTTTCTGTTCATTATAAATTAATCAGTCTGTGGTATTCTGTTATAGCAGCAGTAAACAGATTAAGACACCAAGAAACAGAAAGAACACAATATGTTGAAACATTAAGTCTCAGCAATATTTGAGAAAATCTTTCATAATAAAAAGAAAATAACCTCGGACCAAGAAAGATTGCTTTTAGATGAAAAACATGATTTCAGAAATGAATACCCAAATGGAGGCAATAAATAGTGATACTGCTAAAAACTGAATCAATGAATTAAAAGAAACCTTTGGAAATTCTCCGAGGTCACACACACACACATACACACTCACAAACACACACACAAAACAAAAGGGAAAGGAGGTAAATATAATATGCAAAAGGCTAAGATTCCTAGATAAGAGAGTCAGGCAATCCATCACAGGAATTTGAGAACTGAGCTGACAGAGGAGACAGAGAAGAGGCATTCAAAGAAATTATCATAAGGACCTCTGCTTCCAACCAAGTAACAGGAGCCAGACTGACCTTCCCTTCTGAAACCATCAAGCACCCAGTAAAATCTATAGAATAGTTCTTACACATTGGACATCAGGTAGTGAAGGACCCCGAGAGACTGGAAAAGAGGAACAAAGTTGGAGGACTAACATTATCTGATTTGAAGATGATAAAGCTGTAGTAATCAAGACACTGAGCCAGGCATGGTGGCTCATGCCCATAATCCCAGCATTTTGGGAGGCTGAGGCAGGAGGATGGCTTGAGCCTAGGAGTTTGAAATCAGCCTGGGCAACACCAGACCTTTTCTCTACAAAGAATAAAAAAATTAGCCAGACGTGGTGGCGCATGGCTGTAGTCCCAATTACTCAGGAGGCTAAGGTGGGAAGATCACTTCAGCCTGGAAGGGCAAGGCCGCTGTGAGCTGTGATGGTGCCACTGCACTCCAGCCTGGGCAACCAAAGAAGACCCTGTCTAGAAAAAAAAAGAAAGAAAGAAAGAAAGAAGGACACTCTGCATAAACAGAATAGCACAGAGTCCAGAAATAGACGTACACCTGTGTAGATATAATTGGTGTGCAAAGGCAATTCAGTAGAGAAAGAATTGTCTTTTCAGTGAAGGTACTGTGATTCAGCCAAGAGATTAAAAAGCAAAACAAAGCAAAAAATCACCAAAAAACCAAAGGTGCTGGAACAACTGAATATGCCTATACTTAAAAAAAAAAAAAAAAAAAAAAAAAGGCCTGTCCTGAGAAGTAAATGAGATGTATTTGTGAAGTCACTTTACACAGTATGTAAATATTAATTTCTTCTCTTCTTGGATCCTCCCAACCTCACTCCCCAAAATATCCATTTCCCTTCCAGCAACCAGAACAGTCTTTCTATATAAAAATGCAAATTGGATCATGTTAACATGCTTTCAGGGACTGCTTCTTGCACTAACAGTAAATTCCAAGTGCATAATGGTTCTCTGTGGCTGTCCCTGGCCTGACGTTTCCCCCTCATCTCACTGCAAGGGATATGGCTTGGCTGTGTCCCCACTCAAATCTCATCTTGAATTCCCACATGTCGTTGAAGGGATCCGGTGGGAGGTAATTGAATCATGGGAGCAGGTCTTTCACGTGCTGTTCTCGTGATAGTGAATAAGTCTCACAAGATCTGATGGTAATAAAAAGGGGTTCCCCACACAAGCACTTCCCTTTTTGCCTGCCACCATCCATGTAAGTCGTGACTTGTTCCTCCTTGCCTTCTGCCATGATTGTGAGGCCTCCCCAGCCATGTGGAACTGTAAGGCCATGAAACCTCTTTTTCTTCCCAGTCTCAGGTATGTCTTTATCAGCAGCGTGAAAACTAACTAATACAATGGCCTTCCTCACTTCCCCAGAGCCACCAATACCTTCCCTGCCCCAGAGCCTTTTCACATGCTATGCTATTCCCATGGCTGGGAAAGTTCTTGACCTCACTCCCCCTACCACCTCACAAATTGCTAATTCCCATTCATGTCCTTCCATTTTCAGCTTTATAGTCATTTCCTCAGAGGCCTTTCCCTGCTCCACTCTCCCCACCACCTCTAACGTGTAAATTAGGGTCCCCTGCCCCTGTCCCATAGCCTCCTGTTCTTTTTCTTTAGAACATGCCACCAATTTGACTCTATATTCATTATATAACTGCCTGTTTGTCCATTTCCTGGGGTAAAGCTCCATGATGCATGGTGACCACAGTTTCATGCATTGCTGCATCTTCCGTTTCTAGTGCAGTGACTTGTGCTGATAACTATCTGTTGACTTAAACTAAGATATGCAATTTGCCTCCCATAAAGAGGTTTCCCCTTCATCTGTGAAGACCTGGTGGCCAAGCCCTAGTTGCTGGCCTCAGTCTTGGGCCAGGCTGTGGGCAGCCCCGAGGGGAGACGGGACTGTGGGGCGGGGTCTGCATCCACATGGAGGGGCTCTTTGCATTGTCAGGTTATTTTGGGTAAACCTCAGCTGCTCTGGTGGCCAGCCTGCAGCCAGCTCCACCAACAGGCTTTCTTCCGTGGGCTTCAGTAGACACTGCGGATGTCCCGCCCAGATACCCTGGATCTCACGCACCAATTTGACTGCTGGGTCCTCTCCTAGCTGCTGCAGGTTCTTCAGCTGATGGCTCACACCTGCATCTTCTCCAGAGCCTTCTCCTTGAAGCCGCCTGGACTGAAGTTATCTAGGAGTTACACCCACCCCTCAAGGCCTGCGACCAGTGACTTATTTGCCTCAAAGAGGGACTGCAAAACCCCACACCCTTGCCTCAAAGAGGGACTGACTCTGTGCAACTTACTCTCCCAGGCTTTGTCCCTGCAGATCAGGTTGAAGCTAGACTCCCCAGAATCACATCTTTGCCTGGCTTCTCTTCTGACCTGTCCTGACCTATCCAGCTTCTCTCTCTCACCACTTTCTCCTGGGAGTGCTTACAAAAGTGTGTGCACGAATCCCTGACTAGGTAGGGACTGAGAATACCTCCCAAGACAAAGCTGCCTACGGTTGGGGGAAAAAAAAAGATGACAAGCATTTACTGAGTACCCAGACCACGCCAGGCACTGTCTTGGGCACCATCCTCACACCAACACTGATGAGGAACTGGAGGCTCAGGGAGGATCCCTGTACCCTGTCCAAGATCACCCAACTGGTCAGCGGGGAAACGAAGACTCAAACCCAGGCAGAAAGTCCATGCTCTTAACCCCCCACCATGGCTGTCGGTGAGTCCACCCATCTGCCAATTCCCAGCCCTAGCAAGCAATGTGGGCTGTGCTAAGACGATGGCAAGGGTTACTGGGGATAACTTCAAACTGAGTACAAGTGCACTGTTCCAGTGTAGAAAGGGCTATCTTCTGAGGTGGCCAGCTCTGCCACTGCAGGTGTTCAAAAAGAAGCCAGTGGCCACTTCACAGGCCTATTATGGAGAGAGCTGTAGAACTGAGAGAAGAGTCAGCCTGTGTGACCCTCATGATGCCGAGCTCTTGTGAGTTCAGGTCCTTAGAACGTGTGCGCTCAGCTCAAGGTTAAAGAGTGGCATTGTAAATAGCTCATTGCAGAGTAATTTATGTCATCACCCAAAAGGAGAAAACTGAAAGCCATCTATCAGATCACTGCCTGAGCAAATGACTGTCCAGGGAGGCTTTGCGTTGGAGTAGAAGAAAAGAATCTACAAAAATAAAGGGAAAACTGGATGCAGATGTTTTCCTCAATTAGCTTCTACTAAAAAAGCAATAAACAGGAAAGATCAGTGCTATACGTGCACTTTTATTTAGCCATGTGGCATGAGTCATGACATTTCAGAGGGAAATGTGTCTGTCTTTGGTGAAGCTAAAGGAAACTATTTTATTTTCTTTATCACACTGGAGTTTTTGCAACAAAGCTATTTTTAACCAAAGTATTACAAAATATGACTATCACGTGAGATGATTACTGAAATCTAAATCATACCAGCAAGAAGCAATGATTCAATTCGTCTTTTCAAACATCCCAAAGTAACTCAAAGTAATTATATCTGCCTAAAAAAATACTACTTCTAGGTTATTTCTGTTGTAGTTTCCTGTTATAGAAGGAAGAAAAAAGTATTTGTCGATTGGCTTCCTGAACATCAAAGTTAGGATAAAAGATACTTCATTAGGAAATCAAGACTCTTTCAAAGAGGACTTAGAATGCTAAGTGCTGCACATTTTTCAGTTGTGTTGATGACTACATTTTTAACATTTTGGTTTTCGGTGGTAGTAAATTAAGAAACTATCTTCCTGAAATTTATCTCCTAGATAAAGGACAAATTAGGTTGTATTATTTTATTTTATTTTATTTATGCGTGGGGTTTGTTGGCAGGGGTCGCATTGGGGAGCAGTAGTTGGTCCACACTGGAATCATCAGGGTAGCTTTTGAAAGACAGATGTCTGAACTTCACTATGGTACAGTCGAGTTCACAGAAATGGAGTGGAGTCCTGGCATCTGAATTTTTAAAAGAATCAACAGAATTCTGATGCACAATGAGATTGAGAACCACTGTTTTAAGAGCTGGGAATTTTAAAAACTTATGTACAAAGCTGTAATAAATGTTCTTCAGGCGTCACTTGGGTATGCCTTGTTTCAAGAAAAGCCATAATACGAAAATGAGAATGTAGGAACTTTAGGAGGTGACTTTTAGCATTACAAAGAAGCACACCAGTGTTACATGGTTAAATCTCTGCATGAATTTAAAGCAAGATTTAGCATTCTCAAGTCGATTCACATACATTTTTGGTGGGATAGAAAATATGTATGTTGAACCACTGAAGAGAACTTTCACCGCCTACTCCCTCTTTATCCAGGACAGAGATGCACTGTTATTGGGAGTTGGGAAAGGCCTGGATCCTGCAGACCACCTCTCCCTGCTTCTCAAACCCAACTTCCTGATTCCCAACAGCCCAGCTCAGGCAGAGGCTGGAGAGCTCCCTCTACTACAGAATCTTGTTTAGAGGGAAGCGGCTTGTTCTCTAATGCCAAAAGGGAGAACCTAGTTGGATGTGTACATAAAATGCACATAAGGTTCACAGTGAGGGCTGTTCTACTTGTATCCCTGGCAGCCTCCCTGATTCCCTGTAAGCCCTGTGCTGGGGAGGCTGTGTCCTCTCCGTTATTTCTCTTACAAAGAAATATTTACCATGCATGGAAAATCCAGTCATTCAGTGACATTACTGGGCAAGCCTCCTCTTCCGGTCTTGCAATGCCCAGGTTGGCTTCTGTTTTAGATCCCTTCCCTAAGAAGTTGTTGCCATGAACAAAGCATGGGAGGTCTGCATACCTAGAAGACAAGGTCCAGAAGACGAAGGAGACTGGTGAGGGGCAGGTGCCCTGGTCTGGTTTCAGGGTCCGATTATAAAGGAAGCTTCTGGAAATGTAGGCACAATGGTCAAGTACCAGCTATCTAAGTCCAACATCTGGAAACTGAGCCCGTACCTTGCAGGCTGTCAGAGCCAGGCCTGAGCGGGCCAGGTGTCAGTCACAGACTATGTCCTGAGCTGGGGGCCAAACTTCTCAACTCCTGGATGTGCATGGCTTGTTCCCCACTCAGACATTCTGGCCCATCTCCCTGCACCCTCTCCTGCATCAGTTCCTGGACTTGACCCCTCCACGCGCCCCATCTGAACCCACCCTCAGTGTGGCGACCTGCCACTGCTCTCAGCAAAAACAGCCCTGACCTCGGCTCTGGATTGTGCCCAGCTCTGCTGCTGTGCGCATGGACAACATGAAGGGGCAGGTCTGACCCAAGGCACGGGGAGGTGGGCAGGACTCAGGCATGAGAGGATGAATCAGGTCAGGACAAAGGCAGGCGAAGAGAGATGGAAGCCCGGGCTCAGGGCTGGGTGGTATGAGAAGCAGGGAGAAGTACAGCAAGGGGCAGCCTGGAGGAATTCAACTGCCTGCCTGGGTCTGCACGGCGACTGAATTCCAAGCCCTGCCATATCAGGGAGGTGTGGAGAGGAAGAGGGGGAAGTGCTGCTCTGTCCCACCTAGGGTAGCTTCAGCCTACTCCAGATGGATGAGTGGTGAGCATCAGTAGCCCCATCTGGAAGGAAATGAAGAGGAATAGAGCAGGAAAGTGAAGCAGAGGAATCGATACAGCAAGGCTCAACCTGTAACCACGTTCACATCTGAATGGGCTCCATGCCTACATGGTGGGGCAAATCAAATCCCACACCACCCACAGCCTAGAAGACCATTCCTAGGGCTGTACCTCTGCTGACTCACTGCATAGGTGATTAGCAATTATAAAAAATTAACACCAGTGAGTATTCCTATCCCCCAGCAGGGCACAATGAGCACATTCTGCATTGCACCCAAGTTGATCTACAAAAATAGGCTTGTGGGTCCAAAGGGATCCATCAGTGAATGCATAAACATCAAAGGAAGCAGTGGATTTTGTGGCTTGACTCAACACGACAAGTCAGGGATGCTGAGGAGGTGCCTCCTGTCCTCCCCGCAGTTAAACTTGCTTCTAGTAGAAGAGATCTGACAATGAGAAGAGGCACCAACGAGGCCACCAATGACCCTGGATATCAGCTTTTTTAAAACACTATTTGGGTAAAGGACTAGAGTGAGTGGATCAACTCCCCTTGTTGGTTTCACTGCCTACATATCTGGTGAAGTTAACCACTTCCCTCCATCTCCACTGTTACAATCTATACTGGGTTTTACAGTGTCTCCAACCACCCCCTGCCCAAAATTCATGTCCACTCAGAACTTGCATATGTGACCTTATTTGGAAAGAAAGTCTTTGTAGATAGAATCAAGTTAAAATGAGGTCATACCAGATTAAGGTGGGCCCTAATCCAACAGACTGGTATTCTTAGAAGAGGGAAATTTGGACCCAGAGACACAAAGGGAAAATGCCACCTTATGATGGAGACAGAGATTGGACCGATGTGTCTACAAGGAATGGCAAGGACTGTCAGCTACCACCAGAGCTAGGAGACAGCCATGGAACAGGTTCTTCCTCACAGCCTCCAGAAATAACTGACCTGGCTGCTGACACCTTGATTTTGGACTTCTGACCTCCAGAACGGCAAGATAACACATTCCCATTGTTTTAAGCTGCCCAGTTTGTAGTAATGTACTACGGCAGCCAGAGGAAACTATACTCCTCCCCAACCCAAGCCTGCATCAGCCCTCGCATAGATAACTCTAGCATCCTCCTAACCTTGAATACCCCAAACCTGTCTGGTTGTCCTATGACATGTTCTCCACTCTGTCACCAGAGTGAGCATCTCACATCTAACATGGTTCATGGGCCTCTACTGGTTAAAATCCTCAGTGGCCTGCAATTGGTCTTGGAGTCAGCATCCCCTCTCCCCACGCTTCACCATCTCCTCACCTGGCTGCCTTCTGCTTCCTTATTAGATCTCACCAGGCATCAGTCACTCACAGGGGCATTCTCCAACCTGCCCAGACATGTCCCATTCTGTATTGTTTGTTCTTGTTGCCCTCCTGGCCTTTTCCTCCACAACACCTACCACAGTGTGTTAGATGTGATTATCTCTTTGGTGTCTCTTTTCCCCACTGAACTGTAAACTCCACAAGAGCCAGGCCACATGGGTTTTATTCATCACTAGATCCCCAGCACTTAGTACAGTGTCTTGCACCAAGTTAGTTAGTACTCACTAAATACATGCTGGATGAATGGATGAATGAATAGAACAAAGAGAAAGAAAAAAGTAAGTGCCTCTTTTCTTCCCTCTCCTCTACCTGAGCCTGCAATGGGGATTCTCAAGCACATGTCACACTTTTGTAAAGGGGCAAAACTAACAAAGATCAGGGCCTACCCATCTTCCCTTGTCAACAGTACCAAAATCCTAAGACACATTTTAGAGAGCTAAGAAGACAAATAAAGCAGGGCAAGATGGAAAGTTTGGGAAACCACTGATCTATAGTAGTGTTTAAATGGAATTTGCAGTTATTAAAACAAATGAATGAACTCTCTACAATTCCCAAACACTATCATTAATACTATCCCATATGTCATTGAATGCCTGCTTCAAAGCAGTTTTGTAGGAGATGCGTTATTGTTTGCATTTACAAGCGAGAAAACTGAGGCTCAGGGAGGTTAAGTCATTCACCCAAGGTAAAGGCCATGGACTGTAACTGTCACCAGGTTCATCTGACTCCAAGTACAGGGATTCTTCCACTCCCCCGCTGCCTCCCTACACCCCTATGCACCGCCCCCCATCCCCACCACCACTCCTCAGCACACACGGCTGGTGGAGCTCACTGTGTGCAGGGAGGCCAGCCTTCCAGCCAGAGTCAGCAACGTGTGCAAAAGCACCACTCTGACTCCTTTATCTGCTGTGACACAAGAGTGATAATGAACCCAACAGCCTGGGCTGGAAATCTGTCCAGATTCATGGAATATCTTTCAACATAAAATATGAGAAAAAAACACAAACAGTTCAGCAGCATCAGCCATGCTATGCATGTAGCGAAGCAAAACAGGCAGGTTGTATAAATATTTAACAACGAGAAAGAACTGAACTGGCTCCAAAGAAACATCTGGGATAACAGATCTAAGGAGGCTGAGGTTTCTAGTGGGAAAGTCACTGTGAAGATACAAAAAACAACCAGCCAGCAATTCTCAGATTTCATTCTCACGTGCATTTATCAAGCACCTCTGGCAACTTACCCCCAAATGCTTTGTTTTTAAGTGTTTACTTACACAACTGGGCAATTTTCAAGGGGCCTAAGTCAAATAAACATGCTTTTCTTGCCATAAAAATGCTTTATTTCTATTTTGAACAACAGAAACTCAATAACAGTGTTAATAGTTGAGTCGAGATCAAATCAAGTTGTTTTTTTTTTTTTGCCACATTTATATATGTTACCTAATATAGCAAGAAATGGACTGCTGAATGTGTTCAGGATTAAGATTCTGGCATTAGTCCAAAGACTAAGTTTGGGCATTCCAAAGAAAATAAGCTATATATTTGAAAGTACAGTTTTTATGAAGTTACCTTCATGACTGACACTTGGAAATGGACCATCTTTTTCCAGAACTGATACCCCAGGGGTGGACTGCATAATTCACAGGACCCCTGTGGGATCAATTATCTGCCTGACATTCTTCCACTGAAGGACTCAACCACATGGCTGAACTCAACAGTCTGTCCTTGCCCTCTTTTGCAAAGTGTCAGGAAGAAGGCCCAGCTGCCTTGGGTAGGCTGAGGCTGCATGTTGACAACTGGCAGCTATTTTCCCAGGCACACACGTTCCAGGAGGTGCACGCTGACTCTTGCAGCATCATGTATAACTGGCTTTCTTCCTGCTCTAGTCTGGGTCCTTCCAGGGTGACAGGATGAGCATGCTACCAGCTCCTCGCTCTCCTGTTCCACAGTGGAGGATGCCGCCTGCTGAACCTGCAAACTTGGTGCGGACCCTGGTGGAGAGCAGAGGATGTATGGGCTTGTGCGGTGAGGTTCCTAAGGCTGCTACACAGGCTGCTCTGCTGCCATACACATTTCCCCTGCCTAGTCAGCCTCTGCCCTAGATAGCAAGCATAGAGGGGACAGCAAACCCCCAGAGCTACACTTCTAGCTGCTCCCCACCAAGGCCTGGTCGCCTGAGAGCTGTACAAACACAAGTAGGGCAGTTGAGTCACTCAGGCAGATCCCATCACTTCATGCCAGTCCCAGATGCCAAAGGATGCCCTCGACCCAGGTTGCTGCAAGCAGCCCCCAGCACAATCACTATTTGCTAAATTCTTTAGTTCAGCAGTTCTCAAACTAAAATGTGCATCGAAGTATATAAGTTCCTCGGGAATCCTATTAAAATGTACATCCTGATTCAGTAGGCCTGGGATGGGAGCTGCAATTCTGCATCTCTAAGAAGCTCCCTGCACTTCATGGATGCAAGTGCAGTGTACCCATGAAACACACTTAACAGATTTTACCAGGGTTTACCTTCCAAGTAAACTCAAATAAACATGTGCATGGAGTTCTATAATAAGACATTTCACAAAGTCATAGATTCCCCAACTTTCTGAGGAGTAAAGCTAAACTCAGAGATCAAAGAGCTTGGCAAAGCCAAGAATAACAGTGGACTCAATCCAGATAACTTGATATGAAGTCCCAGGATGGTTTCACCAAGTCAGTTGTTCTCAAACTTTAACATGCATCACGATGACTTGAAAGGTAGGTGAAAATACAGATCTCTGGGCCTCCAGAGCTTCTGATTCAGTGGGGAAGAATCTGCATTTCTAACAAGTTCACAAGTGATGCTCATGCATCTGGCCTAAGGACTACACTTTGAGAAGTGCTCCACTAGACTACACAGGATCCTAGAGACCCCTGCATCCGAGCCTCAGTCTCAGAGCTTTGATGCCATTCACCACTCATATGCCCAAACCCCACTAAACGCTGTTCTGGCTCCTGGTGCCCCAGGGATATTGGGTCACGCCAAGGCTTTTTTGTCTCTAGATGCCCCAAAGGCAATAAGCTTCTTTGGCATTGACTACGAGCTCTACTTTGTAGCAGCTGTTTGGCCTCAGGTGTGTGGCCCTGAGAACTTCTCAGTAACTTCAAGCCTCATGCTCCTGACCTGTGAAATGGGGCCGATAATCCCCATGCATAGGACCTTGATGAGCCCCAGACAACAAATGGTTCTCAACCCTTCCTGTGCATCAAAATCACCTGGGAAGGTTTAACAAAACGCCAGTGCCCAGCTCCCTTCCCCAATCCTGGGCAAGTGTATTTATCAAATCTACCCAGGTGATTGATGCTAATGTGCAGCTAGGGTTGATATCCACTGAAATAGGTAAACGTGCTAGAAACATGCAAGATGGCCCACTGCGGTGGCTCATGCCTATAATCCTGGCACTTTGGGAGGCTGAGATGGGAGGACTGTTTAAGTCCAGGAGTGTGAGACCAGCCTAGGCAAGATGGCAAGACCTCATCTCTACAAAAAAATTAAAAAATTAGCTGAGTGCAGTGACACCCACCTGTAGTCTCACCTACTTGGGAAGCTGAGGTGGGAGAAATGCTTGGGACCCTCCTAGGCTCAAGAGAGGCTGCAGCAAGCTATGACTGTGCTACTGCACTCGAGCCTGGGTGACAGAGCAAGACCTTGTCTCTACAAAAAAAATTTAAAAATGAGCCAGGCATGATGGTGTACACCTGTAGTCCCAGCTACATGGGAGGATGAGGCTGAAGGACTGCTTGAGGCCAGAAGTTTGAGAACAACCTAGGCAATGTAGTGAGACCCTATATCTAAAAAAGTAAAAGAATTCATTACAGCTATTAATATTTCACTGTTATGGTATTTATTTATTTGTTTATTTGAGACAGGGTCTCGCTCTGTCACCCAGGCTCGAGTGTAGAGGCACAATCATGGCTCACTGCAACCTGGACCTCTTGGGCTCAAGCGATCCTCCCACTTCAGCCTCCTGAGTAGCTGCAGCTACAGGTGCATGACTCCACACCCAGCTAATTTTTTTAAATTTTTTTGTAGAAGTAAGGTCTTGCTATGATACTCCGGCTGGTCTCAAAATCCTGGACACAAGCAGTCCTCCTGCCTTAGCCTCCCAAAGTGCTGGGAGTACAGGTGTGAGCCACCCACCCAGCTGTGATGGTTTAATGAGAAGAATAAATGCAACATGCACCGAGTGTCCCACAGACGTCCTCTCTCCCAGGCAGGGAGACTCTTCAGTGAATGCACCATCTTTAAACTCTCATGGAAATGCAGCCTGATGAAAGGTATATGAGCAGAGCTGCAGAGCTGGCTGAAAATGGCTCCCCGGTGAGCTGTTCTCGTGAGCTGCTATCTGTGCCCAGACCACAGCCTAGCCAAATCCTGTGATCCAAGGCTGAAAATATCTCTGGATTTCCATGAAGCTCTCAGGGAGATAGGAAAGCTTAATCACAGCTGATTGGGACATGTGAATCATGCACAGGAACTTTCCAGCCAGATCCCTTGGGGACCAACCTGGCTCAGGCTCTCTACAAATTATCACAAAGAATCCCGGCTGGAATAGTTGGCAAATGGGGGTCCATTCATTCAACAACAGCTGGGGATTCCTGCATATAGGAGATAGGGGAAGGAGAGGCTGATCGCAAGGTAAGCTGCATCCCACATAACCTTTCTACAGCCATGCAAGGCAGGTATTTGTTGAATGGATGAATAAATGAATAAACTAAGTAGTGGTCAGAGAAAGAAAGAAAGAGGGAAGGAGGAAGGAGGGGAGAGAGAGAGAAGAAAGGAAGCAAAGAAGGCAGGCAGGCAGGCAGGCAGGAAGGATGGGGAGAGGAAGGGAGGGAGGGAGGAATTTGGCCTTTGCTTGCACCCTCTTCTGCTGTTGGACAGCTCTATTTTGAAGCTATTTTCTACACTGAACCAAAATGCTGACCCAATTCTCTGAATGCAGGAAGAGTCCAGCAGAAACAGAGCCATGGAAGTATGATGCAGGGGAAACAGGCCAAATCGACCTTGTCTTGAAGAGTCCGTGGGTTATGCTTGTGCACATCCACTTTCCAGCCAGGACAGCCAGGCGGTCCCCACCCAGGGCAGTGCTTGAGGTCACCCACAAGGCGCCTCCAGTTCTGCTCACCAGGATCAAGGTTCTCCAGAGTTCAACAGCCACAGGAGGGAACCTGGGAAAGGCCACCGGAAGGCACAAAGAATCTGCTCACTCCATGCTCCCTTGGGCGGCCCCTGCTGAGCTGCTTCTGCTGCTCCCTGCTTGCTCTCTGAACCCCACCTCTTGGGCATATCCAGTTACAGTCACAGGCTCTGCTATCACCTGGAATGCCCTGGGCCTCTCCTCAGCTCCTCTCCTTCCCTGCAGAGAGCTGGGGCTTAGGCCACTCAGATATCCAGGATCATTAATTCTGTGGCCCCTCCCTGACACCACTCCCATCTGATCCTGGCACCTCCATGCTCCATCTTCTTCTCAGAATCCTGTAACCCAAACATCCCAGCATTCCTGGTGAGAGGAAAAGGCACTTTCATTCTGCAGAACACTCGTCCTTCCCCATAAGGAGCTCCTCCAATACCACCGAGGCCAGCTCTCCTGAGCCAGCCAGTGCCTGCCTGCCCACTTGTCTCTTCTTTCTTTTAGTGACAGACAGCACCTGATTTCCTCCAAGAGGGAATCTTCTCTTTCTGAATCCAAGTGCCTTGGGTGGTGAGGTAGGTGGACCTCACATCTTAGCTCAGAGTCTCCCTGGCCATCAGGATCAGCCAACAGCAGGGCAGGTAGACCAAAATGAGCCAAGAGAGCCGGGCCCAGGATGTTTGCGGCAACCACTGGAGGAAGGCACCCTGTTTCTGCTGAGCCTTCAGAATAGGTCCTCTTGGGTTTTTCACCAGTCCCCCTCCTCCAATCTGCCTCCATTTCATACATTGGTGGATGAGGCCTTGAACAAAAGAGTAGAATCAGAGCTGGAAGGAGCCTTAGAAACTTCCTGGGTCAAGATGAGGGGAATGAGGGTTAGAGAAGAAAGGAACTTGCCAAGATCACAAAGTGAAAACCAGAACAAAAGCAGGGAGCTCCCAACTCCCTTTCCAGCACTTTTCCACTAGCAGTGTCATTGTTGTATGGTAAGGCTTCACCCATTCTCTCTCCATGTGGATAAATTCCAGTTTTATTCGCAGACAAGTCAGATCATGACAAGTCACATCACTCCATGATGTTTCTAAGGAGACTGTATATAACCTTTCACCCACTCTTTGTCACCACCTCTCCAGCTAGGAAAAAATTTAATTCAACAAAGAACTCCACCATCACCCTCACCCCAGATGCTGAAACTCTTTGACAGCATATTGATTTTCTGGGGTCCCTGAGCCAACATGGGAGTCTGCAGGCCCCAGTGAAGTCAGGTTTCTTGTCCCCTCCCCTGTGCACATGCAAACCTCCACACATTCAGTACAGGTGACCCTGCAGGTCCAACGAATGAGACATTGAATCACCACTGAGAGAGGCTCAGAGGAGGGAAACTCCACTGGGAAAGGAGGTCAGGCTGCCCTAGTTAAGCCACCTCCACTCCAGCAGGCCTTGCCTGGCTCCCTGCCTCGCCTCAACACCCTTCCACCCTGACTCTCCCAAAGTGGACCATGTCACCTCTTTCCAGGCCTAAAACCACATGAGTCAAGGGACAGGAGGGTTTGAGAGACTCTAGTCCAATAATTGAAGGCATTAAACCACACCTGAGGCCTTTTAATACAATTTTAAAATTATGCTTGGGCTGGTTACATATGAAACCCACTCCAGTCCTGTCCTGAGCACCAGGAAAACCCTAAGGCCTGTCTGAGTAGCAGCCCAGTTTCAGAGAGCTCTTCCAAGCTCTCCCCCACGGAATCAATAAGAGCTTGTTGCATGTTCTAGGAAAGTCGCATCACACCCTATGACTGCAAAAGAGACCCTGTCCTCTCTTCCACCCTAAGAATAAGAACCCACTTCTCCAGCCTCATCTTGTTCCTGACAAGACGGGCTTGGCCCATAGGCAAACTCAGAGACCTGGCTCTTCACCTTTCACAGGGCCTTCTCTGGCATCTTGGAGGACACCCTCCACTGTACTGGTTCTGGCTGCCTTGGCCACAGTCCAGTGTCCACTCCGAGGACATTTCTGTCCAAATGTGGTTCACATCGCCTGTTTAAACTCTCCCAGACACATTCAGACTTCACATGGACAGAAATGTCCACCCAACTATGATGAACCAGCTGGCTACACCCTTGGCCAGAGCCTGACCTGCCTTGACCATCGCTTCCCTGGCAGCTTCCCCAGCTGGGTCTCCAGACTGGGTTTCCAAAAGCCACATCCTGTGGTCACATATAGAAGTCTGGGAAAGACAGCACTTTCCAGAGAAGGTGATTTCAGCTGTCAAACCAACATTTCCTGGTTGGTTGGTTTTCCCCTTTTACATTCCTCCCAAATATTTAACTTTATAAGGTGTGTCCCTTAGGATTTCTATATGGAGTTTGCTAATTCAGGCAGGAGAATGGGGTAGCAGAAAGAGTCTTTCTGAGCCTATTTCAGCATCGCTGTTTTACAAGAACATCAAAGCTTACTGCCAGGAGAAAAAGACACTGTCTTTACACCTTAATTCTCTATCCTCTTCCTCCTTTTTTACATCTTTGATCACCAGCACTGAGAAAATTACTAATATCCTTCCAAAACAGCTGTACACTTCTCACTTTTAGCAACATCAAACTCACTCTTATCATAAGTGTTATTATAGGTGGAATTGTGTTCCCCGCTAAAATTAGTATGTTAAAGTCTTAATCCCCAGTACCCCAGAATGTGACTGTATTTGGGAGACAGGACTTTTAAAGAGATTGTTAAGCTTAAATGAGATCATATGGGTGAGCCCTAATTTAGTGACTGGTGTCCTCATAAGAAGAGGCAGAGACACAAAAGATTCGTGCACACAGAGGAGAGACCTACACTTAGGCTGGTTATAATTCTTGTGAGAATGCAAGAAGGTGGCCATCTCCAAATCAAGGAGAAGGGCCTTAGGGGACAACAAACCTGATGATATACTGATCTTGAATGCAATGGACTAAATGCTTACGCTCTCCCCAAATTCGTACGCTGAAATTCTAATCTCCCAGATGATGATATTAGGACATGGGGCCTTTAGGAGGTGATTAGGTACTGTTATAAAACAGATCCCAGATAGATAGCTAGTCCCTTCCACCATGTGAGGACACAGCTAGAAGGCAACATCTAGAAAGTAGGCCCTTGCCAGACATCAAGGTGCCTTGATCTTGGACTTCCCAGCCTCTAGAACTCTGACTGTATTAGTCTGTTCTCCCATTGTATAAACAAATACCTGAGACTGGGTAATTCACAAAGAAAAGAGGTTTAATTGGCTCACCATTCTGCAGGCTGTACAAAAAGCATGATGCTGATATCTGCTTGGCCTCTGAGGAGGCCTCAGGAAACTTACAATCATGGCGGAAGGTGAAGGGAAGCAGGTGTCTTACATGGCAGAAGCAGGAACTCTTAAGAGAGAGAGTGGGAAGGTACTACACACAACCAGATCTTGTGAGAACTCACTCACTATCACGAGAGCAGGACCAAGAGGATGGTACTAAACCATTCAGGCGAACCCACCCCCATGATCCAATCACCTCCCATCAGGGCCTGCCCCCAACATTGGGAATTACAATTGAACATGACATTTGGGTGAGGACACAGATCTAAACCATATCAGTGAGAAATGAATTTCTGTTACATAAAAGCTATTCGGTTTATTGTATTTTGTTATAGCAGCCCAAATGGATTAGGACACTGAATGCCCAGCCTCCAGAACTATGAGAAAATACATTTCTGTTATTTAAGTAACCCATTCTGTGGTATTTTGTTATGGCATCCTAGGCTGACCACAATAAACAACACACTCACTAATTCATCAGGCTTCTGCTGAAGGCCTACTATGGGCAAAGCACTGAGTTTAGCACTGTGGGCAGACACAAAAGCAAGTGGGAATACAACAGCTCACAATATGGTCAGGGAGAATGACAACACAAATATATCTGTCATAGAGCAGAATGCAAATATTTTGGTATAATGCTTCTATAACTCTTGTTTCAACAATGCAAATTTGTTCCAATGTGATTGACATATTAAGGAACAATCTGAGCATAATGTGAATGTTGTGTTTGCTTATCTGTAAGAAAAACTAGATGAACATAGAAAGGTTGTGCCTAGCTGAACCGGGCCACACGGAAATACACAAAATTCACATACCTCAGACATCAGTCAGCTCTCTCGGCCCACGGTGTGTTATTAGCCACACTCATCCACATTTGGAGTTAAAACTCTCCGTCTGATTTCACATGACTGTCCTCCTACCATTTCGCAATAACATACAAATGACCACACCTTCTGAGACCACCTCTTAAGCAAACTTTAGGTCATTTTCAAACTCAACTGCCATATGTGTGGTAAGATGTATACATTTCTTAACCACTTAATGTTAAAGCTGTGCTACCATTTATAATAGGTTTTTATTTTTGCTTTTATCTGACAAATTATTGAGTGTTGTTCTTCTAAACCACTTTTTCTCGATAAGCCCTATAGTTTTGAATTGCATGATTGTGTATACTGCAGTGATTTTTAGAAACATGTATGAGTAGAATTGACTATATTTAAACATTTCAATAAGGAACTAGATTTCAGGTAACTAAGGCCTGGGTAATGAATGTTTATGGTCAGGATCACAGAAAATCACATGCTTATTGGATAAACTTCAAACAGGGCATATGGATCTGGCTAATATATCAACGACAACCTCTAGTGGTAATGTATACTAATTGCAGGTAAAATACAGAAAAATGTGATGTAGTAAAAATGGATTTTTAAATGTTATCGAATGAATGAAGCTATCACACAGGCCAACTCACATATATTCCCTCACCTTTAGGCAGCTTTTTATGGCCTCCAGTTTCCTGGCCTGTTTACTAAAATAATTTTTTTTTTTTTTTTTTTTTGAGACAGAGTCTCACTCTGTCACCCAGGCTGGAGTGTAGTGGCACAATCTTGGCTCACTGCAAGCTCTGCCTCCCAGGTTCATGCCATTCTCCCACCTCAGCCTCCGGAGTAGCTGGGACCACAGGCGCCCACCACCACGCCTGGCAAATTTTTTGTTTTTGTATTTTTTGTAGAGACGGGGTTTCACCATGTTAGCCAGGATGGTCTTGATCTCCTGACCTCGTGATCCACCCGCCTCAGCCTCCCAAAGTACTGGGATTACAGGCGTGAGCCACCATGCCCAGCCAAGAATGTTTTCTAGAGTCAAACAGCCTCATAAAGGGAGCTCCACTGACCTGTCATTGAGTTTTCTGAGGTGCACAGTTGCTCTCTCAGCTTCTCCACGTCATCAGGATGCACCTGTTCATACAGTGTGCTCCCAAACCACTCTGACTGGGGCTGGTTCAGAACAGGGGTGACGGAGTCAGACACATAAATCACTCGCCCTGTCTCAGCAGCCACCACAAACAGAAATCCATCAGCTGCTTCAAGGATGAGATGCTTCAGTTCCTATAAAGAAAAGATTATGATTGGCACAATACACTGACAGACCCAGGATGATTCAACTTTCTTATTGGGAAAGCAGCCTTCAATTTCCTTTATCTGCATATTTATTCTGGTACACAAATAGTTTGGGAAATGAGAACTTTGTTTCTGGAAAATAAGCTAGAAAAATGCACAAAGCTTGCACCATCCCTACGATACAGCTACTGTAAACACGGTTAGCCCATCTTCATTAGTCCTTTGTTGGGGAGAGAAAATTTCCAGCCTAGGGGGATGGGAGAGCAATGAGTGATCACCAGAAGGTACTGGGTTGCCAGAGGCGTGAACAGCTTTGCCACATATTGAAACTGTAGTCATGTCATTGGAGCAGAAGGGCCCAACACATAGTGCTTGGCACAAAAGGTGCTAGATAGAAGGAAGGGAAGGGGAAGGGGAAGGTGAGAAGGGAGAACGAAAGAGACCACGTGTCTCCCCACCCACAGCTTGCCGTACTGAAAGTACCCTCTTGTTCCTTTTCTCTTTCCATATTTCTGAGCTGAATGCTGGCACTGGCTATAAGAGTATCCCCTTACATTTGCATTTCTGTCAGATTTCCAGAACTGACAATAATCACCATCATCTCAAAAGACTCTCAGAGTAACTCTGGGAGGCAGCAGGGAATACAGCATTATCCATATCACTTTACAGTGAGAAGAGGATAGGAGCATCAACCTTCAGCTCACATTGATTCATTGGGGTCATGACTGTCATTGAAGGCAGGGAGGAAACTGGGATCAAGGAAGGGGCAGCAGGAAGCCTTGATATTATCCTCAGAAGGACGTGGATGGGGCAAAATTAACTTTGTTAAAACAAGATGTCTTTTCTTTGCAGCGCCTGAAGGCAGCTCAAGTATAGTTGCCCATACTATTCTCACATCAAGCTAAGGAGCCCTTTGCCACTGAATGAAATGGGCTTTGTGCCTGCAGGAGCCAGGCACTAAGTCTTCCCTAGACACTGTAATCCATGGCCACCCTTCCAACCACTTCAAGTACTGTTCAGGCTCCAGAGGACAAAGGTATCCTTCTAGGTCAGCAGCTAGCAAACATCTTTTGGCTGGCAATCTTTTGTTTGAATGTAATCTTATGTGAAAACCCCACTGTAAAGCACATGGACAGCCAGCAGAGTGAAGGCAAAAGGTGGAGAGTCTGGCGCCCCAAATCCCAGTAACTGAGCAGGGTACAAGGACCCAGAGACTAGGGAACATTGATATGCTGATGAGCAGAACCCAGGGAGCTTTGTAAATGTGTCTAAGCCCTTGGCTGGGGAGGAATTCTAACATCCTCTGCCTGGGAAACCAGGGCAGAAGCAGTTGGTACAAGCATTTTTTAAGGATAAGTTTATTTTGCCCATTTCTCTTGCTTTGCACTTTTGCTGTTCTGCGTCACCTAGATGCTTAATTAGTTCAGGGAATTCGGTCAGCATTTTTATTTTCAGTTTTTGGATGATCTTCCCAACAGAAAGAGCTGTTAAGAGAATTAAAAACGGAAGAGGGTGCCTGGGGAAGTACAGAATTCTTTGTCACTGGAGGAGAGGAAGTGGAGACTGAATGACTTTACTCATGAATTCACATTTTTGTCCAGTTTGCAAAGACTGTGGGGAGGTCTTATGGGATGAAGCCCTGCTCGCATCACGGACCCTCTTTTTTCCACCCTCCTCCCTGATGTGTATTCCCTGGGAGACCATCTATCACTACCAAGTTCCTGTGCCCTGATCCAGAACCAGCCTCTACACTCCAAGAAAACAGTCACGGTTAAGAGCATGTATTCTGGAGTAAAAGGAGACTATCACCTACCGCTCTCCCACTTAGCTGTGCAACTTTGGGCATGTTACTTCACGCCCTCAGCAATGTTTTTCAGTGAGCTCTTGCAAGGTTAAATGAGATGCTGTGTGTGAGGACTTAGTAAGGGCCTGGCACACAGTAGGTGCTCCATAAATGTAACCATTATCATCACCATCCAAGCAGCTGAGAGAGGAACAAAGGTAGGGCTCATCTGACCTGCATAGCTGCCTTCTCTCTTCACGCCACTTTCATAATCCTCAGTCACTTAAAGATAACGAGATTCATTTCAAACCTTGACTCTGTAGGTCTTTTGGTGAGGATTAAAAAAATATAGACAAAAAACTGATTCTAGCAGCCAGTAGTGCTCAATAATTTCTGTCTGTTACTTACCAGCTATTTACCCTTCATTATACCTCAGGCCCATGTTAAACAGTCTATGCTTGTTGCCTTCCTCACCACAACCACACGAGCTGGGAGCTATCACTGCATTTATTTTTACAGAGGTGGAAATGAGGCTTGAAGCTCCTGCCCTGACCACCACAGTTTGTGTCCTCCAAGTGGCACATATTACCACTGCTGGACCTTCCTAACATCTGCCAAGCGAGGGCTCCCATGACCACTGGGATGATTTAGAAAGGGATCAAATAGGTGAAGTGCTTGCTAAAGTGTCTGCCACAGAACAGACAGTAATAAACGTTAGTTCCTCATCCCTTATTCTTTTTAAACCTAACTTCCATGACATAAATCGAGTCTCGGCTCTAGCAGAATAAATCATTAGGTCTCCCAACAAAATCTTTTTCATTCCTGCCTGTGAGGTTCTGTACACACTCTTCCCTTTTTGTGAAATCCCTTCTGCTCCCCTCTTTCTAGGTATTTTTTGTGGCTCCTTTCTATGCCAATACTGTCTCTGTCCTGAGAAGTCCCTCTTGATAATACCAGGACACTTCCACTCTATTTCAGCTTGGCCACACGCTGTGTCTTGTTAAATCCTCCATTACTTTTAGGACCCTATACCCTACATACTTTTGCATTTCCTAACTGCATGCCCTGACAACTGTATTATTTCACCTCCCCACCCCAATGCCCCCCCACCGGCTATACACAATGAAGTGCTTTCAAATCCATCACCTCATTTATCCTGCAAAAGCTCTTGGAGACAGGAAAGCAAAAAGCTTTATGTTCATTTCACAGATGAGCACACTGAAGCTTAGAGTATTTGCCAACTTGCCCTATGACCAGCACATGGAAATACAAAGACCCTGAACACAGGCCTCTGGCTCATGTAAAGCCACTTATAAAATACGACCTCACTAGCCATTTTGTGCGTTTCTTCTTGCCAACTAGTCAAAGACTAGTGTAGGTGTTAAAAATATGGCTTTGGGGTCCTACCAGCCTGTCTTCACTGGACCCAATCTTGGCTCCTCCACTAAGCAGCAGATTAACCCTGAGCAATCTGCTGACTCTAAGCCTCAGCTTCCTCATCAATAAAACAGAGCTAAATAACAGTGGCTTCTTCACAGGGCTAGAATAAGTAGTAAATGAGATATTTCACAGAAAACTATGACTCACACCAGGCACCCAGCAAATGCCGGCCGGCTAAGTGCTCTGATCGCGGCTACTATTATCACTACTGCTGCCATCACTGTCTTTTTTCTTTAACTTTTTTCAGGGGTACACATGCAGGTTTGTTACGTACTGCCAAGGGAGTAAACTCATGTCACGAAAATTTGTTATACAAATTATTTCATCACCCAGATCCTAAGCCCAGTACCCATTAGTTATTTTTTCTGATCCTCTCCCTCCTCCCAACCTCCATCCTCTAGGAGGCTCCAATGTCTGTTGTTCCCCTCTTTGTGTCCATGTGTTCTCATCATTCAGCCCCCACTTACAAGTGGGAACATGTGGTATTTGGTTTTCTGTTCCTGCATTAGTTTGCTAAGGATAGTGGCCTCCAGCTCCATCCATGTTCCTGCAAAGGACATGATCTCATTCTTTTATATGGCTGTGTAGTATTCTATGGTGTATATGTACCACATTATCTTTATCCAATCTGTCATTGATGAACATTTATGTTGAGTCCATGTCTTTGCTATTGTGAATAGTGCTGCAATGAACATACGTAAGCATATGTCTTTATGTAGAACGATTTATATTCCCTTGGGTATAAACCCAGTAATGGGGTTGCTGGGTCAAATGGTATTTCCGTTTTTAGCTCTTTGAGGAACCTCCACACTGCTTTCTACAATGGTTGAGCTAGTTTACACTCCCACCAGCAGTGTATAAGTGTTCCCTTTTCTCTGCAACCTCACTAGCATCTGTTACTTTTTGACTTTTTAGTAATAGCCATTCTGACTGGAGTGAGATGGTATCTCATAGTGGTTTTGATTTGCACTTCTCTAATGATCAGTGATGTGGAGATTTTTTCATATACCATCACTTTCATAGGCTGATCATATCAGCACAATTCCAGCATACAGCGTTTTTACTAACTTCTTCCTGTGTCAGTGTGCTGAGCACGATGTTCAAATGCTCAATATATTTTTTTGAGTGACATCCCATTAAGGTTATGGGAAACATAAAAGCAGAAGACCCAAAGATCAGACAAACCCTCTTTTGAAGACAGCTTCTTGGAGAAAAATGGAAACAAAACATGTTGGCTTCATTCCTTCCTCAACCTTGAGCCCTGGTTCCCCACGTAGTTTATTTCGTCTTGGTGACGCTGGGATTCCCCCCGCTTTCCAATGGTGATGTGATGACCAGGGTACCTGCTCTGTGAGGAAGGAAGGCTTGTACGCGCCATCGGTGGACTTGTTCCCTGTACCCCTCATGGACTTCATGTGCGAGACGGCCATGCGGAGGATGGTGAGCTTGTCTGGCTTCCGAGCCAGTGCGCTGCATGTGGGGACCATGTCGGAGAGCTCCGTGATGTACTGAGTCATCTTGTTCCGTCTGCGCCTTTCGATTTCACTATGATTCTCTCTTTCCAGAAAGCACGAGATCAGGAGAGGGGGAAAAAAGAGAAGTATCAGATTAGGGATTACTATCTAATGGGATAAAACCATTAACACCAAATGACCAGGAACTAGGGGCTAACACCTAACAGCTGAGTGCTTTGAATGACTATTGGGCAAAATGGCCCTTCTGATGCCTCAGCAAGCTCTTACATCTATGTGTTGGAAGCACAGATGTCTATAGTCTCAATCTCTAAATACATATCAAAATCTTCTAATTACTCCCATATGCCTGAGGTATTTTTGTAAGCATAAAAAATTGAGACACGAGGGCTGGGCACGGTGGCTCACATCTGCAGTCCCAGCACTTTGGGAGGCCAAGGTGTGCAGATTACTTAAAGCCAGAAGTTTGAGACCAGCCTGACCAACATGGTAAAACCCCATCTCTACTAAAAATACAAAAATTAGCTGGGCATGGTAGCGCATGCCTGTAATCCCAGCTACTTGGGAGGCTGAAGCACAAGAATTGCTTGAACCTGGGAGATGGAGATTGCAGTAAGCTGAGATCGCACCACTGCACTCCAACCTGTGCACACATGAATCTGTACATGGATATACACACGTGCACACACACACAAATGTGGTTACTGTCTGCCTCAATATGTGGTTTACATGTTGTATCTTTACATATTTATTACATATAAATATGTAATATATAAATATAAGTATGTAATATATTATAAATAATATTTACATATTATATCTTGCAGTAAGAAGCACTATATAGTCTTACCATTCTTTGTGTCACTAAGTAGACCAATAATGCTACAAATTTACTTTAAAGTTGTGAATAAGCCTTTGTTCTATGCCCAACAGATTTTCTGCAGCATAGTAACAAAACAGGTACACCCCTGGCTTATGAAACAATAAATAGCCAATTTAAAATAAAAACGCATGGCAAAGGAATTACTGAATGCAATCTCTGTGATGTGTTATGATAAAAAACTAGCAGAAGGGATGGTAGAATGTTTCCAACCCAGGCTTTTTACCTTCAGGCTTGAAGGAGTCACAGCCAACTCAGTTCAACGACTCTAAGACAAAGCTGTTACTTGGGATAAAAGAATTATCTAAAAATAAATCCCATGTCTGCTGCAGGATTTAGGGTTTCACTGGTGTTCAAAAAATGAGAGTGACACTAAGGGCAAGAAAAAAACAACTCAGGCAGGGCTGCCTCCAGACACTGCATGTATTAATTAGCTTAACAGCCCATCCTCCCAGATTGGGGAACAGACGTGCCAGTCAGCCCTGATGACACCAAGTAGCACGTGCTGAGGGTCTCTGAACACACAGACCGAGGGGAAGTGAGACTGCAGTACAGGTCACTGCAGAGCGACCTGAGCCATCCACCATGAACCTTCCAGACCCCATGAGGGGAGGAGTGGTAGAGAAAACAAGGAATGCCCAACTCTGTCCTCAAGCAGTGGGGGGTTAACTATGAATATAAAACATACACCTTGCATAGTGGAAATGAAACGCAGAGTATGATTAAATGCTTCAAAAGGCAGGTGAAAAGCAAAAACCACAATGGAGAACGATATAGCGAAGAGGAGGAGGTGGTCCTGGGGCTGAGGGTGCTAGAAGGGGTAGGGAGGAGGAACTGGGAGAGAGCTGGGCCTAACCTGTCAGCAAGTAGAGGAGGTCTATTTTGGGGAGGGGATCAGCAGGATCAAATAAAGGCCTGGAATTGGGAAGAAACATTTGAGGGTGGTGAGGAGGCAGGCCTAGACGGAAGGGTAGAGATGGGCCCTGGAGTAGAGGGGCCGAGGAGCAAGAGAAGCTGGGAAACCTTGCTGGACAGTAAAGGGAAAGCTGTCGTGCATGGCAGGCTGATAAGAGCCGTGATGCTCTCTGCCTCTGTGGCTGGCTTCTCGGGGGAGGTGCAGGTTGCGGGAGAGGTTCAGGGTTGGGGAGGAGGAGATGGAGGCTGGGACCAGCAGGGAGATTCCTGAGGCCTGGTGCTCTCTCCCACCCACAAAGGATAACTCTGCAGCCAACCCACTGGAATGGTGGAAACACCAGCCACGGCACAAATGCCGTTGGTCCACAGAGCACAGCCACTCTGGTAGGGAAGGGCATATACTCTCCAGGAGAAACTGCTGCTGCGTAATCAGGCAGGGCTTGTTGACTCGGGGGTAGATAGAGGTAACCAGAGAAGAATGGGTTGGGGCGGGGCAATCATAATGAAAGAAAGTGATGAAAAAGGGGGATTTGGTTAGAGATTGTTGAGTTATTTAGTGCATTCAGGAACCCTTCCCTGGAGGAGATACAGGACTTCCTTTTCCTTCTCTCCATAAATTAGGTAAATTAGTGGTGGCAGCCCACCCTGAACTGGGTCTTCACCAACGTCTCCTGCATTTGACTCCTCAGCCAGGAGCTTGTCACGAGACAACCAAGGTGCAGCAAGAAAGGCCTAGAGGAGCTCTCAGAGGAGGGTGAGCCCCCGCCTCGCCAGCCTACACTTCATCAAGGCCCGATGGGGTGGACGGAACACAGAGACCGTTGGCTGAGGCTGCTGACCTTGCAAGATGCTGGGCAGGCACCCTGGCCGCTGATGGGCGTTGTAAGATCATGGGCAGTACACGCATGAGTTAGGTCCAGGGCTGCACGCCACCGCCCCGCACTTGCCCGCCAGACACCCTGGAGAACCGGCTTTCCTCCCATGCACCCACACCACCTAGAGTCTGCATTCCAGCTCTTCAGCCTGACTTCTGGGATCTCGCTCATTAGGCACCACCCACAGCCCTCTTCCCTACTCCAACCACGTGTCAGCTGCTCCCCACCCATCAGTATCACCAGGCAATAGCCATTCCTACTTATCTTCGATTCAGCACACGTGGAACTGCTCCCGTCCCTCAAAATTCCATCTGTGTCAAAGCTCTTGCAGCTGTTTCCTGGTTCTCTCCCACCTTCTCCAGTCCATGCCGACTGCCTGCTGTCATCACTTTTCCCCTTGTCACCAACCACCTTTTCCCAGCCTTTTTCTCCAGTCTCACCCTCCAGTTTAGTCCTCATGTTGTGGCCAGACTGATGTTTCTCAAAATACAAACCAGAGCCTTCGCTTAAACCCCTTCCATTGAGCCTCCAAACCCCTCAGCTGGTCACTGTGACCACTGCTTCAATGCAGGGCTGACGCACACTTGCTTCTGATACTATTATCCAAAGAGCTTGTCCCATAGTGGCACAGACCATCTTGCTTTATAAATATTCTGCAGGTGAAAAATCTTCATATGGGGAATCTTAAACAGAGATCTAAAGCAATTTCACCACAGTGCTCTGTGAACCCAATCTGTGAGATAAGGTGTATGAAGAAGATGGCCTTAGGGCAACTGCTTAAAAACTGATTGTATTTATTGCCTAGTCCAGAAAATGCTCCAAGTACTTTATATTTTATGAAATAATACTGAGTTACCAGCAGAATGTCAAAATGACTGACAGCTGCCAATTACTTAGCAACAAGATTTGATAAGTGAGTGACATACACATATGTATGTACGGTTTCATTCTGAAGCCTTCATCAAGGCAGCGGGGATGATGCCATCTTGGGAACACAGAAGGACATATCTCCAAGATCATGTTTGCTGGGGCAAGGCCATCTCTTCCCCAGAGTGAGGAGACAATTTGGGGTCTGCCTGGAGGAGCTGCAGGAGTGAGCCTGTGAACCTGGTGTCTGTGACTTGCGTGTGTACCACATGCTTGCTCGGGGCTGAGTAGCATCAATAAAGAAATTAACTCCTATGTACAGGGAAGCAGGACCAGGACTCCACAGAATTGACAGTTGGGGACACAGGTAGAGCTGTCAGTTTCAAAGACACCTCTGCTGTGCTAAGAGGACCCAGAGCTTGGCTCCAGGAGCACAGCTATGGAAATCAAGGCACAGAAAGAAGAGGTTCAACTAACTGCACACTGACTTGTGTTTCTTTTCCAACTCTGTTCCTGATGGGGACCTCCTAAGTTTAATCTGAACGGTGAGGTACCCATCTTAGTTAAAGAATACGAAAGGAGAATTTTATAAGATCTCAATAAAGAGCATCCTTAAACTGCTGACAGCCGTTGAGTCTCCTGTCTGCTATGGGAAGGGAACCTTAGACCCGGAGCAAGCAGACTGAATGAGACAGCCCCATGCTGGGAACTCCCTGATCACTGCAGACATGGTATACCTGGAGCATACTTCCAGTCTGGGAGTTACTGTGCTGGGTACTGGAGACGGGTGCTGGACAGGACAGAGAGCCCACGGAAAAGCAGGGGCAACAGAGAGTGAGCAGGTGCAAACACAATCCCTGTGTGGTTTCCTTGTACACTAAAAGGTCAGAAGAGGATGCTGAGAGTGTGCGATGGGGAGAGCTCCCTGTGAAAAAGTCCCAGGAAATACCCAGGAACCCTAGGACATGGGACACTGAAAGTCCCCACGCAGGCCTGGCTGAGAGGAGCCACGACATAAACCTAAGTGCTTCTGCAGCCTCCTCTTTGCTCATGTCAGGGTGATCAGGTGTGGGCACCTCAAGGCAGCAGGTGGGCTGATGCAGGATACTATGAGAGAGATATGACCAAGTCTAGCTCTAGCCAGGCCACCTACACTGCCATGGTCCAAATCTGAGAAGTCAGCACTTGAAATAATACGACTGGTCACTACACCTCACTGCCAGCTTCAGAGCTACATGAAGCTCTACACACGTGGAATGTCTGTAGAGCAGCCCTGCTGCAGATGGCACCAGGACCACATTTCTCCATGATGCCTCAGCTTCCATTTCTACCTCCTGAGGTCCACACCCCTCTCCAGGCCACAGCAGTCCAAACAACAGACCTGCTGAAAATAAACATAAAGCTTCTCCCCAACCTGGAGAAGCATCACCAAGCAGCTGCCACTCTCAAAGCCATCGGGCTTGGAAACAGGCCTCACTCAGGGCAGAATTTGTGCTCATTTCCCCAGATTGCACTAGAACTGGAAGACCAGACACCAGGAGTTTTTTCCTTTTCAGAATTCACCCAGCACACAGTGATAACCTCTGCTCTTGGACAATTCACCAAACTGTGCATGGCTCAAGTTACTGAACAAACAAGGCTTTCTGCCTGCAATTCCAGTAAAGGGCTTCAGCACTTCTCAAGCAAAGGAAGCATCAATCCCCGTCTTCCCCTACTAGGGATTTCTCTGTGAGATTTGACCAGTTAGGGTAGAGTCAGAACTGTAGGAAGAGACCCTTTGCATAGGCTCATACCACCTGGCCTTCAGAGGTAGCCTGGGGGAGTCATCAGACCAAGAGTGGCTGCGTGGGGGTCTACACATGAGTCCTGGTCAGCTGTCAGGAGCCTCTGGTGCAGTATTAGGCACAGACTGGCTCTGCCCCACCTCGGTGACACTCGGGAAGGAAGACTGTACCTTTCCAGGAACATCCTTCATGGCCAGTCGCTCCCAGGCATGCTGCAGGGCATTGTAAGAGCCATGAAGGCCAGAAGAAAGCCATTTCAGGAGCCCCATGGAGGCTGGTCAGATACCTGCAGAGAGGGCCCACTGAGGCATATTCAGTAAGGCAGTTTTCCCAGCTTCTGAGGCTGCTCCAGGAAGGGCAGAGGGTTGCTCTCTCCTTGAGAAGGAGGTAGGCATCCTGCTCCCCAGAAGCCATCCAAGGCCCAGGTTTCTGCAAGGCAACTACAAGATACCTGTGTGTCCAGGCTGAATGCAAGACTCACCCAAAACACAGGGAGGAGTCTGAGAAGCCCAGATCCTCCCAAGCAGGGACCCAGGCCCGGCACCTCTGACAATCCCTGTTCCCAGTGAGACACACATCTTGCATGTTTCTATAGCAACTTACAGCTTCCCAAGCACTCTCTCAGCACTGACTGCAATCGATCCTTGCAACCCCCCACCCCCAGCCCCCAATCGGGATGTATCTCCTTTCCCCAGAGGAGGAAGCTGAGGCTCCAAGGGTCACACTGACTTACCAGGACTGGGAACAGGCCTGCCAGTCACCTGCTGCCTCTCTCTCACCACCTCTCCCCAACAGAGCACTAACTGGTCCTAGTTCAGAGCTAGAATGCCCGGAGAGACTAGGGAGCAAAGATATTTAAGGCTTTATGGGGGAAGAATATGCCTAGCAGCTTCCAAAGAGACACAGCTCAGGACTGCTTATGATCCCAGAAGTGATTTCCTCCTCTCTCTCCAAAAAACTCTAGTGTTATCCAGGCACTATCATTTCAAATCAGGGTTAATCTCTCCAGCAGAAAAACTGAAGCGGGTAGCATAGCTAAACATGGTAAGAAACACATCAAGGTGCAGGTCCATCATGTGAGAGCCAAACATCTTGTATGAAGAAATCACACTGGCTGGGCACAGTGGCTCACACCTATAATCCCAGCACTTTGGGAGGCCAAGGCAGGCGGATCACCTGAGGTTGGCCAGCCTGGCCAACATGGTGAAACCCTGTCTCTACAAAAAATACAAAAAATTAGCCGGGCGCGGTGGTGCACACCTGTAATCCCAGCTACTCCGGAGGCTGAGGCAGGAGAATTGCTTGAACCCAGGAGGCAGACATTGCAGTGAACCGAGACCGCGCCATTGCACTCCAGCTTGGGCAACAAGAGCAAAACTCCGTCTCAAAAAAAAAAAAAAAAAAAAGGAAATCACCCATCCATATCAGCATGGTGTTAGAAAGCCACCCCTCCTACAAAATCTTTCATTCCAGTGTGTGCTAACCCTAACCCTAACCCTAACCCTAACCCACTGAAGCAACTTTAGTTGCTCATAAGCAACACTGTACCAAATTCTACCCAGCTTATCTGCAACACTTGTCTGGTTCATATGAACTGAGACTGTAGAGGCAGGGAGGAGGCATGGGAAGTTTGGAAGGGCTCCTCTTGGCGTTTGCTCTGCAACCTCTGAAAGGCTCGGCTGAATCTCTTCCTGCCTTACAAGGACCTCACGTACCCATCCAGTGTGTCCCACACATGGTAACTGATAAGATGAGGCCAGATAAAAAAAGGGGCACTCCTTGCTGCTGCCTGGTCATCCTCTCTGCCTTGGAAATACTTTAGGCGTCTTCTCACTTGGAAACAGAGTAACCCACTCTCTAGGCTAAGACGCTCAGACTAAGAATTCTGGAAACCCACAATCTTCTTTTCTTTCTGCCGGGAAAGACCTCTGCAGGACACGTCTACCTTGCATATTTTCCTTATCAACAGAGTTTTGGTCATGATACCTACTCACAAAGCAGGAATGATTAAAACTAAAACATCACCACAACCTATAAAGCCAGGGGGGAAAATGCCTACAAGCTTAAATACCACACAAAACCAAAAGGGAAGTACCAAAATGGACGTGATGAGAAACAAAAGGTCAATTCTGCAGAAGCTTTCCTACCGTGAATATCTTTACTTTTAGATAACTTTAGAGGTTCACTGGCTAACTCTACAAAATATAAGGCACAATGTTGGACTGGTGCAACTGGGTGCTACAATCTCACCAAAGAGCAGCCAATGGGGTCACTTGCAGCCATTTCTAAAAAGGTTAAAGAGAGGCCAGGAAGCCCCTTGATAAGGGATTTTGAGTCCGAGCTCTTAGGAGGCTCCAAGCACTGGAGCTGAATCCACAGCAACAGATACGAGAACTCCTTGGAAGGCCTTTAGGGTCTTTTGAGAAAGGGTGTGGAATGAGTCTGAAGGGAGCAAAAATATACAGATAATACACAGTGGCAAGAATTAAAGTTTGAGGACTGCATGCTTGTTTGTCCCCAAGTTGTAAATGTAACAAAAAGACAGTTACATTAGGAATGTTTCCTCTCTTTTGTTTTAATGACACATTACGCATACATTCACATACGTAAGGCACACGATGAGCACGGTGTATAATTTTGACTCTGTTGATGACAGCTCTGGGATGTTAGTAATGCCCCTTATGAAACAATATTTAAGATGCCTCCATGTACTGGTGGCAGCTGACCCCAGCTGCCGGTATGAGAAGGTGTCCTGGAACTCCCTAGAAAATGTATCAATCTAAGGGTCCATTAAAGTAGGAAGATGCCCCTGAACCACTCAGAGTGATGAAAAGGCTTTGGCCCTCTGCTTGAGTGTGAGGTTGCAGGACGTGCTGGGCAGGACTGGCATCTGCCTCCCAGGCACACCAGGGCCATCCACACAGGCACAGGAACCAGGGAGGGACTGGTGCCGACCTCACTATAGGAGGGTGCGGCACCACTACCAGCTGCCCGGGAGGATCATCTTTGGAGAAACACTTGCTGGAGTGTAATCGGCATTTTTCCAAAGACACAGGGTTTATCACCACCTGCTGTTAGGATCAGTGACTTGATAACTGGAATTCCAAGAGTGAGGTCAAGCCAAGCATTCCCAGTGGAGGCTGCTTTCTTGGCTGAGCCCAGGAAGAAAGGCTGGCTCTGCGACTTCACTCCTTTTTGCCTCCTTGGCAGAAAGGCCTCCTCCTCTGAAACTCGTGCCATCCGTCTCTGCCACCTTCTAGGCTCTGCATCATCATCACCACTGCCCACCCACACAGCCAGCCAGCCCCTGCCCCCAGACCACCCCCAAGACAGCCTCTGCAGGGGGTGATGCACACCCACCCATCTGTCTCCCCATGCCTCTGCTCCCAGGACTGACCTCGGCCTCCTCTACTGGACCTCGGCCAGCCTCTCCCATGGTGGTGGCTTCTCACTATTTGACCACAACTTCCTACTTTTCCAGCCCTCTCAAACTCCCACAAAATCAGAACTATTCTTTGACCGCATTGCTACTTCCCGTCCCCGGCCTCCTCCATTCTCTTCTCACTCCTCCGGCCTGCCGGCCTCCCTTCACTCCCTCTGCCATTGGACCCACAGCTTGGCCTCTTCAACCACCCTCTCATTGAGACCTTAACCACCTCGACTCCTGTCCTTCCATGGCACCTGCCCTAATCCTCAACCCTGAGTCTGAGAAAAGCCTCCATTCCCTGTATCCACACCGTTGGGTATTGCTGGAGGGAAATTGCACTTATACACATTGATGCCACCTCACATTGGTGGTCCACAATCTCAAATGGGGTCTAAAGTTTTTACATCTCTGTCTTCGGTTAGCCTCCTTCCTGTGAATTCAACCCAGGGCCACCCTAAACTTCGCTCTCAGGCACAATAGCAAACCTCTTCCCACCTGCGGCACACAGCCCCATTTCCTACCTAATCAAGACAATGGAAGCCACGAGAATTAATCCCTCCACTTCTGATGCACCCACAGCCTCGCACTTGGCCTCACCTGCAGCTCCTTCCTTCTGCCTTGGAGCATGAGTACTCCCTTCTGTGGGGCAGAGCTCTCTCCTCCTCCTCTGGACCCATCTCTCCCCAGCGTCACTCCTGAGTCTTCCAAATCTCTGGCTATCCCCATTACTTCTCCTCCTCACATGGATGTACTCATCCTTAAAAAGTACCCCTCCCGGAGCCCCTTCCTTTTTGATCTACATCCAAACTGCTCAAAGAGTTGTTCTCACGCATCTTCATGTCTTCATCTCCCCATCAGTCCTCAGCCCACTGCAGTCTGGCTTCTGTCCCCCGGGTCCCCGTGACTTTGTGTGGGGGGAAGGAAACTTCGAATGTAGGCAGAGCCATGTTCTGCATATCACAGCTCCCCGAATGGCATGAATCCCATGTGTGAGAAAGAGCTGAGGCCTTGGGATGTGGTGGAGCGGGCCTGAGAACATTTATGGCACTGGCAGGCGGGATCCTGGAATGCCTATGCACGTATGGGCGTGTGCATGTGCGTGCTTGTGTGTGCACCTGAGGTCACACAGCAGTGGCAGCTTCACATCTACTACTTTGTTGCATCTAAGGCCTGCTGTGATGGGCCTGGCTGTGCTAAAGTAGGAACCATATCAAATTCCTATAATTGAGCTGCTTTGTGACTGTGACCACACTTCCCAAATCAAAAATTGAGACATGAGGTCTCATGATAGGCAGGACATTTAAACTGGGAAGCCCCCTTGCAAAAAGCTGGAAAAGCTGATGGCACACACACAGGAGACAGAAACCATGGCACAGCACCCTGCCTAGATTCTGAGTCAGCAAACTACGGTGGGTGCTGGCTCACAAGGCAGCCTCTATCTCTTCCAGGGCCTCACATGAAGGGGCTTCTGTTGCCTGATTGTAAGAAGAGAAAAAGCCAACAGGAGAGGCACTGGGGTGTTCCATGCCAATTGGAAGCAGATTCTCCACTCCTCCCCTGGACAGCAGCCACAGTCACTGCAAAGTGGAGGGATGAGGGTGGACTCAGTCGTCTCTCCCAGTGCTGAGAAGCTCAGATGCAACCATGGGCCCATTCACTGAGGGCCCAGCAGCTAAGCCTAGGTGACCTCTGGGCCTCTGCGGTCCTACAAACTCATTCCTATTAGTAACAGCATATGCTGGAAACACATCCTATCTTCCTTATTTTTCATGGGGGAAATGATATGGTTCACAGATGCCTGGGTTTGAACCTTGACTGTATAAAAACGGACTCACAGACACGGTCATGAGATAGTTACCCAGAGTGTAGAGTTTCTGTTTCTTAATGATCGGGCCTAATACAATGAGCTCTTTGTACCCCTGCACTATTATTTCATCACTGACACTGATCTTTTCAATGTCAAACAAACGTCACTCCTCATCTCTCTTCCTCTTTATGTTTTGAGGCCCCAGGAATCATCATTTCCTAAGGTTAGCATGCTATGGAATGTTATCTCAAGGGGAATTTTGACACGGAGGAACCAAAGTCATTGTTCCTTCATAGAGGGAGGCTGTGTACAGCGAGAGCAAACTGGGGCAGGGAGATATGTGCCCTTGTTTCCATTTCAGCAAGAAAGCACACCCTGCTATTAAAGTGTATCCCAAGAAATGGGTGGATGTCCAAGCTGCCATTCTGTCTGCACCGAGGGAAAACAATACATGCTTTTGTTATTGAAACTCATGTCCTGTTTTGATTCGAAACTCCAAGGTCATTAGTGACCAAAATGTTCTCCATCTCCTCTCTACTGTTTCAACCAAAGCAGAAGCTGAAAGACGGAAGGAAAAGATTTTGGGGACGAAAGTGTATGGCATGATGCGAGTTTACTATGGACTTGGAGACTCTGGGAATCCCTGGGAAGTAAGGAGATGCATGTCCCTGTTGGACTGGTGGAAAAGTGTGTGGAACTCACAATCGCAATGCAGTTTGTAAAAGGAATCATCACCAAAAATGGCTACCATGAGGGGAGAAAACTAGGGTAACTCAGGGGGCCCAGAACTCAATATGCATGTGGTTCCTCCAAAAACAACTGAGGCCATCAGTCCAAACTATGGAGCATGGATACAGAAGAAAAGCAACCGTCACCCATGGCAAGTTTTCAAGTCCATCAATGACCAAGAATTAGGAAGGCTTGGAGGCTTGGCTAGTGGAGAGGAATGTCAAGGCAGGCCCTTCCTTAGGTAAGTGGGTACAGATGTGAATTTTGCTAAGAATGATGGAATGATTTGTGCCTTCCTGTCAACACTGCCAAACTTCCTACCATATCTTAAACAAAATGGAAAAAAAAAAAAGACACAGTCATGGGGTTGGGCCTGCCTTATCCTTCACGTATGCAATGTGTATAACCCATGGACATTCATGATCCAGCAAACTTTCCATGAGGTGGTCTGCACTCAGGACGGCCCCGCAGAGCCCAGATAAAGATGCTGTCACGTGGCCAGGGGGCAATACAGTTCTTAGGAGCTGAAAACCCAGTTTTCTATCCTGCATCCAGAACACAGCTGCCTGGTTTCTCATATCTCTTCTTATTTTCCATGGTAGCAATAAAAGACTTATCTTGACAGTTTTTTCTAAACTTGAACTCTAGGGCTTTTCAGGAAGAATGAATTCCTCTGTTTGCTTTATAAGCAATGAATATTAATTTTAATAGATTCCTTTTTAAAAGACATAGGAATTTTTAAAAATACTTTTTAAAAAGCCCTATTGTCTTTTTAAAATGAATCCTTAAAATTGACATTAATTTCTTATAAAGCAAACAGAGTTAATAACTTATTACTTACCTTTTGATCATCTCTGCTGGGATGTGGCAGGGTCGCTAATAGCTAGCTGCCACTGGGCCAAATACTGCCACAGAGTGAGGGACCAGTCAAACTGCAGGCAATGGCTTTTGCAATGACAAAAGACGTTACATTCTTGTATCTTTCTAAGGTGAATGCTGGCTATTGCCTTCTTTAAGTCTAAGGAAAATAAAATAAACTTACCTTGAAAATTTACTGGGGCCTTCACCATCTTCATCATCGAAGTCCATTCTGAAAAGTCAAGATCACAAGTGAGCACTGATTATTAGGAGAACATTTTAACTGGTAACAGGAGCTGCTGGAACAAAAGGAGCTTTATTCACTAGGACTGCTATCCATTGATCCCAACCTTTGGCAGTGCTACAAGCAATATCTCTACACAGTCATCAAACGGGTTCAAGACAAGAAGAGGCAAAATGAAAGGTCTTCAGTCTAAGCACCACTAATTCTATGGCTGGGAATATTTAAGTATCAACTAGTCCCCTCCAGAACTCTATATGCCATTCCCTTCTTAGAACTCTTAGCAGACAATGGATTGCTCTGGCTATGATGGAAAGGTGTCTCTTCCTTTTCTCTCACCATCTTTGGGAATACCTGCACCCCTCTGCATCACCTATTCCACATTAAGACTTTTTTCTTAGTTTATCTTGTGGTATATTAAGAGCCTAAAAAGGCTCACGGGATTTTGAAAACAGAAGTTTTCAGGGTGAAGGGATCACAAGGGAAAGAGAAATACTACCGGTTGTACTGCTTAAAAATGTGGCTGGTCTTGATGAGTCAAAGTGAAAAGGACATTTAAGACTTTGCCCTATTAAATCCAGGACCACAAACATGGCTGTTGAGGGGAAAATGGCTGTTTGGGGCTCAAGCTACTCAAATCAGCTGTGCTTGTGGAAACTCACCAAGTAGTTATTCAGATTCACCCTTTACTGGGCCTCTCAGTGTAAACATAAGACAAAAAGACTTGATAGATATTTGTTGAACTAATACCTCAAACTCTTCTCAAAAAATCATGTCTCTGTAATGGTAATTCACACAATTCCTAAACATGTTAGGGCAGAGGGGGTACTTAATTGGTGTCAAGTGTACCCAGAGTCCTTGGGGAAACAAAATGAAAAATGATACAGATGTCTGAGCTTTCCTGGACATCCACGTGAGTGGAGCTCCTTGGAGAGAATGTCTCAGAGTCCCTGCATTCCCCATCTTGTTCTTTGTAGTCCTGGTGGACTGGATGAGGCACAGTTCCCATGGAATTCAAGGAGAAGGAAGGCCAGCCTGCCTGGCAGCCTGGCTTGAGAAACTCCTTGCCTGAACAGCTCAGTATCAGAATGGAGTGTGTATTAAATGACCACTGCTACAGATTCTAGAGCTGCTGGCCTCCCAGTAAGGGTGACCCATACCCTCAGGCTCTAAGGGCAGGGCTTCAGTGGCTAATGAGTGACTTGGAGAAGGCACAGGACACCCAGGTTACCAGGAAATGGCAGATTACACAGGGCGAGCCATCCTTGCATGGGCACACCCAAGAAGCTCCCAACAAGACAAATCCTAGTCTCTAGGGGTTTAGGTGCAAACTGAGGGACCTAGGGACTGGAATTAGGTAAGGCAAAGAAGTATTTTCTTCTTAAAATTAGTATCTTTTGTTTTTGTTTTGTTTTATGTACTGCGTAGCCAAAGTCCTAATCTTGGCCTTATTTTGTTTGGAATGACCTGACGGGATCCCCTGCTAATTTGGAATCTCTGGTTCTCGGACACAAGGGTTATACTAACAGTATAAGAACAAAAGGAGTTACATAACTGGAAAAGATGACAGTAATGATAACAGAAATACCTACGCACAAAAAGAAGAGGAGATGGGGTAGAACAGTGATAAGAAAAAAAAAAAGTACAGTTAAAGGGCCTTACAGACACCACTAAGAGAGACAGACACACACCTCTGCAAGGTAGTTTGGGAAACCAGGCACCGGGCAGCAGCTTTAGAGTTGCCGATGTTGTGGACAAGTGGGAGCTGAATGCAAGACTTTCTAAACGAATCAAAGCTATCAATATTCTGCATAATTACTAAGCCATCACCCCACCTTTCTCGGAAAATTACATCGCGAAGGTAAGCACCAAAAATGCTGTAACCAAATTCACCCGGTGTTCTGCAGAGCCGCAGAACCACGCTGCCACCTAGTGTTCACCATGGGGAAGAGCGATTTTGCCGTCCACATGAAGGTTATTTAACACCCCGTGCGTGCTGTCAAAAACATTTCAGCGTTAAGAAAAAGAAATAGCAGTTTCAACATTCCAAAGAACTCATGCAAGCATTTAACAAAACCACAAGTGGGTGTGAGACATACAGTTATCTTTAAAATTCCTTTTAGCTCAAGTTGGTATGAGTGTGATTGTCAGTACTCCTGCAAAATGCAATTTATAAGCCAGCCCTCTGTCCTCAGCCTTCATGATCTTCGGGGTGTTTAGGGTGACCAACCATCCTGATTTTCTCAGTATAGGAGTGGAGATACCTGGGATCTAGGACTTCAGTGCTAAAACTGGAAAAGTCCTGGACACACCAGGATGGTTGGTCACTTTTGTTTTTGCAAAGAGTTCTGTTCTTTACCCAGCCCTTTGTGGGACCAGACAGATAAGGAAGTGAGCCCCATGGTAAATAATACCACGCTGGCCAGGTCAGCTGTGGCTCAATCAAGCAGAGGGTATGAGAAAGAGATGGCCTTGCTCCAGAGCCAGAGTCTTCTGAAGTCCGCCGGGAACTTGGGAACCAGCATTTGTCTGGGAAAATTAGGGACCCAGATCCTGTGCCTCACACCTGTGCATGTGTACAGCCATCAGCTCTAGGAATTCGGAGGCGAACCAGGAGGTAAATCAGGACACAAATGTTTAAATACTCAGGATGACTCAATCCACCCGAAAACAGTCTCACTGGCTCATCAGCAACATGGAAAACAATGCAACCCTGGAGGACACAAAGGATCTTTTAGAGCCACACCTGCCAAGATGCTGCTGCTTTGGACTGCTATCACCATCTTGGATTCTCTACTTTACATAGGACTACCATAAGCTGTGCCTATTTCTTTTCTATAAGTCTAAGTAAATCATCCTTTGTTTTATATCTTGTATGTGTCTCTATTACACAGCAGCATCTGGATAATAAAGGAGAGAAATCAAAATATGACTTTTAAGTCCTATTGTACTCACTTTAATTCAACACAGTGAATGGATGATAGAAGAGTCTTCAAAAAGGGGGCTGAAAATGCATTTTACTGTACTTTTCCGTCGATGAGCCTGAATGCCTGCCTCGACAGAAAGCCATGATAAGCATTTCTGAACTTGCAGTTAGTTGTGAGTGAAGTGAAGCTCCCTGACGGTGACTGTAATCATAATAATGCTTCATCAAATACGAGCCTCTAAACAGAAGTCACTTATGCTCTAGTGAGATAAAAGGGCTGGTCCCACAGTGACAGTAAAGGAGTGATCCTGGGCCAACCCAAAGCTTCTGCAACAAGTGAAGTGTCAAGGGCTGCTGGAAAATGCTCCTCCTTCAGAGCCTGGACTGGCCAGCCCAGACTGCAGCAATGCTAGCACATAAAAGTTCACCAAGAGAAACAGCTGCTTACATAAATATACCTGCAATTTGACCACATTCCAGCAGCTCCCAGGGTTACCTTAGAGGGAGATGGCTACAAGTAACTTGAAAATAGTCCATTGGCTATAAGTAACTTGAAAATAGTTTTTCCTCAGTGATGCTATTTTAGAAGCCCAGCATCGGACTCCAAGTGGAAAGGGACTGACACATCCCTGCCCTCAGCCTCCACCCTCCAACCCATCAAAAGCTGGCTTTGAGATGGGCACAAACCCTAACTAGCCACTGCTGCTTCCCCCAACTGAATTTGCCCCAGTGAAGCCCCCCACCCCTCACCACCCTGTCACTGAGATCAGGGAGGTTACTACAAACATGCATTCCAGGTGACTTGCTTCAGCTCATTTCTCCCACGCATGTGGAATCACTTTTGAAAGAATCTGGGACTTTGGAACCTCCACCTTGAGTCCCAAATGCTGGGAGAGCAGGCAGCTCGCTAAGACACTTACTGATGAAGGCTGTCAGGGAAATGGGAAGAAAGTTAAACCATGAAGATCCACAGTGCTAGGCCCGGCGGGAGGCCTGGAGGATCCCAACTGCAAGACATTGGTTCTAATTGGCTTTGGAACACTAGGGTGGGAAGGGGGGTTATCCTGGAAATTTGGGATACTTCCCTCCATCAGAATAATCAGGTCAGAGTGGGAAGACCTAGGCAAGGAATGGGGGTGTGGGAAGGTCCTTGCCAATGCCACTACCCCCTTCCACCACCCCCATTCCTCCTCTCTCTTCTTTCCCCTCTCTCTCTGAGTCTCTCCACCATGTCCCACATTCTCAGATGGAAAAGGGAGGTGGAAGAACACCATGCCATCAGTAGGGAGGGCAGTGGGAAATGCGTGCCATGGCACAGGAGCAGGGGCCTGCCATGGGGTTACCTGCATTTCGATGAGAGTGAGTGACTTCCATCAGGGTCTCCTTTGTACTTAGTTAAGTGTTTAGGCTGTGGTTGAAGGAGCTATTATCATGAGCTTCTAGAACAGCGGAGGCCTCAGTCATAGAATTTCAGCAAAACATGTAAAAACGTCAGATGCAAGAATTACTATGGAAACGGCCCTGTAAAAATGGAGGTTTCTTTGCTTAGACACAGGATACATCTCTAAGCCATTGAGGCTTGGCAAGTGGAATCATGGTTTGTGTGCCCCCTCCCTCCGGCAGGGAAAAGGAAGTAGGAGTGAGGATGGTGGAGGACAAGCACCCTAGAGAGGTCAAGCCCATTGATTTGCCTTCCACAGGTCCTGCCCTTGCCCCTGGGTGATTTGTCAGCAATTGCTGCTCATCCTCCTTCCTCTCTCATTGCTTTTCTTGATGTTTCATTCCCTTGGCTTTAAGTGGAACTCCATGCTAGGCTCTGTCTCTGCCTGCTCAGGATCCACATCTGCCTCCAGTGCCACGCTGTGTGTGTGACCCGGGAAGGAAAGCACAGTGGTGCAGGACTTCTTCAGAAATGGGACTGAAGCTAGATGCAGTGGCTCATGCCTGTCGTCCCAACACTTTGGGAGGCCAAGGTGTGAGGATTGCTTGAGGCCAGGAGTTCAAGACCACCCTGGGCCACAGAGCGAGACCCTGTCTCTAAAAATAAAATAAAAAGAAATGGGACTGGGTCCCCAGTCAAATCATCAGCTCGGGGAGCAACCACAAATCAGGGTGTGGACACCAGGCTGGGGTCAGAAACATGGAGGCCGAGGAGGGAAGCAGCCTCGGCTCACCGCAGCCCAGGCCCTACGGGAGGGGAAGAGGAAACTCCTGGCAGAGGCTCAGAGGCGACTTCCCAGCACAGAGACGGTTTCTGGTCCTGTAAGTACTAGGCTGGGCCTGAGCATCTCTGCCTGGACTTGGTCCTGACTCAGCCCACCTCCCTCCTCACAGAGCCCTGTGCTGGCCTCTTCTGGAAAAGGACTTGGGCAAGCAATGGGGCTCTGTCCTCAGGGAATGCGAGTTAGAGTGCACATAGACATTTAAAATAATTTTAAAAGGCCTGGAATTGTAAAAAAAATCAATTAAGTTGACACCTCTTGTCTTCTTTTAGCAACTGCTGAGTTTAGCACCTAGTTAGCAAGAATGGCTGGTTGAAATCGGATGGCTGGGTTTGCAGGAAGCCCCAGCGGTGAGCCACATCATTTATTACAGAGTTGATCTGTGGAGCTTTGCCCCAGGCACCAACACTGCTCATTATAGCTCTGCTGGTTCTGCTGTAAAGATGGTGGCAGCTGCAGAGAGAGAAGTGGCTGTATCAGCACCCAGCGAGTGCAAGTGAGCGTGCTGAATACAGGGAAAGCTGGCATAACCACTGAGCTCTGCTGCTGGGCTTTTTAACCCTCTCCCTCATCATAAAAATCTCAGGCCCTCCTTTAGAGACTATACAACACACATAACAGTCTTTTTTCCAACCTAAAATTACAAGGCTGAATATGCTTTTGCATTCTAGCCACACTCCATCCCAGATCCTGATACTTCCCATTGCCTCCACTTATGCCCCCTTTAAGAATCATATTGGACCACCTAAAAACGGGCACACCCTGCAGGCCTTGGGCTGTGAGAAGTGGGTTCTGCTGTAACCAGACAGTTGCATTCCCAAGGAGCTGTGTGTTATCAGAAATTGCTTTAAAAGTACAAATTGATTCAACTTCATGAGAAACCTTGTTTATCAAATAGTGCATCGAAAATAAAATAGATTCAACAGGAGAAAGGGGCTAGGTGATATCTTGAGTCTGAAAATGTCCATCATGTTTTTCCTGCAGGATTTTGGTTGGTTGGATGGTTGGGGGGTAGTTGGTTGGTTGGTTGATTGGTTGGTTGGTTGGTTGGTTGATTGGTTGGTTAGTTGGTTGATTGGTTGGTTGGTTGGATGGTTGGTGGGTAGTTGGTTGGTTGGTTGGTTGGTTAGTTGGTTGGTTGGTTGGTTTTTCAGGTCTGTGTACAGCCACAAACATTATGGATCATGAATAGGTGCAGTTTTGGTTCCATCTGCTCAAGAGTGATGACATTTCTGGCCCTATCAGAACAAGTACACTTGGAACAATAGTACTTAGTATTATTACCACCTTCACCAGCAGAGCAGCAGACAATGCCAACTGTCTGGTCTTCAAGCACTGAGATTTAGCCAATTATTTTGAAAGGAATTCCTGCACACCATCTCTGAAGGAGGAAAGAATGGACAGCACCAGGGTGGAATCTTTGCAGCCCACAGGGGCTGGAGCTCAGCGCAGCAGTGCTGCCAAATCTGGCTTGGAGGCTCAGGCAGGATAACGGGTGAGCCCTCTCCCTTCAGATGGCCTGAGCCAGGCCCAGCAGGATCACAAAGCACATTCTCACCACAAGGACAAGCAAACAGAAGTCCCCAGCTGGGTGCCGAGGCCCAAAACACTTAGAAGCAAATCATGTGCATATTTAGGAATCTTGTAAAAGTTAAACAGGATGCAAACTGCTGAGCTTTTATTCTACAGGAAGGGGAGAAACAATATTTTCCTAACAGGTCAAGAGCATTGCTCAACATTTATTAAGCCAATTCCTGGAAACGCTGAGGTCGCTTACCCGGAACGCCGCTTTCCTCCACGGGCAGGCATGGCCCCCGCCATCCTCACCTGTCCGGTGGCCGCCATGGGGGCAACGGGCAACGTCACAGATCCAGGTATGTCTGAAGCCATTTCTGGAATTCAGCAAAGACAAGAGGTTTTGTCAATGCCAGAAAAGCCCAGTAACGGGCAAGAAAGTTGTGATACGGTACCAGAAGCACCACCTGCGCAGAGAGCCCAGGGACCTGCATCCTGCGGCCGCTCTGCCATCATCAGCTATGTGGCTGGGGCAAGTCTTTCCTCTTTCTCTGGAAAAGGGTATCTCTGGCAGTACTCTCATATTTACTGATTGGAACAGTGGTTAAACAGTTTAACCACAGAATTAAACAGAATTAAAAGAGCTTAGCAGCTTTCATAAGGGACTCCTGTCTCCTGACCACCTGGAGGCAGGTAAGATGCAGAGGAATCCGAGCAGCACAGCTAAGGCCTGAGGGAAAGAACCAACTCCTGGTAACCCAGATGGGGCACACGCCCTGAGAGGCAACGCCCTGCTGCAGTGCCCGCCACTGCCCCTCCGTTGCCCTAGGTTCGTGTTCAAGCAGAAAGGCTGGTTGCCACGCCTACTCTGGACTCAGAAGCCCTGAGTATCTGAGCCCTGCTTGGCCCCTCTGTTATTGACGAAGACAGTGAGCTCTAGGGTGTTAAAAGCATCACTTCAGGCTATAGCAGGCCAGGCTGAGGCTTCCTGGATCTCCAGAGCTGGACCTTTTCAGGAATAAATATTAATTTAAAGAATAAGAAGGTCTATTACTAAATAAGAGTACCTTTCCTGCACATTGTGGCCAAGACATTATTTCTTATAAGCCAGATAATTTTGGAAGCTCGTTAAGGTCATGTTAAGCATCCCTGATTTCAAAGAAACCACACTAAGCAGTCTCTCTTTCCTACTTAACGGAGAGCTCCTAAGCTCAGGCACCCTTTCCCAGACCATTCCATGACTCGACAAATGTTTCAAGTGGCCTCTGTGATTCTGTTTACCGTGGTTGGGAACGACTTCCACAGTGTTAGCTTTTCTTAGCTCAACTTTTACCCAGGGGAAGAAGGGAAGCAGCAATCTACAAAAATATATATAAAAGATGGGTCAGGATACATAAGGAATCTGGGCCCTTCTTAGTGGAGAGAGATGCCTGGTGATGTTGACAGTGCATGGTTGGTGTAGGCTACTGCTCTGTTTCCTTTCAGTAGAACTCAGGGAGTCCTGTGACAGTTGACCCACAGTTACGCCCCAAAACACTGTATGTTTAATAAACACATTTGAAGCTCAACTTGAACTATCCCACTCAAAACTCTTGAAGAAGAATTTTACAATACACAATACAATTTCACAATAAACAAAAGCTTAATTTAGTCATCTTGCTATGTCCACAAAACTTGGGGAATGATTACACTTTTGTTTTGTTTTTTAAACCAAGGTACACATCAAAAAGTCCTCAAAGAAAAAAAAAATCCTCCTCTTAAAGTAATTCTCTCCCCTTTAGACAACTGAGTTTGTGACAGCTAGACAGTATTAAAAGCAATAACCCAACAACTTTATCATCTGCCTGCTTTGATAAAATATTTATATTTTTCTGAAATGGAGGCTAAAACACATTGAGTCCATTATGTCCCCAAACTGAAGGGCAGAATCACTGTTACAGCAAAGACAGATGACAATGAAAGTCACTACTTTCTAAAATAAGTTCCACAGAACAGCAGCCCCTTAAGATTCTCCAAGAAACAGAGTTCCATGGTCAAATAAGTTAAGAAAAAAGCTGTGCACTTACCCCCTTTCTTGGAGATTCCAACATCCACTAAAAACATATTGACAAGTCCTACCTATATAAAGAGGATTGCTTAACTTCGGTTATCCCAGTATATCATAAATATCTCTAATTGTGGAAACTTTAAAAATGGATCACCTGCTCAGCTAATGTTCTAAGCAGCACAAGTTTTGGTTTTTTGTTTTGTTTTGTTTTGTTTTGTTTTTTTTGAGACGGAGTCTCACTCTGTCACCCAGGCTGGAGAGCAGTGGCGTGATCTTGGCTCACTGCAAGCTCCACCTCCCGGGTTCACGCCATTCTCCTGCCTCAGCCTCCCGAGTAGCTGGGACTACAGGCGCCCGCCACCATGCCCGGCTAATTTTTTTTGTATTTTTAGTAGAGATGGGGTTTCACCGTGTTAGCCAGGATGGTCTCCATCTCCTGACCTCATGATCTGCCCACCTCGGCCTCCCAAAGTGCTGGGATTACAGGCGTTAGCCACCGCGCCAGGCCCAAGTTTTGGTATTTTAAAGCCATTACCTCATTCCTGCCTTCGAGTTGAGGAAATTTCAGGCTGGAAGAGATCTTAGCCATTGTTGGTAATCCTAGAAATGTTGTCATCCCTTCCCCGTTCCAATCACCTGAATTTAATTTGGGTAAAACAAAAATGCCGATAGTTTTGGCAATATAAGTTGAAAAAAGTAAAGCTCCCCAAAACCTTGGCTGGTGGGGCAAAGGATGAGGAACACTGAAAACCAAGTCCTTTCTTTCCTCCAACAGATGAAGGGAGCAAGGCAAAGAGAGATTAGATGACCTGCGTGGGTGCCCACAAGTGATCTTTCTTTTTCTTGTCTGATTTCATGTCTAGTTTCTTATTTTCACGTCCTATTTCATTGGCCAGAACTTTCAGAGCAATATTGAGTAAAAATGACCTATCATGAGGTAAAAGAAAGTCACTACCTTGCAGTCAGATATATCTGGTTTCAAATCACAACTCAAACACCTCCCAGCTATGAGTGACGGGGCTACTCTAGGTCAAAGTGTCAGCTGTGAAATGTTCATAATATGTACCTTGAAGGGGCATTTTAAAAATTAAGGACAAGGTATGTGATGAGCCTAACATAGTGCTTGGGAAAAAAAAACACTCAAGCAACAATAATTAAAATGATCATGATTATGCTGATGGTAAGCAATCTTGCTTGAGCCTTGCATTTAACTGGAATGAGCTGCTGGTTTAAGACAGACACTGTTTCTGTTGTCAAGGAATCTGCTCCTATGTCTACTTTAAAAAGTTTATTTAAGGAATGGATGCCTCATTTTATCAAATGCTATTTTTTGTAATTAAGTGTTCTGGATACTAAATAAGCCAAACAGAAAATGCAATCGATGAGACTAACATTGACTTTAAAGATAAAATATTTTCTCTAATATTGATTTTTAGGAGCCACCCTTAATAAATTCAAACAAAAGTGAAAAAACAAGTCTCTCTCCTCTGCAATCTATGTCCGTATCTATAATGTGATCAGCTGTCAGCCTTCCCTGGAAAAGTCTGGCACCCGCTTCCCAAATCTGGCATCTTTTCTCTGTGACTCAAGTCGAAGCAAGCAAAGTTCTTGGGATGTCCATCCAAAGAAGGTGGCTTAGGAAGGTCCCTGTTCAGGTTGGAGGTGACAGTCCCAAAGACAAGGCCTGGTATCAATAGAGCAAAGTTGGCTAAACCTTCAGATGAAGAGCAGCCCTGCAAGCCAGTTGATGATGTGCTCCAGGGTTTCTGAATTTCACTCACCAAGAGAACTGAACACTGCACTGTATAGGGAGGAAATCACACTTTGGATACCTCCAGGGTGGCTGTGCAGCCACCACCATACCCTGCAGCTGTGGGTATTCATGAGTAGAGCCTTTCCAGAGGAGAGCTCAGCAGTCTGTGTCAACAGACATTAGAATATTCATGCACATGTACACCCCTGACACACAGCAAACACACTCCCCACTGTCCTGGACCTAACACAGACATAGCTTCTCCCTTGCTGTGATGGGAGATGAGAGGAAGGGTGTGTGTGTGTGTGTGTGTGTTATATGCACAGAAAAAAGACTAGAAGGCAGATAGAAACACACTAATATGTTAAACTTGGCTATTCCTGTTGTGAGAATTATAGGTGGGTTTTATTTTATCCTAAAAGCTCTTCTTGTTTTTTTGAATATTCTAATTTTCTCCCAATGCATGTGTTAATTTAATGATATGTCAATTGAGTGATCACAAATAGAATAATACTTTTTAAAGGGTTTCATGTGGAAGACACAGGAGAAAGTATATATAACTGGTGAGAACTGGAAGCAATGAATGAATGAGACAGAGACAGAGGAAGGGGAAGCCCTTTTTAAATAGTAAGTGTCCAATAATGGGACGGATTGGCTTAAGAACAATGATAAAATTTTACCTAAACTAAGATTTATGTTGGGTACTGACTGTGTTTCCAGCACTCTGCCATCTTCTTTGCACAAGCTTTACATCCACCCTATAAAGTAAATGGAAATTCATCCCATTTTACAGATTAGGAAACTCGGCAGGGACCGGTCAGCCCTGTACCCTGTAACATGGCTAGTGAAGGGCAGAGCAGGCTCTTACGTGTTTGGCCACCCACTGTGGGGTCCCTGTCCCTTGTGGTGCCCAGGCGGAGGCCAGGTGGCTAGGCAGATCCTTCCCTGGGGTGGCAAGAGATGTGCTAAGGCCACGATTCTCAATCACAGGCCCAGATGAAAGTTGTATGGCACGTAGGACATGTTCATGCTTTGGGGTCACTCCATCTAGCCATGGGGTCCGTGCGCAAGCTATTGAACCTCGCTAAGTTTCAGTCTCCCCCTCTATAAGATCAGGAAAATACTTACATCACACGGTTATTGTAAGTATTAAGGAAAGCCAATTATTTATCATGTCTAGTAGAAGAAATGTTCCTTCTCCTCTGTTACTTTCGCCTAGCACAGAACGTCTTTTCCAAGCAGACATTATACCTGTATGTACGTGTGATCTTTATATAACCCTTGAGCAAATTACTTAGCCTCTCTGTGCCTTGGTTTTCTATCTGCAAAATGGGGATAGCAACGCACCTCCTGGAGTTATGAGGATTAAAGAAGCTAATCGTTGTAAAGCACTTAGAATGATGCCTGGCACAGCGTAAGCACATGTAAGTGTTCAATAAAAATACACACACACAGATGCTAACACCACTTAGAGTCATTTTGCTATGGTAAGGACTTGAGTCACTTTGATAATGTTGCTTTTCTGGTTCTAACTCACAGGAGTGCAAGAGAGATCAGAGGGGCAGAGGGGGCAGAAGGCCCTCTGGACTCCTCAGCACCCCACTCGTAACACGATCCCCCACGTGAGGCTGTGGCCAGAGACAGAAGGAGGAGCTGCAAACCCCGTGAGCCTGAGATGAGGTGCTCCATCTGTTCCGACCTCCAGTGGTCCCTCTACCCAGAGTCCTGTCTCTGCATCAGCTGTCAGGCCCACCCGGATCTCAGGAGGGAGTGCAGACCCCACTCGGGTCTCCCTGTGCGGAGCTGAGTCCTGAGCTGGGAGCCTGCACCCAGTCCATGCTGCACCGGCCTCCTCCATCCTGTCTCCCACCCACCTCCTCTCAGGGCTTCATGCACCAACACACACGTCACACACCACTCACACACACACATCATCACATCAACACACATGCATACCACTCACACACACCACACACCCCCACACACGTCACTCACATCAACACACATACACAACACTCACACACACCACACACATCCCCACTGCTCTCAACACACATACACGACACCTGCACACACCCTACACACTCCACATACACCACTCACATCAACACACAAACACACCACTCACACCACACACCCCCACACCACTCTCGACACATATACACAACACCTGCACACACCCCATATCAACACACATACACATCACTCATACACACCCCACCCCTCCACACCACTCTCAACACACATACACAACACTCACACACCCCACACACCCTGCGTACACCACTCACATCAACACATATACACACCAGTGACACACACCACACACACTCCATACACACCACTCACATCAACATACACAACACTCACACACATCACACACACCACTCACATCAACACACGTACACACCCTCACATACATGCCACACACACATCAGTCACATCGACACACATGCACACTATTCACACACACACGACACACACCATTCACACACAACACATCACATACCACTCACACAACCCACACTCCCCCACCATTCACAGCAACATACATACACACCATTTGCATTCACACCAACACACCACACACACCACTCACATCACTCAACACATACACACCATTCACACACACACCACACATATACCACTCACAACACACATACACACCATTCACATACACACACCATTTGGACACACCACACACACACCACTCACACCACTCACATCAACTCATACAAAGCATTCACACACACCACACACACACCACTCACATCAACACACCTACACACACCACTCACACACACACCACGCACACACATCACACATCATTCACAAACACAACACACATTGCTCATACACCAATCATATACACACACCCCCACACACCACACACAACACAAACCACACATGCACACACCATTCACATCAATAAACACACCATGCATACACCACACACATGCACCACTCACAGAAATCTCACCACACAAACCACTCAAACCAACATACACACCACACACACACCATAAACACACATCACACTACTCATACACATACCACAGACACCTCTCTCACACCACACACACACACACACACACACACACCACGTACACACAAACCACACACACCGCCCACCCCAGACCTGACAGGGAACAACTTCCTCCTCGCTGATGGTAAGCTTCGCCTGAGCGGGGAAGTGTGCCCTCCATTTGTCACAGCCCTGGGACCCCACAGCCCTACGCACCCTTCAGAAGGAAACCCAGGGATCCTGGACAAGTCATCCATCCCCTCTTGTTTCCAGTTTGTCACGGGTAGCTCAAGCAGCGCCTGGCAAGGAACTCATTTGAAATGGGCGTGAAGAACAGGACCCTCACCTCGATTTCCCCATGCAGCTGAGGGTTTGCCACATTTGGAAAAGACAGGCATCTGGTGCAGCATAGAAACATGAACACATTCTATAACACACATCAAAATTCAAATCAATCTCAAAAGCCAAGGCCGAATTTTCCATTACACAAGGAAAAGTAATCCGCTCCCCTTCATGAAGCAAAACCACCAAAGAGCTGCTTCCCCTTGCTGGTTCCTCGCCTCCCATGCTTCCTTCAACCTTCTCTCGTCTGTCACCCCACTAGAGAGCTGCCATCGTCACAAGGCCACTCTTGTGAAGGCAAACAGTGGCTCTTCTGCCCCTGACCTTCTATGGGGATGTGGCCCCCTGCTCTGTCTCAAGCATTTTCGCCTGGTTTTCCAGGACCACGTCCTTCACCTCCTGCCTCAGGCCCCTCTTCCTAGGCCTCCTCTGCCTGTTCTTCCTCCTCTTCCAGACCTCAGGGCATCTTGTGCAGCCTCCTATCATATGTGTCCTCCTAGGTGAACTCATCCAGGTGCCTGGCAGCAGCGCTGCCTCCGCTGCTGCTTCTCCAATCCAATAGCAAGCCCTGCTGCTACCTCCGAGAGGTCTCTCCATCTTCTGGGCTCTGCTGCTGGCCTGCCTCAGGACGCCCCTGACCTTCCTGCATTCCACTCTTGTCCTTCCCACTCATTCCACACTCGGAAGCCACATCAGACAAGGCCAGCCCTTGCCTCTGTCTTCTAACACATTTTCTTTCCTCTTAGCCCAAACCTGGAGTTCCCTGCCATCATCAACTTGTTCTTGTGTGATCAGGCCACTGCCTACCTCTCCAGCCTACCTCTCTGGCTGCAGCCATGCTGCCTTATCAGTTTCTTGAACACACTATGTTCCGTTCTGACCCCAGGACCTTTGCATATGCTATGTCCTCTGGCAAGAAAGCTCTCCTCTCTCTCTTCACCTCATTAGTTCCTTACAGTCATTTAGATTTTGCTCAAATATCACTCCTCAAGGAGGCCTGTCTCTGAACAACCCCTCCCCTACCCAGTCCAGGTCTGGTCCCTGGTGATTCATTCTTACTGTACCTGGACTTCTCCTGGGAATGAATGAAGGTCACAGCAGTCCAGGTGAGAGATGACAAGGCCTGAATGATGGAGCCGCAAGGAGGGCACGCCAGAGGAAAGAGATGATGTCACTGCCTCAAAATAGTGTGTCGGCGTCAGATCCCAAAAAGGGAAAATTCTAAAAAACCTTGGTCACCTGATCCTCCTACACTGTATAGGGCAAAAAAAATTTTAGAGACAGAAGAAAAATATGATTGGGCCAGTTGCATATTTACAACTACCATGCCACACATGCTCAATACAGGAGGACTTTCGCAGCAAAGTAGAGGTACAAGTGCTCACACATTCCTCGGTTCATTGAATCAGGGGGCCACACATTCAGTAGCAGCCTACTTCTAGCTCTGGCTTCATCACTATTTTCCTCAGTTTCTCCTCAGCTAAGACATGGAGTTTATCAGGACATTATTTCCTTTTGCAGAGGTTGCTGTGAGAAAGTGGTCTCTGTTTCAATTATAAGCAGCATTTGCAAAGCTCTTCTTTTGAGCCAGGGGCTGTGCTAGAAGCTGAACGATGGTCAGAGATGAAAGGACCCAATCCTGCCTCTGACAAGTTCAGCTTAAGTGTGATGGAGGCACAGAGCCTAGTAATTTCACACTGAGAAATGCATGCTGTGAGGGATGCTGGATACCATGTGGTGGGGAAGGCTGGGAAGATCTGAGAAGGCTTCCTGGAGGACACCACCCCTATGCTAACCTGGCAATGGACTGCAAAAAATGCTCTGGGAGGAACGAAGTACGATGGGAAAGATGCCGTTTCCTAAAAAGCGTTCCTTTGACTGCTCCAGAATTTCTGAGCAGAGTCATTTAGCCCCCTCTGAGGGGTATGCTTTCTTGTTCATTTCCAGTCCCTGGAGATTTCTGGTCTTTTATCCCAACTGCAACTCCCTACAGATCGAGAGTTATTCCCCCACTCAAATGCAACGCTCTTGTCTAGATCTCTGCTCAGATCCCTGATCATAACCGATGGCAAATGCACAAATAGACAGAAATATCTGTATTCGCAGCAGTCTGACTCCAAATGCAAATATCCCCTCAGGAAATTGTTTCCCATTACACACAGAGGGGAAATGACTGTCTGCTCTTAGGCAAAGTTGGAATGAGGTTTGGAGCTCATTTAAAAATCAGTACAAGCTAAAGATTTTGTAAGGTTCACCGTAACACAGAAAACATATCTGGCTTATAATGCAGCATCTAGCTACAGACTATTTCACATTTCAGATGCAGACGTACTGTGTAGAATTCCTATAATACAGTGTAGGCAGCGAAAACCTGGAAAAAACGTGGAACTTGAGAGCATTACAGATGAAAGGAACAGGAGGAAATGGAAAAAAAGACATCTTGCTCTCCCTACATTTCATGTGAATCCAAGTAAGAAAAATATCCCCTGATCTTTACATTGGGAAAAAATCAATTACATGCAAACTTTCACAACATGACAACACACAATATTTTAATGGCCATTCAAATAAATGAAAAACCAAAAGGCTCTTTCCATGGCTGGGAGGGGGGTGAGGGCAGGCAACTAACCAAAGAAAAACGCTCTTCTCAATATTCATCTCTCTTAGAACAATTCTCTTCACAGAAAGCACATCAAATATCACAGCCCTACCTTTTCAGAGGGATTAAACAAAGATCTTTCTTCCTTGTGACCAACACCTTCTTAGGAGAATCTGTTATCCGTGTAGAAGAAATGTCAGAAACCTCTGGGAGGAAATGTAGCTGCATTTGTATTCTGCTGAGAAAATGTCATCACAGATCTGTTTACCTTAACTGTGGACCATGATTCAGCCGTGACAACTGTCTTGCATACTGATCAATTTATTTGCAGCAAAATTTCTAGCATTAACTGCTTAGGTTCTGAAAAATCGGTTACTTGGATTTCCTATGAAACCATAACAAATGCATATTTGAAAAATCTAGATTCTTATCCAAACATTTTAGTGAGAGATAATAAAGGATTTTTCTTGAAGTCCAAGCAAGGGAGGGTCCCTCTTACTTCTGGAATGAAGACAGGGCACATGATTCCCAAAGGGCCTCCATGGGGTAGCATTTTTATAGCACAATGTACAGAAAATCATTAGACTGAGAATCAGAGAACTCTGACTGCAGATCCATGCTCGGCTTTAACCAGCCGTGAGATCCTCTGTAAGACATTCTTTTCTGATCAGCAGGCTGGGCCAAGGTCTCTGCAATAGAGAAGAGGATGGCCACTGGACCTGGGAAAGCAAGAAGAGGCCAGGTCCTGTCTCCTCTGGCTGGTGCTTCCAGCCTGGATACCGAGCCCTGGATGCCTGCCTGAGCCCCTTCTAGTAGGCAGGCAGGTTTTGGCATTAGGGAATTGAAACCAGTCCCAAGGCAGCCCGGGGAGATGCCCTCCCACCTCAGCTAACAGTGCTGGCTCAGGTAGAGCTCTGGCTCTCCTCTGGAACAGGGGCACTGCACTACAGCACACTATGGTGTCACTCCCCATGTTCCCACTAGTGTCCGAACCCACTAACTCCAGCTTCCTTCTCCACCCTGTGGGCTGAAGTCCTGTAATCTCTGTGCTGAAATTTGTAAAAGGAGTAAAAATAAAACAGACCCAGCAAGAAGATGGGTAACCAGTAATTCCAATGGAAGAAAAGTGGAGAGGCTGCTGTCAAGGATATGATTCTGGAGCAAGACAACAAGGATGAGTGACCCATTCAACCTGCCCCACTCTGTGCGAGATGACCCCACAGGTCTAACTGCAATGAGACATCCACCCATGACTTGTCTCATGCTTGAGTCAAACCTAGAAGCCGCAGACCATCAGAAGAAAGTGTGTGTCATCAATCACACAGAAGCCAGCCCAGAACATCTAGGTTGGAAGGATTGGTGTCCGTCAGTGAACTGAATGTCCCTAATGAGGTCTTAGAAGGAGTCTCAGCCAAAACCTAGACTCTGGCCTACCAAGACCTGAGTCTAGGGAATCAGGAGCCCTGTGCAGTAAGACAGACCCTGAAGGAGAAAGTGCAAGGCATGGGTTGCTGGTGGAAGAGTACACAGGAGGGTTCAAAGCTCTGATTCTCCACATTCAAAAATACGAGAAAGAACCATGGGATGGTGAAGGGTTCACTGAGGAGGACCTGCTAGTGAGACACAACTTGTTGGCCTGGAGAGTCCTTGAGGCAGAAGGAGGGATAAAACTGTCTTCAGATACCTGAGGGACCTTCCTGTATAAAAGGGAAGAGGCCAGTTCTCAATGACTGCAGAGACCTCTTCACAGTGGCTGAGGATATGAAAGGTAGGGGAAAGAAATGAATGACCAAGATGCATGTTGACTGTCCAAAGGCAGTTGGAAGTTGAACAGAAACCAAATGAACTAACAAGTCTGACATAAAGAGAAAAGCTCATAACTTATGGAATACTCCCAGATAAAAATTACTTAACCTTTAAATATCATGATTTCAAAGATAATGTTATAGGAAAATGCTAAGAGTAAGTTAATGGAGCAGGATACAGAATCATATATGCAAACATATTTATCAGGGACCCATCAAAGTTCAGCTTCAGCTACACTATTTGCCCAAAACCTATTATTTGGCCATGGCTTCTAAATGAATGCCTTGGCCTTTGAAAGGACAAACAGTCAAATACCTATTGCAAGATCATTTCTGGCATCCCTGAACTTGTGCATGATCAATGGCCTTACGATACTCAGGTCACCACCATCTCTACGTCTACAGCATAACAACATCAATACTACAAATAAGCCATGCCACATGAACTTATTGCTCAAGTCCGCATGTTCACTTTCAAATGTAAATCTGCATTCTAGATGTACTCAGATTAAAAAGCTCCTTGTATGTATGATGTATTTTGAACTCTCCCAGTCAGATGGTGTATAAATATAAATATTATTGCAAGAATGAAATGTGCAGTAATCTTTGACCATATGGTAAAAGCTATTAATTTTATATGCAAAATTTGTGTGCAAATCAATTATCAAGAACTTTAACAAATAGTTACATTTAATAGGAAGTGAGGAAATAATACAAATATTAAGAGACAACACTTTGGGAGGCCGAGATGGGCGGATCACGAGGTCACGAGTTCGAGACCAGTCTGGCCAACACAGTGAAACCCCGTATCTACTAAAAATACAAAAAATTAGCCAGGCGTGGTGGCGTGTGCCTATAATCCTAGCTACTTGGGAGGCTGAGGCAGGAGAATCGCGTGAACCCAGGAGATGGAGGTCGTAGTGGGCCGAGATTGCACCACTGCACTGCAGCCCACGTGACAGTGCCAGACTCCATCCCCCCACCCCAAAAAAGAGGCAAAACATTTGCTTGCTACTTTTACAAAGACTGTCATATTCTTTCTGAGCCAAGATATGTACAGAACCATAAATACTACTATAAAACAGAATAAAAGAGATTATTAGTGTATATTATAAATTATGTCTTTGTGGAATTGTTTGGTATGCTGGCCTTCACAACAATAAACAATCTTTAGGATTTTAAATTTTTCTACCTGTTTCTGTTTAGACCATGCATCTTTCAAGAAAAAGTCTTATTTGGAATCCTTCATATCTTTATAAGGACAAATTAGTTGCCAAGTTTATCAACTGTGCCACCTCAAAAATTCACAGGGGAAAAAACCTCCCATATCACACCATAACATCTGTAGTAAATCATCACCAATGCAGACATAATTAACAAAACCAACGTAGTTCATTCCTCCACCAAACTCAGTTGCAAACAAATGTCTATATTTAGTATAATAAATTGCAGCATGGTAAGCACAGGAGTATCTAGCAGCGGGCAAGGTCTAGATACAACTGTTTCTGACTTAGAGTTTAACTTTACAATGTGAGGAATCCTAATAAATAAAAATAACATAAGAACAATACCTATTTTTGTTAGAATGTCATATTTTCATTCAATGATTCAGCATCAGCCTCAATCACAGCCAAACATAGATGCTCAGCCATTCAGCATTAAGGAAAACTGAATTAACTCAACGCACCTCTAATATGTGTACATCCAGACAGAGAAAGAGACTCTGTGTGTGTGTGTGTGTGTGTGTGTGTGTGTGTGTGTGTAGGTAAATACATTTTAAAAAGGAACAAAGCTAATAACTGAATGGTAAGACTACATAGGATTTTTACTGCCCACTTATTTTCTATTATCTCTGTGTTTTAAAAACTTAGAATATAATACTCTTATGATCAGGAAGCAATGCAAGTGATGTAATCGAAGGTAAGTGAAATGCTCGGCTCTGTGGGCAGGCTGCGTGGGAATTGGGAACACAGAACTGAGGGAGGGGAACAGAAGCCGGCAGTTGTGAAATGGTGTAGCCACCTCCAGCTGAGCAAACTTCCCTACAGGGATGGGACAGAGGTGATGAAAGGGGGAAAAGGCAGAATTTGAGGCTGAAATAGCTACTGAGTTTCAAAGAGGTGGCAGGCCCTGAGCAGGCTCATAAATCCACATGGCAACACTGTGAAAGAAGCATCATTATCACTGTGTCCTGGGTGTGATCATATTCAGGGTTTTCTGATTAGTACAGTAGTAAATGTGCACGGTAAAATATCTGAAATACTCAGGAAAGAGTAAAAACCGGGGAGATGAGGCCACAAAAGAGGAGAGAAGACAAAAATGGGATAAGAGAGATGGAGTGGGTGAGACTCTGGCAAAGAAAATATTAAAAGATGAGTTATTCAAGGTGGGGGAGACACCGCCACCAGCTCTGAAGTCGGGGCAAGAGGTAACAGTGGCCTGACGAGCGTGCAGTTCCTCCTGTGGCTCCCTTCACAACCTCGTGACTTCTTGATGCTAGAGCAGTGAGGAGTGAAGGCCCACTTCTCTCCACAAAGGGTAGACTGAGGTTATTCCATGGCACAGTATAAGGCCCTGAATATACAGAAAGGAAAGATGGAGCCCATCGAGAAGGGAGAAGAAGGACCAGCAAACAGCCAGGACAAGCTGTGTGAAAAGTGACACAGCAGGTAAATCCAGAGAGCTCTGGGAACCAGAGGTGCCAAACAGCACAAACCAGGAGAGACCATCAGTGGGACGGATGCAGAAGGCTCTGGAGGAGGCAATAAGTTCGTGGATTCTAAACACTGTTTAACCAGGAAGTAACAGACAAGGTGAGTCAAGCTTGAGTCATGCCCGCTGGGCTCACAGATACCCTGGCCTTCTCAATTATGCAAAACCCACACCTTTGAAGGAGAGTGGGACAAATACTAAATCAGATAGCATGCAGAGACGTTAAAATCCCAGGCACAAATGAAGACTGTCCACATAACCAGGGACATGTGCCCCTTCTCCACGTGTACTGATTGTTGTCCAGACACAACGAGAGCAGCTACCATCCTTCCTGGTGCCAGGGCCCACACAAGTCATGAAGCAAACACAGCCCCCGCCAGGATACCAGATGGTTAATCATCTGGAGGATGTGGGTGTCCTGGGAGTATCACTCCTAATTTAGACAGTGGACAGCAACATGCACTTCCTGTACATTTAACTCAAACCCTATGGAGGTGGCACCACGATGGGGACACCTGGATGGATGTAGTGAAGGAACACAATACAGTTAGAATCCCTCACTTGCTGTGTGTTTCTGTTTCCCCAGGTAGGAGGAACTCCCCGAGGTCAGGAAGCAGTGTCTATTCATTTGTCGTATGGAATCACCACACCCTTCAGTGATGGCCATGCTTTCCTTGTCGCCTTCTTTGAGATTGAGTGGGCCCCACAGAACGGCGTTCCCAGAAGCCTTGGTGACTGCTCAGATCCCAGCTGCTTTACCTGCCAGCATCCTGAAACTCAGTAAGATCAGAGTCCAGACCTCGTAAGATGTTGAGACTTCACCTACCGCTGCCCCACCCAGGCTGATGAAGCATCAATCCAAGATGAAGGGGCCCATCCCTGAGTCTGTAGGTAAAAGTGGTGGGGGAAAGCTGAATAAGGAGGGGAGCTGTGCAGGGCGGGGGGGAAGGATGAAGGAGGGGATGACTTGGGCTGTAGGAAGTGGAGGCTTCCGGTGCAGTTAGCTGAAGACAATGTGCTCACAATTGCACATGTGCATGGCATCGTAGCTGGGACGCACTAGCCATTCAACACATTTTTTTCCTTTTTTTTGCCCATATCTCCTCAAATTCCTTTTACCATCAACACATATTTTTGACACGGATGAATAAATGAATCAATGAATGGATAAATTTTGCTCTGAGTGCTGCCCTAAGAGGCACATACAAGGTTCTCAATTATTCAGGTGCAAAATCAGTGCCAAGTGATCCACGGCCATTTCAAAGCTGTCTCTGAAGCCCACACGCCTCCCACTTCTAAGCCGGTAATGGCCTTGGACAGCATATCCTTAGTACTGCCTGCTCCTGTGGACAGAGGGAGGGAGGGAACCTGGCCTCTGAGCCAGAGGAATGTGAGAGGGCTGTGGGGTCAGCAATGTGCATGGGAGGGGGGCAGCTGTTTGGACTGGGAGGCAAATGGTTCTATGGGAAGGGGTGGGAAAGGGAGGACCAGGGCCCAGGATGAAAGGAAGCCAGTTCAAAGGCCCATGCAGCCTCCGCTCAGCAGCAACGGACCTTGCTGCTTCTGAAGCAGGGACTGACCCAATAACGGCTCTTCTCAGGAGGAAGTTACTATGCCCGCAATCCTGGAGGCTCAGGGTTCTTCAAAAGTGAGAACCAAAACTTAAAGGGAAGGGTACTCTGTACTGCCAGCCTCCATCACTCCAAGAGGGAAAGAGAACCTCGGGCAGAGCTGGCACCTATGGAGGAGGCAATGGGGTGTCCTGGCTGAGAAAAGGACGAGGGCAGGCAGAGGGCAGGAGGTGTGTGGCCAGGTGGCCCGATGGCAGTGCTGGCTGTTGGCTGTATCTGCAGACACTAAGGGATTGGGGAGCTCCCTGGAAACTGGGCTTCAGTGAGCGTGGAGAGTGGTACAGGCGACAACCGGTAGGAGGGGAGAGTGACCCCAGACATCCCAGTGGTTTACCCGCAGGTAAGGATCCAGGTGCTGCCTCTCAGGAGCAGGAGTTGGAAAACATAAAAGGAGAAGGTGGCCTCAAACAGCTCCCCTGTTGTATCCATCTCCCACCCACCCTGCGCCCAGGACCTCAGAAAGATTCAGGAAAAACTTCCATGAAAGTACCACTTCTTACCTATCTTAACCCGAGCTCCTGGCTTTATCTTTATTTCAATCTATTATCCTGCTCCTGGACATCCCCTCTCCTTTTCCTTCTCTCTTCCACTCCCCGTTCCCTGCCTCTCCTCTGCTCCCCACTCCCTCTCCCGGTCTACCTGTCCCCTCTCTTCCTCCACTCACTTGCCGATTTTCTCTTGATCTCTCACTGCATCCCTTGCTCTCTGTCCCCACTCCTTTGACCCCTCTGGGCATCTCTGAGTCCTACTAATGCTCTGCCTCCCCGACAAAAAGCACAGATGAGCTCACACTCACACCTTCACACAAATGCTTTCTTTCCTAGGTCTCTCTTCTCTGGCTTTGTCACTCTGGACTTTGCTTCCGGCTTCAAGTTTCTAGGTGTAATATGTGAAGATTAATGGCAATGAAGCAAACGTGCATAAGAAAATCCACGCAGCAAAGGCAATTCCGTTATTCTCAAGTCCATAGATGCCCAGTGTGACATTGTGAACTGGAGAAAAAGGAGCACTTCCTGTTCAGGAAATCTTGTAAAATCATAAATGTCAGGACTCAGTCAACAATACCCCAAAATGAAGGCCTCAGAAGCATCCTCAGAGGAAAAATTTATTTCTCTGATCTTCTCTTGCCCTCCTGTCTCTTAGCGCCATTCTCCCCTGAGGCTAGACACAGACACTAGAATCCCTCTGCCCCAGGGCAGGGCATGGAAGCCAGAAGCCTTTTTCCCCAAAGCCAGCCATAAAACTTAAAGATGTCACTCTAACTTTCCCTCTGCCTTTCTGTGTGAAAACTGGCCATAAAGAAACTATCTGCCCTACCTTGTTTGACTGAAGGTCATAAGACCCTCATTCCAGAGAGGGTCCTGCCTCATACTCAGAAGGAAGGAATGCACGTTCAGCAAGGCCAAGAAGAATCTAAACAGACAGGCCTTGCTGAGTTTCCCCACTCAGCCGATTGACATTGGATCATGCCCTTTTCGTCTAATCCTATATCTACACGGCTGTCCATACTTTGTTGAACATAAGCATAAAAATGGTCAGTTTCCTCTGTATCTTTGGGTCATTCTGAAGGTTCTCATGTACACATTAATAAAATTTATACCCATTTTCTCCAATTAACCTGCCTTTTGTGAGTTGATTTTTCAGCAAACCTTCAGAAAATGAAGAGGCTTTCCCTTTGCCCCTCCAGTAACAAAATGGTATCTCATTCTCTAAATACAATTATTTCTATAAAATGCCTTTTCTAGGCTGGGTGTGGTGGCTCACGCCTGTAATTCCAGCACTTTGGGAGGCCGAGGCGGGGGGAGGTGGTGGGTGGATCACTTGAGGCCAGCAGTTCAAGTCCAGTCTGGACAACATGGTGAAACCTCGTCTCTACTAAAAATACAAAAATTAGCCGGGCGTGGTGGTGTGCACCTGTAGACCCAGCTACTCGAGAGGCTGAGGCAGGAGAATCACTTGAACCTGGGAGGCAGAGGTTGCAGTGAGCCGAGATCGCACCACTGCACTCCAGCCTGGGCAACAGAGCAAGACTCGGTCTCAAAAAATAAAATAAAATAAAATAAAATAAAATAAAATAAAATAAAATAAAATAAAATAAAATAAAATAAATAAAATATAGTGCCTTTTCTAAAAAGGAAAAAAAATGTGGGCATACCCGCTGTTTACACAACAAATTGATTAAGGAACTCACATATCCTTCCACAGATCTAAAATCCCCTTTAAGAGGTTTTATGAAACAAAGTAGTTTCCTTGTTGAATATATTCCTTGATGAATATATTCATCCATCATTCACCAAAAAAACATTTTGTGTTAAATTTTAAACTGTGAATTACTCTACAAATATAAAATATATGCAAAACAGTAAAAATGTTTACACACAAGGCATTAAAATCTGTTTTCTTTTCAAAGCAGTTAAGGTGTTATTTTTATGCTATTTGGTACTATAAACCAAATGGGATGCTCCTCGATGTCTTAATTTATGCTTGGGACTCCAATACTTGAAGATAGGGGAGCATGAGCTTCTGGAGGAGAAAAAGGCTGTGGGATTTCCTAGCACAGGAGGCTGAGCTGTGATGGTGAGACCATACCTTCTGGTTATAGAGGAGGACAAGCTCTCTGTTCATGGGAACATTGTTGTGTCTCTCAGAGGCCTCAGCCCAAGCAGAAGATCCATCTCCACCTGCACCACCTAAGCCACAGGTTGGCAAACTTTTTCTGGGAAGGATCAGAAAGTAAATATTTCAGGCTTTGAAGGCCATAAGGTCTCTGTGGCAACTACTCAACGCTGCAGTTATGGTACAAAAGCAACCGTAGACACAGTCTATAAATGAGTGGGGGTGGTTGTGTTTCAATGCATGAGCACTGAGATTTGAATTTCAAATAATTTCCACATGTCATGGAATATTCTTTTGGTGTTTTTTTTCCATCAATTTAAAAATGTAAAAATTATTCTCAGCTCATGGCCCATACAAAAACAGGAGGCAGGGCAGATGCAGCCCATTGGCCATAATTTGCCAACCTCTGATCTAAGCATCAGGTCCCAGAAAATTCAAGAAGAGGCGAGAAATCTTCTACCTCTAATTCAGCTGACCTGATGGCAAGACACTGCCGTTCCCCCCGTGCCCCAGAGACGCAGGTGAAGGGCTGGTGCGGGTGCACTATTTCATCAAAGTCCACACCCTCCAGGGAGCAGTAGTTGAATGGGAAACAGATGCTGCATTTTTACCTATTGACAGTAGGCCCTTAATCTTTGCAGCTGAGCTTTCAGGAGACAGCAGCATCAATTCTCCGTGGAGAAAAACTTTCACAAGGATCATGGTCAGTTCCATTGGGCCATTTAGGCTGACATACCTGAGCTTGTCCTGGAGGAAAAGGAGGAGCGGCCCTGGGCAGCGACCCCAGAATGGCCGGTTGCTTCAGAGAGCTACTTCAGCTGAGAGCTACTTCAGCTGCTCAGCCCCCTGCTGGGTGCTCTCCACCAGGAGGTCCTGAGAGAGGGCTTCGGCCACCAGGGGGTCTTTGAGGAAGCACTGGAGGAACAAAGCCCACCCTCAGCACCAAAAGGGAGAGAGCTGGTAGGCCAGTGTCCCCTAATGAGGATCCCTGCTGGATAAGTAGGGACAACAACCGGTAGCCTGGAAAAACAGCCAGACAGGAGGCAGAGACAGGGGCCTGCCCAGGAGGTCCAAGGGAAGAACAGACAATCACGAGAGGAAGGTGGGCCTGTCTGTAAGGACCCCTATTCCAGCCGCTTCAGACTATCTTCCGGCCCACTCCCCTACTACGGCCCATCCGGGAATGGCTTCGGGACTTGGAGACAGGACAGGCTCAAAGGGAGCCAGGGAGCCCTCTGTGCCCTCTTCAGGACCCTGAAGGGAAGCCTCATTGTTACTGGGAAAGGAGCAAAAGGGATTTCAGAGGGAAGTGGTTGGCAGGAGCAAGGTCAGGAAAGGACCTGTGCTGTGGAATGGGAGGGGGTGGATCTGATCTGGCCATAACCTGGGCATGGCAAGAACGATGATTACAAATGCTCTATATCCCACTGCCACGGTCCCAGTGATACCCCTGCACAGAAGAGCACCAGGCCCTCGAGAAGAACATGCAGAGAGGACAGAGGGGGCGTGCTGTTCACAAGGCCCAAGGCTGTGGCCTCCCGAAGAAAATGTAAGGTTCAGGATTCTGGTTTTGTTTTTGTCTTTATTTTGAGGGAATGGGGTGGTGGTGGCAGGTGGCTTCAGGGGTACATGTAAGTACCTGAGCGGTGTCCATTGCTTTGTGGGGGGATCGTGACATTGGATTCCAGGAAGGATATAAATGAAGATAGGCAGACTGACAGCTGGTGGGAAAAAACCCTGGGACAGAATCTGGGGAAGGAGAGTGCATGGTTCATCACCACGTACATGCACCACCCAGAACAGGGCCCAGCACACAGCAGGTGCAGGGCAAGATCATAGGTTAGTCCACTAAGGGAAGATCAGTGCTGGATTTGCATATCTGTGCCCACTGCTGCCCTGGACAGGCTGCCCAACTGCTGTCAGGGTTCTGTGTATTGTGGGAGAGAGGATAGGAGATTGCGTTCCTTCATTCCCACATTTCCCAGTTCCGATTACTTCTCTGTCACTAAGGCAAAAAAGACCACTAGAGCAAAGAAAAACCCTGAGGTCACAACCAACACCCATGAAGAATCAGGCAGATTCCAGCCCTTCAGAGACAGGAGAGTGAGAGTGCAAAGAAGCCAGCACAGAGGGACTGAGGCTATTTGCAGCTCCCGTTGAGACTGGACAGTCAGCATCTACAGTAGCTTTGGGCTCTGTTCCTTTGGGATGGTTCCTCCTAGCCCTGGGCTATCCCAACAGGGAACACATCCAAGGAGCTTCCAGGATAGGAGGAACTTTGACCTAGGAGCTTTGTTATGGCTTTGATCATCTGGTTTGATCTTATAAATGACACATAGATGATCTTCCTGTTTTCCCATGAGGTGAACCTAACTCTGGAGTCTGGAGGAAAAGTGGCCAGCCGGGTGTGGAGAACAGGTGAGAGTGGAGGCTGCTTGGACCTGGAAAGTGGGGAGACCACAGAGATCTCCAACTCAGGATCTCAGACACACAGCCACATGCCTGTTGCATCCAGCACAGAGCGTGGCCCAGGAAAGCACAAGTTATAGCTGTGGTATCAAGTCAGAGGACCTAGGAAGCTCTGGGTGGCACCAGGAAGCGGGTGCTCATTCTCGGGAGAAGACCTAGAGTGACCTAGGGAAGCCTTCTGAGAGGACAGACAGATCCTGGTAACCGCTGGTGGGGCCTCAAGGACAGGCACTTTCATCCCCAGGCTGCCCTGCTGCTATTTCTGGGTGACAGTGATGTCCCAGGGATGTGACTACCAAAGGAGAGAAGAATGGAGGAAGAAAGAGGTACCTGGTGGGGGTGCCAGGGTCTCTGCCACTTCCCAGGATGGAAGGGCAGTCATGATATCTGGTGGTACAGAGCTTAGTTGGGCAGGGGCTCTGTCAGTGGGCGGGCTTTTTTCTCAAACTAACCAATTCTCCACCTCTCCAGACACCAACTGCATCTCCTACAATTTGATTCAATTATGACACTAACTACCTGGAGTTGGCATGGATCCCCACAGTTACAGGCTCAATCCCACACGACTGCCCCACTTCAGATGCCAATCACACGTCCGAGCCTCCTACACTTCTCACCAACCGAATATAAATTGGGAGTTCCCACAACTCCCCTTCTCAGGTTCGATGATTTGCTATATCAGCTCCCAGAACCACTTTCTGTTATGAGTGTAGGATAAGAAATACAATGCAGGAACAGCCAAATGAAGACATGCACAGGGCAGGCGATTGCGGGGTGGGGTGGGTGGAGCCTCCATGCCCTCTCCAGGCGCCCCACCTTGCGAGCGCCTCCATGTGTTCACCAACCGGGAGGTTCCCTAAATCCCAACATTTAGGGGTTTTTATGTAGGTTCCACTGTGAAGGTGCGAGAGATTAAATCATTGGCCACTAGCTTGATCACTAGCTCCTTTCCCCTTCTCAGAGGTCAGGGGTGGGGCTGAAAGCTTCAACCCTCTAATCCTGCACAGAGCACGGCCCAGCCCCTTCTTGAAGCTGTCTAGGGGCCCCAGCCACAGGTCATCTCATTAATACACAAAAGACACTCTTATCACTCCAGAGATTCCAAGGGTTTTAGGAGCTGTTTGTCAGGAAACAGGTGAAGACCAAATATATATTTCTTATTATCACAGTCGGGAACTTCAACTAAGCAGTATTAGGCCATACCATTCCTTTGTTCAGAAAAGCTGCACCAGTCGAGCTATTTTCTTCTGCCTTTTATTTTAAAGGGGGATTTGGAATACAGTATTCTAATAAGAATCTCCCGATGACATATATTGTATCAGATCGATCGTATATCTTTTCCAATCTACTTGCTGGCAGGAAGCATGTGTCGAATGAACATTGAGGAGTCAGTTCATTACACATCGCAAAATTATATTTGTCTATTTCTAGATCCAGAGACCAGACGTGGATATGAGCAGATGACAGAATAAAAGCTGGGAGTTGTATATTAAAGGAGTAATGTTTGCTTTTAACCAACAGTGGTTCTCTGTTTCCTTCAGAATCCTGCTCATCTCCCCTCCAGAAGAGGACAGAATTCACTCCTTTTAAATTGAAAAAGTCTGCTCCAAAAACTCCTGTGCCAAGGACTTGGAAGACTGGCTTAAAGTCTGAGTTCTACCAGTTCCTCCTCCCTTGTGATCTTGGCCCTCCTTCGGACGCAGTTTCTACATTTATCAACTGAGCACATTTCAGTGGACAGTGGTTTCAAGCAAATGAGATAATTCCTGCACAATTACTGTGTAAGGTTTGACACAACCCTGTGGATAAGAACGCAGGCAGAAGAGCTGAGACCACATCCAGGTTCCTCACTTGCTAGTCCATGGAACTGGGTAACAGTCTGATTCCTCTCCATCTGTAAATTATGCACCACATATATCCATGCTTCATGAGATCATGTCCAAGACATCTTTGTAAGGTTAAAATTGCAATGGACATATGAATATCGATTACACTGTTCAATAATTTCCCTAGAGCCCTTTGGGTCTGTGCATCGACATGGTGAGGGTGAACGATTCCACAGTTCTGCCTCTTTCAGGACTGGAAGAAGGCACCTAAATCTTGGCCCTCTGGCCCACACGGAGTCTTCCACTCAGTCATTCAGCAAGTACCGTTTTTATTGTGCAAAGAGCAGTGGTGTTCAAGGCACTGCATTAAGCCCACAGATACCTGCAACAGACAAATAGAGATCTCCCCTCCTCATTATCAGGCCGAGCTGATGAGCAGGTGATCCTGACAGTGAACGCTGGAGAAGACAGTGGGAGAGAGAGACCCTTCAGAGCTGGAGTCAGGCCAAAGGAAACAAGGCCAGATGTAGATGGTATTCCCTCTGATGACACATCCAGGGACAAGGAATAATTGTCACAGAGGTAGATTTTGAAGAGTGGCAGAGAATTATCGAAGAGCTGGGACTGTCTAAATGCAGAAAATATTGCTTTGTAAACTAAACAGTTGTATGTCCCTAGAAATATACCAAGCAAGGCCTGGGTAAGCAGCAGGGTATGGCTTTATCATAAGGATTCTCGCTGTGACTACAGGGTTAAAATAAATGACCCACACCTTTCAAGAGTGTGTGATTCTATCAACTTCAGCGACTTCTTGGCATAGGTGTACCTAGAGATTTCACAGTTAACCTCACACTCTGTATTCTAAAACTGAACTTAATTTTTTTTCTCCCCAAACCATTTGGCAACCTCAAGTCCGTGTTCTCCTTAGCAGAACCTCCCTTCTTTTCAGTCTTGAGGTTCAAAACTCCCAATTTCCTTTCACTAAGATTTTCTGGACACATCTCTTGTATATTAGGTACCATACCAAGAACGGCCCTCATGCTCAAAATAGAGCAGGACAGTCCAATACAGGATTCATTTAAACTGTGAACGAAGAAACAATCTTAAAATGCATCTCAACAGAGAGACAGATGGGAGACACAAAACTCCTGTGCATAAGTCTCAGCAGAACAAACCCCACTCACACAGCCCCAGCCCCAGTGGTCAGGTCCTCCTGCTGATGCCCTTCTTGATGTCTGTCTTTTCTTACCCTTTTTGCCCGAATTTATTACCTTATTGCCCCAAACACGGGTCACTACGATATCATCCAACAGAAAGAATTTTGAGCTGGTGGTAGGGACTGAATCGTGTCCACCCAAAATTCATATGTTGAAGTCCTAACCCCCAATGTGAAAGTATTTGGAAATGAGGCCTTTAGGAGACAATAAGGCTTATATGAGGTCATGAATGAGGGTGGAGCTTCCATGATAGGATGAAAAGAAGACATACCAGACAGCTCGCTTCCCTGCTCCCTCTGCCACGTGAGGACATAGGAAGAAGGTGGCTGTCCGCAAGCCAGGAAGAGAGCCCTAACCAGGAATCGAATCAGCTGGCCCCTTGATATTGAACTTCCCAGCCTCTGAAGAGTGAGAAGATAAATATTTGTTGTTTAAACCACCCAGTCTATAGTATTTTGTTAGGGGAGCCTGAGCTGACGAACACAACTGGTCCACAGCACCTAACCAGAAGGATATTTTTAATTCATGAAATGGGTTGCTCTAAACAAGATAATTTAACCAGGTCAACAGCAGTGAAATCTCCTTTCCTCTTCATGGACTCCAAGAGAGGAACAACCCAGTAACAAACAATCACGGCCTTGCATGAACCAAGCCCCTCCTTCCCTTAGCCCTACCCGCTCCCATGCAGCAGCCTTGGGACACAGGGGCAATTGAGAGACTGTGTTTTGCTATGGATTCTGGTGGCAGCCTGGGGCCGCTGTGATGGCTGCTATATCTATCCTATTAAGTTGATACCCTAAAACTCAGCTCTACTCCCCCAGCTGTGCTCAAAACAAGAAATACAGGGACCAACAGGACCATGGTGTGGTTAAGAAGCTACCAGCAATCCACATTTATCTCAACAAGCAGCGAAGATCTCAAGAATCTTCTACTTTGGTCACAGAAGGAGCTAGGCAACCAATCACATTTCTCTCTTTTCTCTTGTATCCATGCATCCAATAAATGATATTCTCCTCTTTTTTAAGTGTCCAGTTCTAAAGAGTACTTAATTCAATTGAGCATTTTGCTGCTTCACTGAAATGGCAATCTTCATTGAAGAGAGTGAAAAAGAAACGTATCCTATAGAGTTTCTTTTCTTTTCTTTTCTTTTCTTTTCGAGACAGTCTTCCTCTGTTGCCCATGCTGGAGTGCAGTGACGAGACCATAGCTCACTGCAGCCTTGAACTCCTGAGCTCAAGCGATCCTTCTACCTCAGCCCCCTCACTCTGCACAGTAGTTGGGACCACAGGTGTGAACCACCATGCCCAGCTAATTTTTAAAAGATTTGTTATCACAGACAAGGTCTCACTATGTTGCCCAGGCTGGTCTCGAGCACCTGGGCTTAAGTGATCCTCCTGCCTTGGCCTCCCAAAGTGTTGGGATTATAGGCATGAGCTACTATGCCTGGCCCCCTTCCTATAGATTTTCAAAACAAACAAACAAACAACAAAAAAAAAACACTCCAAAACAGGTGGAGGGTGAGGGGAGGGAAATTAGAAAATGGGTCAATAGGTGCAGCAAACCATCATGGCACACACATATGTATGTAACAAACCTGCACATTCTGCACATGTATCCCATTTTTTTGGAAAAAATAAAAACAAAACAAAACAAAACAAATGATCAAAAAAGATTGTAATATTTACACATTCAGATATTTCTATCTTTAACCTCTGGGTTGAACATTCAGTCTGCTAAAGTTTCTCCCAATATTTTTATTGATTTAGGTTTATATTTAAATTTTTAAGTAAATTGGAATTTTAGTATATGATATTTCTTTTGTCTCAGAAGGATAGCCACTAGTTTCATTATTATTTTTAAATAAATTATCCTTTCTTCACTCAAAAAAACAAAAACAAAAACAAAAAATGACCACCATTTTGGAGCCATACTTGCAGAAACAGTAAGTCTTCTGTATATTTCAGAAGTCAAAGACTGCACAACACTCTAGGATCCTCCAAAGGGTATTCTTGTTGTGAGCTACTCGGAGATATGTTTGAGTCTCTGCTCATCTTTCTTGACAGAAACAAGGCTACTGTGAGCAGCTCTTCGATAAAACAAAAACCAGTGTGCCAAGACTTGGCCACAGGTGGGCAGATATGGCCTATTATCCCAAGTTTGCACAAGCATGTTCATGATATAGTTTTATTTTAGTAATTCGTTTGTTGACTATCTCATGTGTTCCTTCAACTTCAACCCCTTTTGCTACAAAAAAAGGATTTATTTTGCACAAGGAACTGGATAAAATTCACGTCAGATTCTTAAAAGCAGCCATAGATATAGGCAGCCCCACTTTACTGTCTTCAAAACAAAGATTCCGGGTTTCAATTCCTGCCGGAAGCCTGAACTGGTAAGACAAATTAGAAATCCATTCTCTGTTTACCTATTTTTTTTTTTTGAGGGCTGTTTTGGAAGAAAACAGTATAAACTGTTTTGTCAACAAACCAAAGAAAAATTATGACTCAGACCACTGAAAGGGAAAGGTTCCAGGCAATAGTGAAGCAGTAAGAATACAACCACTTTGACTTTCACCCACAGGTACATTTTTTATTTGATGATTACAGACAAAAGAATGCCATAATAAAACCAAGTGGGACATGGGCAATACCACTGCCATGGCTGGACTGTGAGGCACTCAGAGAGAGGCAACATCTGACTGGAAGAGCAGCCCGTGGAAGGAGGGACCTGACTTTGCCACTTTATCATCCTGCCAAAGTGGGCCAGCCTCCGAACATCTTGGATGAGGACATCTTCCCAATAAAAGTGGGAATGAAATGTCACAAAATAAAACCTCATGGGAGTGGTGTGCAAACCAGATGAAGTCTGAAACCTGTGACACAAAAGTACCTTGCCAACGAGGCATAGACATCTATTGTACTGCCTGTCCTGTCCTCGTCTCCCTTCTGGGGACAACCCAGAGAACCCTGCCTGAGGAATGTTCCCTCTCTCACCCACAGTCCTTGCGGCCCAGGTAAGTCTGACCCCATGAGGGTTCCTGGGGTGTATACATGCCCAGATCTGGTCAGTCATAGCACGGTGTTCCCTGGCAACAGGGCCTGGTTCAGGAATATCATGCAGGGCTATTCTACCTAAGACCCCTGCTGGAGTTTTCATTGGTAAGATGCAACTGGGCCACCACTTGGGTAGAACCTGCCTGAGAATAAAACCAACACAAGGTGGGGAAAGCTAAGGGACCACGAGGAAGAGAAACAGTGCCTTAAGTAACTGCTAGCACTCTTGGATCTTTACTTGAAGCCAAACGCTTGCCTGGATATCCCAGTTTTATGAAAAATTCCTTTATGGATTGTCTAAGAGTTAGTTTGAACTGGGCTGTCTGTCTTTGGAGCTGAAAGAATCTTGACCAATATAGTATGACTCTCTCTCTCTCTCTCTCTCTCTGCCTCTTTCTCCCTCTCTTTCACACACACACACAAAATATCATCAAAAGCTTCACTGACCACACTACAAATTCTAGCATATTTGCAGAAAGATCTCACTACTCATAATGGATGGGAATTAGCAAACTCACTTACTAATATGGATCTTAGCAAATCAAATTCATCATATCTTTTAATAACAATATTAAAAGAACCATGCAGTGTTACTATGTGCCTTTTATTCAGGAAGATACATATAGCTCAACCTTGGGAAATCTATCAATAGTTCAAATAAGTATATATATATACACATGCTTATCTCAGTAGACACTGAAAAAATACATTAGACATAACTGATTATGTGACTCATAATCACATAGTGAGCGTTCCCAGTGTAAGCAACATGTTCCTAGGGTTAGGAATTCCTGTGTGTTTCCACACTAACTCCTTAATGCTGCCACTGCACAGATCCATTGAGCATCAGTCCTCAACTCTTTGTGGAAATGATCCTCAGGTCTAGGATGATGGTGACGTTGACCCGCTGATGGTAACAGCTAATGTTTACTGGGCACAGACGCCATTAGGTGCTGCACGAAACACATTTCATGTGTCCCCTCATGTACACACAACTGCTTTATGAGGTGGATATCATTATTATTATTATTCTCATTTTACAAGACATCAAAGCAAAGAGGCTAAGAACCTGCCTGAAGTCACACAGCTAAGTGACAGAGCTGAAATATGCAAACCAACATACATTTGATTTAAAAGCAAATGTTTTTAACTACATAATATAAAGTATGATACGTAAGTTAGGAACACGTTTTCTTTTTAAAATTTTTATTCTGTTATAAATTACAAGACCAAAAAGGCTAAGAAACACACTTACGCAAAAAGTGATAATCATGGTTAACTTTTTGGTATATGTAAATCCAGACTCTTCTCCTTACATATATAAATACAAGTAAGTGTAGAAATATTTAATATGAATAATATCACATGTTGGTGGTTGTATACTCTATATGCCTTAATTATTACTCTAGAAATATTATTATACTTACTTAGTAAAAGTTTAATAGTTCTAAACTACACAGCTTTACCTCTGATCACCTCACAAAGTACATGTTGTTATTATTGATAGCCGAAGCATGTTTATCTTTATTCTTGTGCCCATTATTTCCTTTGCTCACTGCATCTGAGAACTTCCATTTGCGGTCACTTACTTAAATCTTCCAGAAGTACACCTTCAGAAGTTCCTTTAGTGAGGTCTCAAATCCTCTCAAATTTTTATCTAAAAATGTTTTATCTCCTCATTCTTAAAAGATAAATTGTCTAAGTATAGAATTCTAGGTTTACAATTATTTTCAACTAGCATATTAAAATATTGTATTGTCGTCTGGCATGCATGATCACTGTTTAGAAGTCATTCATCAATCTAATTGCTGCTCCTGTATAGGTGATATGTCTGCTGTTTGTTACTGCTTCTAAGTTTTTCTCTTTGTTATTTTCTATTTTCCCTACATCTAGTTAAGGTTTGAATATCTCTTTATTTATCTCGCTTGGAATTTGTTGTTGCTCCTGAATCTGAGGCTCAATGACTTTCATCGATTCTGAAAAAGTATCAGCCTCTTCTCTTTGAATCTTAATACACCTAACTTCCCTGTTCTCCCTACCATCTCTACCTGAAACTCTAACTTACATAAGAAGGAGGAGGTCTCACCTCTCTGTCTCCCAGCCACTCTTTTATATTTTTGAACTCTGATTCTGTGCTGAATTCTCTGTAATTTCTTTCATTCTACTTTCTAAGTCATTAATTCTCTATTCATCTGTGTTGAGTAGCTATTTAATTCGTCCATGCTTTACTAATTCTGTTTATTTTTCAATGCTGTAATTTCCTGACACCCACTTGGACTAAAGGACTGCCAGCCAGCTGACTGCCTTCAACTGGACCCTGAAACCTGGTAATGAGTATCTCACTAGGAACCACAATTAAAAGAAGATCAGAGATTAGCTTCTAATTTTCCTGAGCTGCATAAGGCCCAAGGTGTCGTAAATACCCTAGGAAAAAGGTGCACCTTCCTCAAAACAAATGATGAGACTGAATGTTTAAACAGCCAAGCTGGAAGAAATAAGTTGGGTTTAATTTGATGGAGAAAATACAGCAATAAGATGGAGTTTGCACTCAGCTACCATCAGACAATTCATATAACCTATACAATGTCATTCGGTGCATTGTTTCAAAACTAGTGAACTATAGGTTAAAAATGACTTTCTTTGTACCATTAAGTACTTTTTAACATTTATTTTTATTGATTTTAATATTGTGATGACAGCTTTCCTTCCTTCCTTCTTTCTTTCCCTCCCTCCCTCCCTCCCTCCTTTCCTTCCTTTCTTTTCTTTCTATTTCAATAGCTTTAGGGGTACAACTGGTTTTTGGATACATGGATGAATTGTATAGTGAAGGCCGAAATTTTAGTGTACTTGTTGCCCAAGTAGTGTGCATTGTACTCAATATATAGTTTTTTAGCCGTCACTCCCTCCACCCTTCTGAGTCTCCAATGTCCATTATACTACCCTGTATGCCCCTGCACATCCATAGCTTAGCTCTCGCTTCTAAGTGAGAACATAAGGTATTTGGTTTTCCATTCCTGAGTTACTTCACTTAGAATAATGGCCTCCAGCTCCATCCAAGTTGCTCCAAAAGGCATTATTTTGTTATTTTTTATGGCTGAGTAGTATTCCATGGTGTATATATACCAAATTTTCTTTATCCACTCATCAGTTGACAGGTACTTAGGTTGGTTCCCTATCTTTGCAATTGTGAATTGTGCTGTAATAAACATGTGTGCATGTGCTGTTTTGACATAATGACTTCTTTTGCCTTTGGGTAGATACTCAGTAACTGCCAAACCTTTTGCAGTAGTCCCTTGTTATCTTTCACTTTCAGTTACCCAAGGTCCGTGCTTTCAGTTACCCAAGGTCAACCATCCCAGGAGTGATTACGTTCTTACCATCTCATCTCACTAACTCTTCTAAGGCAGGTAGTAAGCCACTTTTATTGGAATGAACATATGTACATATATATTCATTCTAATTCATTCATTCCAATATATATATTCATTCTAATAAAAATATATATTCACATATAATTCTTTTTATATGTCCATAATATATATTCATATGTTCATAATATATATATTCATATGTTCATAATATATATATTCATACAGATGCTCTCCACTTCTGATGGGGTTACATTTCAATAAACCCATCGTAAATTGAAAATATCTTCAGTCAAAAATGCATTTAATACACCTAACCTACCAAACACCCTAGCTTAGCCTACCTTAAACATGCTCAGAACACTTTCAGTATATATCCAATAAATTACATGAGACACTAAACACTTCATTATAAAATAGGCTTTGTGTCACATGATCTGGCCTGGCATCTTGGGAGAGTACTGTACCAAATATCAATAGTCCAGGAAAAGATCAAAATTCAGAATTTGAAGTACAGTTTCTACTGAATGCATATCACTTTGTAACCATCATAAAGTCAAAAATCTTAAGTGAAACCCTTGTAAGCTGGGGACCATCTGTATAGTCAATACATATATTCATATGTTCATAGGGTCTTTTTTTTAAACTAAAAAGAGGGGCTGATAGAAGAGGAGTTAAAAGACAGATCCAGAATGTGGGTTCTGGTGTGAGATGATAAAATGTGGAGAGAGGCTCAAAGACATACGTGGATGGCTGGTTGCATAGGGAGGTGCGGGTGCTGTGACCATTGGCAGCCTATCCTCCCATTGCCCCAGGCTCCCCAACTCAGACGGAGCCCACCACCATCTCCTCCAAGGCTCTTCAGGCTCCACCCCTTATCCTAAGACCCTCTGGTGAGAGCCTTACACTGCGTTCCAAAGCAAACTATGCCCTGCTGTTTAAGGCTGACCTGCTGCCAGGCACAGGAAAACCATTTGTGTTTATCTTCCAAATACCATGGAAATTCCCTAAGAACCGGCATGGTGTCTGTTCAGCTTTTTCTCCCGGGACTTTCCAGGACCCTGCCACATGAGAGGTGCTTTCATGCCAACCATTCACGTTATAGATAAGAAAACCAAAAGCCCAAAGAGAAAAGGTAGGGGTGTCCCAGGGCACCATGCCATGTCAATGCCAGGACTGGGCCACTGATTCCTCTTCCTACCCTCTCACGCTGCTGGATGCCTAGTTAACACCTCTGGTTCATTTCTCTTCAGCACAGTCCACTCATTAATTATCTTCCCTTCTCCCTCCAGATCACCCAGGGAAAGCCAGTGTGACAGTGGAAAGAAGGTACACTTGGGATCAGGCAAATCCGTGTGTTAGGATCAGCCTTTCAAGGCTCAGTTCGACCACCTTTATTTCCTCACCTGTGAAATGGGCGATTGAGCCCAGCCATCCTGAACCAGGTGAGTTAGCTGGCATTGGATAGTACTGGCTTAGTGCAGCCCCTGCCTCAGTGGACCTGAAGGGGATCTGGGCCAGCAGTACCAGCATCACTGGAACTTGTTAGAAATGCCGATCTCACCCCAGCCCACTCCCACCCCTGAACGACTGACTCCAAAACTGAGATGGGGCAGCACTTTGTGTTTTTACAAGCCCTCCTGGTGATCCCTGGGTCAAGTTTGCAAATCACTGAGGTACCTATTTGACCACGCCATCTAGTGGCAGACAGACCTAACAGATCCTGCGTTCTAGAAAATGGTTTGTTTCCAGTGCTGGAATATTCAGCTTGGAGGACTCCGAAAGACGCTCCCCTCAAGAAGCCTCTAAATGCATGAAGGCACAGACTCTGTCATTCTTTCCACCCAGTGTATTCCCAGCACCTAAGCACCGTGAGGAATGAAGGGCAGATATTTAATAAATATTTATTGAATGAATGAATGAGGACAAATGAATTAACTTGAAAAAAGGGGCACATGTCCTAACTCCTAGTCTGTCCATAAAGTGTTGTACAAAACTTGATTGTCTTGGGACTCAGCCTGAGGCCCAGCAGGGCCAGGTAAGGAGGTACAAGGAGCCAGCCAGCTACAGAGGTAAGTTTCAGATGTGCAGGCAGACCAGACACAGCATCCGTCCCACAGCACAGCAGCCTAGCCCCCGACCCAACAGAGGATCCATAGAGAGTGGTCAGATCCCATCTGGTCAGTCCAGAGCATGGGAGGGGCCAAGAGGAAGAACAGTCCTTGGACAGTGGGAACCTTACCCCACTCTGTCAGTGAGGACAAGGAAGGAGGAGTGGGTGATTAGGGCATTGCTGGTCTGCATTCAGCTGCAGAAGTCAGGACAGAAGAATGGTCCAGCAAATGGAGAGGGGTGGTGAGAAGACTGTCACAGCACAACAGGGACAGGAGGAAGCAGCCGGATCCAGGAGGTTCAGGGAAGGGACAAATCCAAGGTCACCACTGTCCTTCTTCCCAGGGCAGTGCAAGGTAGGGACAGCAGAGGCAGGGCCTAGAGGCTCTTCCCGCAGTGGAACTGGGAATGCCCAGAGCAGGGACAGCTTATGATCCTGCACACACCCAGCAGACTCAGAGTGCCAGGGAAGATGGGGCTTGCTGGTCCATGACAGACCCCCTCTCTTCAACAAGCACATCTGGTTTTTCCTCCCCAACTTTTCACTGCTGGGCTGGTAAGATGCCTTTCAATCCCAAACCCTGTGCCATGTTCCACACTACTAGGATGGTGCTGAGAGAAACAAGTAGTGCTTACAGAGCACCTACTGTGTGCCAGGTACCATCCCAAACATTGGTAAATATAACCATGCCACAATCAAATGAGATGAGTGCTGTGATCACCCCCCATTTTACATATAAGGCAACAGCAGGAACAAGAGAACAACCAGCCACCCACACACTACGGTCCCCTGGTCCACCAGGTCATGCAATGCCTTGTCCACCTCTGAATCCCAAGCACACAGAACAGCCCTAGTGCATGGCCAGTACCCAACGGAGGAGCCACCTCATTTCACAGCTGGGAAAATGGATGCATTCAATGTCTATACTGTCTCCTAGTGGATTGTGTTAACTACTGGGTAGACCAAACATTTCCACCTCATCCTGTTTCTTTGGGTCTTTAAAAAAAGGGAGGGGGTTGGGGAGAAGGAGGAAAAGAAGGAAGGAAAAAAGGAGCAGGAGAGGGTGAGGAGGGAAGGAGAAGAGAGAGAGAGAAAGAGGGAGGAAGGGAGGGGAGAAGGAGAAAAGAAAGGAGAAGGAAGAGAAGGAGGAGGGAGGAGAAGAAGCAGAGGGGGGATGGGAAGGAGAGGGAGAATTCTCAGAATGGAAAATTCGGCAAGTTTCTGCAGACAAATTATAACCTCCCGAATTTGGTTTTTAAGTCACTAAGTCAGGCAACAAAAGGTGATCTCTTTTTATGAAGCCACAGTAAAACGCAAATTTGTTTTCAAGTGAAACTTAAATCATAAATTAATTTCCTAAAATGAATGCAAATACACATCTAAACCTGGATATGCACCAGCAACCAAAAACGGGACAAATCACACACTAATTACTGTTTGAATGAAGATCCAATTGTTAATTGCAGTGTGTTTCAGGCATTCCATGTGAGCAACTTACCTGAAAAGCTTTTCAATTTGTATGTCAGGAAAGTTGGTAATTAAACACTTCAACTCCCTATTGACTTTTATTAGAGATATGATAATCTTTGCATAGTTTGCTTATAATTATTTTATTTGTTAAATGAAATTGATACTTAGTTTAGGAAAGTGTTAATGTTACAATTTTTTTTTAAAAAACCCCTGGGACCTGTACTCAACAGGAAGCATGTAAAGCTGCCTATACTCGCAAATGGTGTATAGGACCCAAAGATGAGGTCTGCCAAGCACATAAATGGCATCTTAAATGACTAATCGTCTTTCCTTAGTCTTGTCTATACACGACCTTGACTTCATCAACAGACTCACTTTTAAATGATTGTTAAAAGTAACCCTGTGATACAACTGCACTTTTGGGGTATTCTTGCCAAAAAAATTAAAATTTTAGAAAAGCGCAACTCCAATGCAATTGTGAGGCAACATCAGACAAAACCAAATTGAGAGATATTTTGCAAAATAACTGGCCTATACTTGGCAAAAATGTTAAGGTAATGAAAGAAAAAAACAAACAAACAAACAAAAAAAACTGAGAAATTAGTCCAGAATTAAAGGACACTAAAGAGACATCAGAACTTAATGTAACTTATAATCCTAGGTTAAACCCTGAACTTGAAAAATCATTTTTTTTGTTATGAGGAACAATTGGTGAAAATTGAATAAGGTCTGTGGATTAGATAATGCTATTACATTAATGCCAACTTCCTGATTTTTGTCATAAATTGTAGTTACGTGGGAAAAGTCCTTATTCTTAGGAAATAATATACCTTGAAGCATTTAGAGTTAGAAGGCACATTGTGTATGCCACTCATTCTCAAGTGGCACAGTGAGAGAGAGAGAGAGACAGAGAAAAAAAAAACTGATAAAGCCAACATGGTAAAATAGCAACACAATGGGGGAATCTGGGGGACAAGTATACAAGTGCTTTCTGTATTATTCCTGCAACTTGTCTGTAAACTTGAAATAAGTTCAACATAAAACATTACCAAAAACACAAAACCTTGTGATGGACACATCTCTTTTCATTTGTTTGGGATCTGGAGGATGTGGAGACCAATTCATTCAGTCATTCATTCATTATTTAACAAATATTTTTTAAGCACCAAGTGTGTGCCAGACCTTACTGAAGGTGTTGGGGACACAGCAGTGGAGAGTGGGCAGGGGGAAGGCAAAGTTCTGACTCCAGGGGGAAATGAAGCAACTTGGAGGTTTCTGGCAAATCCCCATCTCCCTTGGAGGTCTTGAGCTCAAGGTGCCTTAAACTCAACCAAACGCCTGATCTTCCCCCAACCCCCACCAAAAAGCCCAAAATATCTGGATCTCGTCCAGTATTTTCTAGCTGGGGATATGATAGCCTATCCACCCAGTGGTCAAATCAGGAACACTACCACTCCCTCTCTCTCATCTCTGATATCTGGTCCATCACTTACTCTCTTGGTTCAATTGTTTCTCCTCCTAAGTATCTGAAAGATCCATTTATTGCTGTCCACATCCAATGTTACGTGGACCGGGCCTCCACGTCCCTCACGTGGACTTCCGAAATGGCCTCCGGGCAGGCCTCCCTCCTCACCAGCCTGCTGCCAATAAGAATGTCCTTCATTCCGCAGCCAGAGAGCTTTTCAGAACCCACCTCTGATCACATCACGCCCCCACTCACCACACTTCAATGGCCTCCTGTTGCATTTGGAAACAAAGACTCCTTTCTTTCACAATACTTATTATTTAATAAATGGCCGACTCTCCTGCCACACAGGAAAGCTCTGTGAAAGCGGAAACCACGCCTGGGTTTGCACACTACTGTGAGCACACGGTTGGCATTCAATTAATATTTGTTTAATTAGGTGGATAAGCAATTAAAATAATTAATGTCTGGCTTGGGCCAATGAATGGATAGTGGTGCCACTTGCTGCCACAGGGGACATAGCAGGAGGAGGAAATATGTGGGAGCGGTGGGCTTTGCAGAATCTGTGGGACACCACAGACCCAGCAAGCAGCTGGGAATAAGGCCTGCAGTTTGTGACACTGACTAGGAAAAGGCACACACTGGTCCTGAAATGTGTTGAATACCGGAACAGTCTTCAGCATCTTTCCTTGCCTGCAGGAAAGAAATGGAGGGGGTCTACATTCTCCTCTGTTCACCAATGGTTGGTCAGTCATTTGCATAAATTTGCATAAGTGTCCAGTGCTGCCTGTGTTAGAGACTGATGGAACACACACGTAGCCAACCTGTTTTATGCCACATCTTTCCAACCCACCCCCACCACACCACCACCACCAGCACTGAGCACAGCACCCTTTGTGCAGGGAATAGAAGTGTTCAGGGAGGCTGGCTGAACTGAATTGGAAGTTTTCTGGCGTGAAATATTTTCAAAAAAAAAAAAAAGAGAGAGAGAACACAGCTGTGATCCTTGATCACATTCATTCATTTTATTCTTTGGGGGACTTGGAATCCATCAAGCATATCAAATTATGGCAAACGATTCCAGACTATGCCTCATTTCAAACTGCTGATGGGATAGAAACATCAATGCTGTTCTAAAAATAATAATAAAATAACTTTTTGCAGTTCTGTTATTTCACATTTAAATTAACTTCCATCACGGATTTCATAATTATCTCAAAAGCATCATCTTGCTTTTAAAGCTGTCACATTTTCTTGACATGTTTTAAAGGGGCCAGCCCTTTATTATCTGGGGGCCACATGTCCTTGTGAAACTCCTGGGGTTTTCTTCTAGTTGCCACTGTCCAGAGGCCTACAGAGTTTTGTTCCCATAGACCAGAGTTTCTCAACCTTGGCACTATTGACATTTGAGGCTGGATAAGCTCTTTGCTGTGGGGGCTGCCCTGTGCACAGTAGGATGTTTAGCAGCATCCTTGGCCTCTACCCGTAGATGCCAGTAGCACCCCTACTCCCTGGAGGTGTGGCAACCAAGAATGTTTCCAGACATTGCAAATGCCCCCAGTTGAGAAGCACTGTGTGGATACACGTTTGGCCTCTGTGCCCAGGTTTCTCACATGTCCTGCCACCCAACTTAGAGGTCTATTGAAGATAAGAAAGACAATACTATTTTGTGTGGCTATTAATTTAAAAATTGGTGCACCAATTAACTTTGGCTTCCTGTTCCTCTAAGTCTGGAACTCAGCTCATCTACTGACCTCTATAAAGGGCAACTGTGTAACTTTCCTGGCCTCCCTTCAGTGATTTAATAATTTCAGTGGCTTTTTTAACTGCTGTTAGGGTAATTGGGTGGTCCAGGCCAAAACAGGCAGGAAGTTGCCTTACTCAACAGGCAGAGTATATGGAAGGCCACCCTCCTCTCCTTTGGCCCCACCTCCCTCGCTCAGCCACCAGTAAGGCCTTCAGCTAATTTGTCTCTTGGAAGGCCTGGCTCTACCCGAAGAGCTGGGTTTCCACTCAGGCCAACTCCTCTGGTGCTCCCACCCTGGACATTGCACCCCTGAATCTTCCCAGGCTGTCCTACCTCAGAGTCTTTCCTTTTGCCACCTAAGCCTGGATAGAGAGATGCCTAGTTCCACCTGCAGCTGCTCTCCACTTTTTTAGAGTTGTTGGAAGAAAAGTAGGGATGGCCAAATCAGAAACAAACACATTTATCCTCAGTTACTAACAACTCCTGAATGTGCATTTGAAACAGGAATAACCACCATGGCCTGCCTAATGGTATCACAGGCAGGCAGGCAGGACCAGAAATCACCTGGCCGCATGCTCTCTAAGCCCTGGGACCACCCTGTCAGCCAGGTGGTCTGGTTGGAAGTGTGTAGGTCAATCCTAGGAGGATGTGTGGACAATAGACGGTGAGCAAAGGTTTCTGGGTAAGTTAGTGGCACCAGCGTTTGAGAAAGGCCATATGGAAGAGGTGAATTGGTAAGGGAGGGGGTGGAGGGAGAACAATGGGGCCTCAGATGAGAACCCAGGTTGGCATGGAGAGCCCAGTCATGGGGCCCCTGCAGCGGCCCACTGAGGCCATCAGAGGCTCTCTGCCTGTTGAGTAAGGCAACTTCCTGCCTGTTTTGACCTGGACCAATTACCCTAACAGCAGTTAATTAAAAAGCCACTGAAATTATTAAATCACTGAAAGGAGGCCAGGAAAGGTACACAGTTGCCCTTTATAGACATCAGTAGATGATCTGAGTTCCAGACTTACAGGCAACAGGGCCTGGCCTGGGTTGCCGGAACCTGCCAAGGATAGGGGGCACAGCGTCTGGGTGTAAGACCTACTCATCCACCTACCTGCTGGGGACTCCAGATAAATCTCTGAGCCTCTCTCTGAGCCTCTGTTCTAACCTTTGTGGACAGCAGTATAAAAGTATATAAATCCATTTGACTGTTCAATTCTACTTCAAAGAATTGACAATAAGGAAAAAATCATGTATTCATATATTCATTCATATACGGGGATGTTCAATACAATGGTGTGTACAATTCTGGCAAACAGAAAAGCACACCAAATATTATATGCCCAGATATAAGAATGTGAGTTAATGAATTATGACACAGCCATAAACAGAATATATGCAGCTTCTCAAATCAGTATCCTTGATAGGATATACCATTAATGAAGGGAAAAAAGGGATGACAAAGCAATATGCTCGAAATAATTCTATTTTGTTATATATATATATATACACACACACACAATATTTAGAAAAAAGTCTGTAAGGATATACGCAAAAATGTTAGTTATGGGTGGCAGAATTATCTTAGTGTTTTTGTGCATTTTCCAAATTTTTTACAATCAACACAGATCTTTATTGTGGGGGAAAAGTGGTTGTGGTGAAGAAAGCAACCAACTCCTCAGCAGGGGCTAGGAGAAGAGCTCCAACCTCTGCTTTGTATGTTCTCACAATGAAACCAAAACAGTAAGAGATGTCCCATGTTTTCATACAATGTACAAAAGCAGGAAGTACCTATTTGTAAACATTTTGGCATTTTTGTAGATTTCCCTGAAAAAAATGGTCAAATTGTTATAGACTTGGCAGCCACAGAGTCTCTGCTTATCTGCAAAGAGCCTCAGCTTCCAACTCTAAAGCCTGCACTATTCAATCAGAGGGCAATGAATGCATCTTTTGACCTTGTTGCTGCCTTCCTGAATGCTGTTGGGGTGGCTGAATCTCAAAGCCAGCCTGGAGTCTGTCTTATCAGTAACTGCTGGTAATTAAGCAAGCCATGTCAATAGTTTCACACACAACACAGAAGGCAGTAAATGGGAGGATCCCACTTCCCTTCTGAGAAGACCCTGTGGGACTGTAACACGGAACCTACCACTACCACCAGCCAGTCTCCAAGCTATCACCTACCCTTCTTCTGGGAAGAATGATGAGCTTTGTGTGTCCAAGGTATCAGGTAGGTGTAGGACCTCCTCACCCACCCACCTGCTGAGGACTCGAGGTAAGTCTCTGAGCCTCTCTAAGCCTCTGGTGTAACCTTTGTGGACAGCAGTATAAAATAAAAATATATAAATACATTCGACTGTTCAATTCTGACCTAATCTTCTTCTGGGAAGAATGATGAGCTTTGTGTGTCCAAGGCTCCTTATTAGAAAGTCTAGAGGAACTAGTTTGCATAGGGATTATCTTGGTAGGATTTTCAGATCAAAATCAGTTTCCACAAATAAAAGTCAGAATCTCAATTAGACAGCTCTGGACTATTTTGTTACAGAGACCCACAAATATAGGATATATGCTTTCTTTCCTTCAAGGGAGTCATTGAAAGGCAGCCACATACAAAATAAAAGACAGTTCCCTGGCATCCCTCCATTTATTCATTAACAAAACCCTACTGGGTATCTATTGTATGGGAAGCAATATGGTAGGTGCCAGGGCTGCCATACTGTTGGATACATTCCCTGCCCTCACAGGGCTTCCAGTCAGGTATCAATCAAATAACTGCACAATTTACATGAGGCGAAGTGCTCCAGAAGCAAAGTACAGCTTTATGGGGCCCTGGAAGAATGCATGATAGGTACATTTTACCTGGATAAAGGGATCAGGATAGATTTCCCTAATGGAGTAAGAATTCAAGCTGAGACCAGAAGAAAAGTAGGAATTGGACAGGAAAATGGTTAGGAGTGAGGAGGGGGTAAGGGTAGGGAAGGAGGGACAGTGAGCAATTAATCATTCCAAGAAGAGGGACACAACATAAACAAGAGCCCTCAATTGGAAAGGAGCTTGGCTAAAACTGAGAAATAACTTTTCTTCATTGAACAAAGAGTTTCGTGTGGTGAGCTAGTCCAACAGCCTGACCTGCCCCACAAAAGGAGGGAAAGAGAAAGAGAGAGAGAGAGAGAGATGGTAGACAGATGATAGGTAGGTAGATAGATGATAGATAGATAGATAGATAGATAGATAGATAGATAGATAGATAGATAGATAGATAAAAATGAATGGATTGCTGGATCTGGAAAAGATGCAGAAATAATCTCCCTATGACCTTGTGTCTTAGTGAATCTCAATAAAGACAGACAATAAAGCAGTAAATGCAAGCATTGTTTGGGAACTATGGTACTTGGACCAAAAGCTCTATGTTCTGTGAACTAACTTACCCCAAGGAAAGCATTTAGAGAACCTGGTAAATGGCTGGCCAACATCCCTCTTTGTTTCCTTCTCCAGCCCAGATCTCTGGGAGCATGTGTCCCACTGCCTCCATGACAGTTCCACTTGCTTGTCGCACAAGCAGCTCAACTCAGCTGTCCAATACTGAAGCCTGGAGCACACCCCACAGGCCCCCTGCCTCTCACTAACTTCCTGTCACCTCCAACCACCCAGGTGTTGGACAGAAAGCTGGGAATCGTCCTTGACTCTTCCCCTAACTCCTTACAATGAAGTCATGATGATTCTGCCCCAAGCAGGACATGTCGTGCCCAAGGGATGGACAGGGAAGTAACTGGTGCCCCTGGAGTTGTTCAGCATGGCATCCCTGCCCCCAGTATAACTCAAATCCACCTCCCTCTCTCTCATTCTCTACTGACAGCCCCTGACCTAAGTTAGCACCATCTAACTGGAGTCTTACTTTTCCTCCCGCTTCAGTCCAATTGGCTCTCCACACAGCAGCCAGAAGCAGCATTTAAAAGTGCAGGTCAGATCATGCCCCTTGCTCAAACCCCCTTCAGTAGATTTCCAGCGCTTTTTAAAAATGAAGTCTCAGTCCCTAACCCAAAAGTGGTCCCCCGTGAGCTGGCCTCTACCGCAGCTCCAGCTTCTCACACCGCTTTCACCCTTGCTCCCTGTTCTCCAGCTCTTCCCAACTCAGGGCCTTTGAAGGGGCTCTTCCTTGTGCCTGGAATGCTCTTCCTCACATTTCTCATCATTCCTTGGAGCTTGACTCAAGGGTCAACTCCTCAGAGAGGCTTTCACTGACTTCAAATGGCCTTTGCTAATCCTCTAATTTAGGTCCCTTGGTTATTTTATCTCAGGGGATCATTTCTTCATAACATTTACACTTTTCATAACTAACCCAATTGTGTTACTCTTTTGTGACTATTTGTCTTGCTAGCAAGCAGCATGATGGTAGGAGTTATACCTAATTTGCTCACCACAGTGATCCCAGAACCAAGATCAGTCCCCGGCACATAGTAGTTACTCAGTAAGTATTAGCCCCTAGCAGCTTCATTCGTCATAATTGCCAAAACTTAGAAGCAACCCAGATGTCCTTCAGTAGGTGAATGAATAAATAAACTGTGGTACATCCAGACAATGGAATATTCTTCGGCACCAAAACAAATGAGCTATCAAGCCACTGAAAGATACAGAGAAAATGTAAATGCATATTATTAAGTGAAAAATGCCAGTTTGAAAAGGCTACGTAATGCATGAATCCAATTACATGACTTTCTGGAAAAGGCAAAACTATGGAGACAGTAAAAACATCAGTGGATGCCAAGAATTCGGAAGTGGGAGGAATGAATAGGTGGAGCATGGAGAATTTTTAGGGCAGTGAAAATACTCTGCATGATATTATAACGGTAGATATAAGTCATATACATTTGTCCAACCCATAGAACGTCTACCAACCATCAAGAGTGAATCCTAATGTGAACTATGGACTTTGGGTGATAATGATGTGTCATTGTAGGTTCATCAATTGTAACACATGTACTACTCTGCTGGGGAATGTTGATCATGGGGGAGGTTGTGCATGTGTGGGGGCAGGGGATATATGAGGAATCTCTGTGCCTTCCTTTCAATTTTGCTGTGAACCTAAAACTGCCCTAAAAAAGGAGCCTTTAAAAATTAACTTTTTAAAATTCATTAATTAATTAAAATAAATATATACTGAAGGAATAAATAAATCTCTTTTTTCAGGTATCACTTCTTCCTTTTTTTCTTTCTTTTGATGAAAGCCAAAATGCCATCAGCTCATTTTTTTCTTATAAGTCCATAAAAGAATGATGTGTCCTGCAACTGATGGGCTCGTAGATTCAATGAAGGACAGGATATAGAGAAATTGGGCTCAACTGTATGTCCAGCTGGTTTGGCTGTTCCAGCCCTACTCAAGGCAGGACAGCTTGCAAGCATAGCGCACACGTCTCAAAGGCTCAAAACCTACCCACATTCTTGGGTGTCCTGCTGAGTCCCCAAGAGCACTGAGGAAGCAACCACTTGACAGTATTCCATATTTTCACAAATCTTGTCTGCCTCACACGCCAGCCATCAGCGCAAAATGACCATTCCTAAATTCTCTATAAGTCAAAATCTCTGTCTTCAAAAGGCCCACGTTCAGAAGTTACCTCCCATAAGACTTCCTCTGGCTCCCCATGATGATATGAACATGCCTAGTCAACGTTCATTTCATTCCACCTGGTGTTATTAAGTTAGTCTACCTATGCCTCCCCTAGTAGACTTAGAACCCCCTGAGGTCAAGAAATATTCTCCCTCATCTCCACATTGCTCTATTCCCTGCAGACAGCTTGGCATATCAAAGATATCCAATCAGTTCAACAAGCTGATTCAAATGTCCCTCCATCTAAGGCAATTTGTCCAGAGAATCTTCCTGCACTATACAATTAATTCCAAATTGAAATGCCAAAGACCAGAAACCTGGAAGTGGGGAAAAAATCCAATAATTGATTTCAGAAAAAAAAGTGGAATTCCAAATCTCTTAAAACATAATTTTGAAATCCTTTAAAACATATGAGCCTTATTAATTACTCTGCAAATACTCATCTCAGAGAATGTCCACATAATGCTTAATTCCTAATGATTACTGGTCTGAATTTGTAGCTGATTCCCTCATGCTTAAATTACAAAAGATTAAGATGGAACAATGACATTGGGGAAACAATCTCCTTCTTAATTGTGCCATTTCAGCTGCAAATACCCTTTTATGTATATAACTAATTCAAATCTTCACTATTTCCTATACATCAGAAACACTTAAATGTCATTCAAAAAGGCAGCAAAACAACACACACACACACACACACAGACACACAAAACGGAAGATTCTATGACTTCACTCTCTAGTCTAAAGGATATATGTCATTCCTGGCCAGAGAGAAAAGAGAAAATCAGCCAATACAACAGTTTCAGTGACCAACGTAAGGACTGTAAATGACCCAGAAGGAGGAGGCACCAGGGGCCACAGGATATGAGGAATATAACCAGGACTGTCATAGCAGAAGTCATGAGGAGAATATCTGGGAGCCCAATCCTTTCTTCTCCTCTCCCAGAGTAGCTGGTAGAATCCTAACCTAAAACCCCAACAGGGGACCTTGAAGGAGCAGATTCCAAATTTGGACCTGTATTATATCCACAGAGTAACATGAGTAACATGAGCGTGAAGACCCCAACATCACCGGTCACCAACAAGACCCTAGAGAATCCCCACTACACATCACAGAAGAGTGTCATTGTAAATGGTTCTGCTGTTGTGAAGTGGTCAGCTGGGAAAAAAGGAACAAGTGGGGGCGTGGGGAGGTGACTGGCTGTGGCCTTTGTACCCTGGACACGAACTAGCAGCAGAAATAAATCCTGGTGCTTCCCCATCCATTTGGTTCTGTTTACCAAGCTCTTATTCTTTGCAAAGCAACCATATCTGGGGAAAGGAGGCAGGAAGAAAAAGGAATTCAAAGAAGTCTCACAAGCCCATGTGAGGTAGGCTCTGGGTGACAAGCTTGGGTACCATGGCTCTTTTTGTTGTAAATTGCCCATAGAATCTGAACTCTCTCTCTTTGGCTCAAACCCTGAGCCATGTCCCTTAAAATTAAACCCTTTCTCCCAAAGAAAAAGATGGAGATTCACATGGGGCAATAATAACACATCCCCACGGATCATCCTCAGGGGACCAGTAAAAGAAATGATGGTAAAAGGAAAGGTGATCACCTCAAGGAATTTTCCCTTGAGAAATTATCACCATGCTGAAGATCTCTGGTATAGCTGTCAACAGAGAAAAGCATCTGTCAAGCTGGCCAGGTGTTGACTAGCAACGCCAACAATACCCTATGCTTGTACCATTCAAGTCTCCCGCAGTCCAAGGCACAGGCACAGGCTTTCCTGTGCTTCACACCACGGGGCCAGGGGCAGTTACTCCATCTTTAGATCTTTAGTCCATGTAGCTCATGGAGCAATGTAATGGACAAAAAAGTTTTAAACAATGATGTCCTGGCATAGAAATTATGTAAATCACCAGGGATTTTATTCCTGTTCCCAGTGTATATTGGACTAAAATGTTTTCATTTAACATCTTTTGCTTTTTCTAATTTCATAACATTTACATCTATCAATTTTCCATTGATTTTGAAGTAGTTGAATGGGTTGAAATTGCAGCTTCAGTCACAGGCAAACTGGCACAGATTTGTTTTCAGACCAGCCACGTTCCTCCTCAGTGTTCTGGACAGAGGCCTCCTTGTCTGTTCTTCCAAGAGTCCCTATTTCTGCTGATGGAACTGCCTTCCTTGGAATTACACAGGCTCTTCACCTTGGTGTCTCCATGGACACCTCCCCTTTGTCTCTCCTTGGCCTCCTCCTTTACTCTTACTCCAAATCTAATCAGTGCCAAATCTGGAACTCTTCTACCCGCCCAGTGGTGCATTCCTTCCTCTCTGGTCCAGCCATGGCCACCAATTCTGGCCTCCCCAGCACCTGCCTCATTTCATGCTGGCCTCCCTGTCTCAAGTCTTGTTCCCTCCTTAGAATGTTTCCTAGACATAGCTGACAAATCAGTCTTCCAGAAAAAGTGATCATGCGATTTCCTTGTTCAATACCATTGAGGTCTCTCTCTCTCTCTCTCTGTCTCTCTCTCTCTTTTCTATTTTATTTTATTTTTCTGGTTCTTAGGAAGTGTGCAGAGGACTCTCCCTTAATGTGGAGAGAGAAAGTCCATACTCCTCAGTCTGTCCTTTAAAGCCTGGTCACATCCAAACAACTCAGTGTTAAATCCCACTGCTGCCTCTTATATCCCCAGTGCACCAACTACTCACTGACCTCTGCACTTGCTTAGAGCAAGTCCACTGTTACTTACGCCTGCAATGCCCCTCTGCTACTGGCTCTGTATATTCAAACATTCCCGTTTTCAAGGTTCAGCCGAAATGTCCAATCTCCAGAAGCCTTCCCTGGCCGCCTTAGATGAAAGGGATCTTTCATTCCTAATTCTATGATGAGAGACACTTTTCTTTGCTAGGCATTGCTGTTCCTCCCCCGACCCTCCCTATCTCCAACACATGACCTCCCTCTGCTGGGAATTTCCTGGGGGCCGCCCTCTGTGACTCTCCCTGCATCTTCCACAGGGACCCAGCAACCTGCCGTGCCCACAGCAGCCTCTGCACAACACCCAAAAGTTTGTACTAGCTTAGATGTTCACGTTTCTCTTCTCCCACACCCTGCTCATCAGGTAGGGAACTTTCCCAGTGAAAACGGAACTTCCCTACTACAATACCAAAACAAGTCAATGTTGCCACTTGATCAAGAACTCTTCCATTTTTGAAATATTTCCTAATGAGCTCAGTTGTCACAGACTGCACCCTGGGGACAGGTCAGACCAGAAAGCAGAGGATGTCACCTGGGCAGGACCAGGGCTGCTCCACGCTGGTGACCACAGGCTGGGTGTTTTGTGCCCCCGGAGGGTTAGGACACACAGCAGCCAGTCGCAAAGGGCGCAAAGGACCAGCGCTTAGTGGGCGGGGCGGGCAGGGGAGAGTCCCGGGAGTTGTACCCTGTTGAATCCCAGCTCCAAACTTTTCCCTCCGTCAGCGCGGAGCCCTCCACCAGCCAGGACTGGCTGACGCCGTGATGCCACAAAAGCCGGGACCGGAAGAGAAAAATGCGTGGGATGGGGAAGGCAAAGGCGGTTATTTTCAGAACTTCGGGGGCTCCCGGGCCTGCCCTTCGGGTTCCCGAGGATGCGAGGCCAGCGTCCGGCCGCCCGCGGGTCCGGACCGGCGCCTGCCCGGGACCGGATGGGCAGCGATTGGGATGCAGATGCCGCTCTGGTGCTGATGCTGCGGCTGCCGCGTAGTGACAGCCGCTCCACCACCCACCGCGCCGAGCTGCGGCTCCGCGCCCCCGGGGGCGCCCGGCGCGCCTGGTCCGCTCCGGCCCCGGGCAAGGCCTGCGGGCTGCGGCGGGCGGCGGGGCCCAGGCCGCTACTCACCCGGAGGGTTGACCGCCGCCGGGGTTGCCATCTTGCTCGGAGAGGATAGGCGCCCGCTTGGCAGGGGCGCGGGAGGGGCGGCGCGGAGCCCGGCGCTCAGCCCCGGGGACCCGGTCAGGCCCAGGCGCCGCCGCCGCCACACAAAGGACGGCGCGGGCGGGCGGCGCTCCCTCCGCTCTCCCCGCCGCCGCGGCCGCTCGCCGTCCCCGCCTTTCTCTCCTCCTCCTCCCCCTCCTCGGCCTCCTCCTCCCGGTTCAGCCTTTGTCGCGCGGCGGGGGGCGCCCGGCCCGCGGCTCCCCGGTCAGAGCGGTAGCACCGCGAGACTTGGGGCTGCGGACGGCGGGACCCCCAAGTTGGGCGCCGGCGACTGGCGGGGGCAGAGGGCCGGGCGCTCCCTCGGGCTCGCGCAGGTGCTCGGGCCTGGCCGGGCTGGGACCGCAGGCGCCTCTCCCGCGCTCGCCTAGCCCGGGCTGCCCCCGCACGCCCACGCCCCAGGTGTCCGGGCGCGCTTTACCCAGGGGCGCCGTGCCCAGGCCAGGAGGCCAGGGCGGAGCGGGTGAGGGAGAAGCCCATTTAGATTCAGAGGGAAGCCGGTCCTGGGAGACGGCCGCGAGGAACAAAGGCGCCCCAGTGCTGCCCACTTAGCATGCCAGAGCCGCGCTGCTCGGCTCCCAGGCCGGGGACACGGCCCGGTGTTAAGCGGAGGGTGCCCGACCGCGGGAATTCCTAAGGCCACGCGCACCTCCAAGGCCACCGCCGCACACAGCTTCGGAGTGCACAGTGCACACGCCCAGGCACAGGCAGCCGGCCCGAGAAATTGTGAATGTCTTGGCTTTGAGTAAGGCGCTCATCTCTACCCTCCTTCCATAATGACTGCCGTTGATTATTACTTGAGGGCGCTGCAAGGGCCTTATTTACACCACCAAGTTGAGAATTTAAAAAGATTTTTTTTTTTAAATAGGTTTATCTGCGTATCCTGGCGAAGTTTGGATGCAGAGAACTTGGAGCTGTTGTTTTCTACCAGACACTAGGATCCCTGAGAGAGGTAATGGCCCCTAGGAAGGACACGTCACCATCGGGGTCCCCTGTAAAGGTTAAATGGAAGAATAAAGACATCCCAGGTGAACGCTGAGAAGGGCAAGTTGGTCCCTAAACGCAGATAATGTTTGCAGAGACATCAAACTGTCTTAAATCCTTCCAAGGAAGCATTTTCTGGAGGGCAGAAAATTTGGGATGTATGTTCAAATAAGCATTTTCTTCGGGGAGTATTTGTCACTACTAATCTAATAGTCTATCAGTTCTACAAATGTTGAATGTCTGCTGTGTGCCAGGCACAAAGCCAGGTGTTGGGCCTACCATGGAAAGGAAGAAACAGGAGCTCTGTTCTTCTGGTTTGGGGGGTAGAGTGGGGAAGAGTGAAACAAAGTATCTGCACTCAAGAAGCACACAGCTCCCTTGGGGGCTTAGGGCAGAAGCCCTGAAATTGGCATCTCCAGCCTGTAGTCACTAATGAATGAATGAGGGCAGAGAGGAGGTGGAGTGATCAGGGAAAATGAAAATTAGGCTTTGAAGACATGAGTAGGACAGGTGGAAAAAGAAGACATTTCAAGTAAAAAATAAAGCAGGTGTGCACCCAGCCACAAGATAGGCCAGGCCCAGACAGAGAAACCAGGGTATCAGCTATGGCCCGCTCTTGTGCCCCGTATCAAAGTTGACTGTTCCTGATTCCAACATCAAGCCAAATGAGAATTCAGCCTCTCTTCTACATACCCCGAAAAGCAACACACTCAAAATACCAACTTAATTAATGTATAACGTATACTGGACTGAAGATTTCTTAAGGAAAGTAAAAGAGGAGGCTCTCTTCACTCACTCCACATCAAAAAAGGTAAAACTCCATCTCAGATATTTCTGCTACCCAGAGTCCCTTCTGGATCCTTCTCCCCACAGGCAGTTCAATCTCTGGTGGCCCATAAATAGCCCATAAATAGCACTTGGCATCACTGCCCCCTATCCCACGAGGCTCTTTTATTCTCCAACTTTCCACACCCCTTAGAAGGAAGCAAGTTCCTCTCCTTGGTGTTTATGTATCAGTTTAGCATTTCAGCCAGGACCCATGGCTCATTTTGTCTCCAAATACAGTTCTAATATCATCCCTAAAAAATAAAATATGAGTGAACATGACTCTTACGCACACACACATTTAACCATACAAATTTGTTGACAAGTTTTACTTTCTTACTCTGCTGTTGTGTTCTGCCCATTTTTCTAAATGTTACTCGGCTGATATCTTTAAAACTGGATCTTGCTCAAGCTTCCTACTTCTTGCACTGGTCCATTGCAATAAAAGACAGGCGACACGTGGACAACTGCTAGACACTTCCCAAGTCTGGAGTCGGCCGTGCTGTGGTTTTTGGTACGTAATAAATACGTTTAGATTTTCACAAAGGAGACATTTCATCTTCTCCCCCAGTCAGTGTATTTCAGAGGTAGAAAGGACCTTCGACATCATCCAATTCTGCCCCTGGAGTTTGCAGATAAGGAAACTGAGGCTCAGGGTAGCCAACGTCATGCAGCTTAATAGCCAGACAAGACTTAGAACTGGGCTACGCACAATACTGGGATTTGGTGGCTGGAGTTGGGGAGCGGTTAGGGTGTAGGGGAAGAAATAGAGAAATGGGCAACTCGCCTTCTCTCTCGTCTCTCAGTATTAAATAGGTTAAATGCTCAGAAACACTGATTGTGGATGAAAGCCCCCCACTTAAGTAAACAATCTGAAATGGAGTGGTTAGTCATTGTTGAATACTGAGTGGCATTTACACAACACAGTGGTCTTGCGCTAATTATGAGAGTCAGTAGACTGTGACCAGTTAACACAGGCTCAGGAATTCCACTCAACCTTTAAACAACCCAGAACTCTTTGAAATTCCAGAGGAGGCTGTTGAATTTGAAGCTGAGATTTGCATTTTTGAAAAGATTAATGCAGATCCACCGGGCCCATAGCACACGATTCTGAGCACAGCGCTCCTAGAAATGACCAGAGTTGACCAGCTGCTGTGCTAATGTGTACCAGGGTCCACAGCCTTTCTTTCTTTCTTCTTTTTTTTTTTTTTTAACTTGATGGGAGAAAGCAGCCACCTGAGTTCTGCTTCATATCCCTTTAAGTCCTAATACTCGAGACAAAGGATTTCCATTGTATAATATATAATGATCCAAGGCAATTTTATCTTTTTTTTTTTTTTGAGACGGAGTTTCACTCTTGTTGCCCAGGCTGGAGTGCAATGGTGCAATCCTGGCTCCCCACAACCTCTGCCTCCCAGGTTCAAGCAATTCTCCTTCCTCAGCCTCCTGAGTAGCTGGATTACAGACATGCACCACCATATCCAGCTAATTTTGTATTTTTAGTAGAGACGGGGTTTCTCCATGTTGGTCAGGCTGGTCTCAAACTCCTGACCTCAGGTGATCCATCTGCCTTGGCCTCCCAAAGTGCTGGGATTACAGGCGTGAGCCACTGCACCCGGTTTTTTGTTTATTTGTTTTTGTTTTTTGTTTTGTTTTTTTTTTTTTAGATGGAGTCTCGCTTTGTCACCAGGCTAGAGTGCAATGGAGTGATCTCAGCTCACTGCAACCTCCAACTCCCTGGTTCAACCAATTCTCCTGCCTCAGCCTCCCAAGTAGCTGGGATTACAGGTGCACCCCCCACCAAACACTCCCAGCTAATTTTTGTATTTTTAGTAGAGATGGGATTTCACCATGTTGGCCAGGATGGTCTTGATCTTCTGACCTCGTGATCCGCCCACCTCGGCCTCCCAAAATGCTGGGATTACAGGCGTGAGCCACCATGCCTGGCTAATTTTATGTTCTTTTAACTTCACTTTAAGATATGAAGAAACCAGGAATGAACGCATGGGCTTCTGCAGAAGGAGAGGCATGGTAGGGCTGCCATGGATATAACCACAGGCTTTCTCTCCATTTATATGTCTCCTCTCAACCCTTCCTTCCTCCTCCATTCTTTCTAACTTCTCTCTCTCTCTTTGCTGGAGATAAAGGCTCATGGGTCTGTGTTATCCCCACTGCTACCTCCTTATCTTTATTTCTACACAGGTGACAACTGCCCACGGATTGTCTGTCCAGGCACTACCCCCAGCCCCCACCCCTGCCTTCTTCTCTATCAAGTCTCTCCTTTACACCAAGAATCATGGACTTATAACAGATCAAATGTGGATGAGATGTTAGTTTTATACAAAAAGGCATAAGCACCAGCCTTTGAAGCGAAAGTGTGGTGTAGGTTTTTGCTCTGTCACTTCATGAAACTTCTCTAAGTCTCACTTTCCTCACCTGGAAAATGGGGATGATGTTACCTACTGTGCTGAGTTTTGGTGAAGATGACATTGAAGGAAGTAATGTGTGTGCTGTATACACTTTAGAGACTTTAAAATGTATTGTGATAGTATTGCAGAGGGAAGAAGAAAAGTATGGCAAGTCTCTGTCCCACAGAGATAGGAAGGGGAAGCTTGTCGTGCTTTACCTTCATGGAGAGTGGAGAGAAGGAAGGAAGGAGGGTGGGAGGGGAAACAGGCAGTCAGACCCAGGTGCTCTAGTTTCCGTGGAAGGTATATCAAGGCAGCTGATGGAATAGCCAAAAGCAGAGGGGTTTCTGGCCACCACCCATGTGGGAGTCTTGGGGAAGATAACACACAGGGTGGTTCTGCAGGGATCGAAGGATGTAGCTGCAAAGCTGGGCTTTATATGGCACTCCTGGCTCCTCGTGGCTCTGTGAAGTATGCTAGGTGTCCCACAGGTGAGGAGACATGAAGGCATTGAGGGTCTAAATTAACAGATATCTGGGTGAGGACTAAAAGGCTATAGTAGGCAAGATTGAATGAACAAGGCCCCAAACCAAGGCCACAGATATCAGCTCTCAGTGTGAGTCTTCCTAAAGATACCTTAATTTTCACCAGCCAAATGACCATCCCAGCCCCTCAGAATGGAGGCGGGCAAGGCTCTAAGGCTCCCTTTTCTCCCACCACTCCCTCCTTGACCACCTAGACACCACCTTGAAGGGGAGCTGGAAGTGAAAGGGAAAGGACCTAAGAATGACTGTGCATTCACCTGGGTGATGCTGAGCTTTCTAAGAGATGGTGTAAAACAAAGAAATACTATGAGCTCTCAAGGTTAAAATTCATTTAGTTCAAATGAGTATGGTATGAGTAAATTTCTCACCCTGCTACAGGGATAAAAAGAGACAATCTAAAGTGAAAAATATAACAGATGGAAACATATCCATGGTGAGAATGTACCATCCATGAACTCTTAGGAATCAAGACCGAGTAACATAGTACTAAACTGTACACAACAAAAACTACCAGGAATTTAAGGAGAAGCTGACAAAAATCACCTTACCAGTAGAGACTTTAACCAAGATTTTCTAGTTATTGGCAGATGAGATCAACAACAATGAAGGACAAATGTAAAATATGTTGATTTGAGGTTGATTTACTCTTGGCCTGTTGGATAACTCTGCCCCACTTACCATCTCCCTACTCCTCCCCGAGCATGGACCCAAAGCACCCGGCCCCAGGAGGAAGGCATGGGGCAATGACTGAGTGGGTTTGGAAACAATGATGGGACCACGATGTTACAGGCATAATCTTGCGTTCTGGCTGTGTCTTGTCTCTTGGGAGTTGTTCTCTTGCAAACAGAACCCTGTGTCCTGAGGCCTGAGCTTCTTTGTGTGTTGAAGAACAGCACATGCTTGTGCTGGTGCTTTTGCTGTGTTCTCTGGCTGTCTCAGGGGCTAGCAGCATGTGGGCTGGCCTTTTCTACCGCACAGGGCTGTGACAGCATTGCACTTTAGATTCTAAACTGCTCTCGGAGCATGGACTTGGAAGCCGGACAGTCCCCTGTTCGAATCTCAGCAACTCTACTTACCTGCTCAGTGTGAGTTGGACGCCCTGTGCCTCCATTTCCTCATCCACGATCTAGCGATATTAATAGTACGATCTTACAGGGTTCTTGTGAGAATTCAATGAGTTAATGTTTGTAGAAAGCTTAGAACATTATCTGGTATGTGGTTGGTATAGAATATTTGTTGATATTATTATCAAAGGGGTGAGGTAAGTTCAGCCTCCCATCCCTGAAATGAGATGGGACAAATTTAATTAAAATGAAAAAGCAACTGACAATTTGGAAAATAGTATAATGATGACTGTCTGTATCAAAAGCTAGCTGCAGAGAAAAATTCACAGCTGCAAATACTTGTTTATTAAATAGAAATGAATGGAAATATGTGAAATTAGCATTTAGCTCAGAAATCTCAGGGTCAATAAGTGTTTTGTACCTGAAAACACCCCAACTCACATTAGCTTATGTAGCCATATTATTGGTAAGGTGCTAAGGATGCCCAGGTATCCCAAAGGAAGGGTTAACAACCAAAACTCAGAAGGGCAGGGATACAGTTCGACTTCAGGAAAACTGGGACCAGGCATCTGGACTTCACAAGGACTCCCTGTGTGTATTTTCCCCTCTCCTTCCCTTCAGGTGTCATTCTTTCGCGCTGCACACACCTTCCTCCACGTGGTGAAGATACATCGCTCCTGACAGGTAGGATGGAAACTATCTTTGGCTCCCATGATCAGAAGGGGACACCCTCTCTGGAAGGAATGGCGACTTAGGGAAAGGTTGGGGGAAGCCTTGATTCGAGTCACATGCCTGTTCCTAGGCCAGCCTTGCGCTGGGGACCATGCTGTCCCAGGTGGGGAGAGGAGACAAGAATATGTGGGAAGGAAGCCTCCCCTGATGGGACCTAGAGGCTGGAGCTCCAGAGAAGCAGAGCTCAAGATGATGGGGCTATGGACAGGCTAGGAGGACATTTCCATAGATGTCTGCCACAAAGTGGGAAAAAAAATTATAGCAAGGGAAAAATGAACAAAGATAAATGCAGAAACAAATTTAGCAAGCACAAAAAGAAACATTCATGAATCAGTCCAAGGGCAGAGGCTCTGGAATGAACCCCTATGTCTCTGATTCTACCTTCCTGTCCACTTTTACCTCCATAGTTGCTCCCCATTCCCCACCAATTATGCTCCAGTAAGATCCAGCCTCACAGTCATTTCCTACGTGCACCATGCTATTCCCTTTGCCCAAAATGCCCCTCTCCCCAGTGAACCTCTCATTCATCAGGAACCATGCATGGATTGCCTTCTGTCTTCCTGGTGGTGTGCTCAGGGCTTCTTCCGACATGTACTTCCAAATTCCTGCTTTCCCCTTGTTCTAGCACATATCTCACTACACAAGGATTGGTTTTTAAAATAACATCTTATTTAATTCATTAGGTATGAGCTACTACCTTCGTTTTTTTTTCTTTTCTGGTACCCAGCTCATAGCCGGAGCCATATGAAATATTCTAATACTCATGGAGTGAGTGATTGAGTATCTTATCAGACATCAGTGATCATATAAGCAGCATGTTTCCATCCCTTTGTCTCTTCCATGGCAGCATACATAGAGCTAAATGTTGTGTCTCCCTGCAAAAGCTAACACGTTTGCAGTGTTAGGGAACCCCAGCATCTCTCAATCGTTAACCCTTCTTCTCTGGATTTTTATTTTTAATTTCCTGCTTTGATTCTGACTCATATTAAAAGCTACATCAGTTACTCTTGGAGAACAACAGGGACATAGGAAAAAGAAGATATTCTACTCATCAGTTAGTGCCCTATTCAGTATAAGTCTTCATGTTTTCCCAGTCCATGGGAAAGATTTCAGTAACTCCATTTACCAGTTGTAGTTATAACAAATTCTCATCTACGTAACTCCATTTACCAGTTGTAGTTATAACAAATTCTCATCTACGCCCAGCACCTTCTGACTTTCAAATCATTTTAACACCATTATTTCACTGGTCCAGGCATTTTTTACTTGGTCTTATTAGTGAAGAAGTGCCACATATATGAAATTATTCAGATTTTAATAGCTAACCACCTTCCTGTTGTATTAATTCATTTTGGAAGCCACCTGCGTAATTGAAAACAATCTTTTTGAGCATAATATGATTATCTGGACGTCTTAGCAAGTAATGCTGAATATGTGCATCTGATCTTTTCTTATGTTATATACAGAGAAGTAATCTTTGCTTAAAAATGCCAAGTGAATTAATAGGGTTGGTTAATGATTAATCTCTCTTTCCAAGTGATTCTCAGCATTCTGTTGGCGTTCACACTGGTTACTCTGATACAACAGGGCTCGGCCAAGTTCATTATCCAACCGACTGGTCTGGGACTGCGCGATCATTAGCATGCAAATTACCACAAACAAAGGACAGGTGACAATGACTTTCCTTCCTGTAGGTCACACTCTTAGAGGGAAATGAAGCATGTTTTTGTTTAAGAAAATTTATTTCAAGAACATTCAGTCTAACTCATTGAGGAATTAGATTTCGGTCCTTTGAATGTATGACTATTTCAAACACAGAGTCATAGAATTTTAGCGGTGACCTTAAAAACCATCTAGTACACAATTTAGAGGTAAACCTAAGAAACTTTCTCATTTTCCCTGTGTATTAGACTATTAGGAAATTAAAGGTTGGGGTGGAAGAGAGAGGTGCTGCTTTTGCATGTTGAGCAAAAGTGGAGGAGTTGTGGGTTGGAGGGAAGTTGTGGGTTGGGCAGAAGGAGAAGCAGTCACAACTACTCCATTCTTGTGTCTTAAAGTATAACACAAATACCCACCACCCCTGCTAGGGAGAACTCCAGTTTTCACAATGTTTCCAACCCCCAGGCCTCTCTGGGCAGGTTGCGGGGGTGGTCCTCAACGAAGCTGAATCTTGCACAAACCTGCCTTGGTTGCCTCTTGTCACACTGTCATCCACTTCCCTGCCACCTCTACTCCAGACTTCCCTCCTGATCAGCACCCATCTCTTCCAGCGACCCTGCTTGATTTCTGTTCTCCTGGCACTGCTGCCAACACCATGGCTGCCATCCAGAGTTAGCCTCAGGGCAGGCCTCTGCTCTCCTCCCTTACAAAGGGCCATTCCTGCTCCTCCTTCTCACCTGCATGTGGGGTCAGAACCCAGAAGTAGTTCTAGCTATGGCTGCAGTAACTGCTGACTGCTCCAGAAACTCACCATTTCCCTGTGTTGCTAATTCATCTAATACTTGCACTGGAAACCAACTTTCTATTAACTGAAAAACAAACCAAAGAGGTGTGTTGGTACCATCTGGCTGGCCTGCCTCTGGGTGCACCCCTCACCACCCACATACTCCAGCCCTCACTACACCTTAAATCCAGAGTTCCAATTCCTTCTAGCCTCCTGAACGAGGGAGAAGTTCCTTCCTTAGCCAGTCCAGAGCCCACCTCAATTCCTGGCTTAAGATTAGCTATTCTCCTAGGTGATTCAAAATGAGACACCCATTCCTTCCTGATCTGCCAAGATGGGGGTCTCTCCTGCCCGCGTGGTCTCAACAGGACAATGATGAGAGATGGATAATGGTACATTTCTCTAGGTCTGGGTTTCTCAATTTTATACATTATTAAAAGTCAAACCCCTGGCTACAAAGGAAAATCACTGGTAAGAATGTGGGATGATGGCAAAGACAGGGCTGGGGTCGTCTCGTTCCTACACTACTGTTGTTAAACTCCAACGCACTACAACATTGAGGAAAAGAAAATGCTTAGAGGAAAACACAAATCCTCACCTGGTCTCTATTTCATCAGTTGAGTCTCTAAAATTGTAACTTAAACAGAATATTTGTATATCAAATCATATTCATGTTACATGATACTTGAATAGGAAAATCCCTGACATTCCCAATATTCATTATGAAAAGCATTCTGCTTTTGTTCCTGGTACCTAAGTTGTTTACATAATGCATAAGAATTTGACCAAATGGAGAGCCAAGGGCAGGGCCTTAGCACCCTTGCTGAGTGTGACATGTCTCAGAGGTTGTTCATATAATGTGTCTTTGAAACTCCCATTTTTTCTTTTTTTCTGGACCAAAGTATATTCCTAACTAGGTGTTTCCCCAGTCATCCTACTCACAGGGCTCAAAAAGAAAAGGAATTTGTTTCCTGAGTTGGCATGATGGTTTCTGAAGCTGTTTCTGAAATTCTGACCATAGCAACAGGAAATTGAAGGCAAGATACTAGAAATAAGCACAAATTAGATACAACTGTTTAGGGCAGATGTTGACTTAAAAGAATATCTTTTTTGGGTCAAATGCAAAAAAAAAAAAAAAAAGAGCTAGAAAATCTAACAAGACCTGCTAAAGATGAATGTGTATTGGAGGAGAGGGGGAAGAATAAAGACTTGTTACAAGTAACATTTTGGAGAAAAACAAAATAACAAGCAATGATACACAAGAACTTCTTTGTCAATAGCAAGGAATGGTCTATGAGGAGCCTCGTCAAGAAACAAGATGTGTCCAGGACTCAAGTAGTTCCCTAATCATGCTGCCAGTTCTTCTCCTTGATGGGGGCACATTAGGCTGTTATGTATGACTCAGTGATATTGGCCACAAGGCCATGTTTCTAATCCCCCGTCACTCCACTTCTGGCCTATACTTCACATGTGTACATACACACACCCCACCCTGCCCCAGCAACCTTCAGAGGATAATCTGGCTTCCTAAGGAGACTTTCCTCTAAAAGGTAATGAGCAGATCAGCCCACAGGTTCACTGTAGTGTACTTGCCATTTTTGCTCCCTATTAAAAATAAACTGATATTTGATCAGTTCAGTCTGTCCCTCAGGACCTGATGAGCTCTGCTTGAGCTAAAAAGAAAAACCAAGGTTCCAGACCAAGGGGAGTAGTCATGCCCCAGGGTGATGCTGAGCAGCCCCTGACCTTTCTAGAGAGCATCTTTGTCTCACTGATTTCCAATTTTAATCTGTAAATAACTATATCATATTTATTTTTATGTGAGTATTTAGGTCAACGTCTATATATATGTGCATATATATATATATATATATATATATATATATATATATATACAAACTATGTCTATATCTACAAAGTGTCTAAAATATTGCAAAATTGTTTTATATAGATTTCATTTAACCCTTTAAAGTAACTCTTTAATGTAGTTAATATTATTTTCATTCTATAGATCTGGTGACTGATACTTACAGAGTTAAAGAGGAATTTGCCTAAGGTCACATAGCTGATAAGTGACATAGATAAATATGTGAATACAGACAAATCTGACTCCAAAATTCTTGCTCAGTCAATCTTAAAGTATTAATTTATGCAAACTAGAGCTCTCTCCACTGATAATGTTATCCCATTTTAACACAGAAACTTGATATGTAACTTCTCTTGCTAACTTAGTGAAGTAAATTGGAATGAGATTGAGGAAGTTCTCTGTAAATAGGGGAAACAAAAAATAGAGTAAGGTATTCAGGATTCACATATAGAGCAAGATCTACATTCAAACTTTTGAGAAAGACTTAAGTAAATGAAATAAACGGAAACAGAGGCTTAGAGAGACTCGATAACTTGCCTAAGATCATACAGCTAGTCGCAAACATGGTCAAGATTCAAAATCAGGTATCTGCATAGACTAACAATGCAGGAGCCAGCAGGCTAACCACTCTGAGAACTCATCATTGTGCTTTCACTGGTAGGTGATTGCATCTTATGATGCTACAGGATGCGAGAACAAGGGGTTGGGGTAGGTGAGGTGAGTAGGCTTTTTACAGTTAATAACAATACTAGCTCTGACACTATTTTTTGTAGAATAAGATAAACATGCTAGGAATTGATAAATAACAAAAAAAAAATAATTCATAAGCTACCAAGGCCCAGCCAAGTGGTGGGATCCTAAAACGTCCCTAGAAAGTAGCAGGTCTTTGCACTCTGTCAATGCAGAGATTGTTTACATGAAATAATGTTGAGTTTAAAAGAAAGCAGAAAGAAAGAAGCGAACACTAAGACTATAATTCTACGAGTGTGCATGTCAATAACAAAAGCGTTCAGAATGGAATTTAGAATGCTATCATTGGTTCAAAATGAGTTTAATACTCTTCATGTACTTTTTATTTTCTTTGAAGTGGTTTGTTTTCCCAATTATTCATATTTTTTATTTTGAAATAATTTCAGGCTTTCAATAGAGTTGCAAAAATAGTAGAAAGAACTATCATAAGCCTTTCACCCCAACTGTTAGCATTTTGCCACATTTGCTTTATCATTTCTTCTCTCTCTATACATATTTATATCTATATATATATACCAATATTGTTGTTTCCTAACCATTTGAGACTAACTGGAGACAGAGTCCTTTCTGCTAAATACTTCTGTGTATTTCCTGAGAAAAAGGGCTCCCTCTTATATAACCATATTATAATTATCAAATCAAGAAATTATCATCGATATAATTATCTAAGCTACAAACCTTATTCATTTTTTCCCAATTATCCCAAAATTGTGCTGTATGGAAAAAAAGAATCCTTGTTCAGGGTCCAACCCAGGATCACATGTTATATTTCATTGTCATGACTTTATGTCTCTTTAATCTAGAAATGTTTCTGCTTTTAAAAGATATTATTTTAGAGCAGTTTTAGGTTCACAGCAAAATTTAGTGAAAAGTACAGCGTTCCCACATACCCCCTACCCCTCCACACACACAGCCTCCTGACTATCAACATGTCTCATCAGACTAGTACATTTGTTATAGTCAATAAACCTACATTGACACATCGTTTTCATCCAAAGTCCACAATTTACATCAGGGTTTACATTTGTGATGTACATTCCATGGGGTTGGATAAATGTATAATGATATGTATCCACTTTTATAGTATCATAAAGAATAGTTTCACTACCCTAAAAATTCTCTTTGCTCCATCTATTCATCCCTCCTTCCCTACCAATCCCTGGAAACCACTAATTTTTTACTATCCCGGTAGTTTTGCCTTTTGTGGGATGTTATATAGTTTAGAACCATACAGTATGTAGACTTTTCAGATTAGCTTTTTCTTTATTTCTTCGAAAAAAAAATGGGATACATGTGCAGAACGTACAGGTTTGTTACATAGGTAACCATGTGCCATGGTGGTTTGCTGCACCTATTGACCCGTCAGTTCCCTCCCCTCATCCCCCAACCCCCAACAAGCCCTTGTGTGTGTTGTCCCCCGCTCTGCGTCCATGAGTTCTCAATATTCAGCAGCCACTTATGAGTGAGAACATGCAGTGTTTAGTTTTCTGTTCCTGTGTTAGTTTGCTAAGGATGATGGCTTCCAGCTTCATCCATGTCCCTGCAAAGGACATGGTCTCATTCCTTTTTATGGCTGCATAGTATTCCATGGTGTATATGTACCACATTTTCTTTATTCAGTCTATCATTGATGGACATTTAGGTTGGTTCCATGTCTTTGCTGTTGTAAATAGTGCTGCAATAAACATATGTGTGCGTGTGATTTTCTGTTCCTGTGTTAGTTTGCTGAAGATGATGGCTTTCAGCTTCATCCATGTCCCTGCAAAGGACATGATCTCATTCCTTTTTATGGCTGCATAGTATTCCATGGTGTATATGTACCACATTTTCTTTATCCAGTCTATCACTGATGAGCATTTAGGTTGGTTCCATGTCTTTGCTGTTGTAAATAGTGCTGCAATAAACATACGTGTGCATGTGTCTTTATAGTAGAATGATTTGTATTCCTTTGGGTATATACCCATTAATGGGATTGCTGGGTCAAATAGTATTTCTGGTTCTAGATCCTTGAGGGATCACCATACTGTCTTCCACAAAGGTTGAACTAATTTACATTCCTACCAACAGCATAAAAGCAATCCTATTTCTCCATAGCCTCACCAGCATCTATTGTTTCCTGACTTTTTAATAATCGCCATTCTGACTGGCGTGAGATCTCATTGTGGTTTTGATTTGCATTTCTTTGATGATCAGTGATGTTGAGCTTTTTTCCATGTGTTTATTGGCCACATAAATATCTTCTTTTGAGAAGTGTCTGTTCATATCCTTTACCCACTTTATTAATTAATTTATTTGTTTATTTATTTTATTATTTTTTTTAAGATGGAGTCTCACTCTGTCACCCAGGCTGGAGTGCAGTGGTGCAATCTTGGCTCACTGCAACCTCTGTCTCCTGGGTTCAAGCGATTCTCCTGTCTCAGCCTCCCAAGTGGCTGGGATTACAGGTGCCTGCCACCATGCCCGGCTAATTTCTTAGTTTTTTGTTTGGTTGGTTGTTTTATTTTGTTTTCATACGGAGTCTCGCTGTGTCACCAGGCTGGAGTGCAGTGGCGCAATCTCAGCTTACTGCAACCTCTGCCTCCCAGGTTCAAGCAATTCCCCTGCCTCAGCCTCCCGAGTAGCTGGGACTGCTGCCATACGCCACCACCCCTGGCTAATTTTTTTGTATTTTAGTAGAGACGAGGTTTCACAGTGTTGGCCAGGCTGGTCTCAAATTCCTGACCTCAGCTGATCCGCCCGCCTCGGCCTCCCAGAGTGCTGGGATTACAGGTGTGAGCCACTGTGCCCAGCCTCCTTTGCCCACTTTTTGATGGGGTTGTTGGTTTTTTTTATTGCAAATATGTTTAAGCTCCTTGTAAATTCTGGATATTAGACCTTTGTCAGATGGGTAGATCGAAAAATTTTTCTCCCATTCTATAGGTTGCCTGTTGAAGCTGATGATAGTTTCTTTTGCTGTGTAGAAACTCTTTAGTTCATTAGATCCCATTTGTCAATTTTGGCTTTTGTTGCAATTGCTTTTGGCATTTTTGTCATGAAGCCTTTACCCATGCCTATGTCCTGAATGGTGTTGCCTAGGTTTTCTTCTAGGGTTTTTAGGGTTTTGAGTTTTACATTTAAGTCTTTAATCCATCTTGAGTTAATTTTTGTATAAGGTGTAATGAAGGGGTCCGGTATCAGTTTTCTGCATATGGCTAGCCAGTTTTCCCAGCACCATTTACTGAATAGGAGATCCTTTCCCATTGTTTGAGACCAAACAGGCACACATTCCTGAAATACCTGTTTAACTAAAGCCTGGGTATAATTTATGGGTATAATTTATTACCCTAATTATTCAATAATTTACATATACAGAGCCATCACAACAAGTTAGAGTAGTATTGCTGACAGCTATCACTTATTGAATGCTTACTAAGTGTTAGGCACTATTCCAGGATATTTCTCACAACAACCCTAGGAGGATTGCTGCTATGGATTTACGGTATTTCATGGATTCTAGGGTTCTCTCTGAAATCAGGAGGTGGCTTACAGTCAGTAGTGTTTCACAGTCATTGTCATATTGGCATAATTGCTATGCTCTGCATGCACAACATAGACTAAAAACCTTTGGATGACCCTTCTAATAAGATCAAGAAAGTTCAGCATCGAGACTTGCAGAACGTCCTGGAGGCAGCATTGGGACAAATATGAGAAATGCTTCAACATCTAGTCCAGAGGATGAAAGTGTGAAGAAAAACATGTACATTGACTCTGAGTTGTAAGTGATTCAGAAGAAAGACTCTGACTATGATCCAATTTTAGGAAAAGCTTAACTAATATATGCTTGAGTGTCACATGATAAAAATCTACATCTAAATAAATCTGAAAGAGCTCTTTCAATAACATGAAATTTAAAATTTAAGTATTAACAAAATATCGTGTCATATTTTAATTTGCAAAGGGAAACAATTGACTCTTTTTGTCTCTTTTAAGAATATGCATTATCACAGATAAGACCTGGGCCCCAGTCCTTTTTCTAGAGTTGAAAATCAGAAGGAATATCAACCTGCAAAATAATGAAAATGTCTGCATAAATCGAGTCAGAAAAAAAATAGAACAAGATATAAATTTGAGTTAAAGGTGCCCTTGGGTGAAATATACAAGCAGCATATTCTTGACTTTTGCTCCCTGTAGTGTCCCCCAAAACACTCTGGCTCACATATGAGAACATTCACCATCGTTTCAGCTCTAATGGTGAAAGCAAGGCACACTACACAGCTTGAATGCTCTTTTCTATTTGCTTCTTGCACCTCATAAATATGTTCAAGCATTCAAATTAAATTGTATCTAAGGCAGCTCAACCCAAAAGATAATATTTTCTGCTCTCACAGGGCATTTGCCCTATTTATTCCAGACCACATTCAAGGAAAACATACTTCTCTTAGCATTTTCTTATTTTGCTGGAAGCAGAACGTATGTAAAGGACACCAAACTTAATTAGCGCATTAACATAATCACATCAAGTGTAGACATAGAACTTGACAATAGGAAATTGAGTAAATCAGCGCGAATGTTTTCAGCCCCGTGCTTTATAATTAGGGGAAATAAAAGGATAGCTTAAATCCTGCTGGATGCATTTACTATGGTTGCTTCTAATTTATGAGGTTGGAATTGTGGATACCAAAGAGTGCTTAAATTTATCTTCATATTTAAATGAGACAAAAGTTTAAGCACACATATTTTTCTATTTAGAGACTTCTTTTTGACCTTCTCTGCTAAATATATATGCTCTTTTGCTTTCAAAAGCACTTACCAAAGCTGTAATGCTACGGTGAGAAGTTTTGCAAATGAAAACAGGCAGCCATTGCAATTTCAAGAGCTCAGAACCCAAAAAACATAAAGTAGGCAAACAACAACAACAACAAAACCTGATGGAGGTTTTTTGAGGCTTGGCCTGTCTTTTATTTTATATTAGACTTTTCCCCAGAATTTGCATGAATTCATCACCCTCAGCTTCTTCCCCCAATCAGTGAAGGTGGTCTGGAATTATAAGTTATTTTCTTAAGGGAGGCAGAAAATTAGATGTATCGGGTGCTAGTTTTGTGACAATCTAGTTGACAAATCAAAGATAGAATACGTGGAGGATAGACACTATAGTAATTGCAGAAACAGGTCTTAGTGTCTGTCGCACAAAGCTGCACCTGTGGCTTACTTGCTATGTGCCCCTAAGCGATTTGCTTCACGTAAACCTCAGTTTCCTCATATGTAAAATGTAAATAAAGACACCTATTTCACTGCACTATTGGGGAAATCATTTCAAGTAATATAGATAGCACAGTGCCTGGTGCATGGTTAACTGCTCAATAGATGTTAACTAGCCAGAATAAGAATGAGATGCCATTATGGGGTTAGGATGTGAGTGGTTAATTGAAGATGCGCCTGGGAAATGGAGACCAAGTAGCTCCACACAGCCACCATCTCGGAAGGACCATAGCTTTCCTTATGTACTTCCCACAGGGAAACTTCAGGACAAACTCACTCCAGGTTTTGTTCTGAACTGCTTGCCTCAGTTAATTCCTGGCACCTAATTCTGTCTTGCTTTTGGTCTTAGCGGTTACTGTCTGATTATTCCTTAGACTTCTCTTCACTCTTTGGGTCTGGGTTTCCCCCCAACTCCCCACCCCCGCCCCCTCATCCCTACTGATAACAGGAGGTAGAAAGAAATTATTTAAGCAGATAGTAAGGGCAACAGAGTCCTCGGCAGATTTTCCGTTTTAATAAAAACAGCCCCCAAATCACTTCTTTTCTAACAAAGAGCAGCCTGAAAAAACGAGCTGCAGACATAAATAAGCAAGCTGGAAGCTTGCACATGTGAATGTGCCGGCAGCTGTGCCAATAGGAAAGGGCTACCTGAAGGCCAGGCATGTTCAACATGGAGGCTCCATCTTCCCCCTTCTTTGTCACCACGTGTACAGAAAAGAACCAGGCAACATGGCACCAGCCGGGCAGCGAACCCATCTGCATAGTAAAAAATTATGGTGGGGCGGCCAGCTTTTACACGCACTATGCAAATAGCACACCTGGTGCAACCAGTCTTTCATGCCTTATGTAAATCGGACACTACCCCCTCAAGCTCATCTATAAAACCTGCATTTCATTGCGGACGCGGCAACCATTTTCTCTGGGACCCCTCTCTGTAGCAAGAGAGCTCTTTCTTTCGCCTATTAAACTTCCACTCTGAACCTTACCCTCTGTGTGTCTGTGTCCTAGTTTTCCTTGGCCGTGAAACAACGAATCCCAGGTATTTACCCCAGACAATGATGCTGCTTCACTATGCTGGTTAAAACTTTCTTTCCATGCTCAATTGATTTTCATTTCTTCTACAAACATTCCTCTCTTTCCAATCTGAAGCCGAACCTTCTCCCTCTGACCTACCATTTCCATAGCTATGTGTGCAACTTGGGTTATTTACCTTATGAACAGTCCCAATCCAGTGCTTTAACAATGGGGGATGACTCACTTTCCCTAAGAACTTCCCTCACCAGCTGGGTGGGCTGCAGCTGCCTCTTGGTTCCACAAGGTCCAGACACAGAGCCCTTAGCTGATTGGATTTAGGGAAGACATACTTAGATGCTGTGAGGCAACTGTTTTCTGTGCTTCACCTAGAAAGGCAGAGTAGGACAGGTGGAAGAAAGACAAGAATGAAACAGACACAGAGAAACAGAGGTGAGGTATGAGGACTGCTCAGATAGCTGAGGGCTTTCTGACTGTGACTACCTCCCTTGAGAGGTCCGGTCACTTAAGCCTCAAGGCTTCACAAAGCATTCTTGAGTCCATTCCGAATTTTAGTCCTTAAGTCCCCTGAATTGTTGCCCTTTACTTACAACCAAAGAGTTTGTTGAGACAAATACATACGCAACAGAAGTTTTGACTTCATTATGAAATAAGTGACTTTTATAATGAAATTAGATTTGAGTTGTCAGATAGGTGGCCTCCTCTATCTTTGTGTCATTACAAGAACTGTTCTTTCTTCCCGCATCACACAAGCTCATAACTTGTTGGAGTTTTTTCTGCGCTGTGGGATTCAATGCATGCCTGCAGACCTCAGCCCACTGAGAATCCTTGGAGGCAGGAGTCCTGTTGACTCCCCTCTGCAACCGCAAGGTCTAGCAAGCATTTAAATGCCCGTGGCACGTGGAAGTTCTTTTTTTTTTTTTTTCCAGTAAATGCCAAGTGAGCAAGTCTCCACACTCAGGTTTGCAATGATGTGCCTGATTTTGCCCAAATTGGTGTCCTTGGAGAGCCTGCTGTAGAAGAAAGTGCTGTTCTAGAAACAGCCCTGGAAATTAGAAAGGAAGGGCCTAGTTTCCCATTATTCTGTGTTCTTGGACTTGGATAATTCTCAAGTACTGTCATCCAGGCAAATATTTTGCTAGTGTTCACCAAAGAAAATTAGCAACAGCTTGGCAATATTTAATGAAAAATTATTGATAATTAAAAAGTCTTCATTATCACTGATGCAGAATAAGAGACCATCATGTAAAAATGAGAAAAATACCATACTGGCATTTTTTTTAATGGGGCATAACATAACCTTTCTACCTTTTTCTAGGCCAAATGTTAGCTGAATTTTTAAGTTTGCCAGCATAGTTTAAGATAGGTTCCAAAACAAAAAAAGGTTGACTCTAAACAACATATATCCATTGTGATCGATGCATCACACATATTATTCATTGGAGGAAATGTTACGCTTCTTAGGTAACTTCATGGGGGGAAATCTTGAAAACAAGAGTAACCACTTATTGAGCATCCACTCTTCTCCTGGAACTTTATGTTATTTATGAACATTATTGCTAACACTCCTGATTACCTGGAAAAGTATATTTTATTATTGCCCTCTTGCATTTATGGAAATCAAAGTCTGCCCAGGGTCACACAGCTGGTAAAAGGTTTGGGCTGGGATTCATGTGCATCCTATTTCCAAAGTCTTGTCCTTGACACATTTTAGCCCAATAAGCAAATAAGGATATTATTTTGCATAAACTCTTTGGGTTGCTATTTTCCTAAAGGACCTCAGTGGCACAGCCAGAGCTTTTTATTATAAATAGACTAGTAATGTAAACGCTTCACCAAGGCTGGGGTGAGTTGGTGTCAGGCATCCCTTGCACATCACTCTGCTAAAGTAGGCAATAGCAAGCCTCATGCTTCACATGACAGGGTCAGCCAACTCCACCCAGTGCCTTTCCTGTGGGTTGCAACAGTAATATTAATAGATATCAGATAAGACCATCTTGAGTCCATCTGGCACGTGTTCCCATTACACTGCCTCAGAAAAGAAATTTTAACAGAACAAAAATCTCTCATAAATCTGCATAAGTATACAATTCTACTGTTGAAGCGTACCACTGTGTTGTTAATAGTTACTTCCGAAATCATGCCAACCGCAGAAAAATACAGGTAGAAGGTATCCCTGTCTTTACATATAAGTCCAAGGAAAGAATGCCAGGCCACAGGCTCATGGAATTGGGTCCCAGGAGAGGAATTTATCACTCTGAATTTAATTTTGAAAACAAATTCTCATTTCTTCTTTGCATTTTTCAAAAAGATAACTCCTTTTTTTTTTTTTTTGATGGAGTGTCACTCTGTCTCCAGGCTGAACTGCAGTGGCTCAATCTCGGCTCACTGCAACCGCCACCTCCCAGGTTCAAGCGATTCTCCTGCCTCAGTCCCCTGAGTAGCTGGGATTATAGGCAAGCACCAACACGCCCAGCTAATTTTTGTATTTTTAGTAGAGACGGGGTTTCACCATCTTGGCCAGCATGGTCTTGATCTCTGGACCTCGTGATCTGCCTGCCTCAGCCTCTCAAAGTGCTGGGATTACAGGCGTGAACCACTGTGCCCATTGAGAACTCCTGCTTTAATGACACATGGCAGGACTGTTCCTTTAGGAAGTACTTAGACAAAAAGGAAAGGTTCAGCATGGTCTTGTGTGATATCTATTTTTATAATTGCTACAAACCATGGGGAAAACACTGGGCAAAACTGGAACTGTTCAATCTTTTAGGCCTCAGTTATACAGAGAACACGGAGCTGGAATTAGCTTTGGAAAACCTGAATTCAAGCCTGGCTCTGATATTTAAAGACTGTGTGTCCTTAGAAAAGTCACTTCACCTCCCTGAGCTTTTGTTTTCTTCTCTATATAATGGAGTAAGTCATAGCTGACTGGATTATTTATAAAAACTAAATGATATAGTTTAAATGAAAGCCTTCCTAGCTAGGGTCAGGTAGCTAGGGCATTGTAATTATATTTTGCCCAACTGTTTCTCCTCTAGAAATATGAGCTATTTATGAGTAGGGAACGTGACTTATTCACTCCTGTTTTTGCAAAGCACAGGATCCTTGAATAGTTGTGCTCCCTCAGGATAATTGTTCAATGAATGAATGAATCAATAAATAGATGGGTGTGTAGATGTTGCAAACTTCGCCGTGGTACATGGTGTTGAATAATACATAGGAATCACTAAGGTCCGGAACAAGTCTTTTTTTTTAATTTTTAATTTTTATAAGTACATATTAAGTGTATATATTTATGCGGTACATGAAATATTTTGATACAGGCATACAATGTGTAATAATCACATCAGGGTAAATGGAGTATCCTCACCTCAAGCATTTATTCTTACTTTGTGTTACAAATAATCCAATTATACTCGTTTAGTTATTTTTAAATTTACAATAAATCCTTGTTTTCACCCTGTGTGCTAGCAAATACTAGGTCTTATTCATTCTTTCTAACTATTTTGGACCCATTAACCATTCCCACTTTCTTCCAACCCCCTGCTCCACCCTTCCTAGCCTCCGGTAACCGTTGTTCTACTCTCTATCTCCATGAGTTCCATTGTTTTATTTATTTATTTATTTATTTATTTATTTATTTATTTATTTATTGAGACAGAGCCTCACTCTGTCACCCAGGCTGGAGTGCAGTGGCACAATCTCAGCTCACTGCAACCTCCGCCTCCTGGGTTCAAGCAATTCTCCTGCCTCAGCCTCTCGAGTACCTGGGATTACAGGCACCTGCCACTACGCCCAGCTAATTTTTTTGTATTTTTAGTAGAGATGGAGTTTCATCATGTTGGCCAGGTTGGTTTTGGACTCCTGACTTCAAGTGATCCACCCGCCTTGGCCTCCCAAAGTGCTAGGATTACAGGTATGAGCCACCACATCAGGCCCAATTGTTTTATTTTTAGCTCCCATAAATAAGTGAGAATATGTGAAATTTGTCTTTCTGTGACTGGCTTATTTCACTTGACATAATGATCTCAAGTTCCGTCCATGTTGTTGCAAATGACAGAATATCGTTCTTTTTTATGGCTGAGTAGTACTCCATTGTGTATATGTACCATATTTTCTTTATCCATTAATGTATTGATGGACACTTAGGTTGCTTACAAATCTTGGCTATTGTGAGTAGTGCTGCAATAAACATAAGAGTGCAGATATCTCTTCAGTATACTGATTTCCTTTCCTTTGGGCTTACACCCAGCAGTGGGATTGCTAGATCATATATATGGTAGCTATATCTTCAATTTTTGGAGGAAGCTTCAAACTGTTCTCCATAATGGTTGTATTAATTTACATTTCCACCAATAGTGGATGATGATTCCCTTTTCTCCACATCCTCACCAGCATTTGCTGTTGCCTGTCTTTTGAATAAAAGCCATCTTAACTGGGGTGAGACAATATCTCATTATAGTTTTGATTTGCATTTCTCTGGTGATCAATGGTGTTGAACACCTTTCCATATACATACCTACCGTTTGTATGTCTTCTTTTGAAAAATGCCTTTTTAGATCTTTTGCTCATTTTAAAATTGGATTATTACATTTTTTCCTGTAGAGTTTTTTGAACTCCCTATACATTCTGTTATTGATACCCAGGTGGGTAGTTTGCAAATATTTTCTTTCATTCTGTGGGTTGTCTCTTCACTTTATTGATTGTTTTCTTTGCTGTGCAGAAGCTTTTTAACTTGGTGTGATCCCATTTGTCCATTTTTGTTTTGGTTGCCTGTGCTTGTGGGGTATTATTCAAGAAATCTTTGCCCAGTCCAATGTCCTGGAGAGTTTTCACAATGTTTTCTTATAGTAGTTTCACAGTTTGAGATCTTAGATTTAAGTCTGTAAGCCATTTTGATTTGATTTTTGTATACAGTGAGAGGTAGGGGTTTGGTTTAGTTCCTCTGCACATGGATATCCAGTTTTCCCAGCACCATTTGTTGAAGAGACTGTCCTTTCCCCAATGTATGTTCTTGGCACTGTTGTTGGAAATGAGTTCACAGTAGATGTATGAATTTGTTCCTGGATTCTCTATTCTATTCCACTGGGTCTGTGTGTCTGTTTTTATCCAGCACAGGTCTTAATCAGCTCCTCCCCAACCTGGGATCATAAAGCCTGCCAATCCTTTGCATAATTCAAGACTTCATCCTGAACCATTTGCTGGGCCATCTTGCACCCACCTCCCACCATCTTTCCAATCCTCTTTACTGTGACACAGTGATACATTTTTAAATTTTTGTCTTAGTTCACAAATTGGACCCAACTATCATTACCACAACCTCGCCCGATGATTCTCGAAATCAGGCAAGCATCAGTATTGCTTGTGGGGCTTGTTAAAACACAGATTTCTTGGCCTTACTCCAAGAGTTCCTGATTCAGCAGGCCTGGAGAGGAGCCTGAGAATCTGCATTTCTCACAAGTTCCCAGGTGATGTTGCTGCTGGTGGTCTGGAGACCCCACTTTGAGAACTCTAGTCTAGGCTGTGATCACTACTCTTTTACAGGGAGTCCCCACCCAGGGGCTGTGGGTGGCATATCGCAGTTTCCTCTCTGATGCTCTTGGGCACAGCCCCTTCAGAGCACAAGGAGGAGAGAAGGGGTGGGGCTAGGCTGTCCAGTTCACCTCTCAAGTTGGATCTCTTAGATCGTTGGGATTTTAAGCCACTGGAGCCTAGGAGTTTGGCAGCCAGTGGTGTGCTGGTAAATTTTAACAACTGGCCATTGAGAGCTTCAAGAGGTGGGTGGGCACCCGGATTTGTAGCATTTATCAATTTCTGTAGTATGAATACGACATAGCCAATTTCCAGCAACCAACCTAATGTCAAGTGGCTCACAAAAATCCTGAAAATGTAACAATGGGCTCTCATGAGCCAGTACTAATATGAATAGATTCTAGCACACCACTGCTTGGCCACCAGCCTGCTAGATTTCTTACATTCTTCCTACTAGCCCTGTTCTCCTGGATAGCTCCTTCTCCCTTTCATTCTTTGTCCCTCTGTTACAGATTTCTTGAAATTGCCTGGCTCAGAAACTTCGCCATTCTGTTCTGCGCCATCACATCTGCCCCCTGTCCCACTGCCCTACAGAGAGTCCTTCCTTCAGGTTTTATTGCTTGGTCTGGCCTGGGCCAGACCTTCTTGGCCTCAGCTTGCTGGCTGCTTCTTTGTACAGTCGTTGCTCTGCTCTGATTCCTCCACAGTCTTGATGGCTTCCCTGCTTTTCCTCCCCTGATCAGCCCCCCTTCATGGGCACACATCCTTCCAACATGTGAGAGAAGTTGGCATGGTAAAAAATGAGTAAAATCAGAATGAACTCTTTCCATATTTTATTCAGGAATGGCATTTCACAGGTTCTCTCTCTTACTGATTCCAGATCCAAAGGGAGATATCGATCCATGGAAGATGGTTGCTCTCGGAAAATGCTGAGAAGTTTGCAAAAGGAATGGAAGCAGAGTTAACCAATGTATCAGGAAGCTTACACTTTCTCCTTTTAAACTGCTGTGCTGGTCTATTAAGACATGCCTAATACCCAAAGCTGAGGGGCAAAAGGGGAGAGAATGAAGTTTATGCGTCTGTGTCATAGAGAAAAGCTGCCAAAATGTGATTAAGCTTTTTGAGTTAGAACTTAACAAAATGCCTTTGCTACTGGTTTCCATGGTTGTCCAGTGAAAAGAGTGAATACATTTATAGGAAACACAAAAGGTGGTTTCAGAGCTTGGGCAGGATGGAAGACGTATTTCTTCTACTATTCGCTCCTGTGAGTTTAGTGCCACAGACCTGCTCAGGCATCTGGGAGATGCCGGTGGGAGATGCCAGGGCTGAGCAGGTTTGAATTTCTTCCTAAACAGGGAATAAAGACCTTGAGGAAGGAATATAGATATTGAGGAAGACCCAGCTCCTCACTAATGAGCTTACCTGCTTTTCTTGGGACAGCTTGCCTTAAAGTAGACAGTGCTGTCATGGGCTTCTGGATCTTAGAAAATGCTTCTCATTCTAGGGGATTTTGGCCATGGAGACCATCGCACAGCTCTTCTCCCTTCTCCTCTTGGCTGCCATCCCAGTAAACAGGTCCTTCCCAGAACCCACAGAGGAGAAAGGCGTTGGAGAGGTGGTAAAGATCGTTGGCGGGCTAGGTGGCAATGTTAAGTCCTGAAAAACGCTGTGCGTTGGGGAGTTTCTTAGAACACTTGTGTTACTACAAAGGAATACTTGAGGCTGGGTAATTTATAAAGAAAGAGGTTACTTTGGCTTGCAGTTCTGCAGCCTGTACAAGAAGCAAGGCACCTGCATTTGCTTCTGGTGATGGCTTCAGGCTGCTTCCACTCATGGTGGAAGAGGAAGGGGCACCAGTATGTGCAAATCACAACAAGGTGAGAGAGAAGGCAGGTGGGGAGATGCCAGGCTCCCTTTTAACAATCAGCTCTCATGGGCACTAGTAGAGTGAAAACTCACTTATTGCTATGAGGATGGCACTGAGCCATTCATGAGGGGGTCCACCCTCATGGCCCTAACACCTCCCTTCAGGCCTCACCTCCAACATATGAGTCCTATCTGTGCCCTTACTTTTTTGGAGTCAGCATCTAAAATAGTCACTGCTTTGCTCCAACTGGTGTCTCCAGTAACTTGATGGGGACAACCTTCATCTTCTTCCACCTGCTCCATTCATGAACCATGTCTCCTTGTCCTGAAAGGACCAAAGGGTTTCAATTTTCTTAAGCTGTGCCTCAGTTTCCTCATCTATAAAATGAGCATAATAGGAGTACGTACCTTAGTTTAAGAGGACTAAGTAGTTTATATGTGACCACATATTAACTGAACTCATTTCATATCTCCAACCACCTACACAACATCTTTATGTCTAACAGAATCTTAAGTTTATTGTGGCAGTATGGAAACCTTGATTCTCCACTTCCCAAACCTGCTCTTCCCTGATGGTTCCTCTTACTGGTTAGTGGCACTGTTGTTCACCCAGCTACTCTGGCCAAAACCTTTGCCTCCTCTCTTTTGCTCACACCCCACATCCAATCCCACAGGAGACTGGACCTCTTCTCGCCTCTCCTATCACAACCCTAGTCCAAGCCAGTAGCCGGTCACCTGGATTGTGCACTGGACATTTCCACTCTCCCTGCGCCCACCCTTAATCCCTTTACTGCTGCCAGAGGGACACTTTGAAATTACTAGCCAGCCCATGAGCCTCTACTTCCAATCTTCTAATGGTCTCCCACATTTACAGTAGAATCCACTGTCCTTACCAAGGCCAAAACATCCCACCTATCTGGCCCCTGGCTGCCTCTCCAGCCTCATCTCCCTCTTCTCTCACCATTGCTTTTTCTGCCTTAGCCACGCTGGCCTGACTGCCTCCAGCTCAGGGGACACCTTGCTGTCTCCACAACCTTGTGCTCCCTGAGCTGGATATCATTCTCCTGATATCTGCGTACTTCACCCATCTCACTTCTGGTACATCTCTCACCCCCTGGATACCTCACCTTAAAATAGTACCACTGGACCCCCTCTGCCATGTTACACTGCTTTAGTTTTCTCATACTTGCTTATTACTCCTGAAACAGCAATTTGTAAATTGTCTCTAGCACCAGACTGTAAGGGCGGTAAGGACAGGGGCTTTGAGTGTCTTGTTCTCTGCTCTGTCTTCAACTCCTAGATGTGTCTCTAACGTGCAGTAGGTCCTTAGTAAATATTTATAGAATGCATGAATGAACCAGTAAGTATAGTGCCTGGCACATGATTAAGTGTTGAAGAAGTGTTAGTAATTATTATGGGCATTACTCACACTGCCAAACTACTTCGTGAATTTTCCCAGGGGTAGGGAACTCCTCATCTTCATATTTTAAACAGAACATCACTTTATTGAGCTAGTACCATAATGGGAACTTTAACAACCATTACTTCATTTCATCCACACATCAGCCTTATGAATAAGTGTTACTGTTCCCACTTTGCACATGAGAAAAAGAAGGATCAAAATGTCAAATGACCACCAACTACTCCATTCAGGATCACTTATACGGTTTGGCTCTGTGTCCCCACCACAGTCTCATCTCAAATTGTAATCCCCAGGTGTCTTGGGAGGGACCTGATGGGAGATGATTGGATCATGGGGGCAGTTTTCCCCCATACTGTTCTCGTGATAGTGAGGGAGTTCTTGTGAGATCTAATGGTTTAAAAGTGGCAGTTTCTCCTGCGCTGTCCTTCTCCTGTCGCCTTGTGAATAAGGTGCCTTGCTTCACCTTCTGCCATGATTGTAAGTTTCCTGAGGCCCTCTAGCCATGCAGAACTGTGAGCCAATTACACCTCTTTTGTTTATAAATTACCCAGTCTCAGGTAGTATCTTTATAGCAGTATGAGAACGGACTAATATATTCACAAAGCTGGAGGAGGGAGTGCTGTGAGTTAAACCCATCAGTCCCAAATCCGTTTCTCTTTCAACCACTCCCAGCATTGGTTCCGGGAACCCCAGGCATGGAGCTCTCCTTCCTCAAGATGCCCATAGCACCTGCTTTTCGTATTTGATGAATCTTGCCTTGCACTGTCATCAGGGGTCTCTCCCTCCGCTCCATGAGTTCCTTGAGAGCCGAGACCAAATCTTACTCCCAGAGCACAGGGCTGGGAATACAGCAGGAGCTCAGAAACATCTTGACTTGGGCTAGTGTGAGGAGTGGGAGAAAAAAGGGGAGGATTGTGTGTGCATGTAAGAGTGGGTCCTTTGCCTCTTAAAAAAGTATCTACTGCAGCTTGTGCTGAATATGAGTGTTTGGAATCCTCAGTATGATCAGGGAGGGCACTCAGAGAGAAGAGCTGGAATGATCTATGTGAGGGTTCCCCATTCAGTGTCATCTGGAGCAAATAGTCTTCCCCAGAGTTTACAAGTATATGCAAGCCCAGGGGACACAAGAAGCCAAGGTAGCCAAAGTTCACCTACCTGCTATGACAGCCCCCTGGGATGAGTCTTCTCCTCATTTAATAAAATAAATTAGGAGGGCTGGATATGCCCTAAAATAATGGTTCCATAACTGCAAAGAAGCTGACTGTAACTCTGCCACCTGTTAGGAACAGGATGTCACTGTCACTGAAACAGAAGACTGAAAATTAGCCCATGCTATATATAAATTAGGAGGGTGGCGGGGGGGCGGGGAACTGGGAACATCTTGTTTTGACATTCAGCAATATTTTCAAGGCTCTCTAAAGAAACTTGGAAGAAAAGAATGTAAAAGAGTCCAGGACCTAAAGGGAAATAAGGACCTGATTTTCAATCACATTTTGACCTGAAAATGAAATCAAGGCCTATATTGTGATGACTTGAGTAGCTTGCTGTCCTACAGCTGCACAATTGAAGTGGTTTCATTGCTGTGAGTACCTTCTGCCACTCACTAGATTCTGGAATTAATCCTCTGCCAGGCTAAAAGCAGAAACAGCTACGGATCTAACACTTCCTAGGAAGAAGTATTTAGCAGAAGCAGTGGTGTTCAATGTGGAGGCATTTTAACACAGGGTTCCGGAAGGTTCATTTGCATCCTGCACTGACCCAGCACAGGGTCTGTAGTGGTCACAGTGGTTGAATTCCCACCATCTATTCCTTACCAAATAATCAGACTAAGCCAGTGGTTCTTCATGAGAGGCTATTCCCCTCCCCTACTAAGGTGACATTGGCAATATCTAGCAACGTTTTTAGTTGTCATATCTGGGGAGGTGCTACTGGCATCTCATGGGTAGAAGCCAGGGATGATGTTTAACATCCTACAATGCACAGGAAAGCACTTCAACAAAGACTTACCTGCCCCAAAACGTTAAGAGTGCCGATGTTGAGAAAACTTGGTGGTCTATGGGGTTTGATTTGCCAATGCCTGCTTTAAGAATGAGTGTAAGACTTCATCCCAGCAAACAGTCTTGAAGCAAAGTCTGTTGGAAGCTATTTGAGAAAGGTTCTCTCATTCTTAAGAAGAACCAGAAGAAACTGTCTCTTTTCTTTTGGCTGTTGCAGTGTTTGAATATGACTTCTGGACCTGTTGTAGCCACTTTGAGTCCCTGAAGGGAATAATTTTGAGAGCAATCCAGCCATATCCAGTAAAGCCGTAGGTGTGCATAACTTGCGACCAGCAATTCAGCCCATAGACATATGCCCTGGAGAAGTCTTTACACAAGTGCACCAGAAGACAAGTACACAAGTGTTCCTGGCAACATTGTAATACTGAAAACTCACCAATATTTGTTTGTGAATAGGCAAATGGATAATTAAATTGTTACATAACTATTAAAAATAAATATTTAGGGCCGGGCGCGGTGGCTCACGCCTGTAATCCCAGCACTTTGGGCGGCCGAGGCAGGTGGATTGCGAGGTCAGGAGATGAGACCATCCTGGCTAACACGGTGAAACTCCGTCTCTACTAAAAATACAAAAAATTAGCCGGGCGTGGTGGCGGGCACCTGTAGTACCAGCTACTCAGGAGGCTGAGGCAGGAGAAAGGCATGAACCCAGGAGGTGGAGCGTGCAGTGAGCCGAGATTGGGCCACTGCACTCCAGCCTGGGCGACAGAGCGAGACTCCGTCTCAAAAATAAAAATTAAAATTAAAAATAAATAAATAAATAGCAGTGACAGTAAATAAATTATGCCTGTGGATGCATGTCACAAATATAAAGTTGAGTGAAAAGTACAAATTGAATTTTTCTCCCCCGGGCACGTCTTTGCTGCAAAGGCCCTGGTGGCCGAGACCAAGGCTGGCTGTTTACGTGAGGCCAGCCTTGCAGGTGGGGCAGAGAGGAGGAAATTTTGTTGTAAGAACTGGGACAAAGTTGGCTTCTGGAACTCCCAAAGAAAATATTTTTCTGGCAAGGGGAATGCAAGGCAAGGCTTCTCTGATGTGTAACTGATAGCCTCAGAAGGTGTAAGGTTAAATAATGATCTCATCAGTATAACAGGAGCTGGACAGTATTAATCAGTGGTCCAATTCAAAATAAAGCCACACTGCTATAAGCAAAGTAATGAAGGCTTATTGTGACCTGGGGCTCCTTAATGACACAGATTTGATTCCCACTTAATGGGCAACTGAATAATGCAGCTGATAGCACAGACCAGTGGGGAAGGCAGACCAGAGGGGTACAGGAGGCTGCCTGGGATGAGGCATCTAAAGGCTGTTATCACATGTCACATCATCAGACCTTGAATTTGCTATTAAACAGCAAATAAGCAAATATGCCACTTACAGAAGACCTTTCCAAACTTCAAGGCATCTACTAAAATTATATTTATCTCTCTTTGATATACCAATCACGCAACTCTAAACTATTTATGCAGAAACTAATCTACATATTAAATTGTGCCAATAAATGTTGTCTTCTCTGTTTACATAAAATGAATTGCAAGTCATTCCCATATGGTTCCTTAAATCTGTGGCCTAAATATATTTTTTTTAATTTCAGAGAAACTTTTATATCTTGTGATCTTTATTCTCAGATATGTAATTTTTTTTCTCACTGCTTATTTTCCTAATGTAAATTTCTCAGTTATTATAGTGGGGAATTTTTTTTAATTGGATAACCTTTGGGAGCATGATGAGGATAGAAAAATGATTGAGTATTGTACACATTATCATTAAATGGATAAACTTCTAAAATCAGGATTGTGCATGCTGAAAATAAGTTTAAAATATTGCAAATTTAAGTATCTTTTGTCAGAACATGAGAAAGTTGAGGGAAAAATAGTGGAAAGTTCCTAAAAGGGAAACAAAAAAAACAGCTTACACTATTAGTGATGACTATTTTCTTTCTGTTACGATATCTGAATCTTTAATACCAGTAGAAATTAGGTTCCAAACTAAAATTGTTCATTATAATTGCTCAGCATCAAGTAATTTTTATGTTGGATAAAGACACAACTCAATTGCTCTCTCTGATATCAATGTGGGGAACAATCCACTATGTTTCTCATTTGGTGTTAATATTGTGGCCTCAGATTTCCTCTCATAATTGCTTCAATAATTACAATCTATACATAAAAACTGAAACTCATTATTTATGAGCTTGTAGTTCTGTTGTATGTGTACAAGAGCTATTCAAAGAATAGTTGAAAAGGAAAACTATGAATAAAATATTATTCTCATGAATTTTTGCTGTGTAGCTTTCAAAGAATGTTCTATGCTTAAGCATGCATAGGGGAATTTTTGTTTTATTGGATTATTTTGGAAACTATATCAGTTTAATATTTTAATATCCCTGCCTATTTTTCTTTGAAAAGGAACCATTTCTGCTTGATAAAATTATTTGCATTTTTTAAATGTTTATCCTTTCAATTTAAGTATGTCAGATCCTTTCCTGCTTGCTTTAAATCATTCTGAAAATATTCTTATTTTATTTGCATGTTATTAAATATGGGTTCTGGTGGGATGTTTGTTTTTTAAAAAAGAAATTGCAGAAATATATAAAAAATTACACCATTTATATAAAGTTTAAAAATATTCAAAATATTATATATTATTTATATAATACATACATATATGATTTTAATATAAAGTACTGCATGGATAAATTAACACCCAGTACAGATAAATCCATGAACAGTGACATAAGTATAATTTTGAGATTTTCAATAGACTTATATTTCAGAATCAGACATATTTCCTAGATGAAAGTTATAAAGGATATGGATAAATAGAAGATGACCAACAGGTTTGTTTTAATTGACATATAAAGGAACCTTATATCCTTTAAATAAGGCAGATTAAGAAAGTGATATTGGGCCGGGCGCGGTGGCTCATGCCTGTAATCCCAGCATTTTGGGAGGACGAGGCAGGCGGATCACCTGAGGTTGGGAGTTCGAGACCACCCTGACCAACATGGAGAAACCCCCATCTCTGCTAAAAATACAAAATTAGCCGGGCGTGGTGGCAGTTGCCTGTAATCCCAGCTACTTGGGAGGCTGAGGCAGGAGAATGGCTTGAACCCGGGAGGCGGAGCTTGCAGTGGGCCGAGATCGCGCCATTGCACTCCAGCCTGGGCAACAACAGCGAAACTCCGTCTCAAAAAAAAAAAAAAAAGAAAGAAAAAGAAAGTGATATTATAGTCTCCAGACCTAAAATTACAAAAATTATTTCTAAGTACTTCTCAAACATTTATTAAGCATGTTTGATGTACAATTTCATGAACAAGAGAGGCCGCAAAATATACTTTGTTGGTGCATGTCACTGAGTAGTTTCTATAACACATGTGCTACCACATCCAGATTCCAAAATAGCCCCTTTTAGGAAACACATCTACTGCGTCCAGGACTTGCTTTCAAAAGAGAGCATGAAACATATCTCAATCAATGCTAATTTTCAGAACACAGAATTCAGTCAGTTTCTCCCAGAGTTGCAGTTCCCAGTGCAGCCTCTGCTCACTCCCAGGAATGCCAGGCCCTTTCTCTGCAACCCAGCTCAGCCTGGACTCACCCCTTCTGAGCCTCAGAAACATGCAGAGTCCTCTCTCAGTTGGACACCTCTTCCCCTCTTCCAGGCAGGTGACATTCACTACCAGTGTGAGAAATAGAAATGTGGTGCCAGGTAGATGAACTTACCAGCTCCTTAGCCTACTCCGACCTCCCCTTTGTCCCAAAGGGCTTCTGTCTGCCATTTCAGGGATTCATGCCCAGAGTCTCAGAAGATTCCTATAGCCTCGCATTTGATGATGCAGCTGTGGTACCCTTTCTCAACCATCCTTTAAAGTGAGCGTAGTAATCCCATCCCTGCTTTTGAAATCTGGGGCATCTCCATCACTTCCAAGAGTCCAACAAGCATCATCTCTCTCTTGCAACCTCTAGGAATATCTGGGTTCTCTTGTTGGTCTTAAGATCTTAGAACCACAAAGACAGACAATCCACTCGTGCATATTTCAATGTCAATAGCTGGAAACGAAAATAAATAAATACATAAATAAAATAAAATAAAATAAAAACAGATGCTATGTTTTAACCATTCCCATCGTAGATTGACCCAGAGGGTGTATATTCCTTAGAACATAAAATTATTTTGTAATCAGATGTATTTAGCAGACATTCCAAGCACTTTCATTGCCATGGAGGTCCCCAGGCCCAGAAAGTCCAGAGGAACCAGAGGTGCCCTCAGCTCAGCCTCTGCATGAGATAGTATACATTTGCTGATCTTTCCATACTGTTCTCCTTTCTATGATATGCTGAGCTCAGCCCTGGCACATCCTTTTGGCTCAACTCCCCTTCAGTTGCCCCTTTTGCCTTAGAGATAAAGAAGCCATCGCAATTTAAATTAGTAATAACTTTCACCACCATTCTTTCCCCTCATCCCCATCCCCCACAAGTGGAGAGCTCACTGTCCCAGGGACTAATAGAGCCTAGGCACCAGAGAGAAAAATAGTATCTGACTTGTATGATTTAGGCCACTATTTGCATTTTGACAACGTTTGCATTTTACCAATAATCCTTAAGACTATTTTTATTTCTTAAAGATTAAAGTCATGTGAACTAAAAAAATATTTAAGTGCTTATTTTTCATTAAGCCGATCAATTAGAGCTCTTTTTATAGGCATTACACACAACATATATATATAGCAATATAGACAGAAGATTCAGCACTTGTAAGGTTTTTCATTTGCCAGTTTCTTAATTAGATCACTGCCTTCAGGATGGAACCCTTGGAGGAACAGGGTCACGATAGCACCCATTTTTAGGGCCTAATAAGCAGACACAGCTGAAGGCAAAGACAGATCCCAAAATTAAAGATGCCATTTTTTACTGGATTCTGGATCCCCAAAAGGAGAGAGATACTATAGGAGTCCCAAAGGCAGGTCAGTGCTTCTACCATGCGTTTCATTGTAAGGCAACCCAAAGCCAAATCAGCCCATTCTGCAATTAGCCCATCCCCCATGGGAGTCTCATCTCTTAAATGGGGGGTGGGGATGTTTCCATATCTTCCAGGTGGCCAAGAGCATGTTTCTCTGATTCAAATGTGCAAAGAGTTAAGTATCCCTCCATAACTACTATTAGCCATCCCTTAAAGTATATTTCCTACCTAGTTACTACACGCCAAAGCTCTTTCATAATGTTAAGTATTTTGATACCTCCAAAACTCAAAACTGTCACATAATAAAATGCAAAACAGAACACAACCTTTTTGATTTTGAGAGGAAACTGTTTGCTTTTGATTCCTCGGGTTTCATGAGGAAAACAGAGGGTTTTTTTCCCAAAACGGGGTCTGTGGCACCTCCTCTGCTTTTCCCAAGGAATCACAGGCTACCAGAAGTTACCTTAGGGCCTCTCATGTGTGCTTTAAGAGTGACAAGACAGGCCGGGCATGGTGGCTCACGCCTGTAATTCCAGCACTTTGGGAGGCCAAGGTGGGTGGATCATGAGGTCAGGAGATCAAGACCATCCTGGCCAATATGGTGAAACCCCGTCTCTACTAAAAATACAAAATAATTAGCTGAGCATAGTGGCACATGCCTGCAATCCCAGCTACTCAGGAGGCTGAGGCAGGAGAATTGCTTGAACCTGGGAGGCAGAGGTTTCAGTAAGCCCAGATCACGCCACTGCACTCCAGCCTGGGTGACAGAGCTAGACTCTGTCTCAAAAAAAAAAAAAAATGGAGAAAAAATAATTCAGTGGACTGAAAAGAAAAAAATCCTTTTTTCAGAAAAACAAAATCCAAGTAGAGAAAAAAACATAAAGACCTTTTCAGTATACCTATGATTTGGATATCCACTTTTAATTAAGCTGAGTGGTCTTTAAGAAAATTCTTTTACTTCCCTTTTTACTGGATTTTAGCCATGCCAAGCAGTTAAGATTTTTGGCTTTTGAACTTTACAGAAAGTAATCTCACAGGTGAAACCAACAAGTCTTAACTAAGTTATGACTTAGCCACGAGTGTACAAGGTATTTTTAAAAGGGTGATAAGCAGCTTTTAAAACTGTCATTGCAAAATTGTGACTGAGAAAGTGAAAGAGATCCAACCCAAACAACTCCATTTTGTTTCCAGCCCCCAAGCGGTCCTTGCCCATCCCTGGGTGTAGGGCAAACCAACTCTGGGAAGAGCCTGGTTACAGTTTGTAGCCTAAAACAAAGATGATAACAGCCCTTTTCTAAAATTTACTTCCAACTTGCCAGGAGACAAGACCAAGAAACTAACCACAAGATTAGATACCATGGCTTAGGAATCACAAAGCTGGAGGCTACAAGATTTTGACCTTTCCTAAAGTGCTCTCAAGATCAGTGCTTAAGATATTTTGTAAATCCTGCCCTTCATGGATCAACCGGCACCACCCAGATCAATAAACTGGCTTATCTGATTTTGTGGCCCCCACCCAAGAACTGACTTAGTAAAAGAAGACAGCCACCACCGTAAAATGGCAGAGACTGGAACAAAGTATTGCCATGCAGTTACAAGTCATGTTCCCAAGAACATGAGAGAAGATGGAGGCCTGCAGCCAAGTTTGTTACTGACCATTTTGTTGGGATGGCTTGAACAGTAGGTTTATAGGGTCCTGGGTCTGCATGTTTACCTAAGGTACCCTTTGTCTTGACAGAACCATACAGAAAGACACAAAAAGCACATCAGATTGGCTACAGCTTAAAACAAACCTCACAAATCCCTTTTCATTAATTAAAACTTTACAGATAATATGAACAACAATCCTTATTATTCCTTTTACCAGTTTGCAAAGGGAGAGGGAAGCCAAAAGCCCAACTGGTAAGAAATTTTTACACTTTTGCCAGCGTGTCAGCCTTCTGGGTTCCCTTCCCCCTAGCTTAACTCTAAGCCAAGCATTTTAAGGTTTGGAAAATTAACTGTTCCCAGGTTGGAAGAAAATTATAAAAGAAGATACAGGAGCCATTTCAAACCATGAAAGAAGGAAAAACACCATGGAAAAGTCTGGGGGTTCCAGTTAGGGTTGTCAAGAGGTAATGCCTCTCTTCCTATTGGAAATGGAGCTTCCCCTGTTTCTTTGCCTTTCTTATTTTCTCTTTTCCTTTTTGGCCTATGATAGGAGACATATTGCTCATCTCTGAAATTCTCTGCTGCCTGCAGAGCTGCCTGTTTTTCAGCTGCAGTTAGGGTTTGACTTAGTAGCAGCATAACATCCCTTCATGAGAGATCAAACACCTGAGTAAAATTTTGCAAAGCTTCTCTATAGCTATCAGGGTCATCAGAAAGTTGGCCTAAGTCTTTTTTGTTTGCCTAAGGTCCTGCAATGAGAAAGGACCTTGAAGGGGCCCCAAATAAGGGGGATCCTCAGATGGTTCCCCTGGAAGTTGCTTCTCTACTTTTGGGGAATTATTCCCTTTGGGCCTGCCTGATATGATTGCTGAAAGAACTGAGTGGGTTTTGTAATGCTTGCATAAGGTCTGGTAAGAAGGCCATGCCCTTGTGCAAAAGAAAATAAGCTGCTTTTTTTTAAAGTCTCAGGGTGAAAGGAGTCCCACTGCTTCAGCATGCACTCCAGGGGAGTGCAGGCTGAAGATGGTACCCATCTAGAAAGAGAAGCAAGAAAAAGGCTTCCCTTTAGTCTCCTTCCTTTCCGTGTGACCTAGGGTGGAGAGGAAGACAGTAGGGGTGCCCCTCTGCTGTTTTCCTTCTGTGGTTCCTGAGTCCCAGCACCTTGTTGAAAATGCCATCCATGGTTGCAGGCATGACCCCCAGCCATGGAAACAGAGGAACTAAGCTACTGGGATTTGTCACACTTACCCATGCAACCCTACTCCTCTGCCTGTGATTTCCCTTTGACTTCCTAGACTTCTGTGATCTGCCTGGATCCCTGAAAAGTGGATCTCAGGTGAGACTACATCACAGTTGCATTTGAGCAACTGTTGCAATTCCCTCTTTAATGCAGGAAGTGTGCTGGTTTGAGCTCTATATCATGCTATTATGGCCCATGCTAAAGCATTTACCCTTAGATAATGGTTCAAGTTAATGTCTGAACCTAAAATCCCCTTACTAATTACCATTCTAATTGGAGGCAGAATAGGTGCCTTAAAAGAACATAGGAACCAAATGGCCATTTTCCTGCTGATGAGACAGTATTGAAACTAAAATTTGGTGTTGGAGGACATTTTACTCCTAGTTGTTGAAGGCAGAATTTTCCTGTTCATAGAAGCAGCATAAGGCCTGGTCTTTAGCAGAGGGGCACAAAAAGGGAGAATTACGAAGCTAGAGTGTTTCTATAAAGGAGCGACAATGTGCCTCATGGAGAGGATCCCTATTCAACTAGGTGGCGCTGTTGGCCTTGAAATGCCATGTGCTCTCCAGACCAAGGGCAGAGAGTGATGCTCACTGTGGGGGGAGGGGGAGAACCCTCTGTTCCCAGAAAGTCACAAAGACACTTTCCCTTGAGCTATATCCCCATTTACTATGACATTCCCTGATCTTGCCAAACAAGATTACTTCCCTGAACTGTAAAACATCCCACACATTGCATACACAGAGAAGATAGGATATATGGTGGTCACAGACAGGGAAGGAGGAAATTACGATAGGAAAGTTGGAGATCCTGTTGCCGACATCCCATCGGGCAGTCAAAGGCTGGGGTCAGTCCAGAAGCCTTTAGATAACACCAGGGGGTAGCTCCAGCCAGAAATCCTCAGTTGCTCCAAAATCTCTTCCAGTCCCATGTGACAGCTAAGTCCTCCACGAAAGGAAGCTGGTTCAAACATGGCCAACATGCCCAGCAACCTGTGGTTGCTGGGGGATGCTCCATGTTCTCTCCAATAAGCCCCACATCTAAGTCTTTAAGAGCGGCAGCCACACTAACCATGTTTTTAATTGGCTGATGAATGCCTGCTATTGATTTCATTTGGTCCTAAAATGGAGGCTGAGAGCCCCAAAATGAAAGGACAGAGTTCAAGTCTGCTCCTCTACTCACCTTTTTGATGAATGCTGTACCTTGGTATCCCAGACAAGGTCCCCAGTATGAAGTGGCTACATTGTCTGGGGTATATACCCAGGGTTCATCGTCTTGTGCCAGGAAAATTTAGGACATGGACACACACAAGAAATTTAGGAGTGGAGGTTTAACAGGCAGAAGAAAAGAGAAAGAAAAACAGCTCTCTATTGAGAGAGAAGAGTCCTCTGAGCAGAAAAGACTGGCCAGTGGCAGATGCGCTGGATTTTATAGTCAGGCTTGAGGAGGTATCTGATTTACACAGGGCTCACAGATTGGTTCGATCAGGTATGATGTTTACAATAGCACATGGGGAAGGCTGGCCAGCCCATCCTAATCTAATTATGCAAAGGAACTTTCCGCTTGGCCAGTGCCATCTTATCTGCTCCTTACTGTACACGTGGCTGACAAAGAGAAGGGAAGATGGAGCCGCCATCTTGAACATGATTGGCACAACTGCCAGCATCTATGTCTGCAGGTCAATTTTACCGGCTGCTCTTTGTTAGAAAGGAAAATAATTTGGGGCTGCTTTTCATTAAAAGGAAAACCTTACCAAGGACTTCTGTGCCCTTACTACCCACTGAAGTAATTTCTTCTTAACTCCTGTATCAGTTTGAATGGAGATATTTTTACAGCAGGAGCTTGATCACCCCCATTCTACTGGTTGCTCCATGGAGTTCTAAGAGATATAAGGTGAGATCTTTTTTCTCCTTGAGCACCATGCCTGCCTCTGCATTCTTGCAGCTCTTTTTCCTGCCTCTGCAGCTGCTATGTTTCCTCATCCAACTGCCCCTGGAGCATTTGAGATGTTCTTTGCTTTGTTTCCATTTCTGCCACTATAACAACCATTTGGAGATGCTGGCCAATTGGGTCTTTCTGTTTGGGCCTCTAAGACACTGAAAGAGGCTGTCACTTCTCTAGCATCTCCGGTGTAAGACATGGCAGCTGAACCCATCCTTCCAGCTGTGCTCTGCAGGCTTTGCCACAGCTGCCCAGAAGGGCAACCCATGGCAGCAGGCCATGCAGCAGAAAAAAGCCATGCTTGCAGGTGACTGGTCACTCCGGGTCACCACAAGGGGCCTCTGCTTTCCCTCCTGCACCTGCCCAGCAGGCTTAAGTGTGCAGGCATTAGGCTCCTCCTCAAGAGGCTTGACGGGGCTGACCAGGGACCTGGTGTGGTCTGTACTGGGAGGAGGACCAATACTCTGGCTTGAAAGTTCAGCTTCAAAGACTTGGAAGGTGGCCGGGCATAGTGGCTCACACCTGTAATCCCAGCACTTTGGGAGGCCAAGGCAGGCAGATTGCCTGAGCTCAGGAGTTCACGACCAGCCTGGGCAACATGGTGAAACCCCATCTGTACTAAAAATACAAAAAATTAGCTGGGCATGGTGGCGTGCACCTGTAGTCCCAGCTACCTGGGAGGCTGAGGCAGGAGAATTGCTTGAACCTGGGAGGCAGAGGTGGCGGTGAGTCGAGATCGCGCCACTGCACTCCAGCCTGGGCGACAGAGTGAGATTCAGTCTGAAAATAAATAAACAAATAAATAAATAAATAGATAAGACTTGGAGGGTATATTTGGTGGGTAAAAACTCAGTGTTTGTTTCCCATTTAACTGCTACCCCCTTTAGGGTGCTGACTTTCCTGAAATATGCACATCCAATCCATTGTTCCACTGTTTCTTTGGGGCCAGTCAGGTAGATTATAGCTGGGAGGTGTTGGATCTAAGCTGGAAGATCACTCAACTACCTGCTGGCTCTTGCTGGAACTGTTGTTGTTGTTATTGTTGTTGTTGTTTTATTTCTCATTTCAGTAGGTTTTGCTCCCACTTACGAGTGAGAACATACGTTTGGTTTTCCGTTGCTGAGTTACTTCACTTAGTCTCCAATTCCATTGAGGCTGGCCCTGTTGTTTTATCAGGTCCAGGCTCTTTTGGGCTTTCCCTTCTTGCCAGGACCTCTGGAAAACAAGCAGACTCCCATGAGCTTCCTGGGCCCCTATGTTGCTACTTAGAAACTGAAGGCTTTGTGCTCATGACCCCCAGGTCCTTTCTAGCCAGGCATTCAATTATTCTATGAAATATGATCCGATTCTTTCTCCCAGCTGGTAGCTCAGCATCACCTACCTTGAAATATTAGTGCCCAGGTAGAAGGTTGGTCAAAGAGGATCAAATTCCCCTTCCTAGTCTACTGTATACAATAGGATTAAACGCAGCCATATCTCACTACCAGAGGGTTTTTATGTGGAGACAATGTTAATACGTTGTATTTGTACATTTTGGTAAAGTTTGAATACTTTAAAACTCTTGTATTGCAGTATGGTTTAGTGGAATGATGACTTGGGGTTTTTCCAACTTCTAATATGAATTTTCTTCTTTGGAAGCATATAAGTTTTCTCAATAAATTTTTAGTGTAAAATAAAGGGACTATCTACCTTTTTAACGGGGGCAGCCATTTCTCCTGTAAGGAATTACACTTAAAGAATCAGAAGGAGACTTATCAGTTTATTACGGCTTGACCAAGATGTCCTGATTCAGAATTTCCTGCTTTCCCTCTGCATAGTGTGAGTGTTCACATCTAAACCTGAGTAGTACAAAGTGTCTTTTAGTGTATTCCCTTATCAAATATGTGTCTGATAAAGAGCATCATCTTCAAGCAGAAGGCAAATATGTGATGAGTTTATTTAAGAACTTGCCAGAGGACAAGTTCAGGGTAGAGAAAATTCAGACAGAAGGAGAGTGTATTGTGCTCGCATGCGTGTGTGTGGGTGCGCGTGCGTGCTGTGTTTATGCTGTGGACTACAGCACCTGATGCAACAAATCTTTACTTCTGCAGATCCTCTGGGACTCTGCACCCTAATTCCACCTCCCTCCCAGAATCCCCTTGTTTATGGTTTGATTTATAAAATTGCTCAAACACTGAATGAGTTTAGTTTCCATATCCAGTAGAGCAGCAATGATGAAGGTAGTGTTTCCCATTGATATCCTAGTTTTTACATTTCCAGATGGTATCCACAATTCCAAAACTTTAACTTAAATATGTATAAATATACACATATATACATTTATACAAATATATGTACACACACATGCATATATATATACACTCACACCTCCACAGAAATGGTTTTTGTTTTCAAATAAATTTTTTTCATATTCTGCCATTTGTGCTTTTACTTCACTTTTAAACTTCTGCTGATTCCCAATTTTTGAGAGTCCTGGGTGTCCACAGTTCCATGGGCCCAGAACAGTGAGGAGCAGCAGGGCCATGGTGGGGGGTCCCAACCACAGTCCCAGGCTGACCCTCTACTCTTCCATTTCTTGCTTCTCTCCAGGCATTGTTTCAGTTTCACAGTTTCACCCCATCTGCTTCCCCAGGTAGCTGCAGTCCTCTCTCTGCCTTTAGGGTACAGAGACCCTGGAACACCTTCTCCTTTCCTCATTGGCTTCCAATTATCTGCAAATCATCACACTTTAGCATCTTCAATGGGCCCTGGGATCTAGGATAGAGTAACCGGCTCAGCAAGAGTGGTTCTCCAGCCTATTCATGGTGGGACAGTAGGGTCCAGGAAGCACAGTCCTCCCTGCTGGCATTTCTCATTCCCCAGACCTTGGTCTTCCATCCTTCTTCAATCCCCTCCTGTTTTTTCCTGTTACCCTAATTCCTTTGTTAAACATCAACCTCCTCTTTGAAGACACATGTCAGACCACCTAACCCTCCTCTCATTCTCTTGTCCCGAATCTTCTTCCTTTCATGCCCTCCGCCTATGCAATGCTGTTCATAATAAAAATACACGTTTGAAAGTTCACAAAAATAAAAAGGTGGTGTCTCCTCTAGAGATATCCTTGCAGCTGTTGTTGATCACTGTACAGAGACCGTAGATCTGAGTAACTGAGAGATACATCTTTGTCTATGACCAGCAGATCATCTTAAGACCTTGAGTCTTTTTTTTTTTTTTTGGAGACGGAGTCTCACTCTGTCGTCCAGGCTGGAGTGCAGTGGCGCGATCTTGGCTCACTGCAAGCTCCACGTCCTGGGTTCACGCCATTCTCCAGCCTCAGCCTCCTGAGTAGCTGGGACTACAGGCCCCCACCACCACACCCGGCTAATTTTTTTGTATTTTTAGTAGAGATGGGGTTTCACCGTGTTAACCAGGATGGTCTCAATCTCCTGACCTCGTGATCCGCCCACCTTGTCCTCCCAAAGTGCTGGGATTACAGGCGTGAGCCACCGCGCCCAGCCGAACTTGAGTCTTCTTAATCAAGGTAAGATTCAAATATTCATGTTCCTTTTTACCTCCCTTCCTTCATTCCATTTGTTCATTGGGAATGGAAAGATTGTTGAATGGCTTAGACATCCCAGAAACCACGCTATGCTTTTTGACTCAATAAAGCCTTTTCAAAATTATATCCATATTTTTTTTTCTGTATCTGATTCTCGCCCCTTGGAAAGACCAGTTTATTCACCGAATTCCCATTCTTGGAGAAAGATATCTCCCCTCATCTTACTAGAAGAGTTAAGGGTAAGGCTGTTACACTTGAATTGATGCTTCATTCAATCAGGGAGAACCTGCACCTGCAAGTAAGGTGATTAACGATGTTCTATGACTTCTTGTGGTTGTGGGTAACATTCCAGGAGAAATGCTACTTTCTTTAATTTGTTGTGAAATGATAACTAAAGTCACTCTCTCACAGGAAGCTCTTAGAACTGCAGTCTCCAACTGGGTTCGGAGTGGTCACTAAGGCTTCCAGGAACCTTGTGTGACCTCATTGCTGACATTGCTCAGATTTGTGGGTCCAGTTTAAACTAAAGCAATGGCAGCAAGATGAACAGGGTGACAGAGTGAGGAGGAAAATGAACAGAGGTTGGTCCTTGCCTTCCTTAGGGAAGAGACACACACAGTGAATAATTCAGGGCTCAGCAAATATTTTCTTCAATGAGCCAGACAGTAAATAGTTTAAAACGGGGATGCATCAAGACTTTTTAGCAGCCACTAAGTGAATAAACTGTGAGCCCATTGAGCTAGGCTTCTGCAGGATTTCTTTTCTTGGAGGCTTCTTTGGCTAAAGAGTTCTCCCTGGTCTCAGTGTCTAGCATGATGTTTGACAGGTAAAGGCTGCTAAGCAGCTGCTGGTTTGGACATGTTTAACAGGAGTATGAAGCAGTGACAGTTTCCAACTGAGTCAGGGTGAGGATGGCCCAAATACCCCTGGCCACCACAGCAGGAGTGGAAAGCTGAGAGAAAGAGTAGGGGTTTGCACCTGACTTAGGAACCAGAAAGTGTATCTTGGTTCTAGCAGCGTGTGTTCCACAGTTTAATTTCCTGATGGTGAAAAACCACCCCCACTATGAATATCTTTTCCCTATCCCTTTTCCTGACCCAGTCTTCCCAAACTCTCAAGTATTCCTGTCTACACTCCTGTACACTCATAGACTGACCAATGAAGAAGGCACAGTGAGTGTAACCTGGGAGGAGGCAGAGACACAGAGTACCAATCTCCTTCCACTGGCATGTTATCTCAGACCCTTGACAATGTGGCCTCTGTATTAGAGTTCTTGACAGGGACAGAACCAACTGGATGCAGATACGTATAGAGAGATTCATCTCAAGGATTTGTTTCATGCCACTGTGGGACTGGTGAATCTGAAATCTGCAGGACGGGCTGGCAAGCTGGAGACCCAGGGAAGAGTTGATGTTGCAGCTGAAGTCTGAAGGCTGTCTGCTAGCAGAATTCCCTCTTCCTTGGTGGGGGGTGGGTAGGGGCGCTCTGTCTCTTTCTTAAGACCATCAACTGACTGAATGCAGCCCACCACATCATGGATCGTACAATAATCTCCTTTACTCAGTGTCTACTGATTTAAGTGTTAATTGCACCTTTAAAAAAACACATTCACAGCAATATTCTAGCCTGGCCTTTGACCAAATGTCTGGGCACCATAGCCTAACCAATTTATACCAATTAACCATCACATGCTCCAAACCAATAGATAACATTTGATTTTTGCTTTTTTTCCGCATACTTTCTCTTTTGATAGTCAGAACCATCCCAATCAATTGGGATGCATGATATTGACCTAACCACCTAAGGCAACCTATTACTGAGTGTTTAGCTATTGGGATGGAAAATTTCCTCTGAAAACTATGTCATGAAAATCTCTTCTTCAGAAAGTAAGAGTGAAGCTGAAGATATTAAGAATGCATCGGTTTGAGAGAGTGCATGAGAGTTAAGTTTTTATGTCTTTCAATATGTATTTTAACCTTCTGTTAACTGGACAAATTTGACGTGCTGGCAAGAACCAAGCCAGACTTGTAACAAAGGATCCATAGAAGTATAGGAAACAAATGGAAAAAGTTTTCATGGTATGATCTAGAGGAACACGCTTATTTTTGTTGACTGAGGTTTTGAGAGAAAAAAAAGACAGAAGACTGAGCCCTGGATACAGAGACAGGCCACAGCAGCCAGGCTTCCCCATGCTCCCTTCTTGAGAGATTCCCAAGGCTCTTGGTGGAGGCAAGCTAAGCTGAGCCCATGCCAGACATTTCCACTACCAAGGCCCTCCTGCCAGCCCATCCAGCTCCGAAAACACCCAGCTATGGAGAGTAGCTCATCCAGAAGGTGAGAATTGGGGAAAGGCGTTACCTGCTTCCTTCTTTGTTTATTGCATTCCTCAAAACCAAGACAAAGATAAATTTATCATTCCACCCTCCTGTCAGAAATCAAAGATGATTTATTATTTATGATTTAAACAACGACTCGTGTTTCTGGAGAGGAGCCCCACAGGTGTGCAGATGGGGCCCTCATCTGCTAATGTTGTGCAGTGTTGATCATCTGCCTTCCATCCAGAGGGTGGCCGAGGAAGGGCCAAGGGAGCTGCTCTGGAGCTGACGAGTCATGTGCTCCCAGGCCCTTGACTGCAAATTTTCTTACCACTTCTTTGGGAGGCTCATTATTTTAGATTTTGTGGACCTGGAAGGTTGCAGGTTAGAGTGGCCTCTATCACTGTATATGTTGGTCAGTGCAAACATATGATAGCGTTAGCCCTCCAGTTTCTAGTGAGTAAGGAGAGAGAATTGAAGTCAGCTATTGGCAGGAATTCCATTTACACCAAAAGATATGACAAGAATGCTCATAGCAGCACTATTCACAATAGCCCCAAACTGAAAAACACCCATTGTCAACCCAGCGATAAAATGGATCCATAAATTGTGCTGTTTCCGTGTAATGCAATAGTAAAGAGAACTGAAAACGAATGAGTTATAGGTAAATGCCACAACGGATATGAATCTCACATAAAGTGTATCAAAATACAATGATACAAAAGAATACATACTGTTTACTTCCATTAATATAAACTTCAAAAATATGTGAACCTGAACCATAGAGTCAAAGTCATGGAAAACAGATACAAAATAGCACATACAGTATAACTCCATTTATTTAAAGTTAGAAAATATGTGAAACTGAACTCCAGCGTTAGAGGTCAGAATAGTGGTGATCTTTTGGGAAGGAAAAAGGAGTCGTAAATGAAAGGTGACATGTGGGGAGTTTTTAGGGAACTGGCAAAGTTCTATGCCTTGACCTTGCTGGTAGTTTTATGCAAATTTATTAAAGTCTTTGACATCTTTAAGTATGTATGTTGTATTTTAATTTTTCAAAAGTTAAAAGATATAGACGTTGAAAATTTAAAAACACATTCCTCAATAAAAAATAATGAAAATTAGAGAATAACTAGAACTTTATTTTTGGGGTGTGACTAAAGTATTTAGAGGAAAATTTATAGCCTTAAGTATAATTATTGGAGAAGACAAATTTCTCAGTATTAATAGACTAAGCATCTAAATAAAGAAGCCAGAAAAAAAAACCCTAAGAAACTAAATGCAAATATAATAGAAGGCAAAAATAAAGGTAAGAGAAGAAACAAATTAAATAGAAAAAAAAAGTATCAATAAAGGCAAAAGTTTGTTCTTTGTAAAAATAGATATACACACCAGTGAGAAGATTGATATAGATTAAAAAAAAAGCCACAAATAAATGCAATTAGGAAAGATAAGGGAGTTATAAATATAGGAAGATTAGATTTAATATACATAATATAAATTACCTTACTCAATGAATGTAAACCTTTAGATAATATAATGTAGTAGAAAAGTATAATTTACAAAAAATCCAAATTCACAAAAAAATAGGCAAGTAAATAGATCATATTCATTAAGTGAATTCAATTAATAGTTAAAAAAAGAAAACAAACTGTTTTTCCTATACTCACAACACTTCTGACACCAAATGTGTGGGTTTTCCAAACCAAGGAATTTTTTACATCCCTGCAGATACTAACTGGCTGTTCTATAATTTAATTCTGATGCTAACAACCCTGTGATGGTGGCAGACCCCCCGCCACAGGTTAAGGGTTCAGTCCCATAAGACTGTGCCCCATTTTAGAGGCCAGTTGCAAATAATGGGTCCCCAGGTTACCCATGATTTCTGTCTGGCTTGGCTACAAACTGGAGGCTCCCACGACCCCTTCCTTACGTTCAATGATTTGTTAGACGAAATCACAGAACTCAAGAAAACATTTCACTTACTTTTACTGTTTATTGTAAAGAACACAACTCAAGAATGCCCAAATGGAAGAGATGCCCAGGATAAGGTGGGGAGCCACACAGTCAAAGCTTCAGTGCCCTCTCTGGGTGCACCACCCTCCCAGTACCTCAGTGTGCTTACCAGCCGGGAGCTCTTCAATTCCCATAGTTCGGGGTTTTTTAGAGAAGCTTCATCACATAGGCATAACCAATTATTTAACTCAGTCTCCAGCCCTTTTCCTCTCCCTGGAGGATAGAGGGTGGGGCTAAAATGTCCAACCTCCTAATCATGCTTGGTCTTTCTAGTGAATAGCCCCCATCCTAAAACAATCCAGGAGCTCACCAATAGTCATTAAAACCAAAGATGCTCCCATCACCCAGATATTTCAGGATTGAGGAGCTCTGCATCAAAAACTGGGGGCAGAGACCAAATATATATATATATTATTTTATTATCACAGTAGCTAAAAACTCCCTGTAGAAACACCAGGCCCAGATGGTTTAGTAGGAGAGTTCTATTAAATATGTATCCCTTAGGTCATCTCTATTGTTTATGGTCCTAAAGAAGAGAACATGGGGAAACGTTCCTCAACTCATTTACTACCACTATTGATATGGGTTGGCTCTGTGTCCCCACCCAAATCTCACCTTGAATTGTAATAATTCCTATGTGTCATGGGAGAGACCTGGTGGGAGGTAATTGTATCATGTGGGTGGGTTTCTCCTGTGCTGTTCTCATGATAGCAAATAAGTCGCACAACATCTGCTGGTTTTATAAAGGGGAGTTCCCGTGCATATGCCCTCTTGCCTGCCACCATGTAAGACATGACTTTGCTCCTCATTCACCTTCAGCCATGATTGTGAGGCTTCCCCAGCCATGTGGAACCGTGAGTCAATTAAACCTCTTTCCTTTATAAATTACCCAGTCTCAGGTATGTCTTTATTAGCAGCATGAGAACAGACTAATACAACTATAAACTTAATATTAAAAATAGACGTGGGAATTATAAGGAAGGTCAACTCACTGTGAATATAGACTTGACAAGCTCACATTTGTAAAAATAGCAAACAGAATTCAGGAATGCATACTTTTAATTATGTCCAAGTTGTGTTTATCCTAGGAATACAAGGATAATTAACATTAGAAAACTCCATTCATGTGACTTAACACATCACTTTACTAAAGGAAAGAACTAATGGTTTTCTTAGTAGATACAAAAAAATGGATAGAATTCAAGACATTCATGATAAAAACTTTTAGAATATAAACCAGAAGAACATGTCTGTGCTCTAATAGAGTATCTGCTTCTTCCCTCTCAAAATAACCCTACAACAAACTTCATACTTAATGTAGAAAAATTTGGAGGATTCTTTTAAATTTGCCATTTTAATATTCGTTATCTCGCCAAAGCTATATTTCTCTCTGTCTCTTTTTCTCCTTTTGAATTATTCCATTTCATCCCTCATTAGCTAATTAGTTATATACTGTGTTTATACACTTTATTATCCTTGTAGTGGTTAGCCTACTTCCTCAGTATGAATAGTTGATTTATGGCAGCAGAATTTAGCTAACACTTTCACCAACTTTCAGGACAAAGCATGGGCCTTAGAACACTTTAATTCCATTTACCATCCCTCTCACATTTCATGCTATTGTGTTTTCATTTCATGTATATTTAAACTCCACAATATATGATTTTGATTGCTTCATATAGCCAGTATTAATTTTGTTTTGCCTACGTGTTTATCTTCCCTATTGCCCGTCATTCCTTTATGCATCCCCATGCTTCCATCTGGTTTGATTCTTTTTCAGCGTCTTTGCCTTACTATTTCCTTTGATGTGACAAGTTCTCTCTTTTGGTCTTTGAAAAATGTCTTTATTTAGCCTTCATTTTTTGAAAAGAAATCTTTTGTTTTTAAAATAATTTTAGATTTACAGAAATGTTGTAAAGATAGGACAGAAAATACTGCCCCTTAACCCAGCTTCCACTAATGGTTCTTAAATAACCATGGTACATTGTCAGAACTTAGATTTTTTTTTTTTTTTTTTTGAGACAGAGTTTCACTCTTATTGCCCAGGCTGGAGTGCAATGGTGCAATCTCAGCTCAGTGCAACCTCTGCCTCCTGGGTTCAAGCGATTCACCTGCCTCAGCCTGCCAAGTAGCTGGGATTACAGGCATGTGCCACTACGCCCGACTAATTTTGTATTTTTAGTAGAGATGGGGTTTCTCCATGTCAGTCAGGCTGGTTTAACATTGGTGTAATATTACTAACTAAATGGCAGACTTCATTAGGCTTTCAACAGTTTTTCCACAAATATCACTTTCCTGTTTCAGGATCCAACCCAAGATACCACATTGCATTTAGCAACTCTCATTTTTTTAAAGAACATTTTTGATGGGAATAGAATTCTACATTGGCAATTTTTTCTAAAACTTTAAGGATATTACCTCATCATTTCTCTTAAGAAGTCAGTGAGAATCTTCCTGTTGCTTCTTTGAAGGCAATGTGTCTCTTTTTCTGATTCTTTTAGAATGCTCTCTTTTGCTTCGGCTTCTGTAGTTCTGCTATATGCATTTAAGTACGTATTGCTGGACATTTGGGTGATCCTGGTATGAGATGAGGCTTTGTGGGGCCTTGGGAAGTGGTATTTTGCATGTATGAGGAATGAAAATAAGTTGTAGACAGAGAGTAGTTACTGGTGGTTTTAGAAATATGTCCACAGTTTCTCTGATATACCATCCTTTGGAAGTAGATATTAATTCCCCTGCCCTTGAGTATGGGCTGGATTTAGTGCTTCACTTTTTAAAAATTTTAGATATAATTAATATATCATAAAAGACGTCCTTTTAAAGTGTACAATTAAGTGGTTTTAGCATTAAATATATCCACAAAGCAGTGCAAACATTCCCACTATTCTAGAACATTTTTATCTCCCCCCAAAAGAACACCATACCTATTAGTGTCACTCCGCGTTATCCCTTCCCCTCGGCTCCTGGAAACCACTAATGTACTTTCTGTCCTATAAAATCTGCCTATCCTGGATATTTATGTCAATGGAATCATGTAATATGTAGTCTTTCAAGACTGGTTTCTTTCACTTAGCATAATGTTTTCAAGGTTCATCCACGTTATAGCATGAACCAGTACTTCATTTCTTGCTATGGCTGAATAGTATTCCGTTATATGAACGTACCTCATTTTATTGATTCATTCTTCACTTCATGGGCGTATTTGTTTCCTGTGTTTGTTGTAACAAATTACCACAAACTTGATGACTTACAACAACAGAAATTCATTATCTCTTACTTTTGGAGGCCAGAGTCCAGAATCAAGGTGTCAGCAAGGGCACGTCCTCTCTGGTGGTTTTAGGGGAGGCTCCATTCCTTGTCTTCCAGTTTCTGGTGGATGCTGGCATTCCTTGGTTTGTGCCTTCATCTCTCACTGCACCATCTTCACATTCTCCTTCTCCTCTGGATCTTTGTGTCTCTTCCTCCTCCTCTTCTGTCTGACTCATGTCTCTTTCTCTACTTTTCTCTTATGAAGTCACTTGTCATTGGATTTAGGGCCCTCCCATATAATCCAGGATTATCTCAAGATTCTTACCTTAATCATATCTTCAAAGAACCTTTTTCCAAACAAAGTAATATTAACATGTTCTAGGTATTTGGTGTGAATACCATTCGAGGAGGTGGCATATTTCAGCCTACCACAATGGATATTTGTGTTGTTTCTACTCTTTACTGTTGTGAGTAATACAACTATAAGTTGCAGGACTTCTTTATATATGCTGAATACTAGACACTTAACAGTATGTGATTTGAAAATATTTTCTTCCATTCAAGGGGTCGGTTGTCTTTCTACTTTCTTGATGGAGTCTTTGGAAGCACAAAAGTCTTTAATTTTGATGACTCTCAATTTTTAAGTATTTTATTTGTTTGCCTTTTTATCTAATAAATTGTTGCATAATTCAAGATGATGAAGCTGTACACCTAAATTTTCTTCTAATCATTTAATAATTTTAGCTCTTACATTTAAGACTTTGATCCATTTTGAGTTAATTTGTGAATACTGTATGAGGTAGGGGTCCAACTACATTGGTATGTAGGTATCTAATTGTAGCAGCATCATTTGCTGAAAGACTACCTTTCCTCATTGAATTTTTTTGGCACCCTTGTCAAAAATCAATTGACCATAAATGTTTGGGTTTATTTCTGAGGTCTCAATTCAATTCTATTGATCTATATGTCTAGCCTTATGCCAATGCTACTGTTTCTTGTTTACTGTAGCTTTGTAGTACATTTTGAAGTCAGAAAGTGTGAATCCTCCAAGTTCCAAGTTTATGGAAGTATAAATAATCCGTGTATATTGATATTTTATCCAGCAACATTACTGACCTTGTTTATTAGCTCTAATAGTTGTTTTTTGGATCATTTAGGATTTTCTACATATAAAATTACATCATCCGCAAATAGAGACAGTCTTAATTCTTTCTTTCCAGGCAGGATGTCTTTTCCTTGCCTAATTGCCCTGCCTAGAACTTCCAGTACATTGTTGAATAGAAGTGGTAAAAATATATCTGATATTAGTAGGAAACCTCTCCATCTTTTAGCATTAAGTATGATATCTGTGGGTGTTTTTCAAAGATGTCCTTTATTAAGATGAGGAAGTTGCCTTCTATTCCCAGTTTGTTGAGTACTGGATTTTGTCAAATGCTTTTTTCTGCATCAATTGAGATGATTACGTGATTTTTTTTTCTTCATCCTGTTAATGTGGTTTATTATATTGATTGATTTTCACAGTTTGGACCAAGCTTGCATTCCTAGGATAAATCCAATTTGATCATGTTTTAAATGTTGCTAGATTTGCTTATAAATGTTGCTAATATTTTGTGCAGGATTTTTGCATTTATATTTATAATAAATGTTGGTATATAGTTTTATTTTTATGTGATGTCTTTGTCAGTTTTGTTATCAGGGTAGTACTGGCTTCATAGAATATGTTGAGAACTGTTTTCTCTTCTTCTGGTTTTTTAACAAGATGGTGTTAATTCTTCTTACTTGTTTGGTAGAATTAACCAGTGAAGCCATCTAGTCTTGGGCTCTTCCTCGAGGAAAGTTTCTGATTACTAATTCAATCTCTGTACTTGTTATAGGTCTATTCAGACTTTCTGGTTCTTTTGAATCAATCTTGATAGTTTGTGGAGGTTTTCTTTTTTTTTTTTTTTTAAGGAACTAGTCTATTTCACCTAACTTGGGGGCATACAATTGTTTATAGTATTCTTTTGTGATCCTTTTTATTTATGTAAGGTCAGTGGTAATGTTTCCTCTTTCTTTTCTGATTATAGTCGTTTGAATTTTCTCTCTCTTTCCCTTCAGTGTCTACTTAAAGGTTTGTCAATTTTGTCAATCTTTTCGAAGAAACATATTTTGACTTTGTTGATTTTCTCTGCTATTTTCTTGTTCTCTATTTTATTTTCATTCTAATTTTTATTATTTTTCTATATTCTGCATGTTATGAGTTTGGGGTCTAATACTTTTTCCAGTGTTTTAAGGTGGAAGTTTAGGTTGTTGATTTGAAATTGTTCTGTTCTTTTATATAGGCATTTATGGCTATAAATTTCCCTTTAAGCACTTTTTTAGATGTACTCCATAAGTTTTGGTATATAGTGTTTTCATTTTCATTCATCTCAAAGTAGTCTCCGATTTCCCTTTTGATTTCTTATTTGACCCATTGATTATTTAGGCATGCATTGCCTAATTAATGCATATTTATGAATTTCCCAAATTTCCTCTGTGAATGGTTTGTCATTTCATTCCAATGTGGTCAGAGAATATCCTTTCAGTGTGGGAAGAGCCTATGAATATGATCAATATCTCCTATGATAATGTTACTAGTCAGTTGACTTTTGAATTATTCACGCTGCCTGTGTAAGTAATAAACTATATCAATCTTTTGGGGATAATTAAAGGGAATATTATCTGAGAAAGTTTGGCCTAATCAAGCAAGCCTTTAAAATCTGAGCCCTTCCTGAAAAAGAGATTGGAAATATAAGAGGTCCAGTAGAGGGGACAATGAAGCAGGGACCTAAGACTAGCCTCTAGGAGCTGAGAGCAGTCTGGCTAACAGATAGCAAAAACTAAGGACCTCAGCCATACAGCTGTAATGAAATTAATTCTGTTAACAACCAGAGGCAATTTGGAAATGCATATTTCCCTCCTGGAGCCTCTAGATGAACTAATTTTTGCCTCCACTGAAAATGCATGCCCTAATACTAGATTGAATATCGGAAAGGAAGAAACACAGTTATCATTAACAAGATCACATGCTCTCAGTTCCCCATGTCCCATAGAATGTCATTGAACCAAAGGGGCCAGATGATAGGCAACATGAGTTATAGGGAGCTTTGTTGTGGAAGAGCCAATTCCATATGGCAGCTAAACAGTTTTATAGCCTGCAAACTGTATTCAAGGATGGAGGAGAGGCAGAAAGTCCCATGTCTTGTTAGAACCAGAGAGGCAAATCAGAAACTGCCTTGTGGTAGCCTCCCACAAGACAGAGAGGCACATGGGAAATGATCTGTGACAGCTCCTCACAAGATTGCCCATCTTGCCATGTTCCTGGGAGGATCTCAAGGTGTTCTGCCAATACTTGGATCAGTCTGGGGTTGATCCTTGCATGTATGGCCTAAGTGAAGGTACACAAGGTCACAGGGTGCCATGGCAAAACAGTTCTCCTACAATTAGAAGCTGTATTTCAGACAGTGTGAGGTCTGGTATGTTTCCAATTTTCCCTCTCTACTACTTTCAAAGATTGGAGTTGAAAGCCTGCCTGTCCTTAGTAAAATGCAGTACTGCCTGTCCTTAGCAGAATGGAGCTTTTATATTTGTCTCCTTAGCTTTTGGAGACTGTTAAAGGCTCTGTTGAGCTTCTCAGCCTCTGGGCTGTTGCTGAAGACTCAAAGGGAAAATATGAGCTATATAAAAGGCTCGCTTTTCTGAGTTTCCCTGCCTTCAGGCTTTTAAGCTTTTAATCCCTCAAGTCCTCATTGCTTTAATGGTTATCTCATGGCTTGAAACAGTTTGCAAAAATATTATTATTTTATAGCATTTATAGTTGTTCCTTGTGGGGGAGTTTGTGTGATACCAGCTAGCTAGTGTCATATCTAGTTAGCTAGATACCATCATAGTTTTTTTAAAAAAAAGCATTATTTTTAAAGTTAGTAATAAGATAAGATGGCTTGCTTGATTTACTATTTCTATTGACATGGTACTGGATGATGTTAACCCCAGAGCAGTGAATTGTAACATTTTTTAAAAAGTTTTTGCTTCCCTAAGGAGCCTTTTCAGGCATTTCTTTTCCAATAATTGCCACTCCTCCCCTGATAATTTTATACCACAGAAATACTGTACACATGTATATGTACCATAGCCCTTTATAGGGTCACAAACAACTGTAATATCCAAGATTATTTTTATCCCCCATTGAATAACCAATTTTTGCCTCCATTGAAAATGTACATCCTATTATCAGATTGACTATTGACTGGAAAGGAAGAAACACAGCTGTCATTAACCACAAATACATAATATTCTATATAAAGAAGTATCATCAAATTGTAGCCCAAGGAGCTCCTCTTTCTGTAAACGCTCAATGGAACACAGCCATGCCCATTTTTTTACATATTGTCTGTGTCTGATTTCACACCACAAAAGCAGTTGAGCAGTTTTAACAAAAAACAATGTGGCCCACAAACCTAACATATTTCTTGTCTGGGTTGTTAAGAAAAAGCATGACGACTCCTGATATCAAACACCCAAAACTAACTTCTAGAATGAATGAGAGTTTAACACAGTTGCTAAATATAAGATAAATGTACAAAATTAAGTTGCCTGTCTATAATGGCAATAAGGAATGTCCTGATTATTGTTACTATGTCAAAATTATCCAAACTTAGTGATATAAAAGAACAAAAATTTGATAATGTTGACAGAATCTGTGGGCCAGAAGTTTGAAAAAAAAATGGGAGAATGAAAATGGCTCTTCTTTGCTTTATGATGTATGAGGATTTACTGCAGAAGTCTCAAATAGCTGGGAGTGCAGGATTGGAAGAGCTCCATTGGCATGGAGGATCCTTTTCTAGGATAATTTTCTAATTCACACATGTCCTGCTATGCCTGGAAATGAGTTCAGCTGGGGTTGTTGACAGGAGCACCTATTGATAACCTTTCCATAAGGCTTACACTTCTCACAGCATGGTGGCTGAGTTATTATATGAAACATCTGAGAGGGAGACTTCAGAAAATGGGCATTCCAAGAAAACTGGGAGAAAGCTGCATGGCCTTCTCTGACTTTGCCTCAGAAGTCACACAGCATCACTTCTACCATAACCTACTTGTTAAAAGCAAGTGTTAAAGCCATCCCAGAGCAAAGGCAACAAGAATTAGTCTCCATCTCTCAAACGGAGATGTGGAGAATGTACAGTCATTTTTAAAAAGCTGCCACGAGGAATAATTTGTAAGATAGTGTGTTTTACAATGACACCCCACACACACATTTTAAATATCAATAAAGGTGTCCAACATCTGTTAGAAAACTTTAAAAAATCTTCATTGAAAAATATTAGGAACATCCTAAGTAAATGGAGAATTAGATTGTGTCCTTGGATGGAAAATAACTCCATATTTTAAAGACGACATCTGGGCGTGGTAACCTCTGCCTGTAGTCCCATCAACTCAGGAGGCTAAGGCAGGGAACATTTGTGACTAGGCGTTGAGTCTGGCCTGGACTACTTAGTAAGACTCCATCTCCAAAAAAAAAAAAAAATTAAAAATAAAGATAGCCATTTCCCAAAATCAATCTATAAATTCAATATGGTATCAATTGCAATTCCATCAGGGATTTTTTTGGGGGGAGGTGGGACCTAAAAAGCTAACTCTCACAGTATATGTAGAAAGAGGACCCAAAAAGTTTTTACAGAACAAAATGTTTGGATTCACCCAACTGGAAGTCAACATTTATTTTAAGATGGTAATAATTAAGAAATCATAGTATTGGTATATAAACAGACCAAACTTCCCCAGATTACACAGAATAGAGAGCTTAGAAGCAAGCACACACTACAGAAATTTTGATCTACAATAGGGATGTCTTTACAAATGAGTGGGGGAAATGATGATTACTCAATGGATGATGAGACTATTAGTTATTTGATTATCTTTCTTATCTCATATCATACTTAAAGATCAATTCTAGGTAAATTAAAGACTTAAGAATATTAAAAGCAAGGAACAAAATATCTAGAAGTAAATATAGGAGAATATACTTGTGCCCTAGGGAATGGAAAGGATTTTTTAAAGAAGACCGAAAAGCATAAGCCAGAAAGAAAAAGTCCAATAAATTTGATTCTATTAAAACTTTAGCACACTGAAATTGTCCAGGAGCACAGATAGAAGTCCTGAATGCTTAAAGACGTGTATATTTGTGTAACCAACACAGGATTAGTATCAAGAATATATGAAGAAACTTTTAATGCTAAATGAGAAAGAAAACAATAAAAAGTGGGGTACACGGTACAAAAATCATTTTACAGAAGAACACTGAATACCAGTAAACATGAAAATGTCCTCAACATTTCTAATAATCAGGGAAATTCATATGAAAACAACATTGTGGTACTATTTCACACCTGTCACGTTTAAAAAATTAAAAAGATTGACAATGCCAGTTCTTAGGTAGATCTATAAACTAGTAAAATCATTGAAGACAATCTGGTAATATCTAGTAATGCTGGAGAAGCACCGTGGTAAGAGCTAGGATAGCTAACAGATAAATGTTTCTTTCTCAAAATGGGAAAGGGCTATTGGGGATGTAGGAGATTTCTTGGGCAGATGATTTTTAAACGAGATAAGAAAATTAAGAACATGAAAATGGATTCCTTTAAGACTGTGCCCATGCACTCTTTGGAAAGATTCTGCTTTCCAAGCAATGCAGTTTGAAGACCTGTGATCTAGTAATCTTCTTTACACATTTTGTTTATTGGACAGAATGTGTTGCTCAGTATAATGTGAATATCTAGTCCAACCAGGTCTATTTCTTATAAATTTATTAGCCAGGGTTTGGCTTCTCTATATGTCTCTCTGGTGACATGCATGTCTGGTCCATTCTAGGTATTTCTGAGTAAACAATACTAGGATCAGATTATAAAACTTGCTTATATCACTAAAATATTATTTTGTGTCTTCTTGGTGGTCATTCTGTCCCTCCTGGACAGCCTCATGCCTGACTGGACACTGAAAAAGAGGTGAAGAGATGAGGCGATAGAACAAAAGAACAGAAAGATAATGAAGCTGAGACTAAGTAAGTGAAAGGTGAATAAAATTCTCTGGTGTTGACTTGCAGAAAGGAATGTGCAATGTGTGTTTCTATTCATTAGATGAATTATTTTATTCATTCAGTGATTTATTCATACTATTTGAATTAATTTATTTGAATAAGTAATACATTTACATCATTCAAATCCAAAAAGCATAAGGGGGTACAATGTCCCCCTCTCAATTCTACCCTTAGCTTCCCAGTTCCATTCTCCAGAGGAAACAAATTGTTTGGTATCAAAATAGAAATGTTTCTATGAATATACAAGGAAATACATATATATATAAATTCTTCCCTTTTCCTCTTGTTTACACAAATGGAATCATACCATATACACTTTTCTAAATCTTGCTTTTTTTCCACTTAGCATAATATCCTAGAGATATTTTCATGTAAGTACATTAGAATGTCCTCATTCCTTTTTATGGTTCCATGGTGCTTTATTGTATGGATGTAACTTTATTTTTCCAGTCCCCTACTGGTGAACGTTTGCTTCAAATCTTTTGCTCTTCCAAACAATGCTGATTTTGTGCATATATAATTATGAGCACCTTAGTGAGTGTGCCCGTGGCATAAACTTGCGGAAGTAGAATTGTTAGGCCAAAAGGCATGTGCAACCTGATGTAATTGTATCAAGAATGTATCTGAATGCCTGTCACCTCTCACTCTTGTCAATACAGTGTGTTACCAACCTTTTTGACCTTTGCCGATCAGATAGGTGATAATGTTCTCTCTTTTCACTTGTGTTATTATGAGTGTGGTTGAGCCATTTGTATTTCGTTTTTTGTAGATTGTTTCTATCTTTTGCCGTTTATTAAAATTTAATGTTTACCTTATCAAAGTTATACATGCACTCAGTTTGAAGAGTCAACTTGTTCTGCAAAGCTTGTTAAGGAAAACAGAAATTCCTTTCCCCATACCATAATTTTTTCCCACTCCCTACAGGTAACCACTCTCAAATTTTTTATATAATTATCTTTGTACTTTAGTTTATATCTCAAATTAATATATAGTAGAATAAATACCAATGAATAGACACGAATTTACATATCCAAGAAGCTTAACAGCTCCAAGCAGGATAAACCCAAAGGGATTCACACTGAGACACATTGTAGTCACACTGCTGAAAGCAAAAAACAGAGAATCTTGAAAACAACAAAAAAGAAGAAAGTCATCACACACACGGAATTCTCAATAACATTAATAGCATATTTTTCATCAAAAACCCTGAAGGACAGAAGGAAGGACAATGACATATTTAAAGTGCTGAAACAAAAAAAAGAGCTGTCAACCAAGAACTTGTATCTAGCAAAATTATCATTCAAATGAAAGAGAAATTTGGATTGTCCCAGATAAACAAAAACTGAAGGAGTTCATTGCAAATAGACCTGTCCTACAACAAATGCTAACAGGAGTCCTCCATGTCAAAATGAAAGTTTGGCAGGTTGCAAAGAGTAGTCTGCAGGCTTCAACAAGCCATTTAACCTGTCAGAGTCATAGCCTGCTGTTCTCTAATAAAGAAAATTAATCACCCTTACTTTGAACAGTGGCTTTGAGAATAAGATTGAATATACACACATAGGACTTTGTCTGACATATTGTGGGTAGGGCCAGACCATAGAATTGTGAAGGCCATGCACTGTGCAACTCAGGAAATGTCATTTGCATAGCCTGTGAGAAAATGGCAACCCCTGGAGTTGTGGAACACCATGGTCTTGGTCATGGACATTCAATCAATGACAGCAGAAACTCACAACATCTGTCCTCTCTTTTACAATTTAGAGATCTGCTCATTTTTCATAATGCTAAAACTGCCTCCTTCGCTGTCCTCTTTTACAAAATTGGAAAAAAGAAAATGTAGAGATTATGCTGCTCTCATATATTCCTTTTTACTCATTTAAAAAACTTCTGAAGGATAATGCTTGAATTGGAGCAGGATTTTTTTAATTAAACGCCTTTGTGCATTTATACACACCACCAGACCAGGGTATATCGGCTCAAACATCCTACAATGTGCAAGCAAGAAGCAGAGTATCTCTCTCCACAGACAAGTGAAGAAAATTTTATTTTTTTCAGTCACTTTATTATACAAGCTCTTTCCTCATTGTATTTAATCCTCAGTTATATGAGTAATAGTCTCTATTTCCTTATCTTTGTTTTCACTGATGTAAATAAGGAGAGCAGTACAAATTTAACAAACTCATCAACATTCATGAATTCATTCACCAAATATTTTTGAGCTCTTCCTAGGTGCTAGGCACTGTCCCATGCACCAGGAATATGTTGAGAAACACAGCGGACAAATTCGTGTCCTTGTGGACCTTCCATTTTTGAGGAGGAGGCAGATGATATACAAGCAATACAACACGCAAATAATGTAACCAGGGAGTGATACCTATTATTTTACAGCTGTGTTTCTCTGAGTCCTCTCTTCGCTGTAAACCTGGGTAGACACCTTGAAAAGATTACACCAAGTAAATATGAAAAATAAATTTTATTTCAGTTTCATTTTATTGTGTTAACCTCCTACCCTATTTGCTTTTGTATTTTTTTAAGCATAATTATGTATGCAGCCACAAATGGAGCACAAAGCAATTACTGCTTGTGGGAATTTGAGAGATGCTCTTTGAAGAGGTGTGAGGGAATCAGTAATACTTGCAGTGACTTTTAAGGAGGTGGAGTGTGCTGATGAAGATGCCACAAAGAACTGATGGGAAGTTATTCCTCTCCCCAACTGCTATTGTATCCTTCCTGTAGTGCTGTCTCTGCTTTTTGCATCTTGCCCAGTATATTATGACACAAATAAAAATTCTCTTTTCATCATCTTGCAACTTGTAAGAGGCCTGAGAGAATTCTTGTGCAGGGCCCTTAGAACACACATGAAAAGATAATTTATTAAAACATTAAATTCATATAAAATCTTCCTATATTTTCTTCCTATCCCACCTCATTTTTGGGCTCAGATCACAAGCTGCCTAAGTGCATGGCTTTCAGGGTGTCTGTTGTAAAAACCTCAGCTCACTGACATTACACGAAGTGAACGAGAGGCTGAGAGGGGCATAGGGAGTTGAGAAAGGGAAGGAGAGAGTTCTAGACATTAGGAAGGAGTGGGCCCTGTTTCTGGGAGGTGCCCTGGAGTAGGTGGCAGCATCTGGAGGGAAACAGAAGTGCCTAGGGGAGCCCGGCCTTATCATGGGACTCCTGGGTCTGCCACAGTGCTTGTGCTCAAGCAGGATATGGAAGCTGCCAACCAATGTTTCTAGAGACACCACACATGATGGGGGGAAGGCTTTGTTGAGATTCTTCTCCAATGCCTGGGTTTTTCATTAGACCCTGGGAGTCACTGCACAACTCTGGGTGGGGAGTAACCTAAGAATAAATAAGCTTACATTTTCCATCAGTTTGGGAAGCTGAGATCTGAAGTTGAATTCAGTTTATTTAAAATATATAAAGAAGGTAGTTTTTTGAGCAGGTGGTTTTATGCACAGATTCACACCTACATATACATATCAGTCATTTATCCACTCAGTCAACAAAGGCTTACTAAATAATAGCTATATGTCAGAACCTATACCAGATAATGTTGATACAGAAATGATGAAGCAGAGGTTCCTGAAAGTCAAGTGAGGGAAACAGCCAAGTTAACAAGTATATCAGGTATCTTTTGCTATGTAACCAATGACCCAGAAATGCAGTGGCTTGAAACAACAACCATTTAATGGGCTCATGATCATGTAACTTGGCATTCTGGAGTTCTGTTCTAGGCCAGGCTCTGCAGCTCCAGATGGACTTGCTCATGTGTCTGCAGTCAGCGGCCAGATCAGCTGGGGGTTGGGTCAGCTGAGGGCTGGCTGCTCAAAAAATAACTCAGCTGCAACAGCTGGATGCTGTCTCTACATGGTCTCTTATCAACCAGAGGGCTGCCCTGGGCTTGTTCCCATGGATTCTCAGGGTATGAAGAGCATCATTGCAACCCCATGCATAAACTCCTTTCAAGTCTCTGCTTGCGTCAGGCTTGCTACTGTCCCAGCGATGAAGGCAATCATAAGGTCAGCCTCAACCCAAGGAGGGAGAAAGACTCCTACTCTTCAAGGAACAGCAGAGTCACATTACAAGGGTGTGGATACAGAAAGAGGAAGAACGTGTGGCCATTGTTGCATCCACCACAATTAGTAAATGCAACCCAGTGTGTTCAAAGCTATGGCAAAGGGTTGTAGTAGGTACAAAAGAGTGCACGTCACAGGGTGGGAAGCTCCATCAGGGATGGGTCAGAGACAGTTTTAGCCTGAAAATGATACTTGAGCCAGATTTGGAAATACAAAATTGTGGAAGGAAGAAATGATCTGATATATCCAGGAAACCAGAAGAGTTCTCCAGAGGGCACAGTGCAAGGTGAGGGGTGCCTTGGGAGGGAAGAGCCCGAGGAGAAGGAGGGGCCACTGGGGCATTTCTCTACATTTCTAACTAAGCCCAGATCTTCCCTGTTCTATTGTGATTCCAACCACTTGTCCCTGTCCTGCCCTCTGGAGTCACACGAATCACACCCCTCTCTTCCCTGGAGAGAGCATGTATTTTCCTCTATATATTCAGCTTCTCCCACCCACCACCTCAACATCATAAACCTTTTCTCAAAATGTTCCCACACTTTGCTGCTTCCTGTTCTAAATGGCCTCCAAAACAGAAACAGAGTCTGACTCAAGCAGAGCTCAGTGGGCTTTCCCCAAGTGTCTTCCTAACCCCTAAGACAGGTTGAGAACAAGGGTGCTGAGCCCCAGTACTTGGTTGTGAGGCCATGATGCCGTCACTGTCTCAGCAGCCCCAAGGAAAAGCATGGGAGTGCTCGCTGGAGCTTCACATTGATCCTTCCTAAGGGTTCAGGGATGGGGCTGGGGAAGTATGGAGGGCAGTGGCGCTGGGTCCACACTTGAGGGATGGCAACTCAGGCATCTAATCAAACAGTCCTGTTTTGCACCAATGCCCATAAGGGCAGGTCTTATGTGTGATTGTTATTCATTCACTTATTCAATAAATGCACATGGATACCTGCTCTGTGTCAGGCACTGCCCTACTCTGTGGGACTAAGGCATGAGGCAGACCTGGTCTCTGCCCCAAAGTTCATTCCAGTCATTTAAGAGGAAGGAACAGGTTTGTAAAGGAGCCTCCCCTGTGGTCCTTGAGTGACATGATGAGGGCTTATCAGGCTCTGAATCCATAGGGCAGGGACATCACCACATCTGGGCACCCTCAGCAAGCTGTGACCTGCAGAGTTAACAACAGTGAGTGTTTGCATGACCATGTCCTATAGCAGCCACTGTCCTAGATGCTTTCCACGGGTCCACCAGTGAAGCCTCTTACAACCCTGCGAGGTGGGCGGAGTGCTCTCCATCTTAAGATGTGGGGAGGGAGCAGGGAGAGGACACTTAGGGGTCCCAGACCCCCAGGCCTGGGGTGGGGTTGGGACACAGGCAGCAGCTGGTGCAGGCAGCTCTGCTCCACCCCAGGTTCTCTGAGGGAGGGCGAGGACAATTTTCCAGTCCAGGGACCAGCTGTGAGGAGACTCAGGTGTGGAGACCTGAAGGGATTCAGGGGGACCTTGTGTGACTAAGACTAGGGGGAAGAGTTTCAAACAGAGGCAGGGGGAGGTTTGGGGGAAGCCACACCCCACCACAGTCTGTCCCCATTCCCTGCAGCATCTCTCCTTGAGAAATGGAAACTCCATGGGAGCAAGGAAAGGTTCAAGTCCATTTTGGTAAAGAATTATATAATTTCCCACCCACGTTTTCCCCTTGCCCCAAGCACCTATCACCAGTTGCCAGGTGTGCCTGTCGTCGTGGCCCACCCCACTGGACTAGGTCAGCAATGATGTCACACAGGGCTCTGGAAGCTTGGCGCTCACTCAGCTCCCAGAAGTTCTCAGAGGGTGAGGGTCCCACATCTCCTGCAGGACAGGCCCTAGCTACTGAGTCACAGAAACCCAGGGCCGAAGCAAAGTCCCAATCCCAGAGAGGCTGGGGCACACCTACAACTGAAAGGAGGCTTAGAAATCCTTCAGAGACCACCCTATCGGTTCTCCTCCACCTGGACAGGATGAGCCAGCAACACAGAAGGAAGAGGCCTTCCTCCGAAAGGTAGGGGATGAAGCTGCCTCTCAGGGATCAGAGCTGGGCCGCAGGGCTCTGATGTCCCCTGGACACCTCGTCAGAAAAGGAACATGTAGGATTTGGAGTGCAGGATGAGGCTGGCTGAGGTTTCCCTGAGGAAGTTCTCACTGTTGTCTAGTGGACAATTAACAAAAGTTTGTAATGGGAAGGAATAACTGAAGGAATAAATGAATGGGAGAACCAAAAAATTCTCCTGTGAGTCTGAAGGGCTTTTCTGAATAGGGGCAGATGACTGTCTCAGGTGTTTAAGCCTGGGTCCTTATGTCCATGGAAAGGACGAAGTGGGCAAGTGGGACAGAGAGCATAGCCAGAACGGGTGGGTAGGGAGACCTGTCCTTCAGTTCCTCATTACTTATGAGAAAGAATTCACATATCACTTGAGGAATTAAGGAAATAACAGCAGTAGGTATGGAAGTGGGAGCTGGAGGGAGCTCACACTGACCCCGGGCCCCCGACACTGACAGAGTGAGTTCTGCAGCTGCCCCCAGCCTGGATGGGGAGGAGGGCTGGGCAGACCCCAGTCCCCCATGCTGCAGAATCTTCCCTTCTCCTCCTCTGTTTCCTGCCCACCTCTTCCTGGGGCTTCACAACCCCTCACAGCCAAGTCTCACTTCAGAATCGGATTTTAAATTCCTGCTCTAATTAACGGAGCTTCTGCTATTATCATAGTTTTGCACCCTTTCCCCGCCCAGTGTCTGCACCCTACACCTTCTCTGGCCAGCACCTGGGCTGCCCTCCCCTGGCACCACCCTGTGTCTTGTTGTTTATTTGGTCCTCTCACCCCTCCCAAGAGTTCCTCTTCAACTGTGTCTCTGCTTGCAAGATTTACCCAGTCCCATCCACAAACTGCTCTCATCTGTTTTGATCCTGAACCTCCAATCTACTCTCATATCCAGAAACTAGCACAGACCCTTAGGCTGACATATCCAGCCCCCAGGTCCACTCGGTGGAGGTTTTTATACCTGGGCCATTGGCGCTTGCGGCATCAAAAGGCTCTCAGATACGGATGTCTGTTTTCTGCCTTTTCCCTGATGGGGTCCATCTAACAAGAACATGTGAGGGAGTTTCTGTTCAGAGCAAGGCCATTTTAACTTTTAACTGTTACTTAGAAAAAGCACAAGAAAGATGGACACATGGCAGAGTCTTAAAGTCAAAGAAGTATTCTGTAAGCATAATTCTTCCTATGAATGCCTTCTCTATAAAGAGGTTGAAGCAAGGTGAGCAATTCTCCTGTTTGAATGCTAACACTAAATGTGCTAAGAAAATCACTTTCATAGACACATCTCAGAGAACTACATATTATGTATGTTAAGGAGAAATTAGATTGTTTCCAAGTCCCAGAGAAGCAAATTAATTTGGCATTAAACAAATGTTGCAATACAGGAAAGAAATTATCTTTAAGATCCTCCATTACAAACCAGAAAAGTCCCAGTATGTATGATAATGTTTTCAGTGTAGCTCGTTATAAGGCACTGCTACCACTTGTACCACTGTGTGCAGGAACTCTGTCTCCCATAGTGGTTCCCCCAAATGTTTGCAGGCCAATGATAGACATCTGGAAAGATGAAAGATGTCATGGGATTTCAAAACAAGAGGGAGAACAATAGGGATGGAGAAGTCCCCAGGATCCCTGAGACCAGATAGGGATCCCTGGGCTCACAGACAAGGACGCAGGGCCAGCGAGTTCATGTGCACTACCTCCATTCTCAGAGGCCTCCACCCCAGGGCACAGGGCCACGCAGCCTTCAACATCTGAATGCAAAAGCCCAGGCTTGCATTTTCCAGATGATAAGGAAGGAAATTTTATGATTCTTAGAGGCACCAAAGTTGAAGAGGTCTGGCCTCTCCAGGGTGAGCACAAGCTGGGGTTTTTCCAACTGTCCAAAGTGATTTGGCCAAAATCTTTTTCCTTAAAATCTGCATCTTTCCAGTTAATGTCCTCCAAATGCAGTCCTGGAAAGTAGCCTTGGATGTACCAGGTTGGGTTTTCCTTTACACCAGTCAGGAGAGGAAGGTGGGAGTGGCACATCAGAGAATCTTCTAGAATCTTCTAGTGGTTACATAGTGAGTTGCACATCATGTCCAGCCTTCTTCCTTCCAAGTAGACAGGTACACTCCAGAGTTGTTTGGAAAATAATGCATTAACCTTTACATATTTCTTTTGGTCATTCATAGGTATAGAGGCCAGAAGAGGTCATTGTCTCCAAATAGCAAGCAAGACCTCTCCGAGGCTAACTTTGTGCAGTCTGTAGGTGTATTCATGCCGTGGCTCAAATCTTTAAATCCAACTTTAAAGATATTTTTATCCTTATTCAAAAAACATATCCAAAATTAAAAATATATATGTGCTTTTTTTTTAACTTAGAAAACTCTTATATCCCTACTTAAACATGTGCAAAGTACAAAACTTTAAAAAGACAAAGTTATAATCAGAACTGCCCCTCAAATGTAAATTGCACCTCTCCTTGAAGGTACCAGTGTGAAAAAGCACTTGTATATCCTTCTATATATTTCTCTTTGCTCAGACACACACATATATATAGTCACAGGCACACACGTACAGCTGTTTGCTGTGCTCTTTTGGAAACTGGGTCACGCTCTACCCACATTGCTCTGCACATTTTTTCAATTGACTACCATGCTTTCCTGTTAAGTCAGTAGATATAGTGCTAACACTGTGTTTTTTGTTCTAATCTAAGTCATTTAACATAAATTAATTTCATCTATAACAAAAATATAGTATACCTTATATACACTTACATAAACTACAGAATGAAAATGCATATCTAACTCTCCACTTTATGTCCCTGTCCCACAAGTGAATCACAATAATTCATACCAATAATCTGGTAAGCAGTCTATCTTATTATCCTTGCTTGCACAATCATACACACACACAAACATGTGCATCTACTCTTTTATGCACATATAAATACATATAGGTATTCAAATATATTCAAGTATTTGTTAATTTTACTCAAATGGGCACATTTTATATATACTAGTCTGCATCTTGATTTTTTCCTTAACTATTAATTCAAGGAGATTTTTGTTGCTCAATTGCTGTAGCTCTATTTCATTCTAATGACTACCAAATACTATTGAATGATGTGGCTGTGCTATGAATTATTTTCTTTCTTCTTTTTTTTTTTTTTTTGAGACAGAGTCTCGCTGTGTCACCCAGGCTGGAGTGCAGTGGCACATCTCCACTCACTGCAAGCTCCGCCTCCCAGGTTCATGGCATTCTCCTGCCTCAGCCTCCCGATTAGCTGGGACTACAGGCACCCACCACCACGCCTGGCTAATTATTTTTTTAATTTAATATTGTAATTTATTTCATAAATTATGCTGACTCAACTGATTATTATTCTGGAAAAAATACCACTGTACCACATATATTTACAGAATTAAAGAAAAAATGAATTAACAATTTTAATAGAAAATTAGAAGGGAAATGTAGGAATATTTTCTTAACCTGGATAGGAAACCCAGAAACTATAAGAGAAAAGACAGATGTAATTGACCATAAAACATTTAAGCAACTGAAGTGGAGAAAAAAAGCTTGGAAAACAATGTAGTACATGAACAATAGAATTGGAAGATTATTTTATATGTAGATGACAACAACATAACTTTGTATTTCATACGAAAGGGGCAAAATTGGGCAGTCGAAAAATAAACAAATGAAGCTAATCATTGGGAGCAAATCCAAATGCCCAGTAAACATAATCAGCATTGTTCAAAAAACTGGTAGTAAAGAAACTATCCATCAAAGTGCCAGTGAAACTAGCAAAATTAAAAATCAGTGACCCCTGGTGCTAGCTGGGCTGTAGAGGAGACGGATCCTGTCAGACATAGTTGGAAATGGGCATTATTATAGAGCTTTAAGGGAAGCAACTTGGCAATGGCTATACAATTTTCAAGGATTCTTTGAGCGGGAAATCTCACTCCTTGGAATATTTCCCACAGAAATGAATGCTATCATATACAAAGGATGTTTAGTACTATTTTTAAAATAATAGCAAGAGATAATAAAATGACTGCCCATTGATGGTAGAATAAGAAAATAATTCACAGCTTTGGGAGGCCGAGGCGGGCAGATCATGAGGTCAGGAGATCGAGACCATCCTCACTGTTCTGGTAAAAGGAGTGACTTCAGGACTTCCAAAGAAATGATCTTATAGACAAGATCCATTCCCCATACCCATTTACTGAGACTTTTAATTCCTCTTCCTCTGTCGACCACAATAGTTCTAGCATCTGCACTTAAGGAATGTAGTCCCTTCCCTCCCAAGAATCCAGGCAGCATAGTAGGATTGTTTCTAGAGTCTTTGCCATGGACACAAACACTGTGTTACAAGAGATTTCTCCTGTGGTGACAGATCTCCCATTCCCAACTTTATATTCAGCCCTCTCCCGAATCAGTGAGCTCAGGATCCATTCCTAAGCATACTCTCCTGTCTTGCTGGCCACATTAACCAGGTCCTGCAGCTCCTTCACTGTAGAGTCCTCTTTGCTCTTAGTAGAACCAGTATTTTATCAGCTGTGTTATCTGATATTTACCCAAATTATGCCTGGGGACCAGAACAGGAGATATGGGTAAATACTGATGCAGTTTTCTTAGGGCTGCCATACAAATTACCATAAACTTGGTGGCTTAAAACAAGAAAAATGTATTCCCTCACAGTTCTATAGGCTAGGAACCTAAAATTAAGGTGTTGGCTGAGCCATGTTCCCTTTGAAGATTCTAGAGGAGACTGCTTCCTTGCCTCTCTCCTAGTTTCTGGAGGCTTCCAGCAATCCTTGGCATTTCTAAACTTGGAGCTGCATCAGTCCACTCTCTCCCACCACTTCACATGATGATAGCAGAATGAAGATGACAGAGGAAAAATTAATTGAACTCGAAGCTAGTTCAATAGAAATTGTCCATTCTAAACAACAGAAAGCAAAAATGATTTTTAAAAATGAACAGGACCTAAATGGCCTAAGCACCAGTATAAAAAGTCTAACATTCATTCAATAGAGTCCCACAGGAGAGGAGAAAATGCAGTGGTATTTTAAAATGTTTTGAAGAAAATTTCCTAAATTTGGTAAAAGACAAGCTTACAGATTTCAGAAGCTCAGCCACTTCCAAAGAGAATAAACTCAAAGAAACCCATGTCTAAACACATCCTAACCATCTATCAAATATTAAATAAAAGAAAAATGCCACGAGAAAACCCAGAGAAACAGGATACATTTCTCTCTCATAGGGAAACAACCATTCAAATGACAGCAGATTTATCATTAGAAGCCACAGCTGCCAGAGGCAGCGAAACCATGTTTCTTAAACGCTGAAAGAAAAAAAAAAACAAAAACCTGTTAACTCAGAATTCTATACCTAGACAAAATATCCCACAGAAATAATCAGAAAATGATATTCTCAGATGAAAAAAAAATGAAGAGAATCCATCACCACCAGACTTACTCTTTCAGAATGCTGAAGGAAGTTATTCAGACAGAAGGGAAATGATAACTGGGGAAACTGAGAATTAAAGAGACATAGAAATGGTAACTACTGGGGTGAATAGAATAGATTTACATTCTTCTAAGTTTTTAAAGGTATGAATTATGGATGAAAGCAAAGATGATGACATTGTGAAGTGGGGTTTTCAGTGTATGTAGATGTAATATACATGACAGCTACAGCATTCAGGGTGTGAGTAAAGAGACCGACATGATGGTCAGGTTTCTAATGGAAGCGCAATGTGAAAAGTTAAACATGACTCTTTATATTGGGTAGAATAAGAGGATCCTGGTCCTTAGGCAGACTCCAGGAGTTTTAACATCCCATCTAAGAATCCAAGTACTGCTGTAGCAAGCGATGGTCTTCAGGAGACCCCTCCCATCCTGGCTCCAGGGCACTCACTTTGCATTCTCTCCTTAGCTCCCTGTCCTCCAACTGTTTTTAGCTCTATGTGGAAAATCCACCAAATGATCTCGTTTTTGTTTACCACTCAACCTCAGCTTTTGGTGCATCCGTGGTTTGAGGTCCCCTCCCCTGCCTCTTTCCCTTCATGGTCCTCTGCCCCCACAGACCTCCATCTCCTCATCATGTTGCTCTGTCCCCTTCTTGGTGTCCCAGGCCCATTTTCTACCATAAAGCCCTTCCCCCAGGACTCTTCCTCTCAGTTCTCTGTTCTTTCCTCTCCTGACGCTTTCAGGTCCTCTTCCATAACAGCACGTTGACCTCACATGCACACGCTGAACTCACACACAAACACAATTTTTCCTTGGATTCACTTTGTAGTACAAAGCCTTAAATTCCAAGGCTTATCCTCAATAAGTAAAGAACACCTCAAGTTTCAATGGCCTTGGACTATGCCTGTCAGGCAACAGACTGTTTGTGGACAGCCAACTACTTAATCTCCCCACGTAAGTATTGGTACCTAAGTAGCTGTGCTGTAAAGCTCCACGCTGATGCCAATAAAGCCCTCACCGCACAGCACTGTGCTGACTCTGCCCTTCGGGAAGCTTTTCTAGCCTATGGGCAACATTTTGGAATACGCTCTCAATGGCAACTCATTATTAGAGAATGGAATTGATTTTGGAAAATATCTGAGAGATGTGTGAATTTAGGCAAATAAACTAGAGAATAACATTTTAGGCCCCAAATGAGAGTGTTTCCAAAAAAAAAAAAAAGAAAATGAAGCTGAATCCCATACAGCCCATAAGCCAGCTCTAAAGGCCATTTCCAGAGAAGCCTCTCAGGCACATCTAAGCCATAGCAGCATTAGGAGATTTGTGAATAAACTTCCCATGGGCCTTCTCAGAAGGGTAACCTGCCATTTAAGTACAAGATCAGTGCTTTATATAGTCAAACGGCATAATCTTGATGAGAATTAGAATGCTTCCTTGAGTGGAATGTATTTTCATCAGCAGAGTGCCTCAAGGACAAAGTTGAATTGAAAAGCAAAGCAATTCCCATCAGCTTCTTATCTGAGACAGCTTTTGTGATGATTTCATGACACACATGAAAAAGGATACAGAAAATTCTGCCTTCTTTTTAACTCTCCATAAGAAGCAGGAACTGATCCCAGAAATCAGGCCCCATTGCCCCCAAACTCCACTTCTTGTCCAGTTTCTCAGTTAGATAATAAAATCAGGAACTGGCAGCCAGCTGTGAGAAGACAAACCCAGGAGATGTTTGCAAGGGGAACACCTCTCATGTGCAGTGAAATCCAAGTCTTAAGATCAGCCAGGGAGCTGAAATGCCTGATACTCCATCCTGCAGGAAGAATGGGATGAGGACTGGCACCCATCATCCACCTGAGAGGCTTTAGAGGCTCCCTCCTATCATGAGTCAAATGGCACTTTCAACCCAGTCAAATAAGTTCGGGGCAAAGACTTTCTCCTTTAGAATGAGAAATGGGCCAGGACCCACAAGTTTAAGGAGCTTCCACTTAGGCCAACTTTGCAGGTTCAGGTCACACTGGTCCCTGGCTGCATTCACACCTTGCCTTTCCACCTTATCCACTCACCCTCCTCCCCAGCATTCCTCTGGCACTGTGTTCCTGATGGCTTCCAGTTATACAGGTGTGGTTTACACAGCTCTTTGACCATTTGAGATGTGGCATAGGGCACAACCCCACAGTGCCTATTTCATATTCCTAACAGAGAACCTACTAAGAAGGAGGGAAGGACCACAACACTCATCCTGAGGCCCTGATGTGGAGACATCCAAGAGGAGGGCTGTGATGGGGACGTCTTTGGCTTCCAGAAGTTTCAGAGCCCTCAAGGGCTCATAGTCACCAGAGTTATCCCCAACTGCTGGGAAACTGAAGAGACTCTGACACTCTGTGCATTGAATGTGCAGTCTGGAAGCTCAGACGACCTCTGAAGGACTTTTCCCACCCTCCCCTCATCCAGCAGTGGAGAAAGTCCTCAGCAGGGGAAGGCAACAGTATTCCTGGGAATCTTTATCCCAAGCAACTAAAAGGAGCATACACATTATTGGGAGGTGTTTCATGAGAAAGCTGGAGGCCAAGGAGGCTGGCAGAAAAAAAGGAAGCGAATTTTACTTTCACTTCCTAGAAGTCTTGTTTAGGGCTTTGTTTAGGGCCCCTAAACAACTAAGCCTCCAAACAGGCATTTATTGCTAACGTTGACATTCCCTCTGTCAATGCATAACCCATATGTCGAATCTGGAGAGTCTGTTTTGAACTTATTTTGACAAGTTCCTCTTTCCTCTGATGGTCTATTGACACCTGGAGATGATAGTGGAAGACACTGAAACTCCTTAGGCCAGACCAGGCTTTGCTGCAGGAATCCTCGCAGTTTAGTTCCACCTTCCTCCTAAGTCCCCCATGGACTATACACAGTAGGGGAGCACCATGGAAGACCTGCTCACAAGCACTCCTGAAAATTAGGGCATCTCCTACTTTATCAGCATCAGAGTTCCCTGCAGTCTTCTAAGAAGTGCAGGTCCACAGAATCCCCAGCTCCAAGGTCCTGGGCAGCTATTGGCACATAGGCCAGTTTCTAGCATCTTCCATGGGCCTCTTCCAGGCTGAGCATCCAGAGCAGTGGTGACAGTGGGGACAAAGGAGAACCCGTGGATTCCGCCTGAAGAAATAACGTGGGGACAAAGGAGAACCCGTGGATTCCGCCTGAAGAAATAACATGGGGTCAGGAAAACAAGGCAATGGAGCAGAAGCAAGATCTAGGATGCTATGTCATTGGAAAGGATAGGTGAAAGGATAGCTGTGGCTCTCGGTGCTGGGAAGAGCTGTCCTGGACAGGCACTGGCAAAAACAGCTGGCGGTACACGCTTCCAGAACCTGTTCTCCCTGGAGTGGCCATTGCCAGAATGCTAGGCTGATAATAAAACACTCAAAAAAGTCCAGCTTGGCTAGATGAGCCACTTACAGCAAGAATTGCGGCAAGCAGACGGCCAGGCCCATCTCCACACTGTCCCTTAGACATGCAGCAGCTCTGGGAGCCTCGAGATCACTGCTGCCCGGTCATAGTGTCCCCAACGATGGGTGAGCGCCCTGGGAGGTTTCCTCAGAGGACCGTGCAGGCAGTCTGGAGGCAGTGGTCCACATTGCGGTGTGGCCTCTGTGGCTTTGCCTTCTACTCCAGACATAAAATCCGAGGGCTTCTTGCATGGGCTGATCCGGGGCACGTGTGCCACGGAGCCACCCTCACCCTTCCTGGGTGATACCCGACGCTTGACGACTCTCCACCGTCTGCCGCACCTCTCAGCGCCTACCTTGCCGGCTGGGCAGCTACAACCTGAAACACCTGGAATCTGAGTCCCCAGCCTTGCCCCCCGCAGCTGCCAGCTTCTTCTGTCCTGTTGGTCCCCGCGGGAACTGGTTGGGGAGGGGACGGGGCGGTGGTACTGGAGGGCTGGGCCAGTCGCCAGCGGTGCTAGAGAATGAGTTCCGGTCCTGCCCCGCACCGGGCTGGCACTGGGCACAGGGACAGGCCTTGGACCCCGCGAGGACCCCACTGCTGAAACCGCCCCAGCCGCCGCCCTCCCTGAGTGTTCACTCAGGTAGTGCATTTTCTTCAAATGTACAAATGCAACTGTTCACGTTTTCCACAGCATGCGGAAGATTAATTCCAGCTGGACTAAAGACCTGAATCTGAAAAGCAAAATTTGAAACAATAAAGGAGAAAACATAAAAATATAATTTAAAAAGTAAAAAGTAAATTGGAAAAAAATCAAAATATATCTTTCCTACATTCTGAACTCAAGGAGGTTTGTAGACACAAAACTGCTCTGATATCCTATATTCATTACTTCCCAGTGAGTAAGTCTGAAATAATTGACTTGGTACCGGGAGTGGTTACCAACCTCTGATTGATTGGTTAATTAGTGTGGATAGGGCTAACAGTAACAACCCACAAAATATCTAAAGATGGGATATAGCAGGCTAAAGTCAGCAAGACAACCTTCTTAATTATTACCAGAAGAGTCCTTTAACCATTCAACAAAATGGAGCAACAGTTAAAAATCTGCTACAACAAAAAGAAAAGGCCAATACCATTCTCTGACAGTTTTCACCAAACATGCATAGAATAAATTATTTTAATCTTATACAAAGTTCATCAAAGAATAGAAATTAGAGAAAATGGTCCCCAATTTGTACTATAAGGCTAACCATGTTTGGCAAGGTTAGTATTATCTACTGGTGCATTAGTTAATAGATAAGTAGATAAATTAGTTATCTACTGGTACATAACAAATTAGCCCAAAACTTAGGAGATATGGGATCAATTGCAAAGTATTCAACATTTTAAAATAAAATTTGGAACTAAACATGTGGTTATGTTTATCTCTCAACATAATCTTCATGAATTAATAAGCCAGAAAATTTGCATACCAATTGTTAAGCATTAAGAGATTTTTTTGAAAAGTTTAGTGATTATATAATGGCATACTTAGAAAACTAAAATGAAAATTTGAATAATGTGGCTAGATACAAGACAAATATACCAAATCAATGGATTCCCTCTAACCTACAACTAAGCACTCAAAAGTGGAAATGGGGTAAGATATATAGATTATCCCTTTTGCTCTGCAATTTTATTGTACCAAATGACTTAAAAATCTATAATTTTTATAAGAGAAAATCCAGAAACTATGAGAAAACAGAATTATCTATAAAACATTTAAACTGTTGAAGAGGAAATGAAAAAAGCTTGTCAAATGTGATATACACAATAGATTTGGCAAATTCTTTGTAATGGAGATGACAAAGGATTAATAATCATTTCTATTTTATATGAAGAAGACAAACATTAAGCACTTGAAAAATGAGCAAGGAACTTAAGCAGACAATTCAAAGCAAATCCAAATGCCCAAGAAGCATAATCAAAGTTATTTGAACACAGTAGTCAAGAAAATATTCAGCAACAGTATCCATGAAATTGCCAAAATTTAAAAATTAATTACATCTATTGTTGGCTGGATTGTGGGGAAAAGGATATCCTTAGAAATAGTTAGAAACAGACATTATTATAGCCTTTTAGGGTAAGCAACTTGAAATAGCTCTAAAATTTTAAAACATTCTTTTAACTGAAAATCTCACTGCTGGGAAACAATCTCACAGAAATAAATGCTATAATATACACAAGGATGTTTACTATTGTATTGTTAATGTGACAAAAAAAGGAAAAATAAAATGAGTGCCCTTTGATGGTCATACTAATAGGATAATGGAATAATCTACAGTACAGCTACATCATGTAATAAAAGTTGGTAGTCATTAGAAATAAATAGGGGTACAGAAGTTGAGTAAGAGAACTCCCATAAAGTATTTATTATTGAAGGATAAAATCAAGATGCAGAGTATATAAGATGAGTAAATCTGGGTGAAAATAATAACAAAACCTGAAGTTATTTGAATATATGTATATGTATTATGTATGCATAAAAGAGATGTGTCTATTTATATATGTGTTTTATTTTTAAGTAAGGATAAAAAAGATACAATCCACAAGGGTTCTCTTTTCTTCCCATCCACACCAACACTTGCTATTTTCATCTTTTTAACAATAGCCAATCAAACAAATGTGAGGTGATATCTCATTGGGTTTTGATTTGCATTTCTCTGATGATTAGAGATGTTGAGCATTTCTTCATATACCTGTTGGTCATTTTATAATGTCTTCTTATCAGAAATGTTTATTCAGGTCTTTTGCTCATGTTTAAATAGGGTTTTTTAATTGAATTGTTTGAGTTTCTTGTATATTTTGGATATTAGCCCTTTATCCATTTTTTTCTCCTAATTTGTGGGTTGTCTCTTTGCTCTTTTTTTTTTTTTTTACTTTATTTTTTTAAAACTCCTCTTGCTCTCATTCCCAAACAATCTGTTGATTGCTTGCTTGACTGTGCACACATATGCTTTTAGTTTGGTGCAATCCCACTTTTCTCTTTTTGCTTTCATTGCCTATGCTTTTGGGGTCATATCCAAGAAATCACTACCCAGACCAATGCCATGGAGATTTTCCCCTATGTTTTCTTCTAATCAGCACCCAACAGCACCCTGCTGCCCAGGAAGTCTGGGACCCCTAAGAGTCCTCTCCCTGCTACCTCCCCACATCATACAATGGGGAGGACTCCACCCACCTCACAGGGTTGTAAGAGGCTGCATCAGTGGACCCGTGGAAAGCATCTAGGACAGTGGCTGCTACAGGACACATCCATGAGAACACTCACTGTTGTTAACCCTGAAGGTCACAGCTTGCTGAGGGTGCCCAGATGCGGTGATGTCCCTTGCCCTATGGATTCAGAGCCTGATAAGTGGTCATGATGTCACTCAAGGGTCACTGGGGAGGCTTCTTTACAAACCTGTCCCTTCCTCTTAAAGGACTGGAATGAACTTTGGGGCAGAGATCAGGTCTGCTTCATGCCTTAGTCCCAGACAGTACGGCGATGCCTAACACAGAGCAGGTATCAGTGTGCATTTGTTGAATAAGTGAATGAATAGCAATCCCACGCAAGACCTGCCCTTATGGGCATTGGTGGAGAAAGGGGCTGTGTGATCAGCCACCTGAGTTGCTGTTCCTTAAGGATGGATCCAGGGCCACTGTCCCTCCACCTCCCCATCCCCATCCCTGAACCCCAGGAAGGGTCACTGTGAAGGTCCAATGAGCACGCCCATGCTTTTCCTTGGGGCCACTGTGACATTGATGGCACCACGGCCTCACAACAAAGTACTGGGGCTCAGCATCCCTGTTCTTGACCTGTCCTAGGGGTTAGGAAGACACTTGGGGAAAGCCCACTGAGCTCTGCTTGAGTCAGATCTGCTTCTGTTTTGGAGGCCATTTAGAACAGGAAGCAGCAAAAACAGGAACAGGGAACCCTTTGAGGAAGGGTTTATAATGTTGAGGTGGTGGGAGGGAGAGGCTGAATACATAGAGGAAAATGCATGCTCTCTCCAGAGAAGAGAGGGGTGTGATTCGTGTGACTCCAGAAGGCAGAACAGGGACAAGTGGTTGGAATCACAGTAGAACCGGGAAGATCTGGGCTTCGTCAGAAATGCAGAGAAATTCCCCAGTGGCCCCTCCTTCTCCTCGGGCTCTTCCCCCCCATGGCACCCCTCACCTTGCACTGCACCCTCAGGAGAACTCTTGGCACTTCCTGAATGCACCAGGCCATTTCCCTGTCCTCGTCATCGACTTGCATTTCCAAATCTGGGCCAAGCATCACTTCCTGGTGGAAGCCCTTCTTGAACCTACTCCAGGTACAATTTTCTATCTGCTACTCTCTACTCCCTTATACTAAAATAATACTTTGCTATATCTCAGAACACCTTTGATTTCATTCACTTCTTGTAATTGTTTGCGAGATTGACCACACAGTCTTCTTGCCCTGTATCCTCTTCCCTCTAATATCCCTGTTCAACTCTTTTCAAGAGCAGGAGTCTTTCTCTCCCTCCTGAGTTGCGGCTGGCCTCGTGATTGCTTTGGCTACTGGGACAGTATAGTAAGTCTTAGGCAAGCAGAGATTGGAAATGAGTTTGTTGGCCGGGCGAGGTGGCTCACGCCTATAATCCCGGCACTTTGGGAGGCCGAGGCGGGCGGATCACGAGGTCAGGAGATGGAGACCATCCTGGCTAACACAGTGAAACCCCGTCTCTACTAAAAATACAAAAAAAAATTAGCCAGGCGTGGTTGTGGGTGCTTGCAGTCCCAGCTACTCTGGAGGCTGAGGCAGGAGAATGGCGTGAACCCAGGAGGCGGAGCTTGCAGTGAGCCGAGATCACGCCACTGCACTCCAGCCTGGGTGACAAAGCGAGACTCCACCACCAAAAAAAAAAAAAAAAAAAGAGAGAGAGAAATTAGTTTGTCCATTTGGATTGCCTCTGCTGCTCTTCAAACTTGGAGAATCAAGCCCAGGGCAGCCCTGTTGTTGATAAGGAAACATGTAGGAACAAGATCCAGTGGTTGGAGCTGAGTTATTTTTTGAACAGCCAATTCCTAGCTGACCCCATCCCCACCTGCCCTGGCAGCTGACTGCAGACACATAAGCAAGTCCAGCTGATAGCAACTGAGCATGACACAGACCTAAAGAACCCCAAAATATCAACCTCCAAAACTGTGAGCTCTAAATGGTTATTGTTTAAAACCACTACATTTTGGTGTCATTTGTTACACAGCGTTAGATAACTGATACACTTGTTAATTTGGCTGTTTCTCACTTAGGATAAGAAACCTTCTCTTAGTCATTTCTGAATCAAGGACATCTGTTGTAGGGGCTGGTATGTAGCCATTATAGATTAACTCTATCCTGAGTGAATGGATGAGTGAATGATATGAATATGCAAATAAGAATTCATGCATAAAATCAGTAGTGCAAAAACTATCTTGTTTATGATATTAAATAAAATAATTCCATTTTAGATCTTCTTGCTTCCCCAGTAGGTAGGAAATTTAAGTCCATTATTCTTAGGGTACCCCCCCTAGTGTTGTGCAATGATTGCCAGGGTCTGACAAATGACCCAGGCATTGGAGAAGGGCCTTAACACAGCCATTGCCCAAACCCGTGGGGCCTCCAGAAGGGCTGGTCCTGCAGCTTCCATTTCCTGCTTGGGCACAAGCCCAGTGGCAGGGGTCAGAGAATTCTCACAGGGTTTGGCCTACCTGGGTGCTGCCATTGCACTATGAGGTGCTGCCACCTATGCCAGGGCACTGCCCAGAGACAGGGCCCACCCCTTCCCAATGTCTAGAACTCTCCTCCCTCTCCCAACTCCCCCATGCCCCTCAGCCTCCCATTCACTCTGTGCGATCACGTCAGTGAGCTGCGACTTTTACAACGGACACCCTGAGAGCCATGCACTTAGGCAGCTTCTGCCTTGCTAGCCCAACTACCTTCCTGAAATCAAATTGGGCACAAAAAAAACATAGGAAGATTTTATGTGCAATTTTCATGTTTCAATAAATTATCTTGCCATATATGTTCAAAGTGCCCTGTAGAAGAGTCCCCTCAGGCCTCTTACAAGTTGCAAGAGGATGGAAACAGAATTTTTAATTGTGTCGTAATCTATGGGGAAGAATTCAAAGAACAGAGGCAGCTCCACATGAAGCTTCTGGAATAGCTCCCCATCCATTCCTCCTGGCATCTTCCCTAACACATTCTACTCCCTTGGAAGCCACTGGAAATATTAGTTAGTCCCTCACACTTCCACAAACAGCATTTTTCAGATTCCTTCAAACAGTAGCTTTGCGTTCACTGCCAGCTGCATTAGCTGCAAAATTATATTTTTTAAAAGCCAGAGAAATCTGACAGGGGGCTAGGTAAAATCAATAAACTAAAACTGAAATGAAATTTCTTTTTCCTGTTTTTGAGCTTACAGAGTCTGTTTAAAATAGCTTATTCAGGTTCACAGTGAAGAGAGGACTCTTGGTGAGGGAGAGACAGCTTGGGACACCTCTAAAACAATATGTGTCCTTCCCTGATGTTATATTATGTGTTTGCTGTTTTCTTTGGGTAGCATCCACCTCCTTCACATAAATGGAAGGTCCATGAGGACAGTAACTTGTCTGATCTGTTTCTCAATGTATTTCCTGATATGTGGAACAGTGCCTGGCTCCCAGGTAGGAAATGCTCAAAACTATTTGTTGAATGAGTGAATGTTTGTGGGTTTGTTAACTTTGCACTGCTCTTTATTCACATTCATAAAAACAGAGACAAGGAAAGGGGGACAAAAACTCATAAATTCAGGATTCAATACAGTGAGAAAAGGGCCTGTATAATGGAGAGGTAGAAAAAATTAAAATTTTCTGTCTGCGTTAATTGACAGCCACTCTTTGCTTTGCTTTGCTTTGGAGGGAGACACACTGCTTCTTACACTCACATTGTAGGATATTCGAGCACTAGGGTCCCTTGACTTGGTTGTATGTATAAATACACAAAGTCATTCAATTAAAAAAAAAATCCTTCTCCAGCTCACGCATTGGCCCTAAGAAGTTTTTTAAATGGATAAACAAAGAATATCTGAGAGCAGTATAATCTCTACATATTCTAACTTCCAGTTTCGGGACAGAAGAGAGCCCAAGAGGCAGTTTTAGCATTATGAAGAATGAGCAGATCTGTAAATTGTGAAAGAGAGGGCGGAAGTGATTTTCTGCGGTCATTAACTGCATGCCTTTGACCACGACCACGGTGCTGCACGACTCCAAGGGTTATTTTCTCACAGTCTGTGCAAATGACACTTCCAGGGCACAACCTTCACTGTACGTGGCATGGCCTTGCCTGCAATGTGTCAGACAAAGTCTTATCTGTGTCTATTCAATCCTATTCTCTGACTTTCTTGTAAGTCTCTAATTTTCTCTTCAGTTGTGTCTGGTCCACTATTAAACCCACCCATGGAGGTAGAATTTAATTTGTTTTTTTCTATTTCACAGTTTCAAGTTCTCTGCAGATTTTCTCCATCTTGGTCTTGTTTCTCCTTGGACATAACAAGCATAGATATTTTAAAGCCATCTCTGATAATACCAGTAAGGAAACTTCTGAGTCTGTCTCCACTGTCTATTGTTTCTGTGGTGTTTTGTTCATGTTGCTGTATCTCCCTCCTGGCCTGCTTATTACTTGTTGGTGCCAATGGTTGTCTTTGTGAAATTGTTTATGGAAACCATTTGGGGTCTAAAGCGTTCTTATCTTCCTCTGGAGAGGATTTGTTTGCTTCTGCCAGCTCCTTAGGATTAATATCAATCCAATATCCCTTCAGACAGGCATAAGCACTGACATGATTTGGAGCTGAGCTCAGTTCTAATGACAGCCTGTCTGCTGCCAGCACTCACTTCCGTCTCACAGTCCTTGAAGGCCCAATCCCAAACAAGGGGTGCTTACCAGGGTTTCATCCTCCCCAGATCACGGCCCAGAAATTCTTTATCTTCTTAGCAATCTGAAGCCTTAAGTTGATGTTTCTGTTTTGATTTTACTATTTTGTGCAGCTTTTATAGTTCCCAACAAGAATATTGATCAGAATCTCCTAGCTCACCATTAGCGGGGGCTTAGCTCTGCATTTTTCAAAGTTGTTCTCTCTTTTTTTTTTTTTTTTTTTTTTTTTGAGACGGAGTCTCGCTCTGTCACCCAGGCTGCAGTGCAGTGGCGTGATCTCGGCTCACTGCAAGCTCTGCCTCCTGGGTTCACGCCATTCTCCTGCCTCAGCCTCCAGAGTAGCTGGGACTGCAGGCACCCACCACCACACCAGGCTAATTTTTTGTATTTGTTTTAGTAGAGACGGGGTTTCACCATGTTAGCCAGGATGGTCTCGATCTCTTGACCTCGTGATCCGCCCGCCTCGGCCTCCCAAAGTGCTGGGATTACAGGCATGAGCCACTGCACCTAGTCGTTTTGTTCTCTTTTATCCACCATTTGTATGTCGTTGTAACAGGAGGAATATCTCCATGTCTGCTCAGCCTGATGTGTTGCCAAAACCTTGCTTTCCAAATTCTCTGCAATGAACATATATTATTTAAAGTCAGTAAACAGTTATTTGTAAAAATTGAGATCAAATTACTTTACAAATAATCTCATAATCCCTAAGATGAGAGCTCAAGAACTATTTTTTTCCTAGTAACTGCAAAGGTCTATATATAGCTCATTTGCATTATATGTAACATTTATTAATTGCCATATGCCCAGTGCACGGTGGCTTACATGCATTAAAATATTTATCTTCTCCCAAACCCTGTAAGATAGACACTGTTATTAAATGAGTTTTAAAGCTGAGGAAAGTGAGGTGAGACAGTTATTAGTAACAGAACTCGAATTTTGACAGACAATCTGATTTCAAAGCCCACACTCTTAATGCAACTCCCATACTCACACTCACTAAATCTGTGGTGCTGGTTTGCAAAAAAGAAACTCTTCAAATTAAAATAGGACCCTTTTGAGCCTCACTGAATTAAAAATAAAAGGGGACTGTGTGCATTTGACAACATTAGTTGGTAAGATATTCTATATACACCAAGAAATATACATTGCTGTAATTTATTCCATGAATGTTGGCAGGGATATGGAGAAACTAGAACTCTCATACCCTGCTGGTAGGAATGTGAAATGGTGCAACCACTTTAGAAAATGGAGTTTGACAGTTTAGTAAAAAGTTAAACCTGTTTCCACCGTACAATCCACCCATCCCACTGTTAAATATTTACCCAAAAGAAATGAAAGCACATGTCCACCAAACACTTGTATATGAATGTTAATGGCAGTTCTATTTATTTATAGCTGAAAACTGGAAACAACCCAAATGTTCAACAGGCAAATACCTAAATAAATTTTGGAATATTCTTACTATAGACTCAGCAATAAAATAGGAACAAAGGTATTGATAAACACAATAGCACGGTTGTATCTCAAAATAATTATGCTGGTGAAATAAGCCAGACAATAACAACAAAATATTAGGTTGGTGCAGAAGTAATTGCGGGTTTTGCCATTAAAAGTAATACATATGGAATAATTCCTAGAAAATTCTGGAAAATGCAAACCAATCTATGATGTCAGAAAGCAGATCAGTGGCTGTCTGGAGACAGAGTGGGGTGGAGGACCAGGGCAATTGAAGGAGGATAAATACAAAGGGCACAAAAAAACTTTGGGGGTTGATATAAAAATGTATTATTTTTATTGTGCTGTTGGTTTTGTGTGTGTATGTCAAACATCTAATTGTACACTTCAGAATGTAAAATTGATTGTTCATCAGTTATAGTTCAATAAAGCTGTAATTGTAAAAAAGAATGAATATTGAGTATATGCATTTGACAGCATTCGTTGGTCAGGTATTCTGTGAGTAACAAGAAAACACACGTTTATGAAAATTTCTAACATGACTTTTTAGCTTCTGATTACTTTAATTCTGAAATACATCTGTCACCTCTCTGTTTATCTGATGTCTATACTACTAGCTTAATTATGCAAATGATATATTTTTGAAATGATTTAAAGTAGCATAATTGATTTCAATGAACAAAGACTGCTTTTTATGATAAAACATTTCCCATCATATGTTTCACGAATCTTTTGTTTTCCCTTCCAGTATAGCATAAACCATCCTAAATATGGATGCTTTTTCTCCCTTAAAAGGAAATTCTCTCTTCTCTTCTTGGTACTCTAGGTAGCTTCCAAATAACATTTTATATTGGTTATTTGTATTTTCATCAAGTAAAACAGAGATAAAAACATGCATATAAACACAATTATAAATACATAATAATGCCCTTCCATGTTAATTTTGTGCTTTTGAGTAAACATTTAATTCCCAAGAAAATATCTGTGTTAACTGCAATCTTTGATTTCATTGGAGTTTAAGTCTCACGTTTCTGTGCCTATTGCTAAGCTGAGTTTTTATTTTGATGTAGTTTCCACAAGGCTAAAGCCTTTTTTTTGAAATGAAAATATAGAGTCAGTGAATCAGCTTCAAAAAGCGTATCAGGCAGCATCTGCGTAATGAATGCGGGAATAAAGCACAGTTATGGGTTTTCTGTTCACTAAATCCTAAGCAGCTTAATTAGATGATAAAGACGCGTTTGTAATGGATGAAGTGCACTTTGTTGGGCACCGCTGCATCTGAAAGTCAATTTCTGGTTGGAAAAGTGCTGCAGAGTTTGAAAACCAGAAAGAAACTTCTAGTCCAAGGGTTCTCAAACTCAGCCTTTGGATTAATGTAGGTGCCTAAAGGCATGTTTATTAACATAGATAGAAAGAAGTGCAATAATTTATCATAAAAATAAATTGAGACCGAGCGTGGTGGCTCTCGCCTATAATCCTAACAAGGCAGAAGGATCATTTGAGGCTAGGAGTTTGAGACCAGCCTGGGCAATATAGCAAGACCCCAATCTCTACTAAAAAATTAAAAAATTAGCTGGGAGTGGTGGCATGTGTCTGTAGCCCCAGGTACTCAGGAGGCTGAGGCAAGAGAATCTCTTGAGCCCAGGAGTTCGAGGCTGCAGTGAGCTATGATTGCACCACTGCACTCCAGCCTGAGTGACAGAGCAAGACCCTGTTTCTAAAAATAAATAAATTTTTTTTAAAAAGTGACTCAATTTAAAGTCTAGAGGTCTACAAACAAACAAAAAGCCAAACATGAACAACTACTTTAGGACAAAACTATCTTCCTCTAAAAACAGAAGCGCATACACTGACGTAATTCTCTCTCTCTGGCAGACAGGTTTCTAAGACAGCCACCGATGGGTCCTACCTCCTCGTATTCACATCCTATGTAATCTCCTCCCCAGTGTGGGCTGGACCTGGTGACTTGCTTCCAGTGAATAGAATATAGCAAAAGTGATTGATGTCACCTCCAAGATTCAGCTATAGAAGACTATGACTATGACTTTCCTCTTGGCTAGCATTCTCGCTAACCCTTCCTGCTTGCTTGTACTGAGCTGCCCTATGAAGAGGCCCATGTAGGGTGGCCTGGGTGGGGGTGATCTGTGGCCAACAGCCAGCAAGGAACTAAATCCTGTTTACAACCACATGAGCTTGGAAGGAGATCCTTCCCCAGTAAAGCCAGGAGATGAATACAGCCCCAGCCTCCAGCTTCATTGCAGCATCGTGAGACACCCACAAGCAGGACTCAGCTAAGCCACAGCCAGAATTCTGTCCCACAGAACTTCAAGACAACTAGTGCTGTTGCTTTTCAGCTGCAGAGTTTTGACATAATTTGTTGTATAGCAATAGCCAGCTAGTTATCAATAACCACTATTGCTCCTATTGTTTCTCACCACATATCCATATAGTCATGAGGAAACCTCTTTAAATGAGACAAAGAATCAGAACTAATAAAAGATAAGCAAATTCCTTTAAATATACATTTTAATTTTACATGGTAAAATATTTCAAACTGAAAGCAACTGATTTCTATTTGCAATTTCACAGAGAAGCTGGATATCATAAATTCAGCAGATGAATGGTAGACTAGAGAAAATTCAATGCATATGGTAGATAGTAAATTAATATCTATAATGTACAAATTAATTTTTAAAAGGCTAAGAATACCCATTACAGAAAAGCATAGCCAAATGGCTAATCAGCCTACGAAGAGATATTCAAAACCCTTTGAAGTCAGAGAATTGCAAGACAAATAGTGTATTATCATTTTCAGCCCACCAGACTGAGAAAATTAAAATGAATTGTAAACCATCTTTCTGGTAAGCATTCAGGGAAGCCAGGGAATTGTTTTAAATCATTAGAAAACAATCTGACTATATGTTTTAAAACTAAAAACATACTCTTTGATCCTATAATCTCACTTCTCGGATTCTAACCTTAGAAAAAAATGCACCAAAACATAAAATTTTATGGACAAGAATGTTTATTACAGTGTATTTGTAGTGGCTCCAAACCAGAAACAACTTGCATGTGTGTCAGTAAAGGGGATGTTGAATAAGGTGCATCAATATACTATGCAGGATACAATACCTGTGTAGCAGCAAATGAGTTTGTGCATCAGTTTCCATGTTGACTGAGGACAGCAATGTTCAGGGTAGTATGCATGAGGCTATCTCATTTGTTTTTCAAAAGCAATGATCCCTCAAATCTGATTTTACTCACACACGTGGTATACGTAAATAGATCAGATAGATGCATAGATACATAGACATAGGGACATAGACACAGACACAGACACAGACATAGACATAGACACCATAGACATAGAGAGCAGAATGGAAAAATACCCATTAGGTTCTTAACATATATTGGGCATGGGGTGTAAAGAGAGAAGTGGGGAGAGTGAGTGAAGAGATAGAAGAGAGGAGGGGGAGAAACAAGCAAAAAAAAAATGAGAACCTAAATGAGCATTTAAAATGAAGTCTACAGTAAATGCAGCACAATCCCACTTGTGTAAATGTTATGTGTGTGTGTACACAGATATGTGTGTGCATGAGGACATACACAAAATCATGATGGTTGGAAGGGTTAATGGTGACCCTGCCAGGAGGTCTGATTTCACGGGCTTGCCCCATCCCCCTTTTTTCTTTATACTGTTATGTATTGTTTTATTTTTCCCCCAACAAACATGTATTATTTATATAACGGGGGAGAGAAAAAAGTCAATTTCCACTATGGAAATAAAAGAGCCCATTTATCACTTTTATGTGCTTTATGTATTGGAGTCTCAAGTGAAGAAGATTTCATTAAAAAAAAAAAAAGAGTTACACCACAAAAAATGTTTGCCAAACTCTGCTCTAGACAATACCAACTTTCTCCCTCACCCTCAAGCCTATGGAATTGCAGAATAGATTAGTATCTCTGTTTGCAGGAGAAAAATGAAATTTGCAAAAATGAATAATAAGCAAATGCTTGTTGAATTAAAACACATTGCAAATGACAATTTACAAGACAGGCTGAAACTGGCAGCCAGAGGCTGCATCCAGCTCACAGATGAGTCTGTTAGGCCCACACCGTGCTACAAAAAATGAATTCATTAATAACATACAAAGTTAGTAGAGTCCACTCTTTTTACTTTTTATTTGTATTATATTATATTTTATTTTATTTTGAGACAGAATCTCTCTCTGTCGCCAGGCTGGGGTGCAGTGGTGCCATCTTGGCTCACTGCAACCTCCGCCTCCTGGGTTCAAGTGATTCTCCTGCCTCAGCCCCTTGAGTAGCTGGGATTACAGACACATGCCACCACACCCAGCTAATTTTTGTATTTTTAGTAGAGACGGGGTTTCATCATGTTGGCCAGGATGGTCTCAATTGAGTCCACTTTTTAAAAAATATCTGGAAATAAGCTTTCTTTTGTAAAACCCAATTTTCTGGAGACATTGGGCACACATTTGCACATGACAAAAATGAGCCCAAGCTTCTTTGTGACTGTCCCCTTTGACCAGAACTCACGCTTTCCAATCCCCATGCTTCCTACAAGGGCTCTTTGTCAAATCACCTGCCTGGCAACTGCCATCACTCTAGGTGGCTACCCTGACTTACTGATATAGGGACAGGGAGGGTCAGGAAATGATCCAAGGACTCACTCTGATTGCCCAGAACTAGGACCAGGGTCCACTGGGAGCTGTATGCAGAACAGGCGGCTTCAGCTTCCATGGGATCTAAGATTCCCAGGTTCTAGGAGCCACATTTCCAGACAACTGCTGCTGTAGACTAAATGTTTATGCTCCTCTGAAATTCATATGTTAAATCCTAGTCCTCAAGGCAATGGCATTTAAAGGAGGGGACATTGGAAGGCAGAGCTCTCATGAATGGGATTCATGCCCTTATTAAAGAAGCCTCAGAAAACTGCCATGCCCCTTCTACCACCTGAGGGCACAGCGAGAAGACAGCCAAACCTGGGAGGGGGCCCTCACCAGGCGTAGAATCTGCTGGTACTTTGATCTAGGACTTCCCAGCCTAGAGAACTGTGAAAAATAAATTTCTATTGTTTATAAGCCACCCAGTCTATGGTATTTTGTTGCAGCAGCCCAAATGAACTGAAACAACTCCTCTGACAGCTACACCCAATCCACAGTGCTGGTCAAAGCAGTGTGTGAGTCCTTTGCTCCAAGGCTGCTCGCCCATGTCCTACACAAGAGGCCAGCAGGAGCCTGAGGAACACACCCCCCACCTCACTGTGTGTGTGTGCCTGGCAAAGCACCCTGCCCAGAACCCTCTCCGCCAGGGCCTTGGGAGGAGAGGGGACGTCCAGCCTCTTCTCTTACTGATCTTACCTTTGTAAGTTCCTCCTTTCCAAAATAAAGCCTATTCCTAAACTTGTGCTGGGTGATGTGGAATTCATTTGAGGAGACCCTGTTGCCAGACAGCGGCAGCATTGGTCTCGCAATCCCTCCTCCTTGGGGAATTCTTGTCCTCTCACCCAGGGGAGGTTCAGACAGTAGCTCTGTTCATGGCCCTTGGCTTATTGCATCACCCTTGTTCTGAATGACTCTTCTTCCACCCACGTCATCTGCTCCTGCTTCCCAAGCTGGCCTAATGGGCTGGCAGCATCAGAACTGATCATTTGGTGACAGAGCATTCTCAGCCTTTTGCTCAGCACATGAGCTAAGTATGATCTGATCCAAGAACAGAAACTGCCTCGGCCGTGTAGGTTTCCCCAGCTGAATTTCTCTTGCTCTTAGCTGTTCATGACTCAGTGTGATGGGGTCTTGGTTGTCTTCACTTGCATTGTGCTAGAATTCCTACTTCTATGGAGGAAGACATTTCTCTCATTTGATTTAAAGAAGGAAAAATTGTGTATCTGGGGCTGAGTGCTTCCTGGAAGAATCCCTGTGATTACTCAGACAGTCTTTCTTCTCTGATTCTGTTTTATTTCTCTCTAAAAAGTCCCTGAGCTTCTTTAAGATTGAGGGCTTGTTGTGAAGCTTTCAGTGTTGGAGCCACTATCTGTGGGCTATTCTAAAGCAATCAGGCATCCTGGGGTGTGATTGTAATATCTGTACTGTAGAAAGATAAAAAATAAGAGGCAATTCACAAGAATGCTCCCAACTCCCCACCTGCTAATTCACTGTGACCGTCTACATATGTCTGTAATAGTCATTTGGGAACAGAGCTGGGGTCAGGGAGGGCAGGTACGGAGCTTGGAGGGACAGACTTTCTCTTCTAAGGTGCTCACAGGGTTTTAAGGAAAAGTTCTTCTGAAGCCTGGGCTGTTGGGATTGTGTGGACAGTCAGAAGTGAATGTCAGACCAGGAAGTAGGAGCCCAAGTGAAGACCAGGGAGAAACACCCAGAGCCCGGGAAATACTGACAAATCCTGAAGGCTGAGCACCTGGACAAGCTAAAGGAAAGATGAAGTTTCAAACAGTGCTCAGAAATGACACTGAGGAACAGGTGGGTGAAGGGTCTGCTGAAGACTGGCAATCCACTCAGCGAATGGGTAACAGATTCCTGTAACACAGGATGTGCTGAAGATTACGTTCTGCAGCCCATAATTTTTCAATCAACTCAGAGGACCAGTGCTTAATGGTCAGCAAAATAATTAATGATCTTATTGGACTCAGTGGATTGCAATATCTCCTTGTCCTTTGAGCCTTACAGAAGCTATTTGTTTTAGAGTAAAGATATTAAATTCATGCTTGAGAGCATTAAAGAAGGAAAACAAATGGCCTCAAATGAAATCAATGATTTCTAAAAGAAAATTCTTCTTGAGTTGCTCTAACAACTAATCTTCAACAAAACGTTTCAGGGTTTGAATTAGAAGCCCTGTTTTGTTCTTGCTTTCGTTTGAACTGAGAATTTTGTTGTTCTCCAAATCCCTTTTTTTTCCCCCTCTCATTTTGCATGGGCCTTGCAGAGCTGGATTCTGTCCACTTTGAGTCAGTCACTTCTCACATCCAGGTTCAACCCTTCCTCTGTGAAATGGGGGTTGGGAGTATTGGGAGGAAATGAAATGATATCTCAGCCCCTTCCAGCTCTGACATTTAGGGATTTTGTGATTTTCCATCTAGACAATCTCTCAGCCTTATTTTTGTGTATTATTGTTCACAGAATGAGAAACTAAAGTATTAAATATTAGGAGGTATGCATTTTTATAGCATACAGCTGGAGTGGACCATACAGGTTTATTTGAAGAAGGACATGCATTTGCTGAAGAGAATACATCCAAGTTCTTCTTTTACTTAATTAAAAAATAAATGCCACGGCCTGAGTACTTTTAAATTAGGCTTATTAAACTGCAGACCACACTCTGAGTGCATATTAACGTGCTCTCGAGCTCTCCATTTTATTTAATATCTCTAGGAATAAATGTGATGTAATTACACTTAATATTTCAGTTGATGGCAGAGGAAGTTAGATTAGGCAAGCTTGCTGGAAATTAAAAACTAAATAGCAGCCCATGAATCACTCCCATTCAGGCACAAATCATTTCTTTTACATTTTCCATTTTCTATCTCAATCGCTTTTCAAGTTATGACCCTCTGATTTTGAAATCACTCATCTAAAGGAATAAAAGGCTGTAAAACCCAAATCATTCCACTACCTTTGACCTGTCATAATCTGTCGTATGCCTGTCGAGTCTGCCTGTTTGGTCACAGTGTTCGGTCAGTCAGTTTCCAGAGACTGGCATACAGCAGTGTACTCTCTGGGGACGCAGTGGGGTGTGTCCCACCTGGATGTCCCTCGTACTTCTCTTAGAAGGGTCCAAGTCCCACTTGCCCAGCAAGAGGCATTCGGTTCACCATGTGACACTTTCGTTTCTGGCCTGATATGGTAACAATACCAAGGATCTGCTCCTGCTGAGCTCTGTGCTGGCCACCAAGACCCCAGAGATGAGGAGCCATCCCCACCCTCAAAGGCCACAGGCAGGCTGAGAAGCTCCCTGCAACAGGAAAGCCTTCCCTTTTCCCTTTCCATCCTCATCATTCTTTGTTCTCCTGGTGACAAGAGAGCCTGTGGGGAGTTTAGTTCCTGTCCTCACCCTTCCCTCAGATCCTCAAAGTAGCATGCCTGTCTTCACCTTGGTATCCACAATACCAAGGTTAGAGGCTGGCAGATAGTAAATCCTTGAGAATCAATGAATTTATATCATGTCCCGCGTTTCCCCCAAATAGTGCTCTGCACATGTAAGGACCTCAATAAATATTTGTTGGTTACTTATTCAGTAGAAGTCTCCAGTTAGTGAATACCAAGGGTATTACAGTGACAGCAAGGGCTTTGAATGGAGTCAGATCATATCGGCTGTGTTGCTGAAAGGAAAACCGCTGAGTACGCGGCAGGATGTTTAATAAAGATGGAAAAATTTTTCATTAAAACAGCAGCACCAAATACATATTACCTACAGATGTTGACAGGGTCTTCTCATAACATAAAGCAGAATGATGAAGAATATATTGGGAGTTCAGAGGAAAAAACTAATATTTTATATTTAATAATAATATCAATAATATTGATAACTGGTACAATTAATTGAGGAGGTGGAAAGCCACTTAAATTGAGAGGTATAATGAACAACAAAGGACATAGTCATGAAACTATATGCAAAATGACAAAAAATATATAAAGCTAAATTTATTTGGCAAATAAAGAGGAATTAAATCTTGTCCATTGGCTAAAATATAGCAGGTGTTCAATAGCTATTTCTTCAATGATTTTTCAACAATTTGCAGAATCACAATTGCAATGGGCTTCAGATTATCCATAAAGAAGGGTTTTGACAGTAGCATTATAGTTGGAAGAAGAGCCTGGGGGACTTATCTTGAAGCTGTATGTGCACAGCAAAGCAGGTTTTTTATTTAGGTTGTACGTTTCTTTGGAATTTCGGAAGTCAGTGGCTGATAGAGGATAGAAAGGAATAAAAGCCCTTCCCAAAGCTACGCATTGGCACTGCCCTTAATACTGTGAGATTTTAACGCAGCACTCCCGATGCATTACAGATACGACCACTAAATAAGAGACTTTAAGGAGTTGAAATAATTATTGAATCAACAGATCTCTATGTCTGTGTGTGCAAGTAGACAAATATACATACCAAACTTTGTCCTTTGCAGGATAACATCCGTATTTTCAAGTTACAATCAGTTGTAAAAATTCATCTTAAACTTTAAGATCCAAAAAGTAGGAATCACAGGAGCCACACTTAACACTCTTGATGCAATGAAACTATAAAATGTACAATTAAAAATTCAACTGGATATTAAGAAATACTCTTCCAAAATCTACTGAAGGAGGAGAAATGTTACTAGGTTAACATAATTGAATAGCATCAGTCATTACAAATTACATTTTCAAATGTTTTTGATATGGGAAAATGTTCATAATACAACTGTGAATTAAAAATTCATAAATATCCTTTACAGACAACATGCCTCAAATAGATCTAGACATGATAATATGGATATAATATGCATATGGGTACAAATAGAAACAAGTAATGGTAAAGTGGACCCTTAACTTGGTTGAGGGACATGGCCTAATATCTTCAGTAGCTTCCATCTCTGCTGATAATATTTAATAACTGCATAAAGATATAATACAACATTAGAACACTTTACTTTTTCCTCACTCATGTCATCAGTGTAGCAATTGGTTTGGGTCAGGTGTATGGGGAGGGAACAATTACCAGGAAATGACGTCTTTGTTACTTCTGAGCAGTTAGCAGCATGAGCAAAATGAGTAAAGAGAGTCAATGTCAATGACCTACAGATGCTGGGCCATTGCCATGCTCTCTTACCAGCTAAAACATTTGGTCTCACACAAACGCCTCATAGTGTATGTACTAGTCAGGACTCTTCTGGTTGCAAGCGACAGAAATGAAATTATGGGTGGAAAATGGCAGAAAGTAGAATATGTTGATTCTTATAATGAAAAGTCCAGAGACTTCCAGCCTCAGGCAGAGCTGTATCCAGGTGCCCAGACAAGGTGGTCTGTCCCCTTCCATCTCTTGCCCTGCTTCCCTCTCTGTTGGCTTCTTTCTTAGGCAGCCACCCTCCATGTGTGGTTAGCAATGGTCAGCAGCAGATGCAGACTTTTATTCTGTAGGCTACCACAGTAGAAAAAGCATGTCTCTTCTCCAGCAGTTGGTGAAGTCCAAGAACCGGCTGTAATTAACCCACTTTGGTCACACGCCCAGTGCTGATTGGAGAGTGGACTATGCCAATTGGCCAGGTATGGATGACTTGTGAGCCAGGTGTGGATTCAGCTCTACCAGAGTCACACAGACTACGATGGTGGGGAGGTTCTTCCTTGGGGGGTGGGGTTTGATTTTTTTTTTTTACATTGCTCCCTGAGGCACAGACACATACCTAAATAAGCACATAGATGCTCCCATCCATGTCAAGGGCCTTCAGGATCACTGAGATATAGACAAACCCTGAAGGTCTAATGTATAGACAATAGAGAATGAGTGTGTGTCCAAACGAAATATAATATGAGCCACACATGTAATTTTAATTTTTCTAGCAGCCACATTTAAAAAGTAAAAAGAAACAACTCAGGTTAATTTTAATAATGTAATTTATTATTGTTTCAACATGGAATCAATATAATATTTTTGAGCTATTTTACATTTTTTCATGCTAAATCTTCAAACTCCAGTGTGTATTTTGCATTTATAGCATATCTCAATTTTGACAAGCCATGTTTTCAAGAGCTTAATAGCCACACATGGCTACTAGTTAGTGTGTTAGACAATGCTGGTACATATTATGAAGAAGACACTGAAATGATAACAGTGTCATCTGGGTGCAGTGGCTCACACCTGCAATCCCAGCACTTTGGGAGGCCGAGGCAGGAGGATCACTTTAGGTCAGGAGTTCGAGACCAGCCTGGCCAACATGGTGAAACCCCATGTCTAGTAAAAATACAAAAAATTAGCCAGGCATGGTTGTATGCACCTCTAGTCCCAGCTGCTTGAGAGGCTGAGGCACGAAAATTACTTGAACCCAGGAGGCAGAGGTTGCAGTGAGCTAAGATTGTACCACTACACTCTAGCCTGGGTGACAGAGCGAGACTCTGTCTGGGGGAAAAAAAAAGGAAAATGTTAACAGTGTCTTTTCTGGAGGGAGGATTTTATTTTTTCTTTCATATTTTCCTATATCTTGTAAATTTTCTATAATGAGCATGTATTTCTTCCCAAATAATGATAAAGCACTAAAAGGTGTGTTAAGGGCCCTTCCCATAGAGTTCTGACTAATGGGATAATGCCAGCTGTTGGAAAATATCTCCTGATCTGCCCCAAGGTTCTGGCCTTGGCATTCAGTTTTCTTTTTTCAGTGATCAAAATGAGGATGGGTAATTCTGACCTTCCAAATTTGCCACTAATATGATGCTGAAACCCTTAGAGGCTACTGCAGGTGCCAGAAACAAAAGCCAAAATAATCTCAACAAGCCAGAATGATGGCAGAAATCTAATAAAACAAAATGTACACATGAAATAATGTACTCTTAATTGAGTACAAAAATCTGATTTTTCTTGTGGCAAAATGTGGATGTCATAGCCAACCGAGGCCACCATTCAAAGGGGTTTAGGCCAATTCAAAATTTAGTATCAGTCAATAGTTGAAGAAGTTGCTAATGTAACTGAGTATCTCAGCCTCAAAATGCATTTTAAAACTTTTTCTTTCCTTTCTTGCTTTCAGCCTTGAAACAGACTGAAACTCTTTGTTCCTCCCTTTCCCACCAGCCACTTCAGTTCACAGTGCTCTCTTATCTAATTATGGGCTTGCTTAGAAATTCCAGGGGCCAACATTGAAACAAACCAGGCAGAGAGACCCAATTGCTGAATCCTCCTTCTCCAGGAGAATTACGAAGTTAGCCCACCACTACTGGGCGGAGTCAGAATGAGGTAATGCGGACCTCCAGACAGGTGATTACTCAAGATAGCTATGGGAATGAGGCACGCAGGCCTACACACTCCTGCACCACCCCTGAGTATTCCCCACACCTTCTTCCTTCTTAAACCCTTTCACTTGGCCCAAAAAGTGGGGATGGTCTGTGATATGATTTGGCTGTGTCCCCAGCCCAATCTCATCAGGAATTGTATTAATAGTTCCCATAATCCCCACGTGTTGTGGGAAGGACCAGGTGGAGATATTTGAATCATGGAGGCGGTTTCCCGCATCCTGTTCTCGTGATAGTGAGTCAGTTCTCACAAGATCTGGTGGTTTTATAAAAGGCTTCCCCCTTCACTGGGCACTCGTTCTTCTTCTCCCTGCTGCTCTGTGAAGAAGGACTGTGTTTGCTTCCCCTTCCACCATGATTGTAAGTTTTCTGAACGCCTCCCCAGCCTTGCAGAACTGTGAGTCAATTAAATCTCTTTCCTTTATAAATTACCTAGTCTCGGGTATGTCCTTACAGCAGCGTGAGAATGGACTAACATAGTCTGTTAAAGGCATGAGCCTGGCCCTTCCCCAATTGCTAGCATTTGAATAAAGTTGCTTTCCTTTCACCACACCTTGTTTCTCCTGTTTTCGGCTTCTGAGCGGTGCGCAGCTGGATTTGAGCTGGTTACATGAAGACATGAACTGCACTTGAAGTGAGCCCCCAGGAACCTGTCTGGTCTGATTCCAGAGCCTTCTCACTCTTACTCCACAACACAAAAATGTACCCGAGTCTGAAGGGGCCAACTGTATGACTATTGGTTCTCCCAATTAACTTCCATGTACTGATTGCATGTAGATTATTGAAACCCAACAGTGACTGCAGCAATTACCTAGAATTTAGGCTAATCAAATACTTTGGGGGTTGGTAAGAAATATTTTATCATTGACTGTAGAATTTCCCATTCATGGTATCAATAACAAGCACACCAATTTTCAGTTGGTTTTGGGATACATGTGCAGAACGTGCAGGTTTGTTACATAGGTATACATACACGTGCCATGGTGGTTTGCTGTACCCATCAACCCATCATCTACGTTAGGTATTTCTCCTATTGCTATCCCTCCCCTAACCCCCGACCCCCCGACAGGCCCTGGTGTGTGATGTTCCCCTCCCTGTGTCCATGTGTTCTCATTGTTCAACTCCCACTTATGAGTGAGAATATGGGGTGTTTGGTTTTCTGTTCTTGTGTTAGTTTGCTGAGAATGGTGGTTTCCAGCTTCATCCATGTTGTTTTGTACAAATAATGCCTTGTTACCTGCACCAGGGGGCAGTCTTCCTCTGCGTCCCTGCCCTCTGTATGCTGCCAGGAGGGAGTAAACATCCATAAAATGCTCCTCTGGAAAAGAATGTGGCACTATCTATCCAACTTATAAATGTATTCACTCTTTCATCCAGCAATTCACCTCTGAGATGTCACACTACAGATACACATGCACAAAATAACATATACACCAAGTTATTCACTGTAGCATTAAGTTTGTAACACAAAAAGATTGGGAATGACCCAAATGTCCAACCAACATAGTTTTTTTTTCTGAAAAATAAAACATGGAAAATGTGTTGTGTCCATATGATGGAATACTCTGCCTCTGAAGGATGAAAATAAATCTTCTTGCTGAATTAGAGAGTTAAAAACAACAAAATCATGCAAAATAGTGTGACTAATAAGCTACCTTTTATATAAAAGAAAAGAAAAATATGAACTTACATTTATATTTGTTTTTATCTGCACTTTGGAGAGATGTGTAAGACATTAGTGACAGTGGAGGTGGATATGAGATAGAAATAGTAATGGATGGATGAAAGAATGAAGAGTTAGATGGATCATAGAAAGATACATAGGTAGATATTCAAAAAGAAAGAAATATCAGAAGAGATGTATGAGATATCTTCATTTCTATGCAAAGCTATTTACTTCATACTTGTTCCATGTGTCTCCAAAGGATAAATTTAGAACCTTTAGGCTGGAGTTGCAACAAGTAGCGCTGACACTCAGCTCAATGTCTGAAACGGGAGAAAGAGAAAGAGAGGAAGGGAGCAACAATGAGAATGAAGTCAACTCAGCACTTGCTCTATGTTTTGAAGCTCAAGTGATTTTACTCAAACTTGGAGGTTCCTAAAGGAAGTCCACTAGTCTTGTCCTTGAAAGATTAGCAGAATCAAGGGGCCAAGATGACCAATTAGAAGGAGCTCTGGTCTGCGGCTCCCACCAAGAAGAATGAAAACAGTGAGTGAATCCTGCACCTCCAGCCGAGGTGTCCAGGTTCTCTCATTGGGACTGACCAGGAGGTTGGCTCAACCCATGGCGAGTGACGAAAAGCAGGGTGGAGCGACAGCCCACCCGGGACCTGCACGAGGTAAGAGGAATTCCCACCCCCAGCCAAGGGAGGCAGTGAGTGATTGTGCTACCCTGCCAGGGAAACCACGCATTTGCCACAGATCTGTGGAACCCACTGATCAGAGATCCCCTTGTGAGCCCATGCCACCAGGACCTTGGGTCCCAAGCACAGAACTGTGCAAACTCTTGGTGGCCACTCGGGAGGCCAGCAGCAGCATGCTGGAAACTACCTAAGATGACCATATTCCCAACGAGAGGGGCGGCCACCATCACTGTGGCCCCAGTGGGCCATTTTCCCTGCTGGGCCAGGGAGACTGGGCAGTTTGGACTGAGAGAAATTTCTCATAGCGCAACACAGTGGCTGTGGCAGATTGTGGCCGGATTCTTTCTTTACGTGGGACCCACATTCATCCCTCCTCGCTAGACAGGGCCTCCCTGCGGGAACTTCAGCAGCTCCAGCCAGGGATTTACAGACAGAGCTCTGATCTCCCTGGGGCGGAGCCCCTGGGGGAAGGGGTGGCCGCTGTCTCTGCAGTTCAGCGGACCTAGTCTTTCCCCTCTGCTGGCTCTGGAGAGGCTGGGCAGTCCGGATGAGGAGATTCCGCTCAGCACAGCACACCCGCTCCACCAAGGGGTAGCCAGGCTGCTTCAAGCGGGTCCCTGATCTCGTGCCTCCTGACTGAGTGAGACCTCCCAACAGGGGTCGCCAGACACCTCACACAGGAGAGCTCCCGCCAGCATCAAGTAGGTGTCCCTCCGGGACAGAGCTCCCAGAGGAAGAAGCAGGCAGCCATCTTTGCTGTTCTGCAGCCTCCACTGGTGATACCTCCAGGTGCAGAAGGGACCCAGGTTAATAGCCTCCGCAGTGGACCCCCAGCAAACTGCAGCAGCCCTATGGAAGGGGGGTCTGACAGTTAAAAACAAACAAACAGAAAGCAACAACAACAACATCAACAAAATGACCCCACCAAAACCCCATCCAAATGTAGGCAGTCTCAAAAATGGAAGGGAGATAAACCCACGAAAATGAGAAAAAAATCAATGCAAAAACACTGCAAATTCAAAAAGCTAGAGTGTCTCTTCTCCTCCAAATGATTGCAACACCTCTCCAACAAGGGCACAAAACTGGGCTGAGGCTAAGATGGATGAACTAACAGAAGGTGGGTAATAATGAACTTCGCTGAGCTAAAGGAGTATGTTCTAACCCAATGCAAAAAAGGTAAGACCCATGATAAAACATTACAGGAGCTGTTAACCAGAATAACCAGTTTAGAGAGGAACATAAATGACTAGATGGAGCTGAAAAACACAACACGAGAACTTCACAATGCAACCACAAGTATCAGTAGATGAATAGACCAAACAGGAGAGAAGCTCAGAGCTTGAAGACTATCTTGCTAAAATAAGGCAGGCACTCAAGATTAGAGAAAAAAGAATGAAAAGGGGCAAACAAAACCTCCGAGAACTATGGGATTGCACAAAAAGACCGAACCTACAACTGACCATGGTACCTGAAAGAGAGAGGGACAACAGAACCAAGTTGGAAAACATACTTCAGGGTATTATCCAGGAGAACTTCCCCAACCTAGCAAGAAAGATTAGCATCCTCAGGTCTTCTTGACATAAATCAGTTAAACAACTTGCATCTCAGGCTTTCTCTTTGCAGAACATCACAAATTCTACCAAATCAAATGAGCAACCTGTATATTAGTAATTTAACAACTTTCAGCATAGGATTGCTTTGCCATACTGAATACATGGCACAGATAAATAGCGGGCATACATTTTTATCTTTTGAGTTTGTGTTTTTAATTAGGAACCCATTTGGTTTGTCTTTCTGACAAATGAATTTAACCCTCCTTTCACAAACTTGGAAATGTCCCTATCACTTCCCATAAATCAACACTGATGGGCTCAGTACAAAAATGTAAACTATAGATGAAAGCTCACATTCTCCACCTCATTTGACACCAGAAATTGCTTCTTATGATACAGCAGAATCAGTATTCCCTTCAGACCAGTGGGACATGTAATCATCCATTATTGATAATTCATTGCATTGTACAAAAAGATTTTCCATTGTTGTCCTCAGCTATTCTAGCTGGCTGAGGCTAATTGCATTTTATCTATACATCTGTATGAGCAGGTTGAGAGTCGGCATGGAATTCAAATGCTTCCAAAAACAGAAGTAAGGCAAATGAGAGTAGCAGGTGCTAAAAAAGATCAAATCCTGTTAACTCAGGTGTTTGGTTATGTTCATATATGACTGAAAGTAAATATAACATTGGTCACAGTTTCATGTTTGCCTAAAGGACAGAGAGGGCCCTTTAGAGAGGATGATTTCAGAAGACTGCAAATTTGTTATAGAATCTTGGAAAGTATCAGTGGGCTTCATCCCTGGGATGCAAGGCTGGTTCAACATACGCAAATCAATAAACGTATTCCAGCATATAAACAGAACCAATAACAAAAACCACATGATTATCTCAATAGATGCAGAAAAGGCCTTTGACAAAATTCAACAACGCTTCATGCTAAAAACTCTCAATAAATTAGGTATTGATGGGACGTATCTCAAAATAATAAGAGCTATCTATGACAAACCTACAGCCAATATCATACTGAATGGGCAAAAACTGGAAGCATTCCCTTTGAAAACTGGCACAAGACAGGGATGCCCTCTCTCACCACTCCTATTCAACATAGCGTTGGAAGTTCTGGCCAGGGCAATCAGGCAGGAGAAGGAAATAAAGGGTATTCAATTAGGAAAAGAGGAAGTCAAATATTGTCCCTGTTTGCGGATGACATGATTGTATATCTAGAAAACCCCATCGTCTCAGCCCAAAAACTCCTTAAGCTGATAAGCAACTTCAGCAAAGTCTCAGGATACAAAATCAATGAGCAAAAATCACAAGCATTCTTATACACCAATAACAGACAAACAGCCAAATCATGAGTGAAATCCCATTCACAATTGCTTCAAAGAGAATAAAATACCTAGGAATCCAACTTACAAGGGATGTGAAGGACCTCTTCAAGGAGAACTACAAACCACTGCTCAATGAAATAAAAGAGGATACAAACAAATGGAAGAACATTCCATGCTCATGGGTAGGAAGAATCAATATCGTGAAAATGGCCATACTGCCCAAGGTAATTTATAGATTCAATGTTATCCCCATCAAGCTACCAATGACTTTCTTCACAGAATTGGAAAAAACTACTTTAAAGTTCATATGGAACCAAAAAAGAGCCCACATTGCCAAGTCAATCCTAAGCCAAAAGAACAAAGCTGGAGGCATCATGCTACCTGACTTCAAACTATACTACAAGGCTACAGTAACCAAAACAGCATGGTACTGGTACCAAAACAGAGATATAGACCAATGGAACAGAACAGAGCCCTCAGAAATAATACTGCATATCTACAACTATCTGATCTTTGACAAACCTGACAAAAACAAGCAATGGGGAACGGATTCCCTATTTAATAAATGGTGCTGGGAAAACTGGCTAGCCATCTGTAGAAAGCTGAAACTGGATCCCTACCTTACACCTTATACAAAAATTAATTCAAGATGGATGAAAGACTTAAACGTTAGACCTAAAACCATAAAAACCCTAGAAGAAAACCTAGGCAATGCCATTCAGGACATAGGCCTGGGCAAGGACTTCATGACTAAAACACCAAAAGCAATGGCAACAAAAGCCAAAATTGACAAATGGGATCTAATTAAACTAAAGAGCTTCTGCACAGCAAAAGAAACTACCAGCAGAGTGAACAGGCAACCTACAGAATGGGAGAAAATTTTTGCAATCTACTCATCTGACAGAGGGCTAATATCCAGAATCTACAATGAACTCAAACAAATTCACAAGAAAAAAACAAACAACCCCATCAAAAAGTGGGCGAAGGATATGAGCAGACACTTCTCAAAAGAAGACATTTATGCAGCCAACAGACACATGAAAAAATGCTCATCATCACGGGCCATCAGAGAAATGCAAATCAAAACCACAATGAGATACCATCTCACACGTCAGAATGGCGATAATTAAAAAGTCAGGAAACAACAGGTGCTGGAGAGGATGTGGAGAGATAGGAACACTTTTACACTGTTGGTGGGAGTGTAAACTAGTTCAACCATTGTGGAAGTCAGCATGGCGATTCCTCAGGGATCTAGATCTAGAAATACCATTTGACCCAGCCATCCCATTACTGGGTATATACCCAAAGGATTATAAATCATGCTGCTATAAAGACACATGCACATGTATGATTATTGCGGCACTATTCACAATAGCAAAGACTCGGAACCAACACAAATGTCTAACAATGATAGACTGGATTAAGAAAATGTGGCACATATACACCATGAAATACTATGCAGCCATAAAAAATGATGAGTTCATGTCCTTTGTAGGGACACGGATGAAGCTGGAAACCATCATTCTCAGCAAACTATCGCAAGGACGAAAAACCAAACACCGCATGTTCTCACTCATAGGTGGGAATTGAACAATGAGAACACATGGACACAGGAAGGGGAACATCACACACCCGGGCCTGTTGTGGGGTAGGGGGAGGGGGGAGGGATAGCATTAGGATTTAGGAGATACACCTAATGCTAAATGACGAGTTAATGGGTGCAGCACACCAACATGGCACATGTATACATATGTAACAAACCTGCACGTTGTGCACATGTACCCTAAAACTTAAAGTATAATTTAAAAAAAAGAAAAAAAAAGAATCTTGGAAAGTATCACCATTAGGTCAGGCACTGAAAGTAGAAAAAAAAATCATCTTGGATGAAAATAAGCAACAATTTCCAATAGTATCCACTATTTTGTTGTAACTGCATGTTTTTCAGGGAAATAAACATTTTCATTAGCATAAAAAGCACTGAAGCTCTTATTTCTGTATTTCCTTGAAACATCATTGATTAAAAATAAGTTTGATTTTAGGGATTTTTAAAGCAACCACAATCCTTACTGTACCAGAAGTAACTGCAATTTGAGCTATTTCTATCTCTATGAAGATCTCAATACTTTAGTCCCCTTTAGTTTCATTTGCAAGAGGAAATGAAATATTTGGCCTGCTTATTTGACTTTGTCTTCTTTTAAAGAAGAGGTGAATTTGGCTGCAACCTAACACATGTCTTAGAGAAATAGTAGAAGAATAGAAGAGAGGCTTTTATAACAGTACATGAAGTAGACCAGGAAATATAATTTTAAAAAGCATTATAAGAAGTAGTACACAAGTTCAGCAGAGTTACGCAGTGCAATATCAATATACAAAATTTAGTTGCATTTCTATACACTTGGAATGAACACTCTGAAAATGAAATTAAGAAAACAATTTCATTGACAATAACATTAAAAAGAATAAAATACTTGGAATAAATTTGACAAAAGAAGTGTAAAACATACTCTAAAAACTATGAAACATTGTTGAAATAAATTAAAGAAGGCAGGCATAAATGAAAATGCAATTCGTGTTCATGATTGGAAGGCTTAATATTGTTAAGATGGCAGTACACCCCAAATTCATCCACAGTTTCAAAAAAATCCCTCCCAAAATGCTAGCTAGCTTATCTGCAGAAATTAACAAGCTGATCTTAAAATTCATATGGAATCACGAGGGATCCAGAATAGGCAAAACAGTCTTGAAAAAGAAGAATAAAGTTGGAAGACTCAGACTTCCTGATTTCAAAACTTACTACAAAACTATAGTAATGAAGATAGTGTGGTACTGGCATAAGAACAGGCATATAGATCAATGGAATATAATTGATCTATTCACTTAGCATTTATATTATGTTAAGTGAAAGAAGTCCATTAATAAACCCTTACATTTATGGTCAATTAATTTTGGACGAGACAATTTAATGGAGAAAGGATAGTCTTTCAGCAAGCAGCATTGAGGCAACTGTATATTCACATTGGAAAGAATGAAGTCGGCAGAAGACAAGAAATAACCAAATCAGAGCTGAAGTGAAGGAGATAGAGACACACACACACAAAAAAACATAAAAAAGATCAATGAATCCAGGAGTTGCTTTTTTGAAAAAATTGATAAGATATATAGACTACTAGCTAGACTAGTAAAGAAGAAAAGAGAGAAGATATAAATAAACACAATTAGAATGATGAAGAGGATGTTACCACTGACCCCACATAAATACAAATAACTGAACAGCTCTATGCACACAAACTAGAAAATCTAGAAGAAATAGATAAATTCCTGGACATGTACATCCTCCCAAGACTGAACCAGGAAGAAACTGAATCCCTGAACAGGCCAATGATGAGCTCTGAAATGGAATCAGTAATAAATAGCCTACCAAGCAAAAAACCCAGGACTAGATGGATTCACAGCCAAATTCTGCCAGATGTACAAAGAGGAGTTGATACCATTCCTAGTGAAGCTGTTCCAAAAAATTGAGGAGCAGGGACTCATCACCCAACTCATTCTATGAGGCCAGCATCATCCTGATACCAAAACCTGGCAGAGACACAACAATAAAAGAAAACTTCAGGCCAATATCCTTGAATAACATAGATGCAGAAATCCTCAACAAAATACTAGCAAACAAAATTCAGTGGGACATCAAAAAGCTAATCCATCATGATCAAGTAGGCTTCACCCCTGGGATGCAAGGTTGGCTCAATATATGCAAATAAATAAATAAATATTATTCATCACATAAACAGAACTAAAGAAAAAAACACATGACTATCTCAATAGATGTAAAAAAATACTTTCAATAAAATTTAATTTCCTTTTATGTTAAAAATCCTCAATAAACTAGGCATTGAAGGAACATACTTCAAAATAATAAGAGCTGTCTATGACAAACCCACAGCCAACATCATACTGAACAGTCAAAAGCTATAAGCATTTTCCTTTAAAATTAGAACAAGACAAGGATGCCCATTCTCACCACCCCTATTCAACATAGTATTGGAAGACCTGGCCAGAGCAATCAGGCAAGAGAAATAATTAAACGGCATCCAAATAGGAAGAGAGGAAGTCAAAATGTCTCTGTTTATAGACGACATGATTCCATATCTACAAAACCCCATAGTATCTGCCCAAAAGCTCCTTGAAGCTGATAAGCAACTTCAACAAAGTTTCAGGATATAAAATCAAGGCACAAAAATCAATAGCATTCCTGTACACTGCATTCCTGAACACTAACAGCACCCAAGCTGAGAGGCAAATCAGGAACACAGTCCCATTCATAACTGCCAGAATAAGGAATACCCAGGAATAAAACACCCAAGAATACTGCTAGCCAGGGAGGTGAAAGATCTCTACAATGAAAAGTACAAAACACTGCTCAAAGCAGAGATGACACAAGTGGAAAAACATTTCATGCTCATAGGAAGAATCAATATCATTAAAATGGCCATACTGTCCATAGCAATTTGCAGATTCAATGCGATTCCTATCAAATTACCAATGACATTCTTCACAGAACTAATACAAAACTATTGTAAAATTTATATGAAACAAAAAAAAAGAGCCCAAATAGCCAAGGCAATCCTAAGCAAAAAGAACAAACTGGAGGAATCATATTGCCTGACTTCAAACTGTACCACAAGGCTACAAACTGTACTACAAGCAAAGTACTGGTACAAAAACGGACACATAGACCAGTGAAACAGAATAGAGAGCCCAGAAATAAAGCCACACACCTACAACCACCCGATCTTTGACAAAACTGACAAAAACAAGCAATGGTTAAAAGACTCCCTATTCGATAAATGGTGCTGGGATGATTGTCTAGCCGTGTGTAGAAGATTGAAACTAGACCCCTTCCTTACACCATATATAAAAATTAACATTAAATATACATCAATGAGAGAGTGGATAAAGAAAATGTGACACATATACACCATGGAATACTATGCAGCATAAAAAAGAGCAAAGATCATGTCCTTTGCAGGAACATGGAGGGAACTGGAGGCCATTATGAGTAGCAAACTAACCCAAGAACAGAAAACCAAATCCCGCATGTTCTCACTTATAAGTGGGAGATAACTAATGAGAATACATGGACAGAAAGAGCAGAACCACAGACAATGGGGCCTAATTAAGGGAGGAGATTAGGAGGAGGAAGAGGTTCAGAAAAAAGAAAAGTGTCCAGCACTATGCTTACTACCTGAGTGATGAAATAATCTGTACAACGAACCCCTGAGTCATGAGTTTACCCATGTAACAGAACTACACGTGTACCCCTGAACCTAAAATAAAAGTTAAAATATTTTTTAAAATTCTAGACATAAAAAAACTACAAAAGAATGAAGTTGGACCCCCTACCTTACATCATGTACAAAAAATAACTCAAAATGAATTGAAGGCCTAAACATAGGAGCTCACCTACAACACTTTTACAAGATAACATATGCATTAACCTTTGTGACTTGGATTAGAAGTGATTTCTTAGATGTGGCACTAAAATAACAGGCAACAAAAGAAAAAAACAGATAAATCAGACTTCATAAAATTTAAAAACTTTATGTTTGAAAGGACACCATCCACAAAGTGAAAAGGCAATCCACTGAATAGGATAACATATTTGCAAACCATTTATCTAATAAGGGACTTATATCTAGAGCATATAAAAAACTCTTAATACTCAATAGCAAAAGACAACCCCATTAAATAATGGGCAAAGAGTTTGATAGACAGTCCTTCAAAAATATATATGAATGGCCAATAAGCACATGAAAAGATGTCATAACATTAGCCACTTCACACTCTTTAGGATGATCATAATAAAAAAGACAGATGATAACAGGTTTTGGCAAGGATGTGGAGAAATTGGAACCCTCATATATTGTTAGTAGGAATGTAAAATGGCGCAGGTGTTTATAGCAGTATTGTTCCATAATAGCCAATAAATGGGGAAAAAAATGTCTATCAACTAATGAATGAATAAACATAATGTGGTATATTACTACAGTGGAATATTACTTAGCACCAAAAAGGAATGAAGTACTAACACACACCAAGATACACCAAGGTACAACATGAATATATCGTGAAAACATTATCCTAAGTGAAAGAAGGCAGTCACAAAAGACCGCATATTGTATGATTTCTCTTCTGTGAAATGTCTAGATTAAGCAAATCTACGGAAATAGAACACAGTTAACTTATTGTCTAGGACTTGAAGATTTGAGGGGAAAATGGGGAGTGACTACAAGTGGGTGGGTTTGAGAGGGGAGTGATAAAAATTGATTGTAGTGATGATTGCATAACTGTGCCTCTACTAAAAACCATTGAATTGAACACTTTAAAAGGGTGTATTGTATGGTATTATATGGTATATGAAATCTCAATGGGGTTGTTACTAAAAAAGCATTACAGAAAGTGATCACATTAAGAAAAATATATATATATTTGTAAAGAGTATTGTTACCAAAAGGCTGGGCGAGGGAGGTAGTGGGAGCACAGAGATGAAAACAGGCTAAGTTATCAGAAAAGAGGCAGACCCTCATGGAGGACACTGTGAAGAATCACACGCTTTCCTTTCCGGAATCTAACAAAATTAGAAACCCACAATTTCTGGGAGGATGTTATGAGATTAAAAAAAATTAGGAGAAATAAATAATACACTGCAATTTATAACCAACCAAGGCAGTTTGGCGTAGATGTTATGAGCACAGGTCTGTTCCCCAGTGCTGGATTTGAGTGTCACTTTTGCCATTTGCTGGATGGGTGAACTCCAGGCAAACCCAAAGGTCACCTCTGCCTTTCCTGATAAGGGCCACTTCTCACCAGGAGCCGTAGGTCATTAACTGACGTCAACAGAGGTGACCTTGGTGGAGATGATGAAGTAAGGACAAGGGCTCAACTCTCCTCGCCCCCTCCTACCTCTTCATTCTTAACACGTGATCTCATCTCTCTCATCTCCTACTTTACAGAGAAAATGGAACAATCCCAAAAGAAATTTTCTCAACATCTTGCTCCTAAATCTTTAAACATCCCAGCCTTGGCACCTACCTTGTCCCCACTTCCCACTGTTGCATGGGGGACATTCCTCTTCCATCCACTCCCTTCCACCTTGCATGGGACCTTCTCCCATTCTTCCTTCTCAGGAAACCATCCACCGAGTTTCTTTACCCTCCTATGTGGCTTCAATATCTCCCTCTCTTCTAGCCTCATTCGATTAACAACTATGTATGTTTAAATTCTTCCCATCTAAAAAGCAAAGAGAAAACAACAAAATCCTCTTACTGATCTCCTGTCATTCCTCTAGGACTACTATCCAATTTCTCTCTTCTCCTTCTTGAATCTCTTTAAAAAATTGTCAATTGGCTTAAACCTGCAATCCCAGCAATTTGGGAAGCCAATGTGGGCAGATCCCTTGAGGTCAGGAGCTCGAGACCAACCTGGCCAACATGGAGAAACCCCATCCCTACTGAAAATGCAAAAATTAGCTGGGTGTGCTGGGGCGCTCCTGTAATCCCGGCTACTTGGGAGGCTGAGGCAGGAGGATCACTTGAACTTGGGAGGTAGAGGTTGCAGTGAGCTGAGATCACACCACTGCACTCCAGCCTGGGTGACAGAGCAAGACTCCATCTCAAAAAAAAAAAAAAAAAAAAGATTGTCATTCACAGTCTGCCTCCCTTTCTCCCTTTCCATTCATTCACTTCTCAAACCACTAGCTCAGGTGTGGGAAACTCTTCCTATAAAGGCCAGATAGCCAATAGCTGAGGTTTTGTGGGCCATGCAGTCTCTGTGGCTGTAGTCTACTCAGTTCTGCTGTTGCATCACAGCAGAGCCATAAACAACACAGAAATGAATGCGTGTGGTTGTGTCCCCATGAAACTTTATTTTCAAATACAGACAGCCCACCAGACTTGACTCGTGGTTTCTACCCCCATTACTCCTCTGGAGCTGTTTACCTCTAATGTTTATTAACTATGCATGCTAAGTCTTGAGCAACCTCGACCTCACATTGAATCCCCCTCCTCTCTTGGTCTCTCTGCCTTCAGGCGCTGCTGGTTTCTCTCCTATTCCTTCTGCACACTCTTTTATGGTTCCTTCTGATGAGGCATTAAAGGCTAGAGTTCCTCTGAATATCTCCTCCCTCTCTCTGTCTTCCCTCCCACCCCTCTTCCCCTTCCCCTCTTTTCTCATCCTCCACTGCCATCTATGTGCTAGTGACCCCCAAATTTCCCCTTTTCTGAATTCCTAACTTACTTATGCAATTGTCAATCTGACGTGTCTCCCTGAAGATACCCTAAGTGCCTCAAGCTTAGCACAACTAAACTTGAACTTGAAATCCCCCACACCTCCACCTGCTCCATCACCTGTCTTCCCAGTGTCAGTATTTCACACCACCAAAAGCTTCAGAGATCCAGCATTCACTCTTGGCATATCCCACACCACACATCAAACCACTCACCAAGTCCTCTGTTATATTTTCTGGAACCTAATCAATATTTGTTGAATGAATAATTGAAAGTCACTAGAGGGATGGAGAGCCATATGCTTTAATGCAGATACAAAACTTATATATTCCCTATCCAAATTCTTGGACTTCTTGGACTTGTTTTACACAGAACATGAAAGAATGATGACAGGTAAAATTATGAAGATGGCAGCCATGAGAATCCTATCATGAGTTATAGGGACTTTAGAAAACATTGAGACTGTCAAATAACACACTGGAATTAGATCAAGTTTATAGCACATTAAAAGGATTCAGCAAGAATGCAAAGAAATACCTTTTTTGGTCTGGCACACATTCAAATACTTTCCACAATATATAACTCCAATGAGAATTACAATGAATAATCATTTAAGAGACATAGAAGCAGTATTTTTCTTTTGTTTTTATAAATTACAGGATAGTGCCATTAATAGAGAAAAATAAAATGAAAGATCAGTGAAATAGGAGGTGTGATGGTTGATTTGGGTGTCAACTTGACTGGATTAAAGGATACCCAGATAGTTGGTAAAGCATTATTTATTCTCAATACTTCAGTAGGTACTGAGCCCATTCCTCTTCTGCTGAAAGGAAACACAGGTGGTTTGGCATTTGATTAAAATAACTGGGCTGCCCCAGTGTGTCTTTGAGTGTATTTGCAGAGGAGACTGGCAAGTGAGTTGGCGGACTGAGTGAGGAAGATCCACCCTCAATGTGGGCAGCCATCATCCAGTCAGCTAGGGGCCCAGATGAAACAAAAAGGCGGAGGAAGGGGAGCTGTGACGCCCTTCCTCTCCTGCCCTTGGACATCAGAACTCCAGCTTTTCTGGTTTTTGCACTCTGGAAGTCGTGTCAGCAGCCCTCTAGGCTCTCAGGCCTTCTGCCTCAGTCTGACAGTTACACACCATCCGTTTCCCTGGTTCAAGGCCTTCAGACTTGACCTGAGCCATGCTACCAGCTTCCCTGGTTCTCCAACTCGCCAATCACACAAGTCCACTTGTGTGGACTTCTCAGCCTCCATAATTGAGTGAGCCAATTCCTCTATTAAATCCTTTCTCCTCCCTCTCTCCCTCTCCCCCTCTCTCCGTCTCTCTCTCTCACTATCCCTCTCCCTCTCTCCTCTCTCTCCGTATGACATCAGTGGCTGCTGCCATCACGCCAACTGCAGCAGGGAGGGGCAACTGGGGCTGCACACTCCATGGAGCTGGTGCCCCGCTCTCCTGGGTGGGGCTATGGCCGCCCAAACTGTGGCTGTGGGTCCCAGCCTCCCTGTGCTCTTGTGAGAGGTGAAGCCAGTTGGACTTCCCAGGTGGAATGAGGACTTGGAGAACTTTTCTGTCTTACAAGAGGATTGTAAAATGCACCAATCAGCACTCTGCAGCTAGGATTGTAAAATGCACCAATCAGCACTCTGTAGCTAGGATTGTAAAATGCACCAATCAGCACTCTGTAGCTAGGATTGTAAAATGCACCAATCAGCACTTTGTAGCTAGCTAGAGGTTTATAAAATGGACCAATCAGCACTGTGTAAAATAGACCAATCAGCAGGACATGGGCAGGGAGAAATAAAGGAATAAAGGCTGGCCACGCGAGCCGGCAGCGGCAACCCTTTTGGATCCACTTCCATATTGTGGGAGCTTTGTTCTTTTGTTCTTTTTTCTCTTCACAATAACTTGCTGCTGGTCACTCTTTGGATCCGTGCCCCTTTTGAGAGCTGTAATATTCACCGCTAAGGTCCGAGACTACATTCTTGAAGTCAGCAAGACCATGAACCCACAGGAAAGAACCAACTCCGGACACACTTGGAGAGGGGCAGAAGCAGACAGGATCTGCCCTCCTCGGTGCAGCTGCAACCGCCTGATCCGTGGCTGCAGACCTGGGCCTTTTGCTCCACGGAGCAGGCAGGAGCTAGGACAAACAGGAACCCTGCCCCTTCTGAGTTGCAGGGGCCAGAGCTCCCCGAGTGTAGCTGCAGCTGCTCTCCCAGGCACAGGACCTAAGCATCTCTGCCTACATCTTCTGGCCAGGAAGGGCCCCCCGCCTCCCTCCTACCCCTTCTTTCCTAGCTCCAGGATGTCTGTTAGGCTGCCTGGTCTCTCTCTACATGCACCCGCTCCAATCTGGTAGCAGGGTTGGGGCCTAGCCCCAGGGCTTTGAATAGCAGGAGGCAGAGTCTTTGGCTGAAGGGGGTGGGTCCTCAGTAAGGCCCCACCTTCAGACCAAGGAGGGACTGAAGGCTAGGGGATGGGCTGCCAGTCCCCGGACTAGAGTGGGGACTCATGGTGCCTCTTCTGGGCTACCCATGGCTGCCCATGGACCAATCAGCACACATTTCTTCCCCTCTGAGGTCCATAAAACCCTGGGCTCAGCCAGAGCATGGCAGAAGACAGCCAGAGGATGAAGAAGGCAGAAAGACAATAGGATGACCAGCTGCAGAGAGGAGTACCCTCTCTTCTGATAGCTGGAGGTGATGGGAACACCCAGCAGCAGAGAGGAGTACCCTCTCCACTGAGAGCTTCAGAGACCTGCAGAGAAGACTGAATGGCTTGCCTGCGGAGAGGAGCCACCCTCTCTGGGGCCTCCTCTCTGCTGAGGGCTGAACACTCGACAGGATGACCTCCCTACAGAGAGGAGCTGCACACTCCTCTGAGCTGTTCTAACACTAAATAAAACTCTTCTTCTTTGCCCTTCACTTGTCTGTGTGCCTCCTGCACACAGGACAAGAACTTGGACAAAGAACTCGGGTAAAGGCGCCACAGCCAAAGGCATCCGCCACAGAGGTTTCTGGCCAGAAAAATCAACACCTCAGAGATCCCGTAACACACATACATATATATGTTGTTCACTCTGTCTCTCTGAAGAACCCTAACTAAAAACAAGATGTGAGATCAGATCCAGCCCTGATGCTTTAAACAAGTCACTTCTTCCCTGTATACACACGTATTTGAAGGGGCTGGAACATGTGATGCTGGACTGATAATGTGAACTTACATGCTGTGATTCAAAGTCCTTTAAAGCTCAGCACCAGTGATCATTTTTATCTAGTTTCTTGTTAGGGAAAAGAAGGAGGAAGGAGGAGAAAAGATAAAGTACCTGGGATACTGGCTGTTTAGAAGACCTGTCAGGGGCCGGGCGTGGTGGCTCACACCTGTAATCCCAGCACTTTGGGAGGCTGAGGCAGGTGGATCATTTTGAGGTCAGGAGTTTGAGACCAGCCTGGCCAACATGTGAAACCCCGTCTCTACTAAAAATGCAAAAATTAGCCGGGCATAATGGCACACGCCTGTAATCCCAGCTACTCGGGAGGCTGAGGCAGGAGAATCACCTGAGCCTGGGAGGCAGAGGTTGTGGGGAGGCGGAGGTTGCGATGAGCCGAGATTGTGCCACTGCACTCGTCTGGGAGACAGAGTGAGACCCTGTCTCAAAAATAAAAAAAGAAGAGCTGTCAGGGAGACAGCTGATGGGACATTCTAGTCAAGGAGCAACTTAAAGTGGAAAAGGAAGGGAGAGGTAGAAAGGGACAGGAGCAGAGAAGCAGCACCTGCTTCAGAGGAAACACAGGCAAAACCTAGCCTGGGGTCACCCTCATTCAGCCACCAACTGGGACGATAAGAAATTAACACCAGTGTCTGGGCTTCAATGTCCAGTGCCAAAAATGGAATTTGAACCACACGGCTTTCAGATCCCTTCCTGCAACACTCAAGGTGCATGGTTCTCTATCATATTCCTGGAAATCTCATTCCCCACTGTTTAAAAAAAGAATGGATAAATGAAAGAAAAGAGCATTAACAAAGTTTATTAGAGACAAATGCTATCAAAGGCAGAAATACATTTTGGGGGATTCCATTGGAAATTACAATGAGTAATTATTTAAAGAGGCAAAACTAAATCTGCAATGAGAAGAAAATATATGGCATGTGGCACATTCTTTAATTCTTCTGTTAAATGACAAATCCTTTCTCATTTCAAAAGTAGGAAATGACAGAATACCTTCAGCTTGGCATAAGGTTAAACAGTCTCAGGTGGGCCGGGCACGGTGGCTCACACCTATAATCCCAGCACTTTGGGAGGCCGAGGCAGGCGGATCATTTGAGGTCAGGAGTTCGAGACCAGCCTGGCCAACATGGTGAAACCCCATCTCTACTAAAAATACAAAAAGTAGCCAGGCATGGTGGCACACGCCTGTAATCCTAGCTACTGGGGAGGCTGAGGCATGAGAATTGCTTGAGCCCAGCAGGCAGAGGTTGCAGTTAGCCGAGATCACAACACTGCACTCCAGCTTGGGCAACAGAGCAAGACTCCGTCTCAAAAAGAAAAACAGTCTCAGGTGGCCAGAAGTCCTCAGGCAGGAGGATGTTGTGTGGGTGAACTAGGAAAGCTCTGGAAAACTGTCCTGGTCAGGTCCTAAGATGTCTTGTGAATAGGCCTCAGGGGCAAGGGCCAGTAGGGGAGCCAGGCTAAAGAGGGCATGGAGGCCAGACCCCCCCACACACTGCTGAGGGAGACCAGGGTTAGGAAGCCTGGGCCCTTCCACTGGGTGCTGGACACTTGGCCTCTCCTGCAGCCTTGTTCCCAGATGTCAGTGGTGTCTCTTCACGGTCTGCTTCTCCTTACATGGGGAGCTCCTTTGGCCACATAATTTTTTCCTAATCACATACACCTTATTGCACAAATTGTAGAAAATTTAGAAATTTACAGAAAAGCAAAAAGAAGAAATTTAAAATCATCTATAATCCCACTATGCATAGATAAGGCACCTAACCATTCACCCTATTTCAGTATATATATATATTTACATATATATATGTAATTTTTATAGTAATAGGATAAGTTCAACATGTACACCGAGCCCCTTGTTGTACTTAGAGATTTATCTAGACCACTTTTTCTAGAACATTAAGTTTTCTTTTGCAGCACCATTTTTAATGATGGCATGTTCTTTCCTTAAACGGATCTGCCATCGTGTACATAGTCAATATTTCATTGCTGGGCTTTTAGGTGGCTTATTCCCATGAATATGCTTGTAGTTAAATCTTTGGGCACACCTATGAGGGTAGATAAAATTCCCGAAAGAAGAAATGCTGAGTCAAATGATGTGCACATACACAGATTTCAGTGACACTTCACGAAATACCAGATGACCTCCCAGAAAATGAGTCTCCCATCTCCACCCAGCGTTTAAGAGGCCTTGTGTTCCCATGACTTCACCAGCCCTTAATATCTTCCCACTGGTGTTTTGTTGTTTAAATTTGAATATTCAAGAAGCCTGAGCATACTCTCCTATTATCGACCATTTTAATACTTCCTTTGTGAATTGCTCATTTTTACTGGGGAAGGATTATCATTCCCTTGTTGATTTGAAAGTGTTCTTTATAAACTAAAGATATTATTTCTTTATTGCATATGCTGCAAATATCTTTTCCAGTGGGGACTAAAATGTTTTGTGTAACAAAATTGTTTCAAAAGCAGAAAAAGCTTTAGAAGTATATGTACTGAAGTTTATTCATTTATTCTTGGAAAAATAGATACTGTATTGTTACTGCTCTAGATACTGGACCAGACGGAGCAGGAACCATGGAAACTGCACTCCAGTGACCACGTCACTAATACAAATAGCAACGTTTCCTCCTAGTGCTTCTGTGGTTTTCTTTTTAACATTTTTACTTATTTTAACATATAAATATTCCCTCCACCTGGAATTAATATTGACATATATGTCTGAGGTTCTAGCGTTTTCTTTTTGATTTTTTAAAATTCATCTTATTTTACTTACTGCTGTGAAATGCCATCTTTAATATATACTAATTTCTTTAAAATATTTAGTTTCTTTTCTGTTTATCTGCCTATTCCTGAACCATAATCAAATTATTGTAGCTTTGAATCAGTATTTGTAACACAAGTACTGGTGAGAGGTGAAGCCAGCTGGACTTCCTGGGTCGAATGGGGACTTGGAGAACTTTTCTGTCTTACCAGAGGCTTGTAAAATGCACCAATCAGTGCTCTGTAAAAACGCAGCAGTTGGCGCTCTGTAGCTCACTAGAGGTTTGTAAAATGCACCAATCAGTGCTCTGTAAAAATGCACCAATCAGTGCTCTATAGCTAGCTAGAGGTTTGTAAAATGGACCAATCAGCACTCTGTAAAATGGACCAATCAGCACTCTGTAAAATGGACCAATCAGCACTCTGTAAAATGGACCAATCAGCAGGACATGGGCAGGGACACATAAGGAAAGAAAAGCTGACCACCCCCAGCCAACAGCTGCAACCTGGTCGGGTCCCCTTCCATGCTGTGGAAGCTTTGTTCTTTCGCTTTTCACAATAAATCTTGCTGCTACACACTCTTTGGGTCCGTGCCACCTTTAAGAGCTGTAACACTCACCGCAAAGGTCCATGGCTTCATTCTTGAAGTCAGCAAGACCACAAACCCACCAGAAGGAACCACCTCCAGACACACTGATATTATTTCTGTTTCCTCAAAAATTTCTTGGCTCTCTTTGGGCACTTATTCTTTCAGATGAACTTAGGGTCTATTTCGCAAGTTCAAAAAATAATCTTGTGTTTTCATTAAAATCACATTCAATTTGTAAATTAGTTTTGGGAGAATTGATTATCTTGGCAATAACTGTTCCATTGCCTATGTATATCTCTTTAATTATTCAAGTGGATTTTTATGTCCCTCTGTAAAAAAACATACCACTGTTAAAAATACCCAGCCAATTTCATGTTAAATTTGCTCCTATGTATTTTCTAAATTGCATTGCTATCTGTTGATAGAGTCTATTACATTTTCTATCTAGTTATTCCTAGAACAACTATGGATTTTTGAATGTTTACTTTGTAACCAGCCACTTTATATTAACTCTTCTAGTTTTTCTACTTCTCTCAATTTTCTAGGTAGGCAATTAAATTACCTGTCAGCAAGTCTTGGTACTTTTTCCTACTTCTTCACGATCACACTTCTTTCACTTTCTTAGCTGATTGATAGAGAACTTTCAAGAACAGAGTATTGATAACAGTCATCTTTCTTTTGTTTCTGGCTTTAAGGAGAGAGCCATCATACATTCCTGTCGGTTTTGAGAGTTATTCCCCCTTGTGCTGAAGAATCCTTTTCCTTCCAGATGCGTCCAATCTCCAGTCCAGCTCTCACAGCTTTCCTTGGGGAGACAGCAGTGAATGCAATGTGCAGAAGCCAGGCCCCTCCCCACTGCATTTCCTTTGTTTTCTGCATTTTCTGCACTTCCTGCACCTCCTTCAGTGCTCTGAAGATACTGGATGTAGAATTATGGCAAAAATTAGGCTAGGACCCAGACCACCTCCCTGACAGCACCTGTGGACAAAGGAAAGCCTGCCAGAGGGTATGGCTGGTTGGGCAGAGGCTCTGGTCACATGACACAGAGACAGGGAGAGGTGGAAAGTGCTCACCTCTTTCGGAGCTCTCAGTTTACTGGAAGGAAACCCTGGATGGGCGTTTCTTCAGTCCAGCTGCATCTGCCTCAGGTCACCCAGAAGTCTCCACTTTCTTGCCTATTTCTTTTTTGGCTGGTTGAGACTTTTTTGACTGGATCTGCCGCTCCTTTATGAACTGACCTGACATTTGCCTCTTACCTGCTACAGAGCTCCTCTTGCCTCCAAGCCGCTCTGGTCTCAGTGAGAGGTCACCCCCTCCTGCTTCTCCTCCCTAGTGTATAGTCGACCTGAACCTAGTCTGTATTCAGCAGGCTTTCCCTGCAGGCTTGGCGTGTGGGAGGGAAGATTGCTTCCTGCAAAAGTAAACAACTCAAACAGAATATTATATCCTTGCTCTAAGATTCTTCAGTGACTCCTGACAGGGCATTTCTCATTCAGAATTTGAGCCGTGTCTACTTTGCTCTTTCTCTGTCTTGACATCACCACTTCCCTCTGTTTTTCAAATCCATGTCTCCCCAAAGACTTTCCCACAAGCTCCAAAGTCCTCCTCATTTCTGCTGTCACAGGGCAGGCTCATCCAGGCTTTGCAAAACCTAACATAGCCCACAAGATCTTGACTTAAATAAAAGAACTCTCAACCTCAGCAAAGACTCTTCCCACTGCCCTAGACACCTTCTAGGTGTCCCCAGCAGCTTAAGGGTTTTGTTGTTGTTGTTGTTTGTTTGTTTGTTTGCTTTTTGGTGGAGTCTCGCTCTGTCGCCAGGCTGGAGTGCAGTAGCGTGATCTCGGCTCACTGCAATCTCCGCCTCCCGGGTTCAAGTGATTCTCCTGCCTCAGCCTCCGGAGTAGCTGGGACTACAGGTGCACACCACCACATCCATCTAATTTTTTGTATTTTAGTAGAGAAGGGGGTTTCACCATGTTAGCCAGAATAGTCTTGATCTCCTGACCTCGTGATCCACCCACCTCAGCCTCTCAAAGTGCTGAGATTACAGGCATGAGCCACCGGGCCCAGCCAGGATTTTTTTTTTAACAAGTTTATTTTCCCCTTCCAATTATACTTATTAATATTGGGATTCCTTCTAGAATTTTAGAAATAGGTTGACCTTCAGACTTATTTTCTCAATGGGTAGTTAGTGCTGGGTTCTCGATCTCTCTGGTTTAGTCTGCAAGTATTTTAGTGGCAAGTCATCAAGGCAAGTCGGAATCTGCTCACTAGACACCTGTTCGCATCACACATCCAGAGACTCATTCCTAGTCCTCAAATGCATGTTTGCTGAAAGATGTACTGGGGACTTTGTGTGAGGATGGCTGCTTCATACCTGCAGCTGACTCAGGGTCATGGTAAACTATCAGCTTGAAGTGTGTGACTTCTCATAGGCACTATCTACCCCAGGCAGCTATTCAGTGCAGAAGAGCTCATGAAATGTTATGGCTGAGAGTGTTAATTGTCCCCCACTATTTGTTCTCCCTTTAACAACTGTCTATTGCTGTGTGACAGCCCACTCTAAAACTTAGTGGCTTAAAACAAGAATTTAGAATTTCTCACGGTTCAGTGGGCTGGCTGGGCTCAGCTAGGCTGTTCTGCAGAATGTGGTATGGACAGCAGACACTCATGCAGTTACACTTAGCTAGTAGCTAAATCTGGTGCCTTAGCTGCAGTGGCTAGAATAGGTCGGAGCTCTCTGGCCCTCCTCTTTCTCTCTCTCTCTCTCTCTCTGTCTCTCTCTCTCTCTCTCGGCAGTCTCTCATCATTCAATCATCTTGTCTGAGCTTATTTATATGGAGCTGGATCCCAGAATAGTGACAGAGAAAGCTGCCAGGCCTCTTAAGGGCTAGGTCTAGAAACGTCACCTGATTTTACTGGTTAAAGAGAGTCCCAGGACAGCATCAACAGAATGTGTTGACAAGAGACTTGTTAGCATAATGGCCTTGTGACCAGAGCCACCATAATGGCCTAGACTTTTTGGAGAGCAAAATAAGTCTCTGTCATTCTGCATCTTTGTTTTACATCTCTGTTGTTTGGGGTGTCTGTTATATGCAGTTGAGCTTATTTTCCAAGTAATACACATGTGTTCTAATAGAAAATCCCTCTATAGAAAAATCCTTCTATTTGAATTTCCATTTTTCCTTAGCTCTGTTTTATTTTGTATTTACACAAATTTATTTATTATACATTTTATATTTTATAGGTATATTTGTAAGCCGAGTTGAATGCTTTGTGGAGAGAGGTAAGTACATTTTACAATTAGATCTTAGAAGTAAAATCATTTGTAAACATTACAGCACCATGCTACTCTAAGAAGTTGCCATTACTCCAATAATGATAGTTTCTCACATCCTTAGACAAACTTAAGACCCAGCATAATTCCCCAAGTTCCTTCTAGATCTCAAATATTTACTCCTTGGTCATATGCCATGCCCCACTCTCTAAATCAGCCTACTTGATTGTTTTATCTTCTATTTAAAAAAAGGTAACATAAAATTTGCCACCCTAACCAGTTTAAGTATACCATTCAGTAGTGTTAAGTAGATTTCCACTGTCACACAGCCAATCTCCAGAACTTTTTCTCTTGTAAAACTGAAACTCAGTACCTGTTAAACAACAGCTCCTCATTCCCTCTTTCCCCATGCCCTCGCAACCACCATTCTGTGAATTTAACTACTCTAGGTACCTCATGTGATGTAATCATGTAGTATTTGCCCTTTTGTGATTCATGTATGTCACTTAACATAATGTCTTCAAGGTTCTTCCACATTGTAGCTTATGTCATAATGTCATTTTTAAGGCTGAATGGTATTCTATTGTATCTATTAATATCTACCACATTTTGTCCATCTATTCATCCCTAGGACATATGGGTGCTCCCACCTCTTGGCTTCTATGCAGCCTGCCTTCTCTTTTCCCTGACTTCACCTTTTCACACACACCTGTGCACCAGCACCTTAAGCCCAAACTTTCATTCCTGAACTCATAACCAGGTCAATTAACTAGCTCTGACCATTTGCATGTCCCACACTGGGTGATGACCCTCTGTTTGGTCCTCCACAGGGAGATGGGCGATTGTCCCCACACACAAGCAACAATGAATTGCATTTAAAATGAAGGGCAACATCATACTCTAATATTCTTCTCCTTTTCTGATTTTGCTTGGGCTCCATAAATGGACAGGTGACAGTGTCCTCAGAGATCGTGAGGGTGAGGGTTAAATGCAGACATGAGGGCTGCGGAAAAGCAGTGCATCTGATGCCCTTCACGAGAATTGTAAATGAGTCCCCCTTCTCCCAAACTCTCTGTGGGGAATGGCTTCTGGTGATTGGGCATCCCTGTGGTCTCAGGTCATTATCCAACGTCTATGGGAGGGGTGCTCCGTTAGATCCAGAGAGAGAATAGTGGGGGAACTAACCAGGGAGAGTGGCCCAGTGGCCAGGACCCAGTGTCAGAGGGAGTAGATCATCTCATCCCTACTTCCAGGAATAGTGAAAGCCAGATGGTGCAACCAAGACAGCATGGCTCACACTGGAGACTCTAGGGGCCAATAAAGTATTCAGAAAACATCCACTAGGTATTAAGTCCTATGCCAGGTACTAAGAGCCCAAAAGTAAAAAGGGCATAGTTCCTGCTACCGAAGAACTAACAGTCCATGGAGGGAACAGGCTTGTAACTAAACAACTGCAAGACACTAAGTGTCACTCAGGAAGGAGCTGTTGCAGGATGGGAAGACCCGGGCTAGACTACTTCCCTGGCCTGGGGCCTTGGCAGGGTAGGAGTTTGGCAGGCCTGAGAGGATGGCTGGAAGGATTTCCGACAGAGGGGAGAGCATATGAGAAGTCAAAAATGCACAAAGAGGCACAGCGATGACGCCATGTGCCTGGAGAGAAGGGGCCAAGACAGAAATGGCAAGATGGGAGCTGCAGCAGATCAGAGCGCAGTGTGGGTGTCCTTGAGGGGTGTTGGGTTGCCACGTGGTAGATGCTGCTAAAGAAGGGGCCCAATGTCAGACTTGACGGAGAAGTTCCTTCCAACTGTAGGAGGACAGACAGAGGGGTCAGGGAGACTGGAACCAGGAGGACCAGTTAGGAGACTATGACAGACTCCATTTCAACCTAGTCATTGAATCCAGAGAGTAAACTCTGCTTCCTCCCAAATTCTTGTTGAATTTTAAGATATATTTTTTAAAGTTCTTAAAAGAAAAAAACAAACTCTGCATATATGCCAGATAAAAATGAAAAGGTGTCATCAATAAGCCAGAAAGAAAGGAAACTTCTTCAGGTGTTGCTAGAGACTAATAATGTGTCCACCTGTCCAGGATTCTTTACCCACGGCTTCCTTCTCCCAAGGAGGCACGGTGGAGGCTGGAGTGAGGGTGGCATGGAGCAGATCGAAGTCTTCAGAACAGCCCAGGGCCTGCTCTCATGGTGAAGGCCACGAGGCTCCCTGGAGCCTGCCCCTTGTGCAGGCATGAGCTGGGTAACGCGGGGGCCCTGCTGAGGCAGGATGTCCCATTCGCCTCACCATGAGCCACCACAGCTATCAGAAAAGCAACTGCCCATCCTGCTGAGGACACTTCTCTGCCACAAGGCTCTGCGTTCCTACTCCTGCTCTTGGCCCACCAGACCTCCAAGAAGCAACCTAAAAACACACACACACACAAAACATGAGCTTCCCTTCCCGTTTTATGCCAGAGAGATCCCATATGAACCCTCAGTACTGGACAAAATGAAGATGAGCAAAGAGAAAAATGGACAGATGCCACCATTTCATGTATCAAATACTGACGTGGTGATGCAAGAGTCAGGATTGTTTTAAAGTCTACATGAATATTAAACTCATCTATTTACAATGACAGCCCTGTGAGGCAGGTGCTATGGTGGTCCCCATTTTACAGATGTGGTAGCTGAGACTCAGAGCAGTTAAGTCACTTGCCCAAGGCCACACAGCTCCACATGGTGGGATTGGTCTTGAGACCAGGGAGTTAGTCTGGCCACAGAGCCTGTGCCGTTCACCCTCATACATGCTGCTTCCCTAAGCAGGAACCAATCTGATAGATAAAAGCACAATCCCCCCCTCCCCCCAATAAAACAGATTTATTTTTTTTAAAATAGGAAAATATCTTCCCTAAATCTCCAATTTCTCTTTTTGATGATAATACATAATAGAAAAATATATATGTAAATATGCAGAGAAAAGAATCTGACAACAAGAAAGATTTAGATGCAAAATACATGGTCGAATTTTAAAATGCAGAGATGAGCAAAGTTAGGGAAAACAGGCCGGGCGAGGTGGCTCACACCTGCTATCCCAACACTTTAGGAGGCTGAGGCGGGTGGATCACCTGAGGTCAGGGGTTTGAGATCAGCCTGGCCAATATGGTGAAACCCCATCTCTACTAAAAATACAAAAATTAGTTGGATGTGGTGGCACGCCCCTGTAATCCCAGCTACTCAGGAGGCTGAGGCAGAAGAATTGCTTGAACCCAGGAGGCAGAGGTTGCAGTGAGCCAAGATCACACCACTGCACTCCAGTATGGGAGACAGAAGAAGACCAAAAAAAAAAAAAAGAAGAAGAAAAGTTAGGGAAAACATTCAGTGGGGAGAGAGAACAGATTGGGTTCTGCAGAAACAGCATCGCAGAATAATAAGATGAACACAGTCACATTTCCCACAATGTAAGAGAAAAGAACCGATGCAAGATGTAAAGATAAAGGTATAAGACTGGGTATTTATAGCTCCAGCAAATAGACGAAAGTAATCCCAGAAATAGAGAACAGAAGGGATGGGGAAGGAACAATCGTAAAAGAAAAAACAAAACACACACACACACCAAAAAAAAAAAAAAAATTGCTGCCCTGGAAAAAAAAAAAAGGCAAGATTAAAAAAACAAAGACAATGAAAATAGACTAATACCCAGACATATCCAAAATAAAAAAATAAATGTACAAGCACTCAGTTTGGAAGGGAGGGAAGCTGGGATAAAATTAACTGTCAAGGGTGAAAGGTGAAATCAGGGTATTGCTCCACAGTGCTAAATGCTGCAAGACGAGAGCGTGAGATTTTTCTAATGTGAAAGAGCACCAAAAATATGACATTTATTTATCCTTCCTAGAAAAAGGTGACTTAGGAATTCCTCTGTATTGTTAACCTATTAGTTCTTAACAAACTACCCCCAACCACAGTGCCATTAGAGTTCTCCAGAGAAAGAGAACCAATAGGGGATATAGATATAGAAATAGACAGATAGATACAGGCAGACATGAAATGAGGTTTATGGTTCATTGGGTAACACAATTATGGAGGCTGAGAAGTCCCATGATCTGCTATCTGCAAGCTGGAGACCCAGGAAAGCTAGTGCTGTAATTCAGTCCAAGTCCAAAGGCCTGAGAACCAAGGATGCCAATGGTGTAAATCCCAGCCTGAAGGCAGGAAAAGATAAATGAGAAGTCCCAGCTCGGGCAATGAGGCAAAAAGAAGGGGCAAATTTCGTTTCTCCTTCCTCCGTCTTTTGTTCTATTCAGGCCCTCAATGGATTGATGATACCCATCCACACTGGGGAGGACCGTCTACTTTACTGGATCCACCAATGAGAATGCAAATAGACACAGAAACTGTGTTTAATCTGGGCACCCGTGGTGCACTCAGGTTGACAATGTAAAACTGACCATCACACACAGTCACTTGTTAGCACTCATGCATTTGTAGGTGCTGGGCCTGGCAGATCTAGGAGGGATGGGGCAGGACAGCATGGTTTCTCTCTGTGGTCTGTAGGTGGGCTGGGAGGTCTGTTCCATGTGTCTCATCTCCCACCTGGGACCAGCAGGTGAGCAAGGGCTTCTCTCCTGCTGATAGTGGGGGCAGATGGGAGAAGTGGGCAAGTAGAAACAGCTAAGGGCTTTTGTAGTTCAAACTCAGCATTTCTGCCAATGTACCACCAGCCAACACAAGTCCCATAGCCAAGGCCAAGGCCAAGGTCAAGGGAAGGGGAAATGCACTCTGCTCCCAATGAAGCTGTGGCAGAGGTGTGGATGGGGCCGGGGAGAACTGAGGCCAAGCTGCAATGCACATCACACTCCATGCAACCCCCAAAAATGATCAAATTAAAGACTGCAAGAATGGCAGAGACAAATTATAAAAGTTAAACCTGTAAAATGAATAGTTAGTGTTGAAATAATGTTCATTAACATGAATGTTAACTTAATGTAGACAACTATAGCCTCCAAAAATGTCATAGAACAAAAAGCCTGCTAATAATAGTCTGGATCTAAAAGCCTTGATTTCTCAGCAAAATACAGTGTTAAATGGAGGGGAGAATGAATGTTAAATGGAATATTTAAAAGCATATTAAATTTCTTATTTTCTTACAGAGAGGTATTTATTTATTTTACAGATGAGGTCTCACTTTGTTGCCTAGGCTAGAGTGCAGTGGCACACTCATAGTCCACTGCCACCTCCAACTCCAAGGTCAAGCGATCCTCCTGCCTCAGCCTCCCAAGTAGCTGGGACCACAGGCATGCTCTACCATGCCCAGCTAATTTTTTTTAAAGAGACAAAGTCTCTCTACATTGCCCAGGCTGGTCTTGAACTCCTGCCCTCAAGCGATCCTACCACCTCAGCCTCCTGAGTAGGTAGGACTATAGGCATGAGCCATTTCATCTGATGTATTTTTTTTCTTTTTTCTTTTCTTGTTTTGTTTTGTTTTGAGACTCTGTTGCCCAGGTTGAAGTACCAGTGGTGCCACCATGGCTTACTGTAGCCTCGATCTCCCAGGCTCAGCCTCCAGTGTAGCTGGGACTACAGGTGCGTGCTACCACACCTGGGTAGTTTTTGTATTTTTTGTAGAAACAGGGTTTCACCATGTTGCGCATGCTGGTCTGGAACTCGTGGGCTCAAGTGATCTGCTGGCGTCAACCTCCTAAAGTGCTGGGATTACAGGCATGAGCCACCGTGCCCAGCCCCCAAGCTCTTAAAATCCACTATTCCAATTGTTGACTTGCTGGTCATCACATTAATTTACCCTTTATTACCTTAGCTTATCAATGATCACATTAAGTCTGAATTGCTTCTCCTCTCCTATTTTTTTTTTTTTTTTTTTTTTTGAGACGGTCTCTCGCTCTGTTGCCCAGGCTGGAGTGCAGTGGCGCCATCTTGGCTCACTGCAAGCTCCGCCTCCCGGGTTTACGCCATTCTCCTGCCTCAGCCTCCCGAGTAGCTGGGACTACAGGCGCCTGCTACCACGCCCGGCTAATTTTTTGTGTTTTTAGTAGAGATGGGGTTCCACCGTGTTAGCCAGGATGGTCTTGATCTCCTGATCTTGTGATCTGCCTGCCTCAGCCTCCCAAAGTGCTAGGATTACAGGCATGAGCCACTGCGCCCAGCTCTCGTCTCCTAGTAAAAGACATTCTAAGCAAGCTATGCACAACAACAAACAAACAGCGACAAATCCAATGCTCATGTTAACAATGGACACACCTAGAAGCAAAATGCCCTGGTGATTCCACATAGAGGAAGGGCCAAAATATATATATCCGGAAAATGTATACAGAGAAGAGGGGTTCTGAAAAAAATGAGGGTTTGAACTCAGACAATGATAGAAGGTGTTGACTAAAGGCAAAAAAGCCAAGCTTTTAAAGAATTCAAGTTGGTTTCCTTCAGAAGCCTGTAGGACTGTAGACAGAGGCCGGTAGCCCAAGAGCCGCCCTTCGGTGGGGGTCCTGTCAGTTCTCGGTACAGTGTTTTAGCCACAGCTTAAATGCAGGTGGCGGGGTCAGGTACCTGCAAAATCGCATCTGTCTTGCTGAGAAGTGACATTGAAGCAGAATCACATCAAGGTTTGGGCCTGAGAGTGCATCTGGTTAGAGATTACAGAGGCATCCTCACTAACCCCAGCAGATGTCACCTTATGTGTAGGGAAAGGCAAGGATAAGGGTCATTTATCTTGTAGGGAGAATAGAGACTCAGGCAAGAGACCTGGGGGGCTATGTGCTCTGGCCTGCTTTGTCTTCAAAGCATCTTTCCGGAGCGCCGCACATTGTCACAGAGTCGGGGCCTTTGTGGAGTTATGCGGGCAAGCAGAAATGAGCAGGCGTGGCTTCTTTTGTTTGCTACTTTGTCTCACAAAGGGAGGAAGGGGAAGTAGGACCAGTAATGTGTTGTGAGGCCAAGGCTGAGAAAAAGAAAGACTTCAGAGTGATCCCCAGGTAAGTAGCATCGTGTACCAAGTTAACAAACCCAACCAGAAGAGCAGGTCTGGGGAAGAGATGCCACCGCCACCCATCCATTCATTCACTGAACCACCACTGACACCGTTTCTAGGCAGTAGAGACGCTTAGTGAGTGAACTCAGCTCACCTGCCTTGCAAACAAAAAACCACTTAACTAATGTAAAACTGAAAGTTTATACATTTTAAGAAGAGAGGAAACTGGGTGCTACGAGAGCTTACAATGGGGGCAGCAGGGTGGTGACGGGGTCAAGGAAGTCAACAAATCTTTCTGGGAGAGGTGATATCGGAGCCGAGATCTAATGATGATGCGGCATCTGGGGAAGAGTCCCTGACACTGACCTTCCCTGATGAGTCCATATAAACAGCAACCCCACTCTCGCCCCTTTGTTCCATCATTCTCCATCCCCCTTGTCCTGTTTATTCTCAAATCACTTCTCACTTCCTGAAAATTCTTTAATTATTGATTTGCCCCTAGCTGGCCCTCTATCCCCTGATAAACTCTAAGTTCCAAGACAGTAGGACACTGATTGCTTTTGTCCACTGCTGTATCCCCAGCCCCTAAAATGGAGCCTGGCAGATAACAAGCACGAGATAAACACCAGCTGACTCCACGGATGGAGGGCACGTGGACGGACTGGGTATGCAGAAGAGACTCTCTGACTGCAGACTCGGCTGCCACACATAGAAATGTCTGCTCCCTGGACCCTCAGACTGCCTCGGTCCCTCCCCCGTGAAACCCACTCCACCATTTCCACGCACACTCCCATGCTGTCACCCTCAGGAAGCATCATGACAGCTTGATGCTGGCAGCAACTGTCCATGAAGAGGGGAAGAGTGACAATGCAGGAAAGAGAAGAAGACTCAAGACACAAAGTCCTCAGGGGGCGAGGGTCACCTCCTTCTACCAGGCCAGAGAGCAGAACGTGTGGGAACAAGGGCAGGCAAGCTCGTGGAGGTGGTGGTTGAAAGGTGAGAATTGGAATATAATTTCCATCCAGGGAAGGAAGTGTCCCCTTTAGAGTAACAACACCTTGGGCACACCATTAACAAATGACAGACTTGGGCTCTGCTGCTCAGAGAACTGAAGTCAGAGGATAGCACATGCATTCTTAGCTGAGAAGTTCATAAGAGCTATAAGAACCTGTGTGATGTTTCCTGGAAAGTACTCGGGAACAGGAATCAGGAAACCTGAGTTTGAGTCCCTTTCTTGCCACCAAATCCATCATCAGATGACACTTGAACATGCCTCTCAAAGGATGAGATTAGGCAAGATCATCTCTCTACCAAACCCTCTTCTCTCACTTCCCAAGAAGAGAGATTGCCTGGCCCTGCTTGAATGTCATGAACAGGTGTGCTGGGGGGTCTAGTCTGGACCAGGTAGCTCCCACCAGGACAGAGCTGCCAACTGCACATGGAGACCCTGAAGCTTTTTTGGCCTTTAACCAGCTCCTGAGCTGCTGCAACTCACAGAGAAAGGAAATAGCATAATGGGCCAATGACAAGTTATATAATTTGGTTGAAACTTCAAACAACAGGACCCATATGGATAGGAAATTATTTTAAATGGACTCAAATGTCTAATTTACATAATCTATGTTTCTTGTTCATATTTGCACCCAGTGGGTGGTTATATGAATATTTGAATACTTGATGACTGATTAATAGAATATAATTTGCCAGGACCCTTCACTGTTGAGAAGGGTTTGAACGAACTGCCTTTTTTTTTCTTACCCCATATATGGAAGAAAGTAAAAAAGTTTCAGAATGAGTTTAGGATAATTATACTACATCTTAAATGTTTACATTTACCAAAACGACACACAAACGCAACACATCTTATGTATAAGCCTCATTTGGAGTCCGTGTCCAAGGTCCTCTGTGAGGTCCTTGGTGACCCTGGTCCTGACATTCATCCTCCCCTACATGTCAGGGTCTGTTATTTACATCTTACAGTTTGGCTACAAATCCTCCAGCTAAAACTCTTACCAGATCGGCCATCAGAAGACCAAGCATGACTCCCCACCCTCAACTTTGTTCCTCCCTCAACGCGTCACTTTGGGCAGCGTATTCCCTGGGCCTGGAAAAGGAAAGGATTGCCTTTCGATGAACCCCAGCAACGTAACTAAGTTCACTTTTGACTCCTGATAGGCTTTTTCATCAAGAATTTTAATTTGGCTTCTTCGTCAAGAATTTTAATTCCACACACACCACAGAGCTGGTTTTATAGAGGTCAATCTAAGCCTTCGGTCAAATTTTCTCCCCCTCATCCCCATGAACAGCCTTGCTTTGCCTCTTTCTCTCACCACATCTATAGCAAGTCCACTGTGGGTCACGGCAGCTCCCTGCAGATATTGGATTTGTGGTGCAGAGGGGGACGCCCTTTCTGAGAGTGAGACAGAAGGGACAGGGTGGGCCAGCCTCCTGCAAAGACTCCATCAGACAGGTGCAAATGCATGCCCAAGAAGGATGGCAGGGAGGCCACATGCAGCACCATCACGCTTTATCATGATGGGTCCATGGCCCTTCCTCCCAGGGGACCTAGCCTTGGGAGATTTGCGAAAAAAGAAAGTCACAAATATGCAAAGTTTCACCGTGAAATGGGCATTGGGCTTGCCAGGGCTGGCCTTGGTAGCATCCTTCCATGTCCCCTTCCCCTGGGTTGCAAGAACCACGTGCTTGCCCAAGTCTTTATATCACTGGGGAATAACTTGACTCCTTCTTCTCTTTCAATCTCTCTCAATCTCTCTCTCTCTATCTCTGAAAGCAAGTAATGGCAATGAGTCAACAGAAATACTGTAGGTGACCTGTCTGAGAGGCCCCAGGCCTCTAGTGTGGGCAAGGGACATGAAGCCTGAAGTTTTTATCTATTTGCACGTTCCCTAGAGAAACAGGAGGAAAATTATGCCAGAGATGTCTCACAGCACATATGTACTTTACAGTAGATAAAATTGTTTAAAATCTCATGAAAAATGGCTCAAAATATAAGTTTACATGGTTGAATATCTGTTGGGGTCTCTCAGATGTGCAAAGAACATCTGTCTCTTCACACTGTATGATTTAATCTTCCTTATGAGCCTCCCATGGCAGGGTGATGTCAGTGACATTGATGTCCCTTTAAGCAATCCCCATTCATCTCTTATAACAGAGCCTAGTAGGTGAATCTCAGCCTTGCAGATCTCACTCCTGTGCCCTCCTTCTGCTGGACACTGGCAGTCAGAGGTCTTGGCAGCCTGAACAGAGGGAATGCTGTGCTGGGTTAGAAGAACAAGAGTGGTAATATTGTCCCCCTTCTCCATCCATGTCAGCCCCAGTAATAGCTGATGTCTGTGTGTGGCAGACATTCTGTGCCCAGGCATCTGTGCATCCACACCACATGCCTACACTCTGATGCCGCCAGTGAGTTCTCCAGAAGCAGATGCTGAAATGGAGCTGGGCTCACACGATGCTGATAAGGGGTCACATCTGAGAAAGGAAGGTGCCACAGGCACAGACCGAGGGAAGTCATCCTGTGCTGGGGGCCCAGCGCAGCCCCTGCCAACCGAGCTGGTCACTACAGAGTGAGAAGTATCATCAGAGTTGTACAGCATCAGGCTGACATGGCTGGGTCTTTGTACCTTTGGTGAGGTGGGTCTCTGAGGCTGAGGCTGTCCCCGAGGGGCCAACAGCAGTGGCCACATTGCAGAGGTGGGCAGCAGACCCTCCCCAAAGGTATCCCAGCATCCGTGTCTGCATCTGGCACACTGGCCTATGAAATTCCTGCTATGCTGGTGCTGGGGCAAACTTCCCTCACGATGGAGAGCCTGGGATGTCGGCATGGGAGATGTTTGGGCACAGTCTCCTGTCAGACCCTCAGACAGGAAGAGAAGCAGGAACCCCTTAGATTTCAGGACCTCCTCCCTCCCCCAGATCCAGGATTTGAGCCTGGAGAAAGGAAATGATGACCAACAAGTCAGCCACATGTCCCCTTTGTCCCTTCCACGATGCCCCGACCAGAAGGGACAGCTACCCCCAAATCCCCCCTTCCTGAGGTGGTGTCACACTGACCCTTATCCCTCCTGGTGACCAATGCAGAGATAGAAAGCACCTTAGAGAGAAACAGAACTCGAGGGATCTTCCAAAAACATACTGTTTGTCACCTGTATCTTCACTGAGGGCAGAGGTGACTCCTTGGTAGCCCTAGTCCCTGAGATTGGGCTTCCTTGGTGACTGAGCTTGTCCCTCTGTCCACACAGGGCTCCAACAGTGGCTCCTGTTGGAAGCCTCAGAAACCTCTCTAGCCCATGCAGCCAAAGTGGAGGAATTGAAGGCAGCTCATGACATCCAAGGGAGAGCTGAATATCCAGCTTCAGGAAGAGGGGAGCCCGGGTGGTGTCAGAGGCCTGGGGGCTGCAGCCTGGGACTCCTTTCGATGCCACTGCCACAGACAGACCAGACCTGTGACTCTCTCTGTGCCTCAGAATCCCAAGACACAGAATCAGGTGCCCCAGCTGGGGTCAGCGGTGACCAATCAGCCTGTGGCCAGGGGCCAGGTCCCATGGGATCGACACCCTGCCAGGGTCCTTCTCAAGGGAAAATGGCTGTAAGCCAGGCCACTCCCAGATGGTGCTGATGAGAAATGAGCTAAGAAATAATAGAACTTCTCTAGGATCGTGAGGACTGGGGAGGGGTGAGTCATCTTTCAGTGCCTGGGAGGCCTTTTTAGTCTGGCACATGGCAGATGGTGCTAAGGCCAAACCAGGAAGTTATTCAGTTCCATAAACACAGATGCCACTCAAACTCCAGCCCAGCTGATTACAAATAGATATCCTTAGTCACTAAAAGATGGTCCTCATTTCCTCCCATTCCAAACCCTCCCTATGCATCCTGATCAAGTGTGTCAAGTGTGTCTTGCCAGGCCACACTCAACTGTTATCACTGTCATAATAAGATGCTTCAAGGGACTTCACAGACCCCAACACTCTATGAGTTGGTTCCAAGCTCATCCCATACCATAACAGCCACACTGTCCTAATCACTGTTTCTTTTTGTGTGTAACAGCTTTGTTGAGATATAATTCACACACCATGAAATTTGCCCTTTTAAAGTATACAGGTAAGTGGTTTTTAGTCTATTCGTAGAGTTGTTCAGCCATCACTGTTACAGGACTGTGAAGTTCATCTTTCCACTGCATCCCGTTTGCATCCAGTGGGTGGTCTGAATATCCATTGTGCAGCAACAGACCAATACACCGAGACAACAGGGCTTGCAGCAAAGAGTTGAATAATCTCCAGGCCGCTGAGTGAGGAGATGGGAGGAATCCTCAAGCCTCAAATCCATCTCTCCAGGGAGTTCTGGGCAAAGGTTTATAAGGAGATCATGGAAGGAAAGGGGCTGGAAAGTTGGGGTTATTGATTGGTTGGGGTAAGGGGGATAAAATTATTAGAATGTGGAAACTGCATTTTCCCATAAGTCAGCTCCTTACTGGGTCCTTCAGCCCTGTTGGCACTGGTAGTTTTATCAGTGTACAGAACCCAAATGAGAAACTCAAACAGAAAGCTTATTATTTTATAATGTCTTAGACTTTACAGAACAGAAAAGGAGCAAAGAGCCTTGTGACAGGGCTATGTTATCCTGGGATAGTAAGAAGCAGCTAGCTACAAGGAAGCAGGCCAAAGGGTAAGGTGGATTGCTGATAACTGCTGATTGTGCTGCAAGCCTAGTAGGATTTTTTTTCCTTAGTTGATTTTATAAAATTTTATTAGGGACAGTTTCATTGCCACTATTTAATTTCGGTTTATTTTCATTACCACAAAAGGTAACCCCATACCCACTGGCAGTCACTCCCCACTTCCCCAGCTCCTGGAAACCACTGATCTACTTTCTATCTCTACAGATTTTCCTATTCTGGACAATTCATATAAATTGAGTCACACAATATGTGGCCTTCTGTGACTGGCTTATTTAACAGAGAATGTTTTCAACATTCATCCATGTTGTAGTATGTATTGGTAATTCATACATTTTTTGTGGCCAAACATTCCATTGTATGGATACACTACATTCGTTTTTCCATTCATCAGCTGATGGACTTTGGGTTGTTTCCACTGTGTGGACTAGTGTTAATAATTGTCTTAGTCCATTTTGTGTTGCTATAAGGGAATACCTGAGGCTGGGTAACTTACAAATAAAAGAAGTTTAATTGGCTCACAGTTATGCGGGCTGTACAGGAAGCATGGTGCTGGCATCACTTCTAGTGAGGCCTCAGGAAGCTTTTAATTATGGCAGAAGGCGAAGGGGGAACAGATATGTCACATGACAAGAGAGGGAGCAGAGGTTCCAGGCTCTTTTAAACAACCAGATCTTGTGTGAATGAATAGAGAATTCACTCATTACCAGAAGGGAGGCACCAAGCCATTCATAAGGGATCTGGCCCCATGACCCAGCACCTCCCAACAGGCCCCACTTCCAACATTGGAGATCATCTTTCAATATGAGATTTAGAAGGGACACACATCCAAACCATATCAGTAATGCTACTATGAACAACCTTGTACAAGTTTTTTTGTGTGGAGGTATGTTTTCAGTTTTCTCAGGTATATTCCTAAGCATGGAATTTCTTGTCAGATGTTGACTCTTATGTTCAACATTTTGGGAAACTGCAAAATTGTTTATCAAAGTGAATGCACCATTGTACGTTCCCACCAATAGTTCATGAGGGTTTCAATTTCTTCACATCCTTGCCAAAACTTACTGTCTGTCTTTTCTTATTTTGGCATCTCACTGATGCCAAAATAACTGGCATCTTATTGTGATTTTGATTTGGATTTCCCTAATACCTAATGATGAAAGCATCTTTTCGTGTGCTTCTTGTTCATCTTGTCTAGCTTGTGTGAATGTACACATACATATATCTTTGGAGAAGTGTTTATTCAAACCCTTTGTCCATTTTTAAATTGGGCTGTCTGTCCTTTTATTGTAGAGTTGTGAGTTCTTTGTGTATTTTGGTTACAAGTTCCTTATCTGAAGTATAATTTGCAAACATTTTCTCCCATTCTGCAAGCATCTTTTCACTTTCTCTTTGTGTGAATTCTGCTTACCCTTTAAGACTCAGCTGAATTTCAGCTTCTCCAAGATGTCTTTTTTGACCAGGGTAACCACAAATCCTTTCCTACACTCTGGCATACCCACAATAATTTATTCAATTATTTATTTATTCATTTGCTTGTGTATTTATTATGTTTATTCAAAAACTATGCATTGAGCACCTTCTATGTTCTAATTGCTGTGTTTCATGAAGGACGTAGCCTTGAAAAAGAGAAACATGCACTTTGCCCTCTGGGAGCTTCCCATCTAGCAAAATTGAGACACATAATTAAAGTGAGTGGCTCAAGTGCTACGATGGTGATTATAACATGGTGAGTGCTTACCCTATGCCAGGTCCGACTGGGAGGGCTTGACTCTTGGGCATTCTCTCTTTCTCCATGGGAGCAGGGCTCAGATATGTCTCCTTGAAGAAGAGGCACTTCAGCTGACACCTAAGGGATGAGCGGAGTTGGTGAGCACATGCAGGGGGATCTAGAGGGCAGAAAGCACGGCTTCTCTCATGGGAATTGAAAGAAGGCCCACATGGCTGTGGCAAGAGCAGAGAGTGGAAGTGAAAAAGAGGCAGCAGATGGGGTCAGAGAGGTGGCAGCAGCCAGATTGTGGAAAAGCCTGAAGCTCCTCCAGGGGCACCAGCAATCAGCTTCCCATGGGCCTGTGTCCCCCAGCACTCACCATGCTGTTAATAATGTTTTCTCTCTCCTGTGAAAAGACATTATTGATTTGTGTCATTGAACTTAAGGCATGGTGTATTCATTTGTTCTCATGTGCTAATAAAGACATACCCGAGGCTGGGTAATTTATAAATAAAAGAGGTTTAATTGACTCACAGTTCTGCAGGGCTAGGGAGGCCTCAGGAAACTTACTATCATGGCAGAAGGGGAAGCAAACATGTCCTTCTTCACTTGGAGAAGTATGAGCAAAAAGGGGGCAAAAAGTATGAGCAAAAAGGGGGAAAGCCCCTTATAAAACCATCAGATCTCATGAGAACCCACTCACTATCACTGTGAGTGATAACTGCCCCCATGATTCAATTACCTCCCACCAGGTCCCTCCCACGACATGTGGATATTATGAGAACTACAATTCAAGATGGGATTTGGGAGGGAACACAGCCAAACCATATCACATGACAAAATATGTGTATACCTTTTTAGGAAAGATATATTTTACATATTGCAGCAAATATAGCATGCAATGTTTACAAAATACCAGGAGGAAACCTTTTTGTGTAGAAATTATGTTAGCTTTCTGTTTATTATAAACCCTGGAATAGACCCTTCCCACCGAACCCACCTCCTATGAAGTAATGAAGGTATCATTAAATGTCATCACGGATAATCAACCATTTTTGCCAGGAAGGTAATGAAGGAGTTAAAATACCTTCTATTTTTGAGGCAGTTGTCCAGTTGCAGGCAAAACCTTCTGGGTGGGCAACTATCCCCTCCAGAAACAAAAGATATGTATCCAGAATTGCTCAGACTTAAAAAAAATTATTTCAGAACAACTGAATCAAATTAGCACAGCTGACCAAAGCCAGGGTGGGCAATATCTGAATGTCATTTGAAGCTGTTTAGGGCAGAAGGTAAAGAGGATGGTAGAAAACTCCTTGGATTCATCTCTGTATCTCCATGTCTTGAAATTTTCTCCTTATGACTTTATCATAAAAGAATCAAAATTAGGCATGAAAAAAAGGACTTGACATTGATTTCAGTAAGATCCTAAAATGCTTCTATATTAATTGATTTTACTTTACCGCAATGGAGAATGGAGCCATTTAAAGACCTTAAGCAGGGGAATAATATTATCTAATTTCCATTCTTAAAAATTGCTTCAACTTCCCAGTGAAGAAAGGAATGGAGAGGGGCCAGTCTGCAAATAAGAAAACAGCTGGGGTCAATGAGGCAGGTGAGGGACCTTGATGGTTCAGAGAGGAGTGGATAAATTGGAGGGCTTGGTTGTGGGTCCTGTGGAGTAAGTGCAAAATAGGTCTCATGAATGACTCCTACACTTCTGACTTGAGAAATTGTGTGGGGAGTGGTGCCACCCGCAAAGATAAGAAATACAGGAAGAGGAGCAGGTGTAGAGAAGATGATGAGTTGGGTCTGAAACAAGTGGAGGTAGAGCTGCCCCACATTCATCCAAGTGGTCATTGGGTATGTGGGCCTGCTGTTCACCAGATGGGAGTCTCAGGCTGGGGGTTGGGGAATTCTCAGCACAGAGATGGTCATTGGAGCCTTGAGAATGAATGAAGTGACCAAGCGATGGTGAGCTGGCAAGGCAGGAAGAGTGTGCAGCGAACAGAGCCCTGGGACCATCGAGCCCTACGGAAAAGGACACACCAACCAAGGAGGCTAAAAGAGAGATCAGAGAAGGAAGCAAGCAAGCCACAGGAGACAGACAGCACGAGATCAGTGGAAGAAAGAGGACAGGGAAACTGAGCTAAATATTGACAGGAGGTAAAGAAAGAACAGAAGGAAGGAAGGGAGAGAGGGAAATGCCCATAGGATTTAGAGACATTTAGAATCACTGATATCCTCTGTGGAATTAGCTTTTTGAAGTGGTATGAGTGGGAAGCAAGATTTTAGTAAAGTGAGTAGTGTGTGGAAGATGTAGACAACATTAGCAAGGGAAGGAACAGAGTTATGGGGCAGCTGGAGAGATGCAGCTAGGGGATTGGTAATATACAGGCTTGTGCTCTATTTTCTGCATTGTCCAGAATTTACTGCCTTGCTGCTAAATGTTGTTTGATTTTGTGTGTCTGCCTCTCCAGCTGGCCCCTGAACACCTCAAACCCAGGGCAAGTATTATTCATATTTATGGCCCTAGAAGCACCTAACATACAAGAGCTACTCAATAAAAGTTTGGGGATTTTAGTTTCTATTTTCTGAATGACAGGTAGTACCTGGGTTAGACCAACCTGTGCCTACCCACAGGGTGAAATATGTATTACATGACTTGCTTCTGTGGAATTTGGAAGGATGGAAGTTCCTCCACTTGAGCAAAAAGCATATTGTGCTGGCTCAGCCATGCTGGGAATTTGTTGTTCCTTCCACCATATGGTCTGGTGCTGACAACAACTGGGAGTAGAGGCTTCCAGCTCCCATGAGCCCCAGAATACGCAAGAAGAGGTGCAAACTGAGGGCTATAACACAGTGAGAGCTGGAAGGAGTTTTGCATCTTGCCTAGTTCAGATCCTAAATATCTAATCATCCTGCAATGGCAACAAAACCCATAGACCCTAGGGATGCTTCCATTGTCATATGGAAACATTGACCTCTGTGCTCACCAGGGTGGTGGGACCTGAGGCCCTGCTCCACTGGCCCAGAAGCTCTGTGGAAATAGCAGCCAGGTCCCTTTGCATACCTTACTCATAATTTTTGCAACCTTGAAGGCAGCTGAGACTGTGAGGGGTTGCCATGTCATTCTCCTGGGTGGTCTGGTAGAGACAGGAAAGAGCGTGGGTCTGGGAACCAAGCAGGCCCCAACTCTGAGTCTAAATTACACCCAAACTGAATTGTCAACAGAAGATTGGGTCTGTGGATTCTTTAACTGAGGCATATGGAAGGATGAAGAATCTGGGGATTTCTGGCGGCATGGTGTCTCACTGCCTCTTCCCCTTCCCCATTACAGAACAGCTGAACTATGCTCACAGCATCAGATGACACAATCGGGACATGACAAAGGGGCAAATTCTCATACTCTTTAAGTCTTGTACGATATGACTTTTACCTATTAAAAATATGAATCAGATGAAACACAAATGTTGTGAAGGCAAGGATGTCAGTGTACTTACTGCATTTTTTTTAAAGAAGTAAAAATTAAGAGAAATAAGACGAAATGTTAGTAGTCATTAAATAAGTGGCAGGTACATGGGTATCTGTTACAAAAAGCTCTGTACTTCCCTGTGATTTTTTTTTCAGCATCCTGACGTAGTGGAGAAGGAAGTGGGTGGATACAGCAGTGGTATGGGATACAGCAGAGGGAGAGCTGGGATGGTGGGTGGTGATATTCATGTCAACTGCCCTTGGGGTCTGATGGCAATCAGGATGTTAGGGAGGTGTGAATCTAGGCTCACTCTGCAGTGTATGCCTTAGAAACCTGGTTTGGGTTGTGGTGCCAAGGATAGAGATAAGAAACTGGGAAGGGTGGGTGAAAAGAGAAAGGGGTCTGTTTGGTTTGGGTATGCCTAGTGTATGGTGGCTGAGGGCCATTGATGGGGAATCTGTTCATTATCCCCAAACCTTGTTGCCAAAAACACTAACCTCTGACAAACACCTCTTGCTAATACATATTTGAAACCTTTGTCACCCTTTTGAATCTCTGACCTCTCCTCTGCCTCCCTCACTCTTAGAGGATAAACTTGCCTCATTCTTCACAGAGAAGATAGAAGCCACCAGACAGGACACCCCTTAGCATCCTGCTACATCATCCACAAACCTGCCTTTATCTGATTCCCTCCAATCACTCCATGGCAGGTACCTGTTCTTGTGAAGGTCATCCTTGACCTTAATGTTGCTAAATTCCGGGCTGCTTTCCGGTCCCCTTGATACTAGATTTGCTCAGGTTTCTATTGCATTCGCCACACCTTCCTTCTTGCAGGAGGCTCCGTTGTTCTGGGCAATGCTTTTCTCTCAAGGTTCCCCTGACTCCTCAATGCCACTCCCAGCCCATCTTCTTAGCCAGTTCTTCCCTGTCTACCCATTAGCCCTTCGGCCACCCCTCCTTGTAGGCTCTGCTCCCTTCCCTGCAATCCCAGCCTGGTGCATGACTTCAGCTACCCACAGCATCCTCTAGTTTTCTCTCTCTCCTGAGCTCTAGCTCTGTGCATCTAACCATATCCATAAAATCTCCACCTGAACATCTCACAGACATCTCAAGCTTGACATATTAAGTCTGAATTCATGGTGCAATGCCCCTCAAGCCTGCTCCTGAGTCAGCAAATGAGTCCCTCTTGTCCTTGCCTCACCCTTGCCCAATTGCTCAAGCTACAAACCTGAGCACTGTCCCTGAGAGGCCCCTGTCCTGAGACCCCTACAAGTAGTCATTGGTAAGTTGGCTTCACTCCCACACATCCCTCCGTCTGTGTCATCTGTCCCCATCACCATCCAAGTCCAGGCCCATCTTCTGCCTCTGCGTTGACCTCTGCATCCATCATGCTAACTAGTACATTCTCTCTATGCTAGTTTAAGATGTTGCTTCTTCCTTAGAAATGGTCTCGGGCCACCCATTATTCTTAGAATAGGGTCAAGGTCTCCATGGTGATTGGCATTTGACTCCTGCTCACCACTCTGACTTTGTTTCCTGCCACACCCACCCCAGCTTAGACCTCCTTCAGTTCTTCCTTTACCCCAAACTCGTCATTACTTCGGGGTCTTTGCACACACTCCTATGTGCATCTGCCCTTTGCACACAGTCCTTTGTGCATCTGCCCTTTCCCCATTGCTGTCCTGGCTCCTGCTCACGCTGCAAGTCTCAGTATGAATGTTGCTTCCTCCAGGAGACGTCCACGAATGCCCAGATTTGGTCGGATCTCCTAACATATCCTCCCCCAGCACCCCGTTCTTCTCCATCACCCACTTAATGCAATTGTAACCAGATAGTGTGTAAATGTTTCTTGAATATCACTCTAACCCAGTGGGTTGGAAGTTCCATGAGAGCAGAGACAGTGCCTTCTTTATTTGCCAAATGTGCAATGGGAACTCAGTAGATACTCATTGAATGGGGGCTGGGGAACAGATACATATGTGTGTGGCTAGGGAAGAAAAAGATAAAATGAGAGTGAGGAAAGTCTTTATCATCCCTTTGTAGGCTTGCGGGGAATAAAGCATTACTGGGCGTGGTGACAGGAAATAGCAGATACACACAAATAGGGTTCCTGCCCTCTTCCCTGGCTGGAGATGGCAGGGTGTTATCCTGCAGTCTGGAAAGCCCGGCTCCTGGGGCAGGTCATCCTGAGGACATCAGCAGTGGTTGTGGGACTCACAGTAAAGAACACCTATGACACTCACCCTCCCACTGCCTGGTTAACCCTTTTCAATGGCATTCATTAACCTTAGGGGAGAAGACAGGGATGGATCACAAACAGAGATTGAGTGGCTTGAGATTTCATTTCAGTTCCTCTCCCTTTCTGTCTCAGGTTCAAAGCTTTTTATAAATCTCATCTCCCAGTTTTTCCTCTCTTCTCTCTGGTCTTTCCTTCATGGGACACAGCTTGTTTGGATTAGAAGTGCGTCCCATCAGGTAGAAAAAGCTGAGGTCTAGAGCCTGGAGTTAGACGATCTGGGGAGATGCCAGCAGTGCCTGGAGCTGCAATGTGACAATCAGGAGGATGGATGAGGAGCAAATAGGAAAAGGGTCCTTCTCAGAGTGGGGTCTGTCAGGGCTTTTCAGTGTAGCACGGGGCTTCAGGCAGGCAGAGGCACCCGTCCTGACCCACACACAAGGAGGACAGTCAGGAACCACAGTCCCAGGGCTTGGACTACAAGGACTCCATGAGCTCTGGAAACCACCACTCCACTTGCCCCCTGCCATTTGTCACTGCCTTCTGCTTACCCAGAGGATCAAAGGAAGCTCCTTAAAGCAAACAGCCAGCATGTTTGTCTCTGGAGGTGATGCAGGAGGGAAGCCAAGGGATCTCCCACTCCAAGAGAAACCCCAAGAGACAGAGTTATGATGGGACTGAGGTCCCAGAGAAGTAGGAGCAACTGCAGACTCCAGCAGGAAGGAGAGTCCGCAGTAGACTAGGGCTCTGCAGCATCAGAGCTCCTGTGGTGTCAGCAACCCGCGTCATCTCTCCTGGGAGCAGGTGCATCTCAGCACCACCTCTCAACAGAATCCCCCCATGCCCTGCACGCACACACACACAAACATGCACACTAATGTGGTCACCTATTCTGGGCTGAAGTGGGAAATGAGATCCCAGTGATCTGAGCTTTCTCTGCCTCAAGTGGCACAGATCCCAAAGAGCACAGACTCCTCAGAGCCAAGCTTCTCAAACTTCATGGTGCATGCAAATCCTCTGAGGTTGTGTTAGAACAAAGATGGCCCAAGCCCAACCTTCCCAGAGATTCTGATTCAGCAGATCTGGGGTGCAGCTCATGAAATGGCATTGCAGACAAAATTGAAAATTCCCAGGTGATGTTGAAGCTGATGCTAAGGTCTCAGGACACACACTTTGAGTTCTCAGAGACTTTTATGGTCAGTCTATAGGAAGATCACTGTGGGAGTGGCCCTGGGAGAGCCTGGTACAGAAAGCAGTCATGGCAACTGACATCTGACATCTGGGAAGGGGCCTTAACAAAGATATTGAAGCAGGAATGAATGAGAGGGGTCGGATGGAGATTAAGTTCCTTTCACTGGAAGGCTCTAAATAGCCCCTGAGGCTCCACCAGCCAGAAGGGCCTTTATACTCCCTAAGAACCTGTTTCTGTTCCTCAAAAATTAAACATACAGTTACCATATGACTCAGAAACTCCACGCATAGGTATAGATTCAAGAGAATGGAGAAGAGGTGTCCACACAAAAACCAGTACACGAATGTTTACAGCAGCTTTGTTCATAATAGTCAAAAAGGGGAAACAACCCAAATGTCCACCAAGTGATGCATGGATAAACAAAATATGACATATCCATACAATAAAATATTATTCATCCATAAAAAGGAATGATACCTGCTATAATATGCATCAATCTTGAAAACGTTATACTAAGTGAAAGAAGCCAGGCACAAAAGGCCACATATTGTATGATTCTATTTATATGAAATGTCCAGAACAGGCAAATGCATAGAGGCAAAATGCAGAGTTGTGGTTTCCAGAGGCTAGGGCTTAGGGAGGAAGGAATAGGGTGTGATTGTTTAATGGTTATGGGGTTTTGTTGAGGGGTGATGAAAATATTCTGAATTAGATAATGGCAATAGTTGCACATCATTGCAAATTTACTAAAAGCCACTGGGATGTATACTTTAAAATACTTAAAATGGCGATTTTATGTTACGTATATTTTACCTCGATAAAAACATATTTTAAGTATCTGCTTACATCTTCTGTCTAGATCCCATTCAGGAGGGCTAAGCTTGAATCCAGGACTTACTGAGGAGCAATCACACAGAAAAGGACAGACACTTCGAGGGAAGTACCTCAGAATGAGAGCCTTGCATTCATTTACTTTGGCTCAGTAGCTCCTACTCCTATAGCATTTGGGAAGGAAGAATGATTGCCTCCATCCCATGTAACACAGCTCATATTATACAGAAGGAGAATGCAAACTTCCTTCTCTCAAGCCTCTAAAGGTGGAAGCAAACCTACCTTACAAACAGCAGGCTTGCTCCTAATCAGTGCCGTGAAGGGACCAATGCTGCCTGGTACATGGAGTCAGTAGGAGGATGGGCAGATGGCCACTAGCATCAGTGACAATGCAGCCTGGAGTGGATTCAACAGACAACACAGACTTCCCTTCACTCTCATCTCTGCCCCCACCAGAGGCACTGAGTCACTGGCTTAACTGAGTCACTGAACCTGGAAGGGACCACGTCCTCCTTCATTCACTCATTATCTCAGTCAGCATATACCTCTATGTGTCAGGCACTGTCATGGCCGCTGCTCCAGCAATAGATAGGACAGGGCCCCTGCCCTCAAGGAGCTTCCAGTCCAGTCAGGGCTACCCCTTCAATGCCACCCCCCTGCTGGAGAGCCTGGATCTTGGGTAAGGTTCCACATCTGTTACTGCTGTAACCTGGTGATGTCACTTACTCCTCTGTGTCTTGGTTTCTTTATCTGATATGAAAGTCTCATGACTTGCTGAATAAATGTCATAACATTTCATTTAACTCAGTTTATAATGTTGCACTAGTCATCAGATTCACTGAGTTCTTCAAAAATATAGCTCTTTGGCAAAATTCATTGTTAAAAAATAAATAAGCCATTGTAAGCAATTTTTATAAATTTAGTTTGTTTTTATTCATTCTAAACCATGGGATGCCCTTTGGACATAATACAATAATGATTCTAGGGTTCTTAGAAACATGCTATTTGTTTCCTTCCTTATCCCTCTGGATGTGAAGTAAAATAATAACTTAAATAACTTGAAGTAAATTATACTTTAAAAAGAATCTCAGCCAGGCACAGTGGCTCACAACTGTAATCCCAGCACTTTGGGAAATCAAGGTGGGCAGATTACCTGAGATTAGGAGTTTGAGACCAGCCTGGCCAACATGGTGAAACCCTGTCTCTACAAAAATACAAAAATTAGCCAGGCATGCTGGTGTGTGCATATAATCCCAGCTGCTCTGGAAACTGAGGCACAAGAATCACTTGAACCTGGGAGGTGGAGGTTGCAGTGAGCAGAGATTGAGCTACTTCACTCCACTCTAGACTAGTCAACAGAGTGAGACTCCATCTAAAAGAAGAAGAAGAAGAAGAATCTCAGATTTATAAGATGAGAGATTCAGAAATATTTGGTTTCCAAGATCTAGGCATATTTGGTTTCAGCACCCAAAACTTTGGACAGCAGCCTCCTCATTCTCTCCTGGTAGAACTGACTTGAGAGAAAGCCTGGTTAGGGCTAACTGATTCTTAACATCTCTCTTTAACCAAGGTCATCTCAATTCTAGGAAGGAGAGTGTGCCCCTGGCTCAGATAAACCAGTGAGAGTTGAAGGGTACCAAGGACAAGGTACTCAGATGACAAGGCTAAGGGGAAAGCTGCACTGTGGGCAGCAGGAAGTAACTGGACCCACATCAGAGCTAACAGCAAATATTCACACCATAACTCCGAATTCTCAGATCCCAGGTAGACTCTGACTTCCTCAGAATCCCACTGTGATGTCTGAGCCTCAGAGCAAGGCTTGGATGCCACAGTGGGCTCTCCTGCTTAGTTGTAGTTTGAGTCACTCCTTTGCTCTTTTGCACCATTTCAGCTAAATCCTGTGCATGGGGTGTGGGGGTTTCTTTAGACCTTGAGCCGAAGCTAGAAACCAGATTTCAAAAAATTCTGTGAGCAGCATTGAGAAGCTATACCAGGGAGAAGCAAGGACCAGGCTTTTCAGTCAAGCATAACTGAGCTATTAAGACACAAGAGACTCAGGCGTCTGCCTGTCCGCATCAATCTAAGGAAAACTCAGCACACATTGCTGCAGCAAGCAGAGGTTTGGACATGGGATGGGCTGTTATACTGTGCATAATTTAACCAACACATGTCGGTGGCTGAATGCTACAAAATCCACTTCTTGCTCAAGTCTTACATGACCAGTAGGGGGTCAGCAGGGGGCTCTTCTCCACATGTCTTTCAAGGACCCTGATGGAGGCTGATGGAGGTTCTACCACAGCATGGCTGCACCGTCTGGAATCCATGGCCTTCTGGGTCACCTGGCAGGGAAAGGAGGAGATGAGGAGCCTTTGGACTGGCAATTAAATGCTGCAGCCTAGAAGGGACACACTCATTTCCTTTCACAATCTATTAATCAGAAATAGTCAAAAGTGATGGTCCCCAAAAAAAAGGAAGAGCTGGCTGTGGCTGAGCACTAGAAGATTCTGCCACAGTCCCTGCTATGGATGAGTCCTCCTCCCCTTCTGAGACCACTCGTTTCTTCCTGCATATTTACTGTACAAAAATATTATAACAATACAAGGAATAAAAATGGAAAGGAAGCCCTCCGCAATTCCATCACTCTAACAAATCAACTGCTTTTGTTTTTCATTGTTTCTTTTCCATGCTCTATCCACCTGTGTAAATAATTTTACATGATTTAGTGCTTTTTTATGTGTTACCCAATATTATAAGCCAAACATTTTTCCACATTGCTCTATGATCTCCATTAGCATTCTCTAATGACAGTCAACTCTTTGCATTTGTGGGTCCACCTTCCATGATTTAATAGCTCCCTCACTGTTGGCACTGGGCTCTCACTGAACACCAGGCTCAGCACTGAAGCTTTTCATGTGTCACCTGGCTTAATCCTCACAGCATCCCTAAAATCAGACCCCATCATATCCCCATTTAAAAGCGAGGAATGCGGGACTCAGAGTTGGTGAATAAAGAGCCCAAACCTTCTTAAACAATAGGTAGGGGAGACAGAATTTGAACCCATGATGGTAGCCAGGTTTTCTCTATGGTGGGTCATCATTGCTTTCAGAAGCCCATCTAGGGCTTCATGCCTCCCAGACCCCTTGTCCTTCCTGGCACCTCCACGACCCCAACTCACTGGCACAGTAAGACCCTCCCCAGAACAGGCTCCCAAAGCACTCAAGGTAATGTGGCTCTTTACTGAAGGTTGTGAGGGTAGACAAGAGACGGTGACATTGTGTACCACTCAGCAGGACTTCCTAAAGTGTGTTTTAATTGTGTCTTTCTCTCTTGACAAAATTGTGTCTTTCTGTCTTACAAAATGTCACACACACACAGCTACTTAAAATTCCCTCTCTCCCACCTAGCTTCCTCCCTCTGCCCCTTTGCTCCCTCCCTGCCTCCCTCTCCCCCACTGCCTCCCTCCAAAGTCCCCCTTCTTGCCGTGCTCCAGCCTCAGCTCCCAAACCTCCCTCAGGGCCACCTGCCCTGGAACAGGCTTCTCCTCTGCTTCCCATTCCTCTTCCAGAGAGTTTCTGCTGACTGTCTCTTTCCTTAAACAGAACTACTTGTCCCTATCTTGGCTCTCCAGCTCTCTTCTCCATGCTCCATTCAGCATGATGTGATCCTAGATGCAAACCCAAGATGCAGACCAGCTAAGAGTCCTTCCTCTTTAGAAGGTGACAGAGGGCAGTGCACATGTTTATAAGCTAAACGGGCATTTTTTCAGTCATGTCTTTTCCCTCATACTTTGTGTTTTTCCTTAGGGCACACCCATGTGGAAACAGGGCATAGAAGAGCAGCACATCCCTTTTCAGGTGACTGCAGGTGACTGCAGGTATGAGGGAGAGCATTCCTGAGCTGAGCTGAAACCCGCCTCCCGGTACCTCCTCTTGCTGGATCTAGCCCCCTTCTCTGCACCACAAGCCCTCAGGGACCCAGAGCAGAGAAAACCTTGAGTTTTCTTTTCCAGCCAAATGTCCTAAGCCCTTGGAATGGCAGAACCTAGGGAGGCATTATGTCAGTCCGTTTTTGCATTGCTATAAAGAAATACCTGAAGCTGGATAATTACAAAAAAAGAGGTTTATTTTGGCTCACTGTTCTGCAGACTGTACAGGAAGTATGGTGCTAGCATTTGCTTCTGGTGAGGCCTCAAGTAGCTTTCAATCATGGCAGAAGGCAAAGGGGGAACCTAGTGTGTCAGATGGTGAGAGAGGAATCAAGAGAGAGAAGGGAGGTGCCAGATTCTCTTAAACAACCAGATCTCAAGTGAACTCATTGCGGTGGGGAGGATGCCAAGCTATTCGTGGGGTGCAAAGCTGTTCCTGAAGGAGGCCACCTCCAACACTGGGGATCACATTTCAACATGAGATTTGGAGGCGACACACATCCAAACAATATCAGGCATTAGAGCAGGGGGTATGATGCTACTCAGCCACACAGTAACAACTCCAATATCAGGTGTTCAATTTGACAATGTGCCATGTGAGGCAGTTGGATATGGCAGAAACTGCACCAGGCAAGGACTCCAGAGACTTGGGTGCTAGTTCCAGAATTTGGTGCTGAAGTCTTAAGACTTTGGACCAGCTACTCAACTGGTCTTTGTCCTCAGTTTCCTCATCTGCAAAACAAGCATAAGCCCTAAGCACTGCCTGCCCTGCCCTGCCTATAAAGCAGTGGTTGGAAATGCAGACGATGTATGAGAAAGGGCTTTGCACACCCTGAGGCTGGTCCAGCTGGCAGGAAACATCTTCTTCCCTTGAGTATCTTCATTTAGGATGGGGTCATCCATCAGCCCTCCCCAAAATGCAAAGAGGAGGGACCAATGCTTGCTTCCCTGCCACCTTTCTAGCCTCTTAAGGGCATGAATCAGCCTGCAGGCTGTGGCCCTGAAGTGCAGGGCAAAGGGTGGGAGGAGGAGCTGACCCCACAGTGGCCATGCTGTGTCATCTGCAGAGGCAGGGAGCCCAGAGGAGAAGCATAAACAGCAACTGAGATGTAAACAACAGTCAACAGCTGGGAATTTTCCAAAGCTTTCCCTCAAAAGCTGCCTCCTCGGCCCATCTAGGGATGGAATAGGAAATGTCAAAGCGGGCAGAAAGCTCAGGGCTCCCCATGCCCTGGTCCAGTGGAGAAAAGGAGGCGAGAGAGAGAGAGAGAGAGAGAGAGCAAAGGGCTGCCTCAAAGTCACTTCCAAAGGAACTCTGTCCAGTGTGCCCTTTCCAAGCCGCCTCCTGAAGTAGCCTCTGAGATCTTTTCTGAGGGTCTTAGGTCTCTTTTCCCTGGGTCTATGAGGCTCTCAGGCTGGGATTAGGTTAGGAACTGGCCAACCAGGGCAGGAGCCCAAGGCTGAGCTTTCATGGGGAGACCCTCTCCTAGGAGCCAGCACCCACCACCCAGCATGCCAAGGCAGGGGCCCATCCATCCTTAGGAGACAGCTGTGCCAGGCACCCCATCTGAGCATCCATGCCCCCAACTGGGGCCAACTACCCATGACACAGAATCCAGGAAAACAAAGTCCATGCCCTCATGATTATGCAATCTGGCAGGTAGAAACAGACCACTAATGATTCCACAATTAAGCACCTCACATGGCAGGGGAGGAGAGAGGCTCTAAATGCTATAAACAGATAAAGCAAAGCCAGTGAGACAGAGTGAAAAGGGGAGAGTTATTGTTTTGTACAAAACAATCATGGAAGTTACTTGATAGGGGAGCCCAAGAAGAAGGAAGAAGGCAGTCCTTGCAGATCTCTGGAGAAAGAACAGTGTGAACAGAAGCAGCAGAATGTGTAAAAGCCAGGATCGGAATGAACCAGGTGTGCCAGGAGAATCACTCATTGGCTGTCCTGGCTGAGGAAGCATGAACAAGGGAGCCAGAGGAGGTCAGAGAAGAATGGGAGTGATCTTTTCCAGGGTATATGTCATATTGAAAGACTGAATTTCAACCTGAGTGAAAGTAAAAACTGCTGTTTGTTTGTTTGTTTATTTTCTGTGCAAAGAAGTGATATTTTCTGACTTCGATTTTAAAGGAGTAACTCTGGCTGCTGTTTGGAAGAATGGTGGCTTTCAGAATGTATTTTATAGAGCCAATTTAATTAACTAGTAGTTGTAAATGGGAGTAAGAAAAAGAGCATCAAAACGTAGATTTGAGGCAGAAAGAAATTTGCTGCCCGAACCTCCTTACACGTGGCAAAACTAGTCTGTCTGGATGTCCTCCCCTTGTGAGACTCAAGAGAGGACCCTGGTTGGCCAGAATCATGAGTCTGCCAGCCACAGGCAACAAGTCCCCTTTCTGCAGGGCAGTCAGGAGCCTCAGGTCTGGAAGAAATGTCATAGATCTCCTGGGACAACTTTCTCACCCAGTACCAGAGCTGAAGTCCCTCAGCAGCCCTCCAGAGAGTGGCCATTCACCAAGGCTATGCTGGGAAATGTTTAACAGCTGGTTTGGGGTAGGGGTGGGGGACTCTGATCTGTAGCATTTACCAAATTCTGTAGTGTAAATACTCCCACTATGGCTGATTTCAAGCTACCAATGGCTTAAAAACCACCCGGCAAAATTCCTGATAACTGAACAACTGTGTTCTACAAGCTAGTACAAGCTGGCCATAGGGCATTAATGCCCTCCATCCTCTGGCTACCTATCTCCTCATACAGAAAGCCTACTGCAGTCAGTCATCATCCATCCCAGCCAAGTGCTTGGGAAAATTTTTTACCAACTGGCTTCTTGTGAATTTCACTGTTGAAATAAACCCCTGAGCCTTTGGCAGGAATTCGGCATGAATAAGTTAGAAGGACATGCCTGCTTTGTGACATGGTGGTCACAGATGCAAGTCACCTGCTGCGTAGAAGGTGCCAATACCTATGAATGTATCAGGATCCCACAGATAAAGACTCTGGGCTTTTGATGGTATCTCTGGGTACAAGCTCATGACAAAGGCAACACTTCTGTGCAGGACAGAGCAAGTAGATTGGTCTGGAAGCTACAGTTGGTGCCATTCTAGGGCTTTTTGTCCTTACCACAAAGAAAGTAGGCTTCTACATAAGCTGGCTCGGCAGCTCAAATACCCACAGAAACCAGGTGCAAGTGAGTGAGACTTAACTAATTCTGTTGAAGGCGACCTGTGTTTTGAACTTTGGGAGTGACAAAGGAAGTGCCACAGTTAATAACTCAGACATAAATTGGAGGGATTACATTCGTTTACTCCCAGTGGACACTAAACAGAAACAGGTAGGAAACTTTATCTCTTTTTAAAGGTTAATAATAAGAGCTGAGCTCACCTATGACATTCTTCTAGATGGCTTATATTCAAAGTTGCATTTGATCCCTACAACAATCCTGCAAACATTGCTATCCCTGTTTCATGACTGAGAAGACATTAAATATGGGTTGAGCATCCTAACCTAAAAATCTGAAGTCTGGCCGGGCACAGTGGCTCATGCCTGTAATCCCAGCACTTTGGGAGGCCAAAGCAGGTGGATCACTTGGGATCAGGAGTTCAAGACTGGCCTGGCCAACATGGCAAAACCCCACCTCTACAAAAATACAAAAATTAGCCGGGTGTAGTGGCACATGCCTGCAATTCCAACTACTGGGGAGACTGAGGCAGGAGAATTGCTTGAACCTGGAAGACGGAGGTTGCAGTGAGCCGACATTGTACCGCTGCACTCCAGCCTGGATGGCAGAGCGAGACTCTGTCCCCAAAAAACAAAAAAACAAAAAACATCTGAAATCCAAAATCTGAAACCTTTTGAGCACCAAAATTCCACACTCATGTGATGGGTCTCAGTCAAAACACAGCCAAATCTTTGTTAGATGTATAAAATTGTTTTAAAATTTATATAACATTACCTCAGCTTTTGTGTATAAGGTGTATATGAAACATAAATGAATTTCATGTTTACACTTGAGTTTCATCTCCAAGTTATCTCATTATGTATATGCAAATATTCCAAAATCTGAAAACATCTGAAATCCAAAACACTTCTGGTCTCAAGCATTTTAGATGAGGGGCACTCAATCTGTACCATGACTTGGCCCTGATTATACACATAGTGAGTTGCAGAGCCAGAACTTGAACCCAGACCTGTCTGACTCCAAGTCCAGCTTTCTTTCCAGTGTATCCCAGTTATCCCCAAGGACGATTTAGCCTATTTTGCAGTTTCACAGAATCCGTTAACTGAATGATGACTCTGGTCAAGATTGATGCAATTGTCTTCCCAATGTTCCTGCCACCTTTTTCTACACAGAGCTGTATCAGAACATGGCATCTTTGTCTGTCCCATCCAGTGGTTGTGGTGATCAATGTCAGATTCTGTTAGGACCCCATCCCCTTGGCCACAGTTTACTGGTGTATGAAGCTATATTGTTGGCTGTATTGTTACTCTGGCAGAGCTGTAGACTTCCCTATCCCAGTGGTATTAGACTTGGCCATGTGAATTACTCTGGCAGCAGCTTTAAGAGTTAGCCCATGGTTTCCTGTGTCTTCTCTTTTTATCTGCCATGAGACCAAAATCCTCCAGTTGTAAATTACTTCTTCCCAAGTAAAGTTCCCAACATGGAGCCAAGCCACAGCCAACCCACAATGGACATGAAGCACATGCAAGAGGTAAACTCTGTTGTTGTCAGGTACTGAGATTTAGGAACTGTTTGTTACTACAGCATAACCCAGCCTATCCTGACTGATGCCCAAGGGAATAGATATTCTCCCAAGCTGGGTTAAGGAAGCCCTGGTCTGGAAATTTTAAACCTAAGGACCAAAAAAATTAATTTATTTGGGTGACTGAAGACGTTACATAAAACTCAGGTGACTGCCATATTTTCATGGATTGAGGAGGAGAGGACACCAGTGTAGAATTAAACAGATGAAACTGATGCCCAGACAGAAGCAGAAACAGGGAGTAGACAGAGAATCCTTAGAGGTGATGATGACAGCAGTTCTTTAGAGTAAATTGCATCTTGGTTCTTACTGTGCCTTGGTTGTCTTACTCTCTCTGGATTCTCTAAACCTTCAAGAGAATATGCCTTATTTTTTAAACCAGTGTAAGTTGTATTAAATAATTTCTGTATTTTGCAATTAGAGCCCTAACCTATATATCTAACATTACAGATGAGACACTAGTCATGAAGAATGGGTGGGACCTGCCCATGTTCTCAGCACCCCTTTTGATAGCAGCAAGATTCACTTGACATAGCCCAGTGCACGATCTTCATTCAGCCAGAGGCAGCAGGAGGTGCATGGGGGATACTTGGGGTTTACCTGCTGCTGGGAACTCCCATGATCCTTCAGGCTGAGTCCTAGCCAGGTATCTCAGCTGTCAGAATTTGAAGGGAGAAATAACAAGCTTGCAGAAAACCTAGACTATCAAGACACTAAGGCATGGAATCATAAAATGGGAATTCCCCCCAGGATTTTGTTTTCCTGTTTTTCTAAATATTTAAAAAACATGGCCAGGCACGGTGGCTCACGCCTGTAATCCCAGCACTTTGGGAGGCCGAGGCGGGTGGATCACCAGGTCAGGAGATCGAGACCATCCTGGCTAACATGGTGAAACCCCGTCTCTACTAAAAATACAAAAAATTAACCGGGTGTGGTTGCAGGCACCTGTAGTCCCAGCTACTCGGGAGACTGAGGCAGGAGAATGGCCTGAACCCGAGAGGTGGAGCTTGCAGTGAGCCAAGATTGCGGCACTGCACTCCAGCCTGGGTGACAGAGAGAGTCTCTGTCTCAAAAAACAAAAACAAACAAACAAAAAAAAGTATATTCATAATACCAAAACCTAAGCCATTTAGAAAAGTACAATGAAGAAAGTAAAAACTCTCCTGAAATCCCATCACTCAGAAAGGAAGGCTGTTAATATGCTAGTGATTATTCATCCAGATATTTCTCTCTGTCTATATGTATAACCACATATAAATAGATTCAACATTATGCAAATGGAATCATATAAGTATGTGGTTTTGAAATTTTCTTTTTTCACTTAACAATATGTTATAAATATCTTCTATGTCAGTAAGTACAGAATCATATTGTCATTTTTAACACCTATTTGGTATTCTACCCTATGGATGCATTTATTCTGGCATGCTATCATGGGATTCCATTCAGTACACAACATTGCATAACAGCTGAGAGTGTGGTCTCTGGAGCGACAACACCTTGCTTTAAATCCTAGTCCTCAATTTTCCAGCTATAAGACCTTGAGAAAGTTGCTTGCCTCTCTGTGTGTTTTGTCTTCTGCAGAATGGAGATGCTAATAGTACTTTCTTACAGTGTTTCTGTTTTGTTTTGTTCTGATGATTAAACAAGTTATTACACAGGCAGTGTTTAGAATAATGCCTGCATCGGCCCAGCACTGTGGCTCATGCCAGTAATCCCAGCCCTTTGGGAGGCCAAGCCAGGAGGATCACTTGAGCTTAAGAGTTTGAGACCAGCCCAGGCAACATGGCAAACCATGTCTCTACCAAAAACAAACAAACAAAACAAAACAAAACAAAAATTAGCCAGATGTGCTGGCATGCACCTGTAGTCCCAGCTACTTGGGAAGTTGAGGTGGAAGGATCGCTTGAGTCCAAGAGATCCAAGCCGCAGTAAACTGAGATCACACCACTGTACTCCAGCCTGGATGACAGAGAGAGACCCTGTCTCAAAAACAAAGAATAAAAAAGAATAATGCCTGCATCACACATCACAGTAAGTCTCATTGCATAGTATTATGATTTAATTATATTTCAATAACTAATCCCCTATTGACAGATATTTGGGTTGTTTCCAATATTCTACTATTATAAATTATTTCTGCAAAGCAACAAACATCTGCTATATATATTTTGTCCACTTGTCAGATGATGTCTTTAGATAAGTTCTTGAAAATGAATTTGCTTGTACATAAAGTATTCAATTTGATATTTGTCCTCAAACTGCTTTCTAGAAATATTGTACCAAATTACATTCTCATAAACAGTGAGAGAGAATGCCCATTTTTCCAGACCCTTCAGCAGCACTGAATTTGTTCAATATTTTAAAATTTGCCAGCTAGTAGGTAAAAAGTACAACTTCCTAAATTTTTTATTTGCATTTATTTCACTGCTAGAGAGGACAGTTATTTTCTCTTGTTTGGGACATTTATATTTCTTTTTTTGTGAACTGGCCGCTCATCTCTTTTATTCTTTGTTCTATTGTGGTGATCATCTTTTTAAAAAAAATGATTATAAGCGTTCTTTGTAAGATATCTACATTAAAATGTTGCTGTTATGTTAGGGCTTTCAGATTAAAATGCAGGACATCAAGTTAAATTTGACTTTCAGACAAATGATGAATGGGACATAATCATACTAAAAAATTATTCATAGCCTATCTGAAATTCCAATTCAACCAGGTTTATATCTCTGTTAAACTTAGTAACCCCATCTCATATGGATAGCAAATATTTTTCCAGTTTGTTGTTTATTTTTGAATTCCGTTTACGGTGTCTTTTTCCATGAAGACATTTATTTGCATATTTTATAATCATATATATCAGTCTTTTCCTTTATGCTTTTATGATATATTTAGAAAGGCTTTCAGAATTCTAGGTTTATGATGACTTTTATGTATATATTCATCTAATTATTTTTTGACTTCAGTTTTTTATGTTCAATTTATGACGGATCTGGAATTTGTTTTGGTCTGGGGAACTAGGTAGAAAATGAGATCCCCACACTTTCACTATCTAGTTATTCCAATATCATTTATTTAAACATCTATTTATCTGGGCCAGGCGTGGTGACTCACGCCTGTAATCCCAGCACTTTGGGAGGCAGAGGTGGGTAGATCACCTGAAGTCAGGAGTTCGAGACCAGCCTGGCCAACATGGTGAAACCCTGTACCTAACAAAAATTTCCCAGGTGTGGTGGCGCATGCCTGTAATCCCAACTACTTGGGAGGCTGAGGAAGGAGAATTGCTTGAACACAGGAGGCAGAGGGTTGCAGAGAGCCGAGATCGTGCCATTGCACTCCAGCCTGGGCAACAAGAGCAAAACTCCGTCTCAAACATAAAATAAAATAAAATAAAAACTATCTATCTGATTAACATGAAGTACCACCTTAAACACCACAGTTTCTCATGTACTTCTAATTCTGGGCTCTTCATCCCATTCCATTGAACAGTCATGTCCGGACCAGTAATGTGCTGGTTTTTGCCTTGTGACAGAGGCGGTGTCGTGTGATGGGGTTGAAGCACATAGATGCATAGTTTTTGCAGGCAGAACGCCTGCATCAAACCCCTGATCCCCTACTCCTACTTGTGTGACCTTACACAAAAGTGTAAGTGTGATACTTACACTTTTGGGCTTCCATTTCCTATCTGAAAATGGCAGCAGTATCAGTACCTGCATCATAGCTTGTTGTGATGAATAAAATGCATTAATCCACGTAGAGCACTTCCTTAAATAGTAAGCACTCAAACAATGTATTTTATTTATTCATTTATTCATTTATGCATGCAAGCATTTCTTCATTTTAATATCCAGCAGGGCTAGCTTCCCTTATGCTCTTCCTTATCAACATTTTGTTGCCTGGTCTCTTTATTCTTCCACATGACACTGAGAATCATGTCAAGTTAAAAAGAAAATTCTACTTGGAATTTGATAGAGATGGCATTGAATTGACAGATAAAGAGGACATGATGGGATTACAGTGTTTACTTCTTCTTGCCCAAGAATAAGGCGTGCGTCATAATAGATTCAAGTCTTCTCTAGTCCCCTAGTAGAGAAGGTTGTTTTTTTTTTTTTTTCTTTCACATTTCATGATAAGTTTATTTTTCCTAGCTACTGTGGCTTGGCTATTAGTGAGAATGGGATTTTTTATTTGCCTTTCAAAATGGTTAGTAAGTGCACAAGAACACCGTTAATTTGGTATGTTTATTTTGTAGCCTGCCAATTCCTTGGAAAGGCTATTATTTCAACAATCTTCAGTTTGCACTTTCCAACTACACAATCACATCCGCTGCAAACAGTAATCATTTTTCTCCCGCTTCACATATATATAATATATATACATATATACACACATATAGAATATATATTTTTTTAACAAAGGCACAACTTCAGTATTTTTACACCTTATTTCCTTCTCTTGTCTGATTGCATTGACCAGACGTCCCAAACCGGCCCCCTGCTCTTGCCCCTAACTTTAATGGAAATGTTTGGCTTGCTATGAAGCATACTGCAGGAGAAGGCTTTGAGAGGGTTTTGCTGTCGTTGTTGTTTGGGGGGATTTTTTTTTTTAACTGTAAAGAGAATATCTGAAGAAAATGCATTTGAAGAGCATATTGGAATAGCCCAGATTGGTTTGTGCGCCTGCAAGGAGCTCTTGGGCCCCCTCCCCTCGCTGCCAACGCTCTGCCCCGGGGGCTGAAGTTTCTCTCTGCGTTTCCGCTTGAACAGCGTCCAGCTGCCTCGCCTTTAAAATGCCAGGACGGCCGCGGCTCCGCTCAGAGCCCCCTCTCGGCTGCTGGCCCGGGCTCGCCCGCGCCGCTGGGGGCTCTGACTCCTGCCGAGCCGGGCCTGGGCAGCGCCCCCCGCGCCCCGCGAGCCCGCGCCCCCGTCACCGGGAAACGCCGTAGCCGGCGATCCGCGGTCGCCCTGGGCTCGGCGCCGGCCCAGCCAGGACCCCGGGAGCGCACGGGACGGGCCTCGCCAGGTAAGGACCGCGGGAGCATCCCGGGACCCGCTGCCGCGGCGCCTGCGGGGCTGGAGCACAGCATTGTCGGTGCCGCCGGGGCGTCGCGCGGGTCACCGGCCGCAGGCGGAGGATCTGCTCGCTGAAGTCGGGCCGAGCCCTGCCGCGGCGGCGAGGAGACCCGCGTGGACACTGGGACCGATCCCCTCCTCGGCGGCACTGCGCCCGGGGCGCGCCTCGGTCGGCGGGGAGGGCCGGACCCGCGCGGCAGGGGACAGCAGCCTCGGTGGGAGCCGCACGGGAGCCGCGTCGCAGCGGCCCGAGTTCCACTGCGGGGCTCGGGGCTCAGAAACCGGGAGAGTGTGGTGCTGTGCTCAGGCACCCTCGCTGTTCTGAGCCTCACCTCCCCATTCGGGGATCCTCGGCCTCTCTGCCATTGAGGGGTTTGGGGAGTGTGAGTTGAAACTGAATCAAAGTTAGAAAGTCCTTCTCGTCACGTTCAGTGCCTAAAATTCCCTCTCCTGTGGCTGACAGTCACATAGAACAGATTTTTTCTCAATGTAACTGATGAAGGTCAGCACGGATGTAACTTCTGGGGAAAGTTCTGCTGGTGGCAGCCTTTCTAAAGAAATGTCAAGTCTCCGTTGGATTTTGTTCTCATCTGTGGCAAAAACCCTAATCCACGCTTTCATATATTTTTCCGTATCAGTGGAGGCGTAGACCTATCCTGGGTTCTAATGTTTTGGGGAATGTATTATGGAGCCGAATTTGGTAAGAGTCTCCGTGCCCGCAGCAAAAGTTCTGGAAAAGAACCTGTTAGAAAATCCAAGCTGATGCACCGCCTCACCAGGCGTGCAATAGGGCCACAGTGGCCTGTCAGGATGTGGCTCGGGACCCAGGAAAAAAGCTCCATCGAAGCCTGTGCTGCCTTCGTGGGGAGAAGTTCCATTCTAACCCACTCGTGCATCCGCCGGCAGGTTCTTCTCAGTTCTCCTCTGATTCTAATCAGAGGATTCGAGTTTCTGGATTAACACTGTGATACAATCTTACCCTTTTCCATAAAATATGTATCCAGTGAACTAGGGGATCTAGTTCCGAGGGTCTGGAGTTGAAGTCTTCTATACTTCCCTCACCCTCATTAAGCCACATCTTGAGAGGAATTGTAATAATCTGATCTGTGGTCTTTGCGAACCTGCAAAGTGTGTGTAAGACCTCATAAAGCCAAACATTCAAGGCTTTAAAGGTGATTTATAGATTAGATTTTGATTAAGGCTACCTTTTCAGGGATGGCTCAGCATAAGATATGTACCAGCTTTGAGGAGGCATTACGGAGGAAAAGCAAAACCTTACGTCCTTGGGAAAACTGTTCTGAAACTAATGACTTTACATTTATCCAAAAGAGAAATTGTGGGGAAGCTGTTTATTTATTCTGTGTAATCATTGCATTCATATGTTGTTGTTTCAAAGGATTAATTTCCCAATCAGTTTTCCCAGTAACACTGTTTATGATTTTTGAACGGCATGCAAGTAATGAATGCATAGAGCATAATGTATCTCTAACCCAAATACATGTGGAAAATTATAGCAAATTTCTCGCCATTACATGTTTAAGATGCAGATTTAAAATAAAGTTATGGCAGAATAGGAGTTGTTTAAAAAATAATATGAACTTTAATTGGCCTGAAAAAAAAAAACTAGCTCAACTAGAAGTTCAATTGCTGCTTGCTTATAAATTGTGATTTACAGAATTGCGTGTGTCTTTCCAGTTCCTTTCCTTACAGGGTTAATGAAAGAGGCAGCCATTCTGAATATACTGCCTTGCTAGTTAATCTTTCTCCAACAAATATTTACACTACCTGGCCACACTATTACAGCACAGACTCAAAATCTGCAACCCTAAAATAGTTTGTGTGTAGTATTGCCCAAATTCAATACTATTTTCATGACGTAAATAGAAAATGAAATGGTATCAAGGAAAATGTCCTTTAAGTATCCTGTCTTGCCATAATAGAAAGAACAGTGTTTATAAAACTGACATGGTTCCTAGACTGAGGTTAATGCTCCTAATAAGTTCTGATGTAGAAGAAGACCATAATGACTGTGAATTTTGACATTGAAGGCTCTGGAACCGGTCCGTGTCTGCAAATTTTTTAGATAGCTTAAGTTTGCTATTAAAAGTGACAACATTTAGAACTGTTTGGGATGGAAATATTTCTAAAGCACATTACATGCTTTCTACAATCAGAGAGTCAGCGAATGGGAATTTGTGTGTTTCCTGACAACTCAAGATCAGCACTGTGAATATCAGTTGCCTTGTGGACACCGGGGAGAAGAACACTGGCATTTGTGGGGGACAAATCAGTGTTTAGTCCTGGCTCTGCCACTAAGTCAGATGACCTTAAGCAAGCCACCTTTTTTATCTTCAGTTCTTATTTGTAAAACCCCAGAATCATCAATTACTAAAAGTCAGTTCCATTTATTAAGCCCTTAGTATATACTAAGCATTTTATATATTCCATCATTTAATTATCAGGTTTATTATCCCCATTTTCCTGACAAGGAAATTAATGATCAGAGAAGCAACTTGAATTACTCAAGGTTAAATGAGGTAGGAAAACTGGGATTCTGAGTAGGGTTCTTCCTCTAAAAGATCTGACTCCTAGTGCCCTTGTCCCGTTAGAATCCCACAGACCCCAAAATGGCATTCTATCCCTGTCCTTAGGATGGCGTGATGGAAAAGAGCTGAGTTCCCCTGAGACTGGAGCAGGGTCAGAAAGACAGGGAATTGAGGCTGGGCACAGTGGCTCAGCACTTTCAGAGGCCAAAGCAAGAGAATCGCTTGAAGCCAGGAGTTTGAGACCAGCCTAGGCAACAGAGTGAGAACTTATCTCCACAAAAAAATTTTAAAAATTAGCCAGGCATGGTGGTATGCCTATAGTCCCAGCTACTTGGGAAGCTGAGGCAGGAGGATGACTTGAGCCCAGGAGTTCAAGGCTGCAGTGAACTGTGATTGCACCACTATACTCCAGCCTGGGCAACATAGTGAGACCCTGTCTCTACCAAATTAAAAAAAAAAAATCAAAAAAAGAAAGAAAGAGAACTGTGCTGCCACTCCTGCAACCCAGCCTGGTGGCAGACATGGGTAATTAAAATACAATGTTCTTTCCATAGACATGAATCTCTATGCCCAGGTGGTTACCACGAGTTGACCAGAGGCAGCAGGCATACTGACACCTGTCTGTTATTTAGAGGCTGATATTATTAATAGCTGACAAGTGGCCTGACACTGCATGGCCTTTATGATCACATCCAGTTCCCTCCGGCTACCCTGGCTTCTTGACTCAGACGGAGCTCCCTGTGTTCTAGAAAACTGCAAATTAATGGCATACATTTGTCGCACCTCCCTCTCTTGCCTAGAGCAGACATTGCTAATCAATTATGATATTCTTTCCCATGGAGCCAGAACGAGGCCTCAGAATCCTTTTCTACAACTGCCTGGAGTTGGCTTAGGAAATGGTATCTAGTTAGGTACTGTAGACAATGGGGAGAGATTGAGGAGTTTTAAGCCAGGAGAGTAATGTGATGGCAAAACTCCTGAAATTGTTTCCCTAATGTACCTTTCTTTCTCTCCTTACCCTTTCCGCTGCGTCTCCTATAAGCCGTAGGATCATCTGTAGAAATGACCCCTGTGCAGGCAAACCTGCCCCAAGATTCCCCACATCAGACGCAGGCTATCTTGATGCATTGCTACTAGGCCTGAGGGAACAGGTCTGTTCCCAGGTTGGGCTGCCTGCATCGAATCAGGTATGACTTGTACGACCAGGACATCAAAGACAATGAGACTTTAGAGTTGGTTCATTTGTATGTGAGAGGGCGTAGTCTAGGCTGGCACAGCAATGAGGCCCATGCACGGGAAGAGCCACAAGCCTCAGGTCCCTGGAGGGCATGGGAGGGCATCCTCTCCATTGAGAGTAGGCTGTTCAGCTCCCAAGATGACCCTCCTCTTGGAAGATAAGTCTGGTGCCCTCTACGATAGCTGATGTTTCAGAGGGGTGCACTTTTTCGCTAGGTCAATTGACTTGACAAATTGTCATTATAGATTCAGCTCCCAAGTAGTGACCTGGGTTCCAACAGCATTAACAGTATGGCAGAATTGTGCGGTGATAGTCAAAGCATGTTCCCTTTCCCTGGGCCCAGTTAAAATGTTAATATATTCATTCTCAGTGTCTGCAGAAGAACAGAGAAAAGTTGCTACCTTTAGGAAACTAAACTGTGAAATCCTGCCTCTCCCTGGTGTCCACATTTCCATGTGAACAAGGAAATTATTGTTAATCAATATGCATGCCCAGTGAAATCTAACTCTCCTAAAATTTGTCTTCTTGTTCAGCAGTTTTTCTGGTTTCTGAGGATACTCCTCAGCAAGATAATGGGTTTCTATGTTAGTGTGAGGAGGGTGGATTTGAGTGTTCCAAGGGTCAGATCTCGACCTATGACTAAATTCCTCCCTTACCACTCCCACTCCCCACCCTCCCCAGGAGCACCCAACCCCTGCAATTCAGAAGAGGCATTCTTCATCTGTCATTCCAAGGAGGGGACTTCTGCCTCCAATGGAGACCAGCAACAAAGCCTTTTACTTTAACCCTTTGACTATTCACACAAGACAAAAGGCACCCCTCTTAGGGGTGCAACTATGCACCTCACAAGCATAGTTGATGGGGATGAGGGACAATTTGAGGAAGCTCCTACACGTGGAATGTTGCTAAGGTGGTGGGAGGATGGGGAAGGGAGAGATCTAGTCATCAACACCTTAGCAGTTGGATTCACAAATTATGGAGCCTTGGAGATATTCTCCTAGGGGAGCATGGGGACCTCCTGGTGTCAAATTCACCTGACCTGTCTTCAAATCTTAACTCCACCACTTCCAGCTGCGAGACCACAGACACACCACCCGACTGCTTTGAGCCTCAATTTTCTCATGGGTAAAATGGAAAGCGGAATACTGACCTCCTAAGTTTTAAGACAGGCTGACAGAGGAGACTATATGAAATTAACCAGCACCGTGCTTGTCACACAGCAGGCCTGGGAAAATGTATGTGACATCTGAATCCGACTGCGAGGACAAACCTTTCAGTGTCCCTAAGTGGGCAGCACAGAAATGGCCAAAGAATCAACTGTAAGGCTCATTGTAAAATGCAGATTCAGGGACCCAACCTCAGATCCCTGAACCGCAACTTCCTGGCACAGAGCTGATAACAGACATTTTTAAACAAACTCTATGAGAGATTATTAGGCACGATAAACATTAGAGTCTAAAATCTGAGAATCACTGACCCAGCTTGGGCAAATTAGCAGTTTGCATACTTGCTTGACTCAAACTCCAAATCCCCAAAGTCCACAGTTCATTCTGCCTGGGCAGAAAAATGAATGCCCTCTTTCTCCTTCTAAACATAGAGAGACACACATTAACTCCCACAACGGGTTTCACACAAGGGCACTTCATAATTTCCTGCTGCCTCCAATGTCATGACGCAGTCGGCTGTCAGCACTGCCAGTAGCCAAAGCTTCCCTGTCCAGGCTTATGTGGCTCCGATCTTCATCGTACCAACCCAGGAAAAATCACAAACGGATAAACAGCAAAGCCCAGATCTGAGGCCAGGTGCCTTTTAACCATGACTCTTCCACAACAAAAGTCCATAATTACTCCAATTTCAACCTATACACTAGGAAGTTTCTCTCTATTCTTACTTGATCTCATAGTATTTTTTCCACCTTTATATGAATTGAACTTTGGAATTACAGAAAATTTGCTTCTTTGGAAGACAAAGATTTTAGTAGCTTAACAGCTGAGTCCTTTGAATTCAGAGCAAGAAATGTTTACCATTTATTTTTTAAGTGTACTTTTTGGGAGGAAAATGTTTTTCTCATTATACAAATTACAGATGTGCTAGGTGGAAATTTTGGAATACTGAAAATTATAAAAGAAGAAAATAAAAACTACCTATGATCTCAGACACATAATTACCATGTTAGTATTTCCTCCAGTTTTGTCTCCCTGGTGTTTTTCTGGTGTTGTTGTTGATTTGATTTTCATTACAAAAGTGGAATCTGTGAGAATGACACCTAATAAATTGTGTTCATGAGGCTTGCGGGGTTGGGGGTTGTCCATCAGTAGCATGGGGGCTGGCCAGGAAAGATCGTGGTGAGAGTGGAGTTTGATGAGACTTTGAGCAATGGACAGATTTGGGCAGCAGAGGTAGGCAGGTGGCATTTCACAGGGAGAGGGTGGTGGCAGAAAGGGGTGGGAAGGGTGAGAGCCTCAGAGTGGCTTTAAAATACGTCCACAAGTTCCTTGATAATCAATCCACAAAGAGGTAGAGTCCATGCCCCCTGTCCTTGAAACTGGGTGGGCCTCTGTGGCTGCCTCAATGTATAAAATGAGGTGGAAGTGATGTTGTATGACTTCAAGGCTGGGATAGAAAAGGCCACGTGGCTTCTGCCAGGCAATCTTGGGACATGTGCTCTGGGAGCCTTGGGCCGCCATATCAGGAGCCAGCTGTCCCAACCAGGATCTGAAGGTAACTGCATGATAGAGCTCCATGCAAGAGCTGCCCAGCTGAACCCAGTCACCCTCCAGATTTGTAAGCAAAATAAATGATTGTTAGTGATTTATGAATAAAGAACCAGAACTGTCTCTTCGGGAACAGTGTTTACATCAGTCTCGATGTAAACACAAACTTGCTACTGTCAAGGTGCCTGGTGAGGCTGGTTGGGGCAGAACCTAGAGGTCTTGATGCCTGCAGCGCTGAGAGGTATCACAGGCCCCAAACTGTTCAGCTATGAGCTGTTGCCCATAGAGGGATTGCATGATCACGATAGCCGCTGGTGTTAGTCTTACGATCCCTCTGTGTAATACTGTCCTCAGTGCATTCCACAAAGTCATGCCTCTGATCCTCACACCGACTCTGTGAGGCTGGTACCCTAATCCTCACCCCTATTTTACCCATGAGAAGTCCAAGGCACAAATTGGTGAATGAATTCACCCAAGTCATGTTGCTGATAAATGGGATTTGGGCTGAGATTCAAAACCCAAGGACTAGCTCCAGGCCCAACTCTCAACCCTTACACTCAGTTCCAGCTCACTGGAGGCTGTTGGAATGCAGATGAGATGATGAGATTGTGTACCTGATAGTGCTTTATATGGTTTAAGGTGCCGACGGTGTTAGGGGGCTGAACTTGCCCTTCTCTGTGGGAAAGATCTAGCCCACAGGGTCACAGACCAGCAGCATCAGCATCCTCAGGAAACTTATTAGAAACACAATTTCTAGTCATTTGTGTCTTCTTTGCCTCAACCACAGAGGGCAGTGTCTGGGGCTGATTCACTCTTTCTTGCAGCCAGAACTATACAAAGCCACCCAAGTCCTTGCTGACGGGTTCACCCTGCACCACTCTGGTGTGAGGCCTTCTGCACAGACTCAAAGGAAACTCTGCCTGATCTTCAATCAGAGAGCTCCTTTACTTTTTCCAAACTAGAGATCTCATCACATGTTGCACATCCCCCTGGAAGAATGGAGTCCAGCCAGTGACGCACCTGAGGAGCTCAGCCTCCCATGACCAACCCTGTGTTGGGCTGTGCCTCCTCGTGGTTCAATTTTTCAAGAATAATGTAAGGATCATTATAGCTTCAGCTGACTTTGATACATCCTTTGACAGCATATCCCTCACTGTCCTGAACATGGGCTTTGCACATAAATTTTCAGACCTCATCTGTTCATTTAAATCTCACTTGCTAGGCTCAGAGGAAAGAAGGCATTAGCAGAGTATAAGTAGGATTACTTACGTTCAGCAGAAAACAAGCAGACAGTTTCAAGGACTCTAAAGAGAGAAAGGTAATAACAATGGCTTGGTTGATCTTCCCATTTCCCACCTCCTTGGTGAGCAGGATGGGAAAAGTCAATCTTCCCTCCATGGATGCAGAGATGCAGGAGATGGAGGAGATGGGCAGGATGGCTGAGCCCTGGGCTCCACAGTGGACTTCAGCAGAGCCTGACTGCTTGTTGCCTTCCAGATGGCCCAGAGCATCATACTCCTCCAACATCCCCTGGTCTCCTCCCAGGAGCTGTTAACACAGCTCTTTCCACTTATTCAAAATGCTCTTCCATGTTGACTACACCATCTAAGCTGGTAGCCCCAAAAGAAGGGGTGTCATTGCTCCATTATCATGAGAAGGGTACAGAGACTCAACGACTGAAGGGACTCATCTCACTGTGACTGGTGGACTAAGTCCAATGTGAGACAGCCACATCTGCACACTCTGTCTGCCTCATCTCTCTGGCTCTCAGCTGGGAGGCATCATTTACCCTTGGGGTACAAGGAGAAAGATGGCTTTGCATCTGAATTTTGCAGGAAGAAAGGAGGGAAAATGACGATGGTAAATAATCTGGATTCTCTTAGTGTGTTGCTACCTGCCTAGCCCTAGAAAATAACTCTGACCTCTTGTCCAAGGCATCTGCTATAGCTACTGGGACACCACCCTGTGAAGACTCTACCATTGCAAGGTTCTACCTGCCCCCACCTCTCACCACTCACCCCGTGAGTGGCCGTCATGCCTTCCCTTTTAGGGCTCTTGGGGCCTGACCCAGAGAATATGCTAAGGTGACAACTGGCAAAGGGAGTTCCCTGTGCAGGAAAGTATCTTAATGCCCATTAGAGTAGCCACTGCCTAATGTACAGCTTACACCATACCCCAGGCTTGGTAGGTATAACTTGGGAATGTAACTTTGTGTTCACCAGCCTGGGATGGCTTAACACAGCCCTCAACAACTAGGCCCTGTAGGAGACCCTGAGACTCCCAAAGCTGGGCCTGGCTGGCAGCACTGACTGGCATCTGTTCTGGGTGGCAGGTCAAGGGAACCGGGCAGATGCACTTGGCACGGCTTCCTTCCTGAATGAAGAGGAGGTAGTTCAAAGGAATCAGAGGGTTGGCAGACCGAAGCTGCAGCTCATGTGGTCACAGATCAAGTCTTTCACAAATCCAAGCCTCCTGACCTGCCTGTGCAACAAAGTTTGGAAATTCTAACTCACAGCCTACTTCTTTAAAGCCACACATGCATGAGATGGTAAAATCAGATGCCTCCAGGGGCTGGGCAGATGACATCAATGACCAAAGCTGGCTGGGTCTGAGCCATAGGGAGTGGTGGAGGCTGTGAAAAACCAACTCCATGAGCAGTGTAAAGGGGACTCTGGCAGCTCAGCTCCACCTGCACATTGTAGGGCAGAAAGGCAGCCCCAGTGTAGCCAATCTTCCAAAAGCAGAAATCCTGAATTTTATGTGAAATTCTCCAAGGGCCAACTTTTTCAAGGTAAAACAAAATTAAACATAAAGCCAGTCTGCAGCCCAAACATAGCATAGCTTTGCCCCGATCTACCAGAGGGCCCCGTGTTGTGACCTGGGATTTACAGGCTCCTCCCTCGGCATTGACTAGTGAGGCATTGTTCATGCAAATTTGCAAACTCCAGGGGAGGTGGAACTTGTTTCAAACACAGTCCCCTGTGATACCCCAATCTAGAAAACAGATAATTCAGAGCCATTCTGGTTGAGGAGGCGCCAGACGGGGCCATATCTCTGCCTCCCCTTCCTGCCCAGCATGCCTGAAAGGCTTCCACGTTGTTTAACTTCTTGCCCGGGCTCACAGGAGCCCCCTTGCGGGCCAGGAGAGTTTCTGCAGATTTCAAAGACATCTAACTTGCCATCAAGTCCTGAAAGCACAGAGTGGACACCTGGGGTGCAGGAACTCGTTTTAGGGCCTCTCCTCTCCTTCCTGCCTTTCAACATAGGGGACGGTCACTCAGAGTGACCACGATGCAGGTCAAAGTGCAGCCTCTCTGTCTCTCTTAGGGTGTCTCTCTCAACCTACATAACATAGAATAAAGAGACTCAGTTTCTCTTCTATAAAACAGGAATGTCCTGTCCAGACCAGGTAGCCTCTCTGAGCCTCGGTCTCCTCATCTATAAAACAGGAATGCTCACTGCTCTGCCCACCTCACAAGGATGTTATTGGAGTGAAAAAGTGGGATACGGACATGAAAGTGTTTTGGAAGGTGAAGTCAGGCAGGGGAAAGGGCTTATCATTTTGCATATGTGGGTTTTTCTATGGGTGGGATGGGAAGAATTGGACTTTGGTATTTCTGCTTCTCTTTCTTCAATCTGCACTAGGCAGGTTTCCAGGAAATTGTGCTGTGGGTGGAAGGGAGGGTAGGCCAACGAGCAGCTGTTTCCCCCAAGGGCCAGTGCGCCTGACTTCCGTGGGCACCTGGGGTCTCTACAGTCATGAGGCCCCGTTCCATCATCTCAGCTCTGTGGGGGAGGGTGGAACGCAGAGCTGAGCTTGCTGTCCTCACTGTGCATGGTTACTGAGCACCCACCCTGCCCTGCAGAGCAAAGCAAAGGAGAATGGGGGCCCCTGCCCTCATGGCAGCTGAAGCCCTTACATGTCTGAGCATGTTTCTGATGCCAAGAGGCATCAGAAACCCAAAAGGGGGTCCTCAGTTCAGATCATAGCAGGTGATACTTGAAGGTCGTCCTGAAAGATTTCCTAGGGGCCGTGGGCTCTCGACATAGAAAGGTCTGTTGAACAAAGTCATGAAAAGGGGAAAAGTTCCTATTTCATTTGAGAAGCCCAGCGTTTGGAGAATAATATATGAGAAAAGAAGGAACAGGAGGCAGGAAAGGAAGAGAATCCTTCTCAGACAATGGTGCTGCAGGGCCCCTTTTTCCCTGAGCTCCTGAATCCTGACCCTGGAGAGTGGTCTAGGGAGTCACACATGGGGCTTTTCTGTTTTCTGCCCACAGATGCACACACAGCTCCCACCTCCATCGCTTAGCTCTTGTTGGCCGGTAGTTGCCCCCATCTCTTTGTTTATAACACAGGGATAACAGACTTCATTCACAAGGGAAGGTGAGGGTGCAATGAGCATCAACAAAATGTGTATCACATGCCAGTTTAAGGATTCCGTGAGCAGCAGCATTTCCACACTTTCTCTGCAGTAGAGCTTGTCTCTGTAGAACTTGTCTCCCGAGTGGGTCCCCCTCACAGCCTGGCACAGAGCAGGATGAAAAGGCAAAGGAAGCCAGCTTTGTCCTGGGGATTCTCTAGGTACCAGGATATCCGGATGCTTTGACTGAGATTCATATGGCTGCCTGGTTATAAGGAAATAACATCCCTCATTAACAGCTACTTAAGTCTTTATTCACTGGATTTATCTTCCCTTGAATGTGACATTTGCCACTGATTTTTATGTCTTGTACAAAGTGTCTCCAATAAGCAGATGCATTTTCAAGAGCTCTTATCAATGAATCAATTAAACAAATTAGCTTCCAAAATCCTGTTCCTTTTAACAGATGTCTGGAAAGTTCTTAGGACTTCCAGAAGAGTCTTCGGGAGAGGCTTTCCGCTCTACACAGTGATTAGGAACTGATTCCATTGCTAACAGCTTTTTATTTGTTGGGTGGTGGGGGGGGAGTGTTGGCAGGCACACAACAGTAAGTCAAGCATGCAATTCAATTTAACAAATAGTGCAGGCTTGTAGATTGGCCAGGGGACCTACGCCATGTTCCAATCTGGGACGCCTGGCAGAACAGGAAAACAGAGTGGTAGAGAGAGGGAGACCTTGGTCTTCCTTGGAGATGAGGGACAGGGGCAAATTCAGGTTTTATGGGTCCTAAGGTTTATGCAATTTTGGGACCCCCCTTAATAAAGTAATATAGGTGGGGTGTGGTGGCTGATGCCTGTAATCCCACCACTTTGGGAGGCCGAGGCAGGCGGATCACCTGAGGTCAGGAGTTCAAGACCAGCCTGACCAACATGGAGAAACCTCGTCTCTACTAAAAATACAAAATTAGCCGAGCGTGTTGGTGCATGTCCGTAATCCCAGCTACTCGGGAGGCTGAGGCAGGAGAATCACTTGAACCTGGGAGACGGAGGTTGCGGTGGGCTGAGATCGTGCCATTGCACTCCAGCCTGGGCAACAAGAGCAAAACTCCGTCTCAAAAATAAATAAATAAAGTAATACAAAATTATGAAAACAAAAGTAAGCACAAAAGTGAATATTTGGGATGAGAAAATAACAGCAAATGATCAATAATAAAAAAGACTTAATTTTTTTTAACAGTCAAACAAGATAAAAATACCATAGACATCACAAGGAGACAGGGAGGCTTGAGTGAGCCTGAGCATGGTGATCCTTGAATGCTTGGCTGAAGGGACTGGACTCTGTGGACAATGGGGAGCTGTAGCGAGTTGGTGATTGTATTAGGGTTCTCTTAGAAGGATAGAACTAATAGGATATATATATAAAGAGTTTATTAAGTATTAACTTACACAATCATAAGGTCCCACAATAGGCTGTCTGCAAGCCGAGGAACAAGGAGAGCCAGTCCGAGTCCCAAAACTGAAGAACATGGAGTCAGATGTTCGAGGGCAGGAAGCATCCAGCATGGGAGAAAGATGTAGGCAGGGAGGCTGCGCCTGTCTCTCCTTTTCACATTTTTCTGCCTGCTTCATATTCGCTGGCAGCTGATTAGATTGTGGGTGGATCTGCCTTCCCCAGCCCACTGACTCAAATGTTAATCTCTTTTGGCAACACCCTTACAGACACACCTAGGATCAATACTTTGTATCCTTTAATCCAATCAAGTTGACACTCAGTATTAACCATCACAGTAATTAATGCAGCCATTTGGGGTGGGTGGTAACCAGAGGGCATAGGATGGAGAGGTGGGGAGCAAGAGACCATATAAGGGACCCAGGCACAGAGGACTGTGGGGCTCAGGGAGGGCCTGGAAAGCCAGAGCTGGTGGGAAGGGCTTCAGACGGCAGAGCCTCCAGGGCTGGCGTGAGTAGGTGTGGGCAGAAATCGAGAGGTCAAGGAGAGCTCTGACACTGTGCTGCTCTGTCGCTGACTGCTCGGGATGCCAGCAGGTGTGACTTGGAAGAAAACGGAAGATTCAGTTCAGTTCAGTCATGTGGTGCTTAACAACGGGGATCCATTCTGAGAAATGCATTCTTAGGGGATGTCGTTCTTATGTGAACATCATAGCATGTGCTTACACAGACCTAGATGGCAGAGCCTACCACACACCTAGGCTATACAGTGTAGCTGATTGCTCCTAGGCTACAGGCCTGGGCGGTATGTTATTGTACTGAATACTGTAGGCAATGGTAGAACTTGTTCCCTGAGTTTAACATGGTTGGGCAGGCCAGGCACGGTGGCTCACGCCTGTAATCCCAGCACTTTGGGAGGCCAAGGCGGGTGGATCACGAGGTCAGGAGATCGAGACCATCCTGGCTAACAAGGTGAAACTCCATTTCTACTAAAAATTAGCTGGGCGTGGAGGCGGGCACCTGTAGTCCTAGCTACTCGGGAGGCTGAGGCAGGAGAATGGCGTGAACCTGGGAGGTGGAGCTTGCAGTGAGCCGAGAAATCGCCACTGCACTCCAGCCTGGGCAACAGAGCAAGACTCCGTCTCAAAAAAAAAAAAAAAACAAACATGGTTGGGCAAAGTCTGCCCGCTGCTTCTTATTGTACAGCCCATGAAAGAAGAATGGTTTCTACATGTTTAAATTATTGAAAACAATAAAAGATCGAAATCATGACACATAAAAATCATATGACACAATTATAGCACAAAGTTAAGTTTTATATATCTGAACATATCTAAACATAGAAAAGGTACAGTAAAAATATGGCATAAAAGATAAGTGGTACACCTGTGCAGGACACTTACCATAAATGGAACTTGCAGGACTGGAAGTTGCTCTGGGTGAGTCATTGACTGAGTGGTGGGTGAGTTTGGCCTAGGACATTACCGTGTACTAGTATAGGCTTTATAAATACTGTACACTTAGGCCACACTAAGTTTATTTTAAAATTTTTGTTTCTTCCGTAATAAATTAACAGCTTACTATAGTGTTTTGCTTTATAAACTTAAATTGTTTTAATTTTTTTTTTTTTTTTTTTTTTGAGATGGAGTCTCACTCTGTCTCCCAGGCTGGAGTGCAGTGGCACGATCTCAGCTTACTGCAACATCCACCTCCTGGGTTCAGGCGATTCACCTGCCTCAGTCTCCTGAGTAGCTGGGATTATAGATGCATGCCACCACATCCAGCTAATTTTTGTATTTTTAGTAGAGATGGGATTTTGCCATGTTGGCCAGGCTGGTCTCGAACTCCTGACCTCAGGTGATCTGTCTGCCTCAGCCTTCCAAAGTGCTGGGATTACAGGCGTGAGCCACTGCACCCAGTGTGTTTTAACTTTTTGACTGTTTTGTAAAAATATTAGCTTGAAACACAAACATAGTGTACAAAATATTGCACAAAAATATTTTCTTTCTTATAGCCTTATTCTGTAAGGTGTTTTCTACTTAAATTTATTTTTATTTTATAACCTTTAAATTTTTTTGTTAAAAACTAAGACACAAACAATCACATGAGCCTGAGCCTACAAGAGCATCAATATATCTGTCTTTCACTTACCTTATCCCACTGGAAGGGCTTCAGGGGCAGTAACACACATGGAGCTGCCATCTCCTAAGATAACAATACCTGCTTCTGGAATACTTCCTGAAGGACCTGCCTGAAGCTATTGTATAATTCACTGTTTTCTTTTTCTTTCTTTTTTTTTTTTTTTTTTTTTCTGAGACACTGTCTCGCTCTGTCGCCCAGGTTGGAGTGCAGTGGCGCGATCTTGGCTCACTGCAAGCTCCACCTCCCAGGTTCAGGACATTCTCCTGCCTCAGCCTCCCAAGTAGCTGGGACTACAGGCACCTGCCACCACGCCCAGCTAATTTTTTATATTTTTAGTAGAGACGAGGTTTCACTGTGTTAGCCAGGATGGTCTCTATCTGCTGATCTCGTGATCTGCCATCCTTGGCGTCCCAAAGTGCTGGGATCACAGGCATGAGCCACCGCGCCTGGCCAACTGTTTTTTTAATAAACAGAAGGAGTATCCTCTTAAATAACAATAAATAATATACCAAATACATAAGCCAGTAAAATTTTTGTATATGTGCTAGACATAATTGTAAGTGTGATGCTTTTATATAACTGACTGTGCTGTGGGTTTGTTTACAACAGCATTGCCACAAACACGTGAGTAATACATTGCACTATGATGTTAAGAGGGCTACCATGCCACTAAGCACTAAGTGATAGGAATTTTTCAGCTCCATTATAATTTTTTTTTTTTTTTAGACCGAGTCCTGTTGTATCACCCAGGCTGGAGTGCAGTGGCACAATATCGGCTTACTGCAACCTCTCCCTCCCCAGTTCAAGTAATTCTCCTGTCTCAGCCTCCCAAGTAGCTAGGACTACAGGTGCACACCACCACACCTGGCTAATATTTGTATGTTTAGTAGAGATGGCGTTCCACCATGTTGCCCAGGCTGGTCTCGATCTCCTGACCTCAGGTGATCCACCCGCCTCAGCCTCCCAAAGTGCTGGGATTATAGGCGTGAGCCACCGCACCTGGCTCAGCTCCATTATAATCTTACGGGACCACTATGGTTGATGGAAACATCATTATGCATTACCATGACTGCAAATCTAGGTAGTGTCTGTCCCAACTACTCAATTCTGCCTGTCATAGTGCAAAGGCAGCCATAGACAGTGTGTAAATGAACAGGCACTGCTGTGTTCCCATAGAACTGTACATTCGCTGAAATCCCAATGTCACATGATTTTCATGTGTCATGATTTTAATCGTTTTGTTTCCTACCATTAAAAAAAGTAGAAACCATTCTTATTTATGTCTGTACAGAAACGAGCAGCGGGCCAACCTTGAAAGGAAGTAAAAGGAAGATGTTCCTTTTTCAAATGCAGTGAGAATATCCCAGAGAGGACCATGACATAGGATGTTTCGCAAAAGGCTGAGCATCACTGGGGTGTTCCCCACCCTGTTCCATCAAGCATTATTTTGGGAAATGTGGTGCTAAGAGTTTGAACTTGCAGGATCTAGTATGGTTCCCAGCACAAGGTAAGTCCAGATGGAAAGCTGGTTGAGGGATATTTATGTAGTGCTGACTAGGAACCCGACACTCTTCTAAGTGCTTTATGTATATTAATTCCTCTAAGTCCTCATCATTATCCCATGAGGTAGTTATTTAGTATCCCCATTTTGCAAATGAGCAAGCTGAGGTTCAAAGGAATGAATGATTTGTGTCAGGCTACCCAGTCAGTGAGGGGCAGAGCCACATTGAAGCCTGTTGAGGAGAAGAAGGGATTGGTAGGGTAGCCCTGTGATAGTGGCAGGTGGGTAGAGGGGAGTTGGTTCTGGGTCATAACTACAGAACTACACGATAAGAACTTTATGGAGCCAAGAGCAACAGCCCAGGACATCCCAGTGAAGATGTCCAACTGGCAAGATTGGCCCTCAGGAGATAGTTAAAGGCTGAAAATAGTAACTGGGACTTGATTTCCCCTGCAGTCTTCCACAGTCGCGTTATGCCACTCCCAGTATGCTTGCTGTCCCTGTCAACCAAGCCCACAACTAGGTTATGCAAATGAGCATAATTTAGGGCGAGCTCTTTCGGAGATGCTAAGCCAAGGATGCCAGCCATCTTGGCCAGCACTCCACCAGGGCCACGTGTGCACCTCGGCCCTTGCATTGGGAGGGCACTTGACCTGCATCTCTTCTGTAGCTGGCCTTATGATGTACTTTCGGTACCTGGAGAGAAAAACATTTACCCTAGGCTTCTGGGGCTCAGGCTATCTATTAGGTCCTGCCAGCCCCTAAGGGTTGACTGCATAGGACATCTTGAACAGAGGAACACAGGAGGCCAGTTTTCCATCTGCTCCGCCAGGCTGGGAGGGCTGCCTTGTGACTCAGTAGCTGAACTACCGCAAGGGCCCCTTTCCTTGCCTCCCCCACAACCCTCCAGGGAAGAGCAGCTGAGAGGCAAAGGAAGAGCCCTGGTTGCAAGACACAGAGAAGTCATGCAGCCTGCCCAAGGTCACCCAGCCACCAGGGGGGCAGAGTCATAACTCAAACTCTGGGGACCGAACCTCAGCCTGCTGCTCTCTGCATCTTGCTGTCACTGCTTCATTGAAGAAGGCCATTCCCCAAAAGCAGGAAACAAAACACGGCAGGTTTCTGTCCACAACTGGCCTGAGTGATTGTGCACTGTGCAGCTGTTTAGATAAAGGGGACATTTTGACACAGGCGATGGAAGACAGCCCCATCAAAAGAGTATGCTGAGGCCAGGAGCAGTGGCTCACGCTTATAATCCCAGCAATTTGGGAGGCCAAGGCTGGCAGATCACCTGTGGTCAGGAGTTCGAGACCAGCCTGGTCAACATGGTGAAACCCCATCTCTACCAAAAATACAAACATTAGCCAGGCACAGTGGCATGCACCGGTATTCCCAGCTACTCAGGAGGCTGAGGCAGGAGAATCACTTGAACCCGGGAGGTAGACGTTGCAGTGAGCTGAGATTGCACCACTGCACTCTAGCCTGGGTGACAGAGTGAAACTTCCTCTCAGAAAAAAAAAAAAAAAAAGGGCATGTTCAAATTGTGGAATAATACATGTTATTTCAGGATGCTGTGTATAATACACAGCCCTGTCTCACCCTATCCCTGACCCAACCTCTCCCCTGATTCCCACCCATCCCTGAACCTAATCATTCTACTGATTTAGCCCATCGCTTGGATGAAAATAAAACATATTTAATAATTGGTTTTCTAAATTTCATCCAAATGTCCCCTGGTCTCAGACGAACAGCCTCTAAAATGTCAGGTTTCCATAATCAATCCGTATCCCCAAAGCCTTCCCCCAATAAGTTTGTAGATGCATTGAAGTAAGACGGCTGGGCTTTCTTTGTTTTCTTATTTCCGCATGATGCTCTGCACACAAAGGACCTAGTCCTCCAAAGCAATGTGCTGGTTTTGCTGGAGAAGACCCAGGCTCACTCACTTGCTCAAGGTCACTTAGCTTCTCCACCGCAGGCTTGCTCCTCTTCTGAGGGACAGCTTTTTTACCTCTGTTAATGGGAATGGAGGAGGTAGGCAGGGAACCCCATGGTGGTGACCCCATTCCTGCATGCTTATGGAACCTATGGTCAAGTTGTGTGGGTTCCTGAGGGCCATGGGCACCCACAACGTGTCATCTGTCCTGTTAAATGTCTTCACGCATGCAGAGGAATCCTGCAATTCAGATGCGCACAGCCACTGCAGCTGCCTGCCTTTGAGGGGCCATTAATTTCAGGGAGATTAATCACTCCGCGAGACAGCAAAGTCAGTCGCTTGCAGGTTGCCTTTGTTTGTCTGAGTCGCTGTGGGGGAAGTGGGCTTGTCTAGCTCCCCCAGTCTCTTTGTAGGGCAGAATCCGAGCCTGGCGTGGTGTAGCCCCCAGCCCTCTGAGCTCACTTTGTTCAGGGAGGAAGAATCCTTGGGAGACTTGGTCATTCTGTGATGTCTCCTCATTAGAGGAAACCAGGGGCTATTTTCTGTGGAAGCCACCAAGAGCCAGGCAGTTTGCAGCCTGAAGGACAGGAGCATCTTGTATTCCAGCAGCCAGATTGGAGGCTTGGATACCTAGAGAGGGAAACTGTAAGAACAAAAGTAAGAATGACAGCTAATATTTTAATTGAGTAAATATGTTACTGTGCTGAGTAACTATGCTAAGCACTTTAGAAATATATTCTCATTTACTCTTCCCAGAGATCCAGTGAAATTCACTGGGATATTATTTTCTCCATTTTAAAGGTAAGGAAACAGAGACTTAAAGAAGTTGCATTGGCCAGGCACAGTGCCTCACGCCTGTAATCCCAGCACTTTTGGAGGCTGAGGCGGGTGGATCACAAGGTCAGGAGTTGAAGACCAGCCTGGCCAAGAGGGTGAAACCCGTCTCTACTAAAAATACAAAAATTAGCCAGGCGTGGTGGTGGGCGCCTATAATCCCAGATACTCAGGAGGCTGAGGCAGAGAATTGCTTGAACCTGGGAGGCGGAGGTTGCAGTGGGCCAAGATCGCGCCACTGCAATCCAGCTTGGGAAACAGAGCAAGACTCAGTCTCAAAAAAAAAAAAAAAAAAAGGAAGTTGCATTTTTCGTCTAATATCACACTGTTGGTAGTTCAGGAGCCAGAACCTGAGCCTGGACATTATGCCCAGGACCTGAATTTCCAACGAACATTCTTCAAGTAGTCTGGCTTCTGTTTTTCACTTGGGAAGGGCTTTGGGATTTTAACTATGGTGATGGGAAATCATTGCAAAGGCATGAGCACCTGAGTCTACCTGACTGTCTTGTGAAAGAGAAACTACCTGCTGGTGCTTTGGGGAGATGGAGAGTTTTATTTGGGGGCTTCAGGGCACAGACAGAGCAACACAGGTTCAGGGAGGCCTGGGCCTGAGGCTCTTGTTGGGGCTTTAAAGGGCTTGAAGGAAAGGGCACCTTGAGCAAGAGCGTTTGTGCCAGGACGACTCTCCTGCTCATGCATGGTGTTCCACTCAACTTCATTATTTGGAGAAGAAAGATTGATTCTTTCCATTAAAAACAACAACAAAAAATCATTAAAGGCTGTTTGTTAGTGTTAAGTAAACTAAAAGGGAAATAATTACATCGGGGCCACTGATGAAATTACAATCAGATTAGAAACATGAGCTCGATTTCCTGAGCATTTCTTTGGCCACGAGTCTGATCTAAGATAATTGGATATCTCTAAATACATGAGACTCTGTAAGCGATTCCTCTGTGATTCAAAAGGATCGGGGGCAGGGAGGTATGCAGAAGCCAAGGGTTATCTCTTTTGATTCAGGAGAATTTCCCACACAGCACATCCTCACTGCCTGGTTCACAACTCTCCTCATCTCTCCATTGATCAGTTGCACGTCGCCAGCATTCCAGGCTTGTCACAGTCAGATACCCACCACTCCTATAGCCTCACTCCGCTTATGCCCATCCCTGGTCTTTCTCTCCAACCACAACCAGAACCATGGCTGATCCCCATGGCCAGGTCCCACTGTGGCCCCAGAAGCTCCACGCCATCCAACTTCCTAAGTTCCTGGGACCTGGGTTCCTGGGACCTTTGTGAACCTGCTTAGCCTTAATAACCATAACAGTCCAATTGTTCATGCTTAAACAATACCGTGAATGGAAAAACCTCTTCCAAAACATAAATTATGCACAGATAGCAGCTGCTATTCTCAGTGTGGACAGACTTTTCTCTTTTTGTAAGATGGAAAATTTTTTAATAAAAGTTAATATGCTTTTCTCTTTCTCATTGCTGGGTATGTGACTTTCAGCCTAGTTCATCCTGGGCAACACTCTGCCTGGAAGGAGATCAGACTGTTACAGGAGGCATGTAGAAAAAAAGGCCACAGGAATAGTCCATTCCTGACAATCAAAATTACGATTATACAGCAGAATAATAGCCTTGCAAGCCAGCTATTTTCTCGAGAAGAAATTTCCAAACTCCCTTATTTCATTCTTTATTTAGCATATCAAAGACCAATTTAGAGGAGTTGGCTTATAAATTTCTCCCATGGTTTAGAGCCATGTTTGTGTCCTTAATGAGGTATTAGCTGCATTCAGGAAGAAGTTGACACAGGAGAAGTTTTTTCTTTTTTTTTTTCTTTTCTTTTTTTTTAAATGCAGGATAAAAATGGCAGGCAAAGATGATGGTAAAAGAGAGAGAGAAGGTGGCAAGGCTCTGTCATTCAATTTCTCTTCTCCTAGCTTAGATTTGGATGGGGCAAGGTGCATGAGATAATGAGGGAGCATTGAGGGCTTGACCATGCAGGACTGAGCCATCTTAAAGACTACCCATGTGAACCTGGAGAGAAGTAGGCACAGAGAAGCAGCGGTCAGGCTCCAGAGCAGAATTAAGCTAGATAGCAATAACAAGAAGACACACACACCAAAAAAAAAAAATCTCTAAATGCTTGGAAATTAAGCAACACACTTTTTTTTTCTTTTTTTGAGATGGAATCTTGCTCTGTGGCCCAGGCTGGAGTGCAGTGGCACCATCTCAGCTCACTGCAACCTCTGACTCCAGGCTTCAAGCGATTCTCCTTCCTCGGCCTCCTGAGTAGCAGGGACTACAGGTGTGTGCCACCCTGCCCGGCTAATTTTTGTATTTTTAGTAGAGATGGGGTTTCAACATGTTGGCCAGGCTGGTCTCAAACTCCTGACTTCAGGTGATCCACCTGCCTCAGCGTCCTTGGACTGCTGAGATTATAGGCATGAGCCACCGCACCCAGCCAAATTAAGCAACACACTTTTAAATACCCATACTTTTAAATACCCATACTTTGAACTTGTGGGTTACAGCCAAAACACTACTTAAAGGAACATTTATAGCTCCAAATGCATATGTTAGAAAAGAAGAAAGGTCTAAAATCAGTGATGTAAGCTTCCAACTTAGTAAGGTTAAAAAAAAGAATGGCAAACAAAACCCAAAGAAAATCAAAAGAAGGAAATAATAAAGATAAGGATGGAAATCTATGAAATAGAAAGTATACAACAAAGTTAAGAACTGTTTCTTTTAAAAGAGTAATAAGATTGATAAACTGATGAAGCAAATGAGAAAGAATATTACCAATATCAGGAATAAAAAAGGGTATGACTGGCCAGGCGTTGTGGCTCACGTCTGTAATCCCAGCACAGAAGTGTGTGAGCATGTGCTTATGTTTGTGGGAGATTGTGAATATTTAAGTAATAGGAACTAAAAGTACTCCTTCTTATCAATGGAGACACCGCCCCCGCCTTCCAAGAGGCATTTAGAGACCCATCATCACACTTGCCTGCACAGCAAGATGCACTGTATGATTACACTGCTGCGGATCTGGAAACAGAATTGATTTTCTACCTGACACAATCCTACCAACTTAAGAATTATAGAAAGTCATTCTAGAAATTAATTAATTTGGGGAATGTCTATAAAAGTATCTAGAAAATAACTCACCAAGCTTATTAATTAGAGAACATTGGTTCCAAGTCGTTCAAATAATTCTGAACATGACCAGGAGTCCTGCTGCCCATCCTTACAGATGCTTATCCTGTCACCCTAGTTGCTCTTCTTACCTTACTTCAACACAGGGCCTTCCAGCCTGAGGTGAAAGGAGAATTTTAATACTTAGCATTTTCCAACCTGGATAGATCTCTCTCTGTTTGAGGCCAACATAAAAAGGGATTTTTTAAGAACTCCATGTAATGTATTTTTTCTATTTTTGTGCAGCTAACCTTCTCCCTAGTCTGCCCAAAGCACGCTATACCAGGACTGCAAAAAGAAAGAATGGCTTTTTCAGCTTTTGACTAGCAAGGACCATATCAGAATTTTTTAGTCAAGACGATATTGCTTTTCAAAGCCAAAATACCGTAGGAACAAAGGATATTTTAACATCCTTTAATTTGCATCAGAGTATCAAAATCACAGAGTTTCAATGTAAGAATGGATGCCCACACATGAACCCTTGTGGTGGCCAGGGCGTGAATTTGCAGTGAATGACCTGTTGTTGGCTTTCTTCCTAAATTTCCAGTCTGTCATGGACCTGACCATAGTTTGCCTGGTCAGCACTCAGCAAGCACCACGTATGACTCACACATAACTGGCCTATGCCCTGCTCCAAGGGAGTCCATTCTCACACATTTAGACACACTGCAGCGTCACATTGCTTTAAAGGTTTCCTAACACTTATTCCCCAATTCTGTATTTACCTTGGTATGACCAGCAACCACAGTTCCAGAATGAACATAAAACACTGATGTAAAAGACCCAGAAACCCTGAAACCTGTCCCTTCCAGCCCCAGTCAGGGTGCGGGGCCGGGCGGGAGGGTTGTGGGAAAGAAACAGGAGCCAGGTGAGTGGGGATATCAGGTGGCAGGATCTTGTTTCCCAGCCTTACCCAGCTCAGGGTCATACACCTTACAGGCTTTCAAAATGTAGGTTGAGTGTCCTTTACCTGAAGTGCTTGGGACCAGGAGTGTTCAGATTTTGAAATGTTTGCATTATACTGACTAGCTAAGCATCGCTAATCTGAAAATCCAAAATGTTCCAATGAGCCTTTTCTTTGAGTATCATGTCAGTACTCAAAAAAGTTTCAGATTTTGAACCCGGCACCGTGGCTCACGCCTGTAATCCCAGCACTTTCGGGGGCCGAGGCAGGTGGATCACGAGGTCAGGAGTTCAAGACCAGCCTGCCCAAGATGGTGAAACCCCGTCTCTAACTAAAAATACAAAAATTAGCTGGGTATGGTGGTGGGCACCTGTATTCCCAGCTACTCGGGAGGCTGAGGCAGAGAATTGCTTGAACCTGGGAGGCAGAAGTTGCAGTGAGCCAAGATCGCACCACTGCACTCCAGCCTGGGTGACAGAGCAAGACTGTGTCTCCAAAAAAAAAAGTTTCAGATTTTGTAGCATTTCAGCGTTTGAATCTTCAAATTAGGGATACTCAACCTGCACCCTGCTAAAGGTGAGGACCTCAGAATATGGGGCCAGTAGCTCCCTTTCTGGCATAACATGAAGGAAACTGTGGGGCCCTTGGATAAGCCCAGCTTATGCTTACCATGTGAAAGAGAATGTCAACTTTCCCATCTTATTATTTAAGAAATACATTTTGTAAGGCTCTAGCTGCCATAGATTGTGATTCCTCTGATGGATTTGGGCAAAGTAAATTGAAAACCTCTGCAAAGAATTTATCATTCTAGATGCCATTAAGAACATTCATGATTCATGGAAGGAAGTCAATGTGTTGACGCTGACAGGAGTTTGGAAGAAATTAATTCCAGCCTCATGGATGACTTTGAGGAGTTCAAGACTCAGTGGGGGAAGTAACCGCAGATGTGGTAGAAATAGCAAGAGAACTAGAATTAGAAGTAGAGCCTGAAGATATGACTGAATTATTGCAATCTCATGATCAAACTTGCACAGATGAGTGGCTTCTTATGGATGAGCAAAGAAAGTGGTTCCTTGAAGATGTGAACCTTGTTGAAATGACATCCAAGGATTTAGAATATTACATACACTTCATTGATAAAGCAGCAGCAGAGTTTGAGAGGACTGACCCCAATTTTTAAAGAAGTTCTACTGTGGGTGAAATGCTGTCAAACAACCAGCACTGCATGCTGCAAGAAATCTTTCATAAGAGGAAGAGTCCATTGATGTAGCAAACTTCACCATCATCTTATTTGAAGACATTGCCATGGCTACCCCAATCTTCAGTAACCGCCACCCTGATTAGTTAGTAGCCTTCAACGACTAGGCAAGACCCTCCACCAGCAAAAACATTACAACTTCCTGAAGCCTCAGATGATCAGTAGCATTTTTTAGCAATAACGTATTTTTTAATTAAGGTATGTAAGTTTTTCAGATGTAATGCTATTACATGTTTAATGTACAATATAGTGTACATATAACTTTTATATGCACTAGGAAACCAAAAAATTCCTTTCATATGCACTAGAAAACCAAAAATATCACTTTATTGTGATAGTCACTTAATTGTGGTGGTCTAGAACCGAACCCACAATATCTCCAACGTATGACCCCATAATAAGCCCTTATATAGCCGGATGTCTACTTGAGGAGGAGAAAGAATAGACAGAATTCTGACAGCCTGCATGTTTACCTAAATAAATCATGTTTATCATTGAAATCACCCCTAGTGAGAAAACTGGATGACTATTTAAACTGAAAAGAGACTTTTAAGTGTGGAAGACTGTGATATTAGTTAGTAAGTTACCTTCACTACTCAATGAGGTAGGTGCCTATAAAGGACTTTCAATCTGTTATAGGAAACAGAGGCACATTTTTTTTAATGTCAAAGGTACTGTGAACACACTACTTGTGTACCAGTTGTTTGCTTGATTTGCTTTTCTTTGTAGCATTTGAAAAAAATGCTAGAATTCAAGAGTCAGAGGAAACATAGAAAATGATGTACTTTACAAAACAGAAATAAATTTTGAACAGCATCTGCTATGTGCACTCAATAAAACTCAATAAACCATGATCCCTATGAATAAGATATGAAGAGAAGACTAGTTAATAGGCAAAGAGCAAAGAGATGGGGAAAAAATCCTGCTCATGTGGCAGGATTTCAGAATGGTGAATTTATTACTCTTTTCCTTCTCTTCACTCTTTACATCCCACTGAAATTACCAAAGAAATAAAAAATAGATTCAAAAGTCTGTAGCAGTCATGGAAAACAAGTCAGGGCATTCTCAATGCAGCAGACGGGTATAGGAATTTCAGGAAGATATAAAGCAGATGGGGCCAGATTGACAATCAATGGCTGAAGGCTTGACTCTCATGTCAAAGGTTGATCCTTGTCAGGGGAGGAGTGGATGGCTGTCCCTAGTAGAGCAGCAGAAGGCCGCCAGGGTCAGAGTGTCAGGCCAAGGGGACCCTGGATCACTCAGCTGTGGGGGAGTTGGGGAAAGTGGAGAATTCAATTTGACAGTGTTCTTTTCACTTGAAAGGCTTTCTCGTTGCCACAGGGCTTCATGAGTGGACTGACTCCTAAATGAGGCAGAGCATTTGTTCTGGGAGCTTTCTAACACTAGCAGGAGGGCCAGAGAGAGATCAGGGAGGGACAACTTGGGGCCGTTACAGCAGATACTGAGTGGGAGTTACAAAAGAAACATGTCCTAATTTTTTTTTACCTTCATTGGAATTACTTCCTTATTTCCTGCTATAACATATTTTCAACTGAGCAAAAAGACCCTCCTGAGACCTCAGCAGCAGATTTAGGCAGGTTGACTTATGGACATTAGCGAACAAAAGAAAGTCTTCATAAAGCTCTGCTTTAAATCCATTAGGGAGCCACCAGCTCAGGGACCCACCTCATTCTCTTTTTACTGACTACAACTGGACAATTGGGGACTTCCTCCATAGTAGCTTTGAGCTACCCACTTTACCCTGATGGTGGAGTGAGAGGAGAGAAAGGTTAACCTCCTCTTTTTGTTTCTGGCCCAAGCCCAAGCACCCTGAAATAAAACCCACCTATTGCTTCATCCTCTAGTCACTGTGCTCAGGATAAACCCTGCCCATGGACCCTTAAGCTCTTGGAAAAGATAGCTAGGGTATAAACAATGAGGCAGTTGCTGGAAGAGCCCACATCAGCTACCAATATAAATGAATCTATACCTCCATTTATAAACGTGAGCAGAAAAAAAAATGAGGATAACCAGCATCTCAACAAACTGAGCAATTAGAACAAATGGCCTCTAATTTAAAAATGGCAATGAAGGAACAGAGGGAAAGATTAAATTCTAATTGGTATGCTCAGTAAGACTGATTTTATGGAGTGATAGCATACCACTTCATAAAAAGAGAGCAAGAAAGGAAAAAATCCTTGAAATTGAAAGCATAATGGATGAAACAGAAAGATTCATAGAAGCAGTGAGTAGCAGCATGAAACATGGCTGAAAATGAAATTATTGATTTAAAAGACCAACTTGAGGAATTCCTCAAGGACAGAGGGATGGGAAAAGTAACAACCTATGAGAGAAAGAAATAAGAGATATGGAAGATAAATCCATAAGATTCGCTATCTGTATATTTGTATAATAAAACCAGAAAGACAGACACAAGGAAATGGTGGGGAAAAAAGGGGAAAAATTTCTTTGAGCTGAAGAAAGACTTGAATTTTTAAATAAAAGGTGCCCACCAGATGAAGAAAAAACAAATGAAAACAAGACACAAAAAAACACACACATTAAAAATCTCTTGGTAAAATTTTTGGATATTAAAAATAAAGATTATATCCTATAAGCTTCCAGGCTAGTAAATAATATATTTGTTGCCAACAATGGAAAGAAAAATAAAATTTTTTTCATCTCTAACACTACTTGCTAAAATCCCAGACAACAATGAATCAATAGTTTTAAAGTTCTGAGAAAGGAACATCTTGAACCTAGAAATCTGTGTTAGCAAAACAACACTTCACGTATAAGGATAAAAGAAAGGCATTGTGAGGCATTCAGAAATGTTCAGAAGGCCGGGCATGGTGTTCACGCCGGTAATCCCAGCAATCTGGGAGGCCAAGGCAGGCAGATCACCTGAGGTAAGGAGTTTGAGACCAGCCTGGCCAACATGGCGAAACCTGGTCTTTACTGAAAATACAAAAATTTGCCCCACATGGTGGCGGCTGCCTGTAATCTCGGCTGCTTGGGAGGCTGAGACAGGAGAATCGCTTGAATCCAGGAGGCAGAGGTTGCAGTGAGCTAAGATCAAGCCACTGCACTCCAGCCTGGGTGACACAGTGAGAGCCTGTCTCAATTTAAAACTACTCAAAAAACACTACTCAAATAAAATACGAAAAATCTAAATAAATGGAGAGATATACCTTGTTCATTGTTTGGGTCACTTGATATTGCTAAGATGTCAATTGTCTCCAAGTTGATCTATACAGATTTAACACAATCCCAATCAAAATGCCAGCATGCTTATGTTTTGTGGAAATTGATAAACTGAATTTATACGGAAATGCAAAGGGCCAGGAATATCCAAGACAATCTTGAAAACAAATCTGAAGAACTTACTCTAGTAGATTTCAAGACTTAAATAGAGTTAGAATCATTAAGAAAGTGTGGTGTTGTTGAAAAGAAGGACAATGGAATAGAATGGATAGATAATTCCATAACTAGACTGTTCTGGTTGCCTGTTGCTGTGTAGCTAAAGACCCCAAATCTTGGCTTATAACAATAGCAATTATTTTATTGTTCACAAATCTGGGAGTTAAGTGGGCTCAGCTAGGCTGTTCTCACTCAGGATCTCTCAGCTGATTGCAGTCGGTCGGTGGTTGGAGCTGGGCTGGGGTCTTCTGAAAGTCTTCTTCACTTGCATATCTGGCACCTGAGCTGGGGAGACTTACACAGCTGGGGCTGGAACTGCTGGGGTTCCTCAGGCATCCCTCTTTCCTCTTTAGTCTCTCCACTTAGTGATCGTCAGAGCAGCTGATTCTTGACATGGCGGCTCAAGGTTCCCAAAGTGAGTGTCCCAAGAGAAAACAGCAAAAATGATGTGGCCTTTTCTAACTCAGCCAAGTCACACAGCATCATTTCTACCTCATTTTATCCACTGAGGCAGTCACAAAGGCCTACCCAGGCTCAATGGGGGGACGCATGGACTCAACCTCTTCAAAGTATTTGTGGACATATTTTTAAATTAGCACATCAACCCTCACATATGGTTGCTTTTTTGTTTTGGGTATTTTTTTTTTTTTTGGCCAAAAAGCATATTAAAAGGTTCTAATTTCACATCAGAGAAATGCAAATAAAAACCACAATCTACCCCCAGAATGGCTGGAATTTACAAGGCCCAACCTACCAAGTGCTGATGAGGATGCAGAGCGACTGGGACTGTTGATAGGAGTGTCAATTTGTCCATCCACCATGGAAAACTCTGCCCATAATTGCAACAATTAAACATACACCTATACAGTCCAGCAACCTTCTAGATATACAACTAATAGAAATGGATACATATATCCACCAAAAGATAAACAAAGACAGACAAGAATTTCTTAGCAGCACTATTCATCATAGTCCCAAACTAGAAACAACCCAAATGTCCACTAGTTGTAGAGTGAATAAATCGTGATATCGTGCATTTCATACAATGGAATACTTCACAGCAATAAAAAAGAACTACTAATACATGCAAAAATATGAATAAATCTCGGCCGGGCGCGGTGGCTCAGGCCTATAATCCCAACACTTTGGGAGGCTGAAGCGGGCAGATCACCTGAGGTCGGGAGTTCAAGACCAGCCTAACCAACATGGAGAAACCTCATCCCTACTAAAAAAATACAAAATTAGCCGGACATGGTGGCACATGCCTATAATCTGGAGAATCGCTTGAACCTAGGAGGCGGAGGTTGAGGTGGGCCGAGAGCGCGCCATTGGATTCCAGCCTGGGCAACAAGAGCAAAACTCTGTCTCAAAAAAATAAGTAAATAAATAAAAATATGAATAAATCTCATAGACCTTATGTTAAGTGAAAGAAGCCAGACACAAAAGAAAACATTCTGTATGATTCCATTTATATGAAGTTTCAGGACAGGTAAAACTAATCTGTGGTGATATCAGAATAGTGGTTTCTTCTAGGGGACAGGATACAAATGTGTGTCTGTATGTATTTGTGTTTATTTGTTTATTTATAACAAATATATCTAAGAAACATTGTCATATGTGAATCCATTGTAAAAGAAAAACACACTCAAGGAAATACTATGGCAGATTTAGTGAAACAAAGAAATAATTTTTTAAAAAAGATGCAGTAAAAAATAAAAAGCATTATAGAACAACAATAAAAGTAAAATAATGATAAGGCAAAACTGTAAGAAAAACAAGAAACTTGGCAGAATTACAACTATACCCATTTCAAAAACGTTCCTATTAATTGCATTAAAAAGAGAGGAGGAACTGTTAATAACAATTAAAAGAGATAATGTGTAAAACTCATTCATATCTTAATTCAAACAAACCTATTTTAAGAAAACAATTTTGAGATAATTGGGGAAAATTGACCATGAATTGGATATTGTATATTAGAGAGTTAGGGTTACATTTGTTGGTTATGATAGAAGTATTATAGTTATGACTATTTAAGAAAGAGTCATTAATTGTTAAAGCTTTAAATTGAAGTATTTTACTGGCAAAATGATATGTTACCTGGGATTTGCTTCAAAATACTCCAAAAAGGGGGGGTATGTTGATGAAATAAGAGTGGTATAATATTCATAATTGATCATCTGGATGATTGGTACATGTGGATTTATTATATCGCCATTTCTACTTTGTGTATGTTTTAAATTTCCATAAAATTTTAAATTCAAATTTTCCCTTACAAAAAGAATATAAACCTTAAAATTGGATGGATCAAATAGCCATGAAGAAATAGAGGATTCTAATAGCATAATGAATAATCTTGATTTAATGAATATATCTAAAATCCTATATGCCCCCAAAACAGAATATTACGTTTTTATAAATGTCCATGGAATCATTTCAAGAAACTGACTATGTATACACACATATAATGCAAAAAGCAACACCTATACAAGCTATATTCTCTGACCACGGTGCAATGAAACTAGAAATTAACAATTAAGAGAAACCCCAAATAAAATTTTCTAGCTATTTAATAATTTTTGAGAAACATATTTCCAAACAACATTTAAATCAAAATATAAACTTGAGACTACATAGAAATGAATAGCAGTTAGAGCAATGGTTTCCAAAATCTATGGCATGCAGCCAAAGTTATACTCAAAGAAATATATAAAGCCCTAAAAAATATTTATTTTTCTATTAAGCAAAAAAGATTTAAAATAAATTTACTAAACTGTCACCTTTAGAAGCTAGAAAAAGAACAAAAAAGTTACTAAAAGTAGGACAAAGGGATTAATATAGGTTAAATCAGACTTACCAAAAAAAATCATTTTTATTTTTAGAGCCAGGGTCTCTCTCTGTCGCCCAGGCTGGAGTGCAGGGGCGCTATCATACCTCACTGCAGCCTGGAACACCTCGGCTCTAGTGATCCTCCCATCTCAGCCTCCAAAAGCACTGAGATTTAAGGCACGTGCCACCATGTCGAGTCCAAACAAATCATTTTTATAATGAAAGATTAGTAATATTTCTTTACAATAAAGAACAAGACAAGGATGCCCTTTATCATCCCTACTATTCACTATTTCACTTGTGGTCTGAGCCAATTCAACAGGAAATGAAAAAAGTGGCAATGTGCAAAGAAAGGGACAAAACTGTTCTTGGCGGGCATTATGATTTTCTAAATCTAAATCTTCTAACAAATAAATTAATAATAGAGGCTGGGCGTGGTGGCTCACGCCTGTAATCCCAGCACTTTGGGAGGCCGAGGCGGGCGGATCACGAGGTCAGCAAATCGAAACCATCCTGGCTAACATGGTGAAACCCCGTCTCTACTAAAAATACAAAAAAATTAGTCGAGCGTGGTGGCGGGTGCCTGTAGTCCCAGCTACTCGGGAGGCTGAGGCAGGAGAATGGCGTGAACCCGGGAGGCGGAGCTTGCAGTGAGCAGAGATCGCGCCACTGCACTCCAGCCTGGGCGACAGAGCGAGACTCTGTCTCAAAAAAAAAAAAAATAATAATAATAATAATAAATTAATTAATAATAGAGCTCAGTAAATTTTCTGGATTTAAAATTCATACATAAAAACTTATATTGTTCTTCCATACCAACAATAACTAATTATAAGGTGTAAAAAAAAATCAATACTATAAACCACAAAATACCTAGAAATAAACAAACAGAAAATGTGTTTTCCCATGGGGAAAATTATAACACATGATTAACGGACATGAATGAAAGTCTGAATACCTTTATCACAAATGGGAAGACTCAATATCATAAAGATGATAATTCATTATTAATTAAATCATAAATGCAATGTAATCGCAATCAACACCCTAACAGAGTTTTTCATGAACTCAACAAGGTGATCCTAATATATAAAAGTGTAAGGAGTCAAGGCACTCTGGAATAAAAACTACAAGGTGGAGAAGTTGGAGTAGCATATAACAAGATGTATTATAAAGCCACTTAATGCAATTTAACACAGTATGGTATTGGCAGAGATAGACAATAAACAAATTCAAAAGGATAGAGAGCCCAGAAATGAACTCATGTAGATGGAAACTAGAAGTGGCATTACAAATCCCTGGGAGAAGACAGATTCGTCAATAAATAGGGATGAGACAATTGTTTATCCCTATAGGGAGACATAAATATAAACCCCCCACATGAAAAAAACTATCTCAGATGGATTATAAACCTAAATGTGAAAAACAAAGTTGTAGAATTCTAATATAGATAGATAGATAAATAGATAGATAGATAGATAGATAGATGATAGATAGATAGATAGATAGATAGATAGATAGATAGATAGATAGATGAGAGTATATTTGACATCAGGACAGGAAAGGATTTAAGAAGTCACAAAAAGCAAAAATTATAAAAGAAAAGATTAATGTGGCTTACTACATTAAAATTCGAAACATCTGAACAAATAGGATTCTAAGAACAAATTTGAAAAACAAGCCACAGATTGCGGGGCGGGAGGGATTGCAGAATGGCAAAGCACAAGACCAGCGAAGAAATGATATTTAGAATAAAGATAAAGCCTAAAAGACAAACGAGAAAGAGAAAATTAACATAGTAATTTATAAAGAGGAAAACTAAATGCCCAATAAAATTATAAAAAGATGCACCACATCATTAGAAAGCAGAGGAATGCAAATTAAATCCATAATGACATACCATTCACACACCCCATGATGGCAGAAATTCACATCTGATAATACCAGCTCATGCCAAGGGTATGAAGTGGCAGGAGCTCCCAGGTACTGCTGGTGACTGTGAGATTAGGAATAACCACTTGGGAGGAAAAATTGGCAATGTCTAATAAAGTTAGAGATATGCCTATTCTACAACTCAGGAATCATACCAATTAACATAGCCTAGAAAAATCTTCACCTAAGTGTACCTGTATAGGAATGTTCACTGAAGAATTGTTTTTATAATTTAAAATTTTGAAATAACATAAAAGCCCATTAGTTGGAGAAGAAATGAGCAGTGAACAAACCTTGTTCCAACCACAGAATACTATGCAGTAGTGGAAAAGAAAGAAACAAAGTTACATGTATTGGCATGAGGAAAAGTCTCAAAGTCATCGAGTTGAATGAAAAAGCAAGTAGCAAGATGATACATACTCAATAATATTTAAAGTTTTAAAAACCACAGAAAATAGGCTGGGCACAGTGGCTTATGCCTGTAATCCCAAGTACTTTGGGAGGCCGAGGTAGGAGGATTGCTTGAGCCCAGGAGTTTGAGACCAGCCTGGGCAACGTAGTGAGACCCTCACTCTACCAAAAAAAATACAAAAAAAAAAAAAAATTAGCTGGGAGTGGTAGTGCGCACCTGTAGTCCCAGCTACTACGGACACTGAGTGGGGTGGGTCCCTTGAGCCTGGGAGGCAGAGGCTGAAGTGAGCTATGATGACACCACTGCACCCCAGCCTGGGCGACAGCACAAGACCCTGTCTCAAAAAAAAAAAAAATCACAGAAAATAACACTCAGTATGGTGTATGAATATATTCTTCTTATATAATAAAAATATAAAAATATGCATAGGAATGATCCACAACTTCAGGAGGGTACTCACCTCTGGTGAAGGAAAGTGGAGAGTGGGATCTAGTTCAAATACATACTGGGCTTCGCTTACATCTGTAATATCTTTCCTTTTTAAAAAGGAAACAAGCAGGGTGAAATACTAATATTGGTTAAAGTTGGATAGTAGATATACAGACACTCTCTCAGATTTTGTACATGTTTAACTATTTCAAATAAAATATCAACGGAAAATATATATATATAATATTGAGAAGAAAGGTAAAATAAATAATAAGAAAACAATTCATTGGAAAGCAAGGAAAGCATACAATTGATCTGTAATATCAATACTTTTAAAACATCAACAAAATGCAGAAAGTTCTGGAAAGCCTAACCAAGAGAAAACACAAATAAATAATATATGCAATAAGAAATAAGCAAATAGGCCAGGAGCGGTGGCTCACACCTGTAATCCCAGCACTTTAGGAGGCCAGGTGGGAAGACTGCTTGAGGTCAGAAGTTTGAGACCAGCCTAGGCAACATAGCGAGACTCCACTTCTACAAAACACTGTTTAAAAACATTGCCAGGTGTGGTGATACACACCTGTAGTCCTAGCTACTTGGGAGGCTGAAGTGATAGGGTCACTTGAGCCCAGGAGTTCCAGGCTGCAGTGAGCTATGATTGTGCCACTGCACTCCAGCCTGGAGGACAGAACAAGACCCTATCTCTAAAAATACATATACTAATAAGCAGATAATTACAGCCAAGAAGGATACCAAACAGTAATGAGAATACTACATACAATTTTCTATCACTGAAGTTGAATACATAATATGGACAATTTCCCAAGAAGTTATACATTTCCCAGATTCCTATAAGAAAAGGTAGAAAATCTAAATACATCGGCATCCATAGAAGAAATTGAAAAATATTTACCATCATTTATTTCCAGAAAAGATCCAAGTCACACAGGGTGTTTTACAATTCAAAAAACTTCTAAGGAACAGATAATTCCCCTTACTTAAACTATTAGTGGGCTGGCCATGGTGGCCTACACCTGTAATCCCAACACTTTGGGAGGCTGAGGTAGGCAGATTGCTCGAGCTCAGGAGTTCGAGACCAGCCTGGGCAACATGGTGAAACCTTGACTCTATAAAAAATACAAGAATTAGCCCGGTATGGTGGTGTGCGCCTGTAGTCCCAGCTACTTGGGAGGCTGAGGTGGGAGGATGGCTTGAACACATTAGGTGGAACTTGCAGTGAGCTGAGATTTTGCCACTGCACTCCAGTCCAGGTGACAAAGCCAGACACTGTCTCTAAATAAATAAATAAATAAATAAATAAATAAATAAATAAATAAGCAAGCTATTGGAGAGCACAGACACATATATAAATCTTCCCAATTTGTGCTAAGAAATTAGCACAACCTTGACACAAAATTAACAAAATAGTACAAAAAAATAGATTCCATTTTACTTAGTAATTGTTGTAAGAATCCTAAATAAAATATTAACATTTGAATCTGACAGTGTATTAGAAAATAGTATACAAAGTAGGATCTATTTCAGGATGTAAAATTGGTTCTATATTAAGATATCTATTTGTAGACAAAGAAGCAAACTCATGTGGGAGTTTTGTCAGTTTCCTAGACATTTTTTTTAACTCCCCAAGGCTTGATATGTTGCTATTCAACCCACAGCAGAAGTGAGGTTCAGCTTGCAATTGGCATAGAAAAACCCCAAGATGAATGTTTTTTCCCTTGTGTCCTGGCACTAGAGCCTACCTTCTGCTGTTGGAACCAATTCAAGGAAAGCAGAGATTTAGTTGCCACTATCATGGATAGTGTCAAGTCGCTGCACACACCAGTGACTAGAACTCAAGAGTTCTGGTCCATATAAGAAGAATCTTTGATCAAATCATTTGCCCTATCTGAGCCTTAGTCCATCAAACTCTAAAATAATGGAAGGGGCCAGGCACGGTGGCTCACACCCGTAATTCTAGAAATTTCAGAGGCCAAGGCAGGTGGATCATTTGAGGTCAGGAGTTCGAGACCAGCCTGACCAATATGATGAAACCCCATCTCTACTAAAAATACAAAAATTAGCTGGGCATGGTGGCGTGCCCCTGTAGTCCCAGCTACTCAGGAGGCTGAGGCAGGAGAATCCCTTGAACCCAGGAGGCAGAGTTTGCCATGAGCCAAGATCGCACCACTGCACTCCAGCCTGGGAGAGCAACAGAGCAAGACTTCGTCTCAAAAATAAATAAATAAATAAATAAAATAATGGAAGGGACTGGATGATCTCCAGCGTCATCACTTCTGTTTCTATATTAAATGATGATCCATAAACAAGGCTCAAATTACTTTTGCTATTGCAGCAAAGTAAATGACAGTTTGTTGGTCCCCCTGCTGCTATGTAACAGTTGTCAAATTTGTAGGAAGGAAATGCGAACATCTCAATTCATGGCTGTAAACAAATGAAATGTGTTCTTTGGAAAAGAAACCTCTCTTCCCTAGTTTGCAAAACTTTGAGCGTATGTCAGTTTACCCTTCAAACACAGAAAATCAATTTATGTAGCTGCGCAGAGGGGATTTGCATTAATTTAGGGGAAATACTATCAATAGGAAGTGTTCCCTTTTGCCATATGTCCAGCAGGAGTAGAGCCAGAAAACATATGGTTGATGCAGCTTGGTGCCGCCCCAGCCCTGGAGAACGGGGACATGATCTTCAGAGTTTTCCAATTGAAAGATGAGATAAAGACAAACATCTTTAAATGCCATTTTGTGAATTGTTGAATATTCCGTGTCAACACAGTTAACATAGAATGTTCAACAAGGTGGAAATCTAACATAGCTAACATATCTTTCTGGGAGAAAAACTACTAATGAGCAGACCTTGGAAGATGCTGGGGAGAGGCCGCACATTTGTATGAGGCCCCCAGGACCCTTGAAAGTGGGAAGTGATTGAGACTCCACCCACTTCTTCCCAAGATTGAAGTTGCAGAAATCGGCTTCAGTAGCCCAGTCTCCCCTAAGCAACGTCCAGAGGGAGGAAAGAGCAACGAAGCCCCTGGAATGAAATCATCTTGGAGATAAAAAGCATTAGGCTTGGGGCGGGCCACTGCTGAGTTGGGCTCTTAAGAGAGGAATGGTTCTGAATCCCTAATGCTGTGGATCCTAGGACAGTTTCCAATCCAGCCATCCTGGAGGCCAGATAATGCCCCAGGAATGTGCCCTATATGAGACAACAAATCTAAAAAGCTGTGACATTGGAACTCTTGACAAAGAGCTGAGGAAGACCAGGAAGCCCCCTTCCCACACCTTGAAGGACCACCCATGCAGAGCCACTGTGGCAGGGACTGGAATAGACTTCCTAATCACCTTCTCTTGGTGATGTGACATCCTTTGTCCTCAAGGAGAGGAGACATACCCTCTGGAAGGCATGAATAAACCGGCTCTTTGGTCATAAATAAGCACCTTGGGGACTTCTTTCATCATAAACACATTCAAAATAGTCAATATTGGAGTTTGAGCTGTTCAATGGAAGTACTAACAGGAAATGTGTTTGTACCCCAAAGGGGCAAGGAGGAACTCCAATGGTGGCCAACACGATTCCCCCAGCTCTCAGAAGAAGAAATGGTACCCCCAATATGGAGGAGTTTCAAGCGTAGGTCATTATGTGCTGGACAACATTGGGTGGCTTCATGGACTTGGCCTTGGTCTGGCTGCTGGACTGGAGCCCAACTTGGGCCAAGTAAACACTCTTGACAGACACCCCATGGAGATTGTTTAATTTGGGTTTTCTATTTCATTTTGAGCCAATTTTAACTATTTACATTTTTCTGGAAAACATCCATATCTTTGAAGTTTTCCAATGTAATGGCAGAGTTTTCATAGTACTGCCTCATTATATTTTTGATCTCCTTTGTATAGCATCTGTGGTTATATCCTGTTTCTCATTCCTAATGGTGTGCATTTGCCTTTTCTCTTTTTAACCAGGTTAAACTTGCCAGAAGTTTGCCCAGGTTCAAACTATTTTAAAGAACTTGCTCTAGGGTTTATTTTTAACTGTGTTGATTTTGTGTTTTGTGAATTATTAATTTCCACTTTTAACTATACTAATCTCATCTTCTGGATTTTCTTCATGCTGTTTATACAACTTCCTAAGTTGATTCCTTGTTTCACTACATTTAATTCCCTTTGTTCAGTGATGAGAGTTATGATTTTGCCCCTAAGTGTAGTAAACAGCTGTCACTCACCTCACCCCATAAGTTTTAATAGGAAGTATTCTTATTATAGTAATTTTCTAAATCTTCTGTAATTACAGCTTAATTTTCTCATTGACTCAATAATTTTTTTTAATGTTATTTAAATCAAGAAGCTTGTTGGTTTGTTGTTTTGTTTACTACTTTGTGGTCAAAAATGCAGTCTGCAGAATTTTTACTTTTTAAAATTTGTGGATGTCTCCTTTGGAAATCAATTTTTGTAAATATTCCACAAACATTTGAAAACAATGTCTATTCCCTCCCAGTAATAAAAACATTTATTCAGCTAATTAATTGTATTATTCAAATTTTGAATATCTTTAAATGTTATCTTTAAATGTTATCTTTAAATGTTCAAACACATATCTGAATTTACACTTTTCTATCAATATTAAAATAAAATAATATTTATTGACATTATCCAATAATGTGAAAAATGTATTGTACTTTCATTTCCTTCTACCTTTTCCCACTAATTTTTATTGAAATACTATGGGCTCATAGGTACAAATTATTATTATAAAGCTCTTACTATAGGTAATTTTTTTCAAAAATTGTTTTTAATGTTTATATTGTTTTATACCTATATAAACACAGTAGGTTATTGCCTTACCAGTTTTATTATTCTCATTATTCTCTATATGCCTTTCCTCCCTTCATTTATTCACTTTGATTCGTCTCTTAGTGGTAGAGGTAACTCTTCAAGCAATTTTTTATTGCTAGAAAGGTTTTTGCGTATCTCAGACAGGTATATACAATTCTTTAATGTCTGAAAATGTCTTTCTGTTGCTGTCACAGCTGAATAGTACCACTGAATATAGAATGTATTATTTATAATCTCCCCCTTCAAAATCCTAAAGATGTTGCTCCTCGTCCTCAGGTGTTCATTGTTATAGAGGAGACTCCTATGCTAGCCTGTTAACATAATTTTCTTCCCCTATGTGGATAACCTGTTGTTTCTTTCTCTTTACGTCTTTAGATTTTTCTTATCCTTGCTCCTTCTACTCTTAGTCACTGCCAGCATTCCTTGGCCCCTGGCCACATCATTACAGTCTCTGCTTCTGTGGGTCACATTGCCTTCTCCTCTCCTATAGTCAAATTTCCCACTGCCTCTCTCTTATAAGGACACTTCTGATTACATCTAGGGCCCACCCAGACAACTCAGGATAATTCCCCCAATCCCAACACCCTTAACTTAATCACATCTGCACGGTCCTTTTTGCCATATAAGGTAACATTCACAAGTTCCAAGGATTATATGGTGAACTTCTGGGAGGCCATTATTCAACCTACCATTGGCCACTCTTTGGCCCCCAAAGATTCATGCCTATGCTACATATATTCACCTCATTCCAACATTACTCCAAAGCCTCAACCCATTATAGCATTAAAGTCCAAAATCTCATAATCTAGATCATCTAAATTAGATATGTGTGAGACTCTGGCTATGATCCACCCTGGGACAAAATTCCTCTCCATCTGTGGACCTGGAAGACAAGTTATCTGCTCTGAAAATCATGGGACAAGCATAGGATAACAGTTACATGCATTCTCATTTCAAAAGAGAAAAAAACAGAAGGAAGAAAAGAATCATAGTCCCAAGAAATCTCAAAATCCAACCAGAAAAACTCCATTGGTTTCCAAAGCCTGAATAATCCTCTATTTTTGAAGTCTCCACCCTTTCTGCCCACAGCTCTGCCCTCTTGGCCACAGCTCTTCCCTCAGAGTCATCCTCCCTTTTTTCCTGAAGGGTAGCACATATTTTTAGCTGGTTAGTTTTATCAGTATGTTTTCTGCCTGTAGAATTTTGGGAGTCCAACAGCTTTTTTTTATTTCATTTTGTCTCTGTCCCTTTTAATCCAAGCTGGCAGTGTTTCTGCTGATATAACATTTGAAAAATTTTTGCGGATCTCCCATATATGTCGTGGTGATTTAGTCCTTCAGACCAGAGAGTTTTCCAATATTTTTTTCTGGATAACTGTATCTCTATTTCTAACTTCTGCTGAGATGGCTGAGGGGATCTGCGAGTGACACATCTAAGTTTTACAGCATTAGCAAAAGATTGTCCAGTCCCACCTTTGGCTTTCTCTCCAGAGCATACTTTCCCAACAGTGAATATCCTAATTTTAGCATCTTTTGCAACCCAGATATGCAGAGAATCCTTGAGGGTAAGGACTAGGTCTGATTTAACATTGAATATCCAAAACATACTATGTTTCCTGTTGTGGCTTTCAGTGGAAGTTTGATATCTTGAATTTAAAAGTATGGAATAAATACAGAAAACTGATATTCATCTACCTTGGATCAGGTTACCCCAAAGCAGACTCTGAGGCAGTGATTCATGTGCAAGGATTTATTTGGGAAGGGCTCCTAGGAGAAACTGACACGGGACTGGAGGAAGCAGGGCTAGAAGGGAAAGAAGCCCAGCAAGGGTGCAATTTCAGATGAAGGGCAAGTCTCAGCCTGATCCTGTGGTGCTCTGTAGTGTAAATTACACAACAGAGTTTTTCCTCCCTCAGGACTAGTGAGCTAGACTTTCATACTCCTGCACAAGTTAGCCATTAGCTATGGGCCACCCCAGGGTAACATAACTCCTAACTCCCAGGCACTTCCAGCTCTCTATACACATGGGTGAAGCAGCTCTAGTAGTCTAAGGATAGTCTTCTACGGAGTTGTAAGTGTGACCTGCTATAAGAAAAAGAATAAAAAACATTCAGAGCCTGGGTGCTGTGCATACCAAATGGTAAAGGGAATCCAGGAGATCTGAGTGAGACCAACAGCATCAGCATTATCGTAACATAATTCAGCAGAATTGGTATGGTGGTTCTTAGAATTATGAAGTAATAACAATGCATTCTCTCAGCAGAAATACCCCTCTTTTCTTACTTTTATCTAAAATGGTGTTAGCTCATACTGCCTCCTTGCTCTGGGAGTTTTCTTAGAGGATGGGGGTGTTTACATATCGGAAGATAACAAGTCTTAAACACAGTATTCCATTAATCCCATCCTCTCCCCCGCCCTGCTGATTGTCATCGTTTTAATTATCTGTTAACATATACTCATCACCTCCCCCTGACAGGCCTGTTAATTGTTCTGGTAGAGGAGTGAGGCCACCAAGTGCAGTCCCACAGAACGATGTGATTGGTGAGGGGTTAGGACACTGAACATCTTCTCTGTCCTGAGCAAATGCCATCCATTTAACCCATTTGTCAGTTTGGGGAAGTGATTCTGACAGGTCACCTTTCATAATGGCTGCACTTCTATTTATAGAACCAGCTGATGATTGCACATGGTCAACTCGGATTCTTCTTACCCTGAGTGAATTTATAATGTCGCTGCAGCGTACTGTTTATCCCCACAGTGAGAAGTGGCGTGCTCTCTCAGTCCCTTCATCTTCCTATTTTCAGGAGCTGGTGGGCACCAGCCAGGAACTGGCTCTCACCTTCTGGCATTTACTGTGAGCCGGCCTAACAGGTGTGGGCCTGGCCTGGCTCCACAGAGGCAGTGCCCCTCAGCAGACTCAGACTCTGTCCTCGAGGATCTCATTGCTATGGACCGAATTTTGTTCCCTCCTCCTCCAAACTCATGAACCTCTAACCCCCGATGTGACTGTATCTGAAGATAGGGCTTTTAGGAGGTAATTAAGGTTACATGAGTCATAAGGTGGGGTCCCAATCAAATCAAATTGGTGGCTTTACAAGAAGACTCACCTACCTAGGAAAGGTCTTGTGGGCACACAGTGAGAAGACAGCCGTCTGCAGGCCAGGAAGAGAGCCCTGGGGAGCAGCCAACCCCACTGGACCCTGACCTGGGAATTCCAGCCTCCAGATCTGTGAGGAAATAAATTTCTACTGTTTAATCCACCCAGTCTGTGGCATTTTGCTATGGCAGCCTGAGCGGACTAAGAAACACATGTACAGAAATAAGGAAATACATCAGCATAGAAAGCGAGGCTGCTGATTCTGAAGTGTTCAGGCAAGGGATGGCCTTAAGCTGGTGCCTTTCATAGATCCTCCAAACAGATAACAAAGCTCCGCACACTATACAGCGTCTACTGTCTCATCATTTCATTAAATACAGGTCCAGGGGAACAAGGTGACACAGCAGAAGCAGAGTCAAGATGTGGGACAGAAAAGGCAAGTCCCTCTCTTCCTACCCATGCCAAGTTCTCTGGCTGCGAGAGGGAAGAGAAAGCCACAAAAGAGAGAAACAGCTTCTGGCTTACTGTGGTTTAAATAAAGCAGATTGAAGGTGGAAAGAGTCTTACATTTTGGGGAAAATATTTAATGAGTACCAATACTTACTAGTATTAATATTTAATTTAGTATCCATGCTTAATACTAAACTTCAGTGGACTGGCTAGAACAAGCCTGGCTATGTCTCATGCCCACCTTGCCCCCAGAGAATAAAGAAAAAACATTAAGGAGGTGGCGAACAGGTGGATCTGGAGAGATTCAGAGGCCAGTGGAAGAAAAGGTCTGCCTGGCCAGGCCTGTGTTTCTATTACCAGATGATCAGGGGCAAAATTCCTCAAATGTAGCCAAAATGCTGAGGACATTATTTTCTTATCTGCATTGAGTAGGTTTCTAATCTTCTATAACTTTTTAAAATTGAGTTTGTTTGATTTAGATTAATAGTTACATGTATGCTTTAAAAGTACAAATAAGGTGTCATATTTTTGAAATGAAAAATTGCCCTGATTGGCATTTTAATAAATTACCAAAGATACATGTGAGTCTAAATTAGGCTTGCCCAAGGCATAGCTGTAAAACAGAGAACGGGGTGAGATTATTCAAATATATGCGCCTTCCCTGAGCACCTCACTCCCAGCCCTGGTGTGGTACACAAATTTGTACATAAATCCTGTATTTGTGCACCCTTTGAATTGTGATTGCCTTGCTGCTAGTTTTTTCCTAAAATCCTGATTCGGATGCTTGTTTCCAGGTCTATGTTTGGATTCTTCATCGTGTCCTATGGCTTTCTCACAGCATTTGGCAGGACTCTTTTCCACTTGGATCTGCTACAACCCAACCTTACACCTTCACGCTTTGACAAGTACACTGGGTCAGCCCAGCGGCCACTTTCTTTGAGGGTCACTCATTCGCCTAGGTCAGAGTCCCTGACTCTGAAGCAAATCCACCTCCAGCTGCTGCAAGAACATGGCAGATGGAGCACTTGGCTCGTACAGGCTCAGTGTTGAAGGATGATGCAGTTATGCTGGGGCCCACTGAGCTGGCCACCGGGAAGGCCAGCAGCTCAGCTCCCAGGGAACCACAGCTGAGTTCAGTGTTGCCTTCTCTCCTGGATATGTGTCCTTGCTTCAAAGCAGAGTTGGATAGGACTTATGCCTGCCTGGTAATTAAGGTTAATGAGCACATTCCAACTGCAAGGCAGAAAAGCAAATCTGGTTTTTGAGTCCACATTCTTGGCATTCACCCCACCCAGAAGGATCCAGGAGACAGTGATAATCCTCCCCTGGGATATGTCACCAGGTTATAGGACCCAATCCCAGTTCCAGACAAGACAGTGGAGGGTCACAAGGTGATCCCTGTGAGATCTGACCTCTGCAATCTGTATGAAGTTATCTGATATTATCTTAAGGCAGAGCCTGAGATTTCAGAATCAAGGTTTGAGAGGCTAGGCTGAGTCCTGCTGTGAAACATGGGAGCAGGAATCCCTCGCACATTCAACTTTCTCTAGCAGCCGCTAAATGACTACGTGGAATGCACACTGCAGGGCCCAGGGCACAGGCATGGGGTCGGAAACATGGGCTTCTCCAAATTCTGCTGTGTTATTGCTCTGAGACTCTGAGCAAAAGTCCTCCTCCCCCTACACTTCAGTCTCTTCATCTATGAAATAGAGGGAGATGGGTTAGATCCATGTTTTCAAAGCATGGTCCAAGGAATCCTAGAGGTTTTGTGGATGTCCAAAGTGGAGAGTGCATACCACACTAATGATGGTGATACTGCTGGAGAGGGTGTGAGGAATGGTTCTATAGGTTAGGAGTTACAATGTAAGGATTTATTTTTTAAAAAAAGACAATGCAAAAACGATAACATAATAATTGCAAATTCTGCATCATGGAAATGTAAGTACTTGTTATAGTATTGTTTGTACTTTTCTAGGTCTTAAATTTCTCAAACAAAAAAAAGCAATTAAAGCAGGATCAGGTCTTGATCTAGCAGTGAGTAGAGAGCACTGACCTTCCACCCCCAGCATGTGCAGATTGTACATAAAAAATTTATAGTTTCTTTTTATTTTACATAAATGATATCATATTTGTGATATTGCTCATCAACTTACTTTTTCACTTAACAAAATTTCTAGCCCTCTATTGTGTGTATGTGCATATGTGTGTGTGCACACGTGTGTTTCCAGTGAAGTAAGAGTATTCCATGACACAGATATACCATGGCTGTTTTAACCATTCCTTATTGACAGAAGTTAATTTTGTTCCCAGTTTTTCACTGTTACAATACTGCAGTGAACGTCTTTCAAAATCCCAGGGCAAAAGAACAGCAGAACTTTGACCAAACACCTATTTCCTCATCCTCAAGCCTGGCCTCATAGTTGTGAGTGGCTATTAATGAATGGCCAATGTTCTTAAGTTTCACAACTTGCATTCCACAGCGCAGAATCAAAAACCAGTTGCTGGATAATCCTGAATAATTTCCCCCAGGAAGTTTTCAGCTATCTCAAGCCACTAAGGAGAAAAGCTAGAATCTAAGATATGCCAAGAAAGGAACAGCTCAAGTAAACATCCCAGGATCTCAACTTGGAACCCTACAGTGCAACACCCTAGGAATATTGTCAAACCAAAGATAGACACAGCCTTGTTTACAATAAGTGAACCCCACCTGAAGTGGGCTTAGCCCCTTATTGAATGGAGGTGATCTGCTTCACAATAGTTGCTTACCAGAGAAAATGGTGAATCCTCTCTGCAGAAAAATAACATCACCCTGAGCTACTGCAATGTTTTACATCAGTGCTCAGTAACTCACTGAAATGTTTATCAGGTATATCAAGAAACTGAACCAAAAGAAAAAATAAACAATAGAAGCAAACTCACAGATGACCTAGATATTGGAGTTATCAAATAAGGACTTCAAAAAAATTATGATATCAGTGACAAGGTGGAAAATGGCACTGGAGGGCTGGAAATTGTTTTAAAGCATCAAATGGAAATTCTAAAACTGAAAAGTATGGCTGAAGGGAAATGTGAATAGGTAGATTTAATAGCTGATGGGACATAGTTAAAGACAAGATTAATGAACTTGAAGTTAGTTCATAAAAATATTCAGACTACAGCATAAAAAGAAAAAAAAAACAGGAAAAAAGCATAACAAATAAAATTGTGACACAGTGAAAAGGTCTAAGTGTATCTGGAGCACCAGAAAGGGAAGAGAGAGAAAATGGGACAGATGAATATTTAAAAGGGAAAGAGCCCAGAATTTTCAGAAGCTGACATCAAGTAACATTCAAGAAGTAGTACAAACACTAAGCAAGAAAATCCAGAGAAAACCACACATAGGCACATTCACAGGAAAACTGCTGAAAACCAAAGAGAAGGAGAAAATCTTTAAGGCAGGCAGAGAAAAATATACATTCCCTTCAAGGGAGACAAGACCTTGGGGAATATTATTCACATGACCTCTTCCTGAAGGACATGGTAGACAACAATCTACAGCCAAACAAGAGATGATAGAAAAACTTCAGCCAAAGGACTGGTGGGAAGCCTTAAATAGATGTCACTGTAAAACTGAGAATGAAAACTAAGGTAGACATAAGGGCAAAAACAACATATAAATGTTACATCCCCTAACCGTGTAGAAATAACAGAACTAACTGACAATGGAAAGAGAATGGGAAAAGGAGGTGAAAGTTAAAATAAGCTCCCTAATTTCCTAATATCTTACAGCTGGGAATAAATATACATCTAAAGTTGACAATTCAAATTACAGAAACTGACACACATTTAAAAGAACAAACGTAAACAATTAGAAAGCTAATACTAGTGACTAAAATTAGGTAGTGGAAGAGAAAATAAGAGTAAGAATCAGGGATAAAGAAAAAAACAGTAATAAACTAAAATAAAAATAAATAAAATGAGTATATTTACTTCAACTCTCTGCTTTCAAGGCCAAAAAGGAGAGATACCAAAAAACCAATAGAAAAATAGATAAAGGATATTAACAGAGAGTTCACAAAAAAGGAAGGACAAATGGATCTTAAACACATGCAAAGATGCTTAACTTCATTCACGAAGATAAATGAAAATTACTCTGAGTGCTACAAGGGTATATACATTTGTAAAATCTCAAAATGATGCATTTAATATTTGTACATTTCACTACATGTAAATTTTACCTTTTAAGAAATCTGTAAACAAATATTGAATTCTAGTTAATGATACACACGCTGAAGTGCTTTGAAGTGAAGTGTACTAATGTTTGCGTCTTACTTTGAAATGCATTCCAAAAATAAAAAGGATGGATAGGTGGGTAACTATGAAATTTTTAAAATGCAGCAAAACGTTAACAACTATAGAATCTAGGTGGTGAGTATATATTTGTTTACTGTATAATTCTTTCAACTTCTCTGTGTGTTTGAAAATGTTTGCTATAAGATGTTGTAACATCTTCTTTCAAATTTTCTTTCAAATTGGCAAAAATAAAGGATAACTTGATTTTCAAGATTGTGTGACTGAAACACCAGGGGTTTGGTCTGGGTCCTGTTGCTCACTGTACAGAAAGCCAGTAACTGAAACAATGAGTATTTCCAGGGAAAAAGGCTTTTTATTCTCATGATGTCAACTGGGAGAATGAGAGAGAAGTCTCAAATCCATCGCCTCAACTGACTAAAATTGGGGGTTTATAGACTAGGGAAAGAATGTGGAAAAGTTGGACTAGGAAGGTAAGGAACAGTAAGAAAGATGAACGAGGGGTCTGGTGTCTCGTTGTCTGGATGCCGGGATCTGGTGCATTTCAGTCCCTTGCCTGAGAGTCAGTTTTCTAAGGAAAAAACTCAGATGAGACAAATGTAAGTTTCAAGTTTTAAGACTGGGAGGGTCAATTTCTATGTTTATTCAAAAAACCCATAAATATCAGTTCTATGGGACAACTGGGCTGGTTTCAACTGTAGGACAACCATCCCTCACAACCTTTGCCAATGGAAGCTTACATAGGTACAACCTCCAAGAATAATACTATCAATCAGAATTAAAATGAATTTATCCTTAGACACAGCAGTTTCACCTGAAGGAATTTAATTACGGACATACTCAGACATGTGCAAAATGACATCGCTACAAGGACATTTACTCCATCAATACATGAAAAACAAAAGATTGGAAATTCTGTCTAACTGATAGAAGAACGGTTGAATTTACTATGGGATATCCGTACAACAAAATACAATAGAGCCATTAAAAAGAAAGAGGCAACCTTCTATGTACTGACATGAAATAATCTCCAAGATATGTTAAATTTTAAAAGATGTGGAACAGTTTATATAACAGGCTTGCATTTGTTAGAAAAACAAATACATAAACATACATATTTTCCTGTATAAGAATAAAATATCTCCAGATTAGAAGGATGTATAAAGACCTGACAACAGTAGCTTCCTCTCTGGAGATGAACTAGATGGCTGGGGAGAGGGGTAGTAAAAACACTGCTTTGACTGTTTTCTTTTTGTGCTTTTTGAGTTTTGAAAAGTGTACAACTATTAATTACGCAAAATGTTCAATTTAATCCTCAAAAAGTTAAAAACATGATTACCATATGATCCAGCAATGCCACTTCTGCTTATATACCCCAAAGCATTGAAAGCAGAGTCTCAAGGAGAGATTTGTACACCCACATTCATAGCAGCACTATTTACACAGCCAAAAGGTGAAAACAACCTGAGTGTCCATTGATGAAAAAATGGATAAACAAAATGTGGTATATATATATATATATATATATATACAATGGAATATTATTCGGACCTTAAAAAAAATGAAATTCTGACATGCTACAATATGGATGAAGCTGGAGGACATTATGCGTAATGAAATAAGCCAGTCACAAAAAGACAAATACTGTACAATTCCACTTATATGAAGTATGTAGAGCAGTCAGATTCATAGAGACATAAAGTAGAATGGTGGCCGCCCCGGGCTGGGGGAAGGGGAATGGGGAGTTATGGTCTAATGAGCGCACAGTTTGTTTTGCAAGATGAAGAGTTCTGGAGATGGATGGCAGCAATGGCTGCACCACAGTGTGGATGTACTTAATGCCACTGAACAGTACACATAAATGCCACTGTACACTTTAAAATGGTCAAGATGGTAGATTTTATATTATGTGTATGTGGTCACATTTTTTTAAGTTTATAAATATATATGTGTGTGTGCATGTGTGTATGTGTTTGTGTATATATATATATATATATATATATATATATTTTTTTTTTTTTTTTTTTTTTTTGAGACACAGTCTTGCTCTGTCGCCCAGGCTGGAGTGCAGCGGCGCAACCTCCGCCTCCTGGGTTCAAGTGACTCTCTTGCCTCAGCCTCCTGAGTAGCTGGGATTACAGGCATGCACCACCACGCCCGGCTAAACTTTTTGTACTTTTTGTAGAGACAGGATTTCACCATGCTGGTCTCGAACTCCTGAGCTCAAGCAATCCTCCCACCTCAGCCTCCCAAAGTGCTGGGATTACAGACTTGAAAGTTGTTATATTTTAAAAAGAGAGAAGAAATCAACATCAAGTAACAGAGTGTGGCAGCTCCCACCCCCATGCCAGGGAGGAGCTACCCAGGCGAGTCCACATCAAATCTGGGGCTGGGCATCTCAGGAAATAACTAGTCTTCTTTGTCTCTTTCTCTTACAGTCACACTCCAGCGCCCCCACGAGCCAGCACAGTGCCTGCTCTCAGTGAAAGGCCACTGTTCTCCTTGGGTGACCCCCATGATGCCTGACCGCTCCTCGTGCCTCCTGGAACAGCCAGGGTCCTTATGAAGTGGTGACCACTCCAGTCAGCAGGTCAGTGTCCCCCGAGAGTGATGAGGGCTGAGACAAGGTCTAAGAGAGGGGAAGGCGTGGTTGACTGTGGTTACAGATATTCCCCAGCCAGCGGGCTCCAAGCTTGCACACACAGGTATCTTCCTGAAGCTCCAGAGTGGGTGGGGAAGATGGAGCCCCACTACAGGAGGCAGAGACATGTAGGGACCTCGGGTGTGGGATGTGGGACCTTGGATACGTCATTTCCCTGCTCAGTGCCTCAGTTTCCACATTTATAAAATGGGCCTATTGATGCCTGGGTAACTTGCTTCCAGGGGTATCATGAGCTTTAAATAACAGACAGAACACGAAGCACAGAGTACAGTTCAAGCACTCCACAAGTTCAGGGATGAGGATAGGGACGAATGCTATGTATGGGGAGAGGGAGCAGCAGCCGGCCCTCCTCCTAAAGCTGTCCCTGGCAGCTGAACTTGGGGAGCTGCCTGCTCGCTCCTAGCCAGCTCCTCGAGCTCCCAGTTCACTCAAAGTATGTACTGACCATCCACTGGAGCCAGGGACTGTGCATTTGGTCGTCACATCCCTGTGAAGCAGGTATGGCCACCTTTCCTCAGCAGGGAGGAAATTAGGACCCAGAGAAGTTGCAAATCATCCCAAGATGAATGAGTGATGTGTCAGTGTAGGCACTACCGCTGGAGTCCTAACAATAATTGAGAGCTGTCCAGACCTGCCCTGCAGGGTGGTGGCAGAGCTGGGACTCTTCCACGTGACTGCCAAAACTGTTCTTCCCATAACACTTACAGTTTTCAGGCCATGTGCTGGCGTCAGCAGGAGTCTCTAGAGAGTCCCTGTGAGGACCTGCAGCAGGGAAGGGGATATAGACCCTCCAAGCCTCTCACTCTCTTCCATGACAGCAGCCCCTCCTCAGTCTATTCCTCTGTGGTTTTCCACAATAGGTTTCATTTGAAATCTAGGTTCTTATGCTTTCAAAACATGATAGACCAGGCACAGTGGTCACGCCTGTAATCCTGATGCTTTGGGAGGCCAAGGCAAGAGGATTGCTTGAGCCAGGAGTTGGAGGCTGCAGTAAGCTATGATTTTACCACTGCACTCCAGCCTGAGCAACAGAGTGAGACCCTGTCTGTAAAATACATGTATAAATATAATAATTACCCAATTTTTGGAATGCTTTCAGATCACCCTCAGATAGTGGCTTGGCTAAATGGAAAGCATTATCCTAACTGCCTTTCTAAAGGGTTTCATGGAGTGGAGGCAGCTGCAGGGCCTCTATCCCCACCCAACCCTCAGCCCCACCCTAGTCCCATGCCTGCTGGGACTCATCTGTCACCTCCCCTGCCCCAGTCTGGGGAGGCACTGGCTGCACCCTGCTAGAGACTCTGGTTTACCTACAAGGTTTCGGGCTGTGACCATGTGGGTCCATGTGTACCCATCCCCTCCTACCCTCCTGCAGGGTGGTCTGAGCAGCAAGCTCTCGGTGCAGGGGTAGCAGATAAGAGGGAGCAGAGGTTGGTGCCCTGCAATCACCCCAGGCACCTGACCATGCCCCTCCTTCCCCACTGCTGTGGCTGTCTCTGCAGGGGTGGAAAATGGTACCAGTCAAACCCGAGGCGGAGGAGGAGCAGCCCGCAGTCGCTGCCGCGAGATGGAGGAGCCCACGCCCGAGCCCGTCTATGTCGACGTAGACAAAGGGCTGACCTTGGCCTGCTTCGTCTTCCTCTGCCTCTTCCTTGTCGTGATGATCATCCGCTGTGCCAAGGTCATCATGGACCCTTACAGCGCCATCCCCACATCCACCTGGGAGGAGCAGCACCTGGACGACTGAGGCACAGCGGCTGTGGGGACTGGACCTGGCGCTCTGTGGGTGGCTGTGCCCCAGGATGCATCCGTGTGTTCCCTGCCAGCCTGCCATCCCACAGAGGCAAGGAATGAATCTGGCCACCCAGGGAAACAGAAGGTGCAGCTTAGCCCTCTCAGCCCTCCCTCGAGCACCAGCGTGGAATGCCCGGGTGCCGTGGGTGTCGCAACCATGGACCAGCCAGGGGAAAAGAGCCCTGGACCAGGACCCAGGAGGCTGGGGTTCCAGTGTGGGGAGTCCCTGTGAGATGATAGGGTAGTCACCTTCCCAGGTTCCTGGGCACCTTTTGGAACTGGATCCAGCAACAGACACCCCCCATCCATCACATAACAGTGGTCTTGTCTTGAGGAGACTCTCGGTCCTTTAAATGCAAAGTAGCAATGGAGGCTCCCAACCAAGAGGTCCCACCTGAACCCCAGCCCCCTCCCCATGGACTAGCAGTGGTGTGGCAGTGAGGGGGGAAAGCGGGTTGAGGGAGTCTCACCTGAAAATTCACAAAACGCACAGGATATGGGCTGCTTCCAAGCAGTATTTTTTTAAACTAAAATATAGAGGGATATATTTTTCCTGTTATAAATAAAATGTACATTTTAGAAACTTGGGAAAATGCAGATAAATAGAAAGAAAGGGGGAGGAAATAACACTTATAATCCCACCTCCCGGAAACCACCATTTTGATATATTTTCTTCCAGCCTTTTTACTTGTATTTTTTAGTCAAATTCATACTCTGTGCATGATGTTGTATCGCCTCATATGATAGCAGGAATACTTCCCCATTACATCAAACACTCTTCTTAGCTGCCAGTTTTAGTGACCGAAGGGCATCCCATCGGTTGGGTAGGTCATGGTTAAAAAATCATCTCCTTTGGTTGCATATTTAATTATTTTCCACTATTTTTTCCTCACACAAAATGATTTCGCCCGGTACCCTTTTTGGGGGTGCACAGTCCATGAGATGAATATTGAATGGGGAGACCTGGGTTCTAGTCTCGCATTTACCAGTCAGGTTACAATGCGACCTTGAGCAAGTCACTTCACCTCCCAGCGCCTCAGTTTCCTCATTGTAAGATAGGAAAAGCCTTGTCATTTTTAAAATTTTATTTTTTGCATATACCTCATGTGAACGAAAGGACAGAAAGGGGAGTGAATATACTATGAATGTGCTATAGTCGGAGTTGGGGGGCAAGGAAGAAGTCATCGATGATGGCTCTTCTCAGGCCCTCCCTCCTCCCACCTCTTTCTGCCCTCCACCCCACTCCCACTCCATCACCTACATCTATGACCTTGCAGCAAAATCATTAGAGCAGAGCCTACAAAACCGGCCCCAAGTCCCAATTCCTCTACTTCCTTGTTAGAGGACCCCAAATAACTCACTCAGCCTCTCTGAGCCCCAATTTCCTCACCTGTAAAGTGAGGGAATAACATCTACCTCGCAAGGTTGTTGTGAGGACGAAATGAGAGAACATGGGCAAACATGAATGTTCTTGAATTCACCACCCCAGGAGAAGCCAGGGGTCTGAGCTGGGAGGAGCAGAGGTTCTGGGTGCCCCCTGCCCCTACAGAGCCTGGCACCTTCAGCTTTTCTCAACTTCTGAGGGCTGCTTCCTACAGGCCAAATCTCCCAGCCGGAACCACTTGGTCAGAGGAACACTCACAGCAGCCTTTCCCAGCACCTGACCTCAAGGGATATGGCGTCTACCAATTTACATAATTGCCTTTGTCATCAGTTTTCCCATAACATGGTACGAAGTTAAATGAGAGCACCTGAGCTCCCCTTCCTCTGAGTGCATTTATTCCATCCCTCCAAGCTGTGGCCTTCCATCCCCATCCAAGAGACCTGCAGCTGTGAAGAAGCTCAAGACTTCTTTCTCATTGCCTGCCTCCCAGCCATTAGTCCCCACCACAGCCCAGGCCACCTGGAAAATGGGTTCCAAAGCACTATCACTACTAGGTGACCCCTGAATGTGGACAAGGCCACAGCTCTTCAGGCAGCATTTCAGGGGCTATCCAGTTGTCATCCCTCTCATACCCCTCTCCTACCCACCCCTATCCCCACTATTGTGGAATGCACGAAGGGACAGCTGGCAAAGGCAGTGAACCAAGATGCAGGGAAGGCCCTGTATGATGGGGAGGATCTAAAGCAAAAGCCTTTTGTGCATTGCCTCAGGTTCAGCAGCAGCAGCCCTCACTCTGAAGCCTACCTTGAGAAGCCAGGCATTTCTGTGAAAAGCTCATCAGCATGCATTTACAATGCAAACTAGAACCAACTCCCAGTCAGCTAATAACAGACCCCAGGAAAAAGAAAAGGTCTTCCAGACCTCCCCGACACACTTTAGAACCCTCAGGGGTGAAAAAGAGGGTGCTCCAGGGCAGTGCAACTTAAACTGTGGTTGAAGGACAAACAGCCTCTGCAATACTTGAGGAGCTTGTTAGAAACCCAAACTCACAGCCCCCTCCAGACCTACGTACAGAATGTATATTAGCAAGATTCGCTAGGTGGTTTATGTGCACGTTAAAGTTTAAGAAGCACTGCCTGAGAATCCCTTGGTCCTAATTAATTCTTTTCCACACTCAGATTTGCTAATGGGTTTCACCTTATCTCTTGACTCTTGTTTGATGGCAACAGGAAATAGTAGCATTTCAGGAAGGGTGGAAAATATAAAAAGCACTCCCAACCCAAGCCTCCAAAAAACAGCAATTTTCATTTTGTGTCCATATATTCCCTTCTAATCATTGTCCTCATGCAAGATTTTTTTTCATAAAGATGATCTGCTACATAATTTTATATCATACTCTTTCTCCTAACATTACATCACAAGTATACTTTCATGTTGCTGCTACATTCTTCACACTTGTCATTTTAATGGCCATAAAACATGACATCTAGTGCACATATATAATTATGTAGACTCCTATTATTAAATATTTGGATTTCTTCCATTTTCCCTGTTGTACATGTTCCAAGCAAAAAAAGAAAGATCAAGATAGATATGATGAAGCCGGGGAGCTTGCTTAAGACAGGGGAGAATAAATACTTACAGTACACTCTCTCCATTTAAGAGACACATGGAGCACATGGGGGAGGGAGACCTGTCTAAGAACTGGATCATATTAAGGAGAAAAAAGCAACTGGAATCTCAGGCTTCAGTTGTTGCATTATGCTGCTGAAGCATAGAGGAGATGGTCCTTTGTGATCAGAGCGTCTCAACTCGTTTCTGGCAAGCTAAGATGAACTTTGGGGTTGTGGATAGAAAGATAAACTGATCTGCAAAAGAAATGCACAGAAGTATTGAAGGCTAGAAGTTGGCAGACAAGAAATGAAAAGCATTTAGAGAATGGGAGGCCTGTGAAGGTAGCCACAACCCAGGACTTAAGGAGAACACAGGCTGGAGAGGAACTCTCCAAAGCAGAGAATGGGTGGTGGGTTTTCCAGGCAATGGTGCCTAGTGGCCAGTTTTAAGTTGTTGCTTGTACTGTGCTCAGCTACACTCCCTTCATGTTGCCCCAAGCCCTCTCTAAAGTCTGATAAATGATCCACCACTCTGCAGCAGTGGTCTTTGGGACAATGAAGACACCTCGGTGGTGGGTCACTTAGGGAAATACAATCTGGAAGGGGCCAACAGTCCCAGAGACAAGTGGGGTAGCAGAAATATGCAGAACCAAGAGTTCAGAGTGATGGTCACTAGAAGAAATGTGGCCTCTAAGGATGCTCAGACAGGTGGATATGTATAGTAGGACCCTAGCTTTACCATCCTGGCATATCATTCCCATCATAGCTATTTCATTTTTTTCCAATTAGTTGCTGAAATGTCTACATGTTCTTATCGAGTTGAAAGATCAGTGTCTCCCTGTCTCATTAAATTTCCAGAACTTCAGAGGCTAAATCAATCCAAAAGGGGCTGGCCCTGCTTTCAAACACCAAGTGAAGAGAACTACAAAGTTTGGTGTGTCCACTAGTGTGGTTTCATACCCCCTAGGTCTTGCTGTTGAGGACTGGTTCTGCCAGGCATGATCAATGACCACCCACAATGTCCTGTGGCCCAGCCTGTGGAGAGGTGCCCAAACAGAGTTATCTGGGTCCACATCCATGTGCCCAGCTATTCTGTCCAATCATAGCACAAAGACAGGTTGCCTGTGTCCAGAGGGACACACAGCCTCAGGCACACCAGCCCTTACTTATGAGCTTGATGGTCATCAGCAAAGACTCTCTCCCTTTAGGAGGGTTCTCCTTGGGACTTTTCAGTGTCTTGGCAGGAAAGAGATGGCACACACGAAGCACTGATTGAAGACAGTTTAATGAAAGAATATTTACAGAGGTTGGGCAAGGGTATGGAAAACAACAGGGAACAGTAAAACACCCAGGGATGACAAGGCAAGGTAGCTCATGTCTGTAATCTCAGCACTTTGGGAGGCCAACACAGGCAGATTGCTTGAGCCCAGGAGTTTGAAACCAGCCTGGCAACATAAGCAAGAATCTGTTTATCTACAAAAAATAAAATAATTAAAAAAAAATTACCTGGCTGTGGTGTTGCACACCTATAGTCCCAGCTACTCAGGAGTCTGAGGTGGGAGGATCACTTGAGTCCAGGAGTTTGAGGTTACAATGAGCTAGGATCACACTACTGCACTCCAGCCTAGGCGACAAAGAGAGATGCTGTCTCTAAAAATAAAAAACAAAAACAAACTACCCAGGAACAGGCAGGCCACCAACTGTTACCATCTCTTGCCTAGAGAGACAAGGAGAAGGATCTAGAACCCAGGGAGAGCTATAGCCATGGAGAAGGAGTCACCCAATGGAAGCCCTGGCCACAGCTAGAGGATCAAAACTCCTGCACCCACTGCAGCTCAGTAGGAAGAGAGCTGGGGGAATAAATACCTTGACCTCTTGCCTCCTGCCCTCCAATCTCCTGTCTGGGTCTTCCATTGGCCAAAAACAACAGAAGCTAAAGGTCAGGGGACCCTGGGTGATACGGTCCACATAGGCAGCACACTGGAGCAAAAGAAGAAAAACCAGCACAATTCATCTTATTACCACTTAGCAGCCATTCACAAACTTTGCTTAGATGGGAGAAAAATATTTTGTCCCCGGCACAGGGGAAACATAAAATCTCACCAGCAGCCATATTGTCTGGGGGTGATAGCAATTTAGTCCCACTCCCTCCTGCAACTTAAATCATAATGTAGCCAGTCCCGGGTAAGTGGAACACTTCCTGTAAAGCACAACTGCTAGTGCCCCCTTCTGTGGCTGGTCATGAGGCCCAGAGTGGTAACTGCAGTCTTGTTCTCCCACCACCCATTCCATAGCCCCTCTACTTTCTGGCAGTCCCTTAGCTGTTGGAGAATTTTATCTGGTGGAATGACCCAAATCTTCATCCACAGAGGATTCAAATTCTTAGTGCCGTGTCTTCAATGAGTTGCCACAGTATCCACAGATTCCTAAAGAACATGAAGAGGCCTTGAAGATCTCACCTGGAAGCTCTGTAAAATTATCAGAAAGAATAGCAGGTGCTCTAGGGCAACACTACTCAAACTATGGTCCACGGATGGACAGCATTGGCATCTCTGGGGAGCTTGTTAGAAATCTAATTTCATGCCCCCACCTCAGGCTTACAGAATGAGGACAAGGGATACAGGGAGTACCAAGTGCCCTAGCGAATCCCAGGGTTCCAAAGCTAGTACTCCTTGCCCCTATTGTGTAGCAGAAACCCCACTTTCCCTTGGATATTGGGGTTAACCATCCTGACAGTGCAGTGATCTCTTTCTCTGCCAATATTTCAACATAAGGAGCCCCAGATGGCACAAGATCATCTTCCAATTTAACAGACCCATAACTATATTCCCTGGTGGAAGCAGTTCCTCTTGGTCACTAGAGATTTCCAAACCCACAAAACCTAAGGTTTCTTGGTTAAAGGCCATGTTTGTGGGATATGCTGAGATGAATATGCTGTGGTTTGAATGTGTCCCCCAAAGTTCATATGTTGGAAACTTGATTCCCATTGCAACAGTGTTGAGATCTGGGGCCCAATGAGAGGTGATTAGGCCATGAGGGCGGAGTGAATGGATTAATGCAGTTATCTCAAGAGTGGGTTTGTTATGAAGGGGGTGTTTGGTCCTCTTTTCTCTCTTGCCCATGTGATTCCTTCCACCATGTTTATGATGCAACAAGAAGGTCCTCACCAGATGCTGGTTCCTTGATCTTGTATTTTGCAGCCTCCAAAATCGTGAGCCAAATAAATTTCTATTCATTATAAATTACCCAGTTTGTGTTGTTCTGTTTTAGCAGCACAAAATGAAAGAATGAAACACCACAAATGGCAGGGAGGGGCAGGAATGGCAAATCCATATCTGGAATATGTGTCTATTCCTACTGCCCTCTATGATGAAAGGGATTCAGTGTAATCAACCTGCTACCAAGTAAGCGGTTGGTCTGTCTCCTACCACCCATCTCTGGGAATGGTGCCATATCAGGGGCTTGGCATTGGTCTCATTCATTGGAAGGCTACATATCCAGAAGTTATGGAAACCAATGGACCTTCACAAGGGAAAGCCCATAGTGTTGATAGCCTCTATCCCTTCCACTATGGTCACTCTGTTCATGATGTCATTGAGCAAACACCAGAGTAGACAGAGGAAGAGGCTCACACCCCCAGGTTGGGTCATCTTATCCAGCTGATCGTTGAGAGTCTTTTCTGCAGTGGATGCCCTCTGATAGGCATTTAGATGGCTCTTGAATATCTTGACACCCAGGGCCCCTTCAAAGATGTCTTTTCACACATATCTGCCCAAGACTGCCTTGGACCCTCTCTTCCCATCCTGTTCAGTTGGGTCAACACTGTGATTCTCCTATTGGAGATGGTTAGGAATTCCATACAGCACTCCATTTGCAACAGATACTTCTGGCACTATTGGATCTGCTGATCTTAAGGTCCAAATGGCAGAGTAGCTTTCATCACAGTCTGGATATACCTTTTCTAGAGCCCTGTATTATTCTGGGCCCCATTCAAAACCAGCAATCTTATGATGTAACCAGTAAATCCATCAGACACACACACAAATGTTCTATATATTGCCTCAAAAATCCAGAGATCCATCAACTGCTGAGCCTCATTCTTTATGGTGGAAGACACAAGGTGAAGCAACATGTTTCTCATCTTAGTGGGGATATTCCAACAGGCCTCAGCCTGCTAGAACCCAAGAAGTTTCACCAATGTGTCAGGTCACTGAACCTCCACATGTGTTTTCTTCCCCTCTCTGGCAAGCATGTGGCAGTACAGCACTTGCTAGTCCTCATTCACCAGATCCAATTAGCATAATGTTATCAATGTAGCAGGCAATCATAAAGTTCTATGGGCTGTCAAGATGATAAGGGTCTCATATCATATGACAGAAACCAGGAGAATTGGCAGATCCCTGAGGTAATGCATTTAGGGTGTGCCGCAGTCTTGTAACAGGTGAAGGTGAACTCCTTCTGATTATCTGTATTGATTGTGATGCAATGGAAACTATTTCTAATATGACAGTTCTCAAACTTCAGTATGCATTAGAATCACCGGGACGGCTCATTCTAACACAGCTGGTAAGCCCCTAGAATTTTTAATTCAGGTGGTCTTCAGTGGAGTTCTATAAATTGTACATCAAACACATTCCAAGGTTAAGCTGCTAATCCAGACCTACCTTTTGAGAATTACTGTTCTAGTCACCAGGTACAATACCAGGTGCACACCAGGTGTCAGGGGCTGAGCGGATCTTCTCTAATAAAGATACCACATCCAGAACAACTCCTGAAATGGCATTAATTCCTGATTGTGTTTATGAAAATCTGTAGGACCCACCTGGCTTTTGCATAAGCCAGACAGGTGACTTAAATAGTGATGTGATTAGAACCACCTGTCCTGCATCTCTCAAGTCTTTGAAGGGGGCACAATTCAATTGCCCTGAAGATGCAGAATTGCTTTTGGTTTACTATTTTGTCACAAAGAGGCAGTTCCAAGGGCTTCCATGGGGCCACTTCTACAATAATAGCCCTCACTCCATGGGTCCAATTGTCACCCTTAATACCAATGACTTTATTCATCAGGATTTAAGCGGCAAATTCAAAAGGTTCAATGAAGAGGGTTTAATTTTGGGACAATTTTCAGAGGGACAGGTAAGGTAAAGAGAATCAGTAAGGGTTGATGATTAATCCAGGGTTAACAATGATAAGAAGCCATTACTGCCCCTTGCCTGGGGAGAAAACAGTGGCACCAGAATCTAGCAAAGACTGTGGTTATGTTGCCCACAGGAGCAGTAGGACATAGTGGGACACAGCCACTGCCCAAACCATGGCTCAGCAGGGAAAGAGTAAGGAGGATGATGCTCTCTGCTGCTTTATTCCTCTATATTCCAACCTCTGCCTGCACCTCCACTGGCCAATCCTAACCAGCAGCCAGAGAGCATGAGCCTGGGTGATGTTGTCCAACGAGGTCAGCCTCCAGGTGCGCAAACAGCAGGGCAGGGAAGGATGGAGAATAGATCTGGAGGGACAAAGGGAGATGAATCTGCAGAGGGCCCTGGGTGTTCTTCCTGCCAACAGACCTCAGTCAGGACCCAACCAGTGCACCCAAACCAATTTTCTAACTTTGACTATTTAGGAGGGAGGATTGGAATACCAGTTTCTCACATCCCTTGGACTTCTTATGCAATTTGGTCCACTCCCTCTCCACCCTTCTGCACCAAAGAGAGGGGCACCCTGGTTATATCCAACTATACCCTTTTTCCAAGGAAAGGAGTGTCCACTTGCCTCATCTACATAACTAAGAAGGACCCCAGAATTGAGAATACTTCAGCTGACCATACAGAGGCTGCTGGTCAACATATACCCCCAAAAAAGATTACGCTGTCCCTTAGAAGCCACCTCCATTTCACAGCAGTCATCCCATTAAGTGGGGAGATATGCGGTTTCACTTTGGAGATAGGACAGCAGCTCAAGCTTTCCACGAATATATATTAAGGGAAGAGAGACCCCAGAAAGCTAAATGACTTGATGACATTCAGGAGGCTGAAAGTTAGGCTACAAAAATAGTGCTTCAGTGACCAACCTTGGTGCACACAGGTTTTTTTTTTTTTTCCTTTTTTCTTCTCTTAGATTACCAAATACAGCACTAATATCATTTGAAAGAAGAGTTTGCTTGAGCTTATAGCTACGAAACGGGGAACTTTGTGAGTACAATGCCACACACATTTAGAAGCAACTACTGTCTAACAGGGGCTTTGGACACAAAGATGCATAGAGCACAGCCCTGCCCTTGAGAATCTTGCTTCCACAGGCCGAAATCAAAGTCCACATACCACTAGACCATAAATGGGGAGAGTGTTGTCCTAGATGCTGAAAGCTCTAGAATCCAGTTTCAGCTCTGCCACTCACTAGTTGTGTGAAATGAACAAGTCTCTGCTATTACAAAACAAATATCAGAGACCGTGTGGGGTCCAAAGATGGAGGTAAAGAAGCAATATTGCCCTTAGGCTGGGGTAAGGTATGGAGTGGGGGCTTCCTTGGAACTCATGCCACAGAGGGCCCAGCTTATAACAGATACGCACATACAAATCAATTTGTTCAAATTCATACAAGCACCTCTATCCCTCGGGCCTCAGGTTGGTGCAGCTCAACCTGTACTGCAAATATGAGTAATACTGTCCAAGCCAGGGGAGTTCTTCTTTACATCCCTGCCCTGTGTCCCCAGAATAAAAGAGACTGTGTGAATGTCACGCAGGACTGTGGCAGGTCCAACCCTGGAGGTGGACATGTCAGTGGAAGCGCTTAGGTAAGAGAAAGGAATGATTATTCAACTTGTTACACACTTCCTCCTAGCCAGAATGTAACTGATTCTTCCCCAAACAAATGACATTTCCCATTTATATCAAATATCCACTTTCTTGCTTTTTTTTTTTCTTTTTTGGCTTTTATATGATTGAAAATTGGTAAAATAGGCAACTGAACTTAATTATCATTGCCCTTGAAGAGAGTTGATGGGATGGCAATATTTGGATGAGAATTAAAGACATAAATTCATCAACTACATACCTACTTTATAAATTTTTAAAACCAAACTTTATTTCCAATCTGTGGTTCTGAAGGGACTCACAACATGTGCCCTCGTTGGCACATGGGTCTCATAACCTAAACAAAGAGTGATACTAATTCTTTACTTTGGCAACTAAGTGGACAGTGAACACTAAGACTGCAAAGTAGTTTTGTTTTTATAAAATATATTTAATAAGATTTAATTAATTTTTTTGAGCTGGGTGCAGTGACACGGGCTTGTAATTCCAGCTACTCAGATGGCTGAGGCAGGATGATCCCTTGAGCCCAGGAGTTTGAGGCCAGCCTGGGCAGCATAGTGAGACCCCATATCAAAAAACAAAACAAAAACAGATTTTATTACATTTTCAAAAAATGAATTTAGACATTTCATTTTGATTTAAAGAATTTTGAGATTAAATATTAAAGCTCTTTAATTATTTGTATCTCGCTTTTTATTATTAATAATTTTGAATATTTTCAAAGAAAACTAACTTTGAAAATGCATATGAAAAATTTAATTTTTCAATTTTTAACACAGAGTTTTGATGAAGATATTTACTTCTTGTACACTGAAGTATAATTCAATGTACTTTTTAATCTTTTATATCATCAATAAACCACACATTATATGAAAAGCTCAGGAGAGCATAATTAATGATTCTAATGAAATTAAAGAAAGAAAAATAATTGTAAAAATTAAAGTCTGATTTTAAAAATGTATAAAGTATAAAATTCATGAATTTATGTCTTTAATGCTCATCCAAACATTGCCATCCCATCGACTTTCTTCAAGTGCGGTGATAATTAAGTTTAGTTGTATATTTTACCAATTTTCAATCACATAAAAGCCATCACTTTGCAAATATGTTTGTTTTGCAATTATGAAAGCAAACATATCTAGGTAGGAGAATAGAAAGTATTTTATTTAACAGTGTATAGCTTGTTTATACCTCCTAAATACTGAGACTCCATGAGCACTCTCAGCTTAGGCCCTGCAAATGCTAGAAGTAGACCTATCAATAAGACACAATCTGCTCCCAGTGCTCTCCTAGAATTCATTCACTTACTGAATGAGTATACATCGAGCGGCTCTTACGTGCTAGGTACTGATGAACTTTCAGTAAGCAAAAGCAGACTATCCTCAAGGAGCTGAAAATCCAATGAAGGCAGATATTGATCAAATCATCATAGACAACAAAGGTCTATTTATTTCCAGGATCATGACCTTGGTGGGAATAGATGTGCCATGCTACTCCATTCCCTCTCCAAGAAAGAAATTGTCACTCCAACTTTTTGGTGTGCTGTTGGCAAACAGTCTGAAAATAAGACTGGCCTCAGCCTTATTTAGTTTTCAAGAGCAGAATTTTAAAAAACAAAAACAGGCTTGCAAGCAAGCATCCAGTCTTGGTCCCTCTCCCACGAGTTTCTTTCTGCCTCTCTGCAGGAGGAAGGAGAGCAAAATACTCCCACAGCCCTGGAAATCTTGCTGAGAGGACAGAAAGAGAGGGGATACACAGAAAACAAATTAGTACTTCAGGATACAACCCTGCCAAATTACTTTTTCTGGGGGTGTTAAAGGGAATATGCTTCCAAACTAAAGAAAGGGAGAAAATGTGAAAATAGAACCACTTTTGAGATCCATTTTGGTGTCAGGAATCTTTGAGATAATATTAATTGTGATACTTTACACCCCAAAATTGCCAGGCATGGTGTGTCATGCCTGTAATCCCAGGACTTTGGGAGGGCAAGGCAGGAAGATCACTTGAGCACAGGAGTTCAAGACCAGCCTGGGCAACATAGTGAGATCCCGTCTCTATAAAAAATCAAAAAATCACCTGGCCATGGTGGTGTGCACCTGTAGTCTCAGCTACTTGGGAGGCTGAGGTGGGAAGATCACCTGAGCCAGAGAAGTCAAGGCTGCAGTGAGCCAAGATTGTGCCACTGCACTCCAGCCTAGGTGACAGAGTGAGACCCTTTCTCAAAATTAAAAAACAAAACGAAACAAAAAAACAGAAAAAATCCTTAAAGTTCCCTTGTCCTCAAAAACATTGTCTTGGTTCAAGTCTACACTCACCCTCAGGAGAGCTCTCAATGTACAGTGTTTCAAAGGTAAACCAATGTGTGTGAGAGGCCTCAGGACAGAGAAGTCCCATGGTGGGGGCAACAAGGCTTCTCTTCCTCCAGTCCCCTCTGCAATAGGGACAGGGGCTCCCAGCCCCTGGAACCCCTAGTGCCTGCCCTGGCCCCGGGCAGTAGCGTGCCCCTGAGCCTAGCTCCCTTGCCACCCTACAATAAAACCAGCAGTGGGCCCCATCTTGCCAGAAACACCTCTGGACTGACTCCTCCTGGTCAGGTAAAGTTTCAAATGAACTCTACTCTCAGTTTCACAGTCATCCATTCATATTCCGAATGGACCACTGGTTAAAAACAGGAAGCATAAATGGAATACAAATTAATAAGGAAGATATAGTGATAACTATGGCCAACCTGCCTTGAGATGCTCATCATCCCGTCTGAAAGCTCCATTCATCTGGTCAAAATGCTTCTAGTCCTTAAAATATCACTGTCAAAAAGAGGAAATTTGACCCTGAAAGTCATTCTTGTCTATTTCATATTATTACACACAGATAGGTTTCAATAAAGTAGATCTCCAAAACTAAAGACCATTAAAGTCACTTGTCATGTGGGGCTGGCAGTGAGCATTTCTGGAGTCGGAGACAGTAAAACAAAGAGGCTCTTGTCGCTGAAGATTAAGGAAAAGTAATTGCCAAGTAAAGCCCAGGCTGGACCCAGAATTAACATCCATGAGTTTGGTTTCTTAAGTGAATCTGATGCCAGGAACGTTTCTGGCTCTTTCTGCCCTGTGTGTGTTTCAGACTCTGGGGCAGGTCCATTGGGTTTTCCCAACATCACCAAGCCCTTTAAGTGCATTAAATGCCCAACAAGGGGATAAGCGTGTGATCTCTACTGATGACACCAGCATTCTCTGGTGCCAGTGGGAACAAGTGGATTAACAATGATTTTAAGTGACCTTTGCCTGTGACCCAGAGATCTCCAGTAAAGCCCTACTGTGCAGAGCACGAGGGCCTTTTATCCATGTGCAGGTGAGGGCTTTGAGAAAAAGATGAGTCACTCCTGTGGGTTGATGCCGGGAGAGAAGGCTTTAGGAACAAGGAGAGAAGGGTTTAGGAACAATCTCAGAACACAGCCTAGAGAGCAGGGGTTTTAGCTGAGTCAACAGAAGCAGATGTAGCCCTGGGAACATAAGCCCCAGGAATTCAGAAAAATCCTGGGGAAGGCTTTGGTCTTCCAAATTCAGAGAAGTGTTTGCATCACTGATCTGGAAAGTAGCATCTGGGAGATCCTGCTGACATCTGCCCTATACAGCATTTCCACTGAAATCAGCAAAGCACTGGAGAATATGGCCCTAGAGCATAGCTCTAGGAAGTAAAGTCCACGGGGAGCAGTTCAGCCTCAGAGCATGATATTTCCCAGCCTGTGTGTAGCAGAGACTACTAATTGTCCCCCAGTATCCATTCTCCCCTTCTTTTAGGGCAATCAAACTAATTTTCACAGGGCAAGCAATGTGTTTAGATGAAAGACTACATTTCCAGGCTTTCTTGTAATGAGGTGTGTCTCATCAATGAAATCTAAGACATGTGTGGTATGGGACTACCAGGAAAGCTGCTTAAAATGACCTAACTCAGGAGGAAGGAGGGCTCTTCTGCCCTTCCATCCTCCCAGTCCTCACCTCTTTGTTGTCTCTTTCTGCTGGCCTGGAACTTAGATGTACTAGTTGGAGCTCCAGCAGCCATTTTGTATCATAATGTAACCCTGAGACTAAAAACCACATACCGACGATGGCAGAGCAGAGGTATCTTTAATGACACTGTGCAGCTGCCACACTAACTCCAGCCTTCCTGACCCCAGGTTGCTTTTATGTAAGGAAGAAATACCAGCCTCCTTGATGTTCTTTAGAAATGATAAGCATATTCCATCCTCAGGGCTTTGCACGGGCTGATTCCTGTGCCTGGAGGACTCTGTCCCCAGATATCCATCTGGCCTGCTCCCCTCACTCCTTCAGCTCTCTAGCAGAAATGTACTATGGGATTAAGGCCTTCTCTAACCACATTAACAATAGCATCCACATCTCCCAATTGTCCATAAAACTTATTACCATCTGTCATACCACATGTCTTTTCCTTATCTGTTTATTGTCTATCTCTTTCCACTCGAATGTAAGCTTCAAATGGGCTATTCTGTTTACTGCTGTGCCTCTCATCCTTAGAACAGTGCTTAACACACAGAAGGTGCTCAATAAAGATTTGTTGAGTGAATGAATGAATGGTGCGATCTGACGGATGGGCTCTGCATCCTCAACTATCCCCCTAGGCCCCGGTATAAGGCTCATCAGGCCCAGGAAAGGTCGCAGGGCATACTCCCCTGCTGTCATCACCAAGGAACTAGGGTAGAACCAGGGCTGCCTGTGTGCAATGGGTTGGGACAGAAGAGATGGGGCAGAGCTCACTCTCCTGACTCTGGTGGGCTTGCAAGAGGTGAAAAGCTAGGTCCTTTTCTGCCATCATCACAGTTCAGGTGCTCACCCATGACTCGGAGGCTCTTCCCAAGGCTTACAGTGTGGAGACGCAGCCACGGGGCCCATGAACCAAGCCTACAACCCATATGTGCTCATCCGTTAGCCCCAAGAAACACTGGACATGCAGGGTGCTGTGATGGGCAGTTTTCTGTATTAATTTGGCTAGACTAAGGTACCCAAATATTTGCTCAAATGCTATTCTACATGTTTCTAAGAAAGTACTTTTTAGGTGAAATAAAACTTAAATCAGTGGAGTAAAGCAGAAGACCCCCACAGTGTGGCTGGGCCTCATCTAATCAGTTGATGGCCTTCACCAAACAATGACTCACTTCCCAGAGGAAGAGGAAATTTTGACAGCAGACTGCTTCAGACTCAAACTGCAGCTCTTCCTTGGGTCTCCAGCCAGCAACCCACCCAGCAGGTTTTGGGCTTGCCACCCTCCAGAATCCCAGAAGCCAATTTGCTTAAAATCAATCAATCAATCAATAAATCGATCTCTTTCTCCTTGGTTCTATTTCTCTGGAGAGCCCTGACTACTACAGGTGCCAGTCTCTTTTCAAATTCCATGGAATACCAGGAGGCCTGGGATGTCTAATAAGAAAATCCCACAAAGACCCCTGACCTCACTAATAAGAGTGAGAAAACATATTAATGAATATCTGGCAGGGAGGCTTTACACACCTTGACCCACTGGATCAAATCACGATCATAAGTGGACACAGCTGCATCTGCGGCAGTGCAGGCCTCAGAGCACAATGGCTTTATTTGTCACTGAATGGCGGACCAGGCCTACAGCCCGAGGGAGGACCCCAGTCACAGGGTTGAAAGGGGTGCTTGAGCCCTTTGTTTCCAGAAGAGCAGAGAAAATCTCATGATGGCAGGAGAGCAGGCAGCACTTTTCCAGCACACTGGCCAAAGCCGATGCGGTAACCATCCCCCTGGCAGTACCCTGGAACAGAGGAGGACAAGGATCAGTCACAAAGTTGCTGGGCTCACCGGAACCAACACCTAGGCAGCGGCAGTGCCCGTCAGCACACAGCTGGCCCGAGGCAGGAAGGTGCCATCAGAATCACACACACATATCTTAAACACAAGAATAACCCTCCACGGAAGCTGGGCAGAGTTGCACGCAGGAGCCCTTGGACTAGAACCCGGGCCCACCCCACAGCCAGGGATCCTCAGAGGCACTGCAAGGCTCAACAGCTTTCCTGTGGCTAATATGGTTTGGCTCTGTCCCCCGCCAAACCTCATTTTGAATTATAGCTCCCATAATTCCCATGTGTTGTGGGAGGTACACAGTGGGAGATAATTGAATCATGGAGCGGTTTCCTCCATACTGTTCTCATGGTAGTGAAGAAGTCTCATGAGATCTGATGTTTTTATAAGCGGTTTCTCCTTTCACTTGGCTCTCATTCTCTCTTGCCTGCCACCATGTAAGACATGCCTTTTGCCTTCCACTATGATTGTGAGGCCTCCCCAGCCATGTGGAACTGTGAGTCCATTAAACCTCTCTTTCTTTATGAATTACCCAGTCTCAGGAATGTCTTTATCAGCAGTGTGAAAACAGACTAATACAGTGGTCAACTCTCCCCACATGGGTTTGGGTTCAAATCCTCGCTCTGCCAATTAGCCTGAAGCCAGAATGCCTGAGGTCAAAGCCTGGCTCCTCTACTTATTGGCTCTGTAACCTTGGGTCCCTCTAGACCTCAGTTTCTTCATCTGTGCAATGGATCTTATGATAGTGCCCACCGCACAGGACTGCTGCAAGGATGATGGGAGCAAATGCATAGAAAACTCTGAGAACAGCCTCCAGTCCCTATTTGAAATTCCCTGTAAGTGTCAGTCATTACAACCATTATGAGCTGGGTGGCTGGGAACAAGCTGTTTGACTTCAGAACTCACCTCCCTCATCTGCAAACAAGAAAAACAACGCTTATCTCTCAAGGTTGTAAGGATTAGACTAAATATTTCAGTGAAATTCCCAGCACATCTCAGAAACTAATAAATATTAGTTTCCTTCATTTAATTCCATTTCAACAAGGATGATGGAAAAGCAGAGAGAAGCCCATCTCTGCCCTTGAGAGGGGTCCACTTAGAGGGAGTGGGAGGTCCAGACGAGAGATACAGAGAAATGCTTACAAGGTGCTGAGCGAGCAGCATGGAGGGAAAGGGAGCAGGAAGGGGGGATATCTTAGCTGGGCCTTGACGGGTAGCTAGGAGTTCATTAGGGAAGACACATGAAAATGCCATTCCAGACAGAGGGAAGAACACGTGCAAAGGCTCAGACACTCAGGCACGAGATGCATTTGTCACATCTGTTCAGTGAGGCTGTCCTTTGGGGGGCCCTAAGAAGCCCCGTGACCCACATGCTGACAACATGCAGGGATGCCCTTTGTCGAGAGCAACGACCTCACCTATTCTGTTGCTCATTTTCATTATTTTCTGTCAGTCTCTTTTCCACCTCAATGCTCAGAAATATCCACACCACTGGGGTGAAAAAAAAAGCCTATTAAAGTAAAACTGGCTCCCAGCAGAAATTTATTAAACATCTATCAAAACAACTAACTCGGAACTGCAGCATTTTTAAAGAGTCTCTCCCAACCATGGTCCTGAAGGAGAAGGGTCACTGCTTCTACACCCTGGGACCCCTGGTCAGCCTTGCGCAGGAATTCTGTGCCAGGCAAGGCAAGCAATAATGCTGGGGAGAGAAACTGGAATAAACAGAGACACAGGAACACCAGGTGAAAGACGCCACCACTGAGAGACGCAGGGCAAGAAACGAAAGACTTTTGCTCAGATATTGTTTCCAAATAATGTCAGATACCAAGAAAGAATCCACAACAAATCATAACTATCAACAAATCAAAGATCTGAAGGAGAGTGAGAAATGCATGTGTCCAGCAGTGCAGAGCCATCCGTGCAAATGCCTGCGAGAACACATCCTTGCAAGTTGCAAGCTCAACACCAGATGGGGTTTGTGAGCGAGACTAGGGGATGGATGAGTTAAACCAAGACGATCAGAGATTTTTGTTGATATTTTTGGTTTGTTTACTTCACCTGTTCTCTTGCTGAACATTTTGTGGTTTTTGGACTCTCTCAGAAATGAGAATTTCATCGCGCCATTTAAAGAGGCAACAGGACACAAGGGTTCAGAGCACAGCTCCTGGAGCCCAACTGCCTGTGTTCAAACCCTGGCTCTACCCTTTATCGCCTGTGTGATCCTGGGTAAGTATGCATCTTTCTGGGCCTCAGTTTCCACATCTGAAAAATAGAGACAGTAAGAGTAGCTGCCTTGTTTGGAATAGAAAATGTATTGCAGGTAAAGCACTTGGCACAGTGTCTGGCCTGCAGTAAGTGCTGCGGCGTTGGCTGATGCCAGCACTTCTGAATGTTCTATCGCGTTTCCAATGGTTAGAAATTGATTTGGGGAAGGAGCATCCGTGAAGAGCAAGCAGGGAAATGAGAGGCAGCCATAAAGGCATCTGAGCAGGTGCAGAGAAGGAGGAGGAAAGCCGGGAAGAGCTGAAGAAACCATGTGTGGCTTTCAAGCAAGAAAGCAGCTCAGCAGGGCCACGTGACCAGTGAAGTCGTAGAAGGTGAGGGCAGAGCCGTCCGCCAATGCGGGGAACCTTTGCACAAGGTAACACAGCTGACACACCACCTCCACCTGCCCGCTCCTCTGCTTACCCCCTGCTTAGCCCAAATTCTAGCAATATGCATTCTTTTGAGTTTTTCAGTGGTCCCCTTCTGTATGAAATTCTCTTTTTTCTTTTTATGAACACATAATGTATGCCTCTCCTCTTAGCAAATTATAATTCTTCTTTCTTGGTTCCAGGGGATTTTGCCCATCTGTTCCCATTTCCCTCTTCACTTGCCAACATGTGCTTCTTCAGATCCAAGGAACTGCCTTTCCCTGAATTCCTCTGCTGGCCTCCAAAAATCCTTCCGGAGTAAGGCGTTGTATACACAAACAAACATGGAAATGACTCTCATGGCATCTTGGCTCCTTTCTCCTTCCTTCTCTGGCTCAAATGTCAAGAACACATGTGCATTCCAACTGCTAGATACCAGCCTCCTTTCTCCCAGGCCCTGGACAGCTGCCTGGTCTAGCATGGCTTAGTCAGGGGCCCTTATCACACTGACAACAGAGAGTTAAAGCCATCATTTTCTCTTCTGCCACCATCTCTTTCCTTCCTTTCCCCAAATCAAAACTTCAGAAAATGCTTTCACTCAATCCACAGAACCGTGACCAAAGGCCTGCGGTAGGTCTGGCAAGCATTGCAGAAAGACTAGAAACAAACTTGGCAGGGGAATCAGAAGACCTCAGTTGCAGACTGGCTTCCCCAGTTGTGGGACTTTTGTCAAGTAACCTGCCTTCTATCAGCCTAAGTTTTCGACTCTGCAAAATGGGGGCAATGATATTATATCATCAAAGGGCTATTGTGAGTAGAAAATGAAATAAGGAAGGTGGACATGCCTGCAATATGGTTGGCTCCTAGCAGATGTTCAGTAAATAGTCAAATTCAAATTAGAGAGGTATAATTAGGCTGCAGAAATGGGAGCAAAATGGGTATTTATTGATTAATAATGGGTATCATCTGCTGTTTTGAGCTCTGCCTGCATCTTCTCTACCAAATCCACTTTATTCAAAGAACTAACCAACAGCCACACTGGGCATGCACTATGTGGCTGCTACTTGGACTAAACTTTGCTCTCCAAGAGCTCTGGAGTGGACTAAATTACGGCCAAATCCCTAGGACCTGTGAATGTTACCTTATATAGTAAATTTTCTGGAGATGTGATTAAGTTGGGATCTTAGAATGAGGAGATTGTCTAGGTGGGCTCTAAATGCTATCACATGTGTGTTATAAGAGAGAGGTAAAGGAGATGAGACAGAAGACGAGGCGACAATGTGACCGTGGAGGCAGAGATCAGTGTGATGTGGCCACAAGACAAAGAGGCTTCCACCAGAAGCTGGAAGAGGCCAGGGACAGACGCTCCCCAGAGTTTCCAGGAACATGGCACTGCCAACACGAGGATTTTGAACTTGTACCTTATAGAGCTGTGAGAGAATACATTTCAGTTGTTTTAAGCCACAAAGTTTGCGGTACTATGTTACTGCAGCCACAGGAAACTAACACAAGCTTTTAGTTAAGCACGGAAACTGACACATACACAATTAGCGCGCCTGTAATCCCAGCTACTCGGGAGGCTAAGGCACAGGAGAATCGCTTGAACCTGGGAGATGGAGGTTGCAGTGAGCTGAGATTGTGCCACTGCACTCCAGATTGGATGAGAGAGCAAGACTCCGACTCAAAAACAAAAAAAATAATTAAAGATGAGGTAAACTGAGTCTCAGAAAGGCTAAATAACTTAATGAAGGTCACACAGCTGGTGGGGGACCTGGGAGTTCAACTTGAACCTTTCCAGCTCTAAAGAGTGTGCTGCTAACCATTATGGTGCCCTTTCCCTCTATTAGTAAAATGTGGTAGGCAGAATGGCACCCCCAGAAGAATTAAGAGGCACCCTCACCTCCTTGGAACAGGCTGCTGCGAAGCCTCAGTCACTAACTCAGCTGAACCTTCCTTGATCCTAGTCATAGGTCACCAAGTGTCTGCACAGGGCGTTTGCTGCAAAGTCTAGACCTTGAGGAACCTGCCAGTATTTTATAACTATGCTCAGGGAGAAGGGAGACCAAGCAGAATGTCTACAGTCTTTCTGGCCTAGGGAGACTCACACTTGAAGTCCCGGGTAGCCATAGCTGTGGGGAAGGACAGAACAAGCAGGCAGAGACTCTGGGAGGCAGAGTCAGGATGCGTGAGAACAGATGGCTTCATGGCCAGGTAGGAGCGCCCCGCAGCTAGAACAGTGCATGGCGGGCAAGGAGGAAGACGAGCTGCTGGGTTTGGCAGCCCTCACCTGTTATGATGACTTCATCCCCGTCCAGCAGAAACTTCCTGGTCTGACCATTCCCCAGGTCTATGGGCTTCGTTCCCTTCCACGACAGTTCCAACATGGAGCCGAAGTTTTCTGGCTCCTTCATCACAGGAAAGGGAAGAAAGAATAACATGAATTTATGCCTTGGCTCTGGCATGGACCATGCTCAGCAAGACCTGGGAGTCCCGAGAAGTGGCAGGGGGCCCTCATGCCCCTCAGAGACCCTGCCTCGGCCTTGGTGGGATCACTGCAGAGATGCCTTTGAGACATGGAACTCTGCCCCTTCTTCCTGTGGGGACAGCAATGGTTCCACTAAGGACATCGCTTGTTTAGGAATCAGTGAATCCCTGACCAGAGTGCCCAGTGCCCCCTGCAGCATCCCCTCCCTGCTCTGGAGGCTGCAGTTTGCCCAGATATCGTGATGCTTAACACCCTCCTGTCGACAGCTCAAGGAACAAGAGGGCTCGGCCAGCCCCCTGCAGGAAGTGAGTGACACATGCACCACCCCAAGGTCATCATCTCTGAAGGTTCTGTGACTCCCGCAGGCTTACAGGGGGACAAGCGGGTGGGAAGGGGCACAGCAGCATGGCCACCTCATCCTGGGAGGGTGTAGTGTGAGATGGTGACAACCAAGACACTATCACTGTCTCCTGACTCCTCCCCACGTGTCACTGCGCTGCTCCCCTACAGAGGCAGAGACCCAGGCTTCCGTTCTCACACCAGTCTCTTTAGGTTTGAATTTGGATGAGAAGTCCCTCCTGCACCCAGAGAGAAAGGCTACGAGGAAGACAGAGTTGTGAGATACACCCACCTCGGGCCTGAAATCTCTTCTCGAGGCTGAGCTGAGGGCCCTTGGGGCTGTGTGGGGAGCAGGGATGCTCTGCGTGGGCAGCCCTCAGTGCAGCCAGATACTCACCGGCCCGCTGATGGTCCCAGAAGCCAGGAGGTCCCCCGGCCGCAGGTTGCAGCCGTTGACAGAGTGGTGAGTGAGCTGCTGCAGCATCGTCCAGTACATGTACTGCAGGCAATGGACGCGAGGTGGAATGAGCAGCGGCAGGCTTAGCCTAGCATCCCGGAGGCAGCTGGGCACAGCCTGCCCTGCTCACGACCGCCTTCCCTGGCCTTTCCCCGGTCCCCAGCTCCCCCAGCCAGCTCTCTCCAGTCCCTTATAGTAAGGACACATTGTCCTCCTGGGGAGCTGCCCAGAGACCTCCCCCAAGCTCTTCCATCTCCTTCACAAACTCCAACCTCAGCTCCTCTGCTACCTCAAGCCCACACTGACCACCTTCTCCAAGCAGCATCCCCTAAGGGCTGACCTTACTGCTCAGTCCCTCAGCCTGCAACATGCCCTTGTGTACAACACTCCACTCTGCCCTGGGAACACCCTCCAGTCCCGTATTGGGAGAATCTAAGTCCACACCACAGCAGAGGCTTCTCGTGAGCAAAGCCCTCGCTCCCATTCTCCCATGCCGGGCCTTGGGATGGACACTGGGCAATGGAGCTGAACGATTCAAACACGATGTCAGGGCAGGCCAAGGAGCGAGGGAGAGCTGTGGGCGGTCAGGCTGTGGGCAGAGGGGGCCAAGGCACCACGTGCCCACCGAGACGCTCAGATGCAATGCACGCCCATGCCTGTCCCAGGCCACAGCTTCTCACATTGCCATTCCTACAGCCACACATCCCGGCATAGGAAACCCAAAAGATGGATTCTTGCCCACGAGCCCCTGCAAGGAGGCCCCTTAATTTCTTCTTACTAGCCCTAAGGAGCCCAGAATAATATTAAATTAGAAGGGAAATTAGGGAAACTAGAAATAGTTCAATGATTCAGAGGATATTCAAAAGGCCAAGAAACAAATGAACCATAAACATATGACTAACATGCCCAGCTGCATTAGTCATTAGGGAAATGCAAACTGAAGTCACAATCCCAGGCACGGTTTGAACGAAAAGGCAAACACCACCAGAGCTGACGAGGATGTGGAGCAGGCAAAATGCTTACATGCTGCTAGTGGGAGTATATACTGGTATAACCACTTCAAAAAACTGTTTGGAAGTACCCCTAGGCTGAGTCTATGTGTACTCTATGACCCAGCAAGCCTATTACTGGATATACACTCAATAGAAATGTGCACATATGTGCACCAAAAGGTGTGTACTAAAATGTTCACAGTAACTCTGTGATAGCCAAAAACAACGGAAACAACCAAATGTCCATCGATTGTGGAATTGATGTGACTTACAAAATAAGTCAGTTGGCCGGGCGCAGTGGCTCATGCCTGTAATCCCAGCACTTTGGGAGGCTGAGGCGGGCGGATCACAAGGTCAGGAGATCGAGACCATCCTGGCTAACATGGTGAAACCCCATCTCCACTAAAAATACAAAAAAAAAAATTAGCCGGGCGTGGTGGCGGGCACCTGTAGTCCCAGCTACCCGGGAGGCTGAGGCAGGAGAATGGCATGAACCCAGGAGGCGGAGTTTGCAGTGAGCCGAGATCGCGCCACTGCACTCCAGCCTGGGCAACGAGCGAGACTCCATCTCAAAAAAAAAAAAAAATTAAGTCAGTTGTGGAATATTTATACAGTGCAACACTATAAGGCAATGAGAAAAATGAGCTGTCACTGCAAAGAGCAACAGGGTTGAATCTCACAGATCTAACACTAAAACAAAGATGCCAGCTACAAAAGAATACATGCTACTTTATGATGCCATTTCTATAAAACTGAAAAACAGAAAAAAAATAATACATGGTAGCAGAGGTCAGGAGAGGAGTGACCTTTGCTGGAGGGAGTGATGAAGTGACCTGGAGGGCCCCACGGGGCTGCTGAGGTGCTGGAAATTTTCCATTTCTGATCTGGGTGCTGGTTGCACAGGGATGTTCATTTTAGGAAAATTCTTCAAGCTGTACATGTATAATATGCACTTTTTTTAATTTTTATTTTTTGAAATAGGGTCTTGCTCTGTCACGCATGCTGGAATGCAGTGGTGTGATCATGGCTCACTGCAGCCTCGACCTCCTGGGCTCAAGCGATCCTCCTGCCTTAGCCTCCCAAGTAGCCGGGACCACAGGTGCATGCTACCACGCCCGGCTAATTTTTTTACTTTTTGCAGAGACAAGGTCTCATTATGTTGCCCAGGCTGGTCTCAAACTCCTAGGCTTAAGCGATCCTCCCACTTTGGCCTCCCAAAGTGCTGGGATTACAGTAATGTGTGCATTTTTATCTATGTATATTATGCTTCAATTAAAAGTTCACTTAAAAAATAAGTCACTCTCATCAATACAGCCCCTGGCAGGACAGGATAAACCAGGAACTAGACCTTTACAGGAACACCTATTTTCCCCCAAGAAAATCACTGGCCACATTTATGCAGCCTCTATCTCGAGAGAACTCTGTGACCCCATGGCCACTCCTAAAAGAGACAGGCCATGGAAGCTCCAGGCCCACAGGCTGACCCATCATCATATCCCAAAAGGAATGCTCTCCTCCTGTTCCTGCCAGGAAGAAAAGTCTCTCTTTCCCTCAATTCTAAAAAGCAGTCTGATCAGCGTCAAAGCTTACCTTAAAATTGGACTTGCATATGGTAGCCGCCTGGCTCATTCCTTCTCCTGTTGGAAAGAAAAGCAATATTGATGAAAACTTAATTCCATGCATCAGGGAGGAAAATAAAAAAAGAATTGTTCTGTGGCTGAAGCTTCCCATTGTCCAACATGATTTCACTTAGAGTCTGTGAAACAATTAGCTCCTAGGACATCAGAGCTGGGAGGTCCAGGGTTGGCCAATACATGCACACAAGTCATCACTTCCTCCTCCCACGCCTACAGCAGGCAGCATTAATTGATCACAGCACATGTTTGCTCTGAGTCCATATGTAGCCTCAGAATCCTTCTTAACACAGTGATCCTGGCACCCGCAAATCCACTAAAGATAGTGTGCCATTTGAAAGCTACTTGTGACCTTTGATCAAGGATAACCTGCTGTCCCCTCAGGAGTCCTCTGGATAGCTGGGTCATCTGTCCCCTGCCGAGCTCCTCCAGTGATGGGCAGTGTGCTACTTCACAACGTACTAAACAATATTTACTAAACATCTACTACATGCAAGGTACCGGGCTGTTGCCGTTCCACTTCTGAACAGCACTAATAAGTAGAAAGCTCCTCTGCTCCCTCAAAACCTGGCTTCCTCCCTTGGTCCTAACTTCCCCTCTGAGGTGGCACAGAACAGGTGTGCTCTTCAGCCATGCGAGGTCTGGGTCTGCCAAGGCTGCTCCTCCCCAGACCCTTTCGCCCAGATCCCAACTCAGAACATCAGAACTGCAAATGCAGGACTACATCTCTGGACACTGTGCTTTCTGGATAATCTTGTCCCTTTTCTACCAGTGGCCTCCCCCGGGCGGGCAGGTTCACCTCTAGGCAGCCAGGAATACTGAGGACAAAACCAGATAGAAAGTATACTCCAAGCACGCATTGTGGGTGGCAGGAGGCCAACCTAGAACTTGTGACACACTTGGATTGAGTCCCAGCCCTGCCATTAGCCAGGTAGGTGGCTCGGGGTGAATCCTTTTCCTCTCTGAGCCTCAGCTTCCTGACCTGGAACCTGAAAGAGCGGGCCCAGCACAGCTTCCCAGAGGGCCCTGGGCAGCCAGGAGGCTCTCTGTGACAGCTCTTTCTCCATGGAGCATCCTGCTCCCATGGCGACAGCTCCTGCAGTGTACTGCGCCTCCTGACAGGAACCACCTCATGAAGGGCCGAGACCCTGGAACTGACAGTGAGACAGACATGGCAAAGCCTGGAGTGTACAGACAGAGCAGACAGAAGAAAGAAATGGAGCTGGCCGGGCATGGTGGCTCACGCCTGTAATCCCAGCACTTTGGAAGGCCTAGGTGGGTAGACCACCTAAGGTTAGGAGTTCAAGACCATCCTGACCAACATGAAGAAACCCCATCTCTACTAAAAATACAAAATTAGCCAGGCATGGTGGCGCATGCCTGTAATCCCAGCTACACAGGAGGCTGAGGCAGAAGACTCGCTTGAACCCAGGGGCAGAGGTTGTGGTGAGCCAAGATCGCACCATTGCACTCCAGCCTGGGCAAGAAGAGTGAAACTCCATCTCGGGGGAAAAAAAAAGAAGAAAAGAAAAGAAAAAGGAATGGAATGGAGCTAAAAAGGAGATTTGGCCAGAGTGTGGCTAGGAGGTCTGTGTGTGGCCACCAGGCAAACCCTCCCCATCCGAGGGCCCCCGTTGGGATTGGAAAATGACACCTGACTCTTTCTAGGTACAGACCCTGTCCCAGACCTTTGCATGAATTGACATGTTTGGTCCTCACAACACACCATGAGGTCAACGCCGCTATTATCCCATTTCATAGATGACAAATGAGGACATGGCCAGGTTTGGCAACTTGCCCAAAGTCCCACAGCTGAGCAGCAGAGTCATGGCCTGCAGAGCCAGTCTCTTTATTACCAACGCCCCATTGGGCCTGTTCGCGGAGGCGGGCTGAGCAGCCACAGGGAGATGTGGGCCCTGTCTATGTCAGGGCTGGCCCAGGGTGGGGATCTCGGGTCTGTCTGCAAGACACTCAGGGCTGGCCCATGGTGGGAATCTGGGGTCTTGATGCGCTGGCTCTGTGTGGCCCCAGGGGCTCAGCCAAGCGAACAGACCCACAAGGACATGCTTTCAAACAGGCACTCAATGAAATGTGCCACCCACCACGGAAGTGAGGGTCAGTGGCGATATGTGAGCAGGAGCCAGGCAGCCCCTGGAGAGGCTGGGGAGGGGATTCAAGCAGAAGATGGAAGTCCCGGACTCCATCCTTTCAGCCCTACCACTGAGAGCTCAGTGACAGGGTTAATGCCCTATGGGCCCAGTTAGGTTCCCAGTGAGCACCAGGGTGTCCCCTCCCCTCCCCTCCTCTTTCCTTTAGACGAGCCACACACATCTCCAGGGCTGTAGCACGTGCCCTCACCCTTGCCAAAGCTCAGGAGCCTTCAGGACAAGGCACACAGGCACACATTGCCTCAGAGCTCCTGGCCATGTCAGTCCCCCTACAACATACCTTTCAGGTTAACAGAGAGGTTGATGTCAAATGTGTAGGGCTCGTCATGGCACAGATACGGCAGGGGCCTGGGGTCCTGAGAGGGCAAAGCACAGCACAGAGGTCACTGGCAGGTGGGCTGAGCTCACCCGGCTGGGCCCCCATACCAGCCAGGCCCCCAGCAGCACCTGCTCCCCTAGGCAGAGGGTCTGAGACAGCAGGAGCATTCCCTCTCCAGGGACCCAGCACTGTGTCCCTGGATAGCAGTAGGGGGGATCATACTGTGGGTCTCTAGGAAATGCAGCCAAGGAAGGGGCATCAGCAGGTCAAAGGTCACAGGAGCCAAACCAGAGATGTTCCTGAAAGCCACAGGAGGGGAGAGAAAGGGAAGGTGGGCAGCAGACAGGCCGAGATGGAGAACAAAGCCTGGCCTGTGAGGAAAGGCTGGGCCTGAAAGCGCATTGCAGGGCCCCTGGAAGGCAGAGGGGTCACAACAGAAGTAGACAGCCCTGGCTGGTGCTGGAGCCAGCTAGGGAGGCAGCTTGGATGGCTGGGCCAGAACGCCTGCACTCCGGCCAAAAGCAGTGTTTTCCAAAGCATGGTACATGAGTCACCCACGGGACATGAGATCGTTTTTGGTGATACTAATGGTTATGAAACAGTGTAGCTAGTGATGCCAGTAGGAATATAAAGTTCCCTTCTTAATATATTAAGTTTAAACTGGGAGCCACTCTGAAGGAAAACATTAAGTAAATAATAGTTCAGAGGGGGAATAGTAGTGTTGTACCTAAATGGTGTTGGGGAAGGGCTGGCACAGAGGAAGGCAGGCAAAACCCTGTGATGACCGACCCGGAAGAAGGCAGATGACTGGAGGACAAGCAAAGAGAGGCTGTGGCCTTGCAGCCCTAGGGAGACTAGACAAGGCCGCTGCCAGCTAGAGAGAAAGTCAAGTCCTGGCGACTGAAAATGACCAGGGTGGGCAGGGGGTGCTGTGGTAGGGAGCAGCGAGGAGAGAGCAAGGGATGAGGGTGAAAGCCCCACAGGACTTCACTAGAACTGGCTTGCAAGGAAAGACCTCAGGGTTGTTTGTAGCACAGCAAACATGAGATGACCCCAGAGGCAGAGGAGCATGGGAGAGCAGTGTGGGTGCAGGACCAGCACCGGGTGTTGGTAGAGGCCCCCAGCAAATGCGTGGTGAGATGCTCAAGCGAGGATGTGCAAATGGCTGGGAGCTCAGCCTGGATCCCCACAGGGAGGTCAGAATTGGAGAGGGGCATCGTGAGGACTCAGAGACACTGGAGAACGAGGACAGGTCACATGCCAGAAACCAAGGGGTGAGGGAATGCCAACAAGAGTGAGGGGCCACAGGAAGTCCATGCTGAAGGGGACACAAGGTCATGACACTGACTATCGGGTCACAGGTGACTCTGGCCAGGTGTTGCCAGTGATGGAGTGGGGCAGATTGCAACAGGCTGAGAAGGGAGGACTGGAACCAGGGGTCAAGGCCTAGACCCAGTGGTAGACCAAGCGGTGCCGGGAACCAGAGGCTGCAGGGACTCCCTGTTGCTGGGCTCCAAGCTGCATTCTATGAGTTGGGGTCCAGGTGGCGCCATTTGCACAGAACAAGATTTGATGGCCACCTGGGAGGTTGTGCAATGTTGGTACCTGCAGGGACTCCTCCTGCCAACTGGCCAGATCCCCCGGGTCTTGCAAGATTCTTAAGGTTACAAAATTCTGTGTTTTCTCCAAGAACTGTGCCAGGGCCAGGGAAACCACAAGGGAGAATGATGCCCTGGCTGCCTGGAAGTAATCGTGGCCAGGAACTCCCAGGCACTCTGCTGTGGGCATGCCGTGGGCACAGAGCTTCCCTCCTGATGGTCTGCATGCCTGGCATGTCCACTCAGTGGGCAAGCAGCCTCAGAGGCAGCAGGGCTGGGTTTGGGAGCTTCCTGCAGAGAATGTGCTTACCTGCTTCGGGTTGGGCACAGCAAAGGGCATGAGAGCATCCATGGGCACCACCCACGGAGAGACAGTGGTCCCAAAACTCTTCCCAAGGAATGGCCCGAGAGGGACATACTCCCACTTCTGAATGTCTCGTGCTGCAGAAGAAGGGCACAGCCAGGACTTACAAAGGCTGATCAGGGCATCTCCCAACGACCCCCTCCTGCCCTTGACCAAGGAGCAGAGACACCTAGCACTGCCATCTCCACAAAGATCAGCCCCAGTCAGGCTGCCCCAGGACAAAGGGGCAAGAGCATTCAATGCCAAGGACAGAGGTCCTTTGAGGGCACTGTGCCAGGTTACAGCAAAGAGAAGGATGACCAAACGGTGGTCAGGATATCTCCCAGGAAGGGGCTGGAAGCTCATTCTCAAACTATGAGAGAGACACTTTCTGGGGCTTATGGTGCCATCTTCCTCCCACGTATGGCAAAGGGTTGAGAGCTCAGGCTCAGAAGCTGGACTGTTTTGCTTCAAATCTTAGTTCAGCAACTAACTGAAATCTCCCTGTGCCTCAGTTCCTCATCTGTAAAATGGGAAGATAATATTGCACATACCGTGTAGGGATCAGCGGGAGAATATACGAAGGGTGTTAAGCACAGGGCCTGACACATAAGTGCTCAGTAAATATTAGTTATGATGTCAGCCGTGTCCCTAGCCACTCGAGAAAATTGGAGCTCAGAGGAGTTAAGTGAGTGGCCCGAGTTCTTAGAGCTGAAAGTCTGTTTGATACCCAGACCCCCACTCTCAGTCACTGCATCACCTGCCACTTTTGACCTGCACCAGATCTTCAGCTTCTATGAAATTGCCCCAAGTCCCCAGCCTCCTCCCCGTCATCTCTACAGGAGCAGAGCTCCAGTAATTACCACTCCAGTCGTTCATAAGGACCATTCCAAAAATGTGCTCATGGGCCTTGGAAATGGGGATCGGCTCTCCCAATCTGTTTCCAGGGCCTACAAAAAAAGCCTTACATGGGGGAGAGTTCATTAGAATCTGGAGCTGATCTGCCGCCCAGGTCACTTGTCACCTAGAGAGCAAAGGTCAGGTATTTCCAAACTCCAGCCATGGACCAGGACTGCCACAGGGGCCTGGCATGAATCCACTGTGTTTCTAAGTCAGAGGTCAGATGGACGCCTCAGGAAAGCAGAGTGCAGTGGTGTGCCCTGCCCCCGCCATCGGCCTTCCTTCCACTCCCCTGAGCTCCAAAGCAGCCTCCCCTCCCTTCAGTGCATCCCAGGCCACTCTGCTCTTTCCTCTTCATCCCATACAGCCTTTGCCTTTCAAGACTTGACAGCCACATGAGGCTTGTAAAACTGAAACTATCAGGGTTTGTATTCATGTCATGAAAAACCAGGCCAGGCACTGTGGCTCACGTCTATAATCTCAGCACTTTGGGAGGCTGAGGTGGAAGGATCACTTGAGCCTCGGAGTTTGAGACAAGCCTGAGCAACATAGTGAGACCCCACCTCTACAAAAAATAAACAAAATTAGCCAGGCATGGTGGCACATGTCCGCAGTCCCAGCTACTTGGGAGGCTTATGTGGGAAGATTGCTTGAGCCAGGGAGGTCAAGGCTGCAGCAGGCCGAGATCACGCCACGGCACTCCAGCCTGGGTGACAGAGCAAGACCCTGTCTCAAAAAATAAAAAAATAAAATAAATAAAAATTTTCATTGCTCAATTCCCACCTATGAGTGAGAACATGCAGTGTTTGGTTTTTTGTCCTTGCAATAGTTTGCTGAGAATGATGGTTTCCAGTTTCATCCATGTCCCTACAAAGGACATGAACTCATCATTTTTTATGGCTGCATAGTATTCCATGGTGTATATGTGCCACATTTTCTTAATCCAGTCTGTTGTGGGGTGGGGGGAAGAGGGAGGGATAGCATTAGGAGATATACCTAATGCTAAATGACGACTTAATGGGTGCAGCACGCCAACATGGCACATGTATACATATGTAACAAACCTGCACGTTGTGCACATGTACCCTAAAACTTAAAGTATAATAATAATAAAATTTAAAAATAAAAATAAAAAATAAAAAATAAATTTTTTTAATGAAAAATGAAAAACCAAAAGACTGCCTCCTTCATGCAGCAAATAGTACCAGAGAGAGCACACCCCACGGCCTCTAACCCCTATCTGTCATCCCACTACCTCTAAAGAAAAACAGCACCAACGTGATGTCCATGAACCAGCAGACTAGCCAGGCATCATTAGAAAGAAAAATTTGGGAAAATCTCTTTGAAAAACATAGACTCAGCCATGACATTTGCAAAACTTAGTCACCATTTTATTTGTTCTGTGACAATAGTTAAACATTGCAAATTTTTCATCAAGATGAAAAAAAGAACCCAAAAGCACTAGTCCAGGTGACCTGGGCTCTCTGCCCCAACCATTTCTCCACATGCTGACTCTCTGTCTTTTCTCTCTCCCTCTCAACAGGTGAAGTGTCTGCCTGCAGAGTCCTTAGTTCTCCCAGAGAGAAGACCATGGCCCCAAACCAGGGCTCAGATGCCCTGCTCTGATGAATCTCAGCTGGGGGTCCTCCTCCCGCAGTCTCACATAGTACCCTTGCTAAGGCAGGAGGAGGCAGAGGGCTGGCAGGGAATGCCCTGCTATCCACGGGCTATTCGGCAGTGCCCACTCATTTCCCTCCTCTGGACTGAATCCAGAGAAATCACAGGGAAGCCCAGGAGAGACAGGGAGCTCCAGAAAAGCAGACGGGCCTTTCAGCCTGCCTCCACCAACCAGGGCTTCCCACTGTCTCAGCCTGACTCGGTGGCCCCATGACAGCTTCTTCTACACCATCAGTGATGAGGCACTCAGAGCTTCCTGAGGCAACGCCTAAAACTGTAGGTGCTGACTATGGGAAAGCCCCCTCCATCTGCCTGTCTGCATTTCCCACACGGAGACTGACTCCAACCTTGGGCATCAGACAACCCAGCAGATGCTGAAGACCCTGCCAGGTCCCCGGAGCGCTGCCTCCCCCAGGTCAGCTCCTCCTTTCCATCACTTCCCTGGTCCCCTCACCTTGGGGGCTGCCCAGATTTCAGTGTCCCCTCTGAAAAATGGGCAGCATGAGGGATCCTCAGGTGGTGGGACCGACTGTATCAACATCAACATCCAGGTTGTGATAGAGCACCATGGTTACGAAGGATGTTGCCACTGGGGGAGACTGTGTGAAGGGTATTGGGATCTCTGTACTATTTCTCACAACTGCATGTGAGTCTACAATGACCTCAAAATAAAAAGTTTAATTTAAAAAAGTGTGCAGCCCTGGCCGAGCGCGGTGGCTCATGCCTGTAATCCAAGCACTTTGGGAGGCCGAGGCAGGTGGATCACGAGGTCAGGAGATCGAGACCATCCTGGCTAACATGGTGAAACCCTGTCTCTACTAAAAATACAAAAAATTAGCCAGGCATGGTGGAAGGTGCCTGTGGTCCCAGCTATTCGGGAGGCTGAGGCAGGAGAATGGTGTGAACCCAGGAGGCGGAGCTTGCAGTGAGCCGAGATAGTGCCACTGCACTCCAGCCTGGGTGACAGAGTGAGACTCCATCTCAGAAAAACAAAACAAAACAAAACAAAACAAAAAACAAATAAAAAAGTATGCAGCCTAAAGTGACCACAGTTCTGAGGTTGTATGGGCCCAGCCATGGGGCTGATACACTTGACTCTTGTCACTCGTGGTAATTATTATTTTTGGGTTTTTGTTTTTTGTTTTTTGTTTTGAGACAGAGTCTCGCTCTGTCACCCAGGCTGGAGTGTGGTGGCGCGATCTCAGCTCACTGCAACCTCCGCCTCCTCAGTTCAAGCGATTCTCCTGCCCCAGCCTCCCAAGTAGCTGGGATTACAGGCACCCACCACCATCCCCAGCTAATTTTTGTATTTTTAGTAGAGACGGGGTTTCACCATGTTGGCCAGGCTGGTATTGAACTCCTGACCTCAGGTGATCCATCCACCTCAGCCTCCCAAAGTGCTGGGATTACAGGTGTGAGCCACCACACCCGGCCAGGTAATTATTTTTTATAAAGTCACCATGAACACAGAATTAGCAAATATAGAATGACTTCCTAGAGGAAACACAGGATTAGGTTCCTTCAAGCCTTTGGTCAGAAAATTTTTATCAACTAATCAAAACCTAACTATATAGCCTGTTTTATGTGTGTTTCTGCTTAAAAATGCTTTATGTAATATATTTTGTTGATTCATGAACATTGAGCTGAGGCAGCAGCACTGTAACTTGCCTGAACAAAGCTTACTAACACGCATATTCTCTCCATAAGGCACGTCACAGTCTTCCTGTGCTAGGGACACTAGACGGCACTTTAGCACAGCACTTGGGGTCATTATAAAAAAACAATGAAACAGCCAAAAAAGCACAGATCTGCAAAAAACATGGCACCGAATAGACTACAAAGGACACATGTTTACAGCATAAGCTGAGACAAGAAGGCAGAGTAACACCTTGTCCAGCCTCACCTAGGAACATGCTCACCAGGCAGCTCAAATGTTTCACTGCCCTGCGCATGTCCACACATGCCCACAAAAGCTCTGTGAATATTAATTCTGGACTTACAAATAAATATTAGCAAGTAGTTGTGAATTCTCAAATACAGAATCTGCAAGTAATAAGGATCAACTGTCCTTCTGATGGCCAGGTGGGGACACAGAGCGGCTGCCGATGTGGCTGAAGAGGAGGGGAGTGGGCGGCTCATGGTGCGGGGAGCCATCCCAAAGGGCTCTCCTGCCGGGTGTCTATAGATCCCATGGCAATAAAACATCAAGCTCACTTACCATTTCCAGCTCCATGTCCAAGAGCTTGCAGGCACCATATACGGGAGGCTTAGCTGGAATAACACCAGAAAAAAAAAAAAAACGGTGCTGTGAGTGAGGCCACAGAACTCTCTGTGTGGGAACAGAGAGCTGGGTACCAGCAAGGCCTGGACGCTGCGGTCACTCACAGTCATCAGGTTTCATCTGTCCCATGGGCCTTCGGATTGGGGTGCCAGACACCACGACAGAGGAGGCACGGCCATGGTAGCCCACTGGTAAGTGCAGCCTGAGAAAGGAAGGCAAGAGAATGCAGGGCATCAGAGCTGTTATATGTTGTCAATTAACTTTAAAAACTTCAAAAACTAGAAACAAAGAGTCGCCACATACACATGGCTCAAAAATCAACAGGTGCTTACAAGTTTCCATCCACAGATGAATGGATAAACAAACTGTGGTACATACATACAGTGGAATATTATTCAGCCTCAAAAAGGAAGAAAATTCTGGGCTGGGTGCAGTGGCTCGCGCCTGTAATCCCAGCACTTTGGGAGGCTGAGGTGGGCAGATCACATGAGGCCAGGAGTTCGAGAACAGCCTGGGTAACATGGTGAAACCCCGTCTTTACTAAAAATACAAAAATTAGCCAGGCATAGTGGTGCACGCCTGTAGTCCCAGCTACTCGGGAGGCTGAGGCAGAAGAATCGCTTGAACCTGAGAGGTGGAGGTTGCAGTGAACTGAGATCGCACCACTGCACTCCAGCCTAGGCAACAGAGCAAGACTCCATCTCAAAAAAAAAAAAAAAAAAAGATACAGCCATGTCCTAACTCCCAGAGTCTTTATACATGTAATCAAGTTAAGAATTTTGAGACACGATCATCCTGAATTATCCAGGTGGGCCCTAAATCCAATTAGAAATGTCCTTATAAGAGACAGAAGAGAAGAGAAGATGTAGAAAGGAGGAGAAGGCCACGTGAAGACAGAGGCAGAGACTGGAGTGATGCAGCCACAAGGAACGCCTGCAGCCCCCAGAAGCTGGAAGCAGCAAGGACAAGGACGGTCCTAGAAGCTTCAGGAGGAGATGGCCTTACTGACACCTTGATTGCAGATTTATGGCCTCCAGAACTGAGGGGATAAATTCCTGTTGTTGTGGCTTTTTCTTACAGCAGCCCCAGGAAATGGATACAGACCCATACCACACCTCACACATAAAAGGAAATCCAGATGGATTCAAGATCTAAATGTACAAACAAAGGCTATTACAGGCACTAGAAAAAAAAAACACAAAAACACAAAAAACTTCCAAATTCTTGGGGTGGAGAAAGCCTTTCTAAACATTACACAAAAGTAAATGCCATAAGGAAAATGATTGGCATGCCTGACTTTATGAAAATGCAAAACTCTAGGCCGGGCACGGTGGCTCAGGCCTGTAATCCCAGCACTTTGGGAGGCCGAGGCGGGTGGATCACAAGGTCAGGAGATCGAGACCATCCTGGCTAACAGGTGAAACCCTGTCTCTACTAAAAATACAAAAAATTAGGCGGGAGTGGTGGCAGGCACCTGTGGTCCCAGCTACTCGGGAGGCTGAGGCAGGAGAATGGCGTGAACCTGGGAGGCGAAGCTTGCAGTGAGCCGAGATGGTGCCACTGCACTCTAGCCATGGCGACAGAGCAAGACTCTGTCTCAAAAAAAAAAAAAAAAAAAGAAAATGCAAAACTCTGTATCTAGAAAGACTGGCAAACAAAGAAAAAAGATAACATACTGGGAGAAAATATTTGCAATGCATTGCAACAAAGGGTTAATTTCTATCACTTATAAAACACTCTTGTAAACTAATAATAGAGAAATGACTGTATATATAAACTGGCAGAGTATGCAAAAACATCTGTGAAAAAATATATAAGAAGGCCGGGCACGGTGGCTCATGCCTATAACCCCAGCACTTTGTGGGGCTAAGGCAGGCCAAGGTGGGCTGATCACTTGAGTCCAGGAGTTTGCGACCAGCCTGATCAACATGGCGAAAACCCATCTCTACAAAAAATACAAAAATTAGCCAGGCATGGTGGTGTGCACCTTTAATCCCAGCTACTTAGGGGGCTGAGGCAGGAGGATGGCTTCACCTGGGAGGTCAAGGCTGCAGTGAGCCAAGGTCATGCCACTGCACTCCAGCCTGGGTGACCAAGTAAGACCCAGTCTCAAAAAAAAAAGAAAAAGAAAATATATGTATGACACCGATTAACAGTTTTGTCTCTGGAGAAGGGAACTGGATGGTGGCCCATAGGTGGTTGAGTTCTGTTTTTTTCATTGTTTACCCTTAAGTACCTTTTGAATTCTCAACCATGTATATATATATTGACTGTTTTTGTTGCTTTTAATTTTTTAAATGTTTGATAAATTATTTTGTAATATTTATGATATACAAAAACATGTAATAACACAAGTCACCATGCACCACCAAGGAGCTAAAGAAATAACAGTTCACTTATCCAGTCCAATGCATCCTTGGGATCCCTCCCTGGTCTCACTCTCCTTCCCTCCCTTCCTGCCCCTCACCCTAGAGGAAACCAGCATGGTCCTCATTTCCCTATATTTCTATACACTTTTATTACTGTACCTTTTTTTTTTTTTGGTGGGGGGTGGGGTTTGAGACAGAGTCTCGCTCTGTCGCCCAGGCTGGAGTGCAGTGGTGTGATCTCAGCTCACTGCAACCTCCACCTCCGAGGTTCAAGTGATTCTCCTGCCTCAGCCTCCCAAGTAGCCGGGACTACAGGCGCCCGCCACCACACCCAGCTAATTTTTTTTTTTTTTTTTTGAGATGGAGTCTCGCTCTCTCACCCAGGCTGGAGTGCAACGGCACAACCTCAGCTCACTGCAACCTCCGCCTCCCAGGTTCAAGTGATTCTTCTGCCTCAGCCTCCCAAGTAGCTGAAATTACAGGCACCCGCCATCATGACCAGCAAATTTTTGTACTTTTGTAGAGATAGGGTTTCACCATGTTGGCCAGGCTGGTCTCAAACTCCTGACCTCAGGTGATCCGCCCGTCTCGGCCTCCCAAAGTTGTGGGATTACAGGCGTGAGCCACCACGCCTGGCTGCTAATTTTTGTATTTTTAGTAGAGACAGGGTTTCACCATATTGGCCAGGCTGGTCTCAAACTCCTGACCTTGTGATCCACCCACCTCAGCCTCCCAAAGTGCTGGGATTACAGATGTGAGCCACCGCGCCCAGCCCTACTGTACTGTATTTTTGTATCTTTTTATAAAAATGATATTTTACTGTGTAATTGTCTTGTATTACCTACCCCAAAAAACTTATTTTGTAAAAGACTGAGATAGATTTAAACTTATCTACATGGAGATATGTCAATGATGAAGTAAAAAAAGCAAATTTCAGCATGCCCTCGTTTTGTTAACTAAAGAAATAAAATGCATATGTATGCGTGCATACGTGTGGTCATGCATGTGTAACCTGGAGCAAAGTACAGGAAGCGGCACATCCAACTTGTTCAAAGTAGTTGCCTCTGGTGAGTGGCTGAGGAAGAGCTCCCTTTTTTACCCACCTTGGTTCCTTTATTGGATTAAATTATAAAATTCCATTGCATGCAATTACATGGCATGTAATAATTCAAACAATTCAGATGAAAAAAAGGAGTTAGTAATCTCTCCCCACCCGGCCACTCCCCTGAGGAAAGCAATGTTAATCTGGAGTCTAATATTTTTTGCCTTTCTCTATGCTCATACCGGCCTATGGAACTAATGTATGCATAAGTGTGTGTGTGTGCATGTGTACATGCGTGTGTGTGTGTGTGTGTTAAGCTGAAAAATAGCCCTCCAAAAGATATCCAGATCCTAATCCCTGGAGCCTGTGGATATTATTACATGGCAAAAAGAGTTTTGCAGGTGTGATTAAGTTAGGGATCTTGAGATAGGGATACTGTCCCTGGTTATTTGAGTGAACCCTAAATGTAATCACAAGGGTCCTTATAGACAGAGGCAAGGTCAAAGGAGGAAGTAGGAAATGTAACAGCAGAAGCAAGTGGTTGGAGTGATATGAGGAAGGGGTCAAAAGGCAAGGGATACAGGCAACCTCTAAAGCTGAAAAGTCAAAGAAATGGGTTCTCTCCTAGAGCCTCCAGAAGGAACCAGCCCTGCTGACACCTTGACTTTAGCCAGTGAGACTGATTTTTGACTTCTGGCCTCCGGAACTAGAAGAGAATATATTTGTGTTTTAAGCCACCAAGTTTGTGGTAATTTGTTACAGCAGCAACAGAAAACTAATACAGTGTGTATGTACATATATATTTTTTGTGCTTTTTTTATAAAAGTGAGACACACTTTACCTAATTGCCTATAGTTTACCTATTTCACTTAACACAGATCAGTGCACATCTTTCTTGATCTAAATCTTTCACTAGCTGCAAAACATTTCATATTGTGAATAGACCAATTTTTCAACCATTCCTCCACCGATAAGCATTCAGATTACTTCCAGTTCTGGGCCACTAGAAACTCTGCTAATTAACATCCTTGCTCTTGGATACAACCCACTGGTGCTTTTATTTCTGTAGGATAGATGCATGAAAGTGAGCATTGCAGGTCAAAGAGTAGACACATTTTTAATTGTAAATGTTTACATATTTTCTGTAGTGTTTGGGTTAATTCCAGTAAATATATGTTACCTTTATAATAAAGACTATGTACATAAAGCTAAAAAGTCACAGCTGTGGGCCATCTTGCATCAAACATGGCTAGAGAAGGCCTGTTTACTCTTATTCTGCAGAAGGACATGGGGCAAGGATGGCTGCGGCCCCCACACTCGGTTTCAGACACAGTCAACACTCATTTCCCAGGTCCCGGCTCTCCTCTCACTTCCTGGTGCCCCTGCCCTTTGGCCACTGGGATCCTGGCACACAGGTGACAGCCAGCTCTTCTGGGGCTGGGCAGTCCACTGGGTCATCACTGCCAAGGACACTCATATAGACACTCAGCCCATCAGATAGACAAGTTGAAGCTGGCTGGGGACAAATACAGCCTGGAGCCTGTACAGTGCAAGATTCTCAAATATTTGCGCATCTCACGTGGAAGCCTGGAACCTGGAGCCTGGGTTCTGGTCTCAGATTCACCCCTGCCTCATTCTGCAACCTTGGCCTTGTTGTTCAACATCTCTGGCTTGGAACTGCTCTCTCTCCCTTTCTTTCTTCCTCATCTTGGTTCTAACAGACCCTCCCCTCATGGCATAGCCTACTGGAGACACTCACTCGAGAGAGAGTAAAGCCCCGTCCCTAACCCAGCTCCTGTGTGTGACTGATGGCACTGGGGCCTGGAGTGTATGCCTGCCACTGAGTCCAGGCCCTCTTCAGTTCCAAGGAACCATCACATCCAGGGGACAACACAGAACAAAGGGCAAGGATCCCAGCTCTGCATCCTCAGCTTGGTCAATGGCCTGATCTGGGGGCTGGGAGACAGGCTGTGGCCCTGTTGTGCTCAGGCAAGTTGATCCTTCTCTGAGCCCATTTTCCTGTCTGTAAAATGGGGCTTACAATCATGGCCTTGTGACATCAGAGAACTACTACGAGGATCAAACAAATGAATGAAACCGATCACATGTTGAGGAATATACAGCACTGGGCACATTTGAGGATTCTCATTCATCAGAAAATGTAAGTATGGAGCATGCTAGAGTCTAAGACTTGCCCATAGTACAATAATACACAGCTTATAAATGAAAGACTCCAGAAGGAGCATAGGGATTAAGGGAATCTAATTCCAACCCCTGCTGTCCAAGGAAGTTTAAGGGACTTGCCCTTCGATCCCACAGCAAGTCCTAAGCCAAGCTGAGCAGGAGACCAGAAGCTGAGACCACTGCTTCCAGAGGTTGCAACATCATAACTGCTTTTCCTCCCCAGTTTACTTTAAGAAGAACTTGGCAGCTCCTGAGACAAATATGCTGCTGGAAATGAAAAGAAAGACTTTGAACTTATGCAGACATTTGGCCCAGTTCATACCAATTTGGCATCAACGCATTCTCCTTGTCCCTGAACATGATTCCGACGTTGGTAGCATGCTGCCGAGAGGAATAGAAGTCTGTGTAGTCTCCTGCAGAGGAAAGACCCAACAGATCCCATCAGCAACCCACATGCCTCAGGAAGAATGGACTGTTCCAAGCACTGGAGCCACGAGTGTGCACACAATACTGTTTACACATCCAGAGCTCAGCCTGCAGCCAGCAATGGCAGCACCAAATGCAATATAAAATATCCTCACTGAAGATTTGTTTTTAGAGCCCTCAGCTGAGAAACAAATAAGAAATCAGGAGTCCAGACTTTCTGAAACTGACAGTGGAATGTGAACACCAAGTGGCTGATACCACCTCCCTTCTCAGGCTCCCCACTTTTCCCACACACAACTGCCATTCCCGAGTTCCCACAGGCTCCCTCACCACGCCTATACTGATTGACTTCTCCCTTGTCCCTGTGTATTCAAATCCTGGCAACTCTTTGAGGCCCGCTCCTCCCTGAAGCCCTCCCTGCTCTCTCTAGCAGGATCTCTTCCCCCTCCAAATCCCCTCCCCTGAATCCTTCTGGGGCAGGCTTCGCTTCCCACTGGTGCTCCAGTTATGTGTGTGCACATCTTTGCTAGACTGTGGACATTCCAGGACAGCCCCAGCCCAGTCCTCATTTTCTTGGACTCTGCCCGAGTGCCAAGGACAAGGGCTTGCACACTGCAGATGCATATCAGTGCTTGTTGATTATGATGAACTGAATGGGCTAGCCAGCAAGCTGTAGGCATATCTACCATTCGGAGAATTAAAAATCTGAAAGAAAAACCAGTTGGGACAGTCTGCCTGTTTTATCTTCCTAAATGTCTCCTCAAAAAAAAAAAATGCTGGATATTCATCAATACCAACAGCCTAGACTAGCAACAGTCATGGTGAAGGGTGAGGAGAGGAAGAACAGTCCACAGGGCAGGTGGAGCCTTAGCTGCTGCTTCCCATCTTCAGTCCCATTGCACAGAAGTAATAGCTGAGAGATTTTTCAAAAGAATAAATCCATAACAAAAAAAAAAAAAAACAAGAAAGGGCACCATCAGTCAACCAGACATGATATCCCTGAAAGACATATGGTTTGCACAACAGCTGGTTTGCCAAAACATAGCACAGTCCCATGAGTGTATGAGAGTGGGGAGTGAGAGGGGCTGGGAGGAGGCAGGTGACTCGGCCCCTGTCCCCAACCCCATCCTCCAGTCAGCTTAGCCCAAGCAGCCCAGCAGCAAAGGACTCTCCCCGGACAGCAGGAGCTGTTCCAGAGAGGCAGTGTACCCCAGGGGCAGGGTCAACTGGCCCCTCAGCTCACAGGTGCCCAGGTAGCCCAGCAGAGGAGACCTGTGCACAAGGAAGAGGGCTGTGCTTTGGGCCGCAGGCTGAGCCAGCCTCTCTCTCTGCTTCAGGTTGAGAGTTTCAACAGCTCCAACTTCCTGAATGACACTCCAACCAGACATCCTGCCACGTGCTCAAACTGGGGCCCTTCATAGCCCTCTGGCCTCTATCCTCAAAACTGCTGACTCACAGACTGAGCTCAGAGAATTTGTCCCATAGCCTTTGGGGGAAGGAAAGCAATTTGCTGTGCAGGGAGCCATGCGGCTAGTCATGAACTTGAGCAGTCTGCAACTCACTACCTGAGGCAAGATAATAGCCTGAGTGAATGCCGGGCCTGGATGCTGGGAAAGGTCAGTGATGAGGAGCGGGTAACAGCCCCAGAGCCCCTCCTCCATCTCCCCCCACCAGCAGGGACCCTCCACACAGATGCAGAACCAAAGCACCTGGCCAGCCCTCTTGGCCCACGAAGCTGCTCCGTTCTTATCTTGGTGAAGAGACTGCACTCACCTATGGTGGCTGGAAGGTGCATCGTGGCAGAAGCCTGGGAGATGAATGCACTGAAACACAGAACCAGGGGCTTCAAAGTCAAGTAGGCAGCAAAGCGCGGTCCCACCCACGGGCTCAGCCCAGACCATCCCCAAGATTATCCACAATCTCCAGTGGGCACCTTCTGGCTGGCCTGGGGCCAGAGCTATGCTGAACCTTTCACAGCTGAGAGGACATCCACCCACTGAAGCCGTTTCTATATTCTACCCTAGGAAATGGGACTAGACAAGTGGAAACTCTTTCCTACTCTAGAAACCAGATGAGGTCACAGATGATGCTAATGAGGACAGCCTGAGTAAGAGAGAGGGCCAATGGGCCTGGCCTGGCCTAGCTTGGGCAGCTCCATTCCAGGCGCCAAGGCAATCCCAGTCCTCCCAAAGCCCTCCCATCAATAGGCAGCTCAGGCAGGGGCTGGATGAGGGCAGGTCTGACTTGGCCACACTAAGGCTGCCAAGCCGTGACTCAGAATGGCACTGATAACCACACAGCCTTCACCTCCCCTGCTGCATCCCCTCATCCCCCCTATGACCACGTGCTTCTCACCACTTCCGAAGTTCGGTGTCATCTCTGAGCCTGGCTTGGCTCACAGACAGCAAGTTCTGCAAGAACACTCTCGCCTCCTTCCAGGCAGCCTGACCCAGGCCCATGAAGCTGTTGAGTGTAGGCTAAGACCAAAACAGGGAGAAAAAAGATCACGTACAGGAAAACCCAGGGAGTATCCCTCCTTCCAATGGAAGGCCAGCCAGCCTGCCAGCCCTTGCCACTTCTCTCCCGCTAACTCAAACTCTCAGGACCTCTGCTCTTAGTTTTGTCATTTATTCATCAACCTGGAGAAAAGCATATCCTCTCTTGACGTTGCCTCAGGCCCTCGTGCACCTGCACACAATTGTCCAAGCCCAGGAGTTGCTACCTGGCACAGCAACTGTGCTAAGCTTGGCCCGGCCCACAGTTGAAGGTGGCCATGTTCTTCCAGTAGAGGCACACTCCAGTCTGCAGAGTGATCACAGCCTAAACTAATTCCTTTCACATCAGTTAAGAAGAGGTTTTGGGCCAGGTGTGATGGCTCATGCCTGTAATCCCAGCACATTGGGAGGCCGAGGTGGAGGATCACTTGAGCCCAGGAGTTCAAGATCAGCCTGGGCAATATAGTGAGACTTCATCTCTATTAAAAAAAAAAAGTTGTTTTTTTTTTTCCCATTCTGTCACCCAGGCTGGAGTGCACTGATGTGATCTCGGCTCACTGCAACCTCTGCTTCCCAGGTTCAAGCAGTTCTCCTGCCTCAGCCTCCCGAGTAGCTGGGATTACAGGCGTGCACTGCCACACCCAGCTAATTTTTGTATTTTTAGTAGAGAGGGGGTTTCACCATGTTGGCCAGGCTGGTCTCGAACTCCTGACCTCAAGTGATCTGCCCACATCGGCCTCCCAAAGTGCTGGGGTTACAGGCGTGAGCCGAGAGGTTTTTTAATTTAAAAAAGGAAGAGGTTTTATAGCCAGTGAAGCATAGCAGAAAAAGCCCTTGTAGGTTCTAAGAGTCAGAGTTCCAGTCCCAGCTCTGATACTTCTAGCTGTGCAGCTTGGGAAAACCATGTCTCATTCCAGAAGTTCAGGTCCCCATCTAGATGCTCAGGCCCCCATAGGAATTCCAATTCCTATGCCAGAGGGTGGTCAGGAGGATTGAAGGAGAGGATGTGTGCGAAGCTCCTGGCACACAAGAGGTACCCATAAATCCCACCCTCCTTCCTGACCCATGCAATGAGAAGATGCTATATCAAAGTAGATGACCATTTACAGGGAAGCAAATTCATGTCCATCCCATGTGAACATGTACTTCAGGCTGACTCCTCCGTAGCTGCTTCCACAGAACTGGAGGGCTGGGCTCGTAGCTCCCTCCCTTGGGGGCCCACACAGCCCTTGGACAGGCAGAGGCTCAAACAGCTTGACAAGAAAAGTAACCAGAGTTCCTGAAGAGCTTCATCTCATAGACAACTAGGAACGACCCAGGACTGCAGACACTGACACTTTTTTCACCTAGGAACTCGCCCTGAGGTGAGAAGCCACCCTGAATTGTCCCAAGGCCACCTCCTACCAGTTTGTCTGTCTCAAAACAACCCCAGCCTTATCCAAGTATAACCTCTGAGACCTTCGATGGCATTACCTCTATCGGAAATGGAACGCAAGGAGCATTCTCTTGTTGGCATCCACAGTAAGTGCCACTGAGGTCAGGGACAAGTCGTTTCACAATGTCCTACCTGATTGAAGACATCCTGGTGTTTGGAGAGGACAGGACCAGTAAAGAGGTGCTTGATGATGCTGAGGTCCAGGATCTGGTCGCCAATGGCCACACCTATCCTCGGTCTTGGCTAGGAGGAAGACGACACCGTCAGCACCAGAAAAAGCCCCTGGCTGGGCTTGGCTCATTTACTCAGAAAGCCTATCTATTGAAGAGTCCACAGGTCCCCCTTTAGGTGGCCCTGTATGCAGAGCGGACTGAAGAACCATGTTCTCAGCATCCTGCCCCAGCTCCCTTGTGCCATCTCTGCTTCCAGAACTAAAAGGAAAAATAATCTGTGTTCCCTGAATGGGAAAGAAATCAAATATCCCTTGGACTGGGGGAAGAGCAGTCAGCCTGGTCCTAGCCACTTAACCTGGGCAAAGACCCCTGCAAAGTTCCCTAGGCATTACATAAATGCCTCCAGTGATGAGGAGCTTACCACCTTACCAGGATGTTGGATTATTTTCCAGGTTTCTAGGCCTTGACTAGGGTAGTTCAGTTGTGCGGTGGAGCATGAGTGCCCAACACACAGTGCTGAGGGCCAGGTGGCTTGGATTAATGAGCTCTGTTGTAGCTCAAATGGAGGAGAGCTCGGGTTGTAAGGGAGCTGCAGGAAGCCAGACTGCTCAGAACATGCAAGGCAAGTTCCTTTCTGTACCACAAAATCCCAGCATCAACAAAGATGTCTTAAATATTTGTTAAGTCCTGGTCTTTGTCCCCACAACCCTGAGCTTTGCTCGTCAACAAGAACCCGAGGGCATGTTTGCAGACTCAACTTCCCAGGGCTCTGTCCTGAGCCAGGCTTCCAGCTCTCCTGAACCACCAGCTTGGCCATTTCAGTGCCAGCGAGCTTAGTGGTGGGATTATTGGCTGGCCTTATCTCCATTGGCTGCTCACTGGGGTGGGCTGAGAAAAGATGACCATTTCTCCACGCATGTCAGCTCTTGGAATCGGGGTAGACCAGAGCCATACTCCTCATCTGAGGTCCCAGCAGAGCCTACCCTAGAAGAGGCTGCCTGGAGAGCTTAGTTACTCATTCTCAGCCCCACTGCCAACTCCCTGGGCCTCAGTCTTCCCCTCCTGAAAATGGCAAATCTGCTTTAGGCAAAGAGCTGAACCACCTGAATCCAAGTGGCTTTCCATTCAGGGAATGTGCAGGGCAGACCCTTGGACCACATCTCTGACCCTGGTCCCCACACCCCAGCTGAAGGCAAGAAGGAGTCACCACCAGTAAGCAACTTCCAAAATGGGGTCACAAGTGCAGCTGCCTGCTGCCTCAAATGCAAACAAAGCCTAGAAGCTTCAAACTTGTGCTTCAAACTATGACCTGAGGACCCAGAAAAAGTCTGAGAGAGTGAGTCCCTCTACTTTCAACCTTGGGAGTTATTTTCTTCAGCACAAAACTAGAGGGGGCTCACAGGTCAGATCCAGGATTCCTGGGCTCCAAGTCTGCTCCCTCATTCACCATCTTATCACCTTGGACAAGTCTCTGGGCCTCAGTTTCCCATCTGCAACTTGAGGGAAACAAACTAAGGAGGGAGACCGCATTTGTCTAACTTCAAGAGAATGAATGTGCATTGCCTTTGTTTTAAAATAGTTGGTCATATCTGATATAAAGTTGTCCAAAGGAAAGCATTACCCAACTCCCAGCCTGACATAGAGGGGGAAGCATGGGATTGGTGTGGGCGAAGGATTACCCAGGTGCCGAGGCAAGAGACTGAAGGCATAAACTGTAGCTATACTGCTATACAGTTGTAATACAAATTAGATATACAGATGATCATGGACAATTATCGATTATTAGTATAAACATTATTAATCATTAGTTTTTAATATTACTCTTTATTGTAGTACAATATAACCTAGGAATAACCGGTGGGTATAGGGTCAGGTACTGAAGGGACATTCTGAGAAGTGACCTAGAAGGCAAGAGGTGAGCCCTGTCACACCCGCATAAGGGCCGCTTGAGCGCTCCTTGGTCAAGCGGTAACGCCAGTGCCTGGGAAGGCACCCATTACTTAGCAGACCGCAAAAGGGAGTCTCCCTTTCCTTGGAGGAGTCAGGGAACACTCTGCTCCACCAGCTTCCTGTAGGAGGCTGGATATTATCCAGGCCTGCCCGCAGTCATCTGGAGGCCTAAACCCCTCCCTGTGGTGCTGTGCTTCAATGGTCACGCTCCTTGTCCACTTTCATGTTCCTCCTGTACTCCTGGTTCCTCTTTGAAGTTTGTAGTAGATAGCGGTAGAAGAAATAGCGAAAGTCTTAAAGTCTTTGATCTTTCTTATAAGTGCATAGAAGAAAATGCTGACTTATGCTGCCTTCCCTCTCTGCTTCGGCTACCTTAGAGGGAAGAGCCCCCGTCCCATGATCACATGACTTGCTTGACCTTATCAATCACTTGGATGACTCACCCTCCCTACCCTGCCCCCCTTGTCTTGTGTGCAATAAATATCAGTGTGCCCAGCCATTCGGGGCCACTACCGGTCTCTGTGTCTCAGTGGTAGCAGTGCCCCGGGCCCAGCTGTTCTCTCTTTATCTCTTTGTCTTGTGTCTTTATTTCTTACAATCTCTCGTTTCCGCACACAGGGAGAAAACCCGCTAAGCCCCGTAGGGCTGGACCTTACAGATTGGGAGGCTGACAGATGTGGGGATCAACCCCATATCTGCCTCTTACTGGCTGTGAGATCTGGAGCATGATGCTTTGCCTCTCTGGACCTCAGTTTCCTCATCTGTAGAATGGGGACAATAACTTCACAGTAGGTTTATTGTGAGAATTTAATTAATATCTGTAAATCTCTCACCACAAGAACAGACACAGGGTAGACGCTATTCATGCCACAAAGATTTAGAGAGCATCTTCTCAGTACCAGCATTACACAAAGGCTGCTGAGGCCCTGGGAACAGTGACGTGGTTCCTTCTCTCCAGAAGCAAAAGGAAACACAGGGTGTGGTGAGAGATAACCAAGGCTGGGCCGCAGCGGGGAGCTCATTCAGAGAGGGTGCTTAGGAGGTGACATTTAAGCTGAGTCCCAAAGAGTGAGAAGGGGCCAAGCATATAGAGAGCAGAAGGACGAGTATTCCAGGCAGAAGGAACAACATGTGCTAAGGCCTGAAGGCAGGAAGCTGCTCTTAGCACATCTCAGAGACTCAAAGGCAGCCAATGTGGCTGGAGAAAGCAGAGGCCAGGAGGCAGCAGCACAGCCAGACCACGGGGACTTTAACAAGGCACCCGGCAAAACCAGCTCCACACTACTACAACCCCGTTCTCAGAGGCCACCACCCCTACCTTCACAGAGAGCACCCCTGTACACCTTACTAGTCCATCAACCAGAAATGGAAGGAAGGCGTCTCCTGTGTCTTTGATGCCAACTCGGAGCCCAGGCAAAATCTGGACCAGAGTTGGGGTTCATAAGCATTCGCTGAATAAAAAAAAATGAATAAAGTGATGGCAGGATTCATTGTTATTCCACTCAAATTAGGAAAGGCTGACTGCTGACATGGGGGAAGGGAGGTTTTGCCTTGGCAACTAGTCTTGCCTGGCAAGGCAGCCATCACGGTTGGAATGTCCAATGCCTGCAGAGAAAGCTTCAGAAGAGGCTTGTTCAGCTGGAAGGCCAAAGGGCCAACTCTCCACCCCCAGCACTGTATCAGAGGACAGCGGAATGGGGCTCTCTCTTCCAGACATCTGTAGTGGCTGCCCTGCACATTCTGATGTTGAAACAGCGGGACATGGTGTCTGAAAACACCTAGCCACACTCTAACGGATATTAATTCGATTCCCCTGAGAAAGCAAGTCAGAGCTCCCTACTGGGGTGTGCCTGCCTCTCACAAATGTTTCTGTCTAATGGATTTGTGCTCCCAGGAAAGGTGAGGGAGGACACATCTGCCGAGGGCAAAGTGTTTGAGGAGGGCAGAGGGAGGGCTCTGTCTGCAGAAAGGTTGTTGGCCATCACAAGTTAAGATTTAATGTGCCTCAGATTGTGTCCTCCAGGGGATTGAGTGTCCACTTTCTGTATCCTTGCAACATCTGGTCAGCCCGGCCAGATGTGAAACCACAAGTTGACTCTTCTAGACCAAAGCACTTACCGCAGACAGGCCCACAAAAGGCCAGCCACTTGCATCCAATGACAAGCCATGGGGGAAGGAGGGAACCCCACTTTCCAAGAAGAAGCCAACTGCCAGGCCCCTCGTTTAGCAAACATTTCCTGATTCTGGGGTTCTATGGCTTACAGAGATGAATCAGGAGTTTACCTTTAAAGTTGGGAGCAGAAATCTAAGCCAAAAATATCATCAACAAATCCAAGGGAATCTGCTTTTCCAACCTAGGGAACCTCTTATTATCTATTTGCTGATAAACCCCCAGTTTTCAAATACTTCTTTCTACCAATCAGACTACACTGACTTAGTCAAAGTTTGTTTCCCTGCCCTCTTTCTTCTGATCAGTAGGGGAATGCCAGGGAGCCCACACCAGGAGCTGAAAGAATTTCAGCTATAGGCAGAGACACTTGCCATCTTAGATCTCACAACTCTAAGCCAAGAAACGCGCGTGCCCCTCTGACCTGCTACGCATACCGGGTTATCATTTCCCGGGTTCTAGGGTTAGGGGCTATCCAGCGAGATGAACCACCAGCCCTGACCTGGCCTCTTGGGCGAGAGAAACACACCGCAACCACCTCGGAGTAGGCAGCATGCCTGTGTGCTGCAGCTTCCGGTAACAGAATCCTGCTTGCTCTGCTTGTCTGGGAGAGTGACACGATTCATTTCATTTTGCATTTAATTCTCAGCAAACCTGCGGACAATGAGGCTGAAAAGTTAAACAACGTGCACAGCTAGAAAGTTACGAGGCGGGACTCGAGCCCATAGGCACTCTCACGGAACGAATCTTAAGAGAAAAATGGCACAAGCCTCCATCCCGCCCCTCATTCCACTCCATTCCACTCCACTCCACTCCACTCCACTCCACTCCACTCCACTCCCTCCCCGCGCCCGGACGCCAAAGCCCCACTGCTCACGTCGCCTCTGGTCGAGAAGACGCCGTAGGGCAGGTTGTGGATGGGGAAGTCGGAATCCTCGGCCACCGGGATGAAGGACATGCTGAAGAGCACCCGGCACGGCTGCGGGCCTAAGGTGGCGTGCGGAGAGCAGGACTGAACTCGGCCGCTGTGGTCAGGCCCGGCCCCGCCCCCCTGCCCGCCCCCACGGCCTGTCCGGGTGACACAGCAGGGACCCCGGAGGCTCCTACCTGACTTTTGGTCTCACCGTGAACACCCCGCCCCCGAACCCCGAGCCCTGCCCCTCCCCCCTACCCTGACCCCCGCCAGCTCCAGGTCCTCCACAGTCTCGCCCGCCCTTCCAGAGCCCCGCCCCGCCCCTGGCCCCGCCCCCGTGGGCCTCAGGTCCTCCAGTCTCTCCTCCCTCCCTGAGCCCCGCCCCTCCCCTTGCCCCGACCCCGCGAGCCCCAGGTCCTCCACAGTCTCACCCTCCCTCCCTGAGCCCCGCCCCTCCCCTCGCCCCGCCCCTCCCCTCGCCCCGCCTTGCAAGCCCCAGGTCATCCAGTCTCTCCCTCCCTCCCTGAGCCCCGCCCCTCCCCTGGCCCGGGTACCCGAGAGTCCCAGGCCCTCCAGTCTTGCCTCACTCCCCGAGCCCCGCCCCTCCCCTGGCCCCGCCCCCGTCCTGATCCCCGCCCTGTCCGCGAGTCCACGTGGGGGAGATCTGGTTCCAGCCCCCGCTCGGGGCAGCTAGCTGGTCCTACCGAGAGCAAACCCCAGCTTAGCATTTAAGGCTCTGCCCTGCATGACTCCAGCCTCGCTCGCCCCGGCTGCTGCCCTGCTCTTCAGCTCAACAGAACTCTTGTCCGCTTCCTGGAAACACTTTCTCCCCAAGAGCTGCTCCCTGAGCTTCAGAAGAACACCCAGTCGCGTCCTTTCTGCCTTCATACCATGATGCTCCGTCCAGCTATGACACTTCCACTTGTATGTCAGAGAAGGGGACAGTTAGGCCTGTTTGGAAGGCTTCAATTAATGAGAATTAATATTCTAAAAAATATAACTCACCTGTTTCACATGCCAGTAGTAAAATGACGTTGACAAGATGCTCAACCTTGGACAAGTTACTTAAACTTTCTCTACCTCAGCTTCCTTCTCTGTATAATGTTGATGATAATAGTTCCTACTTCACAAAGTTGATATAAGAATGGAATGAATTAATATTTGTGAAGCACCTAGAATAGTGCCTGGCATATACAGGTTATGTGTGTGTGGAAAGAGAGAGAAGGGAGGGAAAAAGAGGAAAGGAGGGGAGGGGGATAAAGGAAAGGAAAGATAAAAGAGAAATAGGAGAAGAGAGAGAGGGAGAAAGAAAAGAAGGAAGACAGGAAAGAAGGGAAAGGCAGACTATCTTAGGGTGGGTTCAAGGTGTTATCTAATCACTCATGTGCAGTCAGCTGCAGTTTTTTGAGACCATGCCACAGCCAGGACACTTGGAACACACCGGAGAGTGTGTCGTTGTGTTATTGTTGGTGTGAATGATTCAGGTACACTTTTAAACAGCCAGGATGCCGGCTGAAATCTAGAAAAGTAGACGATAGTCTGGGCAAGGGTTCCCTGAAGATCCTTGAGGAATGTGACACAGTGACTGCTGAGTTAGGGAGGCTGCTCCGCATTTCAGCTTAGGGAGAAGAGGCTGGAAGATGGCAGGATAATGTGAGCTAAGTGGGCTTGAAACCAGACGGCTTGAGAGGAGCGAGTACGGCAAGCAGGGCCCGCTGTTGAGCCCCCCTTCCTAGCCCCTGAGATCACTCTGGTGCCTGTCCACCAGGCGTGACCAGTGATCATCACCCAGTAAGGAGTGTAATCTGGGCACAGCCTCTTGGCTCTCATCTCCTGCCCTGAGTGGCTCTGCCAAGGACTGGCTTCAGTTCTTTTAAGTCAGCCCTGGGGAGGGAATGAAGGTGGTCTGATTTGTTCTGGTAGGTTCCTGAAAGAGGAAAAGAAGAGGAGAGTATCCCAACTTGGTGGCCTTATAAAGAGGCATTCCAGGGAGCACTTGATACCTGCCTAATTCAAGCTAGTCCTCAGCTGCAACGCAATGAATTATTTCCACGTTCTGTAGTTGCCCTGCCCCTTCCCATTAAAACCACGAGCTTTCTTATTCCATGTGCAACTCTGTCAATACCCAGCAAAACACCTGGCACAGAATAGGTTCTCCATAAATACATGTCATTAATATAAAACTGTTGACCAAAAGGAAATGAAGCAATAACTAATAAGCCCATGCCCTATGCCAGGCCATGGGGATACACCAGCAACTCACATCTTTAATTCCTGTTTTTATGGAGCATGTGTTGTGTGGGGGATGCTAGGCCAGGAGCTTCTACTGAATACATACAAGTTAACAAAAGCCTAAATGATAAAACCCTTGGAGAAAGAAAACCAAAGTATTTTAGGGAAAGGACATGGGGCAGATGTATGTGTAGGAAAGGGTGTGGGGATGAGATGGCTAAAGAGGGAGTAAGATTTCATAGTTTTAAAATAGACTTAACCAACCCACTAATTATACACAGTGTCTGAAAACGCCAAAGCTGTTCTCTATTTGGAAAACAGCATTTGAAATAACTTGCAAGTATACTATATTTTTTCTTTCTCATTTTTTGGAAGAGAATGTGTTGGCCACGTATATCACAACAATTATTTAAAAAGAATTTTAAAACAAAGAGATTGCCCATAATCCCACCAATGTAGTCTTCTCATTTTCATGTTTTTTTTTCATTCCATTTGTATGCACATGGCTTTTCCATCCTTATAAACTTTACATAGATGCAATTTTTCAGTCTTTCCCTACCTTATTCTCTTGAATATTTTTCCTTGAGGCCCAATAGGCTTTATTATGATCATTGTCATTAGCTAAGGAAGTCGCAATGTTTTAGATGGTAATAATAACGGTTCAATGAAGAGGTGCATGCACAGAATGTTTTCCTTTTCCTTGACAATTATCTAAGGAAGATTCCTGACTCAAAGAGTATGAACACTTTCAGGACTCGCAGTGAGTTTCAGCATCTCCAGCAATGAAGGCTGGTTTGGGTCTCTGTAGCACCATATTTAATGCCTCCCTCTGATGCTAAAAAGCAACACACTGCACTGCAGCCCTCATTCACACAAAGCATGTCCCTCACTCCTTTACAAGAGAGCTGAGAGAGAACTTTCCAGATCCAGGACACTAATGTCTTGCAACGGCTCTGAGAAGCTGGCAGTTGCCATTCAGATAAGCAAGGTGTGGACGCTGCCTGCACTGGGAAGCAGGATGGGGTGGCCTTTTTTGCAACATTCAGCACTGCTGCATGGTCGTCAAGAAAAAGAGGAAACTATGTCAAAGGCCAAGCACTTTAGCAAAGTAAGTGTCCTCTCTTTTTCAGGTCTGAGCTCAGTGATGTTTATGGTACACATTTTGTAGTGGGCATCATGGGTTTGGCATGTGTCCAGTACATTTTAGTATCAAGAATATATGTCATGTGCAAATATACATGACATTCTGTCCTCTCAAAGGAGTTCAAAATTTAGAGGATCTTGGAACTGAACGTAAGTAATTCAAGTGCAAGTGCATGTTGTAGGGTGGGGAGAAGGGGATTGGATGAAGTCCTAGGTGAACCAGCTCAACCAGGGCTAGGTTTTCTGCAATATAAATTTTCTTCTTCCTGCCCTCTTTAATTCTGTCTTTAGTCTGTTTCAGGTACTATTGTGTCTATGTTCTGATGGAATACTACCTCAAATCCATTTTGGATTTAAGCTGGATTTGCAAGACTCACAAATAACAAGCAGCACCTTAAATAAAGAACATGTCATTGCCATCTGACTTAATAATGTGTACCATATAATGAGTTCTCTGTTACCATTATCAAAGCAGGAGCCACTTTTTAGACTCTCCCTCACTGTTATTTCAACAAAATACTTCTAATTTTGTTTTGTTTTCTTATAACTAAATACATATTCAATAGTTTTCCCATCTGAATTATCCCTTTTTTCCCATCCAAATGTTCGGTGCCTTTTTGAGCTATAGCTGTGGATCCCACTCTGCTCCCAGAAATACAGAGGAATGTTGACACATAAGTTACAACCTCTGTATTCAACCTGTTTGGCACAGCTGAATAGATCATTCTCAGTGCCTCTCTCTGCAAACATTGTTTAGTTTGTCAACAATAAATCCACACTAAAATTTCCCTGTCTCTCTTTCGCTCTCTCTTTCTCTCTCTCTCTCTCTCTCTCTGTCACACACACACACACACACACACACACACACACACACACACTAAAGTTGGTTAGGCATGATTTTTCCTTGTGGCCCTTTCCCTAGATGTTGAACAAAAGGAAACAGTATGTGGTAACAGAATATATATGTCTGTTGTTGTTGTTGTTGGTTTGTTTTTTGTTATGTTTTGTTTTGTTTTGTTTTGTTTTGTTTTGAGACAAAGTCTCGCTCTGTTGCCCAGGCTGGAGTGCAGTAGCACGATCTCGGTTCACGGCAACCTCCACCTCCCAGGTTCAAGTGATTCTCCTGCCTCAGCCTCCCAACTAGCTGGGATTACAGGCTCACACCACCACACCTGGCTAATTTTTGTATTTTTGGTAGAGATGGGGTTTCACCATGTTGGTCAGGCTCGTCTTGAACTCCTGACCTCGTGATCTGCCCACCTCAGCCTCCCAAGTTGCTGGGATTACAGGCGTGAGCCCCTGCACCCAGCTGTAAGAATATATATGTTAAGGTTTCAAATAAGAAAGATTTGAAATCTCTTTCTAGAACGTTCATATTGAGTTTGGGTTTAGGTTACTGTACCTCACCAAATCTTAATTTCATGCATTGGAAAAATGAAATAATAAAAACGATACCTGCCTTGTAAGGTTGTTTAGAAGATCAAATAAGAAAACCCCTGCAAAAACTCTCAGCATATTGTGGGACACACAGAAAGTTCTCAATAAATGTCAGCAATCCTGTTTTCCTCTTCCTTACCTCCCCATCACTAATGTACATAAAAGTATAACATGCAACATGAGAAGTAGATTGACTCTGTCTAAGAACATCCTGTGTGAGAGCATTCTGTCCTGCCCTCCCTCCTCACCAGGATTCTGATTGTTGTTGTCAGATGTGTTCCACATCTCAGCGGCTGTCTGGGACAACACCTGGAGAATTCTTTTTTACTTTTTTAGCTGACAAATAAAAATTATACATATTTATCATGTAAAACATGTCATTCTGAAATAGGTACACATTGCACAATGGCTAAGTTGAGCTACTTAACATAAACATTACCTCACTTTTCATTTTTTTTGTCCTGAGAACATTTGAAATCTACTCTCTTGGCAATTTTCAAGAATATAATAAGGCCAGGCGTGGTGGCTCACGCCTGTAATCCCAGCACTTTGGGAGGCCAAGGCGGGTGGATCACAAAGTCAGGAGATCGAGACCATCCTTGCTAACACGGTGAAACCCCCTCTCTACTAAAAATACAAAGATTAGCTGGGTGTGGTGGCACGTGCCTGTAGTCCCAGCTACTCGGGAGGCTGAGGCAGGAGAATCACTTGAACCCGGGAGGTGGAGGTTGCAGTGAGCTGAGATTGCGCCACCGCACTCCAGCCTGGGCAACAGAGCAAGACTCAGTTGGACTAAAAAAAAAAAAAATACGGTTATTAATTATAGTCAGCATATTTTCCAATAGATCTCTTGAACTTATTCCTCCTATCTGAAATTTTGTGGGCTTTAACCAATATCTCCCCAACCTCCCAGCCCTTACCCCCTGGTAACCATCATTCTATTCTACTTCTGACTTCAACTTTTTCTGGGATTCCACATGTAAGTGAGATCATGCAGTATTTGTTGTTCTGCATCTGGCTTATTTCATTTAATATAATGTCTTCCAGCTTCATCCATGTTGTCATAAATGACAGGATTTCTTTTTATGGCTGAATAGTATTCCATTGTGTATACAAACCTTTTGTTTATCCATTCATCTGCTGATGGACACTCAGTTTGATTTCATATCTTGGCTATTGTGAATAATGCTACAATGAACATGGAGGTGCAGGTATCTCTATGACATACTGATTTCATATCCTTTGGATATATACTTAGCAGAGGGATTGCTGAATTATATGGTGGCGCTAGTTTTAATTTTTTGAGGAACCCCTATGTTGTCCATAATGGCGGTACTAATTTACATTCCCACCAACAAAGTACAAGGGTTCCCTGTTTTCCACAGCCTCTGCAATACTTGCTGTCTTTTGTTTTTTTGATAATAGCCATTCTAACAGGTGTGAGATGATATCTCATCGTGGTTTTATTTTGCATTTTTCTGATAATGATGTTGAGCATTTTTTCACATACCTGTTGGCCATTTTTATGTCTTTTGGGAAATGTCTATTCATATCCATTACTCATTTTTTAAGAATTAGGTTACTTGTTTTCTTGCTATTGAGTTGTTTGACTTCATTATTTATTTTAGATTCTAATTCCATATCAGATGTGTGGTTTGCAAATGTTTTCTCCCACTTCCTAGGTTTTTTCTTGTCGATTGTTTCCTTGGCTATACAGAAGCTTTTTAGCCTGATATAATCGCATCTGTCTGTATTTGCTTTTGTTGCCTGTGCTTTTGGGTTCATATCCAAAAAATCATTGCCCAGACCAATGACATGGAGCTTTTCCCATTTTCTTCTAGTTTTACAGTTTCATTTCTTAAGTTTACGTTTTTAATCCATTTTGAGTTGATTTTTATATATGGTGTGAGATAAGGGTCTAATTTCATTCTTCCACATGTGGATATCCAATTTTCCCAACATCATTTATTGAAGAGACTGTCCTTTCCCCATCACGTATTCTCAGCACTTTTGTGAAAAATCAACTGGCTGTAAATCTGTGGATTTATTCCTGGGCTCTCTATTCTGTTCAATATGTCTGTTATTATGCCAGCACCATGTTGTTTTGATTACTATAGCTATATAGTAGATTCATTTTGTTTTGTTTTGCTTTGCTTTAGAGACAGGGTTTTGCTCTGTTCTCTGGCTGGAATTCAGTGATATGATCACGGCTCACTGCAGCCTCAACCTCCCAGTGGCTCAAGTGATCCTCCCACCTTAGTCTTCTGCATAGCTGGGACTATAGGCATCTGCCACCATGCCTGGCCAATATTTAAAAAAAAAATGTAGAGATGGAGTCTAGCTATGTTGTGTAGGCTGGTCTCAAACTCCTGGGCTCAAGTGATCCTCCTGCCTCAGCCTCCCGAAGTGCTGGAATTACAGGCATGAGCCACCACATCTGGCTGCTTTGTAGTAGATGTTGAAGTCAGATAGTGTGATGCCTCCAGCTTTGTTCTTTTTGCTCAAGAGTGCTTTAGCTATTCAGCGTCTTTTGCAGTTCCATACATGTTTTAGGATTTGTTTGTTTGTTTCTGTGAAAAATATCGTTACAATTTTGACAGGGATTCCATTGAATTTGTAGATTGCTTTGGGTAGTATGGACATTTTAACAATATTAAGTCTTCCAATCTATGAACATGGGATATCTTTTATGTTGTTTTTTTTTTTTTTGAGACGGAGTTTCGCTCTTGTTGTCTGTCCAAGCTGGAGTGCAGTGGCGCGATCTTTGCTCACCGCAACCTCCACCTCCCAGGTTCAAGCGATTCTCCTGCCTCAGCCTCCAGAGTAGCTGGGATTACAGGCATGCGCCACCACGCCTGGCTAATTTTGTATTTTTAGTAGAGACAGGGTTTCTCCATGTTGGCAGGGTGGTTTCGAACTCCCAACTCAGGTGATCTGTCTGCCTCGGCCTCCCAAAGTGCTGGAATTACAGGCTTGAGCCACCGCGCCTGGCCATATCTTTTCATTTATTTCTGTTTTCTTCAATTTCTTTCATTGATGTTTTCTAGTTATCAGTGTACAGGTCCTTCACCTCCTTGGTTAAATTTATTCCCAAGTGTTTTGTTTGGTTGGGGGTTTTTTGGTAGCTATTGTAAATGAGATTGTTTTCTTAATTTCCAAAAATCCCTTCTGCTACTTCTATTCATCCCCTGGACCGCTGGCAGCCACTTATCTCTTTACTGTCTCTGTAGTCTTGACTTTTCCAGAATGTCATATAATTGGAATCATATAGTATGTAGCTTTTAAGATTGGGTTCTTTCACTTAGCGATATGCATTAAGATTCTTCTATGTCTTTTCCTGCCCTGAAAGTTCCTTTCTATTTTTGTTGAATACTGTTTCACTGTATAAATGTTCCACAGTTTGTTTGTTCACCTATTGAAGGACATCTTGGTTGCTCCCAATTTTTGGCAATTAAGGATAAAGCTGCTAAAATGTCAGTGTGCAAGTTTTTGTGTGGACACTTTTGCTTTTTAACCAAGTATACTTTATTAAATCATTAAAAAAAATTTTTAGAAATGGGGTCTCACTATGTTGCCCAGACCAAACTCAAACTCCTGGCCTCAAGTGACTCTCCTACCTCAGCCTCCTGAGTAGCTGAGGCTGCAGGCTTTTTTTTTTTTAATTGCTATCAGTGTATCTTCTTTGATATCTATTCAGATATTTTGCCCATTTTTAGGTTGGACTGTTTTCATACAATTAAGCTTTTAAGAGTTTTTTGTATATGTTAAATGAAAGCCCTTTATGTGTTTTGCTAATTTTTTCCAAGTCTGTGGCTTGTCTTTTAATTTTCTTAACAGCAGCTTCTGCAGAGCAGTTTTTAACTTTAACAGAGTCCAAGTCATCAATAATTTTTCTTTCCCAAGTTATGCTTTTAGTGTTTTACTTAGAAAAATCGAAACCAAACCTTGAATTTCTTATATTCTAAGTTTTACATTTTTGTGTTTTACATTTATGTCTATGATAAATTTTGAGTTAACTTTTGTGAAAGGTTCAAGGTGTCTAGATTGACTTTTTTTGCATGTAAATGTACAGCTGATCACTACTGCTTGAAAAAGTATTCCTATGAAAAAGACTTTCTCCATGAATTGTCTTCTCTTCTTTGTCAAAGATCAGTTGACTATATTTGTATTGGTTTATTTCTGGGCTCTCTGATATATTCTGCAAATACCAGTCTTTATTATGGGAGCTTTATAGTAGGTGTTTAAGTTGGGTAGCATCAGTCTTTGTTCTTCAGTATCGCATTGGCCATTTTGGGCCTTTGCCCCTCCACATAAACTTTAGAATTACTTTGTTGCTATCCACAAAATAACATGCTAGGATTTTGACTGAAATCACATTGAGCTTATAGACTAACGTGGGAAGAACTGACAATATTGAGTCTTCCTAGCACTGAAATGAAAGCTATTTATTGAAATGATCTTTGATTTCCTTGATTAGTTTTGTCATCTTCTTCACATAGATCTTGTCATATTTTATTAGATTTATACCTAAGCATTCCCTCTTGTTGGGGCTAATGTGAATGGTGTTTTTGTTTGTTTGTTTTTTGTTTTTTTGAGATGGAGTCTCATTCTGTCGCCAGGCTGGAGTGCAGTGGCATGATCTCGGCTCACTGCAACCTCCACCTCCTGGATTCAAGTGATTCTTTTGCCACAGCCTCCCAAGTAGCTGGGACTATAGGCACACATGCCACCACGCCCAGCTGATTTTTTGTATTTTTAGAAGAGACAGGGTTTCACCATCTTGGCCAGGATGGTCTTGATCTCTTGATCTCGTGATCCACCTGCCTCGGCCTCCCAAAGTGCAGGGATTACAGTCGTGAGCCACTGCACCTGGTGTGAATGGTGTTTTTAATTTTAAATTTAAATTTTTCATTGCTGGTATATAGCAAAGCAATTGGCTTTTGTATTATATATTCACCTTTTTTTTTGTATTAACCTTTTATCCTGCAATCTTACTATAACTGCTTATAAGTTTCAAGAGTCTTTACGTAGATTCTTTGATTTCATTCCAGATGTTAACATCTTTCATTGGTTACATTCTGTCTCCCATCTCCACATTCTGACTTTCTATTCTACTGGCCTTCTGAATTAATCTTGATGCTTATGTGTTAATAAAAAGAAGGGAAAATGGCCAGGAAGCCAGTCTCTGAAAAGACACCACAACAAAGTATCCTTTCCTAAATTCCCAATAATATCTGTTTAGATGTTGCTGGGAACAGGTCCCCCAAATCTGGCCATAAACAGGCCATGAGAAACTGGCCATAAACAAATCTCTACAGCACTGTGACATGCTTGTGATGGCTATGACACCCACGCTGGAGGTTGCTGGTTTACTGGAATGAGGGCAAGGAACACCTGGCCCACCCAGGGCAGAAAACCGCTCAAGGCGTACCTAAACCACAAACAATAGCATGAGCGATCTATGCCTTAAGGACATGTTCCAGCTGCGGATAACAAGCCAGAGCCTGTCCCTTTGTTTCCCATAAGGAAGGCTTTTAGCTAATCTATAATCTATAGAAATAATTCTCATCACTGGCTTGCTGTCAATAAATATGCAGGTCAAACTCTGTTTAGGGTTCTCAGCTCTGAAGGCTGTCAGCCCCCTGATTCCCACTCTGCACTCTGTGTCTTTGTCTTAATTCCTCTAGCGCCACTGGGTTAGGGTCTCCATGACCGAGCTGGTCTTGGTAAGATGTTCTGGAAACTATGAGAAAGGGGAAGTATAGCCATTGTTAGTTTAGTAAAAACTGTTTTCACATTAGAAAATACACGGCTTTTGAGTTGTGCTTGAAGTAAAGGAATGATTTCAAGACTGCACTGTGCAGTACAAGTTAGCATTGTAGGATAACTAGGGGAGAGGACACTTTGCACCAGACTTGAGCACAAACATCCCAGAAAAATTAGTATGGAAGACTGAAGTACGAGAAAACTCTTGATTAACAGTGTATTTAGGTGTAGTGAAACTGGAAGACTGTGAATGTTTGTTTTTTATGTGTGACAATTTTAAAAAGAAATACAAATTGAATGCTGAGGCTGATTCAACACCTTTCCTTGCATAACCTTCAAGTTCTAAAATGTGATCATCAAAACAGCTTTATAATTAACTTTCTGCTTTTGATACTTTGGACTTCCGGTACAGAATATTGGATTAATCATAATCCCTGGTTCAAGACACTCTCAGCATTGGTTCATACATGGCCTCTTTTAGTTTCCTAATATAAGCATCCTGACTCTACTAACCCCAAGAAAGCTGGAGCTTTGACCATATAGTACCACTTACTAGCGCATCCCTTGCCACCTCTCATCTAAGGGCATTGTTCTGAATTTTTTCATCATCATTATCCTGCTTTCTTTTCACATAAAATCTATTGGCTGGGCGCGGTGACTCACGCCTGTAATTCCAGCACTTTGGGAGACCGAGGAGGGCAGATCACCTGAGGTCGGGAGTTCGAGACCAGCCTGACCAACATGGTGAAACACCGTCTCTACTAAAAACACAAAATTAGCTGGGCGTGGTGGCAGATGCCTATAATCCCAGCTACTCGGGAGGCTGAGGCAGGAGAAATTGCTTGAACCCAGGAGGCGGAGGTTGCCGTGAGCTGAGATTGTGCCATTGCACTCCAGCCTGGGCAACAAGAGCAAAACTCCGTTTTACTAAAAAAAAAAAAAATCGGCCGGGCGCGGTGGCTCATGCCTGTAATCCCAGCACTTTGGGAGGCCGAGGCGGGCAGATCTCAAGGTCAGGAGATCCAGACCATCCTGGCTAACATGTTGAAACCCTGTCTCCACTAAAAATACGAAAAAAAAAAAAGTCTCCGGGCGTGGTGGCAGGCGCCTGTAGTCCCAGCTACTCCGGAGGCTGTGGCAGGAGAATGGCGTGAACCCGGGAGGCAGAGCTTGCAGTGAGCCGAGATCGCGCCACTGCACTCCAGCCTGGGCAACAGAACAAGGCTCCGTCTCGGGGGAGGGGGGGGAACCTATTACATGCGAATGTATTTTAAAGTGTTTATAGGTGAGCATGTTGCATATTTTGAGACTAGTTTTGCTTACTATACTGCACTTCTTCCTGTATTTCTAAAGCTTACTATACTGGAAGACTTTTTTGCATAATATGCTTCTATTTTGTTGTGTCACTATGGATCAGCAGTTTTGGTTACAGTGTATTATTCCAGTGTATGAATATATCACATTATATTCATCCACTCTTCTTCACTGGGGATTTGAAGACTTGTTTCTGGGCTTTTGCTTCTGTAAACAGCACTATAAAACTTCGTGTAGTGGTCCCCCATTTGTCTTTTTTTTTTTTCTGAGATGGAATCTCACTCTATTGCCCAGGCTAGAGTGCAGTGGTGCGATCTTGGCTCACTGCAATCTCCACCTCTTGGGTTCACGAGATTCTCCTGCCTCAGCCTCCCCAGTAGCTGGGATTACAGGCACCTGCCACCGTGCCTGGCTAATTTTTGTATTTTTAGTAGAAATGGGGTTTCACCGTTTTGGCCATGCTGGTCTCGAACTCCTGACCTCATGATCCATCCACCTTGGCCTCCCAAAGTGCTGGGATTACAGGCTTGAGCCACCGCTCCTGGCTGCGGTCCCCCATTTATCTATGTGTAAGTTTTTCCTAGGTATGCACTTGGGAGTGCAATTTCTGGACTATTGGGTATGTAAAAGTTCCACTTTAAAAGACAGTATCAAACTTTCTCAAGGATTGAACCACTGCACTAACACCAGCAATGCAAGAACACACAGAAATTTGGCAACACTATATACTGACAGATTAATTTTTTGTTGCTTGAATGGGTAGTCTTCATTTGCAGTGGAACTTCTCCCACCTTTGTCTTTTCACATTCTTTGAAGATACTTTAATGTGTTTGAGAATAAAATATCCTTTTAATAGATAAATTCATTAATAATACATTTATAGTATGCTTTGTGTCTTATTTTTTTTATTTTTATTTTTTGAGATGGAGTCTTGCTCTGTCACCCAGGCTGGAGTGCAGTGGTGCGATCTTAGCTCACTGCAACCTCTGCCTCCGGATTCAAGTGATTTTCCTGCCTCAGCCTCCCTAGTAGTAGGGATTACAGGCATGTGCCACTGCGCCTGGCTAATTTTTGTATTTCTTAGTAGAGACGAGGTTTCACCATGTTGGCCAGGTCTTGTGATCTGCCCGCCTCGGCCTCCAAGTGATGGGATTACCGACGTTAGCCACTGTGCCTGGCCAAGAAGTCTCTCTATCCTAAGACCTAACAGGCAGCCATCTTTCTTCTGAGAGTTTTCAAATTTTGTTTTAAGTCCTTTTTTCCTATGGCATAACATACGGGTTTTTTCCTTTTTCATACAGAAAACCAATTCTTCTAGCTCTAATTATCGAAGTCTCCTTTCCTGAATGCAATGTGCCACCTCTCTCTTACACCAAAGTTCAGTCCGTGCAGAGTTCTCTGGGCAATCTATTCAATTCAGGTATCTGTCTGTCCCTATCAGCTAATAACATGCTATTTTAACTAACAAGGCTTCACAGTGAGTCCTGACATTTAGGACAAGTCCCTGTCTCCCTGCTCTCTTCTGAAATGTTCTAGCCTTTTGCTCTTTTTAACTTTTACTTTTACAATCAACTAAACAAGCTCCATGAAAAAAAATCAAGTGGAATTTTGATTGGGATTACCTTGAATCTATGCCTACTGAGGGACAGATGACATTTTTTGATACTGTCTTCCTATCCACTAACATCTATTTACTGAATTCCTATTATCCCTTAATGTTTTAGAATTCTTTCTTGAGGAGGCCATCCACATATATTGTCAATTTCCTAGGTAACCAAGATTCTGGTATTATTGTCAAATGGTGTTTCCTGGTTTTCTAGGTAACTGGTGTAAAGAAATGCAACTGTCTTCTAAAAACGAATGTTGTATCTAGCTACCTAACTAAACCCTATTATTTCTAGTAATGATTTTTCTATAAAAACAATGTGCAAATAATGAGTGCTACCTCTTTTCTTATCATTTTTCTGTCTTGTCTTGCTCCACTGATTATAATCTCCAACACAATTTTGAATAGTAAGCAGTAATAGTGGGCAGTCATCTTTGTTTCTGACTTTAAAAGGAAGTAAGTTTCCTCTTTTTAGCTGATGCTTGGTTTTGTTTGTTTGGCTGTTGATTTCACATAGAACTATCAGCTTAAGGAAATTCCTTTCTAGTCTTAATTTGTCAAGTTTAATTTTTCTTATCACGAATGGCTGTTAAATTCTATTACTCTACCTGAATCTATTAAGACAGTCATAACGGTTTATTCTCTTTATAATCTGTTAATGTGATCAATTTACAGATTTTGATAATTAAACCATCCTTTATTTAAATAGAACATGCAAGTAAGTAAATAATTTTAAACTGAGAAATTTATATTGTAAAATTATTGCCTTCATCTGTTTTATATGACATTTCATGTTTAAAAACGTTTGGCTACCAGACACATTTGAAAACCACAGGACAAATGATCTTTCAAGGGTCTTTCTACTCCGCAATTCTACAATTGCCCTGCAGTTTGAATTATACTCTTAAAATTTCTCCAATCCTACAAGAAAAAGCTTCTATTAGATGTTAATTGAGTGTGACAGTGTAGAAAAGGGAATCAGACAAGGACTAAAAAATACATTTAAGTAACAGAGAGGAGTGCTTGCCTCTGAAGATATGCTCAGGTCTTCAACTCAGAGGAATACAAAATTACAATTCATGATCATAAGCTTAGTCACAAATAGATGCAAGACAAATAATGGTAGTTCTCTTACAAAATTAGGAAAGTAGAAAACTAAAAGACCAAAAAATAAAATTAACTACCAGAAAGAATAAGAGAAAAAGTAATACAAGGGAGCATTCTGGTTTTCCTTTTTATTTAATCAAAGACTGGTGAATAAACATAAATACAGCACAATTACTTCAGATCATTCTTCATATTGTATACACACAAACCCATGAACATAATCTGAAAGAAACCTGTAGACAGCAATGAAATGCATACAGCTTTTTCTTCCCTCGCTCAAAAAAAAGTTTAAACACACAAACTTACAATCTCATCAGCACACACTCTCTTGTGACAAATGATTCAGACATAAATAGTGGGTGCAAAGAAACTATATGCTAACATATGAATAACCTTTGTTAATGAAAAAACAGAAGCAGCCATAATGATTAAGATACATTCAGTTACTGATAACTAGTTGTGCCCTAAAGGGCATTATCAAAAGAGAAATCGTGCTGCAGAGAAAAGCGATATATACATACACAATGAGAAAATAAACTGCAAGATTAATGCATGCATGTTTAATACTGGAAAAATCACAGCCCTCCAAAATTTCTGCACGTTTGTTATAAAAGCCCTCTGCACTCAACTAAAATTAAAATGATCTTAAAAGGATAATACTTGTAAAGTTTAAGTCTCCTCAGCCACAGAAATTGCAATGGAAATAAATGTTCAGAGTCATTTTCAAAACAAAACCAAAACAAAAATCTATTCTTCCGATGACATGCAAGATACACTGCTCTACATTCCCAATGACTAGGAAAAAAAAAACCTCAAGTCAATTTTTAGTTTGCAGATGCTCAAGAATTTTGTATTCCAGCAGGAGTTCAAATCTTTTGGATCTTTTCACCAACAACTACTGGATTTTCTTTTCTGATTTTCTCAGCAGCATCGGCTTTGTAATTGTAAGAGCAATTGTGTACATCTGAGTAACGGTGTACACCACAGTAAACATTTCCACACCGGCATTCAAACCCTGGAAATGGAGTAATACACATACATGAGTTGAAGGATGAAATATTAAGGTCTTTGGCATAATTAATACTGAACAGCACAATATATTTAGGGCAGCAATGTAAACTAAAGAATCATTCTAAATACACTGTCTCACAAACTACATTCTTATTCACTACCTGAGAGCTTCATTTCTTATTCCTATCTACAAACGCAGGTTTGCCCTAGAGAAAGTCCTCTGAGCTTGTTTCTTCACCTGTGATATGGCAACAATTACTTCTTAACAAAAACACAGTTGCTAGGTTGAAAATGTAAAACATTTTTCAAATCCAAACACTACGATGTGAGAATAAGCCTACTGTCAGAAGGCAGTCTTGGCATTTATTTAAGAAAGATCAAATAATACCTCTGAAAGAACTGTTAACAAAGAACACAGCTTCGATATTTGCTTTTCTCTGCTAACCTCCCATGGAGATGTGAACTGTACTGCAGTTGAGAGGTGAAGAGCACGGGATCTAGAGCCTGCCTGCCTCAGTGTCAATCTACTTACTAATGAAGGCAAATTAGCCTCTCTGAGCTTGAGTTTCTGCATCTGTAATTTTGGAATAATAATAAGTAAGGATTAAATGAGGAAGGAATTTAATTCTGAACATATGGTAAAACACACAATAAATGCTACTTAATTTTAAGAAAATGCCTGGAGTTAAAACCAAAATCGAGATGTAATGGGTGCAGCCAGTCTTTAAATAAAACTGGTCCTGCTCCCCCAAATTAGAATTTTATGGTATGATACAATTGTTAGAAATGGAGCACAGGAATCAATATTTTAAACATTAATATTTGATGTTAACCTCCATTGCCACATTTTTAACTTCAAAGACATATTTGTAACTTCATAATAATGAATGAAAAATGAAGCAAACAGCACTGTATTAGACAGACTGGACAAGATGAAAATTATTAAATCTCACCCTTCTAATCTTGAAGTCTGAGGGTTTGTGAGATTTAGAAAGGCTATCTTTTTTCCTTTTTTTTTTTGACACGGAGTCTCACTTTGTCACCAGGCTGCAGTGCAGTGGCATGATCTCGGCTCACCACAATCTCCGCCTCCTGCGTTCAAGCCATTCTCCTGCCTCAGTCTCCCGAGTAGCTGGGATTACAGGTGCACGCCACCACACCCAGCTAATTTTTGTATTTTTAGTAGAGACTGAGTTTCACCATGTTGGCCAGGATGGTCTAGATCTCCTGACCTTGTGATCTGCCTGCCTAGGCCTCCCGAAGTGCTGGGACTACAGGCATGAGCCACCATGCCCAGCCCTAGAAAGGCTATCTTTAATATTAAATATGTATATTTTAAAATGTCTTTTTTTTTTTTTTTGACACAGGGTCTCACTGTCACTCAGGCTGGTATGAAGTGGTGCAATCATAGCTCACTGCAGCCTTGACCTCCTGGGCTCAAGCAATCCTTCCACCTCAGCCTTCTGAGTAGCTGGGACTACAGGCACATGCCATCATGATCAGCTAATTTTAAAAATTTTTTTGTACAGACTGAGTCTCACTATGTAGTCCAGGTTGGTCTTCAACTCCTGGCCTCAGGTGATCCTCCCACCTTGGCCTCCCAGTGCTGGGAATACAGGTGTGAGACACTGCACTGGGCCATGTTTGTATTCTTTAAATGTACATGTGCTAAGGTATGGGCAAATCTGAAACATCTTTTTAAATTTTCTCTTTTAAAGATGAGGTCTCATTATGTTGCCCAGGCTGGTCCCGAATTCCTGGCCTGAAGCAATCCTCCCACCTTGGCCTCCCAAGTGCTGGGATTATAGGTGTGAGCCACCATACCTGATCTTGAAGCATCTTTGATATTAAACTCTAACTTCCTTTCTTTTTCATCTCCAAACCATTCCTTAACCAGAAATAATCTTCCTAAAGCAAAGCTCTGCTCAAAATCTTATCTACTCTTTTCTGTAAGTCCAATTTTTATGCAGTGTTCAGCACAGTGCCTGGCACATGGTAAACAATACATTTTGACTATCTATAGCTGCAACTACTTTCCAACTAACCACAGTACAGTTGACTCTTAAAGGATGCCAGATTTAGGCATGCAGACCCCTCTACAAGTCAAAAATCCATGTATAATTTTATGTTCCCTCAAAATTTGAGCTATTAATAGCTTATTAACCAGAAGCTTTACTGGTAACATAGTCGACTAACACATATTTTGTGTTGTATGTTTGTATATTATTAATATATAATGTATTCTTATAATAAAGTAAGCTAGAGAAAAGGAAATGTTATTCAGAAAATCACAAGGAAGAGAAAATATATTTACTATTCATTAAGTGAAAGTCGATCATCATAAAAGTCTTCATCCTTGTCTTTACATTGAATAGGTAGAAGAGGGGTTGGTCTTGCTGTCTCAGGGTTAGCAGAGGTGGAGAAGGTAAAAGGGGAGGCTGGAGAGGCAGGCATACTTGGTGTAACTTTATGGAAATACAATGTAATTTCTGACTTTTCTGCTTTTTTGTTCTCTAAATTGTTTCCATATGGTACCAATCCTTCTTCCACCATTTGCTTTAGTTTCAGTTCTCATATCACCAAACGGTCCACGTTGCAAACGAAGTGAAAAGCAGTCTTGAATAATCAGACCCCTTCTGTCAGACTGTCTAGTGTCAATCTGTTTTCTTGCACGCTTTTTCTCTTTTTCTATGTCTTCTTCCTCACTGTCTGGCAGTGGTTTGGAAGCAGTCATCTCCATCAAGTCATCTTCTGTTAATTCTTCTGGTTTGGTGTCTATTAGCTCCTGAATATCTCCAAGATCCCTATCTTGAAATCCTTAACCCCCAACCTTTCTTGCCATATCCACAATCTCTATCATGATTTCCATCCTGTGAAGTCACACAACATCTGGAGTTTTCTCCTGCAAAAATTTGTTGTTTCAGGCTTGAGAGCTTTCACATCTTTTTCTAAACAATAATGGTATCTTCAATGATATGATGTTCCCTCTATTGGGGTTCTCTTCCATAGCACTGACAATCTTTTCCAAAGAGTACCATGTGTAATGAGCCTGAAAGGTCTTTACGACCCCTGACCTAGAGGCTGAATTAGAGATGCTTCTCTGGGAGCAAGCATTTATCACTTCGACGCCTTCAGTGCTGAACTCATGAGGTTCTGGGTGGCCAGGGGCATTGTCCAATATCAAAACAACTTTAGGCCAGGAGCTGTGGCTCGTGCCTGTAATCCCAGCACTTTGGGAGGCTGAGGTGGACGGATCACCTGCGATCAGGAGTTTGGGACCAGCTTGGCCAACAGGGCGAAACCCCGTCTCTACTAAAGATACAAAGAAATTAGTTGGGCATGGTGGAGTACGCCTGTAATCCCAGCTACTAGGGAGGCTGAGGCAGGAGAATCGCTAGAACCCAGGAGGAGGAGGTTGCAGTGAGTGGAGAGTGCGCCACTGCACTCCAGCCTAGGCGAAAAGAGTGAAACTCCATCTCAAAAAAAAAAAAAAAACCCAACAACTTTAAAAGGCAGTCCCTTACTAGCAAGATACTTTCTGATTTCAGGGACAAAGCATTAATGTAACCGATCACGAAAAAGGGTTCATATTGTTTAAGCGTTCCTGTTGTACAACCAAAAGACTGGCAGCTGGTGTTTATCTTTTTCCCTTCAAGACTCGGGTTAGCAGCTTTATAGGTAATGGCAGTTCTGATCATAAACCCAACTGCATTTGCGCAAAACAGTAAAGTTAGACGATCTCCTCCTGCCTTAAGTCCTAGTATTCACTTTTCTTCCTTAGATCTTTGTGACCTTTTTCTTCCAGAATAGGGCACTTTTGTCTGCATTAAAAACTTGTTCAGGCAGATACTCTTTCTCCAACAACTTAATATAGTTTGGGAACTTTCTTAATGTAGTTTGGGAACCTACTGCCTCTTTTCTGGCAGAAGCTGTTTCTCCTGTTATCTTGACTTTTTCAAAGCCAAACCTTTTTCTAAAATTACCAAACCGGCCAGGTGTGGCGGTTCCACTCTATAATCCCAGCACTTTGGGAGGCTGAGGTGGGTGGATCACCTGAGGTCAGGAGTTTGAGAGCAGCCTGGCCAACGTGGTGAAACCCCATCTCTACTAAAGAAATACAAAAATTAGCCGGGCATGGTGGCACACACCTGTAATCACAACTACTTGGGAGGCTGGGGCAGGAGAATTGCTTGAACCCAGGAGGCGGAGGTTACAGTGAGCCGAGATAGTGCCACTGTACTCCAGTCTGGATGACAGAGCAAGACTCCATTTCAAAAAAAAAAACAAAAAACAAACAAACAAAAAAAAACACCATCCTTTGCTGGCATTAAAGTCTCCAGCTTTAGAATCTAAAAGCTGTGATATAATGACTTCACTTTTTCTTGAATCATAGTATGCCTTTTTTTATAGCAATCCTGCACCCACATAAAAGCTGCATTGTCAATACAAAATAAAAAGGTATTTCATAAAAAAGTACAAAGTTGTTGTGCCTGCTGGCATAGCTGCAGAGATGGCTTCACAAATTTCCTTTTTTTTTTTTTTAACAATAGTCCTTACACTGAATTCATTTATCCTGAAATGGCAGACATCATTCATTTTTCTTGAAATGGCAGAATAGCAGCTGCAGACATTAATCTATGGTACATACCAAGCAATTCAACTTTTTCTTGTAATGTCAGACTTTTCTCTTCTTCTTGGGAGCACTTCCAGTATCACTAGTGCTAGTGGCATCACTTTATACGAGTCTTATGGTATTATTCAAAGTTTACAGTATTGCATTAAACACGATGAAAAATACATGAGAACCACAAGAGATTACCTTTTACTGTGGTAGGCAATTTACTACAGAGACAAACTGCTGAAACAGAGGTGATCAGTGCCGATTAAAATGTGTGGCATTTTAAGTGGATACTTGCAGCACCTGAACTCACTGCAATAGCAATAGGAGGTGGCTATGAAATTATTAGAGAAGTATAGTATATACCACAGTAACTTTTTGCCACTCTCACTTAATACTGCATCTTTACATTTGTTTACATTTCTCTTGACTATGAATGGCTTCATGTATGATCTGCATATTGTATAGGCAAGTTTTGATAAAATTTTAATTTTTTATAATAGATTTGTGCATATTCTGTGGTAGTAAATGATAAAATACACAAGTATCTACACATGTTTTACACATTCAAGACATGCCTAACTCTTCTTAATTAAAAAAATATATTTCTAGGCTATACAGTTCATCTGTGAGTTTTTTCCAATTGCTGCAAATCTCCAAAAAATTTTCCAATGTATTAGAAAAAACTCTAAGTGGACCCCTACAGTCCCATGTTGTTCAAGAGTCAACTGTATAAGTTTTTAGTCTTATTTCTTTATTCCTGTTGGACTGCAGTACACAACAGTCTTGTTCACGTATTATGTGCTACACAGCGACATTCCCCTATTCATGGTCCCTGCACATGCCCTATTCATTTTCTTCAAGTTATTCTTTCTGCCTGAAATGCCCCTATTTCCATCAGTTATAAGTCCTACTCACTGTTCAAGACACACTGAAACATTCTGCCTTCATGGTCCTTTCCTTGCTGGGCCTCTAAGAACTACCATTTTAAAATGTAAATTAGTTACTCTCATCCCTGAATTCCCAGAGCAATCTGACTGCACTTCATGTACTTTCTTTGCTAAATGCTTTTGAACATTTCTTTCTCCCTCCCACCACCATCTGCATCTGATAGCTATGTTACAGTAGCCAACATATATTAATTACTTACTGTGTGGCAGCACTGGGCTAACTGCTTACATGTCTTAACTCACTGAACCCACACAACAACGTATGATTAGCCCTATTTTATATATAGAAAGTACTTCCAGTTTACCAAGTACTTCAAAATATTCTCTCCTTAAAAGCAGGAGCCACATCTTTGACCTTTCACAGAATCTGGCACACTAACCTTATTTGTCTAATACTTCTAAATTCAACTGAAATAAAACTTTTTTTAAAAAAGCTATTCATTTCACTTTTAGGTGTATAATCAAAGCTATTTTTATTTCCTTAAGAAAATTCAGAAGGTGAAGTATATCCAATATTAACTCTCAAGGGAACAGGAACAATCTTAATTGAAGTCAACAACAGTAAGCTATGCATTATTATAAAACATCATTTTAATTTTAAACATTTGATTTAGGTCCTTACCAGTAAGTCCCACTTTCTTCCTGCACATGAAACAGCGATTCTTTTTTTGTTTCGGTTTTTCAAGAGACTTGCTTTGCTCTTCAGATGGCTGCTGTGCTGTGTCTGATACTGAAGCTAACAAAAATACGAAGGTGGCAAAATTTAATTATTCTGTAAGATTTTGCTATTCCTCATCCCACCCTCCCTAGTCTATTATTCAGAGGATACTGAGGAATTTATTAGCACAGAAAACTAGTCATTAAATTACAAAGTTGTTTACAAAAATATGACCCCTTTTTGTTAAATGTATGTATATATGCATGTAGAAAATAATCTAGAATATGTAATGATATGTTAACAGTGGTTTTATAGACTTTCTTTAGGTTTTAACTGTACTTTCTAATTTTTCTAGTAACTACAAATTTAATCAATAAAAGGCACATAAACAAATACTACTTGAATATTCTAAGGGAGTGTGCAAGACAATAGCCATATGCATAGTTCTTAATATTGTTCGGGGTCAGAATGACATAGGTCTCTCAGAGAACGAGGAGGGAAAAGGTGAAACCAAGATTCTGTGGAATATTAAGTATGTTTAAAGTTCCCAGAATGTTTCACATAAAAGCACTTTAAATGTTAGAAATAAGGCAAATTGAAGCAAAGAAGCTTTAAAATGTTGTAAGATAATAAGTTGATGCATTTATGTATGGAAACCAAAGCCAGATTTACCAAGATTCGGGTTAAATTACTACTCTGAAATCTTAACATGCCTCCCTCCAGTTGCTAACTACTCTAGCCCTCATGAATGCTGTCGCCAGAGTCAGAATCATATAATATGACCTTGCAGACGTGACATTTTGCTCTAAAATGGTGGAATTTCCCATGGATCAAATTCTTAACCTCTCCAGTTTTATCCCCAACTAGACTTTCCCCAGGGATCCACTGCTCCATTAATCTACACTGGGAATATGCCATGTACCTTTGCTCACACTTCTTAGAATCTATTCCAAAGGGTTTCCTTTTTCCCCATTTGATCTAGGTCCTCCTCTTTTTCAAGACCAAGGTCAAATACCCTTTCCTTGTCTCAATTCTCTGTAGCTTCTCACTCTGATTTTCCTTAACACCTTTTCCAAATACTGGGCACCTCATGAGTTCCCTCTACAATCCATGCTTCACACATTGCATCCAATCATCTGCCTTAAGTGAAAATCTAATGGTGTTCCCTCTGATGTTTAGAATTCCTCAATGGCTCCCAACTACCCCCCAGGATAAAGCCCAGAGGTCCTTCATGATTTTCTTCATCCTTCTTTCTCTAGCCTCATCTCTCACTATTCCTCAACAGTACTCCATGATTCAGCCATACTGAAGGACTTGCAGTTTCCCTGGACATATCAAACTCTCTTTTGCCTCTGGGCTCTTGTATAAGTTGTGCTTTCCATACAAAATACTCTTTCTATGCCCCTCCTGTCCCTCTTTTTATCAGGCTAACTCTAACTTGTTTTTCTTGTTTAAGCTTATATAATCAGCTCTTCCTCCACTGCCTCTCCAACAACCTTGGGGTGGGAAACCCTGTGTATAGCACTTTTCATATTAAAATTCCCTCATTGGCTTAACTTGGTTTAACTTTGAATTCTTTGAGGGGAGACATCGGTCCTATTTATCCCATTATCAGTGCCTATCCCAGTGTCTCCAACCACATAGCAGACATTCGACAATAAGTATCTGTTGAATTGAATTACTTACCTATTTTATTTATGTGCCTCATTTCCCCAACTACACCGTAAGGCCATTGAGAAGGATGGTTACCTTATTCCCCATCTGAACCTCCAGTCCTATCACAGTGAACTACACATTGTAATACATGCTCAGACATTTGCTGTGATTCTAACCTGCTTATGCTACCATCATTATCTCATATTTTAACAAAAGATGACAAAAGGCAGAATGCCACAAACAAGTAAATATGTGCTAATGACAAACTCTATAGCATGTTACTCCACTCAGACATGCTGAAACCAGACAGGGGACAGTTCTATTAATAATACTGTGAACATACTATTTTTGAAACAGAATATAGACACATCAAACCTTTTATTTTCAATGAATAAATATCCCTAGAATGTAAGCTCCAAGAGGGCAGGGGCTGAATGTCTTGTTTACTGTTTATCTCCAGCTCCTAGAACAGTATCAGATAAGCCTATCTGGCTATGCATATGGACTCAAAAACAGCTTACCTTGCAATCAGAAATGAACCTACAGTATTTATTGGTTTTGAAACCTGTAAGCCATATCTAACCTGTTCTCCAGAAAAATTCAAAAAAACCCATTTAATGGCAGTAACATTATCACAAGATTATAGTTTTTAACAAAACTGGTCTAACTACTGAGACACAAATTTGAATGGGATCTGGAAATGGAGAAGAGTGAAAATACATCTATCTTCTATGCATACAAATACTACTGCATATCTCAAAAGACATTTCACAGTATTAACCCTAAAGCCCCAAAGAAGGCCAATGGTTTCTTTTTAACTGAGGCAAATGCAGTCTTTAAAGTGAAGGATCAGAAGGCTATCTAAAAGCTTATATGCTATAACTCAAATGTGGGACCAATAAATGTCGATTATATACCCATGAGGCTAAGGTAACCTCAGCTTACTTGAAACTAATAGCTGACAACCTGAATTTCAACAGTCACCAAATGAATTCACGGACAAGATGATATAGTACTATTTTTAAAAGTCTATGATTCCCAGAAATCATCCTGTTTCCTCAGTTTTTATGTGAGTTTTAAGACCAAGGAATACCTTATCAACTTCCAAACAACCTTTCTAGCTTTAGTTTCAACATATAACTGCCTGAACTGATCACTTCAGCAAACAGTCTTTTCACTCTTTCTCAAATTTCATTTTTCCTACCTGTATGCGTTTGCACTCACAAGTCATCCTCCAGCAAAAGCCCTCTTCACTGTCTTGGGGTGGTGGGGAGATTTCACATACCATAAAATTCACTCTTTAAAGTATACAATTCAGTGGTTTTTATTATATTCACAAGGTTATAAAACTATTACCACTATCTACTTTCAGAACATTTAAGTCACATTAAGGGAAAACTCTGTACTCATTAGCAATTACTCCCCACTTCCCACGGTTTCTGGCAACCACTAATCTTTCTGTATGACTAGCCTGTTTTAGACATTCTATATAAATAAAATCATACAACATGTAGCCTTTTGTACCTAACTTCTTTTATTCAGCATATTTTCAAGGATCACTCATACTGTGGCATGTATCAGAATTTCCTTCCTCTTTGTGACTGAATATTCTACTGTACGGATATACCACATTTTTTTTTATCCAATGATCTATTTACAGCCATCTCAGTAGTTTCTATTTTTTATTATAGATAATACTGCTACGAACACTTGTGTACACGTTTTTGTGTGGACGTATGTTTTCAATTCTCCTGGCAATCAGGAGAAAAATGCTGGGTCATATGACAATTCTTTTTAATTTTTTGTGGAGCTAGGAGATTGTTTTCCAGAGTATCTGGCACCATATTACACTCCCACCAAGGCAGGAGGGCTCCAATTTTTCTACATCCTTGACAATACTTTGTTATTGATTAGAGCCATCCTAGTGGATACGAAGTGGTGTCCCATGACTTCCATTTCCCTCATATCTAATGAAGTTGAGCATGGTTTTTTTTTTTTTTTTTTTTTTTTTTGAGATGGAGTTTTGCCCTTTTGCCCAGGCTGGAGTGCAGTGGCACAATCTCAGCTCACTGCAACCTCCACCTCCCAAGTTCAAGCAATTCTCCTCTGCCTCAGCCTCACGAGTATCTGAGACTACAGGCGCATGACATCACAGCCAGCTAAGTTTCATATTTTTAGTAGAGATGGGGTTTCACCATGTTGGCCAAGCTGGTCTCCAACTCCTGACTTAAGGTGATCCGCCCGCCTCAGCCTCCCAAAGTGCTGGGATTACAGATGTGAACCACCGCACCCGGCCCTGTTGAGCATCTTTTCATGTGTTTATTGGAAACTTGTATATCTTTTCTGGAGAAATGTCCACTCAAATCCTTTGCTTATTTTTAAAATGGGTTTTCTATTGTTGAATTGTAATTATTTATATATCCTTATCACATATATGATTTCAAAGTATTTTTTCTCTCATTCTGTAGGCTGGTTTTCCACTCTTTTATTTTTTGAGAGAGGGTCTCATTCTGTGACCCAGGCTGAAGTGCAGTGGTGCGTTAATGGCTCACTGCAGCCTCAACATCCCAAGTTCAAGTGATCCTCCCACCTCAGCCTCCCTACCCAGTAGCTGGGACTACAAGCGTGCGCCACCACACTCGGCTATTTTTTGTACAGATGGGGTTTTGCCATGTTGCCCAGGCTGGTTTCAAACTCTTGAGCTCAAGTGATCTGCCCACCTTGGCCTCCCAAAGTGCTGGGATTACAGGCATAAGTCACTGCACCTGGCTGTTTTTCCACTCTTTTAAGCAAAAATCTTTATTTTGATGTAGCTCAATTTATCTATAATTTCTTTGGCTGCTTGTGGTTAAGGTGTCATATCTAAGAAACCACTGCCTAAACCAAGATCACAAAAATGTATACCTGCTTTAAGAGTTTTATAGTTCTCTTATATTCGTTTTAGGTCTTTGATGTATTTCGGGTGAATTTTTGCATATGGTATGACATAGGAGTCCAATTCATTCTTTCGAATGTGGATATGAAGTTGTTCCTGCATCATTTGTTTAAAAGATTACTCTTTTCCCATCAAATGATTTTGGCACCATTGTTGAAAGTCAATGGCCCATAAATATAATAAGAGTTTATTTCTGGACTCTCAATTTTTTATTCCACTTACCTTCATGACTATCCTCATGCCGGTACAACACAGTCTTGATTACTGTAGCTTGTACTCAATTTTGAAGCCAGGAATTGTTAGTCCTCCAACTTTGTTATTTTTCAAGATACCTTTGGCTATTCTCACTCATTCTTTAGAATCAGAAGAAATGCCTGATTTTTAAAACCCATACAGCTTTCCTAAATCAGTCCAAAGAGACTGTCCCCCTCTGATTTTTCTGAACCAATGATTTGACAATTCAACTTTGTATAAAGTCAGAAACCCTCAGAGTAGGAAAGAGCCTGAGAATTCTAGTTCATCCTGTCACTAAGCACAGCATTCCTCTCTCTATATGGTCTCTAACATCAACTCATCTTTCCTAGAATGCTTCAGTGATGTAGACCTTACCATCTTAACATATGACATCATTCGAGTGTTGGAAAGCTTCAAAATTCTCTCTTACTCTAGGCCTCCTACAACTCCCAAATCACTTGGGCAATATAAAGAATATCTTCTGCAGCTTACAAAGCTCATCCAACCTCCATTATCTCAGTATCTTTTAATACCCTGTAAGAGGGACATTCTTATTCTCTTTTAAGAGTAATGAAAGTAAGGCTCAGTGAAGTTAAGCAGGCATACCAAGATAGGAAAATAGAACTTATGAATCCAAATTCAGTATTTTTCTACTATGACCCAAGATCTGAGGGACTAAGAGGTTGACCAAATTTAAGCATATTCTTCAACAGTTTTAGAGTGTACCAAAATGCTTAAAGTAGTTCTTTTAAAAGCTAGCATTTGTGAACTGGAAATTTGACTTATACTCCTGAGTGACACTATGTAAGTAAGGTACTGCTATATTTTTAAATCAAAAAGAACAACTAAGAAACATGCTTCAATATGCTAAATTCTCAATGAAACATAAAAATTCTTCAGAGCCATGTGGCCAATATGAAAGCAGTACCACCAACCTGGTGGCAGCATATCCTAATTATAAGCAGAATACATGTAGAGAAAAAGTTGTTCTGAATGTTCCAATTACAAAATGTTACAAACTTCTGGCTTAGACATATAGCTGCTACTCATATACCTTCTTCCATTTGGGATGGTTTTCCTATCTATATAAATTTCCCTTGAGGGAAGCATATGGAGTGAGGAAGAAGAAAACTGATACCTGGGTAGTTTGCTAAACGAGTTGATCCTACCCTGAGAACTGAGGGAGATGTATGTGTTAACAGGAATACACATATCCACATCCTAGTCCAACAAGCTCCACAACTGTCTAATCATAAGAATACTGGCCTCTATGAGTTAGGTCCCTGGATTCCAGTTCCAGCTTTTATGACCATATGACTGACTCAAAGAGACTTTTTCTGTCTCTTTTCATCCATCTATTAAATAAATGGAAAAAAAGTTATTTGAATTTGATCAATAGGGAAATCGTAATTGCATGTAAGTGTATGAGTGTGTGCACATACAGAATATACACGTACATATATACAAACATACATGTTTATATTTGTGTATGTTTATAATAAAAAGGGTATTCTTAATTCAATAATATGTTAAATTTTTTTTAAAAACTAGGTTGTTAAGAGATTTTACATACTGGAACCTAACCCTCCTCTCTTAAAACTGAGATGAAACTTATACCTAATTTATCAAAGATTTGCTGCTGATATTACGAATGCTAAGTTTTTTAAAGGTACTTACAAGTTAATACTGGTTTAACCTAAAAGTCATTCAAATCATGTATGAAAAATGGGGCCTATACAATTTCTCCTAATATGGCATCAGGACCACCTTTTGAAGTGATATACTCAGGGCTAAGTGGAGAAAACGGTATTGTTTTCCATACACCACAAATGGAAATAAAAACACTTTTATAAATAAATGGTATAAAAACACTTCCTATGTGTTATGATAGTTCACCAATCTATGACCTTTATTCTTTGTCAAACTTCTGTAAATACTATTGTATTCTTAAGCTTTATACATTTTTTTCACTGCCAACATTCTAAATTTTTTTTTTTTTTGAGACGGAGTCTCGCTCTGTTGCCCAGGCTGGAGTGCAGTGGCGCCATCTCGGCTCACCGCAAGCTCCGCCTCCCAGGTTCATGCCATTCTCCTGCCTCAGCCTCCCCAGTAGCTAGGACTACAGATGCCCGCCACCACGCCCAGCTAATTTTTTGTATTTTTAGTAGAGACAGGGTTTCACCGTGTTAGCCAGGATGGTCTCGATCTCCTGACCTCGTGATCCACCCGCTTCAGCCTCCCAAAGTGCTGGGATTACAGGCGTGAGCCACCGCGCCCAGTCTTTTCCTTATTTCTTTAAAGATTCCTCATTTCTGCCCTTCCTTAAATTTTTTGATGTAACTAAGAAATAAGAATTATTCACTTAAAACATTTAAGAATTTATCACAATATGCTAGATGGGACTAGAATATTTACGTTGACCACACAGAATATTCTTTTGTTACGGCAAAATCTACACAAACAAGCAAACTGGTTCAAGTATTTGCTGGGTATGAAAAAAAAGCAAGAGGAACTACCTAGCTTATTTAAATTTGTTTATTTAATTCTTGAGACCGGGTGTGGGGGAATTGCTCTGGTGCCCACCCAGGCTGGAGTGCAGTGGCACGATCATAGCTCACCGCAGCCTGAATTCCTGGGCTCAAGCAATCCTCCCACGTCAGCTTCCTGAGTAGTTGTGACTACAGGTATGTGCCGCCTCACCTGGCTAATTTTTTGTTGTCCAGGCTAGTCTCAAACTCCCAGACTCAAGCGATCCTCCTGCCTTAGCCTCTCAAGTAGGTAGGGATTATAGGCACAAGCCACAGTGCCTGGCCTAAATTAAAAATTTAGCCATCTTAAACTAGGATTGGCAGATGTATCTGTTACCATCATGTGAACACCATGTGCAATGAAGTTTCACTGGTAAATCATCTCACAGGCAGAATGACACACTGCTCTTCATTAGGCTTATCTTTCCAGAGATCCTTCCTTGTTACCATGTTATTTCCACACACTGCTAGAATACAACTAATTAAGCAGAGATTATTTAATAGCCTCCAAAATGGCCTACTCCGCATTCTCTCTCCCTACTACGAAAGCCTTCATACAAATTTTCAAGTCTTCCTAGATCACTTTGAGCTTCATAATGGGGATATGAAGAGCATGGGCAAGACACGATAGATACCATGCTGTGAATACGAGCAACTGAATGTGACTATTGCACACATGGGGAAGAAAAAAGGAGAACTGCCAGGCACGATGGACACAGTCTCTCAGATAATGAGTCAAAACACAAAAGAAAGAGATGCCCCTCAAACCAGCAGCCCCAGTTTTCTTACAGAGTAGTATATAGACTGAAACGGCCAAAATAGTAAAAGAGAACAGTGTAACACTGCCACACATTCATTTAATTATATTTTCCAAACTAAACAAATTTTGAATTTGCAACATTTATGCTGATGATAAAATTACATGTAAGTGTGAAATGGCTCCCCAACATGTTAATTAAATACTTAAAGATATAAAGTATTGTGTTCATAGGGAAAACAGAAAAACATGTATTTTAAGCTGGCAATTTTTTTATACATGCACCTAGGATAGTGTCTGGCCTATAATACTCAAATAACAAAATACATGCTAGTTCATATACAAACCCTGCACATCTTCTGTTTCAGGTACTGCTTTGTCCACAGATGTACTGTCCAATTGAGAAGATGCTACAGATTCTGATAAAAGTGACTGATTTGATACAGGGCTAGAAAAGCAAAATATTTCATTTTAAAAGGTGATCTCTACACATGAATATTAACTAATGTGACACAGTAAGAGTTCAACATATCTAAGTAGATAATTAAGATGAGAACACAGACATACTTTTTTTTAATAACTTAAACATAATCATAGAGCTTTAAAACTAGAGACTAATTTGGACCAGAATTTTACTGCCTTGGAAACAAAGCAACAGTGTATATGTCCTTTGTGTATTTCAAGTACCACATGAATTCACTAAATGAAAACTAGCATGATAAAGACATGCTTAAAGAACCCTAAGACAAAGCTGTAAATGATATTCTGGCATAGCAAAACTGAACATATCTTATCATGAACTGGAAAAAAGGAACCCCAGTGTAGGAACTTAATATATTGGTTCCTAAAAGCAGAATAAAAATGAAACCAGTATTGCTGTATGCAGGCTTCTAAATGATGTGACTTCAGAGTTAAAAAATATATATATACACATTACAATATAAACAAATATGAGTACTACATCATGATATTAAACAAAGATAATGTGTGACAAGACTGTATTTTTTTAATACACGGTAGTAATACTTGCAGAATAAGACTAACATTTCACTTAACATGCTTCCAAAGGACTTCAGGAGTAGGTCAGGATATATTATGAGAAAGAAAAAGATGCCTGAAAAAGAAATCTAAGACTTAAACGATAACCCCCGATCCCTCAAGGTAAAAGCAAGAAATCGCTTTTTCTAACTAGTTATAATCAGACGATAAAATTTTAGGCCAGTTAATCTAAAAGTAGCTTTACGTAGTTTTCCTTATTAATCAAACACAGAATATACTCTTTAGTTTTTATTAGCATTCTCATTAGAATTCAGAGAGTACATCTTACCTGGGCTGCATAGATGAAGATGTAGAGTCTAATGCTGACTGGGCTTCTGGCACACTGCCATCTGTGCATTGAACTGGTAAAGATTCAGACAGACTACTGACAGAGGTTGCTGTAACAGTACCACATTGCGTATTAGTGATTCTATATGCTCAGCAGTCTAAGACCTTATCTAAAAAAATCAAAATCCATTTTCCACAGAACACAGTATAGAGGTTTTCTTTTAATATGTAGTATGTTGGTTCATTATTTTTAAAAAATTTTTCAACGGTTTGCCAGTGAAAAATATGTTAATTTTAAACCAAGAAGGAAACCATCTGCAAATTGTATACATTAATAAACTCCTATTTCTTAGGACTGAATAGCACCCAAGCCCAAATGCTTTAATTCAAAAACATCTTCCAAGTACTAGAGAACAAATGAGATATTTAAATAAGATGACATAGCAGTGAAGAATATAGGTTCAGAATTAAAATCTATGCTCAGTACATTAGGTTATAAATGTAGATGATGACTTAATTTTAAAACAATTTATACTCATTTGATCTTAGCCTTAAGCAAATTTGGAGTTTTGGTTAAATGGTTGTAGGTTTTGGCTTGAACAAAAACAGACAAGATCTCACACACAATATTAAATGAACTAAGTAATAGCCTACACTTTCATTAACCACAAAAATCTATACATGCAGGCATTAACCTACATGAGATCTATCCTAAATGAATACACTAAACACTTTCCTTTTTGCAAAGCTTATACTTGGAATCCGCATGATCCTTCTTATACAACTACTGAAACAAAAGACCACCTCAATTCCAAGAATATCCTTTGACACAAAAAGGCATAAAAAACCCTAGTGAACTGGGGTTGAACATCCCTTACTATGAGTTAATCCACGATACTCCTCCTTCCTAATGGAGTAAAGCTTCCTCTCAAGTCCACTGAGCTGTGGTTATCAATAATCCACTCCTTCCTTCAACAACTACTTGAGCTGTAAGTCACACCAGATAAAAGAACAAAGGTTCTTTTATCACTCTCTTCCCTTACTTTCCAAGACACTTGAGGTGTCCCCTCTAAATAAAGTAACAGAATTCCACAGCCACAGAAATAAGATTATGGTATGAATTTACAGTATTTTCAATGAGTGATGATACTCATTCCTAACTCCTCACTACTGATTATAATCACAATGTGTAATGAGAAATTTTACTGATATGAATATGGTAATATAAATATAATGTGAGAGCAGAAAAAGGTATTGGGTATACCGAAATATCCACTTGTATTTCAATTATGAATATAGACGGGTTTCACTAGAATTACTTACCAGGTGGGCTTATTCTACCATTACTACTATTCTGTCTTTGAAGATGTTCTTTATAGCATACTGAACACATGCCATTTGTACGAGGGTTTCCATAAAATCCACAGCCAGTGGAACAAAGCATAGGCACTTGGCTGTGATTAGTTTCTTGAGCCATGTTCCTCAGTTGCACACCTGAAAATTACATAAAATTAGCAAAGAACTCAGACACGTAACTTCCAATCACACATTATCCAAAACTGCTTTTATATGATAAAGAAAAAAGCCCACATATATCAAACTATTCTACATAACTGTCCCAAGACATAGGGCTAAAAAGGAGAGAAAAATATAAAAACCAAAAGGACACACATTGAACTTTTTATCTCCAACCCACTCTACATAAGCCAAGTCTGTACAGGCTCAGAAAGTATAAAGAACTCCTAGAGAAAGAAATCTGTTTTGAAGACTCTACCCCCAGAAGGTCAAGGATAACTTATTAAGTCTAGCTCAGTTTGGACCCTCCTAGTAATAAGAGATATACATTATAAGTTTTGATGTATGTTATATTATCTAATATCTAAGCATTTAAACTTTTGCTGGAAGTTCATGTGCTAATGTGTGTTATTTATTCTGTTTCAAAAGCATTTCACATAGTATCATTTCTGGTGAAGATATGGAGAACTGGGCTGAATGCTTGTAAAATGATAATAAATTGGTTCAATCTTTTTGGAAAGCAAGTTAGCAATTCACTTCAAGAACCCTGTAAAAAACAAATATTGCTATCTGAACCAGTCATTCCCCTTTAAGGGTCTTCAACAAAATGACTAGAGTATAATCAGAAAAAGAATAATAAAATATAAGGGATGTGCTTCACAGCGTTATTTATAATTTTTATAAACAGACAATAACATTAGAATGTATGCAGTTTTTTTTTAAAAAAGCATGATATATAAATGACAAAAGTTATGCAGTCATTAAAAATATTTTAGAATATTTTTTGATTGAGGGAAATACCGATAATAAATGAAAAGGCACAATATGAAATGCGTATACTATATTTTGCCAATTAGGAAAAAAGGAGCACCCATTAATCATCAAAAAGGACAGTAATGAGCATATCCCAGGATGGTGAAGCTAGTGTTTTTCCCTGATTTGTACCTTTACTTTTTAAATTTTCTAAAATGAAGATATTACTTGCATAATTGGTGGAAATTTTTATTTTTTTAAGTATTTATAACTAAAAAATACTAAAAACTAACAGGACAGAGGCATTAGTCAGACAGGCAAGTGATGCTGGGACTGAGGGAATTGTTTGGGAACCACATGAAAGCAATAATCAATTACAGCAGATGGAAGAACCCCATGTGCCATTTCTCCCATAAAGCAACTGGTTCTTTGGCATGAATAACATGACAGAAGTACTAACGGGCTCTCTTTCTTATTAAAAAACAACAATCTCCTAAGTGAAGGTTACTCCGAAATGGGTGTATATGTATTACAGATGAGTCTATTTCAAAGATCATGAAGAATGAGACTAACCAAAGAAGGAAAATGTTTTGCCACTGAAATTTCCTTGAACTGGTAAACACCCAAGAAAAGCATTCACAGTTTACTGTCACCAACTAGATTTCTCTTCCTCTACATTATCTGAAGACTGTTGATGGGTAGTGAGGATTTATACGTATTTCAGAACCAAGAGCAATAATGCACTTGACTGAATTATGATGCAGGCTTAGCAGCTGCCTTTAAAAAAAAAAAGTCCTAAAACTGTTGAGGATAGTTAAACCTTTAGCCTATGAACACAATTTGGGATTTTGGCAAGCATCTTTCTTATTCCATGATGACAAGTCATTTCAGAATCCCACCTTTGCCACCTTTCTTTTTATAAATGCTACTTTAGAACCCTCTTTCTTCTACAGCCCTGTAAAATATATACATATGTATATATACATACATACACACACATATCACATTAAAAAATAACAAGCACAGTATAGAAATGCTAATGTCAAATATTTTGGGGTTTTTCCCCTTTTTTGCCTATTTTATGAAGAATACTGGTCTGCAGCTTTCTTTATGTTTATCTGATTTTGGTATCAGAGTAATTGCTCAAGGTCCTGTAGCTAATTAATAAGTGATGGAGGCCGGGCACGGTGGCTCACGAGGTCAGGAGCTAGAGCCATCCTGGCTAACATGGTGAAACCCCATCTCTACTAAAAATACAAAAAAACTAGCCGGGTGTGGCGGCGTGTGCCTGTAGTCCCAGCTACTTGGGAGGCTGAGGCAGGAGGATCGCTTGAACCTGGGAAGGCGGAGGTTGCAGTGAGCCGGGATCGCACCACTACACTCCAGCCTGGGCAACAGAGCAAGACTCTGTCTCAAAAATAAATAAATAAAATAAGTGATGGAGCTGGGATTCTATGTATAATGTGTGTATATATAGTATGTATACATATGTATACATATATGTATATACATACATATACACACACACACACACACAATTCAATACCTGGATTGAATCCCAGCTCCATCACTTATTAAGTCGTCAATGATTCTCAAAGTATGGTTCACATACCCCTATAGAGGTCAAAATTGTTTTCATAATAATACTAGTGAGTTATTTGCCTTTTTCACCATATGGACAAATGCTGCTATAGCAATTGTGGGGGAAAAAAATAGATGAAGCCTTATCAAGGGGCCAAATCAAAGCAGTGGCACCCAACTGTACTAGTAGTCAACTCTTCATCACCATGCTCTCACAGTAAAAATTATTAATTTTACTAAATCTTGACCCTGAATACACATCTTAACATTTTACATGACAAACCGGGAAGCATGCATGAAGCACTCCTGTTGTGTAAAGAAGTATGAAGACTGAAGAAAAAGCACTGTGCAATTGTTTGAGTTGTGAGCTGACTGAACTGCCTTTTTCATGGAACACGTTTCTTATTTGAAAGAATGACTAATAAACTGGTTATTAAGACCTGAGTATTCAGGCTGGGCACGGTGGCTCATGCCTGTAATCCCAGCACTTTGGGAGGCCAAGTCAGGAGGATCACGAGGTCTGGAGATAGAGGCCATCCTGGCTAAGACATTGAAACCCCGTCTCTACTAAAAATACAAAAAATCAGCCAGGCATAGCGGCAGGAGCCTGTAATCCCAGCTCCTCAGGAGGCTGAGGCAGGAGAATGGCATGAAGCCAGGGGGCGGAGCTTGCAGTGAGCCAAGATCGTGCCACTGCACTCCAGCCTGGGCAACAGAGCGAGACTCCGTCTCAAAAAAAAAAAAAGAGTATTCAGTAGATATTTTTGTAAATGAACAAAGTGCACTCATCACTTCAAACATCTAATAGTATCTGTTATCAAAGACAACAGTCAAGTGAAAAAAACCTTGACAAGCATCTCCAATATTCTGAGAGTTTCTGATAAGATTCATGGTGATATTAATTAAATGTGATTAGTTGCTACTATATCAATATTTGAAATATCATCCTAAGACACTGAATCAGTATTTTCTAAGCAACCAATGTTGGTTGCTTAGCAAGAAATAGTAAGAAATTACTCATGAACAGAAGATCCATTCAAAGTGAAAAGCCAATGAATTTTAATGTAACAGGACAAAAAGTTTTATATCAGGGTATCCAATCTTTTGGCTTCCCTGGGCCACAGTGGAAGAATAATTGTCTTAGGCCACATATAAAATACATTAATACTAACGACAGTGGATGAACTAAAATAAATAAATATATAAATAATGCTTTAAGAAAGTTTATGAATTTGTGTTGGGCCACAGATTGAACAAGCTTGTCTTGTATGGTTTCAATTTCACACTGCAACTATCCTTTAAGAAACTATCGTCAAGTTTTAGTGTAATATCAAAGAACCTCTATTATCTGATAATGTTATTAAAATATTCTTTCCAAATACATATGAGCCCAGATTTTCTTTATAACACTATAACAGATTGAATGCCAAAGCAACTACTAGAATGTTGTTATTAAGGCAGACTTTTTAAAAAATCTGCAAAAATGTGTTAACAATGCCACTCTTCTCATTAACAAGTGTGGGGGAGAGGAAAGTGGTTATTTTCCTAAAATATTTTAAAATAAACTAGTACTTAAAACATTTTCTCAGCTTTAATTTTTAATATGATTTCACTAGATATAACTCTCACACACAAAAGCCCTTCGGGATATTTACACCAAAATTTTGAGAATCCACTGCTTATAAAACGTGCACTCTCAGTATAGACAGTTTGCCCCTCAAGGGAGAAAACACTGATTTTTGGAGGAAAGGGTCACAAAAACCCTTACTCTTGTATAAAACACAGATATACATAAAATACATAAACAGACCTGCAATATCTCTCTGGAGTTAAAATCTTCTGGAGGTGGGGGCCACTTAAGAAAAAAAAAAACAAAAAAAAAACCTAAAAAGGCTCCTTAGGGAAAAAATAGAGAAAAAAGACTGAGGAACTCGGGTCTAAACCACCAACTATGCTATACTGCTTATTAACAACATTAAAGTGTAAGAGAGGAATTAAAGGAACTCTCCCAATGATACTGGTAAATATATGGCTAGCAACCAAACAGTAAAAGGATAAATATATTTCCATAAAAACTCAAGTAAAAAGTCATAGATGAAAGTACAATATGACCACTAAGCTTTTCATTACAATTACTTCAAAACATTAAGATTAAAGTTTGAAAACTTGTAACACTACCAATTTTCCCAAGTCAAACTGCCTGCACGGCATCAAATTAACAATGATTTTCATAACTCAAGAGGCACAAAGGGTTTCTCACAGGATTCTTAAAAAAAAAAAAGAATCAGTCTTATTTATTAATCGTTAGGCCATAAAATGTACCTTTACATGAAGAGTCAGAAAGACTGAAAAAGACAAAAAACCATAAAGAGTAATTTAGTTTATCTGAATGTGTAATGGCATAGATGGGGTAGCTATGAAGAAACTGGAAGTCCTGCCTCCCTCCCTTTGCTACTATACCTTTTTGGGGCAATCAGTCTGGCATTCAAATGATCAGGGAGGAAAAGGGATAAGGGGAGAAAAGGCAGAACAATTCCTTAACTGCTGCACTGTGGAATTATAAAACCACAAATCCAGAGACAGAGAGTAAGATCACTCTACCAGATACTTTAAAAATGATTAGCATGGTATAATAAACAAAAGCCTATGAATTGAAGAGAATTCATAAAATGTGACTTTTGACTGTTCATAACATTCGTAGTCAAATCCCCAACCTATTACTCCCTCTAACATCCCAGACAATACTTAACAGTTATTCAGAGTTTACTATGTGCCAGGAACTCTTTTTATTGTTTATTTATATCTCATTTAATCCTCTCAAGAACACTATGATGTTGGTGCTGTTGATATCCCTATTTTAAAAACAAAAAAAAATGATACTCAAAAAGACTTAGTAACTTGCCCAAGTTCCCCTTCTGGTAAGCAGCTAAGTCAGTGTCTTTTGATCTAAAAAACAAAACAAAACAAAACCAACAACAAAAAAGAGAACTGTCAAAGTCCATCATATCCCTGAAAACCTATAATTTTCTGAGCATTCATTAATTCTTATTAGTTTCATTTAAGTATACCTTTTAAATTCCATTTATTTATTCAATGTTAACATATTATGCAGCTTTAATTAGCTAAAACCATGCTCTTGAAAAAATTTGTTTTTCCTTTATGTCTTTTTACCTAGGAAGTTCTTAGCAGGATTAAAAATTCAAGATTAAATGCTTTAAGACTGTAAAGAAAATTCATTACCAATTATTAAAATTCTGACAAAAGAATAGTAATGATGGCAACATAAACTCAATTATAACAGCACACACATGTCATTTAAACCTACTTTCCTGTGCTTCCTTCCCTAAAGGTAAGTCACCATGTTCCAATAATTTTTATTTTGAAATGCTTCACCCTCTTTTATTTTCCATCCCAACTGTGGTTCTCATTGCTTTTCATACCTGGGTTATTTTTAACAGTTTACTGCCCCTCCTCCTAATACATTTATTGAAATTCTCCTAAAACACCCAGTTCTCATCATATTACTTCGGTTTTAGTTTGTATAATAATTGTCCCAGAGAGGAGTACTCAACCTAGCATTCGTCCTTCACATAATTTAACCCGAGCAGCCTAATTTCCCTAGAAACTATGCTGTATGTAAACAGAATGGGCTTGGAGTCAGGTCGGCAGCAGCTGGAATCCCAGCTTTGCCATTTTATTACCTGTAAAAGCTTGGACTTGTTACTAAATTTCCCTGGTTTCAACTAAGAGGGCACTTACATCACTTATCTAACCAGATTAAATAATGCATATGAAAAGCATCCAAATAGTGTGTGGCACATAGCAAAATTTCAATAACTGTTCTTACTCTATTCTTCCTAAAAGCAGAGGGTCTTTTGCTTCCATCTGATTGAAACAAATCATGCTCACTCTTGGAAACAAGCTTCTAGCTCATATTGCGCCTTTTTTAGTATATCCCATCTACCTTTGTACTCTGCTTGTAATAATCCTATCTACTTCAGGAAATCAGCTTAAATTCTATTTCTTCTGGGCCCCTTTCTGACCACCTCAAGCCTCTTCTACTCTATATTCCTAAGGAAGCTGCTTGTACCACTCTTTTGGGGCACTTAATTGTACCATTACTCAAATACTTCACTGGTATACAACTCTGTTCCCAGCTAAACTCTAAGTTTCTTCTCACTGGTATACAACTCTGTTCCCAGCTAAACTCTAAGTTTCTTCTTCAAACCCTCTTTATGCCTAACATGAACCCCACAAAATATTTTGTTGAGTAAACACACTTCATTATTGTCACAAGTATTCATGTCAGGCAAAAAACGGCTATATTCTGTTGAAAAGGGGAGAAAACTGATGTAGAATGTTTCACACTGCAATATTCATAATTTATAAAATGAAACAGTTATTCAGCAAGAATGACCAACAGCCCAAGGCAGTTATAAAATGCATACTTTTTTTCACTTCATTCTTTTTCTCCCTCCTCCCGAAAAAAATAGGGAGAAAATATAATTTATAATGATGAATTAGTCCAAAGAAGTTGTGAACTAGCAAACCTCAGTTAAATCTGACCCATAGCCATATTTGATTGGCCAGTACCTATTATTTTTTAAAAAAATTAGTTGCTAGCATTCAAAAATTGGGGAATGTCACGTAATTCCAGATTTCTTCTGTTGAAAAATAGGAAGATCTGACAATATTGGACTCATGTTCCTCAAATTAAAACCCATCAGCTAGGGCCCTACTGGGCAGAGCCTGTACTCTCCAATTCAAGACCACCTTCAATTTTAGTTATCTGACTGATCTTATAAGTTATCTTTGGCCTTTTCATTTTGGGACCTTCACTAATAATTTCAAGAAAAGAAAAAAATACACATAATATGTCTGGTTAAATAAGAATGCACATTAAGCTTTGAACTAGTACGACACCGCAACACAAAGTGTTACACAAAGGTAAGACGAGCTCCTGTCACACTCCGCCTTTTTTCAAATCACTGGAAAACTAACTGCTCAGAATGGGTGAATTCTCTTTGCAATTGTATCAAATGGATCCCAGAAGAGTGCAAAATAGGATTTGTGGTACACTCTAATTTTTTCTTATTAACTGACCAAAAGAGGAATTACCTAACTTGGCATAGGTGCTTGAGATTAGTGTTTCCTGTTGCATACAGTAATTCCGAGTTCTGAGCCTTTGGATCTCCAACTATCACATGGGTAATAAAGAGACATGAGGGATGGTAAGGAGCAGCAGTAACCTTTTTGCAGAGATGATAAAAAAAATCTGGCCAGGTGCAGGGGCTCACGCCTGTAATCCCAGCACTTTGGGTGGCCAAGGCAGGCAGCTCCCAAGGTCAGGAGTTTGAGACCAGCCTGACCAACATGGTGAAACCTTATCTCTACTAAAAATACAAAAATCAGCTGGGCGTGGTGGCACATGCCTGTAATCCCAGCTACTCAGGAGACTGAGGCAGGAGCATTGTTTGAACCCAAGAGGCGGAGGTTGCAGTGAGCCAAGATCACGCCACTGCAATCCAGCCTGGGCAACAGAGCAAGACTCTGTCTCAAAAAAATCCAGGAATGCTCATAAAGCCAACAGATCAGAAAGTATGACTTGATACAAAACACTTGGGATGAATGCTAGTCACTCTGATAAAAGTATAGGGATTTTGGACTACTGTACTGACTGTGCTTTGTAGTTTCTCTGCATAGCAGTTTTTTGAGATGGAGTTTCGCTCTTGTTGCCCAGGCTGGAGCGCAGTGGCGCAGTCTCGGCTCACTGCAACCTCTGCCTCCCAGGTTCAAGCAATTCTCCTACCTCAGCCTCCCATGTAGCTGGGAATACAGGCATGTGCCACCATGCCCAGCTAATTCTTTATTTTTAGTAGAGATGGGGGTTTCACCATGTTGGCCAGGCTGGTCTCGAACTGCTGACCTCAGGTGATTCACCTCCCTCGGCCTCCCTAAGTGCTGAGATTACAGGTGTGAGTCACCATGCCTGGCCTATACAGCAGTTTTTTCCAGATTTCTTCTGTTGAAAAATAGGAAGATCTGACAATACTGGACTCATGTTCCCCAAATTAAAACCCATCAGCTAAGGCCCTATTAGGCAGAGCCTGTACTCTCCGATTCAAGACCACCTTCAATTTTAGCTACCTGACTGATCTTATAAGCAATCTTTGGCCTTTTCAATTTGGGAATCTTCACTATTAGTTTCAAGAGAAGAAAAAATACACGTTTAGTTAAATAAGAATGCACATTAAACTTTGAACTAGTACCACAGCACAAAGTGGTAAGATGAGCCCCTCCCACTTATAAGAAAACTTTATTAAAAACTTATGAGAAAAATTTCCTTATAGCAATATATCACTATATACTTATCCTATATTGCTATATAGTTATACTGGTAAAATAAATCTCACCAAGAGGCCACTGTATTGTTTGCATCTGAAGATAGATTCTAGAAAACTTCTGATTGACATTCCTATCTTAGGTGGCTACCGGCGACTCCACCAACCTCAGATTGAAAATACAGTATTCCCAGGATGTGAAACCTGTCAATAAGGAAGACTGACTTTTCATACCCAAATGATTGGCAGGGTTGACTGCAAGAGTTAAGAACCCACAAATTCTGGTGTCTGCAGGGGTGGGATGAGGGGGGTCCTGGAACCAATACCTGCAGATACTGAGGGATGACTGATATATGTTCATCACCCAATGAAGGGAAAGGATTAGAAAGGCAATATATGTCTCATCCAAATGTGTATCCCCAGACATGATTTATATGGAGTTATAACCATGATGTGATAAATGATAGTAACACTTTTGGTACAATCCCATCTCCACTTAGAACACCAAGCTAAATATATCTGTGGTGTCTTAATTATGAAATTACTCAACAATTGAATCTGAAGGGTATCTGTATTACTGAAGCTGACAGCTTCAATCTGCCTACTATGTTTTCTTTCCTTGCTCTTTTAGATAATAGAACATCTATTTCTTGCAGGAAGACCATTTCATTTGCTTGGGTAGGCCTGACCCCTCCCATCCCAGGGCCAGGCCTGTCTCAGGGCTGAATACCTGAGCCAAGGCTGGGCATGTGAGAAGCTAAGCCTTTCACTTTTAGATCTGCAATCCATCTAGAGTTGATTTTCTTGGTATGGAATGAGGTTAAGAGTTAAGATTAATGCTTTTCTCCATATGGATATCTAATTAACCCCAAACCATTTACTAAAATGATCATCTTTTCCCTACAGTCTCATCTTTGCCCACACATTAGGCCTCATACATGTATGGGTCTTTTCCTAGGCTCTCTATTCTATTCTACTGGTTTATTTCTCTATCCTATTCTAAATTATACAGTTTTTTTTGATATCTAGTATCAGTTTTAATCTTCCTCATGATTGTGTTGGCTATTCTTGGCTCTTTGCATTTCCACATAAATTTTAGATTCAGTTTGTCAATTTCCACTTAAAAAGTAAAAACCAATAGGATTTTTATTGGAATTGTGTTGAATCTACAGATGTGCTAATACTACTGTATATCTCTCAGTTTATTTAGTTCTCCTTTAGATTCATAATGTTTTATAGTGTTCTGTGATGAGGTCTTGCATATCTTTTGGATATTCCTAGGTATTTGTTTAAAATCTACTATAAATGGTGTATCTTATTTTTAAATGTCATTTTCTGTCTGTTTGTTCCAGCCTCCTAGGTGGTCTGCCCCAATTCCCTGAGCCTCCTGGTAGTCAGGCCTCATGCAGTTCCTTCCCACATTTTATCAGTGTTGGTCTGGGAGATCAACAGAATACCATGGAAGTAATGGCATATCTTCCAAGTCTAGGGCATAAGAGACACTGTGGTTTCTGCTTTGCTTTCTCTCTTGGTAACTCACTCTGGAGAAGCTGAGGGCCATTTCACAGAGAAAGGCTCATGTGACGAGTAGCTGAGGTCTCTGGCCAACAGCTATATGAGTGAACCAGGAAGCCGATCTTCTCTAGCCCTGATCAAATCTTTGAATGACTGCAGCCTTAGCTGACATGTGAACTGCAACCTCATGAAACACTCTGGGCCAAAACCATACAGCTGAGGCCCTTCTATATTCCCAACAGAAACTGTGTGAGATAATAAATATTTGTTGTTTAAGCCAGTGAATTTTGGGTTAGTTTCTTATGCAGCAATTGATAACACAGCTTCTGGTATATATATCTCCCTGCTTCTTGCCCCGCTATACTTTATTTTCAACACAGCAGCCAGTGATCCTATTAAAATCTAAATCAATCACACTGCCTGCTTACTCAAAATCTTCCAGTGGCTTCCCAACTTACAAAGCGTTAAAAGACAAATTCTTTACCTTGACTTAAAGGCTCTTCATGATCTGGTCCCCCATTACATGACTTCCTCTTTTACTCCCCTTCCTACCATACACGTTGCTGGGTATGACAGGTATTTTCCTGTCTGAGGCCTTTGTACTTGCTATTCCTTCTACTTTCCAGAAATCCTTATGACTAGGTTCTTCACCTCCTTCAGGTCTCTGCTCAAATGTTACCTTTTTCAAGGAGGAATTCCCTTGCCACTTATTTAAAATTGTCCCCAGCATCAATTCCGGTTTTATTTTTCTTCAACGTCCTTATCCTAATCTTAATTTACTATTATATTGTGTCTCCCCTTTGCTAAAATGTTACCTCCCTAATGGCAGGGATTTTGTCCATTTTGTTCACTGATGCTTTGAATAATGCTTGGTAAATGGCAGGCATTCAATATTGATTGAATGTATGAATGAAACTGCCCTGCCACCTTACCTGCACACCACCACTAGTAGCCAAGGATTTATCCCAAGGCAAAAAACGAGAAAGGCTCCTTTTAAAGAAATTGAATTTGCTGTTTAAGAAGAGATCTAGATCTGTCAGCAAGGTGTGCCACCTATGACTATACAGTTCATGCACTGAACAAAGATGCCTGCAGGCGCGGTGGCTCACACCTGTAATCCCAGCACTTTGGGAGGCCGAGACAGGCAGATCACTTGAGGTCAGGAGTTCAAGACCAGCCTAGTCAACATGGTGAAATCCTGTCTCTACTAAAAATACAAAAATTAGCCAGGCGTGGTGGCAGGCGTCTGTAATCCCAGCTACTCTGGAGGCTAAGGCAGAAGTGCTTGAACCCAGGAGGCGGAGGCTGCAGTGAGCCATGATTGCACCACTGCACTCCAGCCTGGGCAACAGAGTGAGACTCCAAAAAAAAAGAAAAAAAACAAAAAAACAAGGATGCCTGGCCTCATGCTCCAAGCTTTTGGGCATCTTTTCCATTCAGCCTACTCAGAAAGAGGTTCATTTAGCAATGTGACTAATTTAGCATACCAAACAGTAATTCTATTAGTAAAATTAAGTTGCAGTGAATTTCATATTCTCAAACTGACCTAGGTTTCATATCACATACCTTAAAGAACAAGGCACAGTTTTTACCAGCACAAGGCCACCCAATATTCTTATTTGCAAAAAGAGGAACCCGTTCAAATTTTCCCACTGGCTTCCACATTCATGGACATTCATTCTCTTTCTTCTCACGATTACCACAGATTGATCGATCTATCTATGGCTTTTTATTCCCTCTTTGCCCTTAAAGCTTTTAATTCAACTATGTAGACTTTGTACTTCCCCCCAACCCCTCCACCCAAAACCTTTTAAAAAATCTCTTCTCCCCCTAAGGTAAATCTTCAATTGTAAATGAATGTCCTTCCCTAATTTTAAAGTTTAATATATGGTCATTCTCTAAATTTATATCTTTTCTGCTCATGAAACTGCACATTTTTTACAGAAGAAAACTTGCTTTACCATTTACTGAGCAATACTTATATAGAACTTTATGTGCCAAGCACTTATAAATACCAATCCCTTTAATCCTCATAATAGTCCTATTAAGTAGGTACTATTAGCACTCTCATTTTACAGAGAAATAAACTGTTCAAGGACACACAGCTAGTAAGTGAGGAGCTGGGATTCAACCCAAGCAGTTGGCTGGAGTCCACACTCTAAATCAGTAGTTCCCAAAGCGTATCTGTGGACTCCTGGGGATTCTTGAGATCCTTTCAGAGGTCCTTCCCCCTCCCCGCTGCCCTCCCAACCCCATCTTCTCCCCTCCCTTCCCCTCTCCCCTCTCCTCTCCTCTTTTCGACAGAGTTTTGCTCTTGTTGCCCAGGCTGGAGTGCAGTGGCACGATCTTGGCTCACTGCAACCTCCGCCTCCCAGGTTCAAGTGATTCCCCTGCTTCAGCCTCCTGAGTAGCTGGGATTTACAGGTGCCTATCATCATGACTTTTTGTGTTTTTAGGAGAGACAGGGTTTCACCATGTTGGCCAGACTGGTCTTGAACTCCTGACCTCAGGTGACCCACCCGCTTCAGCCTCCCAAAGAGCTGGGATTACAGGCATGAAACACTGCGCCCAGCCCCTATTTTCATAATAACAAGAACTTGTTATTCGTCTTATTCACTGTGTTGACATTTGCATTGGCAGTGTAAAAGCAATGAAGGGTAAAACAGCTAGAGCTTTAACATGCCATCAAGACAGCGGCACCAAACCATACTATAATAGTACAGTTGTCGTTATATGACAAGGAGATGTCACATAATATGGTGATGTCATTATGTAATGACTACCTAATAGTAGTCATTATATTCATCACCATACTCTCACAGTTAAAAAACAAAAAACCAGTTTCACTTGCTGAGTATTCCTGATGAAACAAATTATTTTTACTAAATCTATTTTTTTTTTGACACGGAATTTTGCTCTTGTTGCACAGGCTGGAGCGCAGTGGCGCAATCTTGGCTCCCTGCAACCTTTGCCTCCTGGGTTCAAGTGATTCTCCTACCTCAGCCTCCCGACTAGCTGAGATTACTGGCGTCCGCCACCATGCCTGGCTGATTTTTTTGTATTTTTAGTAGAGACGGGGTTTCACCATGTTCATCAGGCTGGTCTTGAACTCCTGACCTCAGGTGATCCACCCACCTCAGCCTCCCAAAGTGCTGAGATTACAGGCGTGAGCCACTGCGCCCGGCCCTTTTATTAAATCTTGATTCTGATTACACTTCATTGTATTTTTCCTCTTTCACCTATTTTGAGATACGTCACCCCAGAGTAAAGCCTTCCTCAATCTAGTTTCTTATCCACATACTGGAAACTGAAGTCTCTATCCTTGCAGAGGTTTTTGGCACACAGTTCTTAATTAGTCTCCCATTTCAGGGAAAAGGGTTACTGAGGAAAAAGATACCTACACAAATTCAGAGGAAAACAACTTACTTGTAATAACACTGTCCTTCAACATGAATTAAAATATGCATAATGAGCAAATAATAAGTTTCTAGGCACAAAGAGCCTATAATATGGAAGCAAAAAAAAAAAAAACAAATTTAACATACTGAAAAAATTATTTGGTTTTTTCAGAGTTATATTCCCAGCACTCTAGATTAGGGCTGGCAAATTTTTTCTCTAAAGCACCAGAGAGCAATTATTCTAGGCTTTGTGGGCCATAGAGTCTGTCATAACTGCTCAATTTCGCCTTTACAGTAAAAAAGAAGCCACAGACAATAAGTAAATGAATAGGAATGGCTGTGTTTCAATAAAACTTTTATTTACAATAAGGGGTGACTAGAATGGATTTGGTGAGTGGGTCATAGTTGGCCAATTCCCGCTCTAGATTAATGCCAGGCACATAGGAGGTACTCAAATACATGCTGGATGAATAAATGATTTCACAACTATTTTGGTTAGAGATATTATCAGGAAAGACATAGCAAAATTCCATGACTATAAGCAAGTACTTTCTTTTGTCATAGCTCTTTGTTCAAGGATATCTTGATAAACTTATCGTACCTATCACTCCGCTAGCTATTAAACACTGTAAAAGATATTTAGGACACACAGTTCTGCTCTCATCAATGTAGGTACAAGAACAGAAATACTAATGTCTGATTTTCACGTATCTGCACAAACATCACATCTAACTCCAAAATTACAACTTTATTAGCCACAAAACCACAAAATGTTAAGTATCAAAACCACAAAGTTTTAGAATACACCACTCTCACTTCATAGAGGTATATAAAAATGGATGCCAGAAATGATTGCAAGATACTTCAGAAACTGATTTTCTTTCAGTTAAAACGTAACACACCTTGTAGGGATGACTAACAAATGCATCATGAAAGGAAGTTTAACTACAAATCACTGCAAAACAACTGTTATATATACAGGGACAACTTGATATGTAGTAAAAAGAAAAAAGAACTGACTCATCTTCAAGTTGGTTGTGAATATAAACTTCCTACTTAGATAAGTGCTTAGCCTGAAGTACTTCATTTAAGATAGTTATGATGCCTGTCCTTTCTAACTCATAGAATTTTGAGGGGGTCAACTGGGACGGTGATTGTGAAAATACTTTAACCCGTAAGTTGCAATATAAAGCTCAGTTCAGAATTGGGTGGCTTATTTAAGTCACATATCTGCAGTTCATCATGAGAGAGAGAGGTTCAAACTGTCCACTATTTAATAGTAGCTGCAGTCATAAATCCAAGACTCCTTATTTACCCATAGCTCACAAAGGGCAGGTTCATAAAAGTTCTCCTTGCCACAGAGACAGTAATCACCTGTTAGGAGATCTGTGAATAGGCCTCACTTCCACCTGAGATGATACCGTTTTTTATTAAAAGTGTGATGGAATGGTTTCTAACATCCTCCTCTCAAAAGTTTATAAAATGATGTATCAATTACTCTGGATAACTGGCAACAAAAATTTACTATGTGCTTACGCTCAATATTTATAACTGTAAAGGAAGGATAAAAGCAAGTATGTGGTCTACCAGGGGAGACTTCTGTGTGCCTAGACTACAGGATAGTGGGAAATGATCTTAGAATAAGGCCACATCACAAAATCTGTGTTTCCATGATAAGGAGTCTGAACTTAAACCCACAAGCAACAGGGAATCCCACCACCTTAGAATGAAAAGGGGAGCTTTTTAGAACAAGTGCTGTTCACTAAATATTACTGTTTTTTATATACTTTAAATTGCTCTGAAAAGAATTCTAGGTGACTTTAAAAATGCATGCTGTATGATATCAAAAGTAGGCAAAAATAGTCAATCCAAGTAAAAATGGTTAAAAAAAAATAAGTTAGAAATACTGTCAATAAATAAAATGTATGCCCATAAAGGCCTATTTGCTAATTGGAAGCCATTCAACTCTATTCTTTCAAGGAGCTAATGCAAAGAAGAATATGACTACTTAAGAAAAACAAAATCAGCGACTCAAGAAAAGTACAATGAAATATTACCCCAGATAACATAAGAGGATTTCATCTATAGTTTACAACAAGTAAAACACAAAATGATATGGTCAATAATACCTGAAAAGTAAAATGTAAGTTTCTGGGATGGATGGATGGATGGATGGATGGATTGACTGACTGACTGATTTGAGACAGGGTCTCACTCTGTCGCCCAGGCTGGAGTGCAGTGGTGCGATCTCGGCTCACTGCAACCTCTACCTCCCAGGATCAAGCGATTCTCCTGCCTCAGCTTCCCAAGTAGCTGGGATTACAGGCACACACCACCATACCTAATTTTTGTATTTTTAGAAGAGACGGGGTTTCACCATACTGGCCAAGGCTGGTCTTGAACTCCTGACCTCAAATGATCCACTTGCCTCAGCCTCCCAAAGTGCTGGGATTATAAGGCGTGAACCGCCCACCCAGCCTCTGGCTATTTAGTTCTAATATAAATCAATAGTCTCATGGCCACCTTCAGTTAACAGCCAGTCTTCATGGAGTGGAGCCAGAGTTAAAAATAAAATCCGGCCAGGGGCGGTGGCTCACGTGTGTAATCCCAACATTCTGGGAGACCAAGGCGAGAGGATTGCTTGAGTTCAAGACCAGCCTGGACAACACAGTGAGATCCCCGTCTCTACAAAGAATAAGAAAATTATCTGGGTGTGGTGGTGCACAGCTGTGGTCCCAGCTACTCAGGAGCCTATGGTGGGAGAACCGTCTGAGCCTAGGAAATTGAGGCTGCAGTGAGCTGAGATCACACCACTACACCCCTGCATAGGTGACAGAGCAAGACTCTTGTTTCTTAAAAAAACAATAATAATAATGAACTTATCATTCAGGCTTATCATTTAGGCAATCCTTCATAAAGTTTATTTCTCCTAAGTGTCTGCTTTTGTTCTATCAAAGATTGCTGAGGCAGAGGAAAAGGGTAGGGAGAAAGCAGACTGAGAAGGCAGAATGGGTTACAAATTTCTGCTTCAAATAGAATAGTTCATTTTTGGTGTTTTCACATACCTGGTTTCTGCAAAAGATTTCAATTAAATAAAGGGGCTCAGATGGCTAAAAAATTTGGACACTTTAAGTTCTTGATTAAGAGCAAACTCAACAATGCTCAACAGTAAGCCAATCTGAGGTCGGGCTGATATACTATACCATGAACACTTCAGAGCATATCTAGGCCGCTAGTTACAAGAGTTAAATTTCAGTCAGGCACTTTGAATTGAGATGTTCTGAGTGAATATCCACAAGTTACCAATTAATCCCACCAAATTCTCCAAATTTTTTCCCTAAATTAAAAAAACCAGGTAAGGAAACTACACAATTAGGTATGTATTAGAGTAAGTGCTCACTGAAAATGTCTACTCACTATTATGTACTAGGCCCTGGGCTAAGCACTTTATATAGATTATCTGACTTAGGCCTCACCAAATCTGTATAAGGAAGGTAACATTCTCACACACGTTCCTTTGTAATCAGTTGAAGAAACTGAAGTTACACATGCCATTCACTGCCTCCCTACTAACATTCCCTTCTAAGACAATCTGTATACCTATAAATCAGCTCTTGCTGACCTTTTAGTACCATGGGATAAACCCTCCAGACAAGGTGATTAGACCTGGATGAACACTGACCCGATGAACCTATCTAAAGTCATGGATGGAGGTGGGGAGGAGACAGAATAGCACACACATAAAAAGTACCAAGGCTATATACTTGCAATTCAATTACATATGATTTTCCAAAGATTTTTAAAATAATCCTTTTTTCTTTCCTTAGGTAGAATGGATTTCTATTTCCATGTGTTCTGGTCCCTGACTAGAATCCAGTAAACAGTGATTTCTTTTAGAACATAACATTAATAGCTTGTTCCTATCCTTTGGTATCTCCCCTAACACCTACACTATTTCTAAGCACAAAGTAAAAGTGATTATCAGTGCTGAAATCCAGACTACTTTTAACCTTTAGTGGAATCATCTCAAACAGATAAATTTATCTCACAATAAAACCACTAACTGAAACCTAGTCCTTCCTGAAAGACTCTAAATTAATGTGCCACCCATAACATTGCTAGTCTTCAAAGGTGCTTCTAGATAAGAAATCTACTAGCATTTAAATGTAAAAATCAGTTTTCATCTCCATATCACATATAAACAGATGGCTCACTTTAATCTGAGAAGCAGTCACTGACAGACTTCAATACTTGCAACACTGCTTGACTCAACTGTCAATACCTTTATTCAAAAGTAACTGCAAGGCTGGGCGCGGGGGCTCACACCTGTAATCCTAGCACTTTGGGAGGCCGAGTGGGAGGCGGGTGGATCACCTGAGGTCAGGAGTTCGAGACCAGCCTGACCAACATGGTAAAACTTTGTCTCTACTAAAAGTGCAAAATTAGTTGGGTGTGGTGGCACACGTCTGTAATCCCAGCTACATGGGAGGGTGAGGCAGGAGAATCATGCCACTGCACTCCAGCCTCGGCAACAAGAGTGAAACTCCATCTCAAAAATAAAAATGAAAAATAAAAATAACTACACTATAATAAATTTTATAAATTGTTTAAAAATCACTTTATGGCCGGGCGTGGTGGCTCATGCTTATAATCCCAGCACTTTGGGAGGCCGAAACAGGCGGATCACGAGGTCAGGAGATCAAGACCATCCTGGCTAACATGCTAAAAAACCCCGTTCTCTACTAAAAAATACAAAAAATTAGCCAGGCGTGGTGGCAGGAGCCTGTAGTCCCAGCTACTCCGGAAGCTAAGGCAGGAGAAGGGCATGAACCCAGGAGGCAGAGCTTGCAGTGAGCCGAGATCGCACCACTGCACTCCAGCCTGGGCCACAGAGCAAGACTCCGTCTCAAAAAAAAAAAAAAAAAAACACTTTACATAAAACCCAGAGAAAATACACCTAACCTTCACCAAGATTCTTGAAGAAATATTTTTTGCTTCCTCTTCTCTTTCTTGGTGGAGTTATATCTGATACAAGAACCAATCTTTCATGTTCCAGACAAAGAGAATTGTGTCATCAATAAATGTCATGTTTAATGCAAATACATTACCTAGTGAAACCAACTATCTAGAACAGTGTTGTCCAACACAGTAGCCATCAGTCACATGTAGCTACTGAGAATGTGAAATGGGGCTAATGCACACAGCAGATTGAGACAGGAAGGCAGGGGAGTAAAGATTTTTTCTTTTTTTTTCTTTGAGATGGAGTCTTGCCTTGTCGCCCAGGCTGGAGTGCAATGGCGCAATTTCCACTCAGTGCAACCTCTGCCTCCCGGGTTCAAGCGATTCTCCTGCCTCAGCCTCCCGAGTAGCTTTGATGACAAGTGCCAGCCACCATGCCCGGCTAATTTTTTGTATCTTTAGTAGAGACGGAGGTTTCATTATGTTGGCCAGGCTGGTCTTGAACTCCTGACCTTGTGATCCATCCGCCTTGGCCTCCCAAAGTGCTGGGATTACAGGCGTGAGCCACCACGCCCAGCCGGGAGTAAAGATTTCTATTCTACTCTTCTTGAGATGTTTCTTATGATACCTTAATTGAAAATATCCTACTTTGTAATGTTCAAATTCTTAATCCTAAAGCCTTAAAATCTATTATTTTGAGCATTTATAATATGCTACCTAGTATTCCTCCTCTCAAAGAACAAACAGGTTTAATAATGATAATAATTTGCAAGCACTGATGATTCACTCAACCTCACAATATCCCACCAGGTAGCAAATTATTACTGTATCTATTTTACAGATTACACAACTGAGGCCCAGGAAGGTTTAAGAAATTTGCTCAGTATCACAGAGATGTTAGAAGGGACAGCTAGGATCTGAACTCAGGCAGCCAGACTCTATAGCCTGTGTACATGACCATGTTACATGGCCTTATATAGCCCAAAAACTTCATTTTAATATACTGCATTATACAACAGTAAAACAAGCTCAAATACATTTAAAAATCTAAGCAAAACCAAATGACAGAATTTCGTACAGGATCAATGAGAAGCCTACACTATTGTGGTAAGGTAAAGGGTAGAGCAAGGAAGAGGGAATAAAGTAGATGAGTTTTATATATGTTGCTCACATATTCCTACATGTACTTTCTATCCTAGGAAAGTTAATTAGCTTCTAACTTTATCCCCTTGAGAGAAGAGTAATATAGAACAGAACACAGAGAATCATCTCAGAGAGATAAAAAGAAATTTGGGACCAATTTACTATCATACAATTTCCCCCTAAACCCTCTACAGTGATAAAAGCAACTCTCTTCCCTATTGTGTGTTCTCTCCTAATCTCATTTTAAAAATCAAAGTTTCATTAGTATGTTCCAAAGGCCTCTCTCACCTTGAATTTTCCTTATTTTTAACACTAATTAAAAAAGAGGAGGGAAGGGTGTTGAAGTACTGTTCACAGAATAGCAGCACCAAATTAAACTTGGCTTTTCAAGGGAAATGCCAAATGGCAGTAAATTAAGAATTAAATTTCGTTTTACAGACCCTAAAACTGCATTAAAGTGAGCCTTGTAATCATTAAACAAGATTATAAATATTTATTCTCTAGAAATACTGAAAGATTAGGAACTAGATAACCTCTGGAGATTTACACAGTGTTATGTATCTACTGACCAATATAGAAAAGAAAATAATGGGGCAAAGTGAAACCTTTGGGTTTTTCACTAGTTTTGAATGCAGCAACATGTGTCCCTCCATTTCTGCCACATATCCTTTGACCACTTTCATTATGAATATCCATATTCGGCCGCGCAAGGTGGCTCACGCTGGTCATCTCAGCACTTTGGGAGGCCAAGGCAGGCAGATCACTGGAGGTCAGGAGTTTGAGACCAGACTGGCCAACATGGTGAAACCCCACCTCTTTGTAAAGTACAAAAATTAGCCGGGCATGGTGGCGCATGCCTGTAGTCCCAGCTGCTCAGGAGGCTGAGACAGGAGAATTACTTGAACTTGGTAGGCAGAGGATGCAGTGAGCAGAAATTGTGCCACTGCCTCCAGCCTGGGCGACAGAGTGAGACTCCGTCTCGAAAAAAAAAAAAAAAAGGATATCCATATTCAGTGTGTATTCTTCACGTTTTCTAAATGTTTTCTCATTCACTGATTCTAAAGATAGTCCATTTTTATTTTCCTTCAGTCAACACATTTGTGTTATGAAAGAGAAAGTAATTTCATTTTAGTGCATACACTGCATAACATTCCTTCTACTCCATGCCTCAGTGAACAGTTAACAAGATTTTATAAGTCTCTGTCTACATGCTCATCATTTTGCTCAATACAATGCTGTACATTTTAATCACTCCATCTGTACAAACAATGCATTCTTCTAAAGAGAGAGAAAAAACATCCAATTAAGAGTCTCACTCCTAAATCCATAAAGAAAAAGTCGGGGGGAGGAGGGTAGAAAAAAACCAGACACCACCCTACCATAGATTCTTAAGGTGTTAACTTTAACACCTTAAAGGAAAGAAAAGGAGATTTTTTTTCTTCCATAGGCATTTCTATTATTCAAAGTACTTTAAAAAATAAAATTGGCGAATTTAAAAAACTTTCAACTGCATTTAGGGAACAAGGGTGCTTGTATTTTGATATACTCTTTGACTAAATGAAGTTATTTTTTAAAATATTAGCTTTTAAAATTATTATAATTTAAATTATTATTTCCAGAAGCAATTTTCTCTATTAATATCAAACATCATAATCCCAAGTAATTTTTTTATGGTTGTTTGGTCAAAATATTAACTTTAAATGGCTGAAATCAATGCAAAATAAACAGCAATCTAAAGAATTACAATCTTTTGCTTCACAATAATAAATTAGTAATGCAGATTCCAATGCTTATAATAATTCTGAAAAAAGATGTGTAGTCACTAATAACATTAGTTATAAATGTTATTGCACAAATTATTTTATAAATAAAAATCTACCACCCACTCCACCCTCAGTATCCTACCCACCAGAAAAAATACACCCTAAAAATGTCTCATCATGATGACTTAGGTCTATCTTCAAGCATTTTAAATTAAAAAAAAAATTAAGTTACTATGCCCAATTACATAGGGTTACAGGCTTAAGTCTCTACTCACACAGTTGAGGTTGATGAGCAAACAGCTGTCCTGTATCTTGAGACAGACATTAGCTTTCTGCCTTCCCTATTCTCATAAGCAGCTACTTAAAAGTTTTGAATTTTATGCAAGAAAACATTTTAAAGCCTTCTGTGTTTTACTGCAGCAGACTTCAGATTCATTCCTGTAACACATTTAACATGAAACAGAGTTGAGACATATAAAATTTACGTACCACATTTTAACCACCTAAAATTTTAAGGAGTGCTTTCGCTATTATAGCTAGGTTAAAAGGGTGGCTGAAGAAAAAGTGAAAAATAAAAACATTCCAATTGGTATTTGACATTATTAACAATATGCATATAACTAATCCATAGATTTTCTATACCTGGCCACAGACTAGGTGAGTAAGGATTACTTTATATAATCATTTTATCCAAAGTAAGCAAAAGTAGGTATTTTTCTGTTTTCCTTAAGTCTAGCTAATTTATTTAGAATAAACAGCTACCAACTAAAGAACACTTTTACCAACAGTCAGTGGAATGCCTTTAGAGTCTCAAGTATACATGTCATAGCACCGGACTAGGGAGAATGAGATTGTTTTGTGACAGCAGGAGGAGCCATGTTGCTGACATTTTCTATGGTTTATAGCACATTTCTTGACAGATTAAAATTTCTACAGTACCATTATTACTACAGGTTAATCAAGTGTTAGAAGCCTTGCCTAGAAAATAAAACCTTGTTCCCATAAAAAAAAAAAACTATTCTACTAAACTGAACTTTCAAAATACCAAAAATACAGAAAGTCTGTAAATTAAGAACTACAATTACAAGATAAAAATCTTTGTTTCTCCATCCCATTAGCAAATATGTATTACATAGGCAGTCATAATGACAGTTTGCACTGCAAAAATAAATGTATGTATTTATTTATTTATTTATTTATTTGAGACAGTTTCGTTCTTGTTGCCCAGGCTGGAGTGCATGCAATGGTGCGATCTTGGCTCACTGCAACCTCTGCCTCCCAGGTTCAAGAGATTCTCCTGCCTCAGTCACCTGAGTAGCTGGGACTACAGGCACCCAACCATCACGCCTGGCTAATTTTTGTATTTTTTGTAGAAACAGAGTTTCACCATATCGGCAGGGCTGGTCTCAAATTCCTGACCTCAGGTGATCCACCTGCCTTGGCTTCCCAAAGTGTTGGGATTACAGGCATGAGCCACTGCACCAGGCCAAAAGATTTAATTTTTAAAAAAATTTATATTGCTACATAAAAAGTGCCATTTAAAAATCTGACACATGCCGGACGCAGTGGCTCACACCTATAATCCCAGCACTTTGGGAGGCTGAGGCAGGCAGATCACCAGAGGTCAGGAGTTCATGACCAGCCTGGCCAACATGGTGAAACCCCGTCTCTACAAATAACACAAAAATTAGCAGGGCATGGTGGCACATGCCTGTAATCCCAGCTACTAGAGGGGCTGAGGCAGGAGGATCACTTGAACCTGGGAGGTGGAGGTTGCAGTGTGCTGAGATCATGCCACTGCACTCCAGCCTGGGCAACAGAGGGAAACACCGTCTCAAAAAAAAAAAAAAAAAATCTAACACATTATATCTAAACTTTAATGTATAACAGTATCAGAAAGCCACAATACAGAGAAAGATTCTAGGCTTTGATGTTTCAATGCATTTCCTATTCACCTGCATTTTTTAATACAACTGTAAGTAAACTTCAAGCAAAATATGTACACTTCAATTAAAACATCCTAGAATACTGAGATAACTACCTTTCCCCTATATGTACACTGGGCTATACCTTTCCCCTATATGTACACTGGGCTAATATGTATATTGGTCTAAATTTCTATAGTAAATTTTAGGAAAAACTTAAAGATGTCATGAACATAGTAAATGTACTGTTTATATTAGCAACATAATTCAAAAACACCATGAGAAATAGCACCCAAACACTCCAATTTCATAGACTAATTTTAAAACTATTAATTAATGCTGAAATATTTAACATTTGCTATGCTGTAAGAGATGACTTGATGTTTTAGGGTTTATTCAAAGTAACTCAAATGTTTCTCTATAATCGACTTATATGGTACATATGAATATTTTAAAAATAATTCAAAATCTCATAAGAGTTATATGAAAGGTATTCTATCATAATAAGTTAAAATATTTGTCCAAGTGTCTAACTTTGCTTCAGTAGAACTGATTAAAACTCTGATTTCACCGCAGGCTTAAATGAGTCTGCAGTACAAGGGCTAAAACATAAACTGTACCAATCTTGGGCAATAAAACAGAAGCATGCTTTCTGCATAAAAATAATTTACATTTTATAGGTGTTTACGATATAACAGACACCACTGAGAGTTTTACATGCACGCTTAATCTTCATTCCATCCTTAAAAGTCAGGTGCTATTATTACCAACTCTTTACAGATGACAAAACAGGTTTGGAGATGTTAGGAACTGGTTCAAGATCACAGAGCTAGTTAAGTGGCAGAGCTAGGACCTGAAGCCAAATCTATTTGTCTCCAAAACCTGGTGCTCTTGAGCATAAAGCTAGATTACAGGCAAACAGTGATCCATTGTACTGATAGATCAAACTGTATCTGGAATTAGTATCCAGATTTGGATACCATATGTTAAGTGTGATACTGATGAATGAATGTTATCAGAAAACCAACAGGATGGTTATAAATTCAGGAAAGTCATCTCTTACAAGAAGTGACTATATGAAATTAAAGCAAGTAACCTATCGAAAAGACAAAAAAGAACACATTTTGAAGGGCAGTTAGAGAGACACAAATAAAGCAGGCTCATCTCACGTGGTACAGAGTACAGAACTTGAAACAGTGTATAGAAGTCTCAGGAGACATTCTTGTTCAACACAAAGCACTTTATAATGCTAAAGAATCCAACAGCTCAAAGCGGTTCCTACTATGGTACTGAGCTCCTACAATTAAATACCTAAACCCGGTTAAATATCTAAATCCATTAAATATCTGAATTATTACCATCTAGTAATAATTTGATTTAGACAAAGTTACCAAAGAATGTTAAAACTCTTTGTGAATGAAAGTTTGATGAGGACTGGTATATATTGAGTCTAATAGTGTCTTCCCACAAATTATGTATTACAGAAGGAGAAATATTAACTTAAGTAGAGGAACCTGGCAGGTATCACATTAACCTAAAGATCTAAGTAAGTATCACTGATAAGGAAACAAGTGGACATGTGCCTCCTAATGTGATGCACTGAAAAGCACACAAGTGTAACATTCCTGCCAAAACCACATTCCTAAATTTTATCATGAGAACACATTAGATACACTCAAATTAAGGGAGATTCTACAAATAAATGGTCTGTCACTCTCTTCAAAAATGTCAGTGTCATTAAAGGCAAAGAAAGGCTGAAGAAATGTTCCTGATTAAAGGAGAATAAAGAGATGTGGCAACTAAATGCAATGAATGATTATGGGTTGGATTCTGGACAGGAAAAAAAAAATCCCTAAAGAATGATTATTGGGCTCACGCCTATAATCCCAGCAATCTGGGAGGCCGAGGCAGGTGGATTACCTGAGGTCAGGAGCTCGAGACCAGCCTGGCCAACATGGTGAAACCCCATCTCTACTAAAAATACAAAAACGAGCCGGGCGTGATGGCACTCTTGTAATCCTTGCTACTTGGGAGACTGAGGCAGGAGAATCATTTGAACCTGGGAGGCAGAGGTTGCAGTGAGCCATTGCACTCCAGCCTGGGATACAAGAGCAAAACCCCGTCTCACACACAAAAGAAAAAAAACATTAATGGGAAAACTAGTAAAATGTGAATGTGGACTGTGTATTAGATAACTGCATATTTCCTTAATTTAATAACTGTAATGCAGTTATACAAGAGAAGGTCCTTGTTGTTAAAACTATACATTGAAATATTACATGGTGAAGGAACATGATGTAAGCAACTTAATCCCAAAAGATTCAGAAAAAAATAATATGACAGAGAATGAATAAGTAAATAGCACAAAATGTTAACAATGGGTTAATCTTACTAAGAGGTCCAGGGACCAGTTTCGTGGAAGACAAATTTTCCGTGTGTGTTTTTGGGGTAGGGGGTAGGGGTGGGCGGGATGATTTCAGGGTGAAACTGTTCCACCTCAGATCATCAGGCCTTAGGTTCTCATAAGCAGTGTGTAACCTAGATCCCTCTCATGAGCAGTTCTCAAGAGGGTTCGCACTCCTATGAGAATCCAGTGTTGCTGATCTGACAGGAGGCGGAGCTCAAGTGGTAATGCCAGCTCCCACGCGCTCCCCTGCTGTGCAGCCAGGTTTCTAACAGGCCACAGACTAGTACCAGGCCTAGTTCAGTTGCCAGCCCAGGGACTGGGATAGGAAATACATGTCTATTTTAACCTTCCATAAATTTGAATTATTGCAAAATAAAACCTGGTAAGCATCTGAACCTCATGTTCCAAGGATTCTAAATAGCTAAAAGAACCAGATTCCTTATCTTGTTTCCACACACAAACTCCATCCAATCCAACAGCAGTTTAAACTGATTTATGATGACTGAGTTATAATAAATAGTGCTCCAGTTTAAAATACCAAATGTAAGTGCCAAATGACATAAACCTTTCCACTGATGATAAGGTATGACTCACAGATCTAAGTCAGGTGAATGTCTACCTCCTCCCAATCTTATTATTCTACTGCACCCTTCCCGAAACTACACTGGAATTAAAGAACAGAGACAAGACTTCTCCAGTAAAGCTCTGCTATTCTTCCATTGAGAAGGCAGTAGCAAGTGTGTCTCCTTGCTAAAAACTCCAAATTAAGTTATCTATCTAACTATTTATTTATTTTGAAACAAAGTTTTTCTCTTGTTGCCCAGGCTGGAGTGCAATGGCGCGATCTCGGCTCACTGCAACCTCCGCCTTCTGGGTTTAAGCGATTCTCCTGCCTCAGTCTCCTGAGTAGCTGGGATTACAGGCATGCGCCACCATGCCCGACTAATTTTGTATTTTAGTAGAGACGGAGTTTCACCATGTTGGTCAGGCTGGTCTCAAACTCCTGACCTCGGTGCTCCGCCCGTCTCGGCCTCCCAAAGTGCTGGGATTACAGGCGTGAGCCACCGCGCCCAGCCAGGAATCACTTCTTCATGTTTTCCGATTATTTGAAAGAATATAGAGAAAGCAACCTCCCTCCCCACACCTCAAATACAACCTTCTTGCTCATCTATTACATTTATATTACAAAATAATTCAAGTTCCTAAAGAGTTCCTTTTCTAGACAAAAACTTGTATATTTAAAAAAAAGAAAGTCCTGCCTGGGCATGGTGGCTCACGCTAGTAATCCCAGTACTTTGGGAGGCCGAGGCAGGCGGATCACGAGGTCAGGAGTTCGAAACCAGCCTGGTCAGCATGGTGAAACCCCGACTCTACTAAAAACACACACACACACACAAAAATTAGCTGGGCATGGTAGCGCACATCTGTAATCCCAGCTACTCGGGAGGCTGAGGCAGGAGAATTGCTTGAACCGAGGAGGCAGAGGTTGCAGTGAGCTGAGATCGTGCCACTGCATTCCAGCCTGGGTGAGAGAGCGACACTCTGTCTCAAAAAAAAAAAAAAATTGTAGTAGCCAATATTTAAACATAAAGCCTAAATATTAACTTACAGTAAATTGGGTATTTTGAGACCAAAAGACTTCTTCAGAGAGCTAAATATAAAAGTATTTTAATATAATTCATTTGAAACATTTTTGCTTCTTTACCACAAAATTAAAATGCTCAAAATAATAGCTATTTTTAAGAGTAGCCTTCAAATTTAAACAATTTTTAAAAATTCTATTGGTATTATAGTGTGTCAATGTTGCCAAGGTAAAACATTCCAGGGTAACACCGTCAATGAACCCATTCACCCACCACTGATTACGTGCACAGCCTTGAGGGATACAAAATGTAAGACACTAATTCAGCCTGAATGATGAGACAAGAACTTTCCCCCCTCTCTCTTACCATTTAGAACTTTGAATAAATTAAAACGTTACTACCCCTCTAATAAAACATGTTAACAATGAATAACTGATATGTTTTAAATAGCACATTCAGTTTATTATACTGTTTAATGAGGATACGCAGTTGTTTTGTTTTTTGAGACAGAGTCTCACTCTGTCGCCCGGACTAGAGTGCAGTGGCACGATCTTGGCTCACTGCAACCTCCGCCTCCCGTCCTCAAGCAATCCTTTTTTTTTTTTTTTTTTTCCTGTAGAGATGGGTTTTTGCCATGTTGCCCAGGCTTGTCTCGAACTCCTGGGATCAAGTGATCCACCCACCTTGATCCCTGAAGTGCTGGGATTACAGGTGGAAGCCACCATGCTGGCCAGTTGATTTTTTTTTTCCCAACCACCAACAAACCAAATTTTTTCTATAAATCTTCTTTGATAATTCATTCCAGTTAACAGTTGTTTTGCAGATAAATACTATCCATTGCAAGTGGGACAGATATATGTGGAGAAAACTAAATACAAAAACATCACCTCTACTCAGAAACAAAGCATTTCTTCATTATCAGGGAGCAAATGTCTACCTTCAAGAATGTTATCAGCTATTAACATTAACAGTCAAAGTGAGATATTAAATATATGGATTGGCCAGGTACGGAGGCTCATGTTTGTAATCTCAGCACTTTGGGAGGCTGAGGTGAGAGGATCGCTTGAGGTCAGGAGTTCAAGACCAGCCTGGGCAATACGGCAAGATTCTGCCTCTACAAAAAATTTTAAAATTAGCCAGGCATGGCGTCACGTGCCTGTAGTGCTAGCTACTCAAGAGGCTGAGGCAAGAGGACTGCTTCAGTCCTGGAGTTTGAGGTTACAGTGAGCTATGATTGTGCGTCTGCACTCCAGCTGGGGTGACAAGAGCAAGATCCTGTCTCTTAAAAAAAGTTTTTTTTTTAATAGTAAATATATTAAAAATTTGTATCTGTTATTAGAGATGAAGAAGAGCAAATCAAGGATACCGATGGCAAACTGGCAATCTTCAGTGTTACTTTTCTCTAAAATAGTTCACTTTTTAGTTTTCATAACATTATAAAAATTAACCATTTTATCTAAACGGAACTCTGCGAAAGCAAATGAACGAAAGGTCCTGGTTACCTTTTCTTTCAAAAGAACATTTGATTATTCTGAGAAAACTACCAAAATGATTAGAAGAATGAAGTATGGCTTGGAGTTTAATCACATACAAACCATCCATTAGGCATCCAGATTCAGAGCTTTTTGTGGTACTCAGTCTTCTCAATAACACCTCTAGATTTTCACGTACATCCTCCTCCTTCCTTCTCACCCCATTCTGATATAAAATCACCTAATAGGGTGAGAAACTACACATGTGCACGTGTGCCCGACACACACACACACACACACACACACCCCTTAACAACTAAATAGAAAATATGATACTAATGAAATCTTTCTTTGCAAGAATTTCCTTTGGCAACTTCTCTTCCTCCTAGTGGCCAAGTCAAGTAACACCTATGGTGACCATATCTTCTAAATCAAAACCTAGGATGTGTGATTCAACAAGATAGAATATTTCAGTAGAAAAACATAAACCTCTAGTGGGTTGCGGCAAAGAGGCAGTTCAAATTTTTGTGCTACTTCCAAATGTGTGACTCTGTATTTTAAGGGTGTCAAAAAGTTATTATTTCTAAAATATTCCAAAAATTTAGAAGACCAATAAAAAATATTTGAAAACTGGGTTGCCTGAAGATACATGGCTCCTAGAATGGTATCTCAAAATCCCATCACCTGCTATTTGTCTTTTTATATACATTAGCTCAGGTTTCAAAGTTCTAAATAGGAGTTCTGAGCAAATCTCCCCCAAATATGACTCTTTCTCAGACCATTCTCCAGGGTTGTTTTTGCTAACTGCCTACTAGAAATTCACTTAGATGTCTCATTGGCTCTGCCAGTTAAAAAAACAAACAAAAACATGGGATGAGCATGGAGCAGGATTAACTAAGAGCTAGTAGGTAAGTCAGAATTGCAGGACAAATAGTAAGAACAGAATTGAGGGGTCCCATGATAAATGTTTTATCTGCATTGTCTCCTTTCATCTTCACAATATCCCTTAAAGGTAGTAGTAACTATTTAGAATGAGGAAACTGAGGCCTACAGAGATTATGGAACTTGCTCAGGTCAAACAGCTGGTAAGCAGTAAAGCAAGGATTTGAACCCAGAGAGTCTGACTCCAAAGCTCAAGCACCTGAACATGCTAAGACATCAAAAAGAATGAAATGCAGATTCTGACAGAGTTGTGGTCACTGGTCAATTCAAGAGGCATTTCTTGAGTACTTAGGTACTATCAGATACTGAGGATACAGAAAAAAATGTACATCTGGCTTCAAATTCTTGCTTTACTACTTAATAGCTACGTAAGCTGAAATGAAAAAGTTTCTGAGCAGTATGATTTGAATAAGGAATGGCTGCTACTCAGGAAAACAGACAAATTAACAAGTCACAATATAATATGAAACAACACAAATAGAAACAAGGAAGAGAAGTTATACAGTGATTAGCTTCGTTATAGGGAAAGGATTGTTTTGGTTTATGGTGGGAGACTCACCTTAATATTTTGAATGAGGATGAAGGATATTACAGACTAAATAAAACATGATACCATGATTCTACATAGTGCACTCAAGAGTCACAAGTAGACTGATACTCTTAAAATATAAATACCTAGAAGGGTGGAGAGTTAGGCTGGATTCTAGATGATTAGAAAAATAAAAAGGAAAACATAGTTCAAGCATCCAGACAGCAGTCAAGGTCCAGGGCTCAAGTAGGCTAAAACGGACTGGGTGGAAAGCAGAGCTCAGGCAGTATTACAAGGAAAGCTATTCCATTTCCACAGGCAATGGAGTCTATACAAGTGATCATCAATCAGCCTATGGTAAGCAGCTAGAAGGCAGAGATTACATATTCATTTCAATTCAACATATAGTTGAATGCTAGGTCAAGAGAACACAAAGGCTAGGCTGGGAGTGGTGGCTCACACCTGTAATCCCACCACTTTGGGAGGCTGAGGCAGGCAGATCACTTGAGCCCAGGAGTTCAACATCAGCCTGGCAAACATGGCAAAACCCCATCTCTACTAAGAATACAAAAATTAGCCAGGTGGTGGCACAGCCTGTAATCCCAGCTACTCGGGAGGCTCAGACAGGAGAATTGCTTGAACCAGGGAGGTGGAGGCTACAGTGAGGAGATCGTGCCACTGCTCCAGCCTGGGTGACAGAGACTCTGTCTCAAAAAAAAAAAAAAAAAAAAAAAAACACACACACTCACACACGAAGACAGAATATGGCCCCTACTCACAAAGGATCTCACAGCTTTGGTACAAGAGGCAAATATGTTGAATTATTGCAATCTGGTGTGATCAGTGAAGAACAGAAGGAGTTGTCAATTATGAGTAGGTCTTTCAGGAAGATGTGGGAAGATAACAGCTGTAAAAGTGAAAAGGGCCCGAAACAATGTATTTAGAGAAAATGCTGGTAGTTTACTGTGACTGAAGTACAGTACACGTTGAGATGAGGATACTGAGATAAGCAAGGGCAAGATTATGGTGGGTCTATTATGGATAAAGATGAGATAAAGAAAAATCCCTCAAATGTTGGGAAAGAAGGGAATCTAGAAAGGTGCTACCCAATATATTAAGTAGCCACCAGCCCTGTGGAACTACGGAGCACTTGGAATGGAGCTAGTGCAACTAAGGAGCTAAGTTTTAATAAATTTAAATAGCCACTACTAACTACCATATTAGACAGCAATGATCTACAGCACACGTAACAGAATTTTCTTATCCAGAAAGAATTTATCTTCCATAAAGAAAAGAGGGTAAATGAAGATACAGGTATTTGTAAATTAAGGAAAAGAAGGGGCAGGAAATTGAGAAAACTCACAAAATTATGTCAATGGTAACAATAAAGCATAAGGAAAGAGTGAGGACGAAGTCGTTTTTTTCTTTTGAGACAGAGTTTCGCTCTTATCGCCCAGGCTGGAGTGCAGTGGCACAATCTCGGCTCACTGCAACCTCCGTCTCCCGGGTTCAAGCAATTCTCCTGCTTCGGCCTCCTGAGTAGCTGGGATTACAGGCGTGCACCACCACACCCCCTAATTTTGTATTTTTAGTAGAGACAGGGTTTCACCATGTTGGTCAAGCTGGTCTGGAACTCCTGACCTCAGGTAATCCACCCACCTTGGCCCTAAAAGTGCTGGGATTACAGGCATGAACCACACTGTGCTCGGCCAAAGTCTTAAAGAATAGAGAAGGTTTAAGATAAGCACACAGAAAAATGGTAGAGGGTTAGGATCAAAAAGGATGGACAAGTCCAAGCTGGAGTTGTAAAGTATAAAGTTTGTAGTAAAGCTTAAAAAAACAAAGCAAACCAAAACAAAAAGCTATAAAGGGTATTGTTGAGACAACTGACAAAACTAAATAAGGACAGTATATTAAATAATATTATTGCATAAAAGTTAAAATTCCTGATTTTGATAACTTAATCACACTGTGTAAGAGAATATTCTTGCTCTATGGAAATATATACTGAAGTATGTAGGGGTAAAAGTCTCCAGCTTATGCTCAAATGATTCAGAAAAACATAGCATGCATATGTATTATATATACAATGCATATATAGTATGTGCATACTAATTTAATTTTTATATATGCATGCATAATACACCCCCAAGGAAAGTAAGAATATGATAAAGCAAACAGGACACAGTATAACAATTGGGAATCTAGAAAAACGATGTATGAAAGCTCCTTGTACTGTACATGCAATAACTATGTAAAAGTTTGAAAATAAATATAAATTAAAAGTTACAAAAAAATTCATAGTAGTGTCAAAACAAAACTATATGATTTCCTCTGATAGCACTTAGAAGCAGAGTAGATGGCAAAACTGGGCAAAGATTCAAAGCTAAGAATACTGGAAGAAAAGTGATTGAAGAGGGAACTGAAGCTAGAGGAGAGAATGAAACAAGAGGTGCTGGGACCAGAAATCTTGATAAAGCTTAAAGCTTAAGAATAAACGTGCTGGGAAAAGGAGAATGAGCATTGGAATGACAGGAGGCTACAGTCAGAAAAGTAGGATATTAAGCATTCCAAATCAGAGTTGTTATTAGTCATTTAGGAAATGCAAATTAATCCCACAATAGAATACCACTCCACATCCACTAAAATGGTTAAAATTTAAAAGACTGACCACACCGATTTTTGATGAGGGTGAAGAGAAACAGAATTCCCAAGCACGACTAGTGGGCATGTAAAAAACTACAGCCACTTGGGAAAACAGTTTGACCATTTCGTATGAAGTTAAACATGCAATTATCCTAAGACCTAGAAATTCCACTCCTAGGTTTCTACCCACAAAGAACAAAAACATATGCCACACACTTGTACGCAAATGTTCACAGTGGCATTATTCACAACAGACAAAGCATAAAAGCAGCCAAGTGTCCATACATGGATGAATGGATAAACAAAATGTGGTATGTATATATAGAGAGTATTATTCCACCTTTAAAAGGAATGAAATTCTGATACATACTACAATCTGGATGAACCCTGAAGACATTATGCTAAATTAAATAAGCCACACTACAAAAGGACAGATATTGTATGATTCCACTTACGTGAAATACTTGGAATGGTCAAACTCACAGTGACAGAAACAATGTTGGTTACCACTGACTGGGGGAGACGTGATTGGGAGTTATAGTTTAATGGGTACAGTTTCAGTTTGGGACAATTTTTATAGTTCTAGAGATGGAAAGTGGTAATAGTTATACAACAATGTGAATGTATTTAATGGTACTGAATGGTCTATTTAAAAACAGTTTAAATGGTAAATTTTATGTATATTTTATCACAATAAAAGATTAAGCTAATGACAGGTAGTGCAACATGAATGTACCTCAATAACATTTTAAGGTCATTTTTGTTATTATTCCATTTATATGAAATGTCAAGAAAGGGCAAATCTATAGGTTACTGGTTACCCATAATGGGTGGTAGGAAAGGGGATTGTTTACAAATTGGTTCAAGGAATATTTTGGGTGACAGAAATGTTCTAAAAGTGGATTGTGGTAGTAACAACATAACTTTATAAATTTACTAAAAAATACTGAACACTTATGAAACAGGTGAATTTTGTGGTATGTAAATTATACCTCAATATAAAAAGTTTTAGGCCGGGTGCAAGTGGCTCATGCCTGTAATCCCAGTACTTTGGGAGGCTGAGGCAGGCAGATCACCTGAGGTCGGGAGTTTGAGACCAGCCTGACCAACATGGAGAAATCCCATCTCTACTAAAAATACAAAATTAGCTGGGTGTGGTGGTGCATGCCTGTAATCCCAGCTACTTGGGAGGCTGAGGCAGGAGAATCACTCGAACCCGGCAGACGGAGGTTGCAGTGGGCTGAGATCGCGCCATTGCACTCCAGCCTGGGCAACAAGAGGTTGAAACTCCATCTCAAAAACAAATAAATAAATAAAATAAAATTTTTTTCACCAATGAATTGCCAATAACTAAAAAAAATTAATACGTCTACTGGTATGGGTGCAGATAAACTACCTTTTTTTATAGGTCTGGAGACGAAGAGAGTAATACACAATGGTAAGTATCTGTGTATCTAAACATAAAAAAGGTACAGTAAAAATACAGTATTATAAACACACATGACCACAGTCTATATGCAGTCCATCACTGACCAACATGTCATTATGTGGCACATGACTATACATGTAAAGATTTCACAAAATATCCTAAAGTTAAACACACACACACAAAACACACCAGGAATTTTAAAAACAGTATGTACAATATGATCCCCATTAAAAAAATTAAACCTAGGTATGCATGTTTACAGAAAAAAGGCTAGAAAAATATACAGATATTTTTATCCATTTTTATTGCTAACTAGTTAGATGATGAGTGTTTTTTGTTTTTGCCTATCCATTTGCCAAATTTTCCATAATTAATATGTATTTCAATTGTATGACCAGAAAAGTTCAGAAGTGGAACTGTTTTAAGCAATGATTAAGGTCGTGATTTTGGGAGTTGATTACGAAAGCTCTGGAGACAAAGGTCATAGGAGTTTAAAAAATTAATTTACTTTGAAATTTAAATGAATTTATGTATTCAATAAAAATTAAGCATTTCCTATGTGCCAGCTACGGTTCTAGGATCTGAGGATACAGTAACGAATAAAACAGACCCAAATCCCAGCATTCACAGTAGTGGAAAGTCACTTGAACAGAGTGAAGAACTTAAACCACGTACAAAAATTCTAAATGAACGTGAAAGAACGATGGAGAAAAGAAAAAGAGATAATGAACAGGAGTAGCCTTGATACTTGACAGAAGAGTAATGGTCTGAAAACACAGAACTCACTCCCCTTTTAACCTCCTGGTATGACGTATGGAAGAATCAGCAGCCAACACTTGAGGACCAGGAGGAAAGTGGCGTCCTTTGAAAGATGAAAGCTTCAGTTAGGGCAGGAAACAAAGATTCTGTGAGGAGTTAAGTATCTTGTTCATTACAGAATAGAGCTCTAGAGCAAAAGGAATGAGTAGTGAACTGTATTTGGTATAGGAACCAAGGGGGCATGGCAGGATTAACCGACTTAAAAATTCTTAATTAGGTTCAGACTGCAGCTTAGGAGACATTCTGAGGCTTGATGATGCAGGATGACACTCACCTGGTCCTCAGATGCTGGGACAGCATGTATTATTTATCTCTGTATCCTCAGAGTCTAATACAGAGTCAAATCTGCAGGTTAGTAAAAGCAAAAACCTTCAATGACTTGAAGAGAAAATCCTAAATCTCAAAATTCAACATAGCTCAGGAACTTGCTCCAAGAAATAGCTTTGCCTAACTTAGTATTGTTTTCAAGGAAACTATCATCTCTCTGCCAACCCGGCTTAACGCCTTGGTCATTTCTGACACACTGCCCCCACGTAAATTAGTAATTAAATCAATACTCCTCATCTAACCCTTTTATGCCATTACATCTGGTTTAGGCCCTCCTCCCTCCCACTTCTTGGCCAGTTAGGCCTCAGTTATTAGGAAGTATATCCTTTTTCCAAAATGTCTGGGACCAGAAGAGTTTCAGATTTCAAATTTTTTTGTATTTTGGAATATTTGCATTATATACTTAACAGTTGAGCATCCCTAATCTGAAAATCCAAAATCTGAAATGCTCCAATGAACATTTTCTTTCAGCATCGTGTCTGCACTCAGAAAATTTCCAATCTTGGAGTATTTCAAATTTCGAATTTGGGATGATCGACCTACACTTCGTAAATCTCACTTAATCTCTTGCCTCTCTGAACTGATTTGCAGCAACTATGTGTGTGCTGTAATCATGCCTAACCCTGATCTAGGCTTAAACAGACTTCATAAGAAGCAGAGTGCTATAATACTGAGACAAGGCCTGGATTCAGATCTGAGCTGTTTCTTCTTAGCTGCACAATCTTGAACCCATGCCACTTTACTGCCTAAGAGGATATTTAAATCCTCTCAGGGTGATCAGACCACGCCCCAAATCAGTAATTCAAAGGTTTTCCATCACTAAGAGAATAGGTTTAGCTCATCTTGTCTATGAAGCCTCATTCTCCTGCCATTTTTCCTCCTGGGCCCTAAAGCTCTCAACTTCCATGCTTTTGAGAAGGAATTTCGCTCTGTTGCCCAGGCTGGAGTGCAATGGCATGATCTGAGCTCACCGCAACCTCCTCAGCCTCCTGAGTAGCTGGGATTACAGATGCTCACCACCATGCCCAGCTGATTTTTATATTTTTAGTAGATACACGGTTTCACCACGTTGGCCAGGCTAGTCTCAAACTCCTGACATTGGCTTCCTGAAGTGCTGGGATTACAGGCATGAGCCACTGTGCCCAGCCTAACTTCCATGCTTAATCATCTCCATGAACACGCTTTTCTCTAAAGTTACAAGGCTTACCTAACATCCCTTTCACTCACTCTGGTTAACTTTTATTTATTTTCTAAGTCTTAGCACAGCCACTTTACAGTCTTCTCTGACTCTGCTCCAATGATAATCTGGTCTCTTTTCTCCCTCATTATCATTTAATATAAATTCTCTGCATGTTTCCCCAACATATCATAAGTTCTTAGCATAGCACCCAGTAGTTGCTTAAGAAACCTGTGCAGAATTTATTATTATGGATAATACCACCACCAATTCACAGGGCTGGGAGGTTTAAAATAACGTATGTATAGGCCAGGTGCGGTGGCTCATGCTTGTAATCCCAGCACTTTGGGAGGCCGAAGCGGGCGGATCACGAGGTCAGGAGATTGAGACCATCCCAGCTAACACGGTGAAACCCCGTCTCTACTAAAAAATACAAAAATTAGCCAGGCGTGGTGGCAGGTGCCTGTAGTCCCAGCTACTCGGGAGGCTGAGGCAGGAGAATGGCGTGAACCCAGGAGGCGGAGCTTGCAGTGAGCCAAGATCGCGCCACTGCACTCCAGCCTGGGCGACAGAGTGAGACTCCATTTCAAAATAAATAAATAAATAAAATAACATATGTATATATGTATAGGATACATAGTAGGTGCTCAGTCCACCATCATTTTTTCTATCCCATATCCACCTCAGAGAAAACTTTATAAAAGAAAATTAAGGGAGGTGAGGGCAGTTCAATTGAATAATAAATTTCTAAGATGGAATTCTGATTTTTAGTTCATAGGAAATCAAAGAACCAGAAGATATAAACTCAGCAAAACAAGGAGGGAAGCATGGTCCAATCCTCATAATAAACTCCTTAAATATCTGGAACTCTTACCAGTTTCCATCCTTTGACACTCACTAAAATAAGAATGAATAATCCCTGCTATATCCATCTGTCAATCTTTCCTACCTTTCCCAGAAAGTCACTTGACAGTGATATTGAGATACCAAACCCAAAGGTTTAGGAACATTAGTAAAATTACTCACATTACCACAGAACTTCAAAAACAACAACTGGTAGTCTCCCTGCCTTGAATTCCTCTCCCTAAGTAAACCTTCCCTCTCTAAGTAAACCTGAATAGCAAGATCATGCTCTGGTATCAGCCTTCCCAATTTCAATCTAGGCTCTGCCACATAACCTTTGTCAATTTGTCCTATCTGTCTATAAACCTGTTTAACCTTTGTCAATTTTTCCTATCTCTCTATAAACTTAGCATTATCATCTGCGAAATAGGCACAACAATAATACCCATCTCATGATATTGTGAGAACTTAAAGTTAATGTGTCTGATAGTGTCCAATATGAGTTGCAATTAAATTAATATTCCAAACCCTGTTTTTACCACTTATTTGCATAGAAGCCTTCATAATTCACCACTGCTCACAGTCACACCATTCCCATATCCTATGTATACTCCATACCTCTTCCCCACCTGGGCTTACTGGAAAAATGAGAAATTAAATGGCACCTGCTAAACCAGCAAAATTTTGGTTGGCATATCCAGAATCTATTACTCCCTCCATTTTGCCATTCCAGGATTGCCTCTTTCCGGGTAAATAAAGCTTTTAGTGTACATCCAGTCTCAAACCTATCTAACAAATCTTCAAGGAATGTCTCAGATTTTACTTTTTCTAATTTTCTTATTATCTTGGCTTATCTTTCTTCCCACTTGAACTTCTACAGCAATCATCTATAACAAACACAAGTTTGCACTCAGTAATATATGATCCTGACATTAAACTAAATTAAGTCTGGCCCGAGGCTGCCTCCATCCATATTTTAGGTTTGGCCCAAAGTTTCTCTCTACATAGTGCACTATAAAGTTAACTTGATATGTAAGCAGACTGTAACCTACTCTTGTAATAAGTAGCCAAGTCTCAGCCAATCACAGTAGCTGAGTTTCAGCCAATCATAGGTGGCCAACTGTTCAAATTGTGTTCAGATGAGGCAAAGGCTGAGCTGTAACTAATCTAGCTGTTACTGTACCTCACTTCCCTTTGCTGTATGCATGTCACTTCCCTTTTCTTGACCATAAATGTTATCTGACAATATGTTATTTGACAATACGGTACTCTGCAGTCCTCCTGAACTGTTCTGGTTCTGGGAGCTGCTTGGTTCTTGAATCGCTTTTTGCTCAATTAAATTCCATTAAATTTGTCTAAAGTCTTTAACACTGACTTATCAGATAGGAAATACTCATATCCCCTACTTTTATCAAACAGTATGTGAGTTTCCTCCAGAAAAGGACCATTTTACAGTACTTTACAAGCTCATCTGACTGTGTAACTAGTCTGACTATCTGACTAGGCTGTATGCACACAACTCAATAAAAATTTGTTACTGAAACAATTATTTTAGGCAATCAATGTCACCTTTTCAGTGTAGGTTTTCATTTGAAAGTCTGCAAAGAATAAATTTTTTCTACAAAAAGTAAATGTATTTTTTAAATTCCTACAGCTACTGAGACTTAGTATTCATTCAGAGAAAAGATAACCTTACAGTAGTCCACCCTTATCAACTGATAAAGTTTGTGTATTTGTCCCCACTCAAATCTCATGGTGAACTGTAATCCCCAGTATCGGAGGTGGGGCCTGATGGGAGGTGACTGGATGATGGGGATGGAGGAGTTCTCATGAATAGCTTAACACCATCCCCTTGGTGCTGTCCTTGAGATAGTTTTCACAAGATCTGGCTGCTTAAAAGTGTGTGGTACCTCTCCGCACCCCACTCTCTTTAGCTCCTGGCTTTTGTCATGTGATGCACCAGCTCCCTCTTTGCTTCCGCAGTGATTGTAAGCTTCCTGAGGCATGATCACAAGCTGAGCAGATCTCTGGTGCCATGTCTCCTGCACAGCCTGAAGAACCATGAGCCAATTAAACCTCTTTTTATACTCAGTCTCACGTATTTCTGTATAGTAATGCAAGAATGACCTAACACATCCAAGATTTCATTGTCGGCTGTTTCAGTTACCTGAGATCAACCACAGCCTGAAGATACTAAGATATTTTGAGAGAAAGAGGGAGGGAGATGATATCACATAACTTTTATTACAGTATAATTATTCTATTATTGTTAATGTCTTACTATGTCTAATTTATAAAACTATGTCATAGGTATTTATGTATAGGACAAAACACAGCAAATATAGGTTTGGTACTATCCACAGTGGGTCTTCAAACATATCTCCCATGAATAAGGGGCAACTACTGTATATATAATTTTAAACAATTATCTACAAAATTTAAGAAAACTGGTTGTGTAGGCCGGGTGCAGTGGCTCATGCCTGTAACCCTAGCCCTTTGGGAGGCCGAAGTGGGTGGATCACCCGAGGTCAGGAATTCAAGACCAGCCTGGCCAACATGGTGAAACCCCGTAGCTACTAAAATACAAAAATTAGCTGGTCATGATGGTGGGTGCCTGTAATCCCAGCTACTCGGAGGCTGAGACGGGAGAACTGCTTGAACCCTGGAGATGGTGGTTGCAGTGACTGGAGATTGCACCACTGCACTCCAGCCTGGGTGGGTGAGCAAGACTCTATCTCAAAGAAAAAAAAAAGAAAGGGAAAAAAAACAGAAAAACGGTTGTGTATTCTGTTTCTCAAAGCTAAGGGCCAGGCGTGGTGGCTCATGCCTGTAATCCAGCATTTTGGGAGGCCGAGGCAGGTGGATCACAAGGTCAGGAGATCGAGACCATCCTGGCTACGGTGAAACCCCGACTCTACTAAAAATACAAAAAATTAGCTAGCTGGGCGTGGTGGCGGGCGCCTGTAGTCCCAGCTACTCGGGGAGGCTAAGGCAGGAGGATGGCATGAACCTGGGAGGCAGAGCTTGCAGTGAGCCAAGTTTGCGCCACTGCACTCCAGCCTGGGCGACACAGCGAGACTCCATTTCAAAAAAAAAAAAAAAAAAGCTAAGGAAAACATTCTTTTCAAATTATATATCACATAAATCTATTATAACATTCAAAATCTATTGTCATTATTTTACATTTTTATTATTTAATGTATACCAAAAGAACAGCAAAAGAAAGAACAGAGTAGGCCGGGTGCGGTGGCTCACGCCTGTAATCCCAGCACTTTGGGAGGCCGAGGTGGGCGGATCATGAGGTCAGGAGATCGAGACCATCCTGGCTAACACGGTGAAACCCCGTCTCTACTAAAAATCCAAAAAATTAGCCAAGCGTGGTGGCGGGTGCCTGTGGTCCCAGCTACTTGGGAGGCTGAGGCAGGAGAATGGCGTGAACCCAGGAGGCGGAGCTTGCAGTGAGCCGAGATCGCGCCACTGCACTCCAGCCTGGGCGACAGAGCGAGACTCCGTCTCCAAAAAAAAAGGAAAGAAAGAACAGAGTAAACAGATAATCTACAGAATAGGAGAAAATACTCACAAACTGCACCTCTGACAAAGGTCTAATATCCAGAATTCAACAAGCAAGAAACAAATAATCCCATTAAAAAACGAGCAAAAGAACACATACTTCTCAAAAGAAGACACACTCTGGGGACTGTTGTGGGGTGGCGGGAGGGGGGAGGGATAGCATTAGGAGATATACCTAATGCTAAATGACAAATTAATGGGTGCAGCACACCAGCATGGCACATGTATACATATGTAACTAACCCGCACACTGTGCACATGTACCCTAAAACTTAAAGTATAATAATAATAAAATAAAATAATTGAGCAAATGAAAAAAAAAAGAAGACATAAATACAGCCAACAAATACATGAAAAAATGCTCAACATTACCATCACTAATCATTAGAGAAATGCAAATCAAAATCAAAATATCATCTCAAGCCAGTCAGAATGGCTATTATTAAAAAGTCAAAAAAATGACAGATGTTGGTGAAGTTTCCCAGAAAATGGAATGCTTATACACTGTTGGTGTTAATGTCAATTAGTCCAGCCACTGTGGAAAACAATTTGGAGATTTCCCAAAGAACTTAAAACACAACTACCATTAGACCCAGCAATCCCATTACTGGGTATATACTCAAAAGAAAATAAATCATTTTACCAAAAAGACACATGCACTCGTTTATGTTCATCACAGCACTATTCACAAGAGCAAAGACATAGAATTAACCTAGGTGCCCATCAACAGTGGACTACATAAAGAAAATGTGGTACATATACATTATGGGATACTGTGCAGCCATAAAAAAGAACAAAATCATGTTCTTTGTAGCAACATGGATGGGGCTGGAGGCCATTATCCTAAGTGAATTAATGCAGGACAGAAAACCAAATACCACGTTGTCACTTATAAATGGGAACTAAGCACTGAGTACACAAGGACATAAAGATGAGAACAATAAACACTGGAGACAATTAGAGGAAAGGGCTGGGGAGAGGCGAGTGTTGAAAAACTATTAACACCTATCAGGTACTATGGTCACTGAGTGACGGGATTGTTTGTACATCAAACCACAGTGACATGCAATTTACCCATGTAACAAACCTACACATGTACCCCTGAACCTAAAATAAAAGTTGAAAAAATAAAATATAGCAAAAGACTATTATGGATAGTAAATAATGCCACATTAAAAGTTTTGAAAGCCGGGCGCGGTGGCTCACACCTGTAATCCCAGCACTTTGGGAGGCCGAGGCGGGTGGATCACAAGGGTCAGGAGTTCGAGACCAGCCTGGCCAATATGGTGAAACCCCATCTCTACTAAAAATACAAAAATTAGCCGGGCGTGGTGGCAGACACCTGTAGTCCCAGCTCCTTGGGAGGCTGAGACAGGAGAATCGCTTGAACCAGGGAGGTGGAGGTTGCAGTGAACTGAGATCACGCCACTGTGCTCCAGCCTGGGTGACAGAGCGAGACTCTGTCTCCAAAAAAAAAAAAAAAAAAAGAAAGAAAACTCACTCCTATTCTTACAATGGGTAATTCATGGATTTTTACTATGCTTATAATTACCTTTAATTCCCAACTATAGTTAATAATTTGATCCCTTCAAAGAAACAAACATTGGTAATATTTACCTGTATTTCAAAAGTTTCATCAATTTGACCTTTTTCCTTTACCACCAAGTTGCTTTCAAAGCTATGAATAAAAAGGCTACTTTTTCTTTTTTTGGTCCAATAGAGGTCCTTTTGCTTTAAAATATGTTAGAGGGGGAATGGCACAGAGGACAAAGAGAAAATATTTTAAATGAAAATGATTCCAAATCAACTATTTTTCTGTTCACGTCAATTTTATTTGTAAGTAATGTTGTCTGCATTATTTAACTTTTTTGATGATAGAATATTTGATGCAAAATAATCTATGTAGCCTCTCTACCCTATGTATAAGTTACTCAGTAAGTTATTTGACTTTTGTTCACAGGCAGGTGCTTTATACACCCGGATGCAGAATGAGCACAAGGTCCAAGCCAACAGTTATTTAAGGAGTTGTTAGCATTTCAAATAGCTTAAAGTGCTTTTGCACTTTGCCTAATCTTCCCACTACACAGCTTGGTCTCAAGCTTTTATTAAACGTGAGGAATTCAACAGCTATGAAACTCAAAACTATGTGCATAAGGAAAACTACCTTTACTTTGCCTGTGCCTCATTCTTTTATCTTCTTGTATCCTGGGGATGCTAAAATGTTTAATATCCTTTATCAAAGTGTTCCAAAAAACTGTCAGAAATACTTTTTTTTTTTAATGTTTGTTTCCCTTAAAGCATTTTTAGACAGGCAGCAAGTTTTCACTATGCCTTAGAAGAAGGAATTACAAATAGCTGGTGGTTAAAGAGTGAAGTGGAATGATGTGAGGGAAAAAAGGAATAGAGAAGTAAGCTCAGGAAAGCACACAGCTCAGTGTGTAAAGGAAAGGACTTCCAGTCTGACAAACCTCAGTTTTAAAGTATGCTAGTCACTTACCAGCCAAGGAGACCTTAGACAAATTAGCTAGCCTTTCTAAATTGACTTACTGGTTCGAAAAGACTAACAGTACTTAGCGTGGGGACCATCTGAGAGAATGTTTAGCACAGAATCAGCTGGTGTTATTCTTCACTCTAGCTAGTATTCACTAACGAATATGAAGCAGAGAAAAACAGATATGACCGCACAGTAAAGAATGTATTATACAGAGCCTAAAATGGAAATGAAGATCAATTAGGGGGGTGTTTAGTCATCTAAGAAATCATACCGTGTGGCCTTATGCTAACACGTGAAGGAAAAAAAAAAAGATTGATTCTAGAGACACTGAATTTAAAATTTATAGGCTAATTGTGGCTAACTGGTGATGAAGAAGAATCAGAATGACAATCAGATTCTGGCTTGGGTGGCAGTATCACCCATTTGCTGTGACTTTTGGTGAGCTGGATAAATATGGGTCTCAGGTACAAAAAAAGTTTTGGATTTTAGATTCAGACGTTGGAACCATTAATATGTATAGTATGCTAATTAAAGATATGGGACTGGAGATTATCAAAAGGGAAGTCTAGAGAAGAGTTAAGAACAAAATGCTACGAACTTCTATTACTTAATGGTTGTAAAGGAGAAACATTTGCAAAAGACACAGAGATCACTAATGAGGAAAGCACAGACAGTATCATGAAAATAATGAGAAGAGTTTCAAGCAGGAAAAGTAGTCAATGGCACTAAATGTTGCTGAGAAATCTAGTACTTACAAAAATCTATTGGTAGCAGATGACACAGGGTATTTATATTGCGAAGGGGAAAAAAGGTATAAACAGGGATAGATGGATCTGCTCTCTTCTACCAAAGCACTACTAACGACAAAACTGTTTCGAGTTCATTTTCTCCGATGGCATACAAACACAGAAAACCAAATTTAGTCAAACAAGTTCATAGACACATCAGTTCAAAAATTAGCATTAATAGGTTTAAACAAAAATGGCTCTAGGTTCTTTCAAGTTTTATCAACTTACTGCCCATTAAGTTTTTTCCTCATATTATTTGGAGGGAAAAAAATCACTATGTTCCTCTTGAATGGCATCTAACAACAGAGACTTTGAATACATTATTTTTGAAATAAAACGCAACCATCACTTTTCATATCTTGACCCAAATACCTAGGTCAATTTAAAAGTTTTCTTCTCCTTGTAGAAAACTACTTTCCACTCTCCCTAGGAAACCAAAAAGATACTCCCTAAATCTGTCAATGTAAGATCAGTAGTACTGCAGAATTACAGTTACAGAAACCACTAAAAAAAATCACTTCTTTACCTTGGGGTACCCAGCAAAATGTAATCAACAGCTAAACTTTCACTACAGTATTTACAATTACCTTTATCTCTATTTGGTAGCAATAACATTAAATTTTATTAAGACGACAATCAAATTACATGTTGTCAAATTACCAATATTTGTGATAGAAATATGGAAAATTTTTAATTTTAAATTTCTCTCTTCTATCCCAAATGTTCAACACCAAAGTATCTGAAAAAAAATCAAACAATAAAAGTAGACATTAACAAAAAAAACTTCCCTCTGAAACAAACACAATGACAAACATACCAGCATCAGCTCTGAAAGTCAGAGATACTAAATTATCAGTTAATTGAAATAAAAGTTGACACAAAGTAAGTTAAATTATTTAAATTGCAAAATGAGCTAGACTAACTCCATACCATACATGCTCAACTACTGGTTCCATCAATGAGTTATAGCCCAGCCTATGGCTTATCATTACTCCCCATTTGTAAGAAAAAATATGATTGTCTTAGAATTGTCTTTGATTTTAACACAACTTAAGTTTATTCTAGAACGTTACTCAACTAGTTTATAAGCCAGTTATGCCTATTTCATTTAACAGACAAGCTAGTAAAAGTATACATAATTTGTGGTCAATGCCAACAAAGCATGCTCTTAAAGACAAACAGAAACAACATATGTCTAGCACCACTATATGTGTGTAAAGTTAAGTTCTTACCTTTAACTGAAACCTATAAAATACTGGAAAGATGCTGATATACCATTTCAAAGCCTGTAATTATTCATAAAAGTTATCTGTTTCCAAAGTGTATTTTTAAAAACTCAAAATTAAGAAACGCACAAATAATGACAAAGGTTATTCATACATGTTTTTGAGACAGGTAAAGTTAACTGGCACTACTCCAGTCTCCTAATGTTAACTGGCACTACTCCAGTCTCCTCCTAAAAATGTTTCTGATATATTTTCTTGAAAGAAAATATTTCTTCTGGTATGTGCTTACCAGAAGAAAAAGAAAAGCCAGCCTGAATAACAAAGCCAGTGTAAAACATTAAGCCCCATACTTACTAATAGCAACACATACACTAAGTATATAAAATATCTAGCATAGATACAATTGCTCAGTTAAGTGGGTAAAAGTGTTTCCAATTTCCCTCAGCTGATTTTAATATCCAGAAAAATTGCTTTATATCCATCTACATCTTGGAAAGTGGTGTTGAAAATAGGCTTTTAGGCAAAAACTAATCAACAAGTCAGAGAGCTCCATAGGCACACTTTAACAGAACATTTAAGGGGCTACACATCAGAAAAACTTTGAAGCATATTCTGCTGGTGTCGATATAAACTGGTATAACTTTTTAGAAAAACAATTTGGCCAGTGAAGTGTTCATTATCCTTTGATCTAGGTAAAGCCACTCCAGGATTTTTCCAAAAGAAATCTTTTTTAAAAAGGAAAATATTTTACAGCTACACACAGGTGTGTTCAACGCAATACTATTAAAAATGACGAAAAATTAGAACCTAAAAGTAGACAATTCAAAAAACTAGGTTAATTCAGGTCACATCAATTTAAGAGAATTACATAGTTACTGAAATGAAAACAATTTCAACAGATAGTTAAGTGAAAACATAAAACTGCACAGATTCATAATTATTGGAAAACTGCAAGAATATAAGACAGAGAAGGGAACAGGAAAAAAATGAGATGACCAAACAATGATCTGCTGGTGGGTAGATAGGTAACTTTTCTTGATTTCATTATTATTACACTATTGTTTAAACAACAGATATAGCAGAAAAGCATTAATTTAAAAACCTTTGCATGATCCGGAACAAGTAGCATAGCAAATACAATGGCTGAAAATGCTTAGCTGGCTTTTGGTCTGATTATTGCAATGATTATTGCAATTTATACCTTAATTTCTATGAGAACAAAGAGCAACAATATAAAGAAAACAGTCTCTAAAAAATATTCTTGTACTGAAATACACTACAATTACGTCATAAATAAGAAATGTAAATAGAATCAGATACTTTAAAAAAAAGTTGTAGTAGCCTACCTATAGCTTTTAAAAATATAAATCCTTTCATTTCCTGTTTCGAAATGTTAATTACTTATCTCCACCTTTGAAAGAAATGAAGAGTTTGAATGAAGTAAGAAGAAAGCAGTTTCACTTTGTTCATCAATGGCCTTTTTAATTATGAGCATATTAAAAATTATAAGCATATTAAAAATGTCAACATATTGTTAAATTAAAATATACTGAAATTAAAAGGGGTGCTGTGCTGGGGTTAAAAAAATTAAACAGTTGGCATTTCAATTTACTAAAAAAGACGTATTTAAGCCTATCACATTTATCTTTCAGCAACTTAACATTTTAAGTTTAAGGAAAATGACATATCAAATGAACCTCCTCAAGATGTCATTTATAAAAACTGACAACTGACTGTTCAAACAACCAATTCAAAAAAAAATCCTGTTATTGGAGATGATTTTGAGTCTAAGATGTTTTAATGACACTCATATTCTGAACTAAAAATAATGATAGGAGAAAGTCAAGTTTGATTCTCTGAACACCTATTTCCTGTCCAAAGAGCCCTTTTGTTCTGCTTCCCTGCTTAATTTTAGTGTTCAGTTTGCATCAGAAAATAAAAACAGTGACAAAACCTAGCACACACAGAATCATAAAGGAGCAAAATTATAAAATAAAGGATCATAAAAAGATTAGAACAAAAATCCTACCAACAAAACCTCCACAATTTTCTGTTTGCTTCACCTCAGATTAACTTCACTTGAAGCTGTACTCCAAAGCAACCAAACCTGAATACCAAGCTCCACCTTCTCCAATTCTAGTGGCTGAAGAGTAAAATCTCCTCCCTGTTAGTGAAACTGATAATTGTGATTGGATACGGCTAATATCCATTATTTTAAAGAACTTTTCCTTGCTAGCAGGTTAGGTTAGACACACTAAAACCTCCTGGATAAGCTGGTTTCTTAAAGAAACAGTACATAAGGTTTCAGTTTTCCCATCATATACTGTTTGCTTACCCTTGTCTAGGTGAAAAATAAACTAAGTAACAAAAATGAAAATCTCACAGAAGCAGCTGTGACCAATTGTTTAAAATACAATGCTTTTAATCTAAATCATTTATTTTTATGGAGCAATGAAGGTGAAGTTATGCTTTAAAGACAGATTATTTTTAATAGAGTTCACATTTTACCTGAAAATTGTAAAACGGCAACAGAAAATCCATTACAATATGTTGCTAAGAGGAACAAACCAATGTTTTTTTCTAAGACTTAAAGAGAAAACTATAACTTAAGTGAAAATATACAGCACTAAAATACTGAATGCAAAAGATTCACTTCTAAGCTATCAAACTCACTGACATTTATGTTCTCAGTATCACAACAGAGTAGAAATTTCAGTGACATCAAAGGTTGATATTTCTACTTAAAACTGAAGAAAATACTGGGCAGAAATACTATTACATTTAACAGATCTGACATGTGAGTATTTTGCCAAGGTTAATGCTTAACCATTGGCAAACAGATATCTAAAAGCAAAAGGCACATGTTCTAATGACATGTTCAGGTATAAAATTTAGAAAAGTTTAAGTCTTTTTCATCTTTTTTTTTTTTTTAATGTGTGGAAACTACTTTGCACTCCATAACTTCAAAGTGGCATGGGCACCCTAAAGTAAAAGGTATACTCCTCTTAAACTTCTCACTAAGCTACGTTAAATAATATTTTTACTACAGAGATCATAAAGAGACACTACACAGGAACTCTGATTTTTAAGCAAAAAAGACCTACTGTCACTTTATACATTACTAAGTTTGCTATTTTTACGTGATAAGTTTATATATTTTAATTAGAACTGCTTATGTTTTAGCAGCTTGGCCCATCAAACATTACTCTAACATTAATCATTATCTGACTGATTAAATGGCATTTAATGTCTAATTTACGGTGTAAGTATAGTTTTTACCTCTACCAAAAATCCTGTGATTCATAAACTCGAAATTAAAGCTTATTAGAGTGACTTCTTCTTAAAATATGCTTTCAATGTATGGTTTGCATCAGAAAATAAAAAGTGACAAAACCTTTAAACATTTTAATTTGAAGTTTTCAAAGTTCAAAATCTTGCAACTATTTTTCCTCAGAGAAAACTCAAATATTAGAACACAAAGCCAACAAAATTGTTTTGAATACAAAGGGAAGTCTTTGTAACAAACTGAAAATTCACATAATTGCAACTAGGCATGAATATGGAGCAATACCCTGCTGAAGCCCAAACAGCTGCATAATCTATTATGCCCTTTAAGTGGACAAATTGAAAGAGCCAATTCACAGGGGTCTACTCCCAAGATCCTTTGCAAGGATTCACTGTTTTGAATGCCCAGCACTTCATGAGTCAAGTTCAGGTTTTCTTCCCACTGTGTGGACACTCTTGCAAAAGAACACTGGAAGCAGAGGAGGTACAGAAGCAATCAGCAAAAAGAATATACAGTTTGAATTACAGCATAAGATTTGAGGAAAAGTGACTGTAGATGGCCAAAGGTTTTACGGGAAGAAAAAAAAAAGAGATGGCAAACAGTTTAATCTTAAAATCTGGCAAGCATAAAATTAGTAAATAGTTATGGAAACCAAATAAACCTTTGCTCTCGCATCAATTTTTCACTTCGAAGTTAATTATGAAACAAATACGAATCATACACTAATATAACACCAAGACCACTCTCCATCTATACATAACCAAGAGAAAAGAGAACTGTGGACTCAGTGATTCCGGATCATTTTAAGATCTCTGGGACCTGCTTGAAAGAACATCAAGATGATTACCATTTTAGGTAGCAAACAGGTTAAAATTAAGAGTTAGCTTATTTCATTTCTAAATCAGCAGCAGCAGAAAACAACAGCAAAAACAAAAAGAAAGCAATGTCACAACCATAAAATGTATAACCGAGATAATATGAAAACAATATTGCTTCTCAGGAACAAGGAGCCTGCAAAAAGCTCTGGAGCTCCCTGATTGCATGCAGTAACAACACTTTTTAAGCATCAAGTATTCAAAGATGTATTGTATATTATTTGTGGAAGCCCAGAAAGTTTCCCAAATCTTATCAGCTAAAAACAATTTAGAAGAGAACAAGCCACTGAACAATTTGGTCCCACTTCACTTTTGATTAAAAAGACCCTACTTACATAAAGAATCAATATCTAGACTATTAGGAACAACTTTTGGCAGAATATATACAGAACAGGGCAAACACTTTCTTAGAATTTTGAAGGATTCCATATAGTTCAAACTGCTCTTCCTACAAAAGAAATTAATCCTGGGCATTTTCTCTGGCACGACTGGTGGTTTATTGTAGTAGTTGATAAAAAGACCACCCTGACATTAGCAAAACATAACTGGGATCACTAAGGATAAACTCTGAAAAACACCTCAATGGGGAATAAAAAATAAAAAAATATGGCCAGGTGTGGTGGCTCACGCCTGTAAATCCCAGCACTTTCGGAGGCAGAGGCAGGTGGATCACAAGGTCAGGAGTTCAAGACCAGCCTGGCCAAGATGGTGAAACCCCGTCTCTACTAGAACTACAAAAATTAGCCTCGTGCAGTGGCAGGTGCCTGTAATCCCAGCTACTTGGGAGACTGAGGCAGGAGGATTGCTTGAACCCGGGCAGCAGACATTGCACTCCAGCCTGGGCTATAGAGTAAGACTCTGTCTCTAAATAAATAAATAAATAAATAAATAACAAAAAATAAAAAAAATATTTCCCTGGCAAAAGTAAGATATATTTGAGCCTGCAATTCCTGGTGTATCTCTCCTGACTCCTTAGGGAAAAGATTACAAGGTGTGTATGAGGAGTTGGGGAGTTTGAATGAATGGCATATGAGGTCAAACACTGAACACAAAGGAAACATTAAGGAAACATACAAATAAGCAAGCATAAACCAAGCCGATAGGATAAGGTATCTTTCTACAAAAAAACAGTACATTGCTTTGTTTTAGGTCTCAAGGGATAAACAAGGTCACTGATTAATGCAAAATAAAAAGAAACAGGGATCACAATAGTGAGACAAAAATAAAAGAGAAGGCATTTATAATACTCAACTATTAAGATTTTAAGTCATAAATTTTCATGTGCCAAACAACATATCATAGATCATCTAAGAAAAAGTGCTAGACATAGAAAAACTAAGAGAAAATAGACTGGCCAACTTTAAATTCTCTCTCTCCTTGGAGGCCTAAACCAGAAAAAAATAAATAAAATATTACATAAAAGACGAAGACTCATTCTTTATATAGTTACTGAAAGAGCTTTTCTCAACCATTTTAATCAGTCACAAAGAAAACAATTCTGAAAAGCAAAAGCTGAATAGGTAACATTCTCTGTAAACTATGCAATAACATTCAAAAGTTAACAGAGTTAGTTTATTCATTCACCAAATCTTTTGAACGTCTGTTATGCGCTGAAGATACCACAGTAAATAAAATGGATATAGTCCCTACCACTGTACAAACTTATGGTCGAGTCAGACCAGTGCTGTCTCACAGAAACATAATGAGAGCCACATGTGGTTTTCTATTTCCTAGTAGTCACATTGAAATTTAAAAATTGGCTGGGCACGGTGGCTCACGCCTGTAATCCCAAGACTTTCAGAGGCCAAGGCAGACAGATTACTTGAGCTCTAAAGTTCAAGACCGGCTGAGCGCGGTAGCTCACGCCTATAATCCCAGCACTTTGGGAGGCCACAGTGGGCGGATCACCTGAGGTCAGGTGTTCGAGACCAGCCTGGCCAATATGGCGAAACCCAGTCTCTACTTAAAATACAAAAATTAGCCAGGCGTGGTGGCACTCGCCTGTAATCCCAGCTACTCCGGAGGCTGAGGCAGGAGAATCACTTGAACCCGGGGGCTGGAGGCTGCAGTTAGCCGAGATCGTGCCACTGTACTCCAGCCTGGGCAACAGAGCGAGACTCCATCTCAAAAAAAAAGTTCAAGACCAGCCTGGGCAACACAGTGAAACCCCATCTCTACAAAAAATTTTAAAAATTTTTAAAAATTATACAGGCATGGTGGCGCGCCTGTAGTCCCAGCTACTTAGGAGGCTGAGGTGGGAGGATCCCTTGAGCCAGGGAGGTTGAGACTACAGTGAGCCAACATCACATCACTGCACTCCATCCTGGGCGACAAAGGCAACACCATGTCTCAAAAACAAACAAACAAACAAACAAAAAAAAAAAAAACAGGCCAGGCGCGGTGGTGCTCGCCTGTAGTCCCAGCTACTTGGGAAGCAGAGGCAGGAGAATCACTTGAACCCAGGAGGCAGAGGTTGCAGTGAGCCGAGATTGTGCCACTGCACTCCAGCCTGGGCAACAGAGTAAGATTCCGTCTCAAGAAAAAAAAATTTTTTTAATTAAGAAATAAAATTAACAGTAATAGTATATTTTAACACAATACATGTAAAATATCACTACTTCAATATGTAATATTTTAAAAATTGAGATATTTTCATTGTTTGGTACTAGAAATCAAGTTCCTATTTCAAACTTAATACATCAGTTCAGACTTGCCATATCTCAATAGTCAGATGTGACTATTTAAATAAAATATGGTAGCCATTAGCCACAGGACTATAAATTAAGATAAGTATCTATTATTGCAGAAGACTGTCTCTCTGCTGTCCAACACAATCGCCACTAGCCACATAAGGCCACTGAGTGAGCACCTAGAATGTGACTAATACAAATGAGGAACTGAATTTTTAATATTAAATTAAATTTAAATTTATTTAAATAGCCACAAGTGGATGGTAGCTACCAGACTATGGTTCTGGAAGAAGAAATAGATGCTAAAACAATTCACACAAACTTAATGAACTGGAGTTGTTACAAATGTTTATGAAAGAAAAGCCCAATATAAAATGAGCCCATGAAGCCAAGAGAAAGACCTAACCTATTTTGTGGCATCAAGGAAGGATTCCTCAAGGAAATCACAACTAAGCAAAACAAAAGCATATGCAAAGGTCTTGAGTAGAGAAAACTGAAAACAGTAGAAATAATGAAGAAAAGTAACAAGAGGTAAAATAATATATGCTATTTGTAGGAGACTGATTTGGATTACAAAATCAAAACTCCATAGGAAGGCAGGAGGGGTGGAAGCAGCCCTACCATTTGGAAATAAAAAATAAAAGTCTCCCAAACAAGTCCTGAAACAAAGCTTGTCCCACTGTCCTCCCTCAGTAAACACCAGTCATTCTAATCTTCTGTCAAATTCAAAGTCAAGTCAAGCACTTTGCATATGTACCATTTGTGCCAGCAGTTCTCTTCACATGGGAAACTACCTTCAACTTCTTGATTTTAGAACTCAGAATCAAAGTTCCAAATTTTCTACACAGGACAAGCTTTGGAGCAGCAATCCAGCTGGAAGATGGGGAAGAGGCTTCAAACTGTTTGCAATTTTTTTTTTTTTTTTTTGGGAGATGGAGTCTCACTGTGTCGCCCAGGCTAGAGTGTAGTGGTGCAGTCTCGGCTCACTGCAACCTCCGCCTCTAAGTTTCAAGTGATTCTCCTGCCTCAGCCTCCCGAGTAGCTGGGATTACAGCTACCGGCCACCACGCCCAGCTAATTTTGGTATTTTCAACAGAGATGAGGTTTCGCCACGTTGGCCAGGCTGGTCTTGAACTCTTGACATCAAGTGATCTCAGCCAGGCCTGCAAAGCAATTTTCACAAAATATTTTCCCAAAAAAACTTAGTCATTTCGGCTGGGCGTGGTGGCTCACGCCTGTAATCCCAGCACTTTGGGAGGCTGAGGCGGGTGGATCACCTGAGGTCAGGAATTTGTGACCAGCCTGGCCACCGTGGTGAAACCCCATCTCTACTAAAAATACAAAAATTAGCTGGGCATGGTGGCGCATGCCTGTAATCTCAGCTACTCAGGAGGCTGAGGCAGGAGAATTGCTTGAACCCAGGAGGCAGAGGTTGCAGCGAGCCAAGACCACACCACTGCACTCCAGCCTGGGCAACAGAGTGAGACTCCGTTTTTTTTTTTTTTTATGTTTCGATAGATTGGGAAAGCTAAAGAAACTCCCATACACACCTTGGTACCACCAATCAACTTAAACATGACATCCTCAGAGAGACAGTCTCAGATCATCCAATTAGCACCTTCTATTATTTATTTACTTCCTAGACACTTGTCGAAATCTGAAAATTCTTTATTCGTTGGTTTGTCTATATTGACAGACTGTAACTGGATGAAGGCAAGAGACCTTGTCTTGTACATAGTTGTGTCCTCAGCACTTGGCAGAATGTCTAGATGGAGCAGGTGCTTAAATACTTGTTGAAAAAATAAAAACTGCAACTGCAGGGGTTTTTAAATATATAAACATAAAAATATTACTCATCAAAATTTAAGTAATATAGCTAAAGCTATGCTCAGAGGAACATTCAATAGGATTACATTTTTTCATTATAAAACATAAAATATTATAAAAGTTGCAATTTTTTTAAGTTAAAAAATTCAAAACTGGCCAGGCACAGTGGGTCACGCCTGTAATCCCAGCACTTTGGGAGGCCGAGGTGGGTAGATCACCTGAGGTCAGGGGTTCGAGACCAGCTTGGCCAACACGATGAAACCCTATCTCTACTAAAAACACAAAAATTAGCCAGGTGTGGTGGCACACCCCTGTAATCCCAACTACTCAGAAGGCTGAGGCATGAGAATCACTTGAACCTGGAGACAAAGGCTGCAGTGAGCCAAGATCATGCCATCACACTCCAGCCTGGGCAACAGAGTAAGACTCTGTCTCCAAAAAAAAAAAAAAAAAAAAAAAAATCAAAACCAAAACTAATTTGAAGCCCCAAAAGAATAAACTAAAAAATCTGAGGACTAACAAAGCAACAACCAAAAAAGGGGGATGGGGGGGAGACTTAAACAATAACAGAAACACACTTGTTTACAAAATGAAAATACCATGCCCCATGTATACAAGTGTACACTGGTACCAAATCATTGATATTTCAATAAAACCTAAAAAGAACCAAGAAGATGTGCATTTAACATATGATAAAGGCAGCTTTATTTCAAGGCAACAAGTTGTTTTTTTTTTTAGTGGGGCCAAAATTTTTAAGGAAAAATAAGGGAGGTTATTTCACTTCACATATGTCAAAATAAATCCCAGATGAACAGAAAAAGACAGATGTGAAATATGAAACCGTAAAAGAACTAGAAGAAAACTTAACTGGGTAGGAGAAGCCTTTAAATATAAAAGCAAAGTAGAAGCCATAAAAGAAAGTATTAACCTAATTTTCTTAAAAAGTAAAAACCCTTGCCTGTTTTTTTGTTTTGTTAAAAAAAAAAAAAAAAAAAAGGGGGAGAGAGAGAGAGCAAGAGAAAAGACAACACTGTTAGGTAAATGAAGAGCCAGGAAAAATATTTGCATGCCAGGCCCAGTGGCTCATACCTGTAATCCCAGCACTTAGGGAGGCCAAGGCAGGTAAATTGCTTGAGCCCAGGAGTTTGAAACCATTCTGGGCAACATGGTAAAACCCCATCTCCACAAAAAATTGCCAGGCATGGTGGGGAACGCCTGTAATCCCAGTTACACAGGAGGCTGAGGCGGGATAATCACTTCAGCCCAGGAAGTAGAGGCCTCAGTGAACCATGACTGCACCACTGCCCTCTATCCTGGGTGATAGAGCAAGACCGTGTCTCAAAAAACATTTTAAAAAACCCAAACATACGTGTGTGTGTGTGTGTGTGTGTATGTATACATGTGTATATATATTTGTGTGTATATGTATATTTGCAGTATATAGCAGAGTTGCTATCCTAAATCCTAAAAATATAAAAAGTTTAAAAGGGTATCACAAATATAAAACACCAGCCAAAATGGGCAAAAGATAAACTAGAAGATGTCCAATATCCAGGTTTATTTACCATCATAATTAATTAAAGAAATATATGATGATTCCTATAGAAAGGGAAGGAAAGATGGAGGGTAGATGGATAGACAGATAATGCTGGTAAAGATATACAAGAAATGTGTATTCTGTCATATTTTTAGTCAAATTTGATATTAAAGTTTGATGTTAGTCAAACTTTTAAGGACAAAATTTGGCAATATTTATGAAAAGACTTTAAGAAATGTTCATATGCTTTGATTCAGTGATTGTAAGACAGACTAGATCCGAAAGAAACAATGACAAATACATAGTAGTAGCTCTTATATTTATCACACTACTTATAATAATAAGAAAAAAATAATAAACTTAAGTTACACCCAACAGATAACTAGGTTATAGTACTTTTATAAGATGGAACTGTCCATGTGGGTAACCACTAGTCATATGTGGCTACCGAGCACTTGAAATGTGGCCAGTCTGGGTCAGACATGGTGGCTCACGCCTGTAATCCCAGCACTTTGGGAGGCCAAGGCAGGCAGATCATTTGAGGCCAGGAGTTCAAGACCAGCCTGGCCAACATGGTGAAACGCGGTCTCTACTAAAAACATAAAAATTTAGGCCGGGTGCAGTGGCTCACACCTGTAACCCTAGCATTTTGGGAGGCCTAGGCAGGTGGATCACCTGAGGTCAGGAGTTTGAGACCAGGCTGGCCAACATGCTGAAACCCCCTCTCTACTAAAAATACAAAAATTAGCTGGGTGTAGTGGCATGCACCTGTAGTCCCAGCTACTGGGGAGAGGCTGAGGCAGGAGAATCGCTTGAACCCAGGTTGCTGTGAGCCGAGATTGTGCCACTGCACTCTAGCCTGTATAACAGAGTAAGATTCCGTCTCAAAAAAAAAAAAAAAAATTAGCTGGGCGTGGTGGTGCATGTCTGTAGTCTCAGCTACTCGGGAGGCTGAGGAACAAGAATCACTTCAACCTAGGAGACAGAGGTTGCGGTGAGCTGAGATCGCACCGTTGCACTCCAGCCTGGGAGACAGAGCAAGACTCTGTCTCAAAAAAAATACAAAAAAAGAAATGTAGCTAGTCTGAATTGAGATGTACTTTAAGTGGAAAATACACACCAAATTATAAAGACAGTCTAAAAAAAGACAACTATCCCATCAACAATTTCTTATACTGATTACATGTTGAAATAATAGTTTTTGGGTTACATAAAACGTATTTTCACCAGTTTCTCTTTTTTTCATAATGTGGCTACCAGAAAATTTTAAATTACTTAATGTAGCTCCCATTTGTGACTAACGTTGTATTTCTAGTGGACTTTGCTGGTCTGAGGTATATAAGCCACAGTAAGAGGTTTCAATTTTATTTGGTATATTGAAAAGCTACTGGGAGGTTTTGAGTCAGAGAGTAAGATACTGTAATTTACAAATTTACACATTTAAATGAAGCAGAAGAGTAGAAAAGTTGAAGCAATGGTAACAGATGACTTCTATTATCATCTTATATGAAATAAGATGGTGAGGCAGATTACATTTCGGTAAGTTCTTAAGAAAGAGCCAGGCTGAGAGTGTTTAGAATGGACTCTTAATAGTTTAGGATATTAAGAATACACACATAAAGACCAGGGGTATACCTGACAAAATGTTAATAATAGTTATCTATCATGGTGTTATAGGTGGCTTTTCTTAGTAACTTTCTATTCTTTCTCAAGTTTGAGGGGGAAAACCCCATATACACATTGTCCTTATAATTAAATAAAAAATAAGGTTTTTAAAAGCAGAATACAGCCCTACCAAAACAAAGCATCCTGATATTTGTCTGCAAGCTACATATAGAAAAAATGAAACCATCTCTACTCCCATGCCTTCAAACAAAAAGGTTATTCAAAATTACATGTAAATTCACACTTACATACATGAATGAAACATGAAACACATAAAAACACACCTATCTTCAGGATAGTAAGGAGATACTATTCCCTAATTTGTCGCTGTGTTCCTGTTAGCATAATGAAACAGATCCTCGGGAAACACACCTTGTGGGCATTCTCTAATCTAAAACATATTTAAATATGGAGTTAACAAATCCTGAACCACCACACAACTTTTCCAAAAATGTTCCAAAGGATACAAAATTTAATTCCACAGAATAACACCTTGGTCCTAATGCTTTCCCTTAAAGGGTGTGACATTTGACAGGTGTTTTCCTTAATTAAAGTCTGTGCAAAAGTGGAAGGATAAGCTTAGGACAAGTTTCTTTTACATGAGTATGCTAAGGCACAAGAGAAATTTTTAAGTAATTTGCTAGAGATTAGAGGGGAGGAGAGGAACAGCAGAAAGGATAATTTATTTTACATACAATCCAGCGTTTTTTCTACTATACTATTTTTGCATTGAAAAGGAGATACCAAACAGTGCCAGACTTTTTACAATGTGACTTCAAAGTAAGAGAGTCATTACACATAGGTTAACAGGAATTTTGGGTTTTCATGCAAATGTTCAACTAGGTTGAACTAGTTCAATCACTACGGCTATGAATCTTCTATTTAAACATAATAGAGAATCCTAATGTTTTTCATTCATCTTATTTCTAAGTAATTCAATCTATTCTAGTCCTGATTACCTAATACCGTCTAATGCAATCCACATTAAGTATTTACTCTAGAGAAATTCTTGTACTTGTGTACCAAGAGCCGGAAACAAGAAATGTTCACAGAGCAAGACTGCTTATAACAAAACAAAATAAAAAACAATAAAAACACGGTCGAAGTGCCCATAAGTTATGGCAGATTAACATATCATAAAGCAATGAAATAAACTACAGCCACATACTATTTTTATAAAGCTCAAAAGAAAAACAAATTAAATGCCACACAGTTTCGGCATACAAACATATATGATAAAACTATTTTTCAAAAAGTCAAGGAAGTGACATACACAAAATCCACTGCACAGATAAGAAACTCATAGACAAATGCAAGTTTTAGTAATGTTCCAGTTTTGGGTTTGGGGGGAGTCATCAAGGATTTATGATGTTTTTATCTGCTTATACTTTACCGTGTTTTTTTTTGGTAGTATTAAATATATTTTGGTTACTTCTTAAAAACGTTACTGACATATAGTTGACAATAAACTGCACATATTTGAAGTGTAAAACGTGTAAGTTCTGACATATGCATACACCCAAAAAGTTATCACTACAAGATAATAAATCCACCGACCCCTGTATTTTCTCCTGCACATTTGTGATGTCTCCCTTTAAACACATTTTAAAACGTAAAAAAGTAAAAATAAAAAAGACAACTTGTTTTGGAAAGCTAAACGTGCATATTTTGCAAAACATTTCCCCTAGGGCTCTGGAGAAACTATACACAACTCAGAAAGTGCCTTAAAATTGGTGACATGGTTACCGAACAACTAACCTTAAAAGTTTATGGTATTTTACACTTTTAAAAAATCAAATTCCGATTTCGGTTTGAAAGAGGAATTTAATCCTGTTTCTCGGAGCTTCAAAATCATTAATTCTGCCCGGCTTTTTTTTGAGACGGAGTCTCCCTCTGTCGCCAGGCTGGAGTGCAGTAGCGCGATCTTGGTTCACTGCAACCTCCGCCTCCCGGGTTCAAGCGATGCTCCTGCCTCAGCCTCCCAGTAGCTGGGACTACCGGCGCCCGCCACCACACCCAGCTAATTTTTGTATTTTTAGTAAAGACAGGGTTTCACCATGTTGGCCAGGATGGTCTCGATCTCCTGACCTCGTGATTAGTCCGCGTCGGCCTCCCAAAGTGCTGGGATTACAGGCGTTGAGTCACCGCGCGTGGCCAATTCTGCCCAGTTTTTATGGCCCAACAACTTAATATAAATTATCTTTAGGTAACCCCAAGGTCCTAACTTCCTCACAACTGGTTACAACTTCCGAGATGTGAAGGTAAATCATAGCGTCCCAACTGTGTAGGATAGTTAGCACGTGACTTAAAAACCAAGTTAAAAAGATTTCAAACACAATATTCTTTCATACTTTTTTAGGTAGCTAAAACTTAAATATAACTATTTCAAAAAAGCAGACAAAAAATTTAGAATCCTAAGCAAGCTAAACCCAAGCAGGAAAAAAAGAGACCAATTCCCTTCCCGGTGCCAGTCAGGAGTTGGAGACACCGGGCTGCCTCCGGCTGGTTTCTGAAAAACGCCGCAGGTGGAAAAACATCCCGAAGAGGACCTGAGACTCGGAGGAGGCGGGGAACTGACGCGCCCCAGTGTGCCCGGGGCCCTTCCGACCCCCGCCAGCCAACCGCTCGCAACCCGCTCGGGGCGGCGCGCGTCGCGGCCTCCGCGGCCCTGAAGAACTGAGGCTCCCGACCCCAGCGCGACCACCCTGACAGGAAGCGGCCCCCGGCCGCGGGCGCCCGCGCGCCGTCTGAGGTGAACCCGCCGATCTCCGGCCCCCACCCCCGGAGCCGGGAGTCCTCGCCCTCTCGCCCGCGGCCCCCGCGGGCCCACCACCTGCTGCGCCGGCCGGCCGCCCTCCGCTTCCGGCTCTCGGGCGCCGGGAGGGGCCGGGGGCGGGCCTCGCCTAGCTGCAGCCGGGTGGGGGAAGGGAGCAGGCGGGGGAGGGGCAGCGCCGGGCAAGCCGGGCCCCGCGGGCCGCGCTCCTCACCTGGCGGCGGGTCTCTCCGCCTGACACGCTGCGCGCCGCCGCCGGTAGCCGCCGGTGAATGGGTACAGGTAATGCCGCCGAACCCCTGCTTGCTCCGGCTCCGCCACCGCCGGCCCCTCCGTCCGCTGTTTATTAAACTTTTCTGTTTGGTTGTTCGGCCTATGACGCGACCGCGGAGGAGAGCCACTGGATTGGCCGGCTCCCGCGGCTGACGCGCGGGCCCCGCCCGCCCGCTAATTATTACCGGCGCGGGCGGGGCCGCAGGCCGGAGGAGGCGGGGAGAGGCGGGGTCAAGGCTCGGAGCGCACGGCAATTGGCCGGAGGCAGGAAAAGAGGCGGGGCGGAGCGAAAGGAGATGCTCCTCCGCCTTCTGCACCTCCAGTGTCCCTTGCTCCACTGCCCTCTCTGGGGCGCTTCCCGCCGCGGTTTCTCTACCTCCAATAGCTACGGGAAGGCGATTAAGAGGTGCCGCGGAGACTTTAAGGGCTTGGTTATGTAGGTTCAGGTACCTTTGCCACCTCGCAGGGAATGGCGTGTCCCTGTCTTGGACTGAGGCACCAAAAAGAGTTGCACTCCACCTGCCACTTGTGCAGGAAGGAATTCTGAGCTTCTGTCTTCCCATGCAGGCCGGCGCCTCAGTCTGCAAGCGCAAAGTCCGAGCTCAGGGCGCATACTGGAAAGCAGTTCTCTGCCCTGTCCTGAACTGGGACTTGGAAATAGAAGCAAGACGAGAAGCGTGCATGCACACGTGTGCAATACATACATGCACAGGCACAAGCACCCCCAGTTCCAGCCTGTTCCAAAAGCACGGGGTCAGTTCCCACCTGCGTGGTGCACGCTGGGCTGCTGCGCTGGAACTAGGGGTGATAGGCAGAATGGCTCCCCCTGAAGTTTTTCAGCCTTCGTTCGGGCTCACGAGCATCACGAGCAGGAAGTACGTGACACTTTAGTTCGAGGTCATTCAATCCTATTGTGAATGAGGAGTTCCGTTAGGGCATCCAGGTAGGCGAGCCCAGTCCTGAGAATCCTCTTTATTTTAAATGTTGGTATTTTGTTATTCATGGATTTTTTTTTTGCATTAATTTTAATTTTAAAAAATAAAAATGTTATTCATCTTGATCACTTAGTTTTTTGGTGCTCCCTTAAATGTTGTGCCTGAAGTGAGTACCTGTTGAGCATTTAGCAACACAGAAGTCACCTTGGGGAGTACAGTTTAAGTGGAGGACAAAAGCCTGATTGGAATGGTAATAAAACCTACTTGTTAGGCTATTTGTGGGGGTTAAATAACATAATATGTGTGAAAGAGCTTCTTGAACTAGCAAGGTTATGCGTCAAGTCTTACGGATTTTGTCTTAAATGTATTTTTCTTCCGATTCTTGTCCAGTTTATCGTTGTATTAACTCCAGCACCTAACCCAGTTGGATTTTCATATGCAGTTATTATGAATTTGCAGAAATTGGGTTTACATGACCTTTACTGCTTTCCTTTGTTCCAGATTCGTTCTGGGAGATTGAGAGATTATAGTATTGCATTGTGACGTGGAATGCAGACAGACCACTGTCACTTACTAGCTTTGTGCTCTTAAGAAAATTGTGTGAAATGGGAACGAAAACCTACCACAAAGGATTGTTATGAGGGTTAAAAGATACTGCATTTCTATTCACCCAGTAAATGCTATATGCCGACTCTCTGCCAGCCTGTGCTGTAGGTGCTGGAGACAGCATTAAGAAAGATGAAGGCCCTTCTCTCATTGACTTACACAGGGGAAGAGAGGGAGCAGAAACAATAAACAGTATACATACGCAACCTACCGGTCAGTGTACATAAACAACATATTCACAGCACCTGGTATGTAACAGATGCTCAATAAATGATTGTGTATGCATTATTATTTCCAGCCCCATCTTCTTTCCTGTGTTCCAGAGCAGGACATTCACTGTGTGCTTATCACAGCCATTCAATATGTCCAAGGCTTATTTTCCCCCAAACACATTCTTCCTCCTGTAGTCCCAATTTTGGCTAATGGTGACACCATGTTTCCAGTTATTAAAGCTAGAAACTCAAGCTTTATTGAGATTTAACACACATATCATTACAACTTACCCATTTTTAAAGAATACAATTTGCTGGGCGCGGTGACACATGCCGGTGGTCCCAGCTACTCAGGAGGGTGAGCTGGGAGAATTGCTCGAGTCCAGGAGTTCTGGGCAGTAGTGCACTGTACCCACTGGTGTCCACAGAGGGTGGGGGGCACCATCAAGTTGCCTAAGAAAGAGGACTCTGCCCAGGTCCAAAACAGAGCAGGTCAAAACTCCTGTGCTGATTAGTAATGGGATCATGGCCATTGCACTCCAGCCTGGGCAACATAGCAAGACTCTGTCTCCTATTAAAGAAAAAACAAAAAGAAAAATGAAAGAAATTATACAATTCAGTGGTTTTTAGTATATTCACAGTGGTGCAGTTATCACCACAAATCAGTTTCAGAACATTTTGTCACCCTATAAAGAAACCTTGGCAGGGTGCAGTGGCTCATGCCTGTAAATACCAGGGTTTTGGGAGGCCGAGGCAGGTGGATCACTTGAGGTCAGGTGTTAGAGAACAGACTGGTCAACACAGTGAAACCCTGTCTCTACTAAAAATACAAAAATTAGCCAGCCTTGGTGGTGCACACCTGTAGTCCCGGCTGCTTGGGAGGCTGAGGCAGGAGAATCACTTGAACCCGGCAGGCGGAGGTGGCAATGAGCCGAGATCACGCCACTGCACTCCAGCCTGGGTGACAGAGCAAGACTCCATCTCAAAAAAAAACAAAAAACAAAAAAACAACCTTGTACCTATTAGCAGTCACATTCCCCTTTCCCCCAATCCATGGCCCACCTCCACCCCTAGGCAACCATTAAGCTACTGTGTGTCCCTTAAGTTTTGCAAGTGATCCTTTGGCCTCAGCCTCCTGAGTAGCTGGGTCTATGGGTGCAAACTACCATGCCTGGCTAGTTTTGCCTGTTTTGGACATTTCATAAATATGTAGTCATATAATATGTGGTCTTTTGAGACTGGCTACTTTCACTTAGCATAAGGTTTTCAAAGTTCATCGTGTTGTAGTATGTATCAGCACTTTATTTCCTTTTATTGCTGAATATTTCACTGTATTAATATTTAATATAACACATTTATTCATTAATTTATAGACATTTGGGTTGTTGTCCACTTTTTGCCCATTATGTGAATAGTGCTCCTGTTCACATTTTTATCCAAGTTCTTATAGGGACTTTTTTTTTTAACAGATGAGGTCTCACTCTGTCACCCTGGTGAGGGTGTGGTAGCATGAACATAGCTCACTGACACCTCAACTACTGGACTCAAACCATCCTCCCACCTCAGCCTCCCAAGTAGCTGGGACTACGGGTATGCACCACCATGCCCAGCTAATTTTTTTTATTTTTTGTAGAGATGGGGTTTCACTATGTTGCCCAGGCTGGTCTCAAACTCCTGGGCTTAAGCAGTCCTCCCAGCTTGGCCTCTCAAAGTGCTGAGATTACAGGTGTACCACGCCCAGCCTGTTTTTATTTGTCTTGGGTATCTACCTAGGAGTAGGTAGACACTGCGTCATATGGTAACTCTGTTTAGCCATTTGAGGAACTGCCAGACTGTTTTCCATAGAGACTACACCATTTTACATAACCACCAGCAATGAGTGAGAGTTTCAGTTTCTCCACATCTTTGCCAACATTTGTTATAATCAGTCTTCTTGATTATAACTACCCTAGTGAGTATGAAGTGGTGTATCACTGTGGTTTTGCTTTGCATTGCCCTAATGGCTAATGATGTTGAGCATCTTTTCATGTGTTTATTGGCCATTTGGGTATCTTCTTTGAAGTAATGTCTATTCAGATCTTTGCCCATTTTTTAATTGGGTTGTTTGTCTTTTTATTGTTGGTCATAAGAGTTCTTACATGTTCTAGATACAAGTCCCTTTTCAGATATGTAACTTGCAAATATTTTCTCCCATTTTGCATATTGTCTTTTCACTTGCTTGATGATATCATTTGAAGTATAAAAGTTCTTTAATTTTTGCTCTTTTTTTTCTTTTTTTTTTTTGTGATGGAGTCTCTCTCTGTCGCCAAGCTGGAGTGCAGTGGTGCAATCTTGGCTCACTGCAACCTCCGCCTCCCAGGTTCAAGTGATTCTCCTGCCTCAGCCTCCTGAGTAGCTGGGACTACAGGCGCCTGCCACCACACTCAGCTAATTTTTGTATTTTTAGTAGAGACGGGGCTTCACCATGTTGGCCAGGCTGGTCTCAATCTCTTGACCTCATGATCCGCTCGTCTCGGCCGCCCGAAGTGCTGGGATTACAGGCGTGAGCCACCGCACCTGGCCTCATTTTTTTTTCCTTAAGCCCTCCTCTCCCCAATATCCAATTCGTCATGAATTTCACTGATTCTGCCTTAGAAATATCTTTGGAATGCACCCCCACCACCACTGCCCTATACAACTCCCTTGTTATTTCTCACCTGAATTTAAGTAATAGCCTCCAATTCTATTCTCTTTTCTACATCCCCCCACATCCTACCCGATTTATCTTCCAACCGCTTCCAGAAGGATCTTCCTGAAACACAAAATGAGCAGGTCAGACCTCTTTTGGTTCCTCGTCTCTGCTGTAGCAGTTCTCACATTCCTCTGATAAGAATACCTTGAGCATTTAAAAAATTCACATTGCAGGTCATAATCTGGACACAATAAATAAGAATCTCTAGGGGAGGAGTCTGGAAATCTAGTTTTAATAACCCCCCAGGTGATTCTTATTCTCAGAATGGTTTGGCCTAGGACAATGGTTCTAAAGGAGGGGGTGGGATTTTGTCCCCCACAGGACATTTGGCAATGTCTGCAGACATTTTTGGTTGTCACAACTGGGTGGAGCTGTCACTGTCATCTAGTGGCAGCAGGAATGCTGCTAAGCATCCTGTAATGCACAGGGCAGCCCCCCTCAACAAAGAATTACCAGCCTCGGCCAGGCGCGGTGGCTTAATGCCTGTAATCCCAGCACTTTGGGAGGCCGAGGCGGGCGGGCAGATCGTGAGGTCAGGAGATTGAGACCATCCTGGCTAACACGGTGAAACCCATCTCTACTAAAAATACAAAAAAAAAAAAAAAAAAAAAAAAAATTAGCCGGGCGTGGTGGTGGGCGCCTGTAGTCCCAGCTACTCGGGAGGCTGAGGCAGGAGAATGGCGTGAACCCGGGAGGCGGAGCTTGCAGTGAGCCGAGATCGCACCACTGCACTCCAGCCTGGGCGAGAGAGTGAGACTCCGTCTCAAAACAAACAAAAAAAGAATTATCAGCCTCAAATGTCAATCATGTCATGTTGAGAAACCCTGGTCCAGGAGATAAAATACATACTTCTGCATTTGAGGCCAGGCAGTTAGTCCCCAACTCTATCAAGTGTCTGTTGCTCCGTAAGAAACACCCCAAACCTAGTGGCTTAAAACAACAATTTATTATCTCTCTTGATTCTGTGGGTGGACTGGGCAATCCTGCTGCTAGTGTTGCCTGGACTCTCTCATGGAGAAGCTGTAGGTGACAGATGAGCTGTGATGGCTGTTTAGCTGGGGCCTCTCTTCCCTCATAGTCTTTCAGAGCACAGCACTTTCAGGAATACAGGAGCATGAGCCTGGTCTTCCTTGGAAGTCGTATGATGACACTTCTGCTATATTGTATGAAAGAATGATATAAGACTGACCTAGATTCAAGGGGTAGGGAGATAAATTCTATCTTTTGAAACAGGGAGCTTGCAAAGAATTGATGGTTTTAATCCACTTTTCCAATTTACCTTTTCAAAACTATCTCCAAGGGCACACCCACTTCTAACATAACCCCAGGGAAGGATAGGACCAAAACAGAATTTGAAGCTCTGGTTAATGGGGAAGGAGCTACTTTTAGAAAAACTTCTCATGGACTTGACTTCTGTTAATAGTGTTTCCTCTAATAGCTTTTCATCAGAGTCTAAATCAAAGTTCTCAAACTTTTGGTTTCGCAGGCCCTCCTTAATGTTTGGCTCAGCACAAGACTGCTTGATTGAGTCTCCTATTTTCCTCTACATTTTTTTTTTTTACACGAAGTCTTGCTCTGTTGCCCAGGCTGGAGTGCAGTGGCGCGACCTCGGCTCACTGCAACCTCCGCCTCCAGGGTTCAAGCGATTCTCCTGCCTCAGCCTCCCAAGTAGCCGGGACTACAGGCATGTACCACCACGCCCGGCTAATTTTTTGTATTTTTAGTAGAGACAGGGTTTCACCGTGTTAGCCAGGATGGTGTCAATCTCTAGACCTCGTGATCCGCCTACCTCAGCCTCCCAAAGTGCTGAGATGACAGGCATAAGCCACCGCACCGGGCCTCTACATTTTATCGGTTACAATATCACACATCAGGTAGCCTCTAGAAAACTCCACTGTACACTCATGACAAAGAGAAATAATGACCTAACATTACAATGAAAATAATTTTGACCTTGCAGACCCTCTAAAAGGATCTCAAGGGCCTCCAGAGGTTCATGGATCACACTTTGAGGACTGCTGGTCTAAACTACCATCAGGTTGACACGGTGTCTTAAAATTGTTGAAAGAGTACTACACTTGTAGTAGGCGTTCAGGCAAGCAGCTCCCTCAACTCATGGACATGCTTCTGCCCACCTCCTTCTATTCATTACATTCAGGATGCTGGGCCTTTTTATGACCTCATCCTTGTACGGGTATTCTCTCTTATCCCTATCAAACTCCCACTCATCCCTCAAAACCCAGTATAAATGCCTGCTCATTGGTCAAGGCTGTCTTGATTCCTCTAGCCATAATTAGGACGCCCCTCTTCTGTGTTTCACACACTTTATTCTTCCTTCTGCAATAGTAGTTCCCTTGTTAAACTGAAATTTGTCAGTCCAGCCTAGGCAACATAGCAAGATATCCTCTCTACTAAAAGTTAAAAAAAAAATTAGCCAGGCGTGGCAGCACATGCCTTACTCAGGAAGCTGAGTTAGAAAGATCACTTGACCTCAGGAGTTTAGGTTACAGCGAGCTGTGATTGTGCCTCTATACTCCAGCCTGGGTAATAGAGCAAGACTCTGTCTCAAAAAAAAAAAAAGAAAGAAAAGGAAAAGAAAGAATGAGATTTGTTTGCCTCTTCCCTAGTTAGACTAGAAACTTGTTTTTCTGAAGTTTGATTAAAAAAAAAATTGGTATATTATAAGCATGTAAATTGTTCCATTTCCAAGTCTCTAACCAATTGTTCTTTTGCTTTTGTTTTATTTTGAGACAAAGCCTCTCTCTGTGACCCAGGCTTGAGTGCAGTGGTGCAGTTTCGGCTCACCACAACCTTGGCCTCCTGTGTTCAAGCAATTCTCGTGCCTCAGTCTCCCAAGTAGCTGGGACTACAGGCACGTGCTACCACGCCCAGCTAATTTTTATATTTTTAGTAGAGACAGGGTTTCGCCATGTTGGCAAGGCTGGTCTTGATCTCTTTACCTCATGATGCACCCATCTCGGCCTCCCAAAGTGCTGGGATTACAGGCCACTGCACCCGGCCATCTCTAATCAATTGTTCTAACAAATATATCAACTCTCCTTTTCCCCATGGTTTTGTGTGAGGCCTTCTTTAGCATATGTCAACTTTTTATACATAATAAATTCTAGATCTGAGTTTTTCCACTATTCTTGCTATTTTTGCTTCAACAGCGTGTTTTTATTCAAGACCCATGACATTTTAATCTCATTGCTATATAATATGCTTTAGTGTCTACTAGAGCTTGTCTTTTTACTATCCATTGCTCTTTTTCTGAATTTTGTTTGAAAATCTGATCTGTTTATGCCTCTAGGTTAACTCTAGAATAATTTAATCAGTTGTTTAAGAAATATCCTGCCAAGATTTGAATTGGAATTGCATTTGCCAAAAACAATTTGGGGGAGCAGGGAGAAATATTTTCATCTTCACAGTATCTGGATGGCCCATTAAGAAATCTGCTGTCGGGCCAGGCACGGTGGCTCACGCCTGTAATCCCAGCACTTTGGGAGGCCGAGGCAGGCGGATCACGAGGTCAGGAGATCGAGACCAAACCTGCTAACACAGTGAAACCCCGTCTCTACTAAAAATACAAAAAAAATTAGCCAGGCATGGTGGCAGGTGCCTGTAGTTCCAGCTACTCTGGAGGCTGAGGCAGGAGAATGCCATGAACCTGGGAGGCGGAGGTTGCAGTGAGCCGAGATCGCGCCACTGCACTCCAGCCTGGGCGACAGAGACAGACTCTGTCTCAAAAAAAAGAAAAAAAGAAAAAAAGAAATCTGCTGTCTTTTTTCCTCATTTGTTCAGCTTTTAAAAAAAACATTTCTCATATTTTTGTTTCCTTAACTTAACAGTGAAATATTAAAGAGAAATGCTTATGAGCATTATTTTTTTGTTAATAATTCACTTATGATTTGTTGAAACTGTGGATGAAATTTTTTTATATTTTCAAGCTAGTCATTGATAATATATTACAACGCTATTTAATTCTGTATATCTATTGTATACCTAACCACTAAACTGGTTAGAAAAAAATATATATATATATAGTGTATGTGTGTATATATATATATATAGTGTATGTATATATATATATAGTGTGTGTGTATATATATATATATAGTGTATGTATATATATATATATATATATATATATATATATATATATTTTTTTTTTTTTTTTTTTTTTTTTTTGAGACAGTCTTGCTTTGTCTCCCAGGCTGGAGTGCAGTGGCACAATCATAGCTCACTGCAGCCTCAACCTCCTGGGCTCAAGCAACCCTCCAACCTCAGCCTCCCAGGTAGTTGGGACTACAGGTGCACAACACCATGCCTAGCTAATTGTAAAATTTTTTGTAGAGACGGGCTACCACTGTTTTGCCCAGGCTGGTCTCAAACTCCTGGGCTCAAGCAAATCCTCTTGCTTCAAACTCCCAAGGTACTGGAATTACAGATGTATATCACCACACCCCATCCTTAAAAAATATTTTAAATAATTTTTCAGTTGATTGCTTTGTTTTTGTGTGTTTGTATGTTTGTTTGTTTGTTTTTTGAGACAGAGTCTTGCTCTGTCGCCCAGGCTGGAGTGCAGTGGCACGATCTCAGCTCACTGCAACCTCCACCTCTCTGGTTCAAGCAATTCCCCTGCCTCAACCTCCCGAGTAGCTGGGATTACAGGCGCACCCCACCATGTCCCGCTTTTTTTTTTGTATTTTTAGTAGAGACCGGGTTTCACCATGGTGACCAGACTGTTCTCAAACTCCTGACCTCAGGCCATCCGCCTGCCTTGGCCTCTCAAAGTGCTAGGATTACAGGCACCCAGCCTGCTTTGTTTTTTGTTAATATAACTAAAATAGTATTTTCTCTTTTTCTTTAAAATATTTATATTTTTATTTATGTTTCATGTCTTACTGATGTAGCCAGAATTTTAAAGCAAAATTAAATAATATTGATATTATTGATATGACAATATTGATCGATATATCATGTTGTTGATATGATAATATTGATATGACATTCCATTATAGACTAGTTTCTGGCAAATGCTGATTTATTTGGAATAAATGTCTTTTTAAAAAATTGTGTTCTCGGCTGGGCGTGGTGGCTTACACCTGTAATCCCAGCACCTTGGGGGGCCGAGGTGGGTGGATCACGAGGTCAAGAGATTTAGACCATCCTGGCCAACATGGTGAAACCTCCTCTCCACTAAAAATACAACAATTAGCTGGGCATGGTGGCGCACGCCTATAGTCCCAGCTACTCAGGAGGCTGAGGCAGGAGAATCGCTTGAATCTGGGAGGCGGAGGTTGCAGTGAGCGAAATCGCAGGCACTGCACTCCAGCCTCGGCAACAGAGCGAGACTCCATCTCAAAAAGAAAAAAAAAAATGTGTTCTGGCCAGACGCGGTGGCTCACACCTGTAATCCCAGCACTTTGGGAGGCCAAGGCAGGCGGAATGCCTGAGCTCAGGAGTTCGCGACCAGCCTGGGCAACATGGTGAAACCCCGTCTCTACTAAAATACAAAAACAATTAGCTGGGTGTGGCGGCGTGCGCCTATAGTCCCAGCTACTTGGGAGGCTGAAGCAGGAGAATTGCTTGAGCCCGGGAGGCGGAGGTTGCAGTGAGCCGAGATTGCGCCAGTGCACTTAGCCTGGACGACAGAGCAAGACTCTGTCTCAAAATAATAATAATAATAATAATAATAATAATAATAATAATAATAATAAATAATAATAATAATGTGTTCCAAGGATGACTACTATATAAACAGAACAATAAGTGTTGGCAAAGATGTGGAGAAATTGGAACTCTTATGCACTGATGGTGGGAGTGTAAAATAGTGCAGCCACAAAAAATTAGAATTACTGTATGATTCAGCAATTACACTTCTGGGCATATAACCAAAAGAACTGAAAGCAGGGTCTCAAAGAGATATTTATACACGGATATTCAAGCAGCATTATTCACAATGCCAAAAGGTGGAAGCATCCTGTGTCCATTGACAGATGAATGGATACACAAAATGTGGTGTATATGTATGAGATGGAATATTATTCCACCTTAAAAAGGAAGGAAATTCTGACACATACAACAACACTGATGAACCTGGGGGACATTATGCTAAGCGAAATAAACCAGTCTCAAAAAGACATATACTGTATGACTGTTTAGATGGGGTACCTAGAGTTATCAAATTCATAGAGACAGAAAGTAGAATGATGGTTGCCAAGGGCTGAGGGGAGGGAGGAATGGACAGTCATTGTTTAATATGTACAGAGTTTCAGTTTTGCAAGATGAAAAGAATTGTGGAGATAGATGGCGGTGATGGCTGCACTAGAAAGTGAATGTCCTTAATGCCACCGACTGTACACTTAAAAATGGTTAAGATGGTAAATTTTGGGCTCTGTATATTTTATTGCAATTTTTAAAAAAGTGATGCTAAAGAGGTACCATCTATTTTTATAATTAATTTTTGTTAGAAATGGCTATTGAATTGTATTGACTGATTTTTCCCTTCCATAAAGATGATTTTTTTTTTTTTTTTTTTTTTGAGACGGAGTCTTGTTTTGTCGCCCAGGCTGGAGTGCAGTGGCACGATCTCGGCTCACCGCAACCTCCGCTTCCCGGGTTCAAGCGATTCTCCTGCTTTAGCCACCCGAGTAGCTGGGACTACAGACATGTGCCACCATCCCCGGCTAATTTTTGTGTTTTTAGTACAGACAGGGTTTCACTATGTTGGCCAGACTGGTCTCGAACTCCTGACCCTGTGATCCACCCGCCTCAGTATCCCAAAGTGCTGGGATTACAGGTGTGAGCCACCATGCCTGGTCAAAGATGATCATTTTTATATTTGATCTATAGTTTTAAAGTAGTATATTAATAGGCTTACTTATTGAATTTTTCTTGTATTATTGATATGCTTAGCACAACTATAGTGAGTTTTTCTTTCATTATGTTGTTTAATTACATCTGTTAATGTTTTAGTTTAGATTTTTCATCTATATCTACCTGATGTAGCCCAATTCATCAGTAGTATCAAATGAGCTTACGTTAAATGATTCTAAACTCCCATTTTACCTTCCCTTACCCTCTTTTATCCTCCCTTTTATGATAATTCCAGGAAATTTACTCAGGCCAAAGGATACTTATGCTCAGAGAGAGAAAACCAGAATGCCAACTAAGTCAGCATGGGAGTCTATGCTGTTTGTTTCGTTGTTAGTTCTGTTGCTTCATCCGCTGGTGTCCCCGGCAGTCTTACTCATGTGTGTTCTCTTGTTTAGCAGTAGTTCCTCTGGGCAAGACAGGAAGGGTCTGAAAAGATCTGCTCCTGAAAGGGTTAGTATTCAAATACTCTCCCTCCACCAGCAGCAAGCAAGGCAAGATGGACTCAAAGGCTCACTTGGACTAAATCCTTCTCCCCTGTTCTCCAGGTCCCAAGTTCCCCCTATACTTTAAGATGATTGGATGCAGGCATACCCATTGCTTTGCCCCATGGGCCCATAGACAGTTCCAGAAATGAGTATGTTTATGATTTCCAGTCTTCCCCATGATGCTTGCATTCTCCATACTACATATTTCCATGTGTGAGATTGCTTTCCAACATTATGCTTGAAAACGTTCTCAGTCTCTGCCTGACTTACTGGTCCAGTCAGGTTTTTCACTCCATGTTTTATCAATTTTGATAGTATGTATTTTTATAGAAATTTGCCTATTTCATTGAAATTATTTGTTTTGTTTTTGTTTTTGTTTTTTTTCTGAGATGGAGTCTCGCTGTGTCACCCAGGCTGGAGTGCAGTGGTGTGATCTCAGCTCACTGCAACCTCTGCCTCCCGGGTTGAAGCGATTCTCCTACCTCAGCCTCCTGAATAGCTGGGATTACAGGCATGCACCACCATACCGGCTAATTTTTGTATTTTTAGTAGAGACAGGATTTCACCATGTTGGTCAGGCTGGTCTTGAACTCCTGACCTTGTTGTGATCTGCCCACCTCGGCCTCCCAAAGTGTTGGGATTACAGGCGTGAGCCACTGCACCTGGCCTCAAATTTATTTGTTAATATATACTTGTGCTGTCAGCACCCTGGGGCAAATGTGAGTTTCTTCTGAGCATGAGGATAAAATTACTGAGAATTAAACTGCAAACCCAACTCAAAAAGATCACAGTAGAGATGTTTGAAGATTTTAATTGTTGTTTTTAGTTTGTGGGCCTCTTTGAGGGTCTCATGAAGCCTGTAGATTCTCTCCTTAGAAAACTGCAAAAACTATATGTAAAGCTTTCCATCTAGTTTAGAAAGTTCCCGTATCTCCCAGAACCTGTCTGCAGACCATGGATCTATGTCCATGAGCTCTGTAACTAAAATGATGGAGCGGCTCCTAGGACTGCCGTTGTTCATTTGCCTTTAGAATGCACTGACCTATCTGAAACAAGCCAGTGTCAATCATAAAGAGGGGAAGGTTGGTCCTCGTAGAAGCAGAGACAAAGGAGAGTCAGAGATGCAATAATCAGCAGTGTTCATCTCAGCACGGTCCAGGGGATAGGCAGTTTCAGTGGCTGAATTTCACATATGCTGGTCCAGCTGACAAGGTGATCCTTATTGTAAAATGAACATTTTTATCTAGTTTACATTCTTCACAAGGATGTCTTGTTATTAGAAATGCTCAATTTATCTAACAGACTTCCTTTGTTGTGATTAATATGATTGGGCTGTTTTCCAGCCTCAGTTATATTTCTCATTTTTAATTTATAAATTGGTACTTAGATTTATACATCAGTCTTATGAACTTGGCTATTGTGAGTCTGCCTGAGAAATGGATCTGATGACAAAATCAGCATTCTGAGATGCAAAACCAAGCACTTGATACAGTAACCAAATGAGGATAGGGAATGCTGCCCCATAATGCCTCTCAGGGAACATCCCACTGGGTTCATTCAGGCAGGACATCTAACAGCATTATTGTGATGGCCAGGCTAGCTGTTCTCAACACATAGAACTATCCTATACCTAATTGTATAGCCCTTTCTTCATTCTAATTGTAATTATTCCTGCTCCTTGACTAGGATTCAAAGGATTATCTGTTTATGTTATCTTTTTAAAAATGTTTCAGGCTGTGCGTGGTGGCTCACGCCTGTAATCCCAGCACTTTGGGAGGCTGAGGCGGGTGGATCATGAGGTCAGGAGATCGAGACCATCCTGGCTAGCATGGTGAAAACCCGTCTCTACTAAAAACACAAAAAATTAGCCAGGCGTGGTGGTGGGCGCCTGTAGTCCCAGCTACTCGGGTGGCTGAGGCAGGAAAATGGCGTGAACCTGAGAGGCGGAGCTTGCAGTGAGCCGAGATGGCGTCACTGCACTCCAGCCTGGGTGACAGAGCCAGACTCCGTATCAAAAAAAAAAAAAAAAAAAAAGTTTCATCTTTTTTTTTGTTTGTTTTTAAAACAGGATCTCACTCTGTCACCCAGGCTGGAGTGCAGTAATGCAATCAGACTTATTGCAGCCTCGAACTCCCTGGCTCAAGTGATCTTCCCACCTCAGCTTCCTGAGTAGCTGGGACCACGGGCTCACACTACCTTGCCTAGGTAACTTATTTTTATTTATTTATATTTTATTTTATTTTTTTTGAGACGGAGTCTTGCTCTGTTGCCCAGGCTGGAGTGCAGTGGTGTGATTTCGGCTCACTGCAACCTCCGCCTGCTGGGTTCAAGCCATTCTCCTGCCTCAGCCTCCCGAGTACCTGGGACTACAGGCGTGCACCACCACGCCCAGGTAATTTTTTGGATTTTTAGTAGAGACGGGTTTTCACCATGCTAGCCAGGCTGGTCTTGAACTCCTGACCTGCTGATATGCCTGTCTCGGCCTCCCAAAGTGCTTGGATTAGAGGCGTGAGCCACAGCACCCGGCCTATTTTTATTTTTATTTGTAGAGACGAGGTCTCCCTAGTTGCCCAGGCTGGTTGTAAACTCCTGGGCTCAAGTAATCCTCCTATCTCAGCCTCCCAAAATGCTGGGATTACAGGTATGAACCACCACACCCAGCCACCATCTTGTATTTACTTATCAATTCTACTCTTTCTTATGGCTTCTAATTGATTTAAATACTACTTTAGGCCGGGCGCGGTGGCTCACGCCTGTAATCCCAGCACTTTGGGAGGCCAAGGCGGGCGGATCACAAGGTCAGGAGATCGAGACCATCCTGGCTAACACAGTGAAACCCCGTCTCTACTAAAAATACAAAAAATTAGCTGGGCAAGGTGGCTGTCGCCTGTAGTCCCAGCTACTCGGAGGCTGAGGCAGGAGAATGGCCTGAACACGGGAGGCGGAGCTTGCAGTGAGCCGAGATCGCGCCACTGCACTCCAGCCTGGGCGACCGAGCCAGACTCCGTCTCGAAAAAAAAAAGAGTGAAATATCTGAATAGATACTTTACCAAAGAATAATATATACACATGGCAAATAAGCATATGGAAAAAAATGTCCAACATCATTTGTCATTAGGGAAATGCAAATTAAAACAAGAGGTATCATTATGCACCTATTAGAATAGCTAAAATCCAAAAACCTAAAACACAAGTTTCTGGCAAAAATGTGGAGCAACAGGAATTCTCATTCATGGCTGATGGGAAATGCAAAATTATACAGCCACCTAGAAGGGAGTTCGGCAATTTTTTTACAAAGATCAACATAGAGTTACCGTATGATCCAGCAATCACGCTTGTTGGTATTTACCCCACTGATTTGAAAATGTCTATCCATGCAAAAAACTGCAAACAAATGTTCATGGCAACTTTATTCAAAATTGCCGAAAACTGGAAGCAACCAAGGTGCTCTTCAATAGGTGAATGGATGCATACAGTGTGATATATCTGTACAATGGAATAGTATCCAACAATAAAAAGACGTGAGCTATCAAAATGTGAAAAGATGGATGAATTTAAATGCATATTGCTAAATTAAAAAATTAAAAAAGTAGTCAAGTATGGTGGCACACACCTGTGGTCCTAGCTACTTGGGAGCTGAGGTCCTAGCTACTTGGGAGCCTGGGAGGTCAAGGCTGCAGTGAGCCATGTTTGTGCCACTGCACTCCAGCTTGGGCAACATAGCAAGACCCTGTCTCGAAAATAAATAAATGTAACTATTGGGTACTAGGCTTAGTACCTGGGTGATGAAGTGATGTGTACAACAAACCCCTGCGACGTGAGTTTACCTATATAACAATCCTGCACATGTACCCCTGAACCTAAAAGTTAAAATAAATTAAAAGAGTAAAATTCCCAGTAACCCCATAAACACCCCTGCAAACCCATTTTCTCTCCAATGAACTTGCATCAGTGACCTGCCTTGTCTAGGCCTTGGCCCAGTAGATCCCACAAGTGGCCACTATTAAGGTGTACCTGGTCCAGTGAGCAAAATGGTTGGATCCCCAGCTATTGCTGGGAATCCACCACACGTGCAGAAGACGAGGTGATGGATGTCTTCTGTTTGTCCCTCTAGATATACTTTCTCTTTCTTTCTTTTTTTTTTTTTTTTTTTGAGATAGAGCCTCATTGTCTCCCAGGCTGGAGTTCAGTGGCACGTTCTTGGCTCACTGTGACCTCTGCCTCCCAGGTTCAAGCAATTCTCATGCCTCAGCCTCCTGAGTAGCTGGGATTACAGGCACCTCCCACCATGCCTGGCTAATTTTTGTATTTTTAGTGGAGACAGGTTTTCATCATGTTGTCCTGAATGGTCTCAAACTCCTGACCTCCAGTGATCCGCCCTCCTCAGCCTCCCAAAGTGCTGGGATTACAGGCGTGAGCCACCACAACCAGCCTAGATATATTTTATCATGCCCTCCCCAACTCTGTACCCTGAGAGGCTGACCCAAATGGACTTCCTCAGTGAATATCCTTGTCCTTTAGCCTCCAGTGGTGTCTGGTGCATGGGAAGCACTGGCAGGAGATGGGAGGGAGGGAGGAGTGTCAGGATAGGTGTTTATTCTGGTTCTAGTGCTGCTGGTCATAAAAGATTGGTGACACTCTTCTACCAAAGCCATTCTCCTGTCAATGGCCTTTTCCACCCAGCCACTCTTTCCAGGTTCTAGTAACAGCTCCCTCTGCTTGTCCCTATCAGTCCAAAGCTTAGCATTCATGCCACACTATATGTGTAGAGCTTATAGGTAGCACCTTGCAAACCCACTGTGGCCTGGGTGCCAGGCAGATATGTGCTTGCCCCAGTGTGGGAAATCAGTGTTCATTAAATGAATGAATCAGTCAACAAATCACATGTTAAAGAAGTTTCAAGACACCCTTGTGACAATACAACTGAGTGGTTAGAGGACTGAGTAGTCAGTGCTGGGCTCAAACTGTGGCACCTTCAACTCACCCAGGTGAGTGATCTATGTTGTTCTAGTTCTCTAAGCCTTAGTCTCTTATCTTTAAAGTGGAGATAACAATATCTTCTTCGCTAAGTTAATTAAATGAAAAATAGTCTGTGCAAAGTGCTTAGCATAGTGTCTGGCACAAAAAAAATGCTTAGTAAACAATAAGTTATCTAATTAGTTATCTAATCCAGTCATGGCTAAAAGTAGTTGGTCTTTTGCAATAGATAAATGAGTAAGGACACAAACAGATAATTAGCAAGCAACCAAAAGTAATTGGCAAACAAAGTGGTAAACATGTTCAATCTAGCTAGTAAGCAAAGAAATGCAAAGGAAACAAACAATGAGATACCATACCTTGCCTTCAAAGCTAGAAAATTGTTTTAACTATACTTAAAGCCAGAAAGGTCATGATGAAACAAGGACTGTCAGTCATTCAGTTTGGGGCATAAAAATACTAGAAGGCAATAGTTTTTAAAATTTAAGTGCACCTACCTCTGACCTAGTAATTGTGCTTTTAGTAGTCTAGGCTACAGAAATACTCAAAGAAGTGAGTGCAGAGAAATTCCTAACACCATTGTTTGTAATAACAATAGACAGGTTGGTAGACAGGAAGGAAGGAGGGAGGGAGGGAAGGAAGGAAGGAGAGAGGGAGGGAGGGAAGGAGGGAAGGAAAGAGGGAGGGAGGGAAGTAGGAAAGGTGGGAGAGAGGGAGGGAGTGAGAGAAGAAAGGAGGGAGGAAAAGAGGGAAGGGAGGGAGGGAGGGAGGGAAGCTAAATATCCATCAAAAAGGGAACACCTAGCTAAATTATGATACAGCCATTTTATGCATTGCTATGTAGCTGTTAAAAACAAGTCCATCTCCAGGGATGCTGCCTACTGCTGTCTAGGTTGTTCACTGCACAAGGGAACTTCATTGACATCTTAGACATATACTGAGATGTGAGAGCTTGCTTGTGCTCATGTAGTTTAGTACCGGCACACATAGCCATGCACACACTCAGCAGAGCATGCACTCACACTCACCAGCACACACATGCATATGTAGTTAAAACCAGTCCCACATGTATTCTAGGAGCCCACTGAAATCTCCTCTTATTCACCTGCTGCTCCAATCCCTGCCTCCTGCCTAACTCCAAATCTGACATGGATTCCTCATGTGGAGGTGGACTGTGCCCTCTTTGGAGGCTCAAGCACACTGGCATTCAGGGAGTTCAGAGTATAAGTGGATGAGAGTGTGGTGCACAGCCAGGCCATGCCAGAGCCAGGCCACACTCTGGAAAGCACCCTTGGCAGAGCTAATCAGATTGTGCTAACTTAAAAAATACTTATTTGATAAAGGAGTGCCTTTTTCTAAATCCAGTAAAGGCATTGAATAGGCCGGTGAAGGCTCTGTAGATTTCTACGTGTATGTAAAAGGCAGGTTGCAGAACAATAGGTACTGTGTGAATCCAGTAGATAAATATGTTCATATATGTAAATGCATAGAAGAGAGACTGTTACAGTGGCTATTGCTGGACAGGAATATGGGTGGGGAAAAGAGGAAGGCAAACTGCTCTCTTTTCTTCCTTATAGTTTGAATTCGTTTGTTTGTTTGAGAGAGGGTCTGGCTCTATCCCCTGGGCTGTAGTACAGTGGTGGGATCTCAGCTCACTGCAATCTCTGCCTCCTGGGCTCAGGCAATTCTCCCACTTCAGCCTTCAGAATAGCTGGGAGTACAGGTGCATACTACAATACCCTGCTAGTTTTTTTGTATTTTTAGTAGAGATGGAGTTTCGCCATGTTGCCCAGACTGGTCTCAAACTCCTGGGCTCAGGTGATCGAGGCACCTAAGCCTCCCAAAGTGCTGGGATTACAGGTGTGAGCCACTGCGCCTGGCCTCTTCCTTATAGTTTGAATTTTTTTTAATGTGAATGTATCTACATACTACTTGTGTAATTTAAAAAATAAGTTAAAATCAGAAATAACAAAGAAGTGCCAAAGTGAGGTTTAACAACTATAGCCATTCAGTAAAATACTTCAGTTTATAAAAAGTCTAGAAGTTATCTTTGAAAGTTAAGTGAATAAAGCAGGAGAGAACATTCTATGAATATGCCAATAATATTTTAAGTGAAAAGGCAAGTCACAGAACAGTACTATGTTAAGATCCTATCTGTGTTAAAAATGTAGACACATGTATACCTACAAATGAAATAAATGCCTGTAAAGATAGATACCAAATTGAAAATAGGGGTTATTATCTCTGAGGGATGGTTTTGAGGCTAAGAGAAAGCTTATTTATGAGTGTTTGAATTTTTTCTAATGAAAATATATTAATTTTATAATAAAAATAAATTATAAACAGATACATAAAGTATGTGTTTATATAAACACATGTATTGTGTATATATATGTGTATTTTAAAATATCTATAACTATCTCCTATTTGTAAATATATATACATATTTAAATATATACACACATACACGTATAAATGTAAACACATATATGCCTAGGAAAATAGATGTTTATATTTATATATACACGTGTATATATTTATATATGTATATATATATTTACATATGTGGCATTATAGGTGATGATTACTATTGGCTTTTTTATTCATGTGTTTTTCATATTTTCACCAATTTTATAATCTAGTAAGAATTTTTTTAAAAACGAAAAGGTTATAAAAAAAGGAAAAACCTAATAAAATTGTATAGTATAATCACTAGTGAGTGAAAGTAAGCATAAATTTTGTACATGGAAAAAAAATCTAGGAAAAACTAGAATTAGTGGAAATTTAGATGTTAAAACTTTTTTTTTTCCTCTTTTTATTCCCCCCAAGTCTATGATAATGAATGAATATTAGTTCCGGTGCTAGAAGAAAGTATAATGTAAAAATGTAAATATTTATTAGGTGCACCCAAAGATCATCATTTTAGAGATGGAGAAACTTAGGGGCAAGCAGGGGCATTGGCTGCTAAAGGGGGTGCAGGCTGAGGCAGGTCTCACCTCTGGGTTCTAGAGCTCCTTCCAGCCCCCTTCAAGCTGCCATCACATTTCTGTTCTCGAGTTTGGAGAAAAGGGACACACACCGGTTGGTGCCCGTGCTGGCAGTCTGCTCACATCACACCTAACTGAGGGGTCTCCCCAGGGCCTTGAGCTCCTGGCTGGCTAATTCTACTTAGTGCTAGGGTAACTGAGGTCAGACATCCATGAGGTGGCAAAGTGGGGTGATCAGTTTGTCCCAGTTTGCCTCAGATTTCCCCAGTTTTAGCACCTAAAATCCTGCATTCCAGGAAATCTCTTGGGCCTATAAAAACCAGAACAGGACCAGGCACGGTGGCTCACCCCTGCAATCCCAGTACTTTGGGAGGTCAAGGTGGGTGGATCACCTGAGGTCGGGAGGTGGGGAGTTCGAGACTGGCCTGGCCAACATGGTGAAACCCCGTCTCTATTAAAAATACAAAAATTAGCCGGGCGTGGTAGTAAATGCCTGTCGTCCCAGCTACTCGGGAAGCTGAGGCAGGAGAATCTCTTGAACCCAGGAGGCGGAGGTTTCAGTGAGCCAAGATCGTGCCACTGCACTACAGCCTGGGTGACAAAGCAAGACTCCATCTCAAACAACAACAACAACAACAACAGCAACACAGAACAGTTGGTCACCCTAGAGTGAATTGTGATTCCCAAGAACACCAAACTGGGAACCAGGAGATCACCATTCTCACCCGAACTCCCTGTGTGGTATTACCTCACCTCTCTGGGCCTCAGTTTGCTTATCAGTGAAACAGTATCATCTCCCCGGACTCTACCTTAAAGGGTCGTTTCAAATAAAAAAAAAATGTGAAATTACATTGTAAACTAAGGACTGTGTCCATAGGGGAGGGTCAGGGTGGACTTTGCCCTTGGGGGAGTCAGCTAGAGCCATGGAGGCATGACCACAGCGTTCTGATCACAGCTTACTCTCCATTCTCCTTGACATCCAAAGTCACGCCCACCTAAAATCCTCTCATGAGGTTAATCCAACAAGTCTTCAGCTCTGGTGAGGTGGGACTCCGAGGGTTCTACAAACTTTTTCTGTAAAAGCCTTTGATGGTTAATTTTTTTTTTTTTTTTTTTTGAGACAGAGTCTTGCTCTGTCGCGGCTGGAGTGCAGTGATGCAATCTCAGCTCACCGCAACCTCCACCTTCTGGATTCAAGTGATTCTTCTGCCTCAGCCTCCCAAGTAGCTGGGATTACAGGCGCGCACCATCACGCCCAGCTAATTTTTGTATTTTTAGTAGAGACAGGGTTTCACCATATTGGCCAGGCTGGTCTTGAACTCCTGACCTCGCAGTCCATCCACCTTGGCCTCCCAAAGTGCTGGGATTACAGGTGTGAGCCACGGCGCCTGGCTTTGATGGTTAATTTTATGTGTCAATTTGGCTGGACCACAGTACCCAGATATTTGGTCAGACATTATTCTGGATGTTTCTGTGAGAGTACATTTGGATGAGATTAACATTGAAATCAGTGGATTTTGAGTAAAGTTGGTTGCCCTCCACAATGTTGGTAGGCCTCATCCAATCAGTCAAAGGACTGAATGGTACAAAGACTGACCTCCCCTGAGGAAGAAGGCATCCTGCAGCAGACAGCCTTCAGACTCAAACTGCAACCTTGGCTCTTCCCAGGTCTTCAGCCTGCCAGTCCACCCTGCAGACTTTGGACTTGCCAGCCTCCATAATCACATGAGCCAGTTCCTTAAATCTCTCTCTCTTTTTTTCTTCCTTTCTCTCTATCCTATTGGTTCTGTTTCTATGGAAAACCCTGACTAGTACAAAATCCAAATAGAACATGTTTTAGGCTCTGCAGGTCATGTGATCTCTGTCACATCTACTCGACTCTCCCATTTTAGCTCAGAAGCAGCCATAAACAATACACAAGGTATTGTCCACCTTGGCCTGCTGACATTTGAGGCTGGATCATTGTTTGTTATGAAGGCTGTCCTGTGAACTGTAGGATATTTAGCAGCATCCTAGTCTCTACCCAGTTGATACCAGTAGCACTCCTCAGTTGTCACAACCCAAAATGTAACTGGGGGGAGGGAGGTCTGATATAAATAAATGAGCATGACTGTATTCTATTGAAACGTGATTTACAAAATAGGTGCTATTTTGTAGATACATTATTGTAAAACATTATTTACAAAATGGTTGGTTTGGCCCATGGGCCATAGTTTGCTCTAGGCAGCAGGGTCAACCAATGTCAGCAATGACCTGGAGCTTTGAGGAAGGAGACCCATCATCGGAGAGTGATGAGGGAGCCTGCAGGAGACCTGTAATGTCAAGCCAGATTCCCCTTCCAAAGCATTGGATGGAGCCAAGTCCCAGGCTGAGGATCCTTGCTATATCTTACCTGGAGGTTGTTGGGTCAGATGATGATGCTGTACCTTTGACAGTGCAGTTGCTGCAATGACGGGAGGCCTAAAAGAAGCTTTAATTTTCTTTTTTTTTTTTTTGGAGACAGAGTCTCGCTCTGTTGCCCAGGCTGGAGTGCAGTGGCGCGATCTCGGCTCACTGCAACCTCTGCCTCCTGGGTTCAAGCAGTTCTACTGCCTCAGCCACCCGAGTAGCTGGGACTACAGGTGCACGCTGCCACATCCAGCTAATTTTTTTTTTTGTATTTTAGTAGAGACGGGTTTTCACCGTGTTGCCCAGGCTGGTCTCAAACTCCTGAGCTCAGGTACTCCGCCTGCCTCAGCCTCCCAAAGTGTTCGGATTACAGGCGTGAGCCACCGTGCCGGGCCAAGAAGCTTGAATTTTCTTACTGTGCATCCCAGCTGGGGTTGAAGGTTTGTAGAAGAGGGGGATGTTAGGTGCCTCACCACATCTCCTCTGGGCTTCCCTAGTGGCCGCCTCATTTCCTTCTCACCGTTTCCACAATCTTCAATCCATCAAGAAACTGTATTTTTGAACCTTTTCGCATTTTCATTTGGCAGCCAAAGTAGGGTAGCCTGTTTCACATGGAAAGTAATTTTGTTTCACGCTTGTCTATCACCCTCTTAGCCCTGGCATGTAAATAGGGGAGAAGGAGGCAGGGGAAGTATCCACAGACCCCCAGGGAGGAGGGTCATTGCAGGGGTTGCTGGGGAAGAGTTCATTATCTGTGGCCTAGCCTTGTGTCCTCAACACTGGGCACATGCCATGCTCTCAAAGCTCTGGTTAATAGGAGCTTCATAGGAAGTTATATTTCAAAGGGAGACAATTTTCCTGATCATGCTATTTGCAAAGGGGATGGGAGCATTTTTGTATTTGTATTTATGAGCATGACTGTTCTAATGAAACATTATTTACAAAACAGGTGGCCAGCTGGTTTGGCCTGTGGGCCATAGTTTGCTAACACTGCTATAGGCAATGGGGACATCCAGTGTCAGCACTGACCTGGAGCTTTAAGGAAAGGGACCTATTGTTGGAGAGTGATGAGGGGGACTACAGGAGACCCATAATGTCAAGGAATGACAACATAAAGCCACCCTTAGGGAAAGAGCCTTCCAGGAAGTCTTGGCAGGGAGTTGTGCCAGGGCCTTAAATGCAGTTGGCAACCAATGCTACCCAATCAGGCCAGCCACCTGCAACACACTAGAGGCCCAGCAATGGTTCTGAAACCCTAATGTATATGAGAATCACCTTGAGAGCTAATGCAGCTGGCTGAGGTCCAGGCTCATTGGAGTACACAAGGGCCTGGGCCTTTGTGTTTTCACCATGTGCTCCAGATGAGCTCAAGCTCATTCCAGCCAAGAATTGAGAACCACTGGGTTCAAGGCTTGCTACTCAAAGTGTGGTGTGTGGACGGGCAGCATCAGTATTATCTGAGTGCTTGCTACAAATGTAGCATCTCTGAGCCCACCAGGACCTACTAAATCAGTGTTGTCATTTTGACAAGGTCCTTAAGGATTTTTATTCACCTTATAATTTGGGAAGCATTAGAGCTGGATCATAGAGGAACTGGGCAGCAGGTGGGCCCCAAGAAAAGTTGGCCCCAGGCCCAAAGAAAAGACTTCAGCTGAACAAGGTCACTCATCTGAACTGACAAAAACAAGGAAGAGTCCAGTCAGACAAAAGAACTCTCAAGTGAGGAGAACAGGAGCCGTCTGTTACTCAAGGAAATGGATCCCGAGTCTGGGGTGGCAAAGAAATCTTGGGGAGCAACACAGGCCCTGGCCAGGCCAGAGGTCAACTGCAACAATAGGCCCCAGGTGCTCATCTCATTTGCAGGGCCTCTCACAGGCCACATTTGTGCTTTGCCCAGGCTCCCTGCCCCAGGCCAGTGCCTGCCTGAGTCCTAACCCCTCCAACTTTGCTCTTTCTTAGCCCCAAACTCAGCCTTCACATCTGGTGATGAAATGCAGCTTCTTTGCTTCACAGGCCCTGATAACCAGCCTGCATTCCCTGTTGCTCTAGGAAACTCTCCTGGGGAGTCTGGGAGTGGAGAGTGCATTTGGAAAGCCCCTAGGTGGTTCTGATAGACAGCTCCTATACATGACTCCACTTTGTGGGTTCCAGAAACTACCAGTCTGTCCCCTGATCCATCAGGCCTAACAAGTAAGATCTCCACTGCTAGTGAAGGCAGATCACTGCACTGTCTCTGGGGTTCCTGTCTATCCCACCCATAAGTTGGTAAGTAGTCCTTTTGAAAATAAATCTTCCTCATGTTATCCTAACTTGAGTGCACCTGTCGGGATCCTGATTGATACAATGGATCAATGATGGGAAACATCCCATCCTTAGTGGGAGATCTCATCTCAACCCACAGTGGTACCGACAGGGTAAGCTTACCAGAATCCAGGAGTGCAACATTGGAATTTGACATGTACAACAAGGGGCTCATTTTACTACAAGAGATATAGGGAAAACATCCTAACAGTAGGCACAATCTAACCATGAACCACACCCCAGAAAGGGAGTGAGCCACCCATGAAGGCAGATTCAAGCAAAAGCTTAAGGCCCATTTATCGACAGAGTACAGCAAGTTTGCTTTCCTGCTCAGGTGGGAGGCTGGGCTCAGTGACCCAGACAGTTCCCTCCAGCTCTGAGGCTGTGTCTACAAATAGCCCCGTGATCCTCCTACACCCTCCTCACAGCTCTCCAGGGACTCAGGTGCTAGCTGATGGTAAATGTGTTGATGGGGGAAAAATAAAAGATTGGAACTTCCCTTAATACCTTGTTTTCCTCCTCATCACCCGACTGATGGTGACTGACCCTGAGGGTGCAGATGGGTGGGGTGGGGATAGAACCCAAAAGCATTGTCAGCTCAGAAGGTCAGAAAAGTCAGCATGCAGATTTCCCAGGAGGCGTATGTAAAACATAGGATCCCCATCTAGGCAGCTGCCAGACCCGAGGCTGTGGGCGGTGGAGCAGCCAACATGCCGGAGATCTGCCCAGGAAACTCCAGCACATGGGAAGTCTGGCAGGCAAAAGGCAAGGCCACTTCAGGGGGGAAGGGGGCAGGCGGCAGTCAGATATTGGCCAAAGGGGCCTGCGCAGCCTTAAAAGAGTCCCCATGGAGTGGGAAAGTGAGAAACGGCTGGGTTTCAGGCAGCATGCATTTTCTGGCTTGGTCCCTGGGGTCTTGGTGTCCCGTATTTCAGTTGCAACAGAAGAGAATTTAGGAGGCGGGTAGAGGGGAGTACATGGCAGGAGTCAGAGGCTTTAAGCCCCACTGAACAGAGAGAGACTAAGACCACTCTTTTTTTTGTTTGTTTGTTTTGTTTTGTTTTGTTTAAGACAGAGTTTCACTCTTGTCGCCCAAGCTGGAGTGCAATGGCACGATCTCGGCTCACTGCAACCTCCACCTCCTGGGTTAAAGTGATTCTCCTGCCTCAGCCTCCCAAGTAGCTGGGACTACAGGCGTGCGCCACCATGCCTGGCTAATTTTTGTATTTTTAGTAGAGACAGGGTTTCACCATCTTGGCCAGGCTGGTCTCGAACTCCTGACCTCATGATCTACCCACCTCGGCCTCCCAAAGTGCTGGGATTACAGGCGTGAGCCGCCGCGCCCGGCCATAAGACCACTCTTAACTCATTCATTAGTGAACCCCTGCTCCATGGAGTACCATGCTAGCTGCTAAGGATAGAGTGATGAAGAGCAGCAGGGTCTCCACCCTCCTCACTGGCTCAAGGCCACTTGTCCTGCCTCCATCAGGACTAACTAAGCAGCCGAGGTGTGGCTGAGTCAGCAGGCAGGAAGTGTGAGTGGCCTGCATCTTAGGAGCTGGGGCTGGCAGGGTGCCAGATTAGAGAGGCAGGTGCTGAGGCTAAGATTCCACGCAGCAGTTAATGCCTCTCCCTCTATTATCCCCGATCCAGACCAGCTGTCCTGGCGTGTGTGCAGACCTGCAAGTTCAGCAAAGCCCACAGACTTCAGTGTGACCAACTGTCCCAGTTTGCCCAGAACTGGTTTGGTTTTAGCATTGTCCCAGGAAACCCCTCTAGTGCAGGACTGAGGTCCTTGGGGCTGAGTGAGGAGTGGCCGCATGCCAAATGAGTAATTGCTGGTGCTGTGGCAAAGCCCCCAGGCTTGGTCCTTGGAAGTTTGAACACTGTTGGGCTGGTGTTTGTTCCCAGCTGCCCTGAATGACCACACAGCTGGGTGTTTGGGAAACAATTAGTGGCATTCCTGACCCAAATACCTCCAATCTTGTTCATTAGTCACTCATATATGAGGAAATGAATTCAGGAAAAACACAATCATATATTATTTTGGTGTGAGTGTCTGCTCCCCAGTGTCACCCTGGTGTTTCGTTCTCTTATCACTCTAGATTGTGAATTTTTATTTGTAGCTGTCTTTCCCACCAGGTTCTCTCATAGAATCCTGAGTCTGGTGACTTAGTGTATCGCACATAATAGGGACTCCAGAAGTGTTTCATGAATAAATGCATGAAGATTCAATCTGTCTGTTGCAGAAACTAGGAGCCAAAAGGGCAGAATGAATGGTGAAACTGATCATTTTGAAAAGCGGTAAGTCAAAGTGAGAGGACCAGAATAGACACTGTAGGAAGTCTGGTTTCAAGCCAGCAAACAGGAAGCATTCAAACAACAACTCACAATCGTCCATGGGGCCTCGTTTGTTAGATTTCCTGGCAGAGGCTCTGTTTGTTTAGGGGCCTCCCTTCCAGCTGCTTTGCTGCCAGGCCCAATGTCTTCTCTCTTTTGCTGGCTGTTCATTCCTCCAACGCACATTTACTCAGGCACTGAGTCAGGCACTGGGCTGGGCATTGGGAAGGTGCAGAGGCTAGAAACAGGATGTCCTCCTAGGGGATGCATTATACACACACACACACACACACACACACACACACACACACACACACACAGCCAAGATGCAGTAGGAAAAGCAGTTAAGGCTGGGCGTGGTGGCTCACGCCTGTAATCCCAGCACTTTGGGAGGCCAAGGCGGGCAGATCATGAGGTCAGGAGAGCCAGACCATCCTGGCTAACACGGTGAAACCCCGTCTCTACTAAAAAATACAAAAAATTAGCCGGGCGTGGTGGCGGGCGCCTGTAGTCCTAGTTACTCGGGAGGCTGAGGCAGGAGAATGGCATGAACCTAGGAGGCGGAGCTTGCAGTGAGCCGGGATCGTGCCACTGCACTCCAGCCTGGGTGACAGAGCGAGACTCCGTCTCAAAGAAAAAAAAAAAAAAAGAAGTTAAGTGTCAGGAGGTATGGGTGCCTTCTTTTGAAGGGCGTTGTGTGACCTGACAGGTGTAAGCCAAGCTCTTTAAAGGCCAAAAGGATGCCATCCCCTGTTTGACGTGGGCCTGCCCTGCAGCTCCTCCTTGCATCTCCTGCACCTGCTTTCTTGCTCATCTCTGCAGGCTCTAGGCTTGTCTCTATATATGACTGTCAAATGCCACTGGCATGTAAGTGCTCCACTTGGCTCTCAGCCCCTCCTGTGCTGGCTGACACTGGCAGCTGACTGTGTTTTACTCATTCTCAACTCCACCCTCTCCTGCCCAATTGACTTTGATGCTGGGTGTTTGCCTCCTATGCCTACCAGCGCATTAAATTTTTATATGCAATGCTTCCTCTTTGCAGGCAGTGGGTTGGGTGCTGGGACTCTATTGGTAAACAAGTTTCTGTGGAGCTCATTATGGAGGAGGAGGGAGACAATAACCAGTCAATTATATCCAGTGTGATAAGTGCTATAATGGCCTAAGCTCCTGGGGCCATAGGGTGGAGTAGGGATTGGAGGTGGCCAAACCTGAAGTAAGGAGACCAGCAAGGAGGCTGCAGCTCTGTTTTTCAGTGGTACGTTGTGCCATGATTACAGTTCCATTTCTTTATCCATCTGTCTCCACCACCCATCTCTTCATTCATTCATGGGCTCCTTCAACAAGCTCTTGAAACACCTATTATGTGTCAGACACCCTGCTAGGTCCTGGGAATACCATGATAAAAAAGACTGGTTCTTCTACCACATTGGACTTTTGGCTTCCCAAATGTGTCCAGCTCCTCCCTGCCTCAGAGTCTTCACACTCACTGTTCCCTCTGCTTGAAAGATCATAGTCCCCATCTCCTTGACCAATTTACCTCCTCTAGCCTTTAGACCTCAGCTCAAAAGTCACCTCCTCAAGGAGGATGTCCCTGACCTCTTAACCAGTTCAGAGCCCCATTATGATGTTCTCACAGCAACCTGTAATTTTCTTTCATAGCACCTGTAATTACATATTTATTAGTGAGACTATTTCATTAGCGTTGGTCTCCCCAACACTTGGTCCTCTGTCAAGGACTCATTTATTATAACATTTATACTGTCTAACCCCTGGTAATGTATTTAATACATATAAATTAAGTGGATGGATAGATGATGGTTGGATGGATGGGATGGATGGATAGATGATTGCATAGGTTGATGGATAGATGATTGCATAGGTTGATGGATAGATGATTGGAAGGTTGGATGGATGGGATGGATGATTGGATGTTTAGATGGATGAATGCTTGGATGGTTGAATGGATGGATGGTTGGTTGGATGGATGGTTGGTTGGATGGATGGATGGATGGATGGATGGATGGATGAATGGATGAATGAACTGGAGCTGAGGCAGAGTAAAGGCAAGGACACATTCAGAGACTGATCCAGTAGTCAGAGCAGAAAAGAGATGAGAATTGGTGAATGGGCCAAGACAGTAAAAGTGGAAAAGCTGAGGAGGGAATTGACAGCAGGAATCTGCAGAATTTGGTCTCTGATTGAATGTCAGGGGTGAAGCAGAGGGAGGAGTGCAAGGTGACAGCCAAGCTTCTGACTGAGGGCTAGGGAGGCTGGAAACAAAGGAGAGCAAATCTGGAGGTGTAGGATAAAGAGGATGACTCCTGAATTTAAGAATCTGCTGAGGCAATCAAGTGGAAATTTAAAATGATTTTGGGCCACTATGGTAGTTAAGATAATACTGCTATCTGCCATAAGAAATAAATTCTACAATTTCAGTGGCTTAACACTATAGATGTTTTGGGTTTATTTTATTTTATTTTTGTTTTGCTCCACATGACAATCCGATGCAGGTATTTCAGATCAGCATGGCAACAAGGTGACATGGTGGTTTAGGGGACCAGACTCCTTCCCTCTTGTGGCTCCACCATATCATCTTAGCCCAAAAGGGCCATCTAGCATTTAAACCCTCTTGCAAACTTTATAAGGCAGAGCCTACCTCCCACCATAAAGCGAAAAATGCCCAACTCGTACTTTCTCAGATTTCCTTGCGTCCAAGGCACCGGCACATGGCCTAGTCACTGTCATTCAGACACTTCTCCCTCAGACTTTGATTTGGAAGCTAATGGCATACAGAATCCATTCAGGTGAAGGAGGCAGCAGGAGAGTTTGTCCTGCCAGTGTTCTGAGGCTGGCATGGCACCTATTCCAGCTGCAGCATCTAGTATTCAATGTCAGTGATATTAGTGGCCCAGGATTCTATGACTTTGTCCACTGATGGCACTTCTGTGGCATGATCTTTGACGTTTTTTGCTGTGTTGCCTAGTGTCCTTTCAGAGATTCTGTGAACTATTTAATATTTTTAACATTTTTTTTCTGTGTAAATTCACGAAGGTTGCTTTCTGTTGCTTGCAACTAGACACTTGGTCTCATATAGGCGAAGTATAAATGTACAGATAGCATTTGGATATGCAGTTGTAGAGCTTAGGAAATCTGGGGCAGAGATATTCATGGAGGTGGTTAAAGCCATGGGAGTGGATACGACTGCTCTGCTGCTGGGCACGGTAGCTTACGCCTGTAATCCCAAGGCTGAGGCAGGTAGATATCCTGAGTTCAGGAGTTTGAGACCAGCCTGGCCAACATGGTGAAACCCCATCTCTACTAAAAATACAAAAATTAGTGGGACATGGTGGTAGGCGCCTGTAATTCCAGCTACTCAGGAGGCTGAGGCACAAGAATCGCTTGAACCCAGGAGGCGGAGGATGCAGTGAGTGGAGACTGCACCACTGCACTCCAGGCTGGGCGACAGAGTGAGACTTTGTCTCAAAAAAAAAAAAGATTACTCTGCAAGTTGGCATCATGACAATGGAAGAGGACCTGGCCTGGACACTTGAGAAATGGCAGATGAATGGGAACTCACAAAGGAGGTAGAGAAGGAGCTAAATGTTCAGCTCTATTCCTAACCCACCAAGGCTCAGCTTGGAGTTTGCTGTTTGGGAAACCAACTCCTCATCCAGCAAAATAAGTCATTTGTTTCTTTAGGCTACATTCTCTTTTAGCTGATATTCCGCTTCTTGAATGCTGCTGCTGCTTCTTTGTCTTCTTAGGGCTGCTCCAGATGACTTCTGTCATTATGATGCTAATTACAACACCTGCTTATCTAGAGTGGTAATGTCAAATATGTGACACCGTCTTTACCAGTGCCCTTCCAATGCCAACAAACCCTGGTAATCACAGCAGGCATTTTTACCCAACAATAGTACTTTTTCCCAATAAACCTGGATGTACCCCTCAGAATCCTTCTCAACACAGTTCTCCAGACAGCTCTAAAAAATTCATGAGAGTTAGTTCATGAGATAGAGCCTGATTACTAGCTCAGGACAATATTTTTTCAGTTTACATAACATTTTTAGATACATTATCTCTTTTGCTTTTCTCAACAGCTTTATGAAGTAGTTGCTACTTCATAAAGGCCCATTTTAGGGATGAGAAAATGTATATTTCATGAAGATAAATGACTTGACCAAAATTACACATATAAATTATGGGAGAGTCAGAATCTGAACTTAGGGCTCTTGCTTATAAATTCTAAGCCTTTATCTAAACCAACAAGGTATTTCCCACCTGTGTTTCTTCCCAGTTAGGAGAACTATTTAATAAGCCTCAGGGAACAGAGAAAATCAAGAACAGTTGCTAAGCCTCCTGCACTGGCGTAGCAGACAGTACTGGTTACTCTAACTGGGAAATGTTATGTTCTAGATAAAAATACTGCGAAATCCCAATCTCTCATTGAAGTTTGGACAATTTTTTTTTTTTTTTTTTGAGACGGAGTCTCACTCTGTCTCCCAGGCTGGAGTGCAGTGGCGCGATCTCGGCTCACTGCAAGCTCTGCTTCCCAGGTTCAGGCCATTCTCCTGCCTCAACCTCCTGAGTAATTGGGCTACAGGCGCCTGCAACCACGCCCAGCTAATTTTTTGTATTTTTAGTAGAGACGGGGTTTCACCGTGTTAGCCAGGACGGTCTCGATCTCCTGACCTCGTGATCCGCCCGCCTCGGCCTCCCAAAGTGCTGGGATTACAGGCGTGAGCCACCGCCACGCCCGGCTGGACAATTTTTTAAAATGTATTATTATTTTTTATTTTTTTGAGACAGAGTCTCACTCTGCCACCCAGGCTGGAGTGCAGTGGTGTGATCTCGGCTCACTGCAACCTCTGCCTCCCAGGTTCAAGCGACTACCCCACCACACTTGGCTAATTTTTGTATTTTTAGTAAAGACAGGGTTTCACCATGTTGGTCAGTCTGGTCTTCAACTCCTTACCTCAGGTGATCTGCCCACCTCAACCTCCCAAACTGCTGGGATTACAGGCAAGAGCCACCATGCATGGCCTTTTTTGTGGGGAGAGGGGACAGAGTCTCGCTCTGTCACCCAGGCTGGAGTGCAGTGGCACGATCTCGTCTCGCTGCAACCTCTGCCTCCCAGGTTCAAGTGATTCCCCTGCCTCAGCCTCCCAAGTAGTTGGGATTACAGGCACCTGCCACGACACCTGGCTAATTTTTGTATTTTCAGTAGAGATGGGGTTCCACCATGTTGGCCAGGCTGGCCTTGAACTCCTGACATCAAGAGATCCGCCCACCTCAGCCTCCCAAAGTGCTGGGATTACAGGTGTGAGCCACTGTGCCAGGCCGAAGTTTGGACAAATGTTTGGCTGTATGTTCTAAGAAGCCATGGTGTATGCCAGCAGGAGATAGGAGCACAGTAACCTTTAGACATCTAGGCAGGTTGGCCTTGAATATCTAGAAAGTTGGTCCATGGGCAGCCAAGCCATAGCCACTGAGATTTAGGGACAGAATTTTGTTGAATAATTCACAATTTTTTTAAAAAAAGTAAACATGTTCTGATCCTCTAAGGACACACCAGGCCCAGGGAAAGGACCAAACAATGTGTGGTATACACATGGATTAGTATACTGACATCCATTCTAATTGAGAGGCTAGGACTACAAATGGCATTTTCCATACCCCCTTGTAGCTACTGTACAAAATGGCAATTACTTTCAACCAACCAAATGTACCTGCATGTGGTGTTGAATTTTGTAGGGAGAGCAATGTGGCAGCAATGGTGGTAGAGGCTGTATGGAACTGGAGGCTGCCAGTGATTTCCTGGTTTGGGAGGTAGTTTCCTGGAGGTGGCTGGGGTGGCAGCTTCCTGCTTCTGAAGCTTCTTGATCATGCAGAAGCAGAAGGTCCCTTGGCTGCACAGTTCTGTGTTGTGGTTTTGGGAGTCCTTCCGGAAGGTTCATTCTAGTGTCTATTTCTTTAGGGCCTCCAGTGATTCTGTGATCTGTCTTTAACACGTAATAAATACCTTTCTGTTTAAACTAGCTGGGGCAGATTCTGTGGTCTGCAACTGAGAACACTGACCCACACCCCACGCCCGGGAGAAATATGTCTGCTTGTACTTAGATTCTTCCTGGTAATTCAGAGGCCTTCAGAGAAGCAGATTCTGAGCATGAAGCTGACTTGTTGCCCTCCGCCAGGATTCGGATTGTGCCACTGCTCTGGTTCCAGCAAAGTGGCCGTGTTCTTTCTGAAATAGAAGCCCAGCCCTGCTGCGAGATATACCAGCTTCCAGCTGGGGAGGTAGTTACTCTTCCTAATATCCCTGTTAGAAAGGAAACAAAAGGGATGAAGTGTTCATGCTGTTCCTAGAAAGAAAGTAGAGAACCATACTTGAATACCTCTTTCAATAACCCTTGCCCAGGGGCTTCTTTCTCTGAGTCAGCAGTCCCATGGTTAGGAGGGATGTGTGTGTCTGTGTCTGTGTGTGCACGTGTGTGTGTATGAAAGACCAATCCCTGGGGCATTTGTATGAATGAAGTACTGGGTCTTGCCCCTTATATTAACCATGTCTTTTATTTCTGTATTCTGATGCTTTGACATCTTGGGTCCTCCTTGACTCTAGAGGGACTGCCCTCCTAGGGTTATTCAAATACAAACCAACCAATCCAGAGTCCCCCCTCCCAACCATCTCCTTTACTGGACTCTCACACTCCCTGTCCTAATAACTCCAGGGCCAGGTACCAAATAGCTAGAGATAGCCCCTATACCCCAGAACCCCTTGTAATTATTCAAAGCAGCCAATTCCAACACTGTCTCCCTGATTCCTTCCTATAGAAACCACAACAAAGGCTCTTGTCCACATTTTTCTCTCTCTCCCTCTGCCTTCAGTCTAGCCCTGGTGCTTTCTTGTGTGTTCCCCATGGTGTGGCACGCCCTGCTTTTTTTTTCCTTTTCTTTTTTTGAGATGGAGTCTCGCTCCATCACCCAGGCTGGAGTGCAGTGGCACAATCTCGGCTCACTGCAACCTCCGCCTCCCGGGTTCAAGCAATTCTCCTGCCTCAGCCTCCCGAGTAGCTGGGACTACAGGCGTCTGCCATCATGCCTGGCTAATTTTTTGTGTTTTTAGTAGAGACGGGGTTTCACCATGTTAGCCAGGATGGTCTCGATCTCCTGACCTCATGATCTGCCTGCCTCGGCCTCCCAAAGTGCTGAGATTACAGGTGTGAGCCACTGCGCCCAGCTGGCATGCCCCCTTCTTATGGGATCTGGGAGTATAACAAAATATCTTTCCAATGGCAGTTGTCTGTTGGGTTTGCCATACCTAAACAGTAATAAAACCTACATTGTAAAGTGCACCTTTATTCATTAATTCCATCCATTTAAAGCAGCGGTCTCCAACAATTTTGGCACCAGGGACTGGTTTTGTGGAAGACAATTTTTCCAGGGATGGCGTGTGTGTGTGCAGGGGATGGTTTGAGGATGATTCAAGTGCATTACGTTTATTGTGCACTTTGTTTCTGTTATTATTACATTGTAATATATAATGAAATAATTATACAACTCACCATAACGTAGATTCAGTGGGACCCCTGAGCTTGTTTTCCTGCAACTAGACGGTCCCATCTGGGGGTGACAGGAGACAGTGACAGATCATCAGGCATTAGATTCTCATAAGCAAAATCTAGATTTGTCGCACGTGCAGTTCACAATAGGGTTTGTGCTCCCGTGAGAATCTAATGCCGCCGCTGATCTGACAGGAGGCAGAGCTCAGGTGGGAATACGAGTGATGGAGAGCAGCTGTAAATACAGATGATGCCTTGTTCGCTTGCCTGCCAATCACCTCCTGCTGTGTGGCCTGGTTCCTAACAGACGGTGGACCAGTACCAGTCCATGACCTGGAGGCTGGGAACCCCTGATTTAAAGAATGTCTGTTTAGGCCTCTTAAACACCAGGCACAATTCTAGGAATAGAGAATTCTGTGATGAGCAAATCAGACACTGGAGCTGCCTTTAAGAAGTCTAAGTAGGGCAGGCTCAGTGTCGTGGCTCACGCCTGTAATCCTAGCACTTTGGGAGGCTGAGGTGGGTGGATCACTTGAGCTCAGGAGTTCGAGACCAGCCTGGTCAACATGGTGAAACCTCGTCTCTACTAAAAATACATAAATTAGCAGGATGTGATGGCGGGAGCCTGTAATCCCAGCTACTCGGGAGGCTGAGGCAGGAGAATTGCTTGAACCTGGGAAGCAGAGGTTGCGGTGAGCCAAGATTGCGCCACTGCACTCCAGCCTGGGCAACAGAGCAAGACTCCATCACACACACACACACACACACACACACACACACACACACGAAGAATAAGTAGGGCAGCCCGGGTACGGTGCCTCACGCTTATAATCCCAGCACTTTGGGAGGTCGAAGCGGGTGGATCACTTGAGGTCAGGAGTTCGAGACCAGCCTGGCTAACATGGTGAAACTCTGCCTCTACTAAAAATACAAAAATTAGCCAGGCGTGGCAGCGCGTGACTGTAGTCCCAGCTACTTGGGAAGCGGAGGCAGGAGAATGGCTTGAACCTGGGAGGCGGAGGTTGCAGTGAGCTGAGATCGCACCATCGCACTCCAGCCTGGGTGACAGAGCGAGACTCCATCTCAAAAAACAAGTATAAGTAGGGCAGACAGACATGAGACAAATAATCAAAAAAATAAACATATAATTTTAAAATATGACAAATTATATGAAGAAAAACATTACAGGTTACTATGTCAATATAAGAAAGCAGGATGTGGGTCGGGTGCAGTGGCTCATACCTGTAATCCCAGCACTTTGGGATGCTGAGGCGGGCAGATTGCCTGAAGTCAGGAGTTCAAGACCAGTCTGGCCAACATGGTGAAACTCCGTCTCTACTAAAAATACAAAAAAATTAGCCAGGCGTGGTGGTGTGCACCTGTAATCCCAGCTACTCGGGAGGCTGATGCAAGGGAATTGCTTGAACCAGGGAGGTAGAGGTTTCAGTGAGCCGAGATTGCGCCACTGCACTCCAGCCTGGGCGACAGAGCAAGACTCTGTCTCAAAAAAAAAAAAGAAGAAAACAGGATGTGGCTACTAAACTAAAGCCTGAAGCATGAGCTAAGTGAGAATAACATGTGCAAAGGCCCTGAGGCAGGAAAGAGGTTGTGTTAGAGGAGAGAAGAGAGGGTTAGGATGGCTGAAAGATCAAGAGTAAAAAGTGAACATCAGATGGCTCCAGAGAGACTGGCAGGACTAGATCATGTAAAGCTTTGAAGGTCATCTTAAGGATTTTGAAATTCTTCCTTAAAGTAATGAGAAAGCCTAGACGGGACAAAATGGGAGCAGGAAGAACAACAGGAAGACAAGTGCGAAAGTGCAAAAGAGCTGTGGACTGGGATTGGGGCACGAGGGATCAAGGAAAGTGGATGAATTTGAAATTTATTTGAAATTGGAATTGACAAGACTTGGTGATGGTTGAATGTGGGAGTGCTGGGAGGGAGGAGTGGAGGCTACATTGCATCACTGTTTAAACCTGGGCTTGCAGCAGCCTCTGCAAGGCATGTGGGGAGTAGGATCCTTAGTCCATATGGCCCAAGTTTCTCGTGTCAGCAGCTGTACACTTACCAGAGAAGCAGGTCCTGGAGGAGCTCCAGGCCCAGCTCCTGAGCCCAGACTGTCTTCCTAAGGGTCTCAGTGATGCTGGCAGAAGTGGGAAAGCACCTGTTGATTGGCCTCCCTGCCTGCCGCTAGACCCCTGACACGAAAAGACTTGGACCAGGGACCTGTACCCCGAGCTTACCTCTGCTGCCACCTCAGCAGAATGGAGGGCTTCCGAGGGGAAAAAGCTGTGGGGTAACAGCATATAAATGTTTGGACATAATTTTCCTTTTTCCTTCCTATCTTTATGTTCCTTAGAAGAAATCATTTGCCCTTTTTGGCGGGTGGGGGTAGAACAACTTTTCCAGGACTAAATAAGATATCCTTCCTCCAGGGAGTACAAATTAGGTATTCTCTAAAAGTAACAGAGGTGACCAAAATAAGGACTTTGAATGCTATTTATTGCCAAGAATATCCTGGTTTAAGCATACCTCTCTGGGAGACAAGGATATCACAGTATGAAGATCCACTCTCCACTTTGCTGTGCTCTGTGTCCCAGGAGGCCAACCTGGATGGGTGGCATCAGTGGCACCTTTGCCCTTCATCTCCTGGTTGGGCTTGGTCAGTGGACAATATTGGCAGGAGATGGGAAGGTGGGAGGTTTCCTTCCTACCATATTGTTGTGAGTTGGCTGCATCCTTTTAGGGGTCATAGCTTCTAACAGTTGTTCCTCTTGATACCCTTCCTGTGTTCTGATAACTAGTCCTTCACCCTTGCCTCTTCAGCCTTAGTGGGGGTAATAGCTCCAGGCTGTTACTGGCCCTGGCATACAGCACTACTTGTGCCTCATATGTTTTCTTAAACCATGCTCATACCTTTTGTATACATAGTTGCTTTTTTAAACTCTTCTCAAATTGCCCTGTTAAAATACACCATCTAGGGCTGGGCACAGTAGCTCACACCTGTAATCCCAGCACTCTGGGAGGCCAACGTGGGCAGATTGTTTGAGCCCAGGAGGCTGAGACCGACCTGGGAAACATAGCGAGACTCCATCTCTACAAAAAATTAGAAAAATTAGCTGGGCATGGTGTCATGTGCCTGTAGTTGCAGTTACTTATGAGGCTAAGGTGGGAGGATTGCCTGAGCTCAGGAGTTCCAGGCTGCAGTGAGCTGTGTTTGCGCCACTGCACTCCAGCCTGGGTGACAAAATGAGACCATGTCTCAAAAATAAATAAAAATGAAATAAAATAAAGCATACCATCTGTTTCCCACCAAGACCTTGACTGATAAGTAAGTTACAACCTTTCTAGAGTTCAATTTCCCCATTTATAAATTCTTTCTAGCTTTAACATTTCAATCATCATACACTTTCTAAATAAAGACAATCTTTTTTTTTTAAAAGAAGCACTTGTGTTTTTAAAAAACTGACTCCTGACTTCTGGTTTCCAGTCCGACACGTATGGAACTTGGAAGTCAGCACTCTGTCCTAACAAGTAAAAAGCTGAACAAACTGAAAAAAAATAACATCTCTTCTTTTGTTCTGTTAGAAAAGTAAGGTCACATAGCAAACTGCTGCCCCCAAAATTGGAGAGATAGGCAAATGCAGAGAATCACAATTTACTGTAATAGAAACTTCCACAGGAACCTGTACCAGGATAGGAAAATCTGAATTGTAATTCAAGAATTGCTGGAGACTCAGAGTGGCAAGTTTGACAGTTAATTCCAGGAAGACTCATTCAGGGGGGCCGCCATACTTTTGAGTTTTACCTCCAGGAGTTCTAACAGGTTCTCACAATGATTATCAGAGAAAAATCCCCTTGTGCTTCTAGCAGGGAGAGGGGAAAACAAACCATTTTGAAATGTATAAGAATATTCTGTCATTCTCTCTCTCTCGTTTTTTTTTTTTTTTTTTTTTTTTTAATAAAAGTCTCACTCTGTCACCCAGGCTGGAGTACAGCAGCATAATCCTGGCTCACTAGTCTCCACCTCCCAGGCTCAAGGGATCCTCCTGCTTAGCCTCCCAAGTAGCTGGGACTATGGGTGTGTACCACCACACTCAGCTAATGTTTTTTGTTGAGATGGGGTCTTGCCATATTGGCCAGGCTGGTCTCAAACTCCTGGCCTGAAACAATCCTCCTGCCTTGGCCTCTCAAAGTGCTGGAATTGGAGACTTGAGCCACTGTGCCTGGCTGCCTTCTGTTATCCTTAACAAGGCCTGCACTCAGAGAAACGACTTCACCATTGTCTGGGGTTTTATCAGAGCCTAGCCAATCAGGGGAGAGAAAAATGCCCAACTCCAGCCCTCTTTAGCCTTCTATCTGATAGAAGAAAAATACCCAACCTCAACCCACTATAGCCACCATGTCTCACCTAGGTGGCGGGGGAAAAAACCTGAGAAGTACTTGTGAAGTTCACAGTCCAGAGGCACAGGCTCACTAAAAGACCGAGATCCAGTCATAGGACTATATAATGCTTCCCTTCCCCTCATGCCACACCTTGCCACCACATCACTAAAGGCTTATTTATCTCAGTTTCTTCTACAAGGCATACTAAAAGGCAAAAACACAGTTTGCAGAGACAGAGCAAGCATCAGAACCAGACTCAGATATGCAGGGACACTGGAAATATCAGACCATGAATTTATTTTTATTTTATTTTATTTTATTTTTTGAGATGGAGTCTCACACTGTCACCCGGGCTGGTGTGCAATCTTGGCTCACTGCCACCTCTGCCTCCCGGGTTCAAGCGATTCTCCTGCTTCAGCCTCCTGAGTAGCTGGGACTACAGGCATGCACCAGCACACCCGGCTAATTTCTGTATTTTTAGTACAGATAGGGTTTCACTATGTTGGCCAGGCTGGTCTCAAACTCCTGACCTCGTGATCCGCCCACCTCGGCCTCCCAAAGTGCTGGGATTACAGCCACTGCGCCCAGCCCAGACCAGGAATTTAAGAGAACTATGATGAATATGCTAAGGGATCTAATGGATAAAGTAGAAAGCATGCAAGAACAGATGGGCAATGCAGAGAGATGGAAATTCTAAGAAAGAATAAAAAGTAAATGCTAGAGATCAAAAACATTGTAACAGAAATAAAGAATGCCTTTGACGGGCTCATTAGTAATGTGCATAAGGCTGAGGAAAGACTCTCTCAGCTTAAAGATATGTCAATAGAAACTTCTGAAATGAAAAAGCAAAGAGAAAATAGTCCGAAAAAAAAACAAAAAGAAACTCAGGATGCTGAGTTGGGAGGATCACTCAAGCCCAAGAGGCAGAGGTTGCAGAGAGCCAAGATCGGGCCACTGCACTCCAGCCTGGGCAACAGAGCAAGACCCTGTCTCTTTAAAAAAAAAAAAAAAAAGCTGGGCACAGTGGCTCACGCCTGTAATTCCAGGACTTTGGGAGGCCAAGGCAGGCAGATCACTTGAGGTCACGAGTTTGAGACCAGCCTGGCAAACATGGCGAACCCTGCCTCTACTAAAAATATAAAAATTAGCCAGGCATGGTGGTGCATGCCTGTAGTCCCAGCTACTTGGGAGGCTGAGGCAGGAGAATCACTTGAATCCAGGAGGCAGAAGTTGCAGTGAACTGAGATTGTGCCACTGCATTCTAGCCTGGGCAAACTCCGTCTCAAAAAAAAAAAAAATCATCAAAATTAAAAGTCTGTTCTTTGAAAAGATCAATAAAATCAATAAGCCTCTAACCAGGCTAAAAAAAAAAAGAGTTGACAAATTATTAATATCAGAAGTGAAAGATACCTCTTTCACTTCTGATATTAATAATTACATATCCCATGAACATTAAGAGGTTAAGAAAGGAATATTATGAACAACTATGCCCAGGCATTTGACAAACTAGATGAAATGGGCAAATTCCTTGAAAGATACAATCTGCCAAAACATATGAAGAGAAACAGACAATCTGAATGGGCCAATATCTATTAAAGAACTTGAATCAGCCAGGCATGGTGGCTCACGCCTGTAATCCTAGCACTTTGGGAGGACGAGGTGAGCGGATCATGAGGTCAGGAGTTCGAAAACAGCCTGACCAACATGGCGAATCCCTACTTAAAATACAAAAATTAGCCGGGCGTGGTGGCAAGTGCCTGTAATCCCAGCTACTCAGGAGGCTGAGGCAGGAGAACTGCTTTAACCCAGGAGGTGGAGCGTGCAGTGAGCCGAGGTCACGCCACTGCACTCCAGCCTGGGTGACAGAGCAAGACTCTGTCTCAAAAAAAAAAAAAAGTTGAATCAATGATTAATAATTTTCTGTAACAGAAAGCATCAGGCCCAGATGAGTTCACTGGTGAATTCTATCAAATATTTAAGGAAGAAATTATTCTGACTCTCTAATCTCTTTCAGAAGATAGAAGCAGAGGGAATACTTCCTAGCTCATTCTGTGAGGTCAATATTACCTTAATATCAAAACAAGACAAAGAAAAGAAAACTACAGACCAATATTTCTCATGAATATTAATGCAAAAATACTCAACACCATATTAACAAATCAAATACGACAATGTGTAAAAAGAATTGTATGCCATAACCAGGGCCAGGCTTGGTGGCTCACACATGTAATCCCAGCACTTTGGGAGGCCAAGGGGGCAGATCTCCTGAGGTCAGGAATTCGAGACCAGCCTGGTCAACATGTAAAAACCCCATCTCTACTAAAAATACAAACATTAGCTGGGCGTGGTGGTGCACATCTGTAGTCCCAGCTACTTGGGAGGCTGAGGCAGGAGAATTGCTTGGACCTGGGAGGTGGAGGTTGCAGTGACCTGAGATCGCGTCATTGCACTCCAGCCTGGATGACGAGGGAAACTTCAACTCAAAAAACAAAACAAAACAAAACAGGCTGGGTGCAGTGGCTCACGCCAGTAATCCCAGCACTTTGGGAGGCTGAGGCAGGTGGATCACGAGGTCAGGAGTTCAAGACCAGCCTGGCCAACATAGTGAAACCCTGTCTCTACTAAAAATACAAAAATTAGCTGGGCATGGTGGCACGCACCTGTAGTCCCAGCTACTCCAGAGGCTGAGGCAGGAGAATCGCTGGAACCTGGGAGGTGGAGGTTGCTGTGAGCTGGGATCACGCCACTGCACTCCAGCTTGGGTGACAGAGCGAGACTTCGTCTCAAAAACAAAACAAAACAAAAGAATTATATACCGTGACCAAATGGAATTACCCAAGGTATGCAAGCCTGGTTCAACATTCAAAAACTCAATCACTATAATCCATCACATCAACAGAGAAAGAAAAATCACAAGATTACATCAATAGATACAAAAAAAAATTGACTAAGTCCGATACCCATTTATGATAAAAACTCTCACCAAACTAGGACTAGAAGAGAACTTCCTCTATTTGATAAAGAACATTAACAAAACCCTATAGCTAACACCTATTAATGGTGAGAAACAAGAAGCTTTCTCAGCTCAGAAACAAGGTAAGGGTGTCCTCTTTCACTTCTCTTTTTCAGTGTTGTGTCCGGAATTGGTGGGTTCTTGGTCTCACTGTGTCCAGAATTGGTAGGTTCTTGGTCTCACTGACTTCAAGAATGAAGCCGTGGACCCTCACAGTGAGTGTTACAGTTCTTAAAGGCAGCGTGTCCGGAGTTTGTTCCTTCTGATGTTCAGATGTGTTCGGAGTTTCTTCCTTCTGGTGGGTTCGTGGTCTCGCTGGCTCAGGAGTGAAGCTGCAGACCTTCATGGTGAGTGTTACAGCTCTTAAGGCGGCGTTTCTGGAGTTGTTCATTCCTCCCAGTGGGCTCGTGGTCTCACTGGCTTCAGGAGTGAAGCTGCAGACCTTCGCGGTGAGTGTTACAGCTCATAAAGGCAGTGTGGACCCAAAGAGTGACCAGCAGTAAGATTTATTGCAAAAAGCAAAAGAACAAAGCTTCCACGGTGTGGAAAAAGACCCTAGCGGGTTGCTACTGCTGGCTCTGGCAGCCTGCTTTTATTCTCTTATCTGGCCCCACCCACATCCTGCTGATTGGTAGAGCCCAGTGGTCTGTTTTGACAGGGCGCTGATTGGTGCGTTTACAATCCCTGAGCTAGACACAGAGGTGCTCCACGTCCCCACCAGATTAGCTAGATACAGTGTCCACACAAAGGTTTTCCAAGTCCCCTGGTAGTAGCTAGATACAGAGTGTCGATTGGTGTATTCACAAACCCTGAGCTAGACACAGGGTGCTGATTGCTGTGTTTACAAACCTTGAGCTAGATACAGAGTGCCGACTGGTATATTTACAATCCCTGAACTAGACATAAAGGTTCTCCAAGGCCCCACCAGAGTAGCTAGATACAGAGTGTCGATTGGTGCATTCACAAACCCTGAGCTAGACATAAAGGTTCTCCATGTCCCCACCAGACTCAGGAGCCCAGCTGGCTTCACCCAGTGGATCCCGCACTGGGGCTGCAGGTGGAGCTGCCTGCCAGTCCCCCGCCATGCGCCCGCACTCCTCAGCCCTTGGGTGGTCAATGGGACTGGGTGCCCTGGAGCAGGGGGCGGCGCTCGTCGGGGAGGCTCGGGCCGCACAGGAGCCCACGGAGGGCGGGCAGGCTCAGGCATGGCAGGCGACAGGTCCCAAACCCTGCCCCGCCGGAAGGCAGCTAAGGCCGGGAGCGAAATTGAGCACAGCAGCTGCTGGCCCAGGTGCTAAGCCCCTCACTGCCCAGGGCCAGTGGGGCCCGCAGGCCGCTCGGAGTGCGGGGTCTGCCCAGCACACGCCCACCCGGAACTCACGCTGGCCCGCAAGCACAGCGCGCAGCCTCGGTACCCCCCCTGCCTCTCCTTCCACACCTCCTCACAAGCTGAGGGAGCCGGCTCCGGCCTTGGCCAGCCCAGAAAGGGGCTCCCACAGTGCAGCGGCGGGCTGAAGCGCTCCTCAAGTGCCGCCAAAGTGGGAGCCCAGGCAGAGGAGGCGCCCAGAGCGAGCGAGGGCTGTGAGGACTGCCAGCACACTGTCACCTCTCAGTGTCATACTGGAAGATCTAATAATGTAATAAGACCAGAAAAGAAAATATGTACTGATTAAGAAGGAATATTAAACTGTCTTTGCTCTCAGATGATATGATTGTTTACGTAGAAAATCTAAAAGAGCCGGGGTGGTGGCTCACACCTGTAATCCCAGCACTTTGGGAGGCCAAGGTAGGCAGATCACTTGAGGCCAGGAGTTCGAGACCAGCCTGGCCAACATGGAGAAACCCCGTCTTTTCTAAAAATACGAGAATTAGCCAGGCATGGGGGTGCATGCCTGTAATCCCAGCTACTCAGGAGGCTGAGGCACAAGAATCACTTGAACCCAGGAGGCAGAGGTTGCAGTGAGCCGGGGTTGCACCACTGCACTCCAGCCTGGGTGACAGAGTAAGACTCTGTCTCAATTTAAAAAAAAAAGAAAGAAAGAAAAAGAAAAGAAAATCCGAAAGAATAGATTAAAAAAAAAACCCCGGAGCTAATAAGTGCTTATAGCAGCTTTGCAGGATATAAGGTTAATACAAAAAAGTCAATCACTTTCCTATATACCAGCAATGAACTATTAGAATTTGAAATTAAAAACACAATATCATTTACATTAGCACCTCAAAAAATGAAATAAGTGTAAATCTAACAAAATATGCACAAGATTTATGTGAGAAAAACTATAAAACTCTGCTGAAAGAAATCAAATAACTAAATAAAATGGAGATATATTCCATAGTCATTCATAGGAAGATCCGATATTGTCAATATATTGGTTCTTGCTAACTTGATCTATAATTTCAATGCAATCCCAATGGTATAAGTTGGATGTTTGTCTCCTTTAAATCTCATGCTAAAATACTATTCCCAGTGTTGGAGGTGGGGCCTGGGAGGTGATTGGATTGTGGGGGCGGATGTCTCAAGAATGTTTTATCACTTTCCCATTGGTGAGAATTGAATTCTTGCTCAAGATCTGGTTGTTTAAAAATCTAGGCCCTCCCCCACTGGCTCACTTGCTGTTACTCTAGTCATGTTACATGCCTGCTCCCACTTCGCCTTATGCCATGATTGTAAGCTTCCTGAAGTCCTCACCAGAAGCCAAGCAGATGTTGGTGCCATGCTTTTATAGCCTGCAGAACTGTGAGCCAATTAAACCTCTTTTCTTCATAAATTACTCAGTCTGAGGTATTCCTTTACACCAAAGCAAGAATGGCCAAGTACACCCAACCAATATCCCAGCAAGTTATTTTCTGCATATTGCCAAACTGATTCTAAAATTTATATGGAGAGGCAAGAGACAGGATAGCCAACACAATATTGAAGGAGGAGAACATAGTTGGAAGACTGACATTACCCAACTTCAAGACTAATTATTAAAGCTACACTAATCAAGACAGTATGGTATTGGTGAAAGAATAGACAAATATGTCAATGGAACAGAATAGAGCCCAGAAATAGAGCCAAATAAATACAGTCAACTGACCTTTGACAAAGCGACAAAGCAATACAATGAAGCAAAGATATTGTTTTCAACAAATTGCGCTGAAGAACTGGCCAAACACTTGAAAAAACATCTAGGCAAAGATCTTACATGTTTCACAAAAATTAACTCAAAATGGATTATAGGCCCAAATGTAAAATGCAAAATCATAGAACTCCTAGAAGACAACAAGAGAAAATCTGTGTGACATTGGGTATTGGGTATTAGTTATGGTGAAGACTTTTTTACATAAAACACCAAAGGCACAACCCATGAAATAAATAATTGATAAGCTGGGATTCATTAAAATTTTAAAAGTTCTGTTCTGTGAAAGACCCTGTTAACAGAATGAGAAGACAAGCCAAGGATGCAAGAAAATATTTGCAAAAGACATAGTTGATAAACTGTTGTTATCCAAAATATACAAAGAACTCGTAAGGCTGGGTGCGGTGGCTCACGCCTATAATCCCAGCACTTCAGGAGGCTGAGGCGGGCAGATCACAGGTCAGGAGAGCAAGACCATCCTGGCCAACACAGTTAAACCCCACCTCTACTAAAAATACAAAAAATTAGCTAGGCATGGTGGCGGGCACTTGTAGTCCCAGCTACTCTGGAGGCTGAGGCAGGAGAATGGCATGAACCCTGGAGGCGGAGGTTGCAGTGAGCCAAGATTGCGCCACTGCACTCCAGCCTGGGCGACAGAGCAAGACTCTGTCTCAAAAAAAAAAAAAAAAAATAGGCTGAGTGTGGTGGCTCACACCTGTAACCCCAGCACTTTGGGAGGCCAAGGTGGGCAGATCACAAGGTCAGAAGTTTGAGACCAGCCTTGCCAACATGGTGAAATCCTGTCTCTACTAAAAATACAAAAAATTAGCTGGGCGTGGCGGTGGGCACCTGTAATCCCAGCTACTTGGGAGGCTGGGACTGGAGAATCGCTTGAACCCGGGAGGCGGAGGTTGCCATGAGACCGTGTCATTACACTCCAGCCTGGCGACAGAGCAAGACTCCATCTCAAAAAAAAAAAAAGAACTCTTAAAACTCAACCATAAGAACAAACAAACTGGTTAAAAAATGGGGAAGCAGGCTGGGTGTAGTGGCTCAGGCCTGTAATCCCAGTACTTTGGGAGGCCAAGGCTGGTGGAGGGTTTGAGGTCAGGAGTTCGAGACTAGCCTGACCAACATGCTGAAACCCCATCTCTAATAAAAATACAAAATTAGCCAGGCGTGGTGGCGCATGCCTGTAATCCCAGCTTCTCAGGAGGCTGGGGCGGGAGAATTGCTTGAACCTGGGAGGCGGAGGCGGTGAGCTGAAATTGTGCCATTGCACTCCAGCCTGGACAACAAGAGCGAAACTCTGTCTCAAAAGAAAAAAAAAAAGTTGCTGAGCTCTCTTCCAAAAGTGGCTGTACCATTTTGTATTCCCATTAGTAATGAGTGAGAGCTCCTGATGCTCCATATTCTCGCCAGCATTTGGTGTTGTCTGTGTTTTGGATTGGAGCCATTCTAATAGGTGTGTAGTGGTATCTCGTTGTTTTAATTGGTAATTCCCTTATGACAGATGTGAGCATCTTTTTATATATTTATTTGCCACCTGTATATCTTCTTTGGTGAGGTGAGGTCGAACTCCTGCCCTCAGGTGATCTGCCCATCTCGACCTCCAAAAGTGCTGGGATTACAGGCATGAGCCACCATGCCCAGCCAAGCTTGGCAATTTCTTACACAGCACAACATAGACTTATCATATGATTCGGCAATCATGCTCCTAATTTGCCCAAATGGTTAAAAACTTTGTCCACACAAAAACCTGCACATGAATGTTCGTAGCAGCTTTATTAATAATTGCCAAAACTTGGAAGCAATCAAGATGCCCTTTAATAGATGAATGGATAAATAAACTGTGATACATCTAGAAAAAATGACGTTATTTAGTAATAAAGATAAATGATTTATCAAGCCATAAAAAGATAAGAAGGGATGCTAAATATTACTAAGTGGAAGGAACCAATCTGAAAAGGCCACAGACTGTATCATTCCAACTATATGACATTCTAGAAAGGGAAAACTATGGAGCCAGTAAAGAGGTCAGTGTTTGCCAGGGGTTAGGGAGTAGGGAGGGATGAACAGGCAGAGCACAGAGGATTTTTATGGTAATGAAACTATTCTGTATAATATTATAATGATGGGTGCATGTTATTATACATTTGTCCAGACTCATAGAATGTTCAGCACCAAAAGTGAATTTAGACTTTGGGTGATAATAATGTGTCAATGTAGGTTCATCAAATGTAACAAATGTATCATCCTGGAGTGGGATGTTGTTAGTGGGAAAGGCTGTGAGGATATAAAAACAGGAAGTGAATGGTAAATTCCGTACCTTCTGTTCAATTTCGCTGAGAACCTAAACTACTAAAAAGTAAAGTCTATTTAAGAAAGAGTCAACTGACTCCCTCTCTGGCCTCTAGCTATCTTGTTCCCTGCCACCCCGGGGCATGCAGAACTAATTTTTTTGTTGCTAAACAAATGGGCTGGTTGTTTTTAAAAAGTTATTTTACTGAGGAAAAATTTACATATAATAAAATGCACCCATTTTAAATGTACCATTTAATGTGGGATTTTCTTTTTCAGCTCAATGAGTTTTGACAAGCGTAAACCCCCTGTGTAACCGCCAGCCAGCACAATCAAGATATAGAATATTTCCACCACCTCAAAAAGTTCCCTCATGCCCCTGTGCAGCCGATTCCCATACCCCAGCCCCAGAAAACCACTCATTTGCTTTCTCTGCCATTACAAGATTAGTTTTGCCTATTCAGGAAATTCATGTAAACAGGATTATGTGATAGGGAATTTTTTTGTGTCTGGCTTCTTTTACTTTAACATTATTTTAAAATATTTATTCATGTTGTTGCATGTATTAGTAAGTCATTCTTTTTTATTGTTGATTAGTATTCCACGTACGGATATACCATTTTGTTTATCCATTTTCCTGTTAATGGCATTTGAATGGGCTATTATATTTATAATAGCTTTGGGCTATTATAAATAAACTTGCTATGAAAATTTGACTAGACTTCCTTGGGTAGACATATTTTTCTCTTAAGTAGAATACTGACAGTGGAATTATGTGGTTGTATGATAAGTTTATGTTTAACTTTATAAGAAACTGCCAAACTATTTTCCAATGTGATTGTACCATTTTACACACCCACCAGCAGTGTATGAGAGTTCCAGTTCTTCTATGTCCTCGTCACACTTGGTATTATCAATCTTTTTTATTTTTGCCAGTCTAGAGGGTATTGAGAGGCAGTCTCTCAGTGCGTGTGTGTGTGTGTTTTGTTTTGTTTTTTTTAAGATGGAGTTTCGCTCTTGTTGCCCAGGCTGGAGTGCAATGGCGTGATCTCTGCTCACTGCAGCCTCTGCCTCCTGGGTTCAAGCAATTCTCTTGCCTCAGCCTTCCGAGTAGCTGGGATTACAGGTGCCCGCCACCACGCCTGGCTACCTGTTTTTGCATTTTTAGTAGAGACAGGGTTTCACCATGTTGGCCAGGGTGGTTTCGAACTCCTGGCCTCAAGTGATCCGCCCACCTTGGTCTTCCAAAGTGTCAGCATTACAGGCGTGAGCCACCGTGCCCAGCCTCTCAATGTGGTTTTAATTTACATTTCCATGTTGACTAATGATGTTGAGCTCTGTTCAGTTGCTTGTTAGTCATTTATATATCTGTTGCAAAATGCCTATTTATATCTTTTGCCCATTTTTAGAAGTTGAGTTTAAAAGTTGTCTTTTGTTACTGAGGACAAGAGTTCATTATATATTCTAAACACAAGTTCTTTGTCAGATATACAGATTTTGATTTTTTTCTCACAATCTGTGACTCATCTTGTCGTTTTCTTAACAGTATCCTTTGAATACTTTAAGTTTGATAAAACCAATTTATCTTTTTTTGTTTTATAGTTTATGAGATGGGTTGGCTTTTTTTGTAAAGTAATCAGGCTCTTCTGTCAGGAACTCGAGGGCTACTGTAAGGTAACATGAGAGAATAAGGACTTTTGGTCTACAGTGGTAAAGAAATGTGAGTAAGGAATTTGGAGGATCCTGGGGAGGCAGGAAAAATTAGGTGGAAGGTTCCAAAAGAGTGGAAACAACAATAATATCTAGTATTTATATTTATTGAGTGCTTACTATGTTTCAGGCCTTGTAGGATCTTCGCTTGTATTAACTTATGCAATCTCCACACCACTGTGGAATAGGTGCTATTATTATCCCCGTTTTGCATATAGGGAAACAGAGTGATTAAGTAACCTGCCCAAGATCATGCAACTTGTTAAGTGGCAGAGTCAGGATTCAAACCCATAAAAGTGGCTCCTTGCTTTTAACCATTACACTGGTCAAGTGGGGCTGCTGACTGTTAAGTGTCAGGCAAGTAGGCTGAAAAAAATCAGCAGGAGTATTGTTTGAGTGTCCATTGGCATCCTTCCCAGAGTACCACCCAGGTTTCTGTGCCAATGAGCTGTTCAGTCATCATCTGAGGGGGTGCCAACCTAAACCTCTGGTACTACCAAATGCAAAGCAACCTTGTGTGGCACACAAAAATACAGAACTCATACAAGAAACAGGGTGTGTCTGGCCGGGTGTGGTGGCTCACGCCAGTAGTCCCAGCGCTTTGGGGGGCCCAGGAGGGTGGATCACGAGGTCAGGAGTTCAGGACAAGCCTGGCCAAGATGGTGAAACCCTGTCTCTACTAAAAATACAAAAAATTAGCCAGGCGTGGTGGCAGGTGCCTGTAATCCCAGCTACTCAGGAGGCTGAGGCAGAGAATTGCTTGAACCCGGGAGACAGAGGTTTCAGTGAGCTGACATCGCGCCACTGCACTCCAGCCTGGGTGACAGAGCAAGACTCTGTCTCAAAAAAAAGAAAGAAAGAAAGAAAGAAAGAAACAGGGTGTGTCTGGCAGGGCATGGTGGCTCACGCCTGTAATCTCAGTACTTTGGGAAGCCGAGGCGAGTGAATCATTTGAGGTCAGGAGTTTTGAGACCAGCCTGGCTGACATGGTGAAACCCTGCCTCTACTAAAAATACAAAAATTAGCCAGGTGTGGTGGTGCATGCCTGTAATCCCAGCTCTTTGGGCGGTTGAGGCAGGAGAATTGCTTGAACCTGGGAGGTGGAGGTTGCAGTGAGCTGAAATCATGCCACTGTACTCCAGCCCGGGCAACACAGCGAGACTCCATCTCAAAAAAAAAAAAAAAAAAAGAGGCCAGGCACAGTGGCTCACACCTGTAATCCCAGCACTTTGGGAGGCTGAGGCAGGTGAATCACCAGGTCATCTCAGCACTTTCGGAGGCCAAGGCAGGTGAATCATTTGAGGTCAGGAGTGTGAGACCATCCTGGCCAACATGGTGAAACCTCATCTCTACTAAAAATACCAAAATTAGCTGGATGTGGTGGCGGGTGCCTGTAGTCCCAGCTACTTGGGAGGCTGAGGCAGGAGAATCGCTTGAACCAGGAGGTGGAGGTTGCAGTGAGCCGAGATCACGCCACTGCACCCCAGCCTGGCGACAGAGCCAGACTCTGTCTCAAAAAAAAAAAAAAAAGAAAGAAACAGAGTGTGGAGATCACAGGCCTCTGATTCTGCTTCTTGACTTGCCCCCTAGGAAGGTTCTCATGGGGTTTTATGTCTAACCTCCCACATTGTGAAGTCCATTTCCATGCCTGCTGGGACTCTCCTGCATCCTGGACATGGCACCTCTGTTTGCATCTCCTGTCTCTGGCTCTACCTCCAGCCTTTTAGTACCATTTTGGTCCTTTGGTCCTGTTTGTGCCCAGTTCTGAGGGGCCTTTATAGAAGTTCCCCATCCCACTACTCACTCCTTGTAGGTTGAGGGCTGCAAGGAGCAAGAGAATGTCGGAAGGTCCCATGCTTCCACTTCTGTAGGTTAGGTGGCTAGGTACTGTTAAAGATGTGAAAATATGATACCCAGTGAACATATTTCAAAAAGTCACTTGAAGAGACATATTTTTTTCATGTTATCTTTTAAGCTATGAGAAAAGTTTGTATATTTTGAGATTATTCTTTTTTCAGAATGTCAGGATAGTATTAGCTTCTTCTTCATTGTAGAAAAAATAGCTGTGTCGAAGCATCTGCAGATAAAGGGTTGACAATAACAGAGAGAGACTAGAAAATGGGAAGTGGGACATTTTTATTATTATTTTAGGACAGAGTCTCACTCTGTCACCCAGGCTGGAGTGCAGTGGCGTGATCTCAGCTCACTGCAACCTCCACCTCGCGGTTCAAGCGATTCTCCTGCCTCAGCCTCCTGAGTACCTGGGACTACAGATGCGTGCCACCACACCAGGCTGATGTTTTTTGCATTTTTAGTACAGATGGGGTTTCACCATGTTGTCTAGGCTGGTCTCAAACTCCTGACCTCAGGTGATCTGCCCACCTTGGCCTCCCAAAGTGCTGGGATTATAGGTGTGAGCCACTGCGCCTGGCCTGAGACATTATTATATATCACTAAAATACTACTCTCTCCAACGATATGAGGTAAATAAAACAAAAACCCCCAAGTGGTCCAAGGCTTGAAGGGTTCAAATGAGAGAGATGAGCTATTAGAAATATTAATGCAGTCAAGGGCATGATAAAATGTGACGTTAAAATGAACTTTTCATTGTACTTACCTTTGTTGAGGTGTAAGTGAGACCCCTAGGCCACAATAACCATATTTTTAAAGAAGATTTATCCTTAGTGGAAGATCTTTAACTCTCAAATGTGGACAATTTTTTTATTTAATAGTTTTGAATTACATTCCTTTTGCTATGTGGTAATTATATATGACCGAATTTCATTTGGAGCCACTTACGCCTCATTTTCCTAAATGTCATACAAAATGTGTCCATACATCAAATTAGAAAAGGCCGGCTTTTGGACTATAGTAATAATCACCTGTGGTTTTTTTCTTGTGACTTGACTGAGCATGGAGCAATTAACTCCAACTAAATGAAGCAGGTTGAAAGGGTCAGGAATCTGCAGCTAGATGTGCTCTTTGGACGCTTGGCTTGTGGAAACCAAAGAGGATGTTTGCAAATGGTGGGGGCAGTTCCAGGGGAACTACCTCTGAGAACAGCAGTGTAGCATGGACGAGGCCGCACATATCCTTGTATGCATAACATGTCTTTCTCAATATTTCAGCTAAATTCACTCACATCACACCAGTATCCTGACTTCGCAGAGCAGGGATGGAATGCATTGGCAAAAAAATTTGATGGGAGGGCAGGCGTGGCAGCTCATGCCTGTAATCCCAGCACTTTGGGAGTTGGAGGTGGGAGGATCACTTGAACTTAGAAGTTTGATATCAACCTGGTCAACACAGGGAGACCCTGTCTCTACAGAAGAAAAAAAAAAAAAAGCCTGGCACAATGGTGCATGCCTGTGGTCCCAGCTACTTGGGAGGCTGAGATCAGAGGATTGCTTGGGCCCAGGAGGCCAATGCTGCAGTGGGCCATGATTGTACCACTGTAACTCCAGCCTGGGCAACAGAGCAAGAACCTGTCTCAAGAAAAAAAAACTTTTGTTTGGACATAAAACATGATAGAATACGATATCAGCCATGCGGCTGAAGTCTGTTGTTTAGCTTATGTAACTATCACATTTTTGCTTTTATTGAATCATGATAAAGACTGGAAGCAGAGACAAATTCTGAATATTATCTTTTGCCCTGCAAGAAATGGCAGGAGTCTTTATCAGTAAGAGCACACAAGAATGGGAAGTTCGGAGCTGGCACTCGCTGGAGACCCAGGCTGAGTACACTGGTTCTAAGAAGGCTAGGGGCCAGATGGGTTTTCAGGACAGAGACTCAGGTCTCTGTGACACAGGGACGAGCAGCCAGACTGCCTTGTTGCTGAAGCCCCTCAAAGCTTCTGGAGCTCCCTAATTCTCCCAGTCTTGAAGCTTGGGACATGGGAGTTACAGAGTCTGTAGAAGAGAGTCAGAGAACCACAGGCACAGGAAAGGAGGCCAGCAGGGAGCCCAACAGGTGCTGCTGTGCTCCAGGACAAATGGTCAACACAATAGGACTTCCCACTTACTGCCCAGTACTCGTCCTCATTAGCTCACCTTCTAGCTAATTTGAATGATGTTTGTTTATATTAGTGTTCTTACTCACTGATGAAGGTGAGAGGACGTTTTCCAAGATATTCAGCCAATTCAAGAATTTTGCTGTGAAGAATTGAGATGCCAGGATGGGCCAGGCGCCGTGGCTCACGCCTGTAATCCCATCATTTTGGGAGACTGAGGCAAGTGGATCACCTGAGGTCAGGAGATTGAGACCAGCCTGGACAACATGGTGAAACCCCGACTCTACTAAAAGTACAAAATTAGCCAGGTGTGTTGGTACGTGCTTGTAGTCCCAGTTACTCGGGAGGCTGGGGCAGGAGAACTGCTTGAATCCAGGAGGCAGAGGTTGCAGTGAGCCGAGATCACACCACTGCACTCCAGCCTGGGCTATAGAGCGAGACTCCATCTCAAAAAAAAAGAGAAAGAAAGAAAAAAAAGAGATGCAAGGGTGTGGAGTGTAAGGAGGAATTGAGGAAACAACCCACCTGGACTGCCACAGGCCTTTGGCACCCAGTGTTAAGACTTTACTGCCCCTTTCAACACCATAATCAACAAAGCCTGCCTGTGAAAAATCTCAGGAGACAGTCTGATCTTTTTGTATTTTGAAGCAGCTGAGGCCTGCTCCACCTGTGAGATCACCTTATTCCACTAATGACCTTAATTGCTGAATCCTTTAAAATGCCAGTGTTGGCCCAGCCCCAGTAATGGTGATGGATGGAAGCCCGGAGCCAGTCAGTCTGCAATGTTTCAGCAACCTCACAGGCACAGAGTGCTCCGAGGCTGCTGGAGGGTATGCCAAAGAAGACGAAGAATTACTAGTGGCTCCTCTTCCAGAGCCCTCTAATCTGGGTAGGGAAGAAGCCTTACAGGGACTTGAGTCTGATGCTGGGAGGAGGCCTGATGCATATTATCATTCAGCAGTGCCTCCAGGATAAAGTCCCACATCCTTCCTCTCTCTCTCTCTCTCTCTCTCTCTCTCTCTCTATTATATAATATATATATAGAATAACACATATAATATATTATATATAACCTATGTTATATATTATATAATATATAAAATATATTATATATTATATAAAATACCTTATATATACACATATATACTATACTATATAATATACTATATGTTATATACCATATATTGTACTATATGTTATATACCATATATTATACTATATGGTATATACCATATATTATACTATATGGTATATACCATATATTATACACTATATAATATACCATATATTATACACTATATAATATACCATATATTATATTATATACTATATAATATACCATGTATTATATACTATATAATATACCATGTATTATATACTATATAATATACCATGTATTATATACTATATAATATACCATGTATTATATACTATATAATATACCATGTATTATATACTATATAATATACCATGTATTATATACTATATAATATATAATATAATATATAATATATTATATACTATATAATATATAATATAATATATAATATATTATATACTATATAATATATAATATAATATATAATATATTATATACTATATAATATATAATATAATATATAATATATTATATACTATATACTATAAAATATATAATATATTATATACTATAAAATGTATATTATATACTATAAAATATATAATATATTATATACTATATAAAATATATAATATATTATATACTATATAATATATAAAATATATAATATATTATATACTATATAATATATAAAATATATAACATATTATATACTATATAATATATAAAATATATAATATATTATATACTATATAATATATTTGTTATATATAAAATATATTATATAGTATATAATAATGTTATATATAAAATATATAATATATAGTATATAAAATATATGCACATATATAATATATATTATATATTATATAATATAATATATATTATATATTATATAATATAATATATATTATATATTATATAATATATAATATTTTATATATATATTATATATATATATATTATATATATATAATTATAAATATAATATATAAAATTATATATAATATATAATATATAATATATAATATATAAATATAGAAATATATTATATAATATATTATATATTATATAATATATAAATATATAATTATATATAATATATTTTATAATATATATAATTATATATAATAATATATACTATATTATATAATTATATATAATAATATATACTATATTATATACGTATTAAAAAAAGAAACTTTAAAATTAACGGAATATATAATATACTATATATACATATATAGTATATACATATATAAATAAAAAATATATATTTTTAAACATTCAAATTACAGAAAAAACAACATATAAGGAGATACTATCTTCTCCATGAGGTGAAGTTTTGTGCAATTAGAAAAGAATTTCTCTTCCTCCAGCAGACCCAGCACATGCCAGGGTGAATACCTTTGCCCTCTTGGCTGGTACCTGGATGCAGGGCACAAATTTCAGTCATGTGTGGTGGTTCTATTCACAGTCCTTCATAGCCTGGCCTTGAATTGTCCTGGTTTTGTCTCCCACTGCACGCTTCCTTGTTGTGGGACCTTCAGACAGCCTTCCATACTTCCGCCAATCCACTAGCTTGGTACGCCCCAGGCCCTGTATCTCCCTCGTGCTCTCTGCCCTGTCTATAAAAACCTTCCTTCCCTTCTCTATCTGGTCAAGTCCTACATGTTACTGATTTTTACCTGTAATTTTTTTTGTTTTGAAATGGAGTTTCGCTCTTGTTGCCCAGACTGGAGTACAGTGGCGGGATCTTGGCTCACTGCAACCACCACCTCCCAGGTTCAAGCAATTCTTCTGCCTCAGCCTCCCGAGTAGCTGGGATTATAGGCACTTGCCACCGTGCCCGGCTAATTTTTTGTGTTTTTAGTAAAGACGGGGTTTCATCGTGTTGGTCAGGCTGGTCTCAAACTCCTGACCCCAGGTGAGCCACCCGCCTCAGCCTCCCAAAGTGCTAGGATTACAGGCCTGAGCCACTGCGCCCGGCCTTCCCTGTTAATTTTAAAGTTTCTTTTTTTTTTTTAATATTGCAAAATGTAACACTTACTTGGAGAAGTGTTATCAAACATAAACTCACAGTTCCATAAACTGTAATTCACACTCATCGTGAAATAGAACATTCCCAGTACTCCAGCATCACCTCCTCCACTTCAACTCCCCGTTCTCCCAAAGGCCTTGTTCTATCTGCAATTGTCTCCCTCTATCATTCTGACTGCCAGAGATGGTGAATTCGTCTTCAAAGGGTTTAATTGTGTAATGTCCTTGTCCTTGGTTCGGAGCCTCACCTCCTTGTACTTTCTTGTTTCTAGCCTGTGAGCAGCCCTCCCGCTCTTGTTGTGCCCGGACTTGCCCAGACATGTCCGAACACGCCTTGTGCTGTAGCAGAGGGACCACTCCTATCCCCCACCCTCCCTTGCGAATCGCACGTTTACCCTAATTGGAAAAGTATGTCTTTTTTTGTTTTTTTTTTTTGAGATGGAATCTCGCTCTGTCGCCAGGCTGGAGTGCAGTGGTGCAGTCTCAGCTCACTGCAGCCTCCGTCTCCAGGGGTTCAAGCAATTCTCCTGCCTCAGACTCCCGAGTATCTGGGACCACAGGCGCGGGCCACCACGCCCGGCTAATTTTTTTGTATTTTTAGTAGAGACGGGGTTTCACCATGTTGGCCAGGATGGTCTTGATCTCCTGACCTCGTGATCCGCCCACCTGGGCTTCCCAAAGTGCTGGGATTACAGGCGTGAGCCACCATGCCCGGCTGAAAAGTTTAAGTCTTAGCCAACTGGGGTTAGCTTAGGTTGTGCAGTCCAACCCTAGCCAATAGGGGAAGGACACAGGAATAGGGACTATGTTAGGGATAAAAACTCCTCTCCTTTGTTAGTTGTGCTCGCAGCGGCCAGAAGCATGAGCGGCAGCCTTCTGTAGAAGTAAACTTGCTTTGCTGAGAAACCTATTGTTTGAGTGCTTGTTTTTCCTGCGACTCCGAGCTCTTATTTCCAACACTGACTTTTAAGGAAACCACTTTCCTGTCTTTTTTTTTTTTTTTTTTTTTTTTAAGAGACATGATCTCACCATGTTGCCCAGGGTGGACTCAAACTCCTGGACTCAAGCAGTTCTCCTGCCTCAGCCTCCTAAGTAGCTGGGATGACAGGCATGCGCCACCATATTCAGCTCCTGCTTTTTTTTTTCTTTTGAAAATTTGGATTATTTCTAGTTTTTGATGTTTCTGAGTAATGCTGCTATCAGCATTTTTTTTGCATGTCTCCTGCACTATACATGCATGTATTTCTGCTAGGTACAAACCTGAGATGGAATTTCTGATCTTAGAGTGTGCATATCACCAACTTTAATAAATACAGCAAAGTAGTGATTGTACCAATTTACACTTCAGCCGTATACGAGAGAAGCAGCTACTCTATATCTGTCCCAACACTTGGTAACATGGTCTTTTAAATTTTAGTCATTTTGGTGGGTGTAAATAGTTTTGCTTGTTTGTTTGAGATAGAGTTTTGCTCTCCTGCCCAGGCTGGAGTGCAGTGGCGTGATCTCGGTTCACTGCAACCTCTGTCTCCTGGGTTCAAGCAATTCTCCTGCCTCACCCTCCCAAGTAGCTGGGATTACAGGTGCCCACTACCACGACGGGGTTTCATCATGTTGGCCAGGCTGGTCTCGAACTCCCGACCTCAAATGATCCACCTGCCTGGGCCTTCCAAACTGCTGAGATTACAGGCGTAAGCCACCGTGCCCAGCCCGTAAATGGTTTTTATTTGTATTTCCCTGTTGATTATTGAGATTGAGCACGTTTTCATATATTTATTGGCCATTTAGTATCCTCTATTGCAAAGTGCTTATTCATGTCTTTTACTCATTTATTTACTGTGTGCTCTGTATTTTTCTTTCCTTATTCTGTAGGTATACACACACATACACAAACATGTACATAGAGTCAGCTCTTTATATAATATGGATATAATGCTTTGTCTGTTACAAGTATTGCAAATACCCCCACCACTCAGAGGCTTGTCATTCTCTTAACGTCATCTTTTGATAAAGGGAAGTTTTTAATTGTTAACATGGTGAAATCTATCAGTCCTTTCCTTACTATTAGTGCTTTAATGTCCTTTTTTTTTTTTTTTTTTTTTTTTTTTTTGAGACGGAGTCTTGCTTTGTCGCCCAGGCTCGAGTGCAGTGGCAGAATCTCGGCTCACTGCAAGCTCCGTCTCCTAGGTTCACACCATTCTCCTGCCTCAGCCTCCTGAGTAGTTGGGACTACAGGTGCCAGCCACCATGGCCGGCTAATTTTTTTGTATTTTTAGTAGAGACGGGGTTTCACCATGTTAGCCAGGATGGTCTCGATCTCCTGACCTCGTGATCCACCCACCTTGGCCTCCCAAACTTTTGGGATTACAGGTGTGAGTCACTGCGCCGGGCCTTAATTTCCTATTTAAGAAATATTCGTCATGAATATGTTCTTTTATAGTATCTAGTAGAAGCTTTTAAAAATATTTAAAATAGAAATATAACATGCAGAAAGTGCATACGTTGTATGAAGCTTGAGTATGCAACTCAGTAGATTTTTACGTACATCTATACCCAGAGAACCTCTATTCAGAGCAAGTTGGATATTTACAGCAAACCATAAGGTTTCCCAATCAATTACAACTCCATCCTTAAGGCCATCACTATTCTAACTTCTGTTCATCTTTTCTCCTTGTTGTTGGATATTTGGGTTGTTTCAGTTTGGGGGTATTACAAATAAATTGCTGTGAACATTCTTGTATGTGTCTTTTGATGCACATAGCACAGATTCTCTTGGGTATATACTAAGAATGGGATTGCAAAGCCAGGATATTGATTTATTTGTAGATACTGCCAAACCTTTTCCAAATTTACACTCCAAAAGCAATGTAAGAGAGTTCCCATTGCTCCACTCCTCACCAACACTTGGTATTGTCAGACTTTTTGATTTTAGATGTTCTTCTGGGATGTGTAGTGATATCATATTGTGGTTGAATTCACATTTCCCTAATGAGTAATGATGTGAAGCACTCTTCCATATATTTATTGGTTATGAAGTTCCTGACCAAGCCTATTTTTAAAAATGGGGCTGATTTTTTTTCTTAATGGTTTGTAGAAGTTCTTTATATATTGTAGTTATGAGTTCTTTGTTGGAAATATGTTTTACAAATATACTTTCCCAATCCATGGCTTCTCCTTTTGGTCTCCTAATAGTGTCTTTTGATTAAAGAAGTTTTTAATGTTAATACAGTATAATTTGTCAATTTATTTTTCATAGAGTTTTTTGTGTCCTGTTTAAGAAATATTTGCCTACCTACCCTGAGGACATAAAAATATTCCCCTATGTTTTCTTCTGGAATCCTTATTGGTTTTGCCTCATATTTAGGTTGATGATCCAGTTCAAGTTATTTTTATGTATGTTATGAGGTAAGAGTCAAAGTTTTCCTTTCCTCCCCCTATACAATATCTAACTTATCCACCACCATTGGATTAAAATATCATCCTATCCACCATTGAATTGCAGTGGTGGCACATTTGTTATTAATCTAGGGATGTGTACATATGAAACTATTTCTGAGTGTATTCTATTCTGTTGGTCTATTCCCCTATCCTTGTACCAATGCTACACTGCCCTAACTAATAACTTCACAGTAAATGTTGAAATCTAGTAGTACAAGTCCTTCAACTCTGTTCATCTTCATCATTGTCTTGGCTATTTAGGTCATTTGCATTTCCATATATGTTTTGGAATAAACTTGTATGGTTTTTTTTTTTTTTCTTTTGAGACAGAGTCTCTCTCTTGTCACCCAGGCTGGAGTGCAGTGGCATGATCTCAGCTCACTGCAATCTCTGCCTCCCAGGTTCAAGTGATTCTCCTGCCTCACCCTCCTGAGTAGCTGGGACTGCAGGCATGCACCACCATGCCCAGCTAATTTTTGTGTTTTTAGTAGAGGTGGGGTTTCACCATATTGGCCAGGCTGGTCTCGAACTCCTGACCTCAGGTGATATGCCCCTCTCAGCCTCCCAAATTGCTGGGATTACAGGCATGAGCCACTGTGCCTGGCCTAAACTTGTTAACTTACACAATTAAATAAGCAGCAGGGATTTCTATTGAGATTACATTGAATAGATATTGTTAAAATATAGAGTCTTCCAATCTATAAACACATTATATATCTCCATTTATGTGAGTTTTCTTTAATTTCTCTCAATAATATTTAATAGTTTTCTACAGAGAGCTTTTGCATATCTTTTATTAGATTATTGCTATATATTTGATATTTTTGATGCTATTGTAAATCACATTCTTTGGAAAGGCATCTTATTGGAGAAATAATTTCAATATATACAAAATAAAGATAATAATGTAATAAACTCTCACCCATACATCATCCAGTCTTAATAAAACTCAACATTCTGCTATTCTTTTTTTTTTTAATTTTGAGACGGAGTTTTACTCTCATTGCCCAGGCTGGGGTGCAATGGCGCGATCTTGGCTCACTGCAACCTCCGCCTCCCGGGTTGAAGTGATTCTCTTGCCTCAGCCTCCTGAGTAGCTGAGATTACAGGCATGTGCCACCACGCCCAGCTAATTTTGTATTTTTAATAGACATGGGGTTTCTCAAACTGGTCTCGAACTCCCAACCTCAGGTGATCCGCCCGCCTAGGCCTCCCAAAGTGCTGGGATTACAGGTGTGAGCCACCACGCCTGGCCTCTGCTATTCTTGTTTTATCTATACCTCCCCTCACCTCTACTCTATTATTATTTTCTTATAGTTCGTTATTCTTGGCAAAATGTACATGCATTGAACTGCATAAATCTTAGCCTCAAAATTTACAAATAGATATCCTTGCATTAAACAGAGCCATACCAAGATGGAGAGCACTGCCATCACCCAGAAAGTTCCCTCAAGTCCTCTCCCAGGCAATCTTCCCTGACCTCAGCAACCACTGTTCAGATTTATTTTTCACCTTAGTTTTTTTCTGTTTTAGAGCCATATATGCCCATCAGCTAGTCTACCGTTAATATTTTACTCTACTAGCTTTATCATATAACTACAGATCTTTTCATCCCTCTATCCCTTGATTAATTCATTTTAGTTTATTTCACTTTTTTATTTTGTTTAATTTTTTTTGAGACAGAGTCTTGCCCTGTGGCCCAGGCTGGAGTGCAATGGCATGATCTCAGCTCACTGCAACCTCTGCCTCCAAGGTTCAAGTGATTCTCCTGCCTCAGCCTCCTGAGTTGCTAGGACTACAGGCATGTGCCACCATGCCCAGGTGATTTTTGTATTTTTAGTAGTGATGGAGTTTCACCGTGTTGGCCAGGCTGGTCTCAAACTCCTGACCTCAGGTGATCCTCCCTCCTTGGCATCTCAGTGTTGTGATTACAGGCGTGAGCCACTGCACCTGGCCTAATTCATTTAATTTTGGCCAACTTAAATTTTTTATTTTGTTTTGTTTTTTGAGACAGAGTCTCGCTCTGTTGCCCAGGCTGGAGTGCCGGGGCATGATCATAGTTCATGACAGCCTCAAAATCCTAGGCTCAAGTGATCCTACCACCTAGGCCTCCAAAACAATGGGATTACGGGCATGAGACACTGTGTCTGGCCTGATTTTGGTTAATTTTAAAGTAAATCACAGATATCAGTATACTTCACCCAGGTAGTCAGCATGCATATTATTAACTAGAATTCAATATTTGCTTATGGTTTTTAATTTTGTTGTAAAATTTACAGTCAATTAACTGCAGATGAGATTCGCCTCATGTGTGTACATTAGTTCAATTTTGACTAATGCATGTGTAACCCAAACCTCTTCCAAGATATAGGATATTGCTATCACCCAGAAAGTCCTCTTATATTCTTTTAAAATTATTTATTTATTTACTTATTGAAATGGAGTCTCACTCTGTTGCCCAGGCTGGAATGCAGTGGCACGATCTTGGCTCATTGCAACCTCCGCCTCCTGGGTTCAAGTGATTCTCCTACCTCAGCCTCCTGAGTAGCTGGGATTACAGGCACCCACCACCATGCCCGGCGAATTTTTGTATTTTTAGTAGAGATGGGGTTTCACCATATTGGCCAGGCTGGTCTTGAACTCCTGACCTTGTGATCCACCCGCCTCAGCCTCCCAAAGTGCTGGGATTACAGGTGTGAGCCACCGCACCTGGCCTTTATTTTTATTTTTGAGATGGAGTCTCGCTCTGTTGCCGGGCTGGAGTGCAATGGTGCAATCTCAGCTCACTGCAACCTCCGCCTCCCGGGTTCAAGTGATTCTCCTGCCGCAGCCTCCTGAGTAGCTGGAACTACAGGTGTGCACTACCACGTCAGGCCTTTTTTTTTGCATTTTTAGTGGAAACGGGATTTCGCCATGTTAGCCAGGCTGGTCTCGAACTCCTGACCTCAGGTGATCTGCCTGCTTTGGCCTCCCAAAGTGCCAGGATTACAGGCGAGAGCCACTGTTCCCAGCCTCCTCTTACATTCTTTACAGTCAATCTTCACCTTTGCTCCTCAGAGATATGCACTCCTCTGATTTTTTTTCCACCATAGATTAGTTTTGTCTGTTTTATACTTTCATATAAATGGAATTATACAGTATTTACACAGTATTTACCTTTTTATAAGGCTTTTTAAACTTAGCATAATATGTTGACATCTATCTGTGTTGCTTGTATCAATAGATCAATAGTTCGTTCTTTTTTTTTTTTTTTTTTTGAGACGGAGTCTTGCTCTGTTGCCCAGGCTGGAGTGCGGTGGTGCAATCTTGGCTCACTGTAACCTCCGCCTTCTGGGTTCAAGCAATTTTCCTGTCTCAGCCTCCTGAGTAGCTGGGATTATAGGTGCCCACCACCACACCCAGCTATTTTTTGCATTTTTAGTAGAGATGGGGTTTCACCATGTTGGCCAAGCTGGCCTCGAACTCTTGACTTCAAGTGATCTGCCCACCTTGGCCTCCCAAAGTGCTGGGATTACAGGCATGAGCCACCGTGCCCAGCCCAGTCTTTTTTTTATTACTGAGTAGTATTCTGTTTACATATGTACTATAGTTTGTTTATTCAGTATTCCATTGGAGGACTGCTGAGCTGCATTGTAACCAAAATGAAAATCCTGGGTCCGGGTGCAGTGGCTTACGCCTGTAATCCCAGCACTGTGGGAAGCTGAGGCGGGCAGATCACCTGAGGTCAGGAGTTCCAGACCAGCCTGGCCAACATGGTGAAACCCCGTCTCTACTAAAAATACAAAAATTAGCCAGGTGTGGTGGCGGGCACCTGTGATCCCAGCTACTTGAGAGGCTGAGGCAGGAGAATTGCTTGAACCCAGGAGGCAGAGGTTGCAGTGAGCCAAGATTGCGCCACTGTACTCCAGTCTGGGCAACAAGAGCGAAACTCCGTCTCGAAAAAAAAAAAAAAAAAAAATCCACAGTGATGCCAATGCTGATGCTGGAGCCCCAGGGCCCACACTTTGGGTTCCCAGGGACTCCTATGGTCAGACTGTAGGAAGATCAGTCTTGGGGTGTTGAGAGATGGGAGTGGATTTGGGAGAGCCTGGAACAGAGAGGAGGAATCATGGAAACTGACGAGTGACATGGGGCAGGGGCCGGGACAAAGATTTTCACAGCAGGACTAAATGGAAAAGGGTCAGATGAAGAGCAATTTCTTTTGGATGCAGTTATCATTGTAATAATTATTAGTATTCAAAATAACAAGTATCTTATAAATCTTAATATGAAAGTGTATACTTTTGTTGGGGATGATGCATCCACATTACCACACCAGGCTAATTTTTGTATTTTTAGTAGAGATGGGGTTTCACCGGGTTGGCCTGGCTGGTCTCAAACTCCTGACCTCAGGTGATCCACCCGCCTCGGCCTCCCAAAGTGCTAGGATTACAGGCGTGACCCACCACACCCGGCTGGGGATGCATCTCTTAATGAGACAGATAGGACTTAAAAAATTATGTTATCTATTTGTTTATATATCCATGAGTGACTATTTCTTTTTGCTAGGGGTCAGCATCACTTTTTCTTTTTTCTGTTTTTGTTTATTTTTTTTATGACCATAAGCACTGAGAAATTTTTTTAAAACAAAATAAGTAGATAGGAAGGAAAGATTTGTTATATAAATGTCATTCAATTAGAAATCTCCTCCCAAAATCACATAATAATCTATCATCAGAATTGCTTTTAACAGTGTATCAGCTGATATTTGATTGGTTCCTAGTGATGCTGTCACTGTCTACACTAAAACTTTGAGCTGTCCCTTTGCTCTGGCACCCTAGATTTTCATACCCTGGGGAAAAATGCACCACAGTGGCAGACTAGGATTGTGGAATAGGAAGTAGGAAAGAAAACCCACAGCACAATCCTTCAAATATTGGTTCATTGGCAAGCAATCTGGCTTAGAAAAGAGAACACACGAAATTGAAGATTCTCTTAAAGTTCCATTCCTGGATACCCTTTGGAAAATCTTCGGTACTCTCAGAAGTATATATTCCATATGTGCCTGTTTTTCATTCCTACCACTTTGGGCCACCTTCTTGATCTTGTACAGGCTCCTTTTCTAGAAGCTTGAAAACAACATCCAAGGTCCCCCAGGTACTATCCTATGCTTTTTCTTCTCGTCCCACACGACCCGCTTTTCATGGGTGATTTCAATTTCTTCGAAGACTTCAGAGCTATAAATATGTGAATGACTCCCAGTCTCTGGCTGAAACATCTCTCCAAAGCTCCAGACCCACTGAACTGCCTCCTTTGTTCCTTCAATACCAACTCCACATGTCCTAAGCGGATCTTATCCTCTCCATCAAACCTGCCCTCAGGAGTGTATCCTTTACTTACTCAACTCCTCCAGTTTCCTCATTCCCAAGTCATCGGTCACTGTGGTTTTGCTTCCTTAATGCCTCTCAGATCTGTCTTTTTGTCTCCACCCTGATGATCTTGACCTTAATTTGGGTCTCAAGTATGTCTTCTCTAGTTACAAAGGGGATTACCAAATTACGAAAGCATCTGAACCAGGTTCCTGGTTTCTGGTCCTCTCCCTTCCAGACTCTCCTCTGTTACTAGATTATTCTTTCTAAAATGCAGATCTAGGCCAGGTACAGTGGCTCACACCTGTAATCCCCAGCACTTTGGGAGGCCGAGGCGGGTGGATCACCTGAGGTCAGGAGTTCGAGAACAGACTGGCCATCATGGCGAAACCCCCCTCTGTACTAAAAATACAAAAAATATTAGCCAGGCATGGTGGCAGGCGCCTGTAATCCCAGCTACTCGGGAGGCTGAGGTAGGACAATGGCTTGAACCCAAGAGGCAGAGGTTGCAGTGAGCCCAGATCATGCCGCTGCACTCCAGCCTGGGCAACAAGAGCGAAACTCCATCTCAATAATAATAATAATAATAATAATAATAATAATAATAATAATAAAATAAAATTCAGATCTAACTGAGTCAGTGACTTGCTCCAAGCCCCATAGCCTGCAGGAGAAGGTCTATTCTTCTTAACATCACTTGAAGATCCTTTATGACCTGGCCCCTGGCCACCTGTGGCCTTTCCTCCACTGGTTGTTAACTGGACTTTGCTGAAATTGAAACACTTGCAGTTCTGCCCCAGCTTCTGTTCACTTTTCTATCCCATCCTTCAGCCTGGATCATCTATCTTTAACCTCTTCTCAGTCTGACAGACTCCTACACATGCCAAAGCTTCAGCTCCATGGTAATCTCATCCGGGAGGCTTTCCAATTCACTCTGTGTTCCTCTCTATCAGAGCACTTGGCACATGCAGTTATGATTTTCATGCATTTGGCTGTTCCCTCACTAGACTGTGAGCAACTCAAGGGCCACATCTTCCCTCTCAAATCTCCAGTGTCTTAGCAAAGGTCTGTCACAGACAAGGAACTCCTTGTATTATGAAGGACGTTTGTTGCAAACACAGCAGAACAGCAACTCTGATTTGCAGGTGTTTTCCCATACAGAGTTGCCAGAGGTCTCTGGTTTTCTCAATTCAGGCTAAGCCTTTGGTAATGGTGCCTGCAGCACTTTGCAGTTTGATATTAAGTAGAGAGAGAGGAAGGGGCTCAGGACTACAAAGGTTCCTCCGCTGCAGTTCCATTTGAGAACACGAGATGGCGCCCTGCGGCGGCCTGTTGAGATAGTCTTGGGACATTTTCCTACGTGATAGTCTGCCAAGCCCAGCAACGGCAGAAGCCCCAATAACCCAGAGTTAGAGATGAGATTGATACCCAATTGTTTGTTATGCTGAATAGAGCTATCAAGTGGTTGCATTTATCATTCATTATATGTGAATTTAAGAAAAACAAAAAAAAACTTCTTTTTTTTTTTTGAGACGGAGTCTCGCTTTATCGCCCAGGCTGGAGTGCAGTGGCGCGATCTCGGTTTACTGCAAGCTCCGCCTCCTGGGTTCACGCCATTCTCCTGCCTCAGCCTCCTGAGTAGCTGGGACTACAGGCGCCCGCCACCGCACCCGGCTAATTTTTTGTGTTTTAGTAGAGACGGGGTTTCACCATGTAGGATGGTCTCGATCTCCTGACCTCGTGATCCGCCCGCCTCGGCCTCCCAAAATGCTGGGATTACAAGCGTGAGCCACCGCGCCCAGGCAAAAAAAACTTTTCTTTAAAGACAACTTTGTCTTTAAAGACAAAGTTCCACTCCGTCACCCAGGCTGGGGTGCAGTGGTGTGATTATAGCTCACCGCAATCTCGACCTCCTGGCCTTACATGATCCTCCTGCTTTGGCCTCCCAAAATGTTGGGATTACAGGCGTTAGCCACCATGCCTAGCAGAAAAATTTACAAGTAGCATTTAATCTATGTATTTTGGAGTCAGATGGCCCTGGGTTTTAATCCTGGCTCTGCTACTTACTAGCTGTGTGACCTGTCAAGTTCTGGGTCTTGGGTTCCTCCTCCGTGAAACAGTTAATAAGTCCTTTTACAAACTTTAAATGAGATGAGGTTTGTAGAATTCTCAGTGCGATCCTGGCACATGCTAGATGTTCAGTAAATATTCATTTTTTTTCCCTTTTAAAAATCCTTACGGCTGGGTGCGGTGGTTCATGACTGTAATCCCAGCACTTTGGGAGGCCGAGGCGGGTGGATCACGAGGTCAGAAGTTAGAGACCAGCCTGGACGATATGGTGAAACCCTGTCTCTACTGAAGACAAAAAATACAAAAAATTAGCTGGGCATGGTGGTGCGCACCAGTAGTCCCAACTACTCAGGAGGCTGAGAATCGCTTGAACCTGGGAGGCAGAGGTTGCAGTGAGCCGAGATCATGCCACTGCACTCCAGCCTGGGCAACAGAGTGAGACTTTGTCTAAAAAAAAAAAAAAAAGAAAAATTCTTACGTCACCTTACCATAATCCTTTTACACTCATTGCTTTCTATTTTATTTTATGATAGCTTTTTCTGTTTATGTCTTATTGCTACTTAGTCTAGTCTGGGGAACTCTTTGAGGGCAGGACTTGTCTGATTTTTCTTCATCTTCAGCACCCAGCTCAGTGCTAGGTACATAGCAGGAGTTCAATAAATAATCAATGAAAACATAATGAATGCATCCAGTTTATATGGGTACATTCCCCCTACTTCCCCACCCAATGTCCTCTTACTGGACCACAGAAAAACCTGAGCTATTCAGATAAAGATTCTTCGGCATTTTTTGCTTAAAACACACAACAGGGAAAATCTGATAAAACCTGAACAGTTACTTTTGCCATCATTGACTCCAGAGGCTTGTCTGCCTGCATGTGCCAACTGAAGAGTGGTTTTTTTGTTTTGCTTTGTTTCGTTTTGTTTTGTTTTGTTTTTTGAGACGTAGTCTCACTCTGTCCCCCAGGCTGGAGTGCAGTGGCACGATCTCGGCTCACTGCAACCTCCGCCTCCCGGGTTCAAGTGATTCTCCTGCCTCAGCCTCCCCAGCAGCTAGGATTACAGGCACATGCCACCACGCCCAGCTAATTTTTTGTATTTTTAGTAGAGACAAGGTTTCACCATGTTGACCAGACTGGTCTTGAACTCCTGACCTCAAGTGATCCACCCGCCTCGGCCACCCAAAGTGCTGGGATTACAGGCGTGAGCCACCACGCCCGGCCTGCAGAGTGGTTTGAACAGCAACTTTCCAGGCCTGGTGTGGCGACTCACCCCTGTAAACTCAGCACTTTGGGAGGCCGAGGCAGGCAGATCACCTAAGTTCAGGAGTTTGAGACCAGCCTGGCCAACATGGCGAAAACCTGTCCCTACTAAAAATACAAAAATTAGCCGGGCATCCATGGCACACATCTGTAAATCCCAGCTACTCAGGCGGCTGAGGCATGAGAATCACTTGAACCTAGGAGGCAGAGGTTGCAGTGAGCCGAGATCGTGCCACTGCACTCCAGCCTGGGTGACAGAACGAGACTCCGTCTCCGGAAAAAAAAAAAAAAAAAAGGCAACTTTCCAGGGCAGACTTGCCTGGCTGTGGAGAAAAGTGCAGCCCCTCAGGGCAGACACATGATGCCCTGTTATGGGCAGGAGCCAGCAGCTGGGACTGGCCACTTGGGCTTGGCTGGCAGAGAGGGAACCAAGACAGAAAGGACAGGTGGGCTGGGATTGCCCTCCCTTGGTTTGGACTTAGTCTGAGTCTGTCGTCCTGACAGCGCCTGTGTCATTGTGGGAAGTAGTTCCGGCATCTCCACTGAGAGGGTGTACCTAGGCCTGGAATGATCGCTACCTTTCCTTAGGATGGCCAGCCCATCTAGGTGGGACCACGGGAGTCACCCACCTTGCCTCAGGTTAAGAGAAGACCTCCTGAGCAGGGGCCCTGCACTATGAACAGTTCACCAGTGAGGGGCAATTGAGACATGAGGAGATGCTTTGTGCACAGGCCATGGGGTCTCCAAACCACTGCACTGAGCCCTACCGCTTCCCCCATGCGTTCAAAATGCTACCAAACACAAGGCATGTAATGAACCAGGGAGAAACCACCTCTGACCATTAATTCCTCTGTACCTGGACTAAGATCCACAATGAAGACTCAGCTGTAGGCATAGAGGCTTTGCCCTGGAGGCCTCCTTAATGTCCCCAGCTTGGCCAAGAATTTAAATCCTCTCCTGTCTCTTGTCTAGGACTTTTTACTTTGTACGTACGACAGGTCAAATGATTTGAGAAATGGGAAGTGGGAATAGAAGATTCTGGAAACCCCCCCAAACTGTCCTGATGCTGGAGTGGTGCGGCTGTTCAAACTGTCTGTTGTGGAAGATGGAGATGGGGATACCAAAGATGACAAAGGAAGGGAGTTTCCTGTGGAAGGTACCTTTTATTAAACGGGATGGATGCCTCCCAAGGGTACCAGAAAACAAAGGCTGTAAAGACACTCAAATTCAATGGAACTTCTATTTTATAAAAACTTTTTTTATCAGGGAAAATTTTTAAGTTACACAAAATGGTGAAAGTAGCATAATGAACCCCCACCTGCTTCTCACTCAGCTTCACAAATTTCCAACATTTCACCCATTCTTCCTTCATCTGTCCCCAACTTTTTTTTTGCTAGAGTAGAAGCAACTCTCTTCCCTTATTTTAGGAGACTGCTAAGCCCTTGTAAAGATCTAAGATAAGTATCAAAGATAGAATTTACAGGGCTGGGAGGAACTTGGAAATGTTCTAGTCCAACTTAGGTTACAGGTAGGAAAACTGAAACCCAGAGAGGAAGATGCACACTGGAAGGCTGAGGCTGAGCCTGGGCTAGAGACCAAGCCTAGACCTCCCAGTGGCTGACTCGTCCAGCTTCAGGCAATGAGAAGCCACTGAAGGTTGCAGCAAAATCTATTATGAAGGAGAGAGAGTGTTGCAAGAACACTTGAGACAGTTTCCTGTTCAAAAGTCACGGAGCATCATGAGGAGCTCACATGGACACAGAGCTTAGGAGTTTGCAAAACACCTTCGTTTTGATTAGAACGTTTTATCCTCACGACATCTATGAATGGTACATGTTATCTTTGTAAACCCAATAGGAAATTCAGGAAGCAAAGGGATTTAAGCCAGTGGCTGATCCAGGACTAGCACCAAGGTCTCAGAATGTGTTTTCCAGCCCAGCGTCCTTCTCTTGGTTTGGCTGTGTCCCTGATGAAAGGTGGAGTGCTCCAGAGCTGGGCTGCCTGCTTCTGGGATCCAGTAGCTTTGAGACCCCAAGCATCTCTTGCAGTTTTACCCCAAAGAGGAAAAACCACAAAGACAGTGGTTTTGTGAAGGGTGGAAATCCGGTCTCTTTGGTAAGATCCAGGCATTGGGATGCCATTGTGACTTTGGACTCAAGGTTCCCTACCAAGCAGGAATATCTTCCCTGATGTAGCTGAAGGTGATGCAGAGCTGGGGGAGGGAGGGTCAGAGTATTCCAGAAGCCTTTGGGCATGAAGGGCTACATGCTTGATGGGGAGTGAATCTTTCCTTCACTGCCTGGCCGAGCAGCATCTGAGTGGCAGGGGTGGCCAGTTCTTTAGCACTAAGTCCCAGACACATAACTTTCAAAGGGTCTTGGAACATCAGTACAGTCAGCAAGGGGGAGGCTGCTACTTTCCATTCTGCCCTTAGGCAAGAACTGGGGAGTATAGGAGCGCTATGAGGGCTTACTGTGGGCCAAAGTCCTGTACTAGGTCCTTTAATGGCATTTTTTAAGAAAAATGACTTTCAAAACCTACTATTGCTACTATTCATCCCAGTTTACAGATGAAGCCACTGAGGCTCAGAGAGGTTAGGAAACTTCTCCAGTACCACAGAGTTACAGTGACCAAGCTGGGTCAGAGTCCAGTTCTCTCTGGCTCTTTCCACTCTCTGCCAGCTGGCTCCAGAGTGCTGAATGCAGAGTCTGCACCTCCACTGCCACATGAATATGTGCTCAGGACTGCTGCCCTTATGTCTGTCTTCTCCTGATCAGGTCCCTTGTAGCCTTTTCTCACTCACATGACCTTCTCTACCCACCTTCTCTCTACCTGTGACCTCTATCGCCCATGTCTCTTAGTCCGACTTCTCCACTGCAGCTTTAGCCCTAATGCAGTAGATTTGCATCAGTCAGGACTTTTTCACTTTTAAGCAACAGGTGCTTACTGAATGTGATCAATTGAATTATTGTTGCTGATTCTTCACTTCTTCCCTGCACTGAAATTATAAATCCATGCCTTTTTTTCCCCATATAACTTTATAGTACTTCCCACTAGAGTAGCTATTTCCTGGCCCCACTGGCATTGGGAGTGTGAGCAGAGGTAACATGAGCAGAGGTCTGTGTGTGCTCAGGTAGTTCTGTTTGGGTTCTTTGCTGCTATCTGCTGCGAGAAAAGCATGCCCAGTGTAGCTGCTGGACCCAGTATGACAGACATACGTTGCAGACTAGAACTTGACCCATAGCCTAAAACAATGTCACGCCAACCAGTTCACAGACCTTGCAAGTTAAAACAAAAACAAAAACAAAAAAAAACCATGTTTGTATCTGTAGGCTACTGAGATTTGGGAATTGTTTGTTACAAAGCATTATCACAGCAATAGCTGGCTACACTCTGAATTAAGCAAAAAAGACTTTATTGGTTGAGATAACTGAAACATTTGGCAGTGTGTCTGGTGCAGATATGGCTGGATTAAGGGTCTCAAACAATAGCATTAGGGTCCTATCACTCTCCATGTCTCAGTCTTTTTCCACCCATCTGTTTTTCATTCAACAAATACTATATTCGAGGCACTGAGTTTACTGTGGTGAACAAAGAAAGGCCTCTTTCCTCAGGGAGCTTACGTTCTAGTGGGAGAGACAGAAGCTGATGCAAACAAATAAATCATCTATTGTCAGGTGGCAGTAAGCACTATGAAGAAGATAAGGTGAAGGGAAAACTCATGCGGATATCAGAAGGAGATCACTCCAGGCAGCAGAGGGCTGTGAGTACAAAGGTGCTGAGGGGCAGGGTGTGCATGGGGTGTGCTGGGAACTGCAAGACGAATGGCGTGGTTGGAGTCAGGTGAGCAACGGGAAGGGAGGGAAGAATAAAGTAGAAGGAGTCAGGGCCAGATAGCATGGGCTCTTCCAGGCATATTAGAGCGTGGATTCTTGTTCCAGTGCTAAAGGAAACCGTAGAGGATTTTGAACAATAAAGGCTATCAAGGTGTGTGTGTGTGTGTGTATATATATGTATGTATATACACTAACACACATATAAAATGTGCTACAAACTTATGGACTATTAAATAGACTTATTAAGGTCTATTTAACAAGTAGACTTTAAAGTTACCTTTGAAGTTACAAAACTGACATCTTCCAATTTGCTAGAATTAATTTATTTATTTTTATTTTATTTTATTATTTTATTTTATTTTATTTTATTTTATTGAGACTGAGTCTCACTCTGTTGCCAGGCTGAAGTGTAGTGGCGTGATCTCAGCTCACTGCAACCTCCGCCTCCCAGGTTCAAGTGATTCTCCTGCCTCAGCCTCCTGAGTAGCTGGGACTACAGGCGCACACCACCATGCCCAGCTAATTTTTGTATTTTACTAGAGATGGGGTTTCACCATGTTGGCCAGGATGTCTCAATCTCCTGACCTCATGATCTGCCTCCTCGGCCTCCCAAAGTGCTGCAATTATACGCATGAGCCACTGAGCCCTGCCTATTTATTTATTTTTTGAGATGGAGTCATGCTCTGTCACGAAGGCTGGAGTGCAGTGCAACCTCCGCCTCCTGGGTTCAAGGGATTCTCCTGCCTCAGCTTCCCAAGTAGCTGGGATTACAGGGGTGTGCCACCACGCCCGGCTAATTTTTGTATTTTTATTTTTATTTTTATTTTTATTTTTTTGAGACGGAGTTTCGTTCTTGTTGCCCAGACTGGAGTGCAATGGCACAATCTCAGCTCACTGTAACCTCCGCCTCTTGGGTTCAAGTGATTCTCCTGCCTCAGCCTCCCAAGTAGCTGGGATTACAGGTGCCTGCCACCATGCCCAGCTATTTTTTTATATTTTCAGTAGAGATGGGATTTCACCATGTCGGCCAGGCTGGTCTGGAACTCCTGACCTCAAGTGATCGGCCTGCCTAGACCTCCCAAAGTGCTGAGATTACAGGTGTGAGCAACCAGACCGGGCCACATTTTTGTATTTTTACTAGAGACGAGGTTTCACCATGTTGGCCGGGCTGGTTTCAAACTCCTGACCTCAAATGATCCACCCGCCTTGGCCTCCCAATTACCAGGGTGGGATTATAGGTGTGAGCCACCACACCTGGCCAGGAATACAGTTCTGACACATGTTACAACATGAATGAAACTTGAACACATTATGCTAAGTGAAATAAGCCAGACATAAAAATGACAAATATTGTATTATTCCACTTACATGAGGTATCAAGGATAGTCAAATTATTAAAGACGTAAAGTCTTTATGAGGAGAAGTCTCCTCCACTGCTGAAAGAGCCGTTCTCCATGAGCAGCTTCTCTGCCTTCTTGTTTACATAGTGGTTACCAGGGGCTGGGGGTGAGAATGGGGAATTATTGTTTAAAGAGTACAGAATTTCTGGCCGGGCGTGGTGGCTCACACCTGTAATCCCAGCACTTTGGGAGGCCGAGGCAGGTGGATCACCTGAGGTGGGGAGTTCGAGACCAGCCTGACCAACATGGAGAAACCCCCTGTCTACTAAAAATACAAAATTAGCTGGGCATGGTGGCGCATGCTTGTAATCCCAGCTACTCAGGAGGCTGAGGCAGGAGAATCGCTTGAACCTGGGAGGCAGAGGTCGTGGTGAGCCGAGATCGTGCCACCACACTCCAGCTTGTGCAACAGAGTGAGACTCCATCTCAACAAAAAAAAAGTACAGAATTTCTGTTTGGGATGAAGAAAATGTTCTAGAGATAAATGGTGGTTATTGTTGCAAAACAACATTAATGTACTTAATGCCATTGACCTGTACACTTAAAAATGGCTTAAGTAGTAAATTATGTGCTTTGTATATTTTATCACAAAACACGTCAAATGGCTTTTCTACTCCAAATCTTTGCTAAAACCCAGTTCCATCATGTCTATTTGCTACGAATTCCATATGCTGACTCATTAAAGTGCAGTTCATTCTAATAAGCCTCACAGCAGGCCTCAGGAGCTTTTGTTCAATGCCTAATAGCACTGATCATTATTTCATTTAGTTTTCACTCTGAAGGTTTGTATAACAGGTGTTCAAATATGAGACAGGTAAAGTCACAGTGTCAACTTCATCTCTGCTAGTAATTTCTTTCTTTTTTGAAATGGGGTCTCTCTCTGTCACCCAGGCTGGAGTGCGGTGGCGTGATCTCGGCTCACTGCAACCCCTGCCTCCTGGGTTCAAGTCATTCTCCTGCCTCAGCCTCCTGAGTAGCTGGGATTACAGGCACCCACCATCACGCCTGGCTAATATTTTTATTTTTAGTAGAGATGAGATTTCACCATGTTGGCCAGGCTGGTCTTGAACTCCTGACCTCAGGTGATCTGCCTGCCTTGGCCTCCCAAAGTGCTAGGATTACAGGCATGAGCCACCTCGCCTGGCCTCTGCTAGTAATTTCGTTGGCTACTATGATCCCAGGTCTTTATCCTCATTTCTTGAGACAGAATGTCTATGCAAAACCACCAAAAGAGGTCTCCTCTACTGCTGAAAGAGCCATTCTCCATGAGCAGCTTCTCTGCCTTCTTCTTTACACAGGGCATTATTTCGATGGCATTGAAGAGAGAGGCCTCCTTTTTGGAATCTTTTGTGTAAATATTAACAAAGAACCTCTACCCTTCAGGCCAGAAGCATGGCTCAAGCCTGTCATTCTAGCACTTCGGGAGTTGGAGGTGAACAAATTGCTTGAGGCCAGGAGTTCAAGACCAGCCTGGGGAACATAAGGAAACCCCATCTCTAAAAATAAAAATAAAAAAAATTAGCCAGGCATGGTGGTGCACATCTGTAGTCCCAGCTGCTCGGGAGGCTTAGGCGGGAAGATCGCTTGAACCCGGGAGTTTGAGGGTGCAGTAAGCCATGATTACGTCACTGCACTCCAGCCTGGGCAACAGAGCAAGGCTCTGTCTGAAAAAAAAAAGGGATTCTACATTTCAGCATACACGTTGTCCGCATTACCTGGGAAACCTTAGAAACACTGTGCTTCTGTAACGTGTCCTGTTTTACTAAATCAGCTCACCAAGTCCAGCTCCATCACTTACTGCCATGAAGCCAGAGCCTGTGATATAAAATCTCTCTCCACAAGCTTCAGGGCTTCCAGTGCTCAATGTCCTGGGAGAAATCTACCTCCTCAATTGTCTAATAGGAAACCTTGGCTTTCTGGTACACCTGCCAAATGTCATGGTATTCAATTGGAAACATGGAGCACAGCTGCAGTTTTCGCTCGTCTTCCATGCAGTTCATGTTTCATGCAGGTGGCAGGTTCTTTAGATTTAGTGGACTCTGAAAACTCCTGGAAGATCTTCCTCTTGCTCTCAGTCCTTATCTGCCAGGCTGAGCTTCTTCAAGGGAAAGAGTTGGCCTGCTACTGCAAGTGGTTGGGTGACAGTGGCAAGCAGGTTGTGGGCAGAGGGAATGTTGGCATGACGGATGGGGGATGGGTGTATGTTTACAGGGAATGAAGGGAACTGGTGGTCCTGGGAAGCCCAGATTGTAGGGCAGGAATGGAGGCAGAGACATCAGTTGGGGGACCATCGCATATTTCAGATAAGAGATGATGGTGGTTTGGAGTAGGATTGGTAGGAGTGGAAGTGGCAGGAGTGGTCAGATTGAGACATATTCTGAAGGTAGGGTTGTTAGGACATGCTGATAGATTGGATATGGGGTATGAGATAAATAGAGAAGACACACAAGTGTTCTGAGTGTTTTGAGGGGAGTGGATGGTGATGCCTTTCCTAAGTTGAGGAACACCATAGGAGGTGTAGGTTAGAAGGCAAGTGGGAAATCAGAAGTTGAGTTTAGACATGCTAAGCTTGAGATAACTATTAGATATTTCAGGAGAGAGGTAAGGTGGGTAGTTGGACATATGTGTCTAGAGTTTTGGAGGAAAGACATGATGGAGATACTGATCAGCAGAGAAGAAGAAACACTAGAATTCTGCATGTTCCGAGCCACACCACTTAACACCTGCCACATCTACATTGATAGGAGTCAAAGAGAGAGTCCAGAGGTTTTTTTTTTTTTTTTTTTTAGACGGAATTTCTCTCTGTCTCCAAGCTGGAGTGCAGTGGCACGATTCTCAGCTCATTGCAACCTCCGCCTCCTGGATTCAAGCTATTCTCCTGCCTCAGCCTTCCAAGTAGCTGAGACTACAGGCATGTGCCACCACGCCCAGCTAATTTTTGTATTTTTGGTAGAGACGGGGTTTCACCACATTCGCCAGGATGGTCTCAATCTCTTGGCCTCCCAAAATGCTGGGATTGTCCCTCCAGGAAAGTGCAGTTCTATCAACCACAAAAGTGGGGAAGTGGTGCAGGGAGAAACACCTGAGGCTCACTATACATCTAAATCACCATTGCAGCTGTTCACTCCCGTCCACTGTGATCAGTGTTTCTTTCTCAGAAGTCTTTTTTTGTGAGACGGAGTCTCACTCTGTCGCCCAGGCTGGAGTGTAGTGGCACAATCTCGGCTCACTGCAACTTCCGCCTCCCAGGTTCAAGCGATTCTCCTGCCTCAGCCTCCTGATTTGCTAGGACTATAGGCATGTGCCACTACGCCTGGCTAATTTTTGAATTTTTAGTAGAGACGGGTTTCATCATGTTGGTCAGGCTGGTCTCGAACTCCTGACCTCGTGATCCGCCTGCCTCGGCCTCCTAAAGTGCTGGGATTACAGGCCTGAGCCACCGCACCCCGCCTTCTTTCTGGAAGTCTTTTATCCTGACCCTCATTCAATTTTCTCAGTAGAGCCAAAGCAGATTCTCCCAATGGTACTGTATTGGGGAAATATACTTGTTGGAAGCCCTGTAGTTAGAGACGACAAAAAGAATTTATTGGAAGGACTCTGAGATGTTTTTCTACCTAAATACAGGATGGAACAATTCAAAAAAAAGAACCTGAAGGCCACTAGGACACCCTCCCCATCTGCCATCTCTTCTCTTTCAGCACATGAAATTCATTTATGTTTACCAACTTCCTTCCCAAAGTCAGAAACACAACCACTAAAGCTGTTGGGCCTCATATCCAGAACGTGCGTGCTGGAGGAAATGGAATTATTATTGCTGTGTTATTAAAATTAAAAGCTTGAGTGGGGGGGGGGCTCTAATTGGCCTCTGGTGTGGTTAGATACTATAACCTGGGAGTTGAAGGGTTTTGCGGTAAATCTGATACCTATAATTGAAACCTTATGATTAGAGTTGGTGAGTGGAAAATTTCTCAGTAAAAAGGGAAGTGCTGTTTCTAAAAAGAAGGGAAGCGTGCAATAGATGTCCATTATAATAGCAGATCAGTAAAGATCAATTTTTCTTTACCAAGGAAGGGACTTCCTTTATAGCTCGTGTAATAGTTTGGATTATTCAGCAAATATTCACTGCCCTCTCACTAGAGGACTGGCCATGTGATTTGCTTTGTTAAGGTGTGTGTTAACAGATGCAGCTCAAGCAGAGGCCTGAAATGAGTTTCTGTGGTTGGGGTTGCTTGTGCCTCTGCCACCTCGGTTAGAAAAGTACATCCCATGGAGGCCACTGGTCCCACAGGACGAGAGCCAGAGGGAGCAGAGCCAGCCCAGCTAACCCGTAGCTCTGCAGCTCAAAACAGAATTGCCCCAGCCAATCCTGCAAACTGGTGGGCATGATACTGAATGATTATTGGTGTATGGCGCTGAGTTTTGGGGAAGTTTATTATGCAGCATTATTGTAGCAACAGTCAACTGATACTTGTGACATAATTACAACATTGAGTAGTTGTGTAAATAAAACATCTATATGTGAATGTTTACAGACAGTTTATTCATAATAGCCAAAGTTGTAAGCAACCCAAATGTTCATCAACAGGAAAATGGATAAATAAATAGTGGTATATTCACACAATGGAATATTTCACTCAGTTTTAAAGAACAGGCTACTGATGTATTGAATAACACCAGTGAATCTCAAAATCATCATGCTAAGTGAAAGAAGCTAGACATAAAAAGAGTACATACTGGTTGATCTTATATGAAAATTTTTTTTTTTTTTTTGAGACAGACTCTCGCTCTGTCACCCAGACTGGAGTGCAGTGGGCACAGTCTCAGCTTACTGCAACCTCTGCCTCCTGGTTCCAGGGATTCTCCTGCCTCAGCCTCCCAAGTAGCTGGGATTACAGACGTGCGCCACTGTGCACAGCTAATTTTTGTAGTTTTAGTAGAGACGGGTTTCACCGTGTTGGACAGGCTGGTCTTGAACTCCTGACCCCAAGAAATCCACCCGCCTCAGCCTCCCAAAGTGCTGGGATTACAGGAATGAGCCACCATGCCTGGCCAATTTATATGAAATTCTAGGATAGGAAAAATGAATCTATTGTGATGGCAAGCAGATCAATGGTTGCTTCTGGCCAAGGGTGGTAAGAAATTGACTACAAGGCTGGGCGTGGTGGCCCACGCCTGTAATCCCAGCACTTTGGGAGGCCGAGGTGGGTGGATCATCTGAGGTCCAGAGTTCAAGACCAGCCTAGCCAACATGGTGAAACCCTGTCTGTACTAAAAATACAAAAATTAGCCGGGTATGGGGGCATACATTTGTAATCCCCATTACTCTACTTGGCAGGGGGGCTGAGGCAGGATTGAACCCGGGAGGTGGAGGTTGCAGTGAGCTGAGATTTCACCACTGTACTCCAGCCTAGGAGACAGAGCAAGACTCTGTCTCAAAAAAAAAAAAAAAAAAAAAATTGACTACAAAGGAGCATAAGGGCATAAGGGCACATTTTGGGGCGGTAGGAATGTTTTATATTGTGTTATATTGTGGTAGGGATGTTTACATTTGTATTTACAATCGTCAAAACTTATCAAAGTCACTGGTCAGATGCAGTGGCTCACACCTGTAATCCCAGTACTTTGGGAGGCCGAGGTGGGCGGATCCCTTCAGTTCAGGAGTTCGATACCAGCCTGGGCAACATGGCAAAGCCCTGCCTCTACAAAACAAAACAAAAACCCAAATACTGCCTTCCCCCAAACTCATCAGAGTGTACATTTAAAGAGAGTGGATTTTATTTTTGGAAATTACACCTCGATAAAGTTGATTTTACAAAATAATCTCTGCTATTCCTGATTCCAATTTCCCCAGAAACAAGTCCATTAGAAATAGGACTGTCTAGGCTGGGCGTGCTGTCTCCCGCCTGTAATCCTAGCACTTTGGGAGGCAGAGGAGGGCAGATCACTTGAGGTCAGGGGTTCAAGACCAGCCTGGACAACATGGCGAAATCTTGTCTCTACTAAAAATACAAAAATTATCGGGGCTTGGTGGTGTGTGCCTGTAGTCCCAGCTACTCAGGAGGCTGAGGCACGGGAATTGCTTGAACCCAGGAGGCAGAGGAGGTTGCAGTGAGCTGAGATCGTGCCATTGCACTCCAGCCTGGGCGACAGAGTGAGACTCCGTCTCAAAAAAAAAAAAAAAAAAAGAAAGAAAGAAATACGATTGTCCAAATAACCTTCCTAAAATGCAGATCTAACCATGGTACTCTCTTGCTTAAAACCTTTCAAAAGTTCCTGTTCCTTTTATTTTTCTTTTTTCTTTTCTTTTCTTTCTTTTTTTTTTGAGACGGAGTTTTGCTCGTTACCCAGGCTGGAATGCAATAGTGGGATCTTGGCTCACTGCAACCTTCACCTCTTGGGTTCATGCCATTCTCCTGCCTCAGCCTCCCAAGCAGCTGGTATTATAAGCGCCCACCACCACGCCCTACTAATTTTTTTGTATTTTTAGTAGAGACGGGGTTTCACTGTGTTAGCCAGGATGGCCTCGATCTCCTGACCTCATGATCCACCCGCCTTGGCCTCCCAAAGTGCTGGGATTACAGGTGTTGAGTCACCGTGCCCAGCCCCTGTTACTTTTCAAAGTCAATTCTGAACTTCTGACCCAGTACACAAGGCCGCTACAACTGGATTTCTGCTCTCCTTTTACAACTTATCCACAGCCCCAGATTCTACATTTCAGCTTCATTAGAAGCATAATTCATGATTCACACCTGCACATTTACCAATTCTGTGCTGTCTGCACAGTGGCATTCTATTGGTCCCATAAGAGCCAGCTTGTATGTCAGCCTACTTTGCAAGGCCTCTCTTACTCCTCTAGGATGAACTTCATGTCATTTTGTATTGTGGCACTTAACCTTCTGCAGGTGAATTTTCTGGCAGTACGTGTGGCACCCCTATTGCCCTGTGAACAAAACAACTTCCCCGTGTATGTATTCCTGGAGCCCAGTGCAGGGTCTTGCATGCAGTTGGTGCTCAGTGAAGTTGGCTGAGCAATGGGCTGAGTGAGTGGCTGTGGATTCTCTGTACTTTGCTCTTTGGTGCATTCTGAGGCCTTGACTCTCCCAGAGAATTGCCCTCCAGGGGCCCAGCTGTGCTTGCTGTTACTGAGTACTTCTGCTTCTTTGGTTCATGTTGAATATTTTGCTGTTCCATTCAGAGCAGTGGAAAGTCCAAGGCCTTCTGCCCGAATCACTTAAAAGTCCTATTCAAATAGGTTTTTCTCTTGTACTTCCCCCCAGATGTCATTTAGGGAAAGAAAAGTAAATTTTGCTTTTGCTTTGTGGAGTAAAAATGAACTGAAACACTAATTTAGCTTCAGCTACAGTATCACCCTGATTACGAAACAGGCCATTTGTAGAATACTCAACATTACCAGCAATGATAATAATAGAATCCAGTCAGCGTTTATCATGTGCTTAGCATATGGCAGTCCAGTCACTATGCCTTCTGAGGGAATCAAAGAGAAGTAAGACAGCCCTCTTCCTAGGAGAGCTGCCAGTCTGGAGTCCAGCAAAGGGTATAAAACAGCACAATGGCTGCAGTATAAGATACACCATGAGACCTGCTATTACACAGGCACAAATTCCTTGGGGGCACAGACTAAGAGGTTTTTCTTGGCCAGGGTAAACAGAGAAGGCTTTATTTGACTGGACCTCGGAGATGGAGAAGATTTAAAGACACGGGAATGGAAGAGAAGAGCCATTTCAGTTAGAGACAACAGTGAGAACACATAGCTGGTGCCAGGGAAGGAAATGCCTGTCAGTGTCAGGGCAGGCACTGGCAGGGGACTGGAGTGGGGTGAGATTGGGTTGATGGGGGAGGCTGAGTCAGAGCATGGAGAGCCTTTTAGGAATCTGAGCTCCCCTTCATGGGCAGCGGGAATCCTTTGGAGGATCCTGAGCTGATTACTGGAAGGGCCAGTGGATAGTAAAGTCAGATTCCCAGAGGGTAAGGCAAGGCTGCGCTGATCACACACCGGCATGCACAGGTGTGCCGGAGGGGATGAGGAAGGACAAATTAGTGACGTGATGACAGTTGCACTCAGGCACTCCATCTTATATGGACCATCCGTAACTCTAATTCCCCTCTTGCTTCCTTTCCCGCACTCTTTCCTCCTCCGTCTCCTTTGAGCTCTCCACAACCTCAGTCAAAACATTCTGCCCCACTAGGCAGGCTTCGTGAAACTTCTTTCCTTCCCTCCCTGCCTCTCAGCTCCCTTGGTTCACAACTAGTCACTCTTTCCAGTACCCTCTTAAGCCTTGTTCCCACAGATAGCAGGAAAATTGGGGGGAAATCCTGCTGACATGGATCCTATGCTTGTAGGATTTCCTGGAAATTCATCTCCCCAGATAGAAACCAAGCTCCCACTGAATGAAGCCTTGTCACCCTGGGCCTCTGGCTTTTCTTGATGGTCTGGGCGACTTTCCTTCGTTGTGTGTTCTGACCACCAAGGCTTGGCCCCATGGGACCAAGGGGGACGACCGGAGGGCATGCAGGTGGCTTCTCGTGCATATTTTCCTGCTCCCCTTTGTGTTACTCTCGTGTCACTATTGAAGATCGTTCTCCCCTACAGATAATTTGCTCTGGTCGGGGCTTTGGAATAGGGAAGTAGCCATGATAAGTTTCGAGAAACTAAAGAACACACCAGGGGTGGGAGTTCCCCTGAGTCACCTCCTCTGAAGCAGCCAAAAGCCCAGCCAACTTTGGAGAAAGGAGAAGTTGACCTCAGTAGTTCTTTTTGAGGTTACAAACCTTGTCTTGTAGCTTGCATTCCTCTGGCCACTCATCAGCCAGGGTGGCTTCAGGGTTCTTCCCTCTTATTCCCCATCAAGACTTACCTGGCTAGGCTGTCAGCCCATCGCTTCTATTCCCTGGTCAGAGGAGAGCCGAACCCCAGCTGTTTGAATCATTCCTGCTAAACCCCGGACATTCTGCAGTCACATGCTCTGCCCCCTGAGCTATACCCCCTTCACCTAAACCCTAGACATTCTGGAGCAGAGACCAATAATTCCTAAAGAGTCCTGCCCAAAGTTCAGGTTCGTGAGCAAAATAAATGATTACTGTTTTAAGCCACTAAGTTCTGAGAACTTAGTTTGTTACCAAAGCAATGGATAACTGGAACATTTGTATATAAATATGGCAATTTAGGTAAGCACAATGAATATTCATGAGGTGGTAGTTCACATATATGTATATGATAAGAATCACAAGAATGAAGTCCAAAGCACCTTACAAATAGAAGAAATTGTTAATTACTAGGATGGCTCATATTCTTCTTATTGTTATTCTCATGACAAACACAAGTAGTTTCCTCAGTCCTAGCCAGGACTTCACGCTTCTTCAGTAAGAACTTCTGGACAAAACAATCACAGAGAGAACCTTGGTTGGGCCATAGGTACTTATTACTATAATTATTATTATTTTTTGTTTGCTTGTTTTTTGAGATTCAGTCTTGCTCTTGTCATCCAGGCTGGAGTGCAGTGGCACGATCTCAGCTCTCTGCAAGCTCCGCGTCCTGGGTTCAAGTGATTCTCCTGCCTCAGCCTCCCAAGTAGCTGGGACTACAGGTGCCCGCCACCACACTCAGCTAATTTTTGTATTTTTAGTAGAGATGGGGTTTCACCATGTTGGCCAGGATGGTCTCGATGTCCTGACCTTGTGATCTGCCCGCCTCAGCCTCCCAAAGTGCTGGGATTACAGGCGTGAGCCACCGCGCCCGGCTAGGTACTTGCTAAGTGTGAACAGGTTTCGCCAATTATCTTCCATCATCACCCTCTCCCCAACTGGCTGCCGTTTCCACCTGTGATAGATCAGTGTTACACATGTGCATTTTCCAGAACTCCCAGCTGTGAGGCTGCAAACCTGGCTCCAGGGCCTGAGCAAGGGTTCCAGGGAGGGTCTCTGCATTCGGGGCCACTGCAGTGACCTACTTTAATTATTCTCTTATGCAGTTCCTTTGACTGCCTATAATATGGTATAGGTTCTCCTAGACTGAAAATCCTTTGAAGGCAAGAATTTTTAACTTCAGCGCCTAATACGGTCCCTGTTACACAGTAGCAGTTTAGTATATGTTTATGGGATAACTGGATACACATACGGTTTCCAGACAATATGCCTTCTGTTTGACTCATTCAGAATGTACTTGGGCTGGACCCCTAATTTCATACAAAGTTCCACGCGTTGACAGAGCAGCTCAGAGGATGGGGAACCATGAGCTGGTCTTTACAGGCCTGTACAGTAGACCCTGGCGAATGCAGACTCAGATTGTAGTGGCACTGAGAGAAGATATCCCCCATCTCTTCACACTTGGTCCATGGTCAGCTACTTGCCTCTGACCCACACTTCCCTCCACTCCGCCCCGCACCAGTCCTTTCACATTTCATATAAAAGAAAGAAAGAATTTTCCCTTTTTTGGAAAGAACTTTGTCTTTCTCTCTCCCACCTATCCTTGAAAAGTGATAATTTGGAAACTCCCCAAAAGAAACTAAAGCAGGCCATGATATGTAAGAATTTTTATTTCTTATTTTTATTTATTTATTTTTTTGAGAGGGAGTTTCGCTCTTGTTGCACAGGCTGTAATGCAGTGGTATGATCTTGGTTCACTGCAACCTCCGCCTCCTGGGTTCAAGTGATTCTTCTTCCTCAGTCTCCTGAGTAGCTGGGATTACAGTCACCGGCCACCATGTCTGGCTAATTTTTATAGTTTTAGTAGAGACAGGGTTTCACCATACTGGTCAGGCTGGTCTCAAACTCCTCACCTAAGGTGATTCGCCTGCCTTGGCCTCCCAAAGTGCTGGGATTACCAGGTGTAAGCCACTGCGCCTAGCCCACAATATGTAAGAATTTTTAAAGCAACTCCTTTTGGCATACAGAAGATTAGAAATATAAAGCCCTAGGCTGGGTGTGGTGACTCATGCCTATAATCCCAGCACTTTGGGAGGCTGAGGCAGGCGGATCACTTGAGGTCAGCAGTTTGACACCAGTCTGGCCAACATGGTAAAACCCCATCTCTACTAAAAATACAAAAATTAGCCAGAAGTGTTCCCAGGCGCCTGTAATCCCAGCTACTTGGGAGGCTGAGGCGGGAGAATCACTTGAACCCGGGAAGCAGAGATTGCCGTGAACCTAGATTACGCCATCGCACTCCAGCCTGGGCGACAAGAGCAAAACTCCGTCTCAAAAAAACAAAAACAAGGGTCTATCTTTTTTCTATTTCCACCCATTGCCCAAGCCAGGACCCAGTGAAGGCAGGTAGTTGATCTTTGTTGAATAAATGAAATGCCTAGCTAATTATTATTATTTTTATTTTTATTTTTGAGACAGAGTCTCCCTCTGTTGCCCAGGCTGGAGTGCAGTGGTGCAATCTCAGCTCACTGCAACCTCCACCTCCTGAGTTCAAACGATTGTCCTGCCTCAGCCTCCCAAGGAGCTGGGACTACAGGTGCGTGCCACCAAGCCCAGCTAATTTTTGTATTTTTAGTAGAGACAGGGTTTCACCATGTTGGCCAGGATGGTCTCGATCTCTTGACCTCGTGATCCACCTGCCTTGGCCTCCCAAAGTGCTGGGATTACAGGCATAAACCACCGTGCCTGGTCTTATACTTTTTTTTTTTTATAAGTAGAGATGGAGTTTCACCATGTTGGCCAGGCTGGTCTCAAACTTCTGACCTCAAGTGATCCACCTGCCTTGGCCTCCCAAAGTGCTGGGATTACAGGCGTGAGCCACCACACCCAGCCAAAGATGCTTGATTGCAATTTTAAAACCACATGCTTCTATTATTATTATTATTATTATTATTTTGAGGGGACAGGATCTCACTCTGTTGCCCAGACTGGAGTGCAGTGGCACAATCTCAGCTCACCGCAACCTCTGCCTCCTGGGTTCAAGTGATTCTCCTGTCTCAGCCTCCCAAGTAGCTGGGATTACAGGCATGTGCCTCTACTGCCTGTATTTTTAGTAAAGACGGGCTTTCACCATGTTGGCCAGGATGGTCTTGAACTCCTGACCTCAAATGATCCACCCGCCTTGACCTCCCAAAGGCGTGAGCCAGCGGGTCCGGCTGCTTCTCTTATTTTTAAAGAAATATTCAGCACCAAGGAAATGTAATGAGAGAGAGAAAACTCAATCTTCCCATCCTTTCCCTGGTTCTTATGATGCTCAAAGATGATTTAAGGAGGTACAGCAGCCTGCTCTTGGCTTTGTGCTCCTGTGGGCCAACGGGCACAGTCTAGGAGGCACGGGAGAACTTTCCCAGGGGAATTCCTGGAGAAGTGGCTTGACAACATATCTGTATGCTCCTTTGTGCTCTACAGGTCCTATATCAGTCTGGATACTCCAAGAAAATGTCATGAGGGGATTAGACGTCTAACAGATTTACTGGGGTAAATGCCTGTGAGGGAAAAGAGGGAGGGAGGCAGAAGAGACTACAGAGCTGTCAGACTACAATGCAGGACTGACCTCTGCAAAGGACAGAAGGAGGAAGATGGGGTAGGAAGTCTTCCATGACTGTGCAGTCGAAGGAAGTTTCAGCAAAGCCCATGGGGAGTCATTGAAGCAAAGTTACCTATCAAAGGAAGTTGACTTGCAGGAACCGATCTTAAGGTTCCTGCTTTGCTCAGTCATTGGCTGGGAACAGCCTGTAGGATGTGTGGCCTCAGTGCAAAGCTGTGGTAGATTCAAAGCACTGCGGCTGGGGCCCTTAGTCAATTAAACCACCACAGTAGGTCTGAAAGATGCATTTTCATGGCTGCCACGCTATTAACGAGCATTCTAAGCAGCACCTCTCCTTTCCTCCTTAACCCTATGGTGATAGTTCAGAAATGCAGGTTATATATGAATCATTTTTCCTATTTGCAGCTGGTCATAGACAGGATAAAAGACTCAAAGTCACTCCATATGTGGATGGAAAAAAAAAGTGAATTCAATTTCTCCAGCGACCATGAGTTATCTCCTTTTTCTTCCATCCACTGCAAACCTTTTCTCAGGATTGCTGCCATAGCTAAATCAAATGAGATTTGCATTTCACCTATGAAGTTATATCCTTGATAGGTAAAGAGATGATTGGGAGGCCAAATTCCTCATTAGTCCACAAAAGAACAATGAGGAACTAGCTTTGATTAGGCACGTACGTTTTACCAGGCATGGTGATAGAGGCTTTACATAGGTCATCTCTTTGAACTTCACCTCAACCCTCTGAGGTCAACATGTATTGCCTCATTTTACAAATTAAGCACAGACCCAAGGTACATACTGAGTAAAGAAAGAGAGATTTGGCTGGGACTGAGTCCAGGCCCTCTGACTGTAAGTCCAGTGCTCTTTCTGGTCCTGCAATTTCTAATCCACACATCGGATAGTTTACCTGAGTTAAAAATGTGAATTAAGTCAGGCTTAAAGCAGAATTTTGTTTTCTATCAGAAATTCTAGAGTAGGTGGAAGGTGAAGACCAAAGAAGGTATTTTCTTTTTCTTTTTCTTTTTTTTTTTTTTGAGATGGAGTCTCGCTCTGTCGCCCAGGCTGGAGTGCAGTGGCACAATCTCAGCTCACTGCAAGCTCCGCCTCCTGGGTTCAAAGGATTCTCCTGCCTCAGCCTCCCAAGTAGCTGGGACTACAGGTGCCCGCCACCATGCCTGGCTAATTTTTTGTATTTTTGGTAGAGATGGGGTTTCACTGTGTTAGCCAGGATGGTCTCGATCTTCTGATCTCGTGATCCGCTCGCCTCAGCCTCCCAAAGTGCTGGGATTACAGGGGTGAGCCACCGTGCCTGGCCCAAAGAGGGTATTTTTTTCTTCCCTCTCGGTATCATCCTTACTCAATTACAAATGATCAAGGGCGGTACTGCCAGAGTCACCTCGAGAGGCCCTGTTCTCTGCCACCCAGGCTGTTTTGTAGTCTCCATTCCAAATTGTCGTTACTCCGGTTTACCCCGTGGATGGCGTTTAAGACTTTTCTTAAATTTGAAATTCACAGAACCATTTTAAAGTGAACAATTCAGTGGCATTTAGTACCTTCGCAGTGTTGTGCAACTTCCACCTCTATCTAGCTGCAAAACATTTTCTTTTCTTTTTTTTTTTGGAGACAGAGTCTCGCTCTGTTGCCCAGACTGGAGTGCAGTGGCGTGATCTTGGCTCACTGCAACTTCTGTCTCCCGGGTTCAAGCAATTCTCCTGCCTCAGCCTCCCGAGTAGCTGGGATTACAGGCACACGCCACCCGCCTGGCTAATTTTTTGTATTTTAGTACAGACGGGGATTTACCATATTGCCCAGGCTGGTCTCAAACTCCTGAGCTCAGGCAATCCGCCCGCCTTGTCCTCCCAAAGTGCTAGGATTACAGGCGTGAGCCAACGCGGCCGGCCTTGTAAAACATTTTCATCACACAAAAGAAAACCTTCTACCCATTAAGCAGTTACTCCTTCCTCTTCTCAGCCCCTGTCAACCACCAATTTGCTTTCTATCCTATGGATTTAACTGTCTGGATATTTCATAGAAATAGAATCACATAATGTATGACCTTTTCTGTTTGGCTTCTTTCTATTAGCCTAATGTTTTTGAGGTTCATTCCTGTTGAAGCATGTATCAGTTCTTCATTCCTTTTTTGGGATGAATAATGTTCCATAATTTATTTATCCTTTCGTCTGTTGATGAACATTTGAGTTGTGTCCACATCTTGGCTATTGTGAATAGTGCTGCCATGTACATTCGTATGTAAGTATTTGAGTATCTGTTGGGTGTATACCTATGAATGGAATTGCTGGGTCTTTTGACAATTCTGTATTTAACTTTTTGAGAAACTGCCAACATTTTCACAGGGGTTGTACCATTTCACATTCCCACCAGCAATCTACAAGGATTCTAATTTCTCCACATCCTGCATTTAAGACTTGCAAAGCTGAATTAATCACAGGATGAGGAAGTGGCTTCTCTGAAACATTTTCCTCTTTCACATTTTAAACTTTCTCTTTCATACATGACATGAAACACAGCCTACGCACGAAAGTGACTAGGAGGAAGGATATTATAAAGTGATGCAAACAGAAATTCCACCAGCCTCCATGTATCATCATGTGTCATAACTCAGTCAAGCTCAGTGAGCATTCTCAGCACATTGCCTCAACAGCTTCAAGGTGAGCCAGCTCAAGACTTTGCTCTCCACCAGGCAGAAGATGACAGACTGTGAATTTGGATATATTTACAGGCTGGCTCAGGACTATCTGCAGTGCGTCCTACAGATACCACAACCTGGATCAGGTCCAAGCAAAACGTCCAGAGTGCTACAAAATGTTGCGTTCTCAGTCCAAAAAGAAGTGGAAAAGAATCTGAAGTCATGCTTGGACAATGTTAATGTTGTGTCCGTAGACACTGCCAGAACACTATTCAACCAAGTGATGGAAAAGGAGTTTGAAGACGGCATCATTAACTGGGGAAGAATTGTAACCATATTTGCATTTGAAGGTATTCTCATCAAGAAACTTCTACGACAGCAAATTGCCCCGGATGTGGATACCTATAAGGAGATTTCATATTTTGTTGCGGAGTTCATAATGAATAACACAGGAGAATGGATAAGGCAAAACGGAGGCTGGGTATGTGTGATGGAAAAATTCTTCATTGTTCTTTCCTGTGAAATAGAAATTGAGAATTTCCTTGCTAGTTAAAACAACAACAAAACACTTTACCTAAGAATACTATTTTCCTTGGGTGGTTTGTTTTAATTTTTAAAATAAAAATATACTTTCTGGCTTATTTCCAATGAATCCTTGAACTTGAACTTTATAGTTGGAAAGCACTTATGTTTTCAGTTTTTATTCTTAACAGTATAAATTACAGTAGTGAGCTTTGGGGATTAATAAAGCACCTCTCTCATGCAGCTTCACAATCAGCTGTGCACACACTCTAATCTAGTACTTAGCTTTTGCTAGGGTTGTCATGACAGTACAGACAGTACAGAAATTTCTACAATCAGCACAGAAAGTTGCTATCAGATGCTGTTATTTTTAGGTATTTATGGGTTGCAAAAGACAGGTGTAAATTTTTGTAAGTTCATCGCTTACAAATTGGTGTTTTTCAGTTTACTAATACATAATAAATAGTAACATATATTAATATATAGCAAATTACATTACATATAATATATAACACATTATTACTAATAATAAATTCCGGGCTGTTAAAGTTTGTTGATTAAAACATAATATACTGTATGACCAGCAAGAACCTTTATTCAAGAATTTTCAAATAAAAATTTACTTTATTATCAGTGCCTAAAAAAGCCAAGACTATGTAGAGGCCTGTGTTGAAACTCATGTTGGTAAAAAGCCTGACACAGCTGGATGTATATGGTTTCCTTTATATTCCAATATACTTAATAATTATTTTTTTAAAGCACTTAAGTGTTCATTGATCCTCTCTCCAACGGCCTTCACCTCTCCCAAGAGGTAACCACTGTTATCAATTATTTTGCATGCAAAACATGCCTACTGAATCTATCCATAGAAAATAAACAATACTTCTTTGTAAAACATTTTTTGTAAAAAAAGTTTTATATAAAATGTATATGTATGCTTATGTATATGTTTTACATAACATATATGTTATACCATATAACACATACCTTTTTTACATATACACATAGATTTTTTATGTATACATATAAATTTTGCATACATATTTTTACATGTGTATATGTAAAAATAGTACATGGTACTAATGCTGCCACTTATTTTTTTACCCAGAATTATTTAAAATAGTATTATTAAGAGTGCTGTGTATATTCTGTTATATGTAAGTGCTGTAGAGTACCTGGCCATTTCTAGCTGATAGCTGTTTAGGTTATTTCGAGTTTGCTGTCACACACAATGCTTCATTGAATATCATTTTACGTAAATCTTCCCTTGTGCGTGTGTGTAGTTTTCTAGGGTGGATGTTGGGTTGTAGATGCTGGGTCATGGTGTACATACATTTTTTAATTTGTTAGGTCCTTGCCCTCCAAAGTGGCTCTACCAAGTTACACTCCCATCAGCAGCTCGTTAGGATATGCCCCGGGATTCTCCTACCCCAGCTGACTAACAGTAGGTTGCTGCAATTCATCATAATTTTCTTAATTTGTTGGGCTAAAAATATAGAGTTTATCTTGTTTCAATTCTTGTTTTCTTGATTTCTAGTAAGGTTAATTTTTTTTTTACATTTTGAGCATCTTTTCATATATTAACTGATCATTTGTAAATGCAGGGAATTGTCTGTTTACACCCTTTGCCCATTTTCCTTTTATTTTGTCTTTTTCTTATTGATTTGTAGGAATTCTTTGAATATTCTGGATACAAATTATTATTTTTATTATTGTTTAAATTTTTTGAGACAGAGTTTTCATTCTTGTTGCCCAGGCTGGAGTGCAGTGGTGTGATCTCAGCTCACTGCAACCTCTGCCTCCTGGTTTCGAGCAATTCTCCTGCCTCATCCTCCCAAGTAGCTGGGATTACAGGCATGTGCCACCACACCCAGCTAATTTTGTATTTTTAGTAGAGACAGGGTTTCACCATGTTAGTCAGGCTGGTCTCGAACTCCTGACCTCGGGTGATCCTCCCCCTTTGGCCTCCCAAAGTGATGGGATCACAGGCGTGAGCCATGCACCCAAATTATTTTTATGTATGTGGCAGATATCTTTTAGTTTGCTGATTAACGCTAATGATGTCTTTGGTCATTATAAATGTTTAAAAGTTTGTTGCAATCAAATTTATTGATCTTTTACTTGATGCCTTTTTCATTTTGTTTAAGGCCTTCCTGCATGATAGAGCTTACTGCAGCTACTCCCCTTTCTCAATCACCTTCTTCCTGGAACTTAGTTCTTTCTAACTGAGCCTGACTGAGGCTGGGCGAATCATGTGAAATGTTTTGTCATGTTTTCTTCCGGTTGGCTGTGGGAGGCTATACTTGAGGACTGGTGGAAATTCAGCTGCACTGTGTAGATTTCAGGTGAAGGCAAATGTTCTCTGGCACAGAGGACCACAGATGAGCCTGCAGAGAAATACTCTACTAGTTTGCAGGCTCTATTTGGGTTTGGATTGTATTTCCAACGCTTAGCATAATACTTGGAGCACACAGACAGTGAATAAATGTTAGTTAAAAATTTAACTTCTCCACAATAAATTTTGTGAGCTCCTGGAACTCACTGTTAGCAAGAGGTGTGGAATTGTCTCTGAGAATTTCTAGTAGTACCCTCATCTTTCAAGGGTGGTACAGATGTAAACATGAGTGTGGCCGGATGAACCTCTCCCGAGTGTAGATACAAATACACACATTGCCTGCACGTGCACACACTCAGCCTTTCTAAAGTTTCCAAGCTCTTTTTTTTTTTTAAAAAAAACACCTGAATAGTTCAAGTTGTAGACATGAAATAAATACTCTTGGAAATGTCATTTCAAAGCAATCTCCATGCCGCTTTCCCAGCTCAGATGAGACATTGATTCTGTCAACGATAGGCAGTGCTTTTTTGAGTCAGTGCAAACTGGCATGGAAAACTGTTATCATCTTTTCATAGTGATGTTGACAAATCTGCTTAAATGAATGAATTTACTCTTGAATGATTCATTTCAGGGGAAATGGCACAATCACACACCTATGCTGGTAGAGTCAGTGGCCCACAAGAAGAGGTAAGAGTAGAGAAGGCACTTACAGCTTTATCAAGATGTGAGCACATACAATCTATAATTTAATTAAATGTTAAAATTGCCCAGAGACTTTATGAAAACTTTGAATCAACAATGCGGTATGTGCCGGGTGCAGTGGCTCATGCCTGTAATCCCAGCGCTTTGGGAGGCTGAGGTGGGTGGATTACCTGAGGTCAGGAGTTCAAGAGCAGCCTAGCTAAGATGGTAAAGCCCTGTCTCTACTGAAAATACAAAATTAGCAGGGCCTGGTGGCGGATGCCTATAATCCCAGCTACTTAGGAGGCTAAGGCAGGAGAATCACTTGAACCTGGGAGGCGGAGGTTGCAGTGAGCCGGGATTGTGCCACTCCAGCCTGGGCAACAGAGTGACTCCATCTCAAAAAAAAAAAAAAAAAAAAGCGGTATGTGAGCACAGCATAGATGTTCAGAGCACCAACTCAGAATCAGACAGACCTGGCTTCATTTCTGGGCTCGAGTGCTTACTACCTGTGTGAATTGTACAAGTTGCTTAACTTCCCTACGTCTTGTTTCCTCATCTGTAAAAACAGGAAAATATTGCAACCTATGTCCTGGGACTGGTATAAGGATCAAATTAGTTAATATATGCAAAGCACTTGAAACAATTCCTGAAAATGAGTACTCAATACAAGTTTAGGATTTTTGTTTACCATGTAAAACAGATCCCCTAATGGGAAGAAACGAGACTGGTCTATCAGTAATAGGACTCATAATCTCTTTCGTTATTCTCTTTCTCCTTTTTGTCAGTTGTCTTTCCTTCCTTCCTGCCTTCCTGCCTTCCTGCTTTCCTGCCTTCCTGCCTTCTTTTGTTTGTGGCTTCTCATCTCTCTTTTTGTCCTCTTCCATATTTACCATGGTTTCCTCCTGTCCGCTCTCCTAATTGGAAGTGCTGAGAGGATGTGCTCTCACAAGATCTGACAGGAGAGCTAGTGCCATTTGGCTGCCTCCAGCATTCATAAGGAAAGGATGGTTCTTAAAAACCATTAGAATGTTCATGAGATGAAACTCATGTCTCTTCTCTTGGGATCACCCTTCCTTTTGAACCAGATGGGTCTTCTTACTTCCTCCCCCTTCAATGAAGCATTCTCCTCTGCATATGCTGGGGGAGTAGAAAGAATGCTTGGCACTCAGCTCCACATGGGAGAAATTGTGTCTACTTAATGCATCACTGTGTACCTCATGCCTAGCATAGAAGGTAACAATATTTGCTGATGGGATGATTCAACGAACCAACACTGAAACTGAATATTTGAACTCTGGTTTTCTCACTCACTAGAGGTATAACCTTGGGTAAATTACTGAGGTACTCTGAGACTCAGATTCCTTATATAATGTATATAATAATATGACATGACATATGATAATTTATTATATATGTAATATTTAATGAAAACAATCTTACCTACCTTTAAAGGAAAGCTAAAGGATTATAAAACACTTTTTGTAAAACAGTGCTTTCCAAGCTGTCAAATACTGTGCAACTACGAGAGTCGTGGGAAATTCCAGGAAGTTTAGATAGGTAATTCTTTGCCCTTCTGAAGTAGGATGTACAGTCAGAGTTGGTGCTTTCCCAGTAACCACCATTTTAAAGGTTGGGTCATACAGTTAGGTCAAGAGGTTTTTTTTCTTTTTTTTTTTTTTCTTTGTCATCCTCTTACTCTAAATAATAGTCCGGTCAATTTGAGGCCAAATAAATGGGCACACAGAGACATGTATAGATGATTAACTAAGTGTTCACTTTGGCAAAGGCATTTCCAAAAGGTATAAAGATCTAGCAGCAAGGTGATACTATCTCAAGTGTTCATATATATCCTTTGATTAAATAAGTTTTGGGGCAAAATTTTCTATGTCTTTTGAATTTTTACTTGAGACTCTAAAATCATTTAGTGAAAAATAAAAGACCCTCAAGTCAGGCAGAAATGTATGACACTTAAGTGCTAGTTCTCTAACCTTGGGAGTCAGCCTGGACTCCTGTCTCTCATAGCCCACATCCATCCATCAGCAAATCCCCCTGGCTGCCCCTTTGAAATGCTGTAATACCCTGTGCATCTAGGCCGCCTTCCTCTCTCACTTGACTCTGTCAGTAGCCTCCTGCCAGACTCCATGGTTCCATCCTTTATCTGCTAGAATTTGTTTTCCACATAGCCCCCACAGCGATATTTTTAAAACTTGAGGGGCCGGGCGCATTGGCTCAAGTCTGTATTCCCAGCACTTTGGGAGGCCGAGGCGGGCGGATCACGAGGTCAGGAGATCGAGACCATCCTGGCTAACACAGTGAAACCCCGTCTCTACTAAAAATACAAAAAATTAGCTGGGCGTGGTGGCGCATGCCTGTAATCCCAGCTACTTGGTAGGCTGAGGCAGGAGAATTGCTTGAACCCAGGAGGCGGAGGTTGCAGTGAGGTGAGATCGTGCCACTGCACTCCAGCCTGGGTAACAGAGTGAGACTCTGTCTCAAAAAAATAAAATAAAATAAAAACTTGAATTAGATCATGTCTTGGCCTAATCATAACCCTCCAAGCTGCCCTTTTACCCTGGGAACAAAAGCACAAAATCCTGACTGTGGTCCTCAAAGCCCTACATGACCTAGCCTCTAACCGCCTCTCAAATCTCATCTGTGAATCCCTCCGTGCTCTCATAGCTCCAGCCTCCTTGGATAAGCTAAGCACATTCCACCCTCAAGGCCTTTGCACTTGCTGCTCCCTCTGCCTGGAATAATTTTCCGCCAGAAGTTTGCCTGGCTTACTTCTTCCCTTTGCTCAGGCCTCTGTTCCAAGGTTGCCTCCTCAGAGAAGTCTTCCTTGATCACCCCAACTGAGAAAGTACTACTGCCACTCTCTGTCTCCCTACCCAACTTTATTGCCTTCATAATAGTTTTCATGACTGGACATCCCATTGCATATTTACTTGCTTATCTGTTTATTGTCTGTGTCTGCCGTGAAAATGTAAGCTTAGTGAGGGCAGGGATCCTGTATGCTTTCTTCACCACTGTGTTTCCAGTGCTTTAAATGGTACCTGGCATGTGGCCAATGCTCAATGAATATTTCCTGAATGAATAAATGAATAATAATGTTTAGAGAAGTGGGAGTAACATAATGGTGTTTGCGTGTATTTTGTTTGTTTGTTTGTTTTTTTGAAACAGGGTCTTGCTGTCACCCAGGCTGGAGTGCAGTGGCGCAATCTTGGCTAACTGCAGCCTCGACCTCCAGGGCTCAAGCAATCCTCCCATCTCAGCCTCCCAAAGTGCTAGGATTACAGGCTTGAGTCACTGCGCCCGGCTGCCTGTATCTTTAAAAATTCTGAGATTTTGATTTTCTTTGGACTATTGATACTGTATATTATTTTATGCTTTAGGTTTTCTTGTAACCAAGGTAGCTGAATTTAACAAACTATCACCATTCCCAGAAATAATAAGGCCTGAACTATTCTTATTTACTACTACATTACTGATAGGATATTGAATCCTTGTTTGTATATTTATTTTTATATAATGGTTTTAAGATACAAATAGCATCATTAAAGAAAATATATTTGAAAATAACATTTTTGAAAGGAAGAAAAGTCACTCCCATCACCCTAACATATCCACATGCAGACATTGTATGCAATTATAATTAGGGTGCACAAGAGTTTTTTCCTGTGACATATTGTAGATATTTTCAACACTGTCTCACATATTTCATGTTAACATTAGGCATTAATTTCTAATGTCTACAGAATATTTCATTAATTTGTTATATCATAATTTACTTAACCAATTCCCAATTGTTAGACAATTTGGTTTTTTCGAGTTTTCCCCTTTTAGATATAATGCTTCAATACTGAAGCATGGGTATGCTTTTCTGGTGCCCCCTACCCTCCAATATTTTAGAAGACTGCCTCATGATAAATTTCTAACACTGGAATGACTGGTTCATAAGATGTGTGTATAATTACAATACTCTAGCATATTGGAAAACATATTTTCTTTCCAAAAGTATTATATCAATGGAACAATGTCACAACAAACTTAATGATGTGGGTGGTACTATTAATAATTTTGAGGTTTGCTAGGCATAAAATAACAAAGCCAATTTAATAGGTCTAAAAAACAATAAGACTGTGTTAAAAGTACATTTTTAACTGCTATTAGTGTTTTTCCCATATACTTGTTAATAATTTATATTTCTCTCTTTAATGGTCTTTCCCTTTTAAACTATTAAGGGCCTGAGGATTTTCTGTTACATTTGAATGAACTCTTTCATGCTATATGTAAATATTTTCCTAGTCTATTGTTCTTTTAATTTTAATTTTTCATAGTTTAAAAAAATTTTAGGCTAGGCACGGTGGCTCATGCCTGTAACCCCAGCACTTTGGGAGGCCGAGGCGGGTGGATCATGAGGTCAAGAGATCGAGACTATCCTGGCCAACATGGTGAAACCCGGTTTCTACTAAAAATACAAAAATTAGCTGGGTGTGGTGGCGTGTGCCTGTATAGTCCTAGCTACTTGGGAGGCTGAGGCAGAGGCAGAAGAATCGCTTGAACACAGGAGGCAGAGGTTGCGGCCAGCTGAGATCGCGCCATTGCACTCCAGCCTGGGTGGCAGAGCAAGACTTTGACTCAAAAAATAATAATAATAAATTTTAATCTCTTTCTGGCTGAATTCATCATTTTTTTCTTTGTTCACTGTCCTTTCGACATTGATGTATATAAGGTGATACATTATGACTGCTCAATGATAATAGACAATGATCGTTGTCATAATAATAAAAATCATGCTGGGTGCGGTGGCTCACACCTGTAATCCCAGCACTTTGTGAGGCCGAGGTGAGTGGATCATGAGGTCAGGAGTTCAAGACCAGCCTGGCCAACATAGTGAAACCCCGTCTCTACTAAAAATACAAAAATTAGCCGGGCATGGTGGTGCGCGTCTGTAGTCCCAGCTACTCAGGAGGCTGAGGCAGGAGAATTGCTTGAACCCGGGAGGCAGAGGCTGCAGTGAGCTGAGATCGCGCCACTGCACTCCAGCCTGGGCAATAGAGCAAGACTCCATCTCAAATAATAATAATAATAATTTCAGAGGGCCTCATTATACTTGCGAAACATGGGGTTTATGAAAATTCTAGGAAGGGGAGTAATGAAGTGGATACCTCTTGAGAGTGTATAGGAAACTATGAGTATGTACTGGCAGGAGGGAAAGAGGAAGAAGAGAGAGGGCCAGTTTCCTTCCTCTGTCAAGGCATGACAGCATGTCTCAGAGCACGATGTACACTTAACACGTAGGCAGAAAATGGCTTTCTTAGGCAGTCTTTCAAATGAAATCCCCCTGGCTGGTGGTATTCATCTGCTTTGCCAGTGATGCTCATAAAATGATTCCAAGGCACCGCAGAGCTCTCGAGTCACTCCCAACTATCAAAGAGTTATGCTCGGTTTACATTTCAATATTAGTTACACTGGGCTCTGAGCTACTTGCAGGCATTTGTAACCCCAAGGTTCTGAAACCTGTAAGGTGAAGACGTAAATGTTTGCCAGATGACCATTTGAAAAAATTATTTTAACAATTTTCTAATTCTTTTGGCACTTGTTTGGAAATGTATGGAGTGGAAAGAAGTAGGGTGTTCACATTCTCATCCAAGTCCAGGCACCAACGGGTTGGCTAATCTTAGATAACTTATTTTTCTGGGCCTCGATTTCCTCATTTGTTAAAATAATGGAGGGCTTCAGGCTAGATGATCTCAGAGATAGTTTTTGGTGAGGATTATTTGACTACAGATTGTAAATTAACTAAATAAAATGTCCAGTTAATTGGGTTATCCTATATTTTTAAAACTATGTCTGATCACAAAGAGAGTAGATTATAAAATAAACTATCAACCTTTTCATAGCTTCAAAGGTATTAGTTTAATTTGGATTTACTGTGAGTTCTCATGATTTTCAATACAATGCAGTTTACAGTATAATATAATTCATATTACAAATATAAGTGCATTGAAATCAATGTTGGACAATTGAACAAGAACGAGAAAAAAAAAGGCTTTCTATCCTCTAGAGCTGTGCTTGCTGTCCACTATGGAAGTGAAATGTGGCTAGTCTGAATTAAGATGTACTGTTAAGTACTAAATACTCATTGGATTTCGAAGGTTTGTTATGAAAAAAGAATATCTCATTAATGATTTTATACTGATTACATATTAAAATAAAAATAACTCTAAAACTATCCTAAAAGTTAGTTTTATCTATTTTTTTACTTTGTAAAATATGGCTACAAAAAAATTTAAATTACAGACGTAGGTCACACTGTATTTCTGTTAGATGCTGCTGCTTAACAGGGGTAGAAGGGGTAGAAGATTAACTATTTGCACTATTTAAATGAAAATATTTTTGCTTTTTATTCCAGCATACTTAATCTCCAATGATGTTTAAAGTGTTAAATTTATTCTTTTATAGGAAAATGGCTTTGTAAAGAAGTTTGAACCTAAATCTGGCTGGATGACTTTTCTAGAAGTTACAGGAAAGATCTGTGAAATGCTATCTCTCCTGAAGCAATACTGTTGACCAGAAAGGACACTCCATATTGTGAAACCGGCCTAATTTTTCTGACTGATATGGAAACGATTGCCAACACATACTTCTACTTTTAAATAAACAACTTTGATGATGTAACTTGACCTTCCAGAGTTATGGAAATTTTGTCCCCATGTAATGAATAAATTGTATGTATTTTTCTCTATATGCCATTTTGTCTTAATTTCTTGGGTCTGGCTGGAAATTCAGCCAAAGGGTAAAGCTCAACACAGGAGCCAGGCAATTAATTATGGGATGATGACCAGGAAGGCGGTGTCTTTTCTGCCCCACGGTAGACCCTTTCAGGTGTGCCCATTGCGCAAAAGTCCTTCTCTGTGTCACTAGGCTAGACTGAGAAGCAGACTCAGGCTAGAAGCAGACTCAGGTCGGCTTCCCTCTTCCCTCCTTCCTTCCTTCTTTCCTATGCTTTCTGCAGTTTCCAGTGCCCCTGGCTGCTTAGAGTTTCCACTGACGCCTCCTCCGCAGCCTTCTCTCTCTGGCTTGACATTTGGGGTTGATGGATATGGCAACCCGACATGCAGGATACTCGGGGATATTCTGAACAAAGAAAATTAGGTAAATAATTTAATGTGGAGCTAGTGTTTAAAAAAATGGGTTTGTTTTTGTTTTTGTTTTGTAAAAATGAACAGATTAGGAATTACGTGGTTTGTTAGATCTTGTGTTCTAATTTTTAGGTCAGCAAATCTGATTGCGATATGGGAACTCCATACCTTGTTCTAGACCTTCCTGGCCTTCCCTTCCTCTTTTTTTTAATTTTAATTTTAATTTTTTAAATTTTTTTGTTTGTTTGTTTTTGAGACGGAGTCTCGCTCTGTCGCCTAGGCTGGAGTGCAGTGGTGCGATCTCAGCTCACTGCAAACTCCATCTCCCGGGTTCACGTCATTCTCCCGCCACAGCCTCCCTAGTAGCTGGGACTACAGGCGCCCGCCATGACGCCCGGCTAATTTTTTTTTTTTTTTTTGTATTTTTTAGTAGAGACGGGGTTTCACCGTGTTAGCCAGGATGGTCTCAATCTCCTGACCTCGTGATCCGCCCGCCTCGGCCTCCCAAAGTGCTGGGATTACAGGCCAGGCCCTCTTGCCTTCCTCTTAGAAACATTCCCCCGGGGGCTTACAAAATTACCTTTCCCTGGAAGCTGTTGATAGATTGCATAAAGAAGCCGGAGCTCGGGCCATATACATTCTCGCCGGGCACTTTAGTTAATTAATGCTTTACCTAGGAGGTGTGATTCTCTCTCTTTTTTTTTTTTTTTGAGACAGAGTTTCGCTCTTGTTGCCCAGGCTGGAGTGCAATGGTGTGATCTTGGCTCACTGCAACCTCCGCCTCCCGGATTCAAGCGATTCTCCTGCTTCAGCCTCCAGAGTAGCTGGGATTACAGGTGTCCCCTACCACGCCCGGCTAATTTTTGTATTTTTAGTAGAGACGGGGTTTCACCATGTTGGTCAGGCTGGTCTCAAACTCCTGACCTCAGGTGATCTGATCGCCTCGGCCTCCCAAAGTGCTAGGATTTCAGGTGTGAGACAACGCACCTGGCCAGGAAGTGTGATTCTTAACGGTGGGGATTAGGACACAGGTGCTGTCAGTAGGGAAGCGTTTTTGGCAGAGGCAGCTTTGGTTTACTTAAGAAGTCACGTCTGAGAGGCAACCATCTATGCCATCTGAGGCGCCTGTCACTCGGAGCAGGGTAAGACTTCACAGTTTCCTTTTTCCTTCTCTTCCTCCAAGTGCCTCACCCCCACCCCCCCCCCAACTGCTTTTAGTGTTCATTCTTTTTTTATTTTTATTTTTGAGACGGAGTCTTGCTTGCTCTGTCGCCCAGGCTGGAGTGCAGTGGCGCGATCTCGGCTTACTGCAACTTCTGCCTCCTGGGTTCACGCCATTCTCCTGCCTCAGCCTCCTGAGTAGCTGGGACTACAGGTGCCCACCACCACTCCCGGCTAATTTTTTGTATTTTTTTTTTTTTTTTTAGTAGAGACGGAGTTTCACCGTGTTAGCCAGGATGGTCTCAATCTCCTGACCTCATGATCCACCAGCCTCGGCCTTCCAAAGTGCTGGGATTACAAGCATGAGCCACCGCGCCCGGCCGTGTTCATTCATTTTTGTGTGTTAATCAGAGCTGAGTGGTGGGAATGAACAGTCACTGATGGTTCTAACAGGAAGTACATATATGGGCACTATTACCTGGAATACATTCACATGAGCAACCACAAAATCTGGTTTTTACACTGCAGTTGTTTCTTTAGCAATGTGACACTGGGAAATCAGTGACTATTTCTGATTTGGTCTGTGACCTGGTCTTTTAAACTGTACCTTGCTGTGTGTTTTGTTTATTAATTTACTTTAAAAAAAGGTTTTTATGGCTGGGCGCAGTGGCTCACGCCTGTAATCCCAGCACTTTGGGAGGCCGAGGTGGGTGGATCACCTGAGGTCAGGAGTTCCAGACCAGCCTGGCCAACATGGTGAAACCTCATCTCTACTAAAAATACAAAAATTAGCCGGGTGTGGTGGCGTGCACTTATAGTCCCAGCTATTTGGGAGGCTGAGGCAGGAGAATCACTTGAATCCAGGAGGTGGAGGTTGCAGTGAGCTGAGATCGCACCATTGCACTCCAGGCTGGGTGACAAGAGCGAAACTCCATCTCAAAAAGCAAACAAAAAAAAAAGGTTTTTATAAACCTCAACTCTTACTTCATGTGGCACAGAAAAATTAAATGGAAAGAGATCACAGGCCTAAATTTATGTGAAAATTATACAACGTCTAGAAGAAAATTAAATTTTTTTAATTTTTACTGTTAAAAAGACACTTTAAGAACTCAAACAGAAGGTATTTGAATTATACCTCAATAAAGCTATTTAAAAAAGCTCTCAAAAAGGCAAACCACAGAATGGGAGACAATCTGTACCACACTAATATCTGATAAAGGACTTGTGATAGGTGATACTCTTATAATTCAATAACAAGATCATCATCAACCTAATACTAAGCATGGGTAAAAGATTTGAACAGACACTTCACAAAAGCAGATACACAAATGGCCAGTAGACATGGAAAAGATGTTCTGGAGAACATGTTGAGCACCATTAGTCATCAGAGAAATGCATTTAAAACCACAGCAAGAGACCACTACATATCCTCCAGAACAGCTAAAATGAAAAAGATAGATAATGCCAAGCTTTTGGGAAAATGAGCAACTGGAAGTCTTACACACTACTGATGATAATATAAAATTGTACTACTACTTTGGAAAACAGCTTGGAAATTTCTTATAAAGTTAAACATACACTTATTGTAGGACCCAGAAATTCCTCTCCTGGATATTTACCCCAAAGAAATAAAACATATGCCTATATTATTCATAGCTTTATTCATAATAGTCCAAACTGGAACCCAAATGTTCATCAACAGGGGAGTGAATAAACACACTTTGGAATATCCATGAGACAGAATGTCACTCAGCAATAAAAAGGAATGAACTACTGGTACATGCAACAGAATAGATAAATCTCTAAAACATGTCGAGTGAAAAAAGCCAGTCACAAGAGTACATAGTGTATTAACTCCTTTATGTGAAACTCAAAAAAGGACAATACGTAGTGTCAGAAAGCAGGTCAGTTGTTGCCTGAGGCTGGGATGTGAGTATTGACTAAGAACTTTGCCTAGGGTGATAGAAATATTCTTCATCTTGATTGTGGTAGTAGTTACATGGGTGTATAAATTTGTCAAAACTCATAGAGATGTACACTTAAAACTGGTGCATTTTATTGTAGATAAATAATATCTCAATGAAGTTGACTTAGAAAAAAGTGTTTCTGGCCAGGCACGGTTGCTCATGCCTGTAATCTCAACACTTTGGGAGGCCGAGGTGGGCGGATCACAAGGTTAGATCGAGACCATCCTGGCCAACATGGTGAAACCCTGTCTCTACTAAAAATACAAAAATTAGCCAGGCGTGGTGGCTGGTGCCTGCAGTCCCAGCTACTCAGGAGGCTGAGGCAGGAGAATTGCTTGAACCCGGGAGGCGGAGGTTGCAGTGAGCTGAGACTGCGCCACTGCACTCCAGCCTGGTGTCAGAGCGAGACTCCGTCTCAAAAAAAAAAAAAAAAAAAAGAAAAGAAAAGAAAAAAGCGGTTTTTTGTGAAAAATAATAAACACTCATCAGAAGCAATGTAAACAATACAAAATGAGAGAAATAAAAATCACTGCAACTACTAATTTAAACTGGAAAGTTATTAATACCATGAATAAAGTCCTGAAGCACCATTATTTTGTTTGCCTTGTCATTTAAAAGGACTTTGTCATTGTAAATTAGAGCCTTGCTGACAATCTACCAGGCCCTCCCTACGTGGTTTGTTCTCTACTGTGATTGTCCCACTTCATTTCAGTTGTGTCCTCCTCCGGAGTCTGTCTCTTCTGCAGCTTTGCTGGGCTGTTTTCAGGACCTTCTGCCACAGATGTTTGCCTGTGCTGTTCCTTCTGCCTCTGCATCTGGTTAATGCTTACTTGCCTTTCAGAGTTCAGCTCAAAGTTCACTTCTTCTGGATGCCTTCCCTGACTAGGTTAAATTCTGCAATTATAGTCTTACAAAATGTCACTGTCTCAATTACAGGGTTATATTTGTGTGATTTTTAAATCAATATATCTGTTTCCCCAATAGATACTAAGTTCTGTACGGGCAGGAACTATGGCTGTTTTTGTTTACCATTTCATTTCAGAGCTCAGTTCAGAACTTGGTAAGAGTTCAATAATATTTTTGTTTAAAAAGAAATGGGGGCCAGGCACGGTGACTCACACCTGTAATCTCAGCACTTTGGGAGGCTGAGGCAGGTGGATCCCTTGAGGTCTGGAGTTCAAGACAAGCCTGGCCAATATAGTGAAACCCCGTCTCTACTAAAAATACAAAAATTAGCTGGGCGTGGTGGTGTGCACCTGTAATCCCATTTACTCAGAAAGCTGAGGCAGGAGAACTGCTTGAACCCAGAAGACAGAGATTGCAGTGAACCAAGATTGTGCCACTGCACTCCAGCCTGGGCGATAGAGTAAGACTCTGTCTCAACAACAAGAACAACAAAAACTACAACAACAAATGGGAATGAACATTAATTGGTTTTGATTATGTCATTTCATAGCAAATGAGGCTGGAGTGAGGCTGAACATCATGTTCTCAGTAATAGCATGTGCTATGGTTTGCTCCAAAACTCATGTTGAAACTTAATCCCCAATGCAACAGTGTTGAGAGGCTGGGCCTTTAAGAGCTAATTCGATCATGAGGGCTCTGCCCTCACGAATGAATTAATCCATTTACGGATTAATAAATTAATGGGTTAATGGATTAATGGGTTAACATGGGAGGGGAACTGGTGGCTTTATAAGGAGAGGAAGAGAGACCTGAGCTAGCATGCTCAGCCCTCTTGCCATGTGATACCCTGCACTGCCTTAGGATTCCACAGAGTCCCCACCAGCAAGAAGGCCCTCACCAGGGCCAGGCGCAGTGGCTCACTCCTGTAATCTCAGCACTTTGGGAGGCCGAGATGGGTGGATCATGAGGTCAGGAATTCAAGACCAGCCTGGCCAATATGGTGAAACCCTGTCTCTCTAAAAAAAATATATATATATACAAAAATTAGCCAGGCATGGTGGTGTGCACCTGTAGTCCCAGCTGCTCAGGAGGCTGAGGCAGGACAATCGCTTGAACCCAGGAGGTGGAGGTTGCAGTGAGCCAAGATCGCACCACTGCACCCCAGCCTGGGTGACAGAGTGGGACTCTGTCTCAAAAAAAAAAAAAAAAAAAGAAGGCCCTCACCAGATGCACCTCCTCAACCTTGGACTTCCTGACTTCCATAGCAGTACAAAAATACATTTCTTTCCTTTACAAATTACCCATTTCAGGTATTTCGTTATAAACAACAGAAAATTGACTAATGCAGCATGGGAGAGTGTAATGGCTGTTTAATGGTTGTTGTCCATCTGTGAAGAACTTTAGATACATAATTTTTAATCTTCATGATGTCCCTCTGAAGTAGATATTTTCCGTATTTTACTGTTGAAGAAACAGGCTTAAAACCAGTAAGAAACATGCCCAATGTCACAGAGTTGGGGGCATCTGACCTCCCAGCAGTCCTCACTGGCTCTCAGTCACTGGGCGTCCTCCTCCTACACCACTTCCTCCTGATCCCATGGGGCCACTCAGACCCTATGCTTCCTTCCCCATCCCTTTCACAGGCTGAAACTCTGCATGAAGGCCAACTGGGTGAAACTGGTTTCCCCACTGATGGTGAGGACCTTTGGTGGCCAGGTGGCCATCCCCATACTCCCTCTTTTTCACCTTCCACCCTTTTGCATGTGTCCTCCCAGTTGTATTGTCCCCAACTTAAACTGCTTGCCACTATTTTGGATCTGGACACGTTTTGCATAGTGTCCAAAGTTGCTCACAGGGAAACCTTGCTTGGTAACATCCCACAGACATGGAAATACAACAAATCCTTTATTTATAATTGGGAGCTCTGTGTGGTTATTTCTGCTTGAAGATGCTATTAGGATCCCATCACCAGGACAGGACAACGCCAAATCGTTTTTCTACAGTTTGGGTTTTTGTAGATTCATCTGCCTTATGACTAGAGGCAGCATTTTCAAGACAGCTGACTGAGCCTAGGACTATGATTTATTGCCTTAAAAGCTAAGCCTGACCGGCTCATGTGAGATCCAAACCCATGACCCATGATTCCTTACACTGTTTTAAAGTAGGAGGTAGATGACTAGGCTATTTGAGCAACAGAAGAATGTATATATAGAGTTTAGTATTATAAACTCTTGCAACATAATTATTTTGACACAATCTCATTTCCATTGACCTTGCTTCCTATTTCACTGAGAACTTCTACATCCTCTCTCTGCCATATCTACCTCCCCTGCTGCATCTAGACAGGTTAAATTTCCCTTCCTGCTATTATGGTGAATCAGTTATTCTAAGGCCAACCCCTACATTTGTGTGTTAGACCTTGTTTCTTATTTCCTCTGCAGGAGGAAACTATTCTGTATCATACAATTTCCTGTCTCTAATGGACCAGTCCTATTAGCACCTGAACTTGCTATAGTTTCTCCTATGGTAAAAGCAAACAAACAAAAAACCAAACACACAGTCTCTCAGTGACTACCCTATTTTTTGCTTCCCTTCACAGAAAAAATCCTCAAAAGAGCTGTCTATAATATGCTGTCTCCAATTCCTCTCCTCTCATTGTCTCTTGAACATGTATCAATCAGACTCTCATCCCCACTACTAAGTTCAGGGATGAATTCTCAGCCCTCAACTTCCTTGATGTGACATTTGACACAGTGAATGACTTTCTACATATTTTAATTTGACTTCTGGGACGCTACTCTGTGCTGGTTCTCCTCTCATGTCGCTGATTACTCTGTTTCCCTTGATGAATCTTCCTCATCTCCCCAAGCTAAACTCTGTAACTCTAAATATTGGAGTGCCCTGGCTAGTTTTTGGCTTACTTCTCTTCCTTACCTGCCTTCATGTGCTAGATATCTCTTTCAGTAGCATGGCTTTTAGGATCCACCATGTATTGATGACTCCCAAAATCGTATCTCCAGCCAAGACCTCCCCCTTCAACTCCAGACTCAAATATCCAGTTGCTGACTTGATGTCTCTCTACTTGGATGTTTAACAAGCACTTCAGATTTACTGTCTAAATCTGAATATCTGAACCTCTAACCCCTGAATCCTTCACCATCTTAGTTAATGGCATTTTCATCTTTTTACCCACTTAAGGTGGAAATCTTCTGTACTCATTGACTCTTTTCTTTCTTTCACTATACACGTTCAATCCATCAGGCAAAACTGTGTGGTTCTTTCATCAAAATACATACAGGGCCAGGCATGGTGGGTCACACCTTTAATCCCAGCACTTTGGGAGGCCGAGGCAGGCGGATCACGACGTCAAGAGACCGAGATCATCCTGACCAACATGGTGAAACCCCGTCTCTACTAAAAATACAAAAATTAGCTGGGTGTGGTGGCGCGTACCTGTAATCCCAGCTACTTGGGAGGCTGAGGCAGGAGAATCGCTTGAACCTGGGAGGTGGAGGTTGCAGTGAGCCGAGATCATGCCACTGCACTCCTGCCTGGGCAACAGAGTGAGACTCCATCTCAAAAAAAAAGTATATAAATTATATATATTATATATAAATTAACATAAATTATATAATTTATATAAAATTAATATATATAATTTCATATATATATAAATTACTTATTAAACTACTGCTATCCTGACTCGAGCCACTTGAAGTCCCTTGTATAGATTTTGCAGTGACCTCCTAGCTGGTCGTCTGGCTTATTTCCTTGCTCCTCTACAATTTGTTCCCAACCTGCAGTCAGAAGGGTCCTTCAAAATATAAGATCACTTGTGTTCCCTCTCCATTCACAACTCAGTGGTTTCCGCTGCACACAGAGAAATAGTCCAAGTTCTTAAAATGGGCTCTAAGGCCTTTCACAATTTACTTCCCTGTGAACAGCTTGACTTCATCTTTCCCTTGCTCAAGAAGCTTCCCTACAGTGTCAACCACACTCCCTCTTCCCAATTTCTGAAACCTCTTATGTTACTGAGTCTTTTTTTAGGATCTTGATCTGTGCCTTGGTAACATGGCTCCTGAGGCTTAAACAAAATTGGTGAAATGTCCACAGAGCTCTCTGGGGACTCAGAACCGTAATGAACTTCACACCTAGTGTGGCATGTACAAGTGCTGGTGCTTTGAAAGTACAATCCTTGATGGAAATGCAGAGTATGAATACTACATTGTTGTTAACTGTCAAGGATTTTGGAGCAAATGAGGAAGACTTTTCCCTCAAGGGAATCAAAGCTTTACCTAACTGGACAAGGGTGTTTTATTTTTAAAGGGTTCTGTCCAGGGTGCAGAATCATCAGAGTAGATATGAATACACAGGAAATCGATGCCTCCGGAATTCCGCCGGGGCACCTGACCCACAGCATTCTTCCTCCACAGTGCTGGGGTCGCCTCCATCAGTAAGTCCTCAGGCAGCTCTGCCTGCCTCTTCAGTGTCCTTTTGCTTTCACCCTTGTTGATATCCAATCAGCTTCTCAACCAGAAACTTGGTTCCTGGCAGTCATTCTCAAACCTTCTTCCATTCCTTTTATTCAACTAAAAATGGACAAATGCTGCCAATTTTACTTGTTAAGTATCTCTTAATCTACCCATTTTTCTCATTCTTAACTTTTATGCCAACCACTGATAGAACCTTTTTTTTTTTTTTGAGGCGGAGTCCCGCTCTGTCGCTCAGGCTGGAGTGCAGTGGCGCGATCTCAGCTCACTGTAGCCTCCGCTTCCCGGGTTCAAGCAATTCTCCCGCCTCAGCCTCCAGAGCAGCTGGGACTACAGACGCGCACTACCACACCTGGCTAATTTTTTTTCTATTTTTAGTAGAGACGGGGTTTCACCATGTTGGTCAAGCTGGTCTTGATCTCCTGACCTCGTGATCCACCTGCCTCGGCCTCCCAAAGTGCTGGGATTATAGGTGTGAGCCACCGCGCCCGGCCCCTTCCCTCCCCCAACCCCCCCCCAAATCCCCGCTTTTTTTTTGAGACAGAGTTTCGCTCTTGTTGCCCAGGCTGGAGTGCAATGGCATGATCGCGGCTCACCGCAACCTCCGCCTCCCGGGTTCAAGCTATTCTCCCGCCTCAGCCTCCCGAGTAGCTGGGATTACAGGCATGTGCCACCATGCCTGGCTAATTTTGTATTTTTAGTAGAGACGGGTTTTCTCCATGTTGGTCAGGCTGGTCTCGAATTCCTGACCTCAGGTGATCTGCCCGCCTCGGCCTCCCAAAGTGCTGGAGTGTGAGCCACCTCGCCCGGCCACAACCTTTTTTTTTTTTTTTGAGACGGAGTCGTCGCCCAGGCTGGAGTGCAGTGGCGCGATCTGGGCTCGCTGCAAGCTCCGCCTCTCGGGTTTGGCCATTCTCCTGCCTCAGCCTCCCAAGTTGCTGGGACTACAGGCGCCCACCACGCCCAGCTATTTTTTTTTGTATTTTTAGTACAGATGGGGTTTCACCATGTTAGCCAGGATGGTCTGGATCTCCCGACCTCGTGATCCACCCGCCTCGGCCTCCCAAAGTGCTGAGATTACAGGCGTGAGCCACAGCGACCGGCCCAGGCCACAGCCTTTTTACTCATGTATCCATATCTACACCTGTCTCCATTTGGTACATTTGATACAGCCAGCGTATTAATCTTAAAAAGGAAATCTAATGTCACAATACTGCTTAAAAATCATTCAATTAATTCCAGCACTTTGGGAAGCCAAGGCAGGAGGATCACAGGTCAGGAGATTGAAACCATCCTGGGCAACATGGTGAAACCCTGTCTCTACTAAAAATACAAAAATTATCTGGGCCAGGTGATCAAGGTTAAGGTGATAAGTTGTGTTGATAGCACACCTTGATATCATGTAATGAAAAGGCATTTAGTCTTTGTGGTATTGTTTCCCCAAAACCCATAATCCCAGGAAAACATCAAATGTAAATTGGGGACATTCTACAAAATACCTAACCAGTATTTCTCAAAACTGTCAAGGTCATCAAAAACAAAAAGTCTGAGGAAATTTTCACGTTTAAGAGGAGCCTATAGGCCAGGCATGGTGGCTTACACCTGTAATCCCAGCACTTGGGGAGGCCAAGGTGGGCAGATCACAAGGTCAGGAGTTCAAGCCTAGCCTGGCCAACATGGTGAAACCCTGTCTCTATTAAAAATACAAAAATTAGCCAGCGTGGTGGTACATGCCTGTAATCCCAGCTACTAGGAAGGCTTAGGCAGGAGAATCGCTTGAACCTGGGAGGTGGGGGTTGCATTGAGCCCAGATAGTGCCATTGCACTCCATCCTAGGCGACAGAGTGAGACTCCAACTAAAAAAAAAAAAAAAAAAAAAAAAAAAAAAAAAAAAAAAAAAAAAAAAAAGAGGAGCCTATAGAGACACAGTGTGGTACCCTGGACTGGATCCTAGAACAGAAAATAGATATCACTGATATCACTGGAAAAACCAGTAAAAAAAAGTTTGGAGTCTATTTAATAGTAATATATCAGTGTTTCTTAGTTTTGTCAAATGTGCCATGGTAATGTAAGATCTTAACTTTGGGGAAACTGGATAAAGGATATGTGGGAACTGTTAGTATTATCTTTGCAACTTTTAGGTGAATTTCAAATTATTCCAAAATGTTCATTGAAAAACAAACAGATGGCTGGGCACGGTGGCTCACACCGGTAATCCCAGCACTTTGGGAGGCGGGGGCAGGTAGATCATGAGGTCAGGAGATAGAGACCATCCTGGCTAACTGGGTGGAACCTTGTCTCTACTAAAAAAAAAAAAAAAATACAAAAAATTAGTGGGGCATGGTGGCAGGCACCTGTAGTCCCAGCTACTTGGGAGGCTGAGGCAGGAGAATCGCTTGAACCCAGGAGGCAGAGGTTGCAGTGAGCCAAGATTGTGCCACTGCACTCCGGCCTGGGTGACAGAGTGAGACTCCATCTCAAAACAAAACAAACACAAACAAACAAACAGACACTGGCTGGATGCGGTGGCTCATGCCTGTAATTGCAGCACTTGGGGAGGCCGAGGCGGGTGGATCACCTGAGGTCAGGAGTTCGAGACCAGCCTGGCCAACATGGCAAAACCCCGTCACTACTAACAATACAAAAAATTAGTCAGGCATGGTGGCGGGAACCTGTAATCTCAGCTATTTGGGAGGCTGAGGCAGAAGAATTGCCTGAACCCGGAAGGCAAAGGTTGCAGTGAGCTGAGATCATGCCATTGCACTCCAGCCTGGGTGACAGAGCGAGACTCTGTCTCAAAAAAAAAAAAAAAAAAAAAAACAGACAAACAAAATACAAGCTCATGTCATCTGGACCCAGGTTCTTCAGCTTCATCTCGTGCCTCTCTCCTCTTGGCTCTTGGTTGATTAGCCATTGTGGCCACCTTTCAATTCCTCTAAAATATCATGCCATGTTTCCCTTTAGAAACTTTGTATATACAGTTGTTTCTTCATGAAAAATTTTCCAGTTTTTCTCTCTTCCCTGTTCTCACTCTCTCACCTAAAGAATGCATACTTAGCCTTGTGATTTCAGCTGAAAAGTCATTTCCTTGGAGTGGGGGTGGGGGTGATGGTGGAACGGGGGAAGGAGGGGTCACCAGCAACCTCCTGATCTATCTAAATGGAGAGAATGCTCTGTGCAGGCTGACTGTATTATCGTTTGCATGATAATTTTATTTCTTCCTGCAAATTGGCACTTGGTTTATACATTGATTAGTGGTAGTACTTCCCAAACACAACCAGTGAGACCGCATGGCACTTGGTTATTGGGTTTTCCCTGGTGACACTGTGGCTTTTCTTTTAAATTTCTACAATGACTACCTACCACCCCGAGCTGAGGAAGTCAGCCCCTTCTGAAAACTAGCTTTCCATACCACCCTTAAAGTGTGGTGCAGCGCTTCAGCTATAGCTCCGTCAGCAAAGAGTACAATGGGGTTTCTTCTCTTGACCTGGACTTCCAACAGCAGCTGGGGATTTTATTAGCTTAATAAGTTGCTCTTCCCACCTCATTGTCGCATGACACAGCCTTCCCTCACTGACTCAGCAGCTATCTGCCGAGCATCCGTTCCACACCAGGCCTGGTGCTGAGCAGTGAAGATACAGGTGACTACAGAACATGGGCCGGTCTCATACTTCACAGGATGAACAAGAACAGAGCTACAGAGCTAATAAAACAGTGCTGTGACAGAGGAGGAGGTGCATTTTAGTGTCAGTTTTGGAGATCCTGGGTTAGAATCTGATAACCTTTATGTAGTACGTACGTGAGCTAGGGCAAGACACAGGATTTCCAAACCTGTTTCCTCTTCTATAAAAATACTGTAATAATAAGTACTTTGTGGTTCATTTTGAGGAACATAAGAAATTTAACTTGGCACCTGGCATTTAGTAAACTCAGAAATGGTACCTATTATCACTGGCCTTATTGTAGTCCAGATGCCCATTCTCCTCTCATCCTCCAGTGTTTTTTTTGTTTGTTTGTTTGTTTTTTTTTAGACAGATTCTCGCTCTGTTGCCCAGGCTGGAGTGCAGTGGCATGATCTCGGCTCACTGCAAGCTCCGCCTGCCGGGTTCACGCCATTCTTCTGCCTCAGCCTCCCAAGTAGCTGGGACTACAGGCGCCCACCACCATGCCTGGCTAATTTTTTGTGTTTTTAGTAGAGACGGGGTTTCACCATGTTAGCCAGGATGGTCTCAATCTCCTGACCTCGTGATCTGCCTGCGGCGGCCTCCCAAAATGCTGGGATTACAGGTGTGAGCCACCATGCCTGGCCTCATCCTCCAGTTTTTAAATTTTTCCCATACTAATCAGCCTTATGTTTACCCACAAGAATCCACTCACACGACTGTGCAATAAGGACCACTGAATATTTTGTCGGGGAGAGAGGTGAGAGGCCACATAAAATATAACTGAAAAAAAATTCCTCTTAGACATTTTTATTCTTCAAATTTTTCTTCCTGGCTGTGTTGTTTCCAGGGACTTTCCCCTTCTCTCCTCTCCCTCCAATGCAGGAGAAACTAGCCTTCTTATCCCCACAATCTTTTCTTTGTATTTGAGTGATTTCCCTCTACTCTTCCCTTTGGGAAGCAACTTTAAGTCCTGTAGTCATCTTATGTACAGCAGTTGAGGGATCATGTTTTTATCATTTTGGCTTCTAGCTCTCTACCCCAAGTGTCTTCCAGAAGTACTTCTTAAAAAAAGAAGTCATACACATGGTACTTTCCTAGGAGGAGTTCTAGTGAATAAAATGCCTGTCACTCAGACTGGAGTGCAGTGGTGCTCACTGCAGCCTCAACCTCCTGGGTTCAAGTGGTCCTCCTGCCTCAGCCTCCCAAGTAGCTGGGATCACAGGTGTATGCCACCACAACTGGCTAATGTTAAATTTTTTTTGTAGATATGGAGATCTTGCTTTGTTGTCCAGGCCAGTCGTGAACTCTTGAGCTCAAGTGATCCTCCCCTCTCAGCCTGCAAAAGCTTTGGGATTACTGGCATGAGACACTGTGCCCAGCTACATGTTTTTTGACTTAACACATAGGGTCAACCAAAATTTCCATGTTTTTCATATGATGGTCTCTCCTATCACATGCTTTCACAATGTTTATTTAACAGTTAAAAAATTTTTTGAACTTTTATTTTGCACTAATTTTAGTTTTACAGAAAAGTTGCAAAAATAGTACACTTCATCTAGCTGCCACCAACATTAACATCTTATATAGTTATAGTATGACTATCCAAAGAAGGACATTAACATTGATACAGTATGATTAACCAATCTACAAATCTTACTGGTATTCCCCAGTTTTCTCACTAGTGTCCTTTTCCGGTCCAAAATCTAAAACAGATCGTGCAGTTTAGTTGTCATGTCTCCTTAAAGCTGTGACAATTCCTCAGTCTTTGTCTTTCATGACTTTGGGACTTCTGAAGATTACTAGTCTGGCATTTTATAGAATGTCCCTCAATTTGGGTTTGATGGTTTTTCATGATTAGATTGAGGTTATACATTTCTGGCAGGAATACAACAGAAAGCTGTGTCCTTTCCAGTGCATCATACTGGGGGGAACATATGTCATCTTATTAGTAATGCTAACATTGACTACTCAGTTAAGGTGGTGTCTGCTAGGTTTCTCCACTATTAAGTTTCTTGTGGGGATATATTTTTAAGATTATGGTGTTTTTGTGATTATGATGTTTCTCATCATTCTTCCACCCACTAAGCTTAGCATCCATCAACAGTTTTCATCTGCAACAATTATAACTGCAATGTTTGCTTAATGGTGATTTTCCATTTCCATTATTCCTTCCACATTTATTAACTGGAATTATGTGATAAGGAAGCATATCTCTTCTCTCCTAGTTATTTATTCATATCAGTGTGCACTATGGATATTTATTTTATGGGTTATGATGTAAGATTATCATTATTTTGTTGCTCAGATTGTCCAAGCATTAGCCATTGGGAACCCTGATTCAGCTCCTGGCTCCCTCTTGTCATGCTCCCTTCCTTTCAGAGCATGTCCTTGCTTTGTGGCACCACAAGATACTCCAGTCTCGGCTCTGATTTTCACTGCCCCAACTCTAGAATCAGCCATTTCTCCAAGAAGCTCTTTTTTTTTTTTTAAATTGGAAAATGATATTAAGAAACCAAGATCTTGATGTTAGATTTCATTGCTACTGGTGTGTTATTGCTTCCAGGTCCTCTCACAAACAGAGCCAGTTAATAAAATATAGAAAAAAATGTAAATAAAGATATTTCTATATATTTTGTATCTTTTTTTTTGTTTTTGTTTTTGTTTTTGTTTTTTTTACACAATATTTATTGAGTGCCTCCTCTCCCGAGTCCTTGCAGTCTCTAGGTCACTTTTTCTGCTTGTAGATTTTGTACACAAGCCCCAGAAACATGGCTGGGAGCAGGGGCGCTGCGTACTGTTCAGTGAGACCCATAATGTGGCTGTAACCGTCTTCCTCATACTGCAAGAACACGGCCGGCAGATCCAGCTCCTCATACAGTGCCTTCACCTGGACTACCTTCTTGGCCTTCTTCTGTCCGTAATTTTCCTTCAGGATCTGGTACTGTTCCAGAGTGGATCGTTGCAGACACTGAACCACCAGCCAGCTGCATTTGTTGTCCTGGATGTCAGTGCCAACTTTGCGGGTCACAGTGGGGTCCCCAAAGAGGTCAAGGTAACCATCCTGAATTTGAAAAAACTCTCGATCTCCAGTAGGATCTTCTAAGCATTGGCGTGCTGCTTCTCACCATCGATTCCTACCATGTACATGGCTGCAGCTACAGGAAGGTAGAAAGAGTAGAAAGCTATCTTGTACTTGACAATAGATTTGTACCTGTTTTCAGTGAATCTGCCAAAATCCACATTGTCCTAGGGGCTGTGATGAGGTCCAGGGTCTGCCCAATCTCAGGCTGACAGGAAATCTGCAGGAAGAGCTCGATCAGGTTCAGGTAATAGGGCTGTGCTTGGCAATAGAGCTTCAGCAGGTAGTAGATACATGCTTCCAGAAGGATAGCATAATTGATGGCATCCTACCCCATGCCCATCTTCTGATAACAGCAGATCTGTCCCCAGCGGGTGAGGGATGAATCCATGATGTCATCTGTCACCAGGAAGAAAGCTTGCAGCAGTTCCATACACCAGCCCACAGTCAGGCCCTCTGGAGACTATCAGCATCCTGTTTCCTTGGTTCCACCAGCTCCTGGAACGCTACTAGCACCGTCAAACCCCGGTGATACTTGCCTCCAATGGCATTGTACTCCAGGACGTCCTTGAGCCGGGCAATAGCATCTCCTATCTCTGAGTGCCCCATCTCATCCTCAGTCAGCACCCCAACGATCTGGGAGAAGTGCTGAAAGAAATCCTGCTTTTCTTGGGCATAAACATCTGATTTCTGGTCCCCATTCATTCTGAGGGAGGAGCAAAGGGCTCTGTTCCTGGATGCGAGTTCCTGCCGTATCTATCTGTGTGTGTACACTAAAAACCATGTGTTCATACCTCAGATTGACACCTCTGATTCTAATCCAAAACAACAGGGGTCATTCTAGCCTTCCCCCTTTTCTTATTTGTAACTTGTTTTTCCAACAGGGAGAGTCCTGATTGTCATTGGTCACAACAACTTTACTTATTTGTTCAATGATATACAGATACAGATAAGGTAGATTCACAATTGCTAATTTATACCCCTGTGAAAAACAAATGTACTAACCAGAGGACAATATTTGTATGAAGTTGTTTTTGTCTTTAGTCTTATGACACAGTCAAAATAAAAGTTTACTAAATTACTTAAGTATTTTCTTCTCCACCCACTTTGTGGTGGTAATGTTAGTTATTTATTACACAGTTTTTTTTTTTTTCTGCTTGCATTCTATTTTGGCTTGCCTCCACACCCTGGTTGACTGGATGTATGTGTGTATGTGAAACATTACCATGGTTCTGAGTCAGAACTATATACAAAGCTACAATCAGAGAAATGCTACTCTCTCCTCGTCACTGCTACTCTGTTCCCATCCTCCCATTGTTTCCACCCAGCTCTCACCCTTTCCCTGTAGGTACCCAAAGTTTGTTTTTGGTTTATGTTTACTGCATTCCCCCTACAATGTATATTTTCTTTTATCTCTTTTATTTTAGGAAGATATAATTCACATAACATTAAACTCCCTTTTAAAATGTTCAATTCAGTGGTTTTTAGTATAGTCAAGACTTGTGCAACTATCACCACACTCTAACTTTAGAACATTTTCATCAACTCAAAAAGAAATCCTGTACCCCAGTTCCACCAGCTTCCCCAGGCAACCACTAATCTACCTTCTGTTTCTATGGGTTTGCCTGCTCTGGACATTTCATATAAACAGGATCATATAATACGTGGCCTTTTGTGTCTGATTTCTTTCACTTAGTATTCCTTTTTTTTTTTTTTAAGACAAGGTCTTGCTCTGTCGCCCATGCTGGAGTGCAGTGGCATAATCATGGCTCATTGCAGACTGCCTGGGCTCAAGCAATTCTCCTACCTCAGCTTCTCGAGTAACTGGGACGACAAGTGCGTGCCACCATGCTTGGCTAATATTTAAACAATTATTATTTGTAGAGATGAGGTTTCGCTATGTTGCCTAGGCTTGTCTCAAACTCAAGGGCTCAAGTGATCCCCCCACCTCGGTCTCTGAAAGTGTTGGGATTACAGGCATGAGCCAGGCAGTATACCATTTTCAAAGTCCATCTGTGTCACAGTATATACGAGTACTTCATTCCTTTTTATGACTAATATTCCGAGGTATGAAAATTCTACATTTTGTTTAGACATTCATCAGTTGGTAGAAACTTGACAGAAATTTCCACTTTTTCATTATTGTGAATAGTGCTGCTATGAACACTCATAAGCAAGTTTTATGTGAACATGTTTTCTTAAGTATATATGTAGGAGTGAAATTACTGTGCCATATGACAACTCTGTATTTAACTTTTTGAGGAACTGCAAAACTGTTTTCCAAAGTGTCTGCAGCATTTTACATTCCCATGGGTATGAGTTCCAGTTTCTCCACATCCTTGCTAATACTTGTTATTTCCTTTTTTTTTTAATTACAACCATGCTAGTGGGTGTGAAGTGGTATCTATTTGTGGTTTTGAAGTGCAGTTCTCTAATGACTAATGATGTTGAACATCTTTCCATGTGCTTAAAGGCTATTTATATATCTTGTCTGAAGAAATGTCTAGTCAAGTCCTTTGCCTATTTTAAAATTGGATTATCTGTCTTTTTATTGCTGAGTTGTAAGAGTTCTTTATATATTCTGGATACAAATGCCTTATCAGATACATAATTTGCAAATATTTTCTCCTATTCTATAGGTCGTCTTTTCACTTTCTTGATGGTGTCCTTTGATGCACAAATATTTAAGTTTGATGAAGTCCAATTTACCTATTTTTTTCTTGTTGCTCGTGTTTTTGGGGCCATAACTAAGAATCCACTTATGAACTTGATGATGTAAGTGATAAAGAATTTATGCCTATTTTTCTTCTAAGTGTTTATTGTTTTAGCTCTTACATTCAGGACTTTGATCTTTTTTGAGTTAAATTTTGAATATGATGTTAGGCAGGGGTCCAACTACCTTCTTGTGCATGTGGACATTCAGTTGTCCCAGGACTGACAACTAGTGTTTTAGTTCTCCTTCTCCCTCTCATGTTTTTTGACTTATTACAAATTATTAAGGGCCTAATTAATCATAGATAAAGATGAGCATATTTCCCCAGCCATGCTTATTATCTTCCTAGTAATTATTCAAGGAGTCCAAAAATTGAATGTGGTAAGTTAAGCCTTGGTCCTAGCCCACAAGGTGGATAGAATGATGCCCTGGTGACAGAGCTGTTCTAATTCAAGGATGGAGGGAGTGGTAAAAGGTAAGAGGCCATCAGTTCAGCCTCACTGGCTGGCTCCTTATCCTGTAGCTTTCAATCCTAACCTCTAATGGGTAAAGCCCAAAGGTCAGCTCTTCTCTCCTATTCTGGCTTAAATTCAGCATTAATCAGCTGCTAACGAATTGTTGAGCTTCTATGGGTAGCTCAGGTTGATGCTGCACTCTTTCTAGTAATCTACCCAGGAGTCCAGTTGAACTGTACTTGTCTTTTGGAGACAAGTCTCACTCTGTCGCCCATGCTAGAGTACATTGGCGCGATCTCGGCTCACTGCAACCTCCGCCTCCTGGGTTCAAGCAATTCTCCTGCCTCAGCCTCCTGAGTAGCTGGGGTTACAGGTGTGCGCCACCACGCCCACCTAATTTTTGTATTTTTAGTAGAGACGGGGTTTCACCATGTTGGTCAGGCTGGTCTCAAATTCCTGACCTCTTGATCCACCTGCCTTGGCCTCCCAAAGTGCTGGGATTACAAGAGTGAGCCACTGCGCCCAGCGGAACTGTGCTTGTCTTTTAACTATTTTGCTTTGTCAACGATCTTGCTTTAACACCTCGGAATTGATCTAACAGGTGGATGTGGGGTAGGGTTGGAAAAAAGCACCCTTTCTTCTCATTATATAAGAAATTACATTATAGAAATTTGAGAAAAATAAAATGAAGAAAACAAAAATCACCTATATCATAATCCTGATATATTTTTTTCCAGTTTTTACTATGCTTTTATAAAATAAACTTGACATTATAATAGATATTTACTTTTATACTGTTTTTTCTTTTTCTTTCTTTCTTTCTTTTTAAGAGACAGAGTCTCGCTGTGTCACCAAGGCTGGAGTGCAGTGGTGCGATCATAGCTCACTATAACCTCTTTGAACTTCTGGGCTCAGGGGGTTCTCCTGCCTCAGCCTCCTGAGTAGCTGGTACTATAGGTATGAGCCACCATGCCTGGATAATATTTTGAATATTTTTTGTATAGACAGAGGCTCGCTATGTTGCCCAGGCTGGTCTCGAACTCCTGGCCTCAAGTGATCCTCCACCTCAGCCTTGTTCTTTTCTTTTTTTCTTTTTTTTTTGTTTTTTTGAGACGGAGTCGTGCTCTGTCACCCAGGCTGGGTGCAGTGGTGTGATCTCGGCTCACTGCAACCTCCGCCTCCTGGGTTCAAGCGATTCTCCTGCCTCAGCCTCCTGAGTAGCTGGGACTACAGGTGCGTGCCACCGTGCTCGGCTAATTTTTTGTATTTTAGTAGAGATGGGGTTTCACCATGTTAGCCAGGATGGTCTCGATCTCCTGACCTCGTGATCCACCTGCCTTGGCCTCCCAAAGTGTCGGGATTACAGGTGTGAGCCACCTCGCCTGGCCGTTTTTTTCTTAACATTATAATATAACCATTCTTTCATTTAAAAATTCTTTTAAAACATTAATGAAAAGAGAGATGTGTCTAATTTCACAAGGTACAAATTTTTTACATGGAGATTGTTTTTAGTTTTTTACTGTTATAAATATTTCCAAAATAAACATTTATGTACATGAATATTTTTTCCAGATAATTACTTTTTTAGGTTAAATTACCAGAGCTAGAATTATCTGACCTAAATCTATGAATATAGTTAAGCTCTTGGAGAATACTGCCATATTGTTTTTCAAAAAGCTTACTGTAGACCAGGCGCGTGGCTCATGCCTGTAATCCCAGAACTTTGGGAGGCCAAGGAGGCGGAGAACTTGAGGTCAGGAGTTCAAGACCAGCCTGGCCAACGTGGTGAAACCCTGTCTCTACTAAAAATACAAATAATTAGCCAGGCATCGTGGCGGGCACCTGTAGTCCTAACTACTCAAGAGGCTGAGGCAGGAGAATCGCTGGAACCTGGGAGGCGGAGGTTGCAGTGAGTCAAGGTGGTGCCATTGCACCATCTGGCATGGGTGACTGAGTGAGACTCTGTCTCAAAAACAACAACAACAACAAAAACCAAAGAGCTTGCTGTAATTTACACTTTCATTGACTGTCGTATGAGGGTGAGTGCCCTTTTTACCCCAAAACATTGTACCTTAAGACAGGGTAAGAAGCAATATGATGAAAAGGAGGAGGTAAATGGAAAAGGGAGATCAGGCGGTAAATGGAAAAGGGAGATCAGGCCATCACTTGAGAAAGAATATTCATTTCTGAGTTCTCTCCTTCTACATGAGTATGTGATGGGGCTATTTTGCCATTCTGATTTTCTTGGGGGCTTTTAGCCTTGCCTTATCATGCATCTAGGGAAACAAAAGATCTTCAATCATACGATGCTTTGGTGCTGCTGGCATTCAAACTTATCATTTGACAGGGAGGTGAAGGAAATTAAATCGCACAGTCTGGACACTTTGGAACATCCTTCCTCCCTCTGTCTTTTCTTCTCACCCTTCATATCTGATTGACAAATCCTGCCATTCTGCCTCCTCTCTGTCACCACCTCTCCATACCTATCACATTCTCTAGTTCAGGCTGTCATCATCCTTCACTTGAATAGAATGAACAAATTACCTATGGTCTATTTATCGAACAGTACACATATAGTAGTGAAAATCATGAACTAGGGCTAAATTTTTATTTTAAAATGCAGTTAGATTTGTTACTAGTTGGATGCATCTAAATTATCGAACTAAAATATCATGCCAAATTTGTTGTTTTCTTACAACTTTATCATGGGTCTTTGCTGAGAAAACTTACTTGAGGTCTATAGGTATGTCTCTATATTGTATCTACATCTCCATATGAAACAGAGCATTTCAGCTCTTTCATACTCCATCATTTTGAATGAAATTAAATAGGAAGTTTCAAGCTGGTAGGGAAGAAACCGATGGCAATGCTTGAGGAGGAGAGGGATCAAATGAAATGCTGAATTGTGAGGGAAATCCACCTTAACGTGATTCATGTCAAATTCAGAAATTTTAATATTTGTAGTAAACTCTCATGTCCACACTCTTCAGAGAAGGTCTGAGAGTTGAATATTGCTTAGAAGGCAAGGAAAATTGAGAGTAGAGAAATGCTGTGTTTCACCTCTGTTGCATGCACTTAAGAGGAAGAATTTATAAATGGCAGACTTGGGTGACTTTGCTATTCTATTTTGGCTCCTATTTTTTGTCATTTTTCTTGATGTTTTCTTCTCTTTTATTGTAGTATCTTTTTTATACATGGTAACTATGGACAGCAGAATTTCTTACAAACTTATTTCCTGAAAGTAAAATGATATCCATTTTGGAGAATACTTGGGAATATCTTGTTAATTTGAAGATGCACATATTATGTAACCCAGAAATTGTATCTGTAGGCATATACCCTAGTGAAACTCTTGCACATATGCACAAGGAGACATGTACAAGTATGCACTTGCCACATTGTTGGTTATGTCTTCTATTAATAGAAGAATGAACAAATTACCTGTGGTCTATTTATTGAACAGTATACCATACAGCAGTGAAAATAATGAATTAGGGTTACATGTATCAACATGGTGAATCTTGAAAACATAATGCTGAGGGAAAAAGAAGATGGCATAAGAATACTGATAGTATAACAGCATTTGAAATAGTGTGGCATAGTCATGCAGATGTTCTGGTGTCAGGCTCACTTGGTTCAAACCTGCTTCTGTTCTTTCCTAACAGTAAGACCTTGGCAATTCTCCAACCTTGATTGGCCTTCATTTTCTTATCTGTAAAGTGGGGATAATATTTTCCACATCTTATGGTTATTGTGAAAATTACAACGTTAGTACTAAAGTATTAAGAGGAGTACATAGCAGGATTATATTTATGCAGTGCATATTCCATTTAAAATCATGCAAAACAATACTGTATTTGTATAAGAATGTGTATATGTTGGTAAAAGTACATACAGATAAATGAGTGAGAATGATAAACACAAATTTATGATAGTAGTTATCTCCTGGAGGAAGGGATATTTCTTGAGCTGTAGTGGGTACATGATTGTTTTGTTGTTATACTTCTTATGCCTTTGTGTATGACTGAACTATTTCATGATAAAATTTAAATCAAATGAATGAAATTTATTCTTTTTTTTTTTTTTTTTTTTTTTTTTTTTTTGAGACGGAGTCTCGCTGTCACCCAGGCTGGAGTGCAGTGGTGTGATCTGGGCTCACTGCAAGCTCCGCCTCCCGGGTTCACGCCATTCTCCTGCCTCAGCCTCCCCAGTAGCTGGGACTACAGGCGCCCACCACCACAACCAGCTAATTTTTTGTATTTTTAGTAGAGGTGGGGTTTCACCGTGTTAGCCAGGATGGTCTCAATCTCCTGACCTCGTGATCCACCCGCCTCGGCCTCCCAAAGTGCTGGGATTACAGGCGTGAGCCACCGCGCCCGGCCGAAATTTATTCTTAAAACTATAAATACAGTGTAACCAAATTTCTGAGAAATTGGAAACACGAGGAAAAACTCCAAATTATACCATCTTACCTCACAATTTTTAAAAAATTAAGTAATTTCTCCAACAACTGAGTGAGACTGGTGAATGAGAATGTTATTTTTGTAGCATTTTTTTTTTTTTGGAAAGAGTCTCGCTCAGGCTGGAGTGCAGTGGCGTGATGTTGGCTCAGTGCAACCTCCGCCTCGCGGGTTCAAGTGATTCTCCTGCCTCAATCTCCTCAGCAGCTGGGATTACAGGCATGTGCCACTATGCCAGGCTAAGTTTTGTATTTTTAGTAGAAACAGGGTTTCTCCATGTTGGCCAGGCTGGTCTCGAACTCCTGACCTCAGGTGGTCCACCCACCTCAGCCTTCCAAAGTGGGATTAAAGGCATGAGCCACTGTGCCTGGCCAGCAGCATTCTTCGTAATAGCCAAAACATGGACTCAAGCCAAATGGCCACCAACAGGAGAAGGGATAAACACAATGTGGTATATCCACACAATGGAATACAATTCAGCCATAAAAGAGGAATGAAATGCTGATATATGCTACCACTTCAGTGAAATCCAAAATCATTATGCCCAGCAAAAAGAGCCAGACACAAAAGGCCACATATTGTATGACTCTATTTGTATGAAATGTCTAGAAAAGGCAAATCTGTAGTAGTAAAGAGTAGATTAGTGGTTGGCTGGGGCTGGGAAAGGAACAAGGAGTAACTGCAGATGAGCATGAAGGACCTGGGGGGGTGATGGAAATATTCTGCAACTCAGTGGTTGTGATGATCGCAGAACTTTGTATAATGACTCAAACGAACTACACTGTATACTTAAAAGGGTGAATATTGGCTGGGTGCGGTGGCTCACGCCTGCAGTCCCAGCCCTTTGGGAGGCCAAGGGGGTGGATCACAAGGTCAGGAGTTTGAGACCAGCCTGGCCAATATGGTGAAACACCATCTCTACTGAAAATACAAAAATTAGCCGGGTGTGGTGGCGGGTGCCTGTAGTCTCAGCTATCTGGGAGGCTGAGGCAGGAGAATCGCTTGAACCCAGGAGGTACAGGTTGCAGTGAGCTGTGATCACGCCACTGCACTCTAGCCTGGGTGACAGAGTGAGACTCCGTCTCAAAAAAAAAAAAAAAGGTGAATGTTATAGTATGTGTGTCAAGAAAGCTGTTTTAAAAAGCAGACTTGGCTGGGCGTGGTGGCTCAGGCCTATAACCCCAGCATTTTGGGAGGCCAAGGTGGGTGGATCACTTGAGGCCAGGAGTCTGAGACTAGCCTGGGCAGCATGGTGAAACCCCATCTCTACAAAAATTCAAAAATTAGCCAGGCATGGTGGCAAGCCTCCGTGGTCCCAGCTACTCGGGAGACTGTGGTGGAAGGATTGCTTGAGCCCCGTGGGGAAAAGAAAGAGAGTTCAGATTGTTACTGTGTCTATGTACAAAAGGAAGACAAAAAAGCTCCATTTTGATCTGTACTAAGAAAAATTGTTTCTGCTTTGAGATGCTGTTAACCTGTAACTTTAGCCCCAACCCTGTGCTCACAGAAACATGTGCTGTAATGAATCAAAGTTTAATGAATTCAGGGCTGTACAGGATGTGCCTTGTTAACAATATGTTTGCAGGCAGTATGCTTGGTAAAAGTCATTGCCATTCTCCATTCTCTATTAACCAGGGACATGATGCACTGCAGAAAGCCGCAGGGACCTCTGCCCAAAAAAGCCTGGGTATTGTCCAACGTTTCCCTGCACTGAGACAGCCTGAGATATGGCCTCATGGGAAAAGAAAGACCTTACCATACCCCAGCCCGACACCCGTAAGGGGTCTGTGCTGAGAAGGATTAGTGAAACAGGGAGGCCTCTTTGCAGTTGAGATAAGAGGAAGGCTTCTGTCTCCTGCTCGTCCCTGGGAATGGAATGTCTTGGTGTAAAGCTGACCATTCCCATTTGTTCTATTCTGAGACAGGAAAAAACCGCCCTGTGGCTGGAGGTGAGATGTGCTGGCAGCAATACTGCTCTGTTACTCTTTGCTACACTGAGATGTTTGGGTAAAGAGAAACATAAATCTAGTCTACGTGCACATCTGGGCACAGTACCTTTCCTTGAACTTATTCATGATACAGATTCCTTTGCTCACATGTTTCCCTGCTGACCTTCTCCCCACTTGTTGCCCTGCTACACTCCCCTCGCTAAGATAGTAAAAATAATGATCAATAAATACTGAGGGAACTCAGAGACGGGCACTGGTGCGGGTCCTCCATATGCTGAGCGCCGGTTCCCTGGGCCCACTGTTCTTTCTCTGTAGTTTGTCTCTGTGTCTTATTTCTTTTCTCAGTCTCTCGTCCCACCTGACAAGAAATACCCACAGGTGTGGAGGGGCTGGCCTCCTTCAGAGCCCAGGAGGCAAAGATTGCAGTGAGCCAAGATCACACCACTGTACTCCAGCCTGGGTGACAGAACAAGACCTTGTCTCAAAATAAATAAATAAATAATAAAATTGCAATCCTGCCCCACCCCCCTCCCTATTTTTCTCCATAGGACTATTTCTATGCCCTTCACTCTATGCCCTCCTTCTCCATTTGTTTACCATTTTTATTTATTTTGGGTTTATCTTCTCATCATAGCTTCTTACAAACATAAGTATATATGTATATATTTTCATGTCCCTTCCTGCTTCTTGTACTAAAGGTGCATACTATAAGCACCATTCTGAACCAGTTATCCTGGAGCTACATGATCTTCATCTCTTTCCTTTTCATAGATGCATAGTCCTCCATCACGTGGATGTATCATAGTTTTTTAAAACCAGTCCCACACTGATAATTTTGGGTTGCTCTCAGTCTTTTGCTATTGCAATAATACCATAATAAATAGCTTTGTGCATAGATCTTACACATCTTACCCCACAATTTTGAAAATTAAGTAATTTCTCCAACAACTGAGTGAGACTGGTGAATGAGAATGTTATTTTTGCAGCATTATTATTATTTTTGAGACAGTCTTGCTCTGTCGCCCAGGCTGAAGTGCAATGGCATGACCTCGGCTCACTGCAACCTCTGGGTTCAAGCAATTCTCCTGCCTCAGCCTCCCTAGTAGCTGGGATTACAGGCACCTGCCACCATGCCCAGCTAATTTTTCTATTTTTTAGTAGAGATGGGGTTTCACCATGTTGGCCAGGCTGGTCTCGAACTCCTGACCTCAAGTGATCCACCCACCACAGCCTTCCAAAGTGCTGGGATTACAGGCGTGAGCCACCATGGCTGGCCCAGGCTACACCTACTCTTAAAAGGGACCTTGTGTAACATGATGATGTAGCTTTGAATGCATCAAAGGTGAAGAGATAGAAAGGCATGTCTTTTATCTTGGCCGTTGGAGAGGTTGGGGAAATTCATTTTCTCTCATGTAGCCTGCAATCCCACCTTTGAAAGCAATACACACACTCCAGCTGTCCTACAGTATACACATACCTTCTCCCTGCCAGGATAAATACATTTAATACCATGATCTGCCCTGCTGTTATTGCACAGCAGAATTTTGGTGGTTTGCTCATGAGTTGTCTATAAATGATACTATAACATGATTTGAACCCAATATTCAAGTACTTAGTAAGCAGAGTTGCTAACTGATACCTGCATCTGACTCAAGGTGGACTAAATACCAGGCCATACCTCTTGATCAACTGACATCGGCTGCAAAAATAGGCAGTAGAAAAAGCTCAAACAATTTGGGAGGATTGTTGTGGTAGGGAAGAGGAAACAAGTCCTCTAATAATGCAGGTAGACAAACATGCCCACAGACAAAGCAGCTCTGTTGGCCACTACTTCGTTTGTAGGTGCCCCATGTGAGGTAAACCATACCCACTGATAACAGGGAGCCACCTGTGCCATACCCGACTATTCGTCTCTAACCTGCCCTGCCCAACACCTTGCCCTCATTTCTCTAGAATAGAGTGAAGATGTGCGATGAAGGCTATCTGGTTTCTAGGAACCATGGGAAGATAGAATCTGTTTACACAATGGTAAAGCTCCCTTCTGCATTAGGGAGCTTTGCAGATTGGGCTCTAGTCGAGCAGATCTGGTTACCAACTGGTCTCAATGCTGGAAACTCACAACCCTGCCAAGGCACAGAATCCCTAACCCTTAAATGCAACTGTTTCTTCCAAATGCCCTGCTACAAAGGGCATGGAAACAAAGGTTGCAACTGCCTGCAACCACTTCCTTTTGGCATTCACAAAGAATCACCCTGTCATCTAGCATTGAACCCAGTGCGCCTGGCTTTCATTTGTTTCCCTGGCTCTTTACTTTGGCTTTTCAGATCTGCTTCTAATCTTATTTCAGGACCCGTTCAAATTTTTCTTCTCTGATGTATAGGCCCAGGACTGTTGCCAGTAAATTCTGACTCTCAAATCTTCTTGCTTTGTTGATTGTGGTGGTACTACTACCCTGGGTAAAAGACTCCTTCCGCTAACTTCTGCTCCCAAAAACTCCTACAGGCTGGGCTAGTTCACTAACCTTTGCAACGAGAAGCTCAGATGCTGAAGCTTTATTTTTATTTTTATTTTGAGACGGAGTCTCACTCTGTCGCCCAGGCTGGAATGCAGTAGCGGAATCTAGGCTCACTACAACCTCCACCCCCTGGGTTCAAGCAATTTTCCTGCCTCAGCTTCCCAAGTAGCTGGGACTACAGGCATGCACCACCACGCCTGGCTCATTTTTTTGTATTTTCAGTAGAGATGGGGTTTCAACATATTGGTCAGACTGGTCTTGAACTCTTGACCTCAAATAATCTGCCCGCCTCGGCCTCCCAAAATTCTGGGATTACAGGCGTGAGCCACTGTGCCTGGACACTGAAACTTCACTTTAGCAAACTGCTGACTGATGGGTCTCCCGGCTTTCCTACCTATCTCTCCAGTAGCTGGAGTACTGCCCAAATACACAGCCAACTTTCGAACAAGAGATCCAGGAACTGCCTTCCTCTCTAAGGAACTGATTCCTTCAGTGCGGATTCCAGAGGTGCTGAGACATCAAAACTGGCAAACTTGCTCTTAGAGGAAGAAGATTGAGTTGTTGGGTATCACAAAGGCAATGACCCTTAAGTTCTCAACATTGTTCCTCAATCCCTACCCCAGAGGGTGGCTAACTAGGTATTAATACTTTCTTAAGTAGAAGAATGGAGAACTCATCATGTTCATGGGCCAAAGAAGATTGTGAGCGCAATTCTGAAGTCAGATCAGCTGGGTTCAAATTCAGCTCCACTACCTTCTGGCTATGGGACTGGAAATTATTTAACCTCTCTGTGTTTCAGTTTCTTCATTTGTAAAATGGAGATGATGATGGTAACAGCAGCTACCTCTAAAGACTATGGTGAGTTTTAAATGAATTATTACGTGTCATAAAAGTGGTCAATAGCTGTTACTATTATTACTGGGCCAGTTTGGAGACCTGGATATTTACAGAATTAAACTTCCAGGGCACATATAACTTTGTCTACATAAGAAGGATGATGGACAGAAAGTAACTTTGTAGACATACTTGGTCAAATTGAATAGTTGATGATGTCCTTGTCTGTGTAATACTCCAGGGGTGCCCAAAGACTCAGAAATAGAATTCGCTCAACTTCTTAGAAGGCTAATTATATAAGTATCTTAATGGCAGCTTAATTTACTTTTGCTTGATACAAGTTTCTATTTATAATCTACTCTCTCCATTGCATCTCCAAGTCAATACTCAGAATAATATATTTTAAATCCTAGGGCAGATTATTGAGACTTATTTTATTGACTTGGAGATTTGGATTATTTCTAGTATGTTTTCTTCCATCTTCGAATAGTACTTTCTCTAAAACATCAAAGACATTCAGAAGTGGTTCATATTCCACTTTTCCAACTTCACTGTCCTACTGATATACTAAAGAAAAAAAAAAGAAATAGTAGATGTTATTTAAGAATCTTATTTTTCCATCTCCTGCCAGAAAAATGGTGAAAGACAAGGTATTTGTTTCACTTTGGGTAAGACAGCAGCTTCCTAACAGTTCAAGAACCTGTTCACCCTCTGCTCTGATCACAGACTTACCCACCCCTACATCTATATAATATATGCCCCCCAACAGTGTGGTAGGGGACCACCGTCTAGACAGAATCCCCCTAAGAAACTCCCCTTTCTTTTTGCCACCAAGCTTTCAATTCTTATATACCTAACCTTTAAGGTTCCTGGGATTCCTTTGTAAAATTGCATTGTGCCAAGACAGTGAAGAAGAGGCCCTTTGATAGACCAGAGGGAGGCACATCTGGAGGAAGGATGCTGGTAAGGAATAAATGAAAGAGGATAAATAGAAAATACCTGACCATCTGTACCCATGAAGATTAAATGAACAGACCGTCTAGTGAAATGATCTGTTATTTTAAAAAATGGATGGATTGGATAGCAAAGGTTTTGTCAAAGGAGTGAGCATTTTCTAAGGAAATGCAAATATTTCTATGTCTAGTAATTTCTAAATTACTTTTTAGCATGTGCTCAGACAGACACACACACACACTTTGATTTAGGATTTTAGAATGGCTAAATATCTTTAAGCCATTGAGTAACAGTTTTTCATTCTAAATGCTTTTAGTGGCTTGTAATATTTTCCACTTTGTCAGGAATTTTGCTAAGCGCTAACATGCATGTAGGAGCAAGTTATGAAAATGGCCACACCTGCTTAGAAAAGAAGACAGTCCCTCTTCCAGTAAGAAAGCAAGGCTATCATAAAAGACAACCCCTGAAAAGCTAGTTGGGCTAACTGCGATGCATACTTTAGACACCTACTAGCTCTGTATCTATATAACAGTTCTTGTATCTATACAACAGTCACATTTACAGTGACTTAAAAAAAATGCTCTAACGCTTCTGAGTCACCAGAGAGGACAGGGTATCATAGTTCACCAGAAAGAGGAAGATCCTGGCAAGGTTAAGGATAGAAAGGAAATATTCTTGTCCTCATACTCTCTCCTCAGCAACTCCTAAGGGCTGTTGGCTCTCAGGAGGTGGAGAGTGACCTAGTTTTAAGGACGACATATATAGTATGACATGTTGCTCTTTTGGAAGGGAAAAATATAATTGTAAAAGTCAACCGGCCGGGTGTGGTGGCTCACGCCTGTAATCCCAGACTTTGGGAGGCCAAGGTGGGTGGATCACGAGGTCAGGAGTTCAAGACCAGCCTGGCCAAGATGGTGAAACCCTGTCTCTACTAAAAACACAAAAATTAGCCAGGTATGGTGGCGGGCGCCTGTAATCCCAGCTGCAGGAGAATCACTTGAACCCGGGAAGCGGAGATTGCAGTGAGCTGAGACTGCACCACTGCACTCCAGCCGGAGCGACAAAGCGAGCGAGACTCCTTCTCAAAAAAAAAAAAAAAAAAAAAAAAAGAGTCAAACATTCGGCTGGGCGCAGTGGCTCACTCCTGTAATCCCAACACTTTGGGAATCCGAGGCAGGCAGATCACCTGAGATCAGGAGTTTGAGACTAGCCTGGCCAACATGGTGAAACTCTGTCTCTATTAAAAATACAAAAATTACTCAGGTGTGGTGGTGGGCACCTGTTATCTCAGTTACTATGGATGCTGAGGCAGGAGAATCGCTTGAACCCAGGAGGTGGAGGTTGCAGTGAGCCGAGATTGTGCCATTGCACTGCAGCCTGGGCGACAAGAGCAAAACTCTGATTCAAAATAAAAAAAAAGTCAGCCATTCAAAATAATTGCAAATTTCCCCTTCAAGGACTTAAGATATAACCATATTATCTGAAATTCTCTTTTAGGAGGCTTCACTTAACCTAAATCCATTCACTCATTCAAAAAACATTTATTGAGCACTCAGCATGTACTAGGCACTGTTGTAGGCACTGGGAATGTAACTGAACTCCGTTCTCATGAAGTTCACATTCTATTGAGAAGAGACAGGCAGGAAAGGGGAAGGAAGGAAAGAAGGAAGGAAGGAAAGAAGGAAGGAAGGAAGGAAAGAAGGATGGAATGAAGGAAGGAAAGAAGGAAGGAAGGAAGGAAGGAAAGAAAGATGTGTCTGAGGAAAAATGAAACAATTAAGAGGATGGGGGATAGGGATGCTATTTTATGGAGAATCATCATAATGAGGATAGTGAATTCAGGTGATACTTGAGCAGAGACCGGAATGAAGTGAGGGAGTCAGTCACATGACAATGTGGAGGAAGAACAGATGCTAAATAGATGGAAAAGCAAGTGCAAAGTTCCTAAAGTAGAAACATGCTTGGCTTCTTTGAAGAACATCGGGAAGGCCAGTGTGATACAGTGAGAAGGGGAAGGGTGGTTTATTGAGATACTTGCGGAAGTTGCCAAGTATCCAGAGCCTTATAGGCCAGGGAAAAGACTCTGAAATACGTTGGGAAGCAACTGGAGGATTCTGAGCAGGAGAGTGACCTGATGTGACTTACACAAAGGATCATCTGGTTGCCGTGTACACAAGATTCTGTAAGTAGCAAAGTGGAATAGCTCATTAAAACAGTACCACTGTAATCTAGACAAGAGAAGATGGCGACTTGAATAGAGTCGCAGCAGTGGAGGTACTGGGAAGTAATAAGACATATTTTGAATGCAGAGCCAGCATGACTTGCTTAAAGAATGGATTTGGTAGGCTGGGCGCAGTGGCTCACACCTGTAATCCCAGCACTTTGGGAGGCTGAAGCGGGCAGATCACGAGGTCAGGAGATAGAGACCATCCTGGCCAACATGGTGAAACCCCATCTCTACTAAAAATACAAAAATTAGCTGGGCATGGAGGTGCGTGTGTGTAGTCCCAGCTACTAGGAAGGCTGAGGCAGGAGAATCGCTTGAATCCTGGAGTCGGAGGTTGCAGTGAGCCGAGATCGGGCCACTGCACTCCAGCCTGGCGACAGAGCAAGACTTCATCTCAAAAAAAAAAAAAAGGGATTTGGTGGGTGAAAGAAAGTGAGGAGTGAGGAGTAGGGACTATCCTAAGGTTTTTGGTCTGAGCATCTAGAAGAAAAGAGCTGCCATTTACTGGAATGGTGAAGACTACAGGACAAGCAGACGAGGGTGTGTGTGTGTGTGTGTGTGTGTGTATGAGTTGAAAGTTGTCACCTGGCACGGTGGCTCATGCCTGCAATCCCAGCACTTTGGGAGGTCGAGGTGGGCAGATCACGAGGTCAGGAGATCGAGACCATCCTAGCCAAATGGTGAAACCCTGTCTGTACTAAAAATACAAAAATTAGCTGGGTGGGCGTGGTGGTGCGTGCCTGTAACCTCAGCTACTCGGGAGGTTGAGGCAGGAGAATACCTTGAACCTGGAAGTTGGAGGTTGCAGTGAGCCAAGATCGCGTCACTGCACTCCAGCCTGGCAACAGAGCGAGACTCCGTCTCAAAAAAAAAAAAAAAAAAAAGAACACGAAAGTTGTCTTGTACTTACACGGCCTATTAAACATCCAAATATGTAGATTGGTGCCTGCCACATAGTAGATGCTCAATATTTATCAAATGAAAAAGGTAAGATATTGAGTAAGGCAACTGAATTAAAAAATCCAAGTATATCTATCTACTATTAACTTTATATATTTAAGTATATTTACTCTTATGTTTTGCAACCACGGGGACTCATCAGAATCCTTTACTTTTTGGTCCTGGAAGAGATATTGGAGATCCTCCAACTCACATATTCTAAATTAAGGACCAGAGATTAAGAGACAAGTGATCAGGGCAAGCACATTTATGCTACAGCTAGAACCCGACATCAGGCTTTACGATTCTTAATTCATTGTTCCACACTACAACAAGCTCTCCTTGCCCCAAACGTTAGTGCTAACTTCCTATGTCCAGTGAACTACTCTTTTCAAGGAGTATATTGGAAGGGTTCTCCTTACAGACACTGACTAGTTGGAATCTATTTCACAAAGCATTAAACGCAAGTGAGAACTTCTATACATGAAGTAGTCTTTTTTTTTTTTTTTTTTTTTTTGAGATGGAGTCTCGCTCTGTACCCAGGCTGGAGTACAGTGGCGCAATCTCGGCTCACCACAACCTCTGTCTCTGGGGTTCAAGAGATTCTCCTGCCTCAGTCTCCCGAGTAGCTGAGATTGCAGGCACGCACCTGTAGTCAAAGGTGCATGCCACCATGCCCAGCTAATTTCTGTATTTTTAGTAGAGACAGGGTTTCACCATGTTGGCCAGGATGGTTTCTATCTACTGACCTCGTGATCCGCCCACCTCGGCCTCCCGAAGTGCTGGGATTACAGACAGGCGTGAGCCACCGCGCCCGGCCAGTAGTCATGATTTTCAACCCTCTGGCAACATGTTCAGACTGGTCCGAAACAGCAATGATATTTAGATGTGCATTATACAGATAATATATATTACTTGACAATTATGTTCGCAAACAAATACATTCTTTTGTATCTGGAATTGGTGGGTTCTTGGTCTCACTGACTTCAAGAATGAAGCCGTGGACCCTAGCAGTGAGTGTTACAGTTCTTAAAGGCAGCGTGTCCGGAGTTTGTTCCTCCTGACGTCCGGATGTGTTCGGAGTTTCTTCCTTCTGGTGGGTTCGTGGTCTCACTGGCTCAGGAGTGAAGCTGCAGACCTTTCCCGTGAGTGTTACAGCTCATAAAGGCAGTGTGGACCCAAAGAGTGAGCAGCAGCAAGATTTATTGCAAAGAGCAAAAGAACAAAGCTTCCACGCTCTGGAAAGCAACCCCAGCAGGTTGCCACTGTTGGCTGGGGCAGCCTGCTTTTATTCTCTTATCTGGCCCCACCCACATCCTTCTGATTGGTCCATTTTACAGAGAGCCCAGTGGTCTGTTTTGACAGGGCGCTGATTGGTGCGTTTACAATCCCTGAGCTAGACACAAAGGTTCTCCACGTCCCCACTAGATTAGCTAGATACAGAGTGTCCACACAAAGGTTCTCCAAGTCCCCACCAGAGTAGCTAGATACAGAGTGTGGATTGGTGCATTCACAAACCCTGAGCTAGACACAGAGTGCTGATTGGTGTGTTTACAAACCTTGAGCTAGATACAGAGTGCTGATTGGTGTGTTTACAATCCCTTAGCTAGACATAAAGGTTCTCCAAGCCCCCGCCAGACTCAGGAGCCCAGCTGGCTTCACCCAGTGGATCCTGCACCGGGGCTGCAAGTGGAGCTGCCTGCCAGTCCCGCGCCGTGCGCCTGCACTCCTCAGCCCTTGGGTGGTCGATGGGACTGGGCGCCGTGGAGCAGGGGTCGGTGCTCGTCGGGGAGGCTCAGCCATAGCCGGCTGCAGGTCCCGAGCCCTGCCCCGCGGGGAGGCACCTAAGGCCCGGCAAGAAATGGAGCGCAGCGCCGGTGGGCCGGCACTACTGGGGGACTCAGCACACCCTCTGCAGCCGCTGGCCTGGGTGCTAAGCCCCTCATTGCCCGGCCGGCAGGGCTGGCCGTGCGCTCCGAGTGCGGGGCCCGCCGAGCCCACACCCACCCGGAACTCGCGCTGGCCCGCAAGCACTGCGCGCAGCCCTGGTTCCTGCTCACGCCTCCCCCTCCACACCTCCCCGCAAGCTGAGGGAGCCGGCTCTGGCCTTGGCCAGCCCAGAAAGGGGCTCCCACAGTGCAGCGGTAGGCTGAAGGGCTCCTCAAGCTGGCCAAAGTGGGAGCCCAGGCAGAGGAGGCGCCCAGAGCGAGCGAGGGCTGTGAGGACTGCCAGCACGCTGTCACCTCTCACTTTGACTAGGTCTGTATAGTTAGGAAAATACTCGACTTACAGTTAGCCAGCAAACTTTTAACACAATACTTTTTTTGCTATGAATAAACATCTACCTGGTCTTTGGCCTGTAAGAACTTACATTCTACTTAACTTTCAACAAACCAAGTATTGAGTATCCACTGTGTCAGTGTACTAGACATGGTAAACAAAAATGGTGTCTTTAAATCAAGTAAACAGACAAAAACAAACAAAATAATTTTTAGAAAATAATGCAATTTTTTAAAAAGTGCAAACACCTATTGAAAACTATGGCTCGGGTAATGCTAGAATACAAAGAATAATTAGATTTTTGTGGAATTTTCAGGAAGAGGTTTCCTGAATGAATGAGCGAGTACGGGTTTTAAGAAAACGAATCAGCTATGGCAGGCAGGATATTCTAGGCAAGGAAACTAAGGCACTAGAAAAGCTAAAGGGTAGAAGCAAATCAGTCGTGGCATGAGTCCACACCCAGGTGTAATAGAACTGGATCACTGGCCAGGCGCGGTGGCTCACCCCTGTAATCCCAGCACTTTGGGAGGCCGAAGCGGGCGGATCACGAAGTCAGGAGATCTAGACCATCCTGGCTAACACGGTGAAACCCCGTCTCTACTAAATACAAAAAATTAGCCGGGCGCGGTGGCGGGCGCCTGTTGTCCCAGCTAGGCAGGAGGCTGAGGCAGGAGAATGGCGTGACCTCGGGAGGCGGAGCTTGCAGTGAGCCGAGATCATGCCACTGCACTCCAGCCTGGGCGAAAGAGCGAGACTCCGTCTAAAAAAAAAAAAAAAAAAAACACGAACTGGATCACTGTTATTAAGAGTGGAGGAGGGAACCTCCACTCTTAATAACTTCCACTTGTGTTTAGTGAGTGGCGTTAATAACTCCACTTGTGTTTGTGGCTGCAAACACAAGCCAAAGCAGCGCACAATTGACATCTGAAGCCCAATGAATGTGATCAAAACAAAGCACTTAAATTTTGTTTGGATTTGCTGCCACTAGTACACATCGTAAAGGCAGATTTTCACACTCATACAATTTTCTGCATTCTTCAGTATCTGTCAGCGTGTTCAAATACTTTTAATACACAACTTTTAATACACAAGACACACTTTGGAAAACTTTTTCCGAAGAAAATGATCCAAAGAGCAGAATGTGAGTCAATAAACGGAGAAAGGCAAGCAGCGGTTTTCCATCTTCTGCGCCAGTGTGCTGTAAACTTTTAAGTCCGGAAAACTATGTTTTAACCGATGAGATAATGCCTTTCAAAGTGATTAGCACGACCGGGCGCGCGGTGGCTGACGCCAGTAATCCCAGCACTTTTGAGTGGCTGAGGTGAGCGGATCACCCTGAGGTCAGGGTCGAGACCAGCCTGGCCAAAATGGCGAAACCCCGTCTCTACTAAAATACAAAAATCAGCGAGGCGTGGTGGCGCCCGCCTGTAATCCCAGTTACTCGGGAGGCTGAGGCAGGAGAATCGCTTTAAACCGGGAGGCGGAGGTTGCAGAGCCAAGATCGGGCCATTGCACTCCAGCCTCGGTGACAAAATATAATAATAATAAAATTAAAAAGGGCTTAGCATAGTATCTGGCCAGTAAGAAGAAATTATGATTATTATTTTGACCTTAGACCTCTCTTAACTGTCTGAAATTCGGGTTTCTTAAAGGACACAGGCGGTCTCTGAGGCTCCCGCCAGCGGAAACAATCTCCCATTAAAATAGGCATCGGTTAAATATTTGCTGAACAAAGTAAACTACGTCTCCCCGAATCCCATTGAGCGCCTACTCGAGATCCGGACCGGAGCCGGGCAGGACGGGCCCGTCGGTCCCACACGCCGTATAAGTGGGTGGAGAATACCCCACACGCCCAGACCAATAGGCGGGGTGAACGAGGACCGTGTTCACCAACTCAGCCCGGCTCGCGGAATGCCTTCTGTTCGCCTCCGGGCTTGCAGTGGCTTTCCGTCGCAGGTCAGGCCGCGTTCCACTTCCGCCGGCAGTCCAGACACGCCCCTCCGGGTCCAATCCCCGCCCCTCACACACCTGGCCCCGCCCCGTCGGGAGCTCGGCGGTCCTCTCTGCGCTAGGTCTTCTTAGCGCCCGACGGGGCCACGCCCATCCCCGACGCTCTGAGGTCACCTACAGGGCCGACCCTCGGTGGGCGGAGGGACGGAGGGAAGATGGCTGCAGAGACCGGATATTGGCGCTGCCTCCCCGAATCCCGGACCTGCGCTGAGGAGGCGGTTCATCTGTGGCCAGCGGTGCTTCGGGACCCGCGCTGGGGGAACCCTGGCGACGGGGCCTGGCCCTGCTATATGCGGGGGCCTCGGCTGGAGTGAGCGGCGTGGACGCCTCTTTCCTCCGGCTCTTCCCTTGTTGCTGCGAGAGCGAGAGGGCCGCGGGCGGCGGAGGCAGCGGGGCCGGGATGGAGGACGTTAACTCTAACGTGAACGCGGACCAGGAGGTGCGGAAGCTGCAGGTGCCGGTGAAGAAGCTGGGGAAGCAGCACGAACAGCCGAGGAGCCGCTCGCGCTGTGCTGGGCCCCGGCTCCATCGCGGTTCGCCGGCTCCTCCACTCCCTCCTACGGCGCGGGGTCCCCTCGGGGCTTCCCCTTGGGTCTCAGCGCAAAGTCGGGCGGCGGGGCCGGATGGACCCGAGGCGGACGAATAACGAGGAGCTGCGAGACGCCACCTTCTTGCTGGCGGCGGGGGAGGGCGGCTTGCTAGACGACCTGGAGCGTCTGTCAGGCTAGGAGGAGGGGGAGGAGAGCTGGTGAGCGCCGGGCGCCGGGCGGGGCTGGGCGGGGACGCCCCGGTGGCGGAGGACGTCCCGGAGGATCCCTCTGGTCGGGCGCCTGGCTTTGTGTAGCCAGCCAGGTCCGCTCTCGGCGGGTACTCGTGGTCTTGCTCTGGCAGAGGGGAGGTCAGTTGGAGTTGGGGGTTCGAGGCTTGCAAGTACAGGGCTTGTAGCTCCTTCTCTGGATTGTGGACCCTCTGGGTGCTGGGCCCTATTGGGGTTGGTGGGTTGGTTGGATCCAGAAGGGCTGTTCGCCGTGGGGAGGAGTCGGAGGTGGGAAACTGCTTTGTAGGCAGGGATTCTGCTTTGTATAGGAGACCAGCTTTCGGATGCTGGTCTGGGCATTTTGGATGTTGGGGAGGGGTTTGGCTTGATGAGGTATCACCAAGTTCGGGGGGTGCAGACCAAAGTCGCCGACGTCTATGCAGCGGTTGGTGTTTGGGATCAATTTCTAGCGTGGATGGGGAGACCATGTGGATCAGCACTCCCCTTTAGGTAGTGGGGTAAAGCTTGCTCTGTGTGAAGAGGTCAGAGGATGGTGGTGTTTTGTGTGAAGAATCAAGGGTGAAACAAGAGCCCTGGCTCTGATATTTTAAAACAAGAATTGAGTCTGGCATTTTGCAGAGCTCTGAATTGACATTTATCACATCTATCCTTCATTTCCATGTCCTCCTATGGGCAGAAAAGAGTCCTATTTTAATACCTAAACCAAAGCTGTATTGTCATAAGCCACTTCTTGATGAAATTGTGACACACACCTTAATATCACTTTCATAAATAGGAAATGGGAGGCTTTTCTCCTCATTTTATTATAAAGATGTCTGTGGGAAATTCTCTTAATTCATCCTCTTTAAAATTTTACCTTTTAGCTAAAATGTCTCTGTTGAAATTCAAATTTCTAACTTAGTGAAATCGAAATCATTCATAGACTGTAGTATTGCAGGGCTCGAACTGTGCAGTGTTCTGAGGTAGTTAAGAGCTTTGCTGGATTCAGGCCCTGGGTTTGCCCAGGCCTGTATGACCTTGAGCAAGTTATTCTGAGCTTCACTTTCTTCCTCTATGATGGAGAAAATAATGATAGCACTTACCTCTATAGAGTTATGAAAATTTAGTAAGATAATCCATGTATGCATTTAGCACTGTTGAGATCTTGGCTTACTGCAAGCTCCGCCTCCTGGGTTCACACCGTTCTCCTGCCTCAGCCTCCCGAGTAGTTGGGACTACAGGCACTGGCCACCACTCCCTGCTAATTTTTTGTTTTCGTATTTTTAGAAGAGACGGGTTTCACCGTGTTAGCCAGGATGGCCTCGATCTGACCTCGTGATCCTCCCGCCTCGGCCTTCCAAAGAGCTGGGATTACAGGCATGAGCCACCATGCCCAGCCTATTACTCTTAAGCCTAGTTATTTAAATCAAACATTTAGTGAGCTCTTACATGATGTTATAGGAGACTCTGAAGATTCTCAACTGTTGATTCCTGTTCATAAGGCAGTTATAGTCTTGTTGAGAACTAAGTTTTATGCAGATAAATAAACTAGAAAGTGTATGGTGAATTGCCGAAAGAGAGAACAAAAGTACTGTCAGTGCGCAGTAACTGGGAAGAAAACAGTAGTCCAAAGTAGAGGGGCCAAACTTTGAGGAGGAGGCTTTGGAGTCTGGAAGTGAGGAAAGAGTGGGAAGGGCATTTTATGCTCTGACAGCTACAAGAGCAGAGTCAGAGATATTTGTAACTCCCAGTTAGGAGATTTGAATAACAGAAGTACTCTTGAGTATATGGTGACAAACCTTTATTTTTTATTTACTATTTTTTTTTTTTTTTGAGACGGAGTCTCGCTCTGTTGCCCTGGCTGGAGTGCAGTGGCATGATCTCAGCTCACTGCAACCTCCGCCTCCCAGGTTCAAGCAATTCTTCTGCCCCAGCCTCCCAAGTAGCTGGGACTGCAGGTGCCCACCCCCATGCCCAGCTAATTTTTGTGTTTTTAGTAGAGATGGAGTTTCACCATACTGGCCAGGCTGGTCTCGAACTCCAGACCTCGTGATCTGCCCGCCTTGGCCTCCCAAAGTGCTGCGTGAGCCACCGCACCCAGCCGACAAACCTTTATTACCAGGTGATATCAAATATTATTAGAGCTGACTGTGGTAGTGACAGTTTTTCATATAAATGAAATTGCATCCTCCCAAAGGAATCCTGAGTATGTATGCACTTTAAAAGAACCCAGAATCATCTAAATATTGTCACATGGCTCTTGCAAGTGATGATAATAGTGATGCTTATAATAATGAGGATTAGCTGCACTCATCAGCCTGTAGAAAGTAAAAAGTTTCCTTTTCGAAATTTCCTTTCTTGTTAAAGAATAAATCATAAGTGTTAGAAATAATAGTTTCTTTTAAAGACTAACTTCCTTCAAGCCTCCTCTGCTCTGTGCTAATGACTCTTCATTAAGCCCTATCCTATGTAGCTGTTAGATATAAGGGAATAAGTATATTCTATGTCCTTGTACTTTAACCAAGATATTTGTGCTGGACATGCTCACAGGCACGTTCCAGCTTGCAGCCTATGCCCCTTCCTTATTTGGAAATATTATTACTTTTCTAAGTCTTTTTGCAAGCAACTTCTTCTTTTCCTTTGTTCTCTATTGCCTTTCCCTATATAGGAAAGTTTTAAGTTATTAGCCAGTCGGGTTTAATTTAAATTGTGAGGTCCAGCTCCAGCCAATGGAGACAGGACACAAGCTGCATAAGGGATAAAAACTGCTTCCCTCCTTTGTTCGGGTGTGCTGTCACCATTGTTTCATCTGTGAGGAGCACCCTTTCTGCAGAAAGTAAAATTGCCTTGCTGAAAAAACTTTTTGTCTAAATGCTGGTTTTTCCTTGCAGTACCTAGGAGCAAGCATTCTGTTTCTAAATAAACATTTTACTTGTAACAATGGCGGTGGCCTGTACAGGGAGCCATTCTCCTCCGGGGGTGGGGGGGTGGGTCTCTGGTCCTCTCTCATGAGGAAGGCGCCCCACTGCCTTGTTGTAGCGGCCTCAGGGTAAGGAATCGAGACCCACCAGTTATGACAAATAAACTGGACTCTCAGCAATGTGGAAAGAAACCGGCTGGTGACCTGGAGTAAAAGATCCTCACATACCACCTGGACCAGGCAACTCTGCACAGACCAAGAAAGGAAATGCCAGGGGAGACAGTAAAATACTTCCTTGGTGGTCAGGACTAAGGAAAAAGAAGCCACAGGGCAGTGAAGCATTCTTTGGTTGGGACATACCAAGGTAAAGCATTCCTTAGGACTAAGGAAAGAAAAGCCGCGGGGAGGGGGGGCGGGGGTGGTGAAGTATTCCTTAGTCGAGGTGTCTTGGAGGTTAAAAAGAGGTGAAAAATCCCCATTAGGGGGAGATTGAACCTCACAGAAACTTCCGGTCATAGGAAAAATGTTCAAAACTTCCCTTTCCCCTATTCTTGGGGGAAGAAAGAGGCAAGGGAAAGAGCAGCAGAGAAGAAAGAGAAACTAGGAAAGGAAGTCAGAGAAAGCAAGAGCAGCGAACGTGGCTCCACATTGTTGTGGATTGCTGGCACCTGGCAGAGCGGCAGTGGCTGAGACACTCTCCTCACTCCCGGCCGAGCCAGCCAGAGCCAGCCAGAGCCACCCAGGCTGCTGGCCCCCGAGCCCCGCACCTTCCGTGCTGCTCGGGTGCATCCTGCCACCCTCAGAGGCTAGCTGGCCACGGACACCTGCAAGTTGGAGCCGAGTGGGAGACAATGAGCGCACCGGAGCCAGGAGCCTGTGCCACGCAGCCAGGCAGCCAGGCGCGCCAGAGGGTGGGTCCCTCTCCCCAGCCTGGCTCTGTGTGGAAGAGGGCAGGGACCGGTGCCGGGAGGAGAGCAAAGGAGGCGAAGGGGCATGACTCATGCAACTTGGGGCAGGCGTCTATCTGCCTAGCCGCTAGGCCGGCGGCGGTGGCCCGGACTGTGGCCATGCAGATCCCACCCAGCCCAGAAGACTAAGTGTAAGAGAAAGAGGAAACGGGATGACAGAAAAAGAGCCCAAATGAGAGGGAGAGAATAAGTGAAAGACTGAAAGAGACAGAGATCAAAGAAAGTCACAGAAGGTAAAACGGGAGAGAAATAGTGTAAAAGGTAGTCAAAAAGTTGAGGCATGTTAAAGATTGTGAAAGTCGAAAAAAATGTTATAAAAGGGAATTTATGCAAGAAATATTGTATAATTTAAAAGTTTTTAGCCATCCTGAATATAAAACTATTAAACAGTTTATGTGCAAAGTATGTAAAGAAAGTAAAATATACTTTTAGTAAAAGAATTATAAGGAGGCATAAGAATATAGATTTTTACCTACATTAAAAGATTAAAAAATAGGTGCTAAAAAAATTCAAAAGGAAAATGAATATTGCTAAACCAAAAAGAAATATTATCCAAACACCTTATTAAAAAAAAAAAATCTTGTTCCAACTGCATCAAAGAACCCAGGCCGGGGCCCTCTAAGCTCAGGCTTAATGCCAACGAGTTTTCACCTCCAGCCACTCCTATAGAGGCTGCAGTGCGAGCCGGCTGGAGGACCTAACCACAGACAGACACTTCCTGTGTGGGGGAGGGGGCTGGGCAACCATTAGACAGACAGCCCAGCCCAAGGCCAGGGGCCAGATGGCGGGGTCTCAGGGAGGAGCAAGGTCCAGGGGCAGCCGGGTGAATCACAAGGCCCCTCATCCCTAAGGCCTCAATGCGTGGGAGTGGTGAGGGCCAGAAGGAGGCCAAGACCTTAAGAGGTGGTGGGGCTGCAGCGTCCCCTAGGCAGCACTGAGCCGGGGTGGAGCGGGAGGCGTCACCATGGGGCCTCAAGCCCCAGGATATGCAGAGTTCTGACAAAATAAGGAGCCCCAAAGGGTCCCTCAGAGACAGCATAAGTAAAAACAAGGAAAAAGAAATTTCTTAGCAAAAAGGCACTACGGACTATAAAGTCAAAAAGATACCTATGGGTTACCTTACTTACATTCCACTGCTGATGCCCCCACATCTAAAACAAAAGATCAGTTTCTCAGAAATTATATACTTCCACTTTCCCTTCCCTCAGAACTAAAAGTCTTTTAGCACAGGTACCACCCCTAGAATTTCCAGTACACTAGCACCAGCCTGGGGACCACGTCCTCATCAAAGGATAGAAAGAAGAAAAACTGGAGCCAGCCTGGGAAGGACCCTACCTTGTGCTGCTAACCACCGAGACTGCCTTTCGCACAGCAGAAAAAGGATGGACACATCATACCCGAGTCAAGAAAGTGTCATCACCTTCACAATCATGGGACATTGTTCCAAGGTCAAGCCCTACCAAATTAAGGCTAAGAAAACTTTATCTTTTTCTTTTTCTTCCCTTTAACTATTCCCCATCTTATTATTAATGTAACTAGATCTAACTCACCTGAACTTATTACTTTTGATGCCTGTTTAGTTACACCTTGTGAAGATTTAAATAACCAAACACAGCTTACTACTTCAGAAAAATATCTCTGTCCCTCTTGGACTTCCTTAGTTTAGAAAGACATAATAAGTTCCTATAAGGATACTAATAATCCAGAGAATAGTAGCTATATTAATTGGTAGGAATTGGACTTTTGTCCCTCTAAAACAAAATCTCTATATTCTGCTTGGTCTAATATCCTATAGAACACTAGAAGTCTAAGGTGGACTGCTTCCAGAGGTCTTTGTCCTTAAAACCATATATCCATTTCACCAAAAGAGTTGTTCTTTCTAGCTGTCAACATAACCAGTGTAATCCTATACAGCTTACTATTACTATTGCAACATCTGAAAACTCCTCCCCTTCATTAAGTCATAATATGGGAACTGACATTTCAGAAAAGGATCCTAAAGGAATTTTTAAAATAAGCTTTATTGCTCCTTCAACCTCTCCATCAATCACTCCTCCCAAACATAGTGTCAAAACCAAAGTCTCTGTAGTAGAAGTAAAAAATCTAAGGCAAACCATAGCAATTAAGACAGGGTATCAGGATGTAGATGCCTAGCTAAAATGGGTTAAATTTTCCCTCTGCACTCTAAATAAAAGCCATTATTATGCTTGTGCACACAGTAGGCCAGAGGCTCAGGTTGTCTCCTTTCCACTCAGATGGTCCTCTAATTAACAGGACATGGACTGCATGGTAGCTCTTTTTCAAAATCCTACAGCCTAGGATAGTAAACTGTGCCAAACTCTCTCTGCTGTTTCCTAAAGTGCAGTACCCCAAGGGCCATTCAGCCTCCATCTTCCAAGACCAATTTTATCTCGTGTCTCCAATGACAAGGGGAAAATTTGGCATTCCTTGGAGACTTAACAGGATGCAGTAAGGTCAGGCACTTCCAAAAGCTGACCCATCAGTCCACCCTTATTCATCCCCAAGCAGATGTATGGTGGTATTATAAAGGACCTTTGCTGGGCACTCTGCCAAATAATTAAAGCAGTACTTGCTCTCTAGTTCGATTGGCTATCCCTGTTGCCCTCACATTTCATCAGCCATAAAAACCTTTTCTTTTAAAAACTCAAGCAAAACAATTAAGCCAAAACACGTTTAAACAAAAAAAAGGTTTAAAGAAAAATACAAAATCAAGAGGAGGGAATTGTAGAAAGTAAAAAGTTTCCTCTTAAAAATTTCCCTTCTTGTTAAAGAATAAATCATTAAGTGTTAGAAATAATAGTTTCTTTTAAAGACTAACTTCCTTCCAGCCTCCTCTGCTCTGTGCTAATAACTCTTCATTAAGCCCTATCCTATGTAGCTGTTAGATATAAGGGAATAAGTATATTCTATGTCCTTGTACTTTAACCAAGATATTTGTGCTGGACATGCTCACAGGCACGTTCCAGCTCGCAGCCTATGCCCCTTCCTTATTTGGAAATATTATTACTTTTCTAAGTCCTTTTGCAAGCAACTTCCTCATTTCCTTTGTTCTCTGTTGCCTTTCCCTATTTAGGAAAGTTTTAAGTTGTTAGCCAGTCAGGTTTAATTTAAATTGTGAGGTCCAGCTCCAGCCAATGGAGACAGGACACAGTAGCAGGGACAAGCTGCATAAGGGATAAAAATTGCTTCCCTCCTTTGTTTGGGTGTGCTGTTGCCATTGTTTCACCTGTGAGGAGCACCCTTTCTGCAGAAAGTAAAATTGCCTTGCTGAAAACACTTTTTGTCTAAATGCTGATTTTTCCTTGCAGTACTGAGGAGCAAGCATTCTGTTTCTAAATAAACACTTTACTTATAACAAGCCCACTTTAAATTATGTATTAGAACACATTGAGTCCACTTGGAAAAGCCGATTAAGTCTTGGGCTGCTGTGGTTCCTGAGCATGAGCTTTGTTAAGCTTTGTCAAGTCTTCCTAAATACTATGCCAGGAGTTTCTTTTGACCAGATGATTCCTGCTTATTGCTTTGATCCTGGCTTCATATCTAGATATTATAGATGTCCTACACTTTTTCTGAGAACATTTGTGTGAATTGAAAGTTGGATAAATCATATGTAAAATGCATGAGGCATGTGTGTAGGGTAAAAGTTATAGGGGGTGGATGTCAGTGGCAGGAAGATTCAAAGTTGAGATGTTTTTCTTCTTAGCAAGCTAAGAATCTACCTTCTATAACTTCTAGCCATTGCATCTTCTTTTTCATCTAGAGGAATGTTTCCTCCAGAGTGTATATGCTGCAAAGTGGTAGTTCTGAAGATGTCAATAAATACCATGTAGGAAAAAAAAGTGGGTGGGTTCTGGAGTTGAATAAATGTGGGAAAAAACTGGATTCAAGAAAGATAAACAGGTTTCTTTAATGCTGGGCTCTTGGAGATGCTAATGTGTACTGAACATAGTAAATCTCTAGGGAGTATGGTTTGTTCCTAAATCTAATCGAGCTCCCAAGGAACTAGTATCTTATAGAACACACATAGAAAATAGTGCTCTACAGTAGTCACTTTCACATTTTTTTCTTGGATCCAACTTCATGATAAGAAATACATTTTAACTCATAATCTATTCACATGTATATGAATAACTGAAACAGAAGTTTCACAAAATTATGATTATGTTTGCCACAAATGGTGTGCTCTAATATTTTCCTTCTGTTTCATCAGAAGAAAAATACTGGTTACTATCCAGCTAAGCTGATTTTGTGACCCATTAATGAGTTTCAGTTCTCACTTTGAAAACACTGTTCTAGAATTACAGAAAGGTCTAGGGATGAGAACTAACACCACTGTGCATCACAGTGTGTCAGTCTGTGCCAGGCAGCTTATAAATATTTTTTGCCTCTAATTTTTATACATTTATGAGGTAAGTATCATTTTCTAGGTAAGGATGCTAATCTGTCTCCAAGCCAAATAACACACAGTAAATCATGGCACCAGGATTTGAATCTGGGTCTTTATACATCATAGCCCATGCTGTTCTCACTGTATTTTGCTTTTTCCAAGTATAACCCCGTTTTCACACGAATGGCCCCTTCACATATTTGAAGACTACCGTCGTGTCCGTGCTGACCCTTTCTCCCTGCCACACATGGTGAGCATTCCCTTCTCTTCTTCAGAGTCAATAATCCCAGTTAGTTTAACCATTCCTTAGATAATGTAATTCTCTGATCCTTCAACCGTGGTTATTTTTTCTTAATTAACCCTTAATTGCTCATTGTCATTATACATTGTGCCCAGCATTTTAGATGATATTTGACCAGACAGAGTGTGGTGGGTATGAGCCAAATGCTGGTTTGTTTTTTTTTTAAACCAAATATTTCATTAACAGTTTTAACTTCTGTTACTTATGCTTAATATGAACCAGAAGTGTCAACTTCTCTCTAAAATGTTTTATACATAAGATGTTAAACTGAGTCTCCCTAATCCTGTTTTTGTGTAGTGGATTTTTTTTTTTTTTAGCTTAAATATAAGGCTTTTATTTTTATTTTTTATTTTTTTAGGTGTGCTTAAATATAAGGCTTTTAAATTTCCTTTTGTTAGTTTTTATTTAGACATTTAATACACTTTCTATTTGGTCATCTTTATATTTGGTAGGCATACCTACTATGTCTTCATTCAAATTGTTGATAAAAATATTGACAGAATAAATTACTCAGAAGTGTGCAAGTCAGCTAGACTCACTTTAGATTAACACCAGTCCATTAATCAGCACACATTATGGTTGTTCAGTAACAACTAGTTCTGTCTATTATTGTCAGGCCCATATGACATTTTATGTGGATATTAGGAAAGATTTTGTCAAATGCCGTACTATAATTAAGCTATACTGTGCCTATAAGATTCTCACCTACAGCGAAGAATACTACATTACTAACCTTTGAAAATAACCATTGCAGTTGATTCGGTTGAACTTGTTCACGGTGAATCTTCTAGCTAGGATTCCATGTATTCACTTTTCCTTTCTTAACTTCCAAACATTCTTTTTAATCTAATTTTGAATTTTGCAAGGAATCAGTTTGGTCTGGACTTTCTAGACACTGCTTATTTTTCTCATGAGAAATTCTCATATTTCCTTTTATCCAGACTTTTGATCCTACCAATGTTCACCATAATATTAGTGATAAAATTTCTGTTCCTTTCCATCATTGGGAGTGATATGCCTAAACCCATGTCAAGCTACATCTTGGCTCACTGGATACGTTTATGAAGATGCTTTAAACTCATACTGACTTCTCAAGAATAACCTTTGTTGATAAATGTCCCAATTCAGAGACAGGTAGCTCTGTGGTTTTTAGTCTTTTTTGTCACTTGTGGCTCTTCACTGCTGAGAGTTTATTTATTACATGACTTCTTTGTTCATGTATGCTTTTTGTAGAGGGCCATTGGTAAAATTTGCCTGTAATTTAATCTGATAAGCCTAAGTTAATAAAGCAATTTGTGTACTTATCACCATTTATCTGAGTAGTTTGGCAGTCATTCACTGATTAACATACTAACATCTTGGGAAGTTTTATGTTTTCTAGACTCTTCTGTACCAAGGAGATGTTACTTTAAAGTAATGTGGTTTCTTTGTGTGTGTGTGTTAGACTAATCAGCTGGTTTTTTTTTTTAAGACAGGGTCTTGCTATGTTGCCCAGGCTGGTCTCAAACACCTAGGCTCAAGCAGTCTGCTCACCTTAGCCTCCCAAAGTGTTAGGATTATAGGCATGATCCACCATGTCTGGCCCTCTATTCCCTTGTTTGCAGTGGTTTTCCAGTCATTCTAAAATGGCTTTAATATTTTTTCTTTAATGGAACAAATTCTTGGAGTACCTGTGTGCAGCACAGTGTTGGGAATACTGAGAGACATGATAATGCAAGTTCTTTTTCTTTTTTTTTCGAGACAGAGTCTTGCTGTGTCACCCAGGCTAGAGTGCAGTGGCGCGATCTCGGCTCACTGTAAGCTCTGCCTCCCGGGTTCACACCATTCTCCTGCCTCAGCCTCCCGAGTAGCTGGGGCTACAGGCGCCCGCCACCACACCCGGCTAATTTTTTGTATTTTTAGTAGAGATGGGGTTTCACCATGTTGGCCAGGATGGGCTCGATCTCTTGACCTCGTGATCCACCCGTCTCGGCCGCCCAAAGTGCTGGGATTACAGGCGTGAGCCACCACGCCTGGCCCCAGGTTCTTACTTTCTTAAAAAATAGAATTTAGCCAAGCAAGGCCCCATAGTTGGTAAGTCTATTACAGTCACTATTATGTGCCCATGTTTTATATGCCAAGTGTTGTGTAAGCAGCGGTCTTCAACCTTTTTGGCATCAGGGATTGGTTTTGTGGAAGACAATTTTTCCACGGACTGGGGGTGGCAGATGGGGGTTGATTTCGGGATGATTCAAATGCATTATATTTATTGTGCACTTTATTTCTGTTATTATTACAGTGTAATATATAATGAAATCATTATACAACTCAGCACAATGTAGAATCAGCGAGGGCCCTGAACTTGTTTTCCTGCAACTAGATGGTCCCTTCTGGGGTTGATGGGAGATTGTAACAGATCATCAGGCATTAGATTCCAATAAGGAGTGCCCAACCTAGATCCCTTGTGTGCACAGTTCACAATAGGGCTCATGTTGCTATGAGAATCTAATGCCACCGCTGACCTGAAGAGGTGGAACTCAGGCAGTAATGCAAGCAATAGGGACTCGCTGTAAATACAGATGAAGCTTTGCTTACTTGCCTAGCTACTCACCCTGCTATGTGGCCTGGTTCCTAACAGGCCGCTGACTGGTACTGGTCCATGGCCTGGGGGTTGGGGACACTTGGTGTAAGGCATTTTATTTATTTTTTTCGAGACACAGTCTTGCTCTGTCGCCCAGGCTGGAGTGCAGTGGTGTGATCTCAGCTCACTGCAGCCTCCACCTCCCAAGTTCAAGCGATTCTCCTGCCTCAGCCTCCTGAGTAGCTGGGATTACAGGCACACGCCGCCACGCCTGGCTAATTTTTAGTATTTTAGTAGAGATGGGGTTTCACTGTGTTGCCCAGGCTGGTGTCGAACTCCTGAGCTCAGTCAACCCACCAACCTCAGCCTCCCAAAGTGCTAGGATTACAGGCGTGAGCCATCGCACCCGGCCACACTTTTTTTTTTGTTTAATTGAGGTAGAGACTCGCTCTGTTACCCAGGCTGGAGTGCAGTGGTGGAATCCACAGCTCACTGCAGCTTTGACCTCCCAGGCTTGAGTGATTGTGTTACCTCAGCCTCTTGAGTAGCTAGGACCACAGGTGTGTTACACCACGCCTGGCTAATTTATTTTTTATGTTTTGTAGAGACAAGGTCTCACTATGTTGCCCAGGCTGGTCTTGAACTCCTGGGCTCAAGTGATTCACCTGCTTCAACCTCCCAAAGTGTTGGGATTACAGGCGTGAGCCATTATGCCCAGCTCCTTTACACATGTTAAATCATTTAAAGTGTACAATTTTGTCATACTTACTATTCTTTTTTTATTGTAAAATGTACATAACAAAATTTACCATGATAATCATTTTTAAGTGTACAGTTCAGTGGCATTAAGTACATTCACATTGTTGTGCAGTCATCACCACCATCCATCTCTAGAACTTTCATCTTCCTCGATTGAAACTGTATACCCATTAAAGAACAATTGCCTGTTCCCATGACCCCCAGCCCTTGACAACTACCATTCTACTTTCTGTGTCTATGATTTTGACCACTCTAGGTACCTCATATAAATAGAATCATACAATATTTGTTTTTTTTTGTGTCTGGCTTATTTAGCATTATGTCTTCACAGTACATCCATGTGGTAGAATGTGTCATGTTATCCCCATTTTAGAGTAAAAGAAGCTAAGCCCAAAGTCACATAGCTAATAAAGTGAAGTTGAGATTCACACCAAACCTAAAAGTCATGTCTAATGAAGAACGTTTGACCTTGTTTTATTTAGCCTATTTAGCTTGGGAAGAGAACTTTTTGAATATTTGAAGGACTATAATAAGGATTATTACTTATATAACTCCTCATCATTACACTAATAGGTGTAAATTAGAGGCAGGAAAATTTTGATTTAGTAGAAGGAAGGATTTTCTAATAGAGCTGTTTTTGGATGATATGGACTGCTGGAAAAAATTGTTGGAAATAATCTTCAGAAGACTGCCAAATGTTCCTGTGGCAGGGGATGTTACAAAGAAATAAAAAAGTTGAGTTATCTGAATTCTAAGTGTTCTTTTAATTCTGTTGTGGTCTGTGTGGGAGCATAAGATAGCTTCAAGAGAAAGTGCTAAGCTTAAGTGTGGGAGAGATCTTTAGCAATGGAAGCATCATGGATTTTTTATTTTTAAGTCTGTGGCACATTTCTCTGAATATCCTCAGTAATGGCCAGTTGTTTTCTTCTTGAGGGTAGGTTTGAATTTTGAAAACCATTAGAAGTCCTTATCATGCCTGGTGAATAAAAATGGATTAGCAAGATACTTAGAAGTCCTCAGCAGTCCAATGCCAATTTGCCTTTTTCCTAGATTTACTTGCTTTTCCCAGAACCTTTATGAACATTTATGTCCTTTGGCATTTGATGTTCATCCCTTTTTTCTCTTCCTCTTACCAAAATTTTCCTTATTCTTCAAGCACGATGCAGATTTTCTTTCCTTTGTGAAGTTCTGAACTTTTAACTTGGTTTACTTCCTCTTTAATGTTAACCTATTGAGTGAAGTTCTGAACTTTTAACTTGGTTTACTTCCTCTTTAATGTTAACCTATTGAGTGAAGTTCTGAACTTTTAACTTGGTTTACTTCCTCTTTAATGTTAACCTATTGAGAGGTGAAGCCAGCTGGACTTCCTGCCTCAAGTGGGGACTTGGAGAACTTTTCTGTCTAGCTAGAGGATTGTAAATGCACCAATCAATGCTCTGTGTCTAGCTAAAGGATTGTAAATGCACCAATCAGCACTCTGTAAAAACGCACCAATCAGCACTCTGTAAAATGGACCAATCAGCAGGATGTGGGCGGGGACAAGGGAATAAAAGCTGGCCACCCCAACCATCAGAGGCAATTGGTTCGGGTCTCCTCCCACAGCTGTGGAACCCTTGTTCTTTTGCTCTTCACAATAAATCTTGCTGCTGCTAACTTTTTGGGTCTGTGCCACCTTTAAGAGCTGTAACATTTACCGCAAAGGTCCAAAGCTTCATTGTTGGTCAGCGAGACCAAGAACCCGGTGGAAGGAACCAACTCCGGACACACTATCACTGTTTATATATCCTTTCTTAGAGTATATTTAACACAACCACCTTGTACTTTGGTCTGTGTAGTCTAGATTGTGAGCAATCTAAGCAGGAGGACAGTACCATATTCATGTTTATGTTTCTGAACAGAACCACAGTATAGTAAGACTTCAGTTATACTAATTTAAATGAAATCAATCTATCAGTGATGTTAGGTTAAAATGAGGTGAAACTGTAAACTGAGACCAAATTTCTTACATGACCGTTATGCCAGTTACAGATGAGGAATTTCACACAGATTCTGAATAATGGCAGTATTGAATCTCCTTTCCCATGATGAATTAAAAAAGAAAATACTGTCTAGATCTAGTGTCTGATTTTAAAAGTCAGTTTTAGAATTAACCAAAGTACTGGCATGGCTCTGTTTTGTAGGATTACAGAAGCACTTTGTTTTAAAGTGCTTTGTACTTTTTGTGATTTCCAAGTTTTCTCTCATGAATATGAATTGCTTTTATAATTTAAAAAATCCTACTGATAAAATTTGTCAGTTTCATTACCGCGTGGTCATGTAGGGATCATAATATAACCTGATACATTAAAAGCCATTGATGTTTTCCTTGTTACTTAGTGCTAGTAAGATTATACATCACAGATGGAGAAATTTTGGTTTCAATAAGTTTAGATAATGCATTTTTGATAGAATTGGAACCCAAGACAGCTGATATGATCTTATGATCTATTATACTTGTTTGTTTTAAATTTAACAATTTAATTGGACAAAAAAATTTCTTGAATTTGATAGCACCCACGACCAAAAGTGGTTTAGAATGCCTCTTATTCTTGTTTTTAACTTTTCATTTATTTATTTATTTAGAGATGGAGTCTTGCTCTGTCGCTCAGACTGGAGTGCAGTGGCCTGATCTCGGCTCACTGCAACCTCCATCTCCCAGGTTCAAGTGATTCTGCTGCCTAAGCCTCCCGAGTAGCTGGGATTACAGGCGCCTGCCACCACATCCGGCTAATTTTTGTACTTTTACTAGAGACGGGGTTTCACCATGTTGGCCAGGCTGGTCTGTAACTCCTGACCTGAGGTGATCCATCCGCCTTGGCCTCCTAAAGTGCTGGGATTACAGGCGTGAGCCACTGCGCCCGGCCTAACTTTACATTTAGAAAATGAAATTGCGCAAGTGTAACTATTAAAATGTTTATCGTATCTACCTAAATAAACTATGTAGTCTGTTTTCATGAAAAACGACAGCAACTTTGTTTTTTAGGAATATCAGATAAGGAACCCAAAACAGTATTGCTCACATCCTGTGAACTTTCTGGATCGCTGATGTTGCTGCTGCTGCTCAGTCCCATCTTTGAGGCCACCCTGCATTCAAATCCCTGTGCCAAATTGCCCAGGGAACCCGGTCCTGGTGCCCTGGTAGCCCAAAAGGGCTACTTGCCTTCTCCTTCCACTTACCCAGACCCCTGCCTCCCTTACCCTTCTGCTAGGAACATGTCTACAACTATATAAATTCGTGTAATTTTGACATGATATTTGAAAAAGACAATTTGGGCAGTAAATAGCAGAATTAAGTAGTGTCTTAATGTAAATGGTTTGTGTTACCACAATACACTGTTCTAGCCAAAGCACATTGCATGTGACTCCTGTTGCACTAGTTTTTAGTAGCAAAAATGAACCTGTAAAAGAATGTAGGTTTTAAGGCTTTGGTAATATAAGTTATTTCTTTCTTATTTATTTATTTATTTTTAAGAGAGTTTCATTCTGTCGCCCAGGCTGGAGTGCAATGGCGCGATCTCGGCTCACTGCAACCTCTGTCTCCCAGGTTCAGGTGAGTCTCCTGCCTCAGAGTCTGGAGTAGCTGGGAATACAGGTGGCTGCCACCACGCCTGGCTAATTTTTTTGGTGCTTATTTTTAGTAAAGATGGGGTTTCACCATGTTGGCCAGGCTAACATAATACTTCTTTGTAAAAAAAGTTTTTGTAAATGTTTTATGTAAAATGTTTTATATGAGCATACATATATGTACATATATGTACATGTATGTTTATGTATTTTATATATACATAAAAATCTTGCATACATATATTTACATGTGTATATGTAAAAACAGTACATGGTGGTAATTCTGCAACTTTTTTTATCCAAAGGTATTTAAAATAGTATTATTAAAAGTGCTATGTATATTCTAATGTATGTAAATGCTGTAGAGTATCTGGCCATTTGTGGCTGATAGCTGTTTAGGTTATTTCAGGTTTGTTATCACACACAGTGCTTTATTGAATGTCATTTTTCCTCATGCATGTGTGTAGTTTTCTAGGGTGGATGTTGGGTTGTAGATGCTGGGTCATGGTGTACGTACATTTTTTCATTTACTAGGTCCTTGCCTTCCAAAGTGGCTCCACCAAGTTACACTCCCATCAGCAGCTTGTTAGAGTATCCATGTCTCCCTACCCCAGCTGACTAATGTTAGTTTGTAGCAATCTGTTATACTTTCCTTAATTTGTTGGGCTAAAAAACTGCAGAGTTTATCTTGTTTTAATTCTTGTTTCCTTGATTCCCAGTAAGGTTAAATATTTTTCCATTTGAGCATCTTTTCATATATTAACTGATCATTTGTAAATCTTATGCAGGGAATTGCCTGTTTATATCCTTTGCCCATTTTCCTATTATTTGGTCTGTTATTGATTTGTAGGAATTCTTTGAATATTCTGGATACAAATTATTTTTATATATGTGGCAGTTATCTTTAGTTTGCTGATTATTAAGATTATTATTATTTTTTTGAGACGGAGTCTCACTCTGTCTCCCAGGCTGGAGTGCAGTGGTGCGATCTCAGCTCACTGCAAGCTCCGCCTCCTGGGTTCACACCATTCTCCTGCCTCTGCCTCCCGAGTAGCTGGGACTACAGGTGCCCGCCACCACGCCTGGTTAATTTTTTGTATTTTTAGTAGAGACGGGGTTTTACCGTGTTAGCCAGGATGGTCTCAATCTCCTGACCTTGTGATCCACCCGCCTTGGCCTCCCAAAGTGCTGGGATTACAGGCGTGAGCCATCGCGCCCGGCCTGCTGATTATTCTTTAAAGCTGACAATGTCTTCGGTCATTATAGCCGTTTAAATATTTGTTGCGATCAAATTTATTGATCTTTTACTTGATGCCTTTTTCATTTTGTTTAAGGCCTTCCTGCATGATAGAGCTTACTGAAGCTACTCCCCTTTCTTAGTCATCTTCTTTCTGGAACTTAGTTCTTTCTAACTGAGCCTGACTGAGGCTGGGCGAAGCATGTGAAATGTTTTGTCATGTTTTCTTCTAGTTGGCTGTGGGAGGCTATACTTGAGGACTGGTGGAAATTTCAGCTGCACTGTGTAGATTTCAGGTGAAGGCAAACGTTGTCTGGCACAGAGGACCACAGATGAGCCTGCAGAGAAATACTCTACTAGTTTGCCGGCTCTATGTGGTTTTGGATTGTATTTCCAATGCCTAGCTTAGTACTTGGAACACACAGACAGTGAATAAATATTACTTAAAAATTTAACTTCTCCACAATAAATTTTGTGAGCTTCTGGAACTCATTGTTAGCAAAGGCTGTGGAATCTTGTCTGTGAGAATTTCTAGTAGTACCCTCATCTTTCGAGGGTGGTACACTCATGTAAACATGAGTGCAGTTGCATGAATCTCTCCCGAGTGTAGATACAAATACACACATTGCCTGCATGTGCACACACTCAGCCTTTCTAAAGTTTCCAAGCTCTTTAAAAAAACAAAAAACAAAAAACACCTGAATAGTTCAGGTTGTAGACATGAAATAAATACTCTTGAAGATGTCATTTCAAAGCAATCTATGTGCTCCTTTTCCAGCTCAGATGAGACATTGATCTTAAGGAAAGGAAAGGCAGTGCTTTTTTGGGTTAGTACAAACTGACATGGAAAACTGTTACCTTCTTTTCATAGTGATGTTGACAAATCTGCTCAAATGAATGAATTTACTCTTGAATGATTCATTTCAGGGGAAATGGCACAATCACTTCCTTATGCTAGTAGTCAGTGGCCCGCAAGAAGAGGTAAGAGTAGAGGAGGCACTCACAACTTTATCAAGATGTGAGCACTGGCTTTAACTTGCCTGAAAAAACTCTCAAGAAATCACTGATCATAAAACATACAATCTATAATTTTTTTTTTTTTTTTTTTTGAGACGGAGTCTCGCTCTGTCGCCCAGGCTGGAGTGCAGTGGCGTGATCTCGGCTCACTGCAAGCTCCGCCTCCCAGGTTCCTGCCATTCTTCTGCCTCAGCCTCCCGAGTAGCTGGGACTACAGGCGCCCACCACCACGCCCGGCTAATTTTTTGGATTTTTAGTAGAGACGGGGTTTCACCGTGTTAGCCAGGATGGTCTCGATCTCCTGACCTCGTGATCTGCCTGCCTCAGCCTCCCAAAGTGCTAGGATTACAGGTGTGAGCCACCGCGCCTGGCCACAATCTGTAATTTAATTAAATTTTAAAAGTGCCCAGAGACTTTATGGAAACTTTGTATTAAGAATGCAGTATGTGAGTATAGCATAGCTATTTGGAGCACCAACTTGGAAGCAGACAGACCTGGCTTCATTTCTGGGCTCAAGTGCTTACTACCTGTGTGACTTATACAAGTTTCTTTCTTTCTTTTTTTTTTGAGATGGAGTCTCACTCTGTTGCCCAGGCTGGAGTGCAGTGGTGCGATCTCTGCTCACTGCAAGCTCCGCCTCCTGGGTTCATGCTGTTCTGCCTCAGCCTTCCAAGTAGCTGGGACTACAGGCGCCTGCCACCGTGCTCGGCTAATTTTTATTTTATTTTTTAATTTTTTTTTATTTTTAGTAGAGATGGGGTTTCACTGTGTTAGCCAGGATGGTCTCAATCTCCAGACCTCGGACTTATACAAGTTTCTTAACTTCCCTAAGCCTTGGTTCCTCATCTGTAAAAACAGGAAAATATTGCAACCTATCTCCTGGGACTTGTATAAGGATTAAATCAGTTAATGTAAACAAAGCACTTGGAACAATTCCTGAAAATGAGTACTCAGTACAAGTTTAGGGTTTTTGTTGTTAGTAATAGTAGTATTACCTAGCTTCCATTGAGAGAATCTGACTATATTTAGTTTCCATAAATTATATGATCAAATACAGTTAGATACTAGTTACCATGTAAAGCAGATCCCCTAATGGGAAGAAACGAGACTGGTCTATCAGTAATGGGACTTATAATCTCTTTCCTTATTCTCTTTCTCCTTTTTATCAGCTTGTCTTTCCTGCCTACCTGCCTTCCTGCCTTCTTTTGTTTGTGGCTTCTCATCTCTCTTTTTGTCCTCTTCCACATTTACCATGGTTTCCTCCTGTCCGCTCTCCTAATTTGAAGTGCTGAGAGGATGTGCTCTCACAAGATCTGACAGGAGAGCTAGTGCCATTTGGCTGCCTCCAGCATTCATAAGGAAAGGATGGTTCTTAAAAACCATTAGTATGATCATGAGATGAAACTCGTGTCTCTTCTCTTGGGATCACCCTTCCTTTTGAACCAGGTGGATCTTCTTACTTCCTCCCCCTTCAATGAAGCATTCTCCTCTGCATATGCTGGGGGAGTAGAAAGAATGCTTGGCACTCAGCTCCACATGGGAGAAATCATATCTATTTAATGCATCACTGTGTACCTCATGCCTAGGACCTGTTGCATAGAAGGTAACAAATATTTGCTGAGGGAATGATTTAGTGAAGCCACACTGAAACTGGAGATTTGAACTCTGGTTTTCTTACTCACTAGAGGTATAACCTTGGGTAAGTTACTGAGGTACTCTGAGACTCAGATTCCTTATATAATGTATATAATAATATATGACATGATAATTTATTATATATAATATTTAATGAAAATGATATGACATGATTATTTTATATAATATTTAATGAAAATGATGACATTATTATATATAATATTTAATGAAAACAATAATACCTACCTTTAATGGAAAGTTAAAGGATTATAAAACTTTTTTTTAAAAGTGCTTTGCAAACTGTCAAATACTGTGCAACTATGAGAGTCATGTGGGAAATTCCAGGAAGTTTAGATAGGTAATTCTTTGCCCTTCTGAAAGTAGGACGTACAGTCAGAGTTGGTGCTTTCCAAGTAACCACCATTTTAAAGCTTGGGTCATAGAGTTAGGCCAAGAGGTCTTTCTTTTCTTTGTCATCCCCTTACCCTAAATAATAGTCTGGTTAATTTGAGGCCAAATAAATGGGCACACAGAGACATATAGATGATTGACTAAGCATTCAGTTTGGCAAAGGCGTTTCCAAAACATATAAACATCTAGCAGTGAGGTGCTATGATCTCAAGTATTCATATATATCCTTTTATTAAATACGTTTTGGGGCAAAATTTTTCTATTTCTTTTGAATTTTTACTTGAGATTTTAAAGTCATTTAGTGAAAAATAAAAGACCCTCAAGACAGGCAGAAATGCATGATAGTGACACAGGAGTTAGAGAAAAGCACCTCTCCCGAGGGGCCCCTCAGTCAAGCTCTCTTAAGTGCTAGTTCTCTAACCTTGGGAGTCAGCCTGGACTCCTGTCTCTCATAGCCCACATCCATCCATCAGCAAATCCCCTTGGCTGCCCCTTTGAAATGCTGTAATCACTTGACTCTGTCAGTAGCCTCCTGCCAGACTCCATGGTTCCATCCTTTATCTGCTATAATTTGTTTTCCACATAGTACCCACAGTGATATGTTACAGACTTGAATTAGATCTGATCTTGGCCTAATCAGAACTCTCCAAAATGCCCCTTCACCCTGGGAACAAAAGCACAACATCCTGAGTATGAAGTTACCCAAAGCCCTTTATGACCTGGCCTCTACCTGCCTCTCAAATCTCATTTTCTACGAATCCCTTCCTGTTCTCATAGCTCCAGCCTCCTTAGATAAACTAAGCACACTCCATCCTCCAGTCTTTGCAGTTGCTGTTGCCTCTGCCTGGAATAATTTTCCGCCATAAGTTCGCCTGCCTTCCCTCTTCTTTTCGCCCAGGTATCCCTTCCAAGGAATTCTTCTCCTCAGAGAAGTCTTCCTTGATCAACCCATCTAAGAAAGTACCACTATCACTCTCTGTCTCCCTGCCCAACTTTATTGCCTTCATAATAGTTTTCATGACTGGACATCCCATTGCATATTTATTTGCTTATCTGTTTATTGTCTGTGTCTGCCATGAGAATGTGAGCTTAGTGAGGACACGGATCCTGTATGCTTTGTTCACCACTGTGTTTCCAGTACTTTAACTGATACTGGCATGTGGCCAATGCTCAGTGAATATTTCCTGAGTGAACAAAGGAATAGTCTTTAGAGAAGTGAGAAAGCATGATACTTGCCTGTATCTTTTTTTTTTTTCCCCATACAAAGTCTTGCACTGCCACCCAGGCTGGAGTACAGTGGTGTGATCATGGCCCACTGCAGCCTTGACTTACCAGGCTCAAACAATTCTACCAACCCAGCCTCCCAAAGTGCTAGGATTACAGGCATGAGCCACTGTGCCTGGCTGCCTGTATCTTTAAAAATTCTGAGGTTCTGATTTTCTTTAGATTACTGATACTGTATATTATTTTATGCTTTAGGTTTTGTTGAAACCAAGGTAGCTGAATTTAACAAACTATCACTGTTCCCAGAAATAATAAGGCCTGAACAATTCTTATTTACTACTGCATTACTGATAGGATATTGAATCCTTATTTGTATATTTATTTTTATATAATGGTCTTAAGATACAAATAGCATCATTAAAGAAAATATATTTGAAAATAACATTTTTGAAAGGAAGAAAAGTCACTCCCATCACCCTAACATATCCACATGCAGACATTGTATGCAATTATAATTAGGGTGTACATAAGAGTTTTTTGGTGTGACATACAAATATTTTCAACACTGTCTCACATACTCCATGTTAACATTAGGCATTAATTTCTAATGTCTACAGAATAGTTCATTAATTTGCCATATCATAATTTACTTAACCAATTCCCAATTGTTAGACAATTTGGTTTTGATTTTCCCCCTTTTATTTATTTATTTATTTTTTGAGACAGAGTCTCACTCTGTCATCCAGGCTGTAGTGCAGTGGCTTGATCTTGGCTCACTGCAACCTTCACCTCCCAGGTTCAAGCAATTCTCCTGCCTCAGCCTCCTCAGTAGCTGGGATTACAGGCATGTACCACCACACCCAGCTAATTTTTGAATTTTTAGTAGAGACAGAGTTTCACCACATTGGCCAGGCTGGTCTCGAACTCCTGACCTCAAGTGATCTCCCCACCTCAGCCTCCCAAAGTGCTGGGTTTATAGTTCTGAGCCACTTCGCCCAGCCTGGTTTTCCCCTTTTAGATATAATGGTTCAGTAGTGAAGCATAGGTATGCTTTTCTGGTGCCCCCTACCTTCCAATATTTTAGAAGACTGCCTCATGATAAATTTCTAACAGTGGAGTAACTGGTTCATAAGATGTGTGTATAATTACGATATTCTAGCATACTGGAAAACATATTTTCTTTTCGAAAGTATTATATCAATAGAACAATATCATAGCAACCTTATCAGTGTGGGTGGTACTATTAATAATTTTGAGGGTTTAATAGGCATCAAATAAAGCCACTTTAATAGGTCTAAAAAAAATAAGACTTTGTTAAAATGTACATTTCTTTAACTGCTATTAATGTTTTTCTCATATACTTGTGAATGATTTATATTTCTCTGTTTAATGGTCTCTCCTTTTTAAACTATTAAGGGCCTGAGAATTTTCTCTCACATTTGAATGAACACTTTCATGGTATATGTAAATATTTTCCTAGTTTATTGTTCTTTTTAGTTTTTCATAGTTAAAAAAATTTTTAATCTTCATCTGGCTGAATTTATCAATATTTTCTTTGTTCACTGTCCTTTCTTTAGACGTTGATGTATATGACATGTTAACTGATCAATGATAATAGACAATGATTATCGTTATAATAAAAGTCATTTCAGAGGGTCTCATCATACTTGCGAAATATGGTGTTTAGGAAGGGGCGTAATGAAGTGGATACCTCCCTAGAGTGTAATCTATGAGTATGTACTGGCAGAAGGGAAAGAGGAAGAAGAGGGGCAGTTTCCTTCCTCTGTCAAGGCATGACAGCATGTCTCAGAGCACGACGCACACTTACGTAGGCAGAAAATGGCTTTCTAAGTCTTTCAAATGAAATCCCCCTGGCTGGTGGTATTCATCTGCTTTGCCAGTGATGTTCATAAAATGATTCCAAGGCACCGCAGAGCTCTCGAATCTCTCCCAACTATCAAAGGGTTATGCTTGGTTTACGTTTCAATATTAGTTACACTTTGCTCTGAGCTACTTGCAGGCATTTGTAACCCCAGGTTCTGGAACCTGTAAGATGCAGCCACAAATGTTTGCTAGATGAACATTCGAAAAAATTATTTTAACAATTTTCGAATATTTTGGCACTTGTTTGGAAATGTATGGAGTGGAAAGAAGTAGGGTATTTGCATTCTAATCCAGGTCCAGGCACCAAGGGTTTGGCTAATCTTAGATAACTGATTTTTTTTGTGGGCCTCACTTTCCTCATTTGTTAAGAGAGAGCATTAGGCTAGATGATCTCAGAGGGACTTTTCAGTGAGGATTCTATGATTATAGATTGTAAATTAAATAAAATGTCCAGTTAATTGGGTTATCCTACATTTTTAAAACTATGTCCGATCACAAAGAGAGTAGATTATAAAAGAAACCATCAACCTTTTCATAGCTTCAAAGGTATTGGTTTAATTTGGATTTACTGTGAGTTCTCATGAGTTTCAATACAATGCAGTTTACAGTATAATAGAATTCATATTACAAATATAAGTGCATTGAAATCAATGTTGGACAATTAAACAAGAACAAGAACAAAAAGACTTTTTATCCTCTAGAGCTGTGCTTGCTGTTCACTATGGTAGTAAAATGTGGCTAGTCTGAATTAAGATACGCTGTAAGTACTAAATACTCATGAGATTTTGAAGGTTTGTTATGAAAAAAACTATCTCATTAGTGATTTGACATTGATTACATACAGAAATCATTATCACTAAATATATCTTAAAAATTAATTTTTCCTATTTTTGTACTTTTTAAAATGTGGCTACCAAAAATTAAAATTACAGATGTAGGCCACACTGTGTTTCTGTTACACAATGCTCCTTTAGAGGGATAGAAGATTATTTGCATTATTTAAATGAAAATATTTTTGCTTTTTATTCCAGCATACTTAATCTCCAATGATTTTTAAAATGTTAAATTTATTCTCTCATAGGAAAATGGCTTTGTAAAGAAGCTTGAGCCTAAATCTGGCTGGATGACTTTTCTAGAAGTTACAGGAAAGATCTGTGAAATGCTCTTCTGTCCTGAAGCAATACTGTTGACCAGAAAGGACACTCCATATTGTGAAACCGGCCTAATTTTTCTGACTCTTACGAAAACGATTGCCAACACATACTTCTACTTTTAAATAAACAACTTTGATGATGTAACTTGACCTTCCAGAGTTACAGAAATTTTGTCCCTATTTAATGAATAAATTGTATGTATTTTTCTCTATATGCCATTTTTGTCTTCAGTTTTGGAGTCTGGCTGGAAATTCAGCCAAAGGGTAAAAGCTCAACACAGGATCCAGGCAATTAATTATGGGATGATGACCAGGAAGGCGGTGTCTTTTCTGCCCCAGGCAGACTTTTAAGGTGTGCCATTACCCCAAAAGTCCTTTTCTGTGTCACTAGGCTAGACTGCAGACTAGACTGAGAAGCGGACTCAGGCTAGAAGCAGACTCAGGTCGGCTTCCCTCTTCCCTCCTTCCTTCCCATGCTTTCTGCAGTTTCCAGTGCCCCTGGCTGCTTAAGAGTTTCCATTGATGCCTCCTCCCCAGCCTTCTCTCTCTGGCTTGCCATTTGGGGTTGATGGATATGGCAACCTGATATGCAGGATACTCTGGGATATTCTGAACAAAGAAAATTGGTAAATGATTCAACGTGGAGCTAGTGTTAATTTTAATTTTTATTTTTTGGTAAAAATGAACAGATTAGAAAAGTACGTAGTTTGTTAGACCTCGTGTTCTAACTTTTAGGTCAGCAAATCTAATTGCACTATGTATACGCTGTACCTGCCTGGCCTTCCCTTTTTCTTACAACACAGTCCCCCTGGGACTTGCATTAGCTTTCCCTGGAAGCTGTTGATAGATTCCATAAAGAAGCCAGAACTCCCCTCTCAAGCCATGTGCATTCTCACCGGGCACTTAATTAATGCTTTACCTAGGAGGTGTGATTCTTAACGGTGGGGATTAAGACACTGGGGCGGTCAGTAGGGACGTATTTTTGGCAGAGACAGCTCTGGTTTTCTTAGGAAGTCACATCTGAGAGGCAACCGTCTATGCCATCTGAGGCGCCTGTCTACTGGGAGCAGTTTAAGACTTAACAGTTTCTTTTACCTCTTCCTGCAAGTGCCTCACCCACCCCCCAACTGCTTTTAGTTTTAATTCATTTTTGTGTTTTAATCAGAGCTGAGTGGTGGGAATGAACAGTCACTGATGGTTATAACAGGAAGTACCTATGTGGGCACTATTACCTGGAATACATTCACACTAGAAACCCGCAAAATTTGGCTTTTACACTACAGTTATTGCTTTAGCAGTGTTCCCGATTATGTATCATCTATACATTCATCACATAAGGACATTTCCATCAACCACTGTGGTCCCTTAAGATTATAATGGAGCTGAAAAATTCCTAATACCTACTGATGTGGTAGCCAACCAACACATTACCTTTTCTGTGTTTAGATACACAAGTATCACGGTGCTTACAATTGCCTACAGTATTCGGTACAAAATACGCTGTACAGGTGTGTAGCATAGGTGTGTAGTAACTTTGTGTAACTACACTCTGATGTTTGCACAAGAAGGAAATCGGGGCATCTGTCAGACCTATCCCTGTAGTTAAGCGACTCGTGACGATTTCGCTACATGTCCTGCCTTGCCCTTCTTTTCTGGCCCCTGAAGTCCCACTACTGAACAGTACAAGAGATGCCAGGCACCGTGGGTACTGCCGGCCATCTTTACCATCCCCGCCAGTGGCGCTGCCGCCTCCGCGGTCCCGGTGAGGGCCCAGGCTCAGGGAGGTCAGGCGGCAGGGCAGCGACGGCGCCTCGCCACCGCTCCCCTAACCGGGGAGGGCGAGCCGGACCACGGGGACCGCACGAGGGCTGGGTCCCAAGGGCCAGAGGCGAGGTAAGCGCGCGGCGCGCCGCGGGCCCGCGTCCCGGAAGCGGGGTGGGGGCGCTTCCCCGAGCCCCGACCCGCCCCTAGGCCGCGGATCCACCTGGGAGCGGCCAGGGGCGGAGACCGAACCCGAGGGCGCCCAGGGCGCCGAGGGCGGGACTGGACTCGGCTTGGGCGTGAGATGGCGGCGGCAGCGGTGAGCAGCGCCAAGCGGAGCCTGCGGGGAGAGCTGAAGCAGCGTCTGCGGGCGATGAGTGCCGAGGAGCGGCTACGCCAGTCCCGCGTACTGAGCCAGAAGGTGCGAGGCCGCCCGTAGCGGAAGCCGCGGCGGACAGACCCTCCGAAGGCCTGGCGGCCAGCGATTGCTGATCTGTGCATGGTCCGTGCTGGCGCTGGGCTAGGCGCCCCCCCACCCCCCGGCGCGCGCACGTTTCCCCTCCCGGCGCGCGCACGCCCCCTAGTCGTGGTCTGGACGCTCTTGGCACTATGGCGGGGAGAGGGCCCGGTAGTGAAAGTTGTGGGGCTAAAGAGCGAGAGGACGGCAGGGGTTGACAGATTTATCTCTGGGAGGGGAGTTTGTTTGCATGGGTGGCTCTTTTGGTGCTCGAAAACCCTCCGTGGGGATGACGGTGCTGTGGTGAGAGCACGGTGAGAACAGAAAGTTGTGGTAGAGGAGATGGGTGAACACCTGAGTGCCCAGGTTCCCTCAGTGAGGCCTAAAGTTAATGAGCTACGAGTAAGACTCCGGTTATATTAGTAAAATGGCCAGAGAAAGATGCAGGTGCTTTAGACGAGGGAACACCAAAAAAGGTGTGGAGATGCCAAAGGGCAGAACTCAGAGGTTGACTGGACTTCACTAAGCATATGGAGGGCTAAGGCTGTGTCTCAGTAGCTCCAGGGCCTAGGCTTTTCCTGTCTCAGAGTTGGTCAACATTAAATGCTTTTTCTTGAGTGAACGAAAGGAAGACTTGGCTATCATATCCAGGCTTCCCAAGAACGTAGGAAACAGAAGAGAGAAATGAGAGGAATAAGTGAGGGTCCGTGTTTGTTGGTTAGCAGACCTCTGTTTCATTACTTTCACCAACTGCACTGCTATGTATTTTTAGTCTATGTAATGTCAGTTTTCTTATCAATAAAATGGCAGTCATATCCTGTTGTGAAGGCATGTTCTAAAGAGTTTTTGGGGACTCATTTTTGTTAGACACCAGAGGAAGAAAAATTTAATGTCCCCTGAATAAGTACGTATTTGTAATTCTGTTGTAAGTCAAACTGATGATCTGTCTTCCCAGCATCATGCTTCAGAGACACCAGATATTTGGAAACTTGATGTTCCTTGGAATTAGTTATACCATCAGGCTTTCTTAATTACCCTTCACTATTCTATTATCCGTTATTTACTCAAATTCAAGGTGCCTATGGGTTAAAGCAGTAAAGCATATATGCTCATTTCACCCCTCTCTTCATCTATGTAGGTGTGTATGAGGGAATCTATACAGATGTTAATTCGTTCGTTCAAACAGAATTATTTTAGCTATTATGAGGAAGCATTGCTGGGTGTTTTAGTAGATGTAAAGGATATAGACTCTTGTCCTTACTATCTAGTTGTTTAAAATTTAGCTAATTCATTCACATATGTTGAACACCTATGTAGTGCACACTTGGCTATATACTGGGTTGTGGAGATGAAAAAGATATGATTGTTGCTCTAAAGGAGCAGAGAGCCTAGAAGAGGAAACAGACATGAATAAAGAATTGCATTGAAGCCAGATATATGATAAAGGTAAACACCAATGTTGTGGAAACATAGCCTTGGGGAGGGGAAATTGGAAAGCTTTCTATTGGAAAATGTTTGAGATGAATTTCGGAGAACAAGATGAATTCTTTCAGGTGAAGGGAAAGATGGGATAGGGGAGTGTGAGTAGGGATATTTAGGCAAGAGATGACAGGATACAGTTTAGCATGGGCTTTGGAACTGCACAGATCTGGGCTGAATCTGGCGCCATTGTTTTTTAACTGTATATCCTTGGACAGGTCTCATAATCTCTCAGAACCTTTGGTTCCTTGTCTATAAAATGGATAATATCACTCTTGTAGGTCGATTGTGAGAGTTAAAGAAGTGTGTAAAGGGATGTATTCAGAGCTTTACCTATTGTTTGTTATGTCCTTTAGGAAGAGTATAATGGCAGCATTTGGATAATGGGTTGAGGAAGGAAGAAAGAAAAAAAATATGGAGACCAGTAAGGGGCTGTTGTGCCAATTCAAGTGAAAGATGAAAAATATGCAAACCAGAGCATGGGCAGTGAAGATGAGGGGAAAGGAGGCAAATGGGAGACTGTTAAGTGAGAAACAGCAGGACTTGGCAACTGATTGGAAGAGGTTAGAGAATACTGGAAGGGGAGGAGAGTCACCAGTGATTCCAAAATTTAGAGCTTGGTATAATGGTGTTTAGCCTTAGGCATAAAGAAGGTAGGAATTGGAACAAATTTTGGAGGGGCATGGGGAAAATAAAGATGAATTCAGTTTCTAATCTTCTACGTTGTCTTTCTCCGTAGAAGATTAGAATTCATAAACTATAGATGGAAATAGTTTACATAGATACAGAGTCACTGACAGCAATAGAATGACGACTGAGAGCTGGCATTAAAGGAGGAGAGAGAAAAATTAAAAAGCAGACCCATGACCCTCAGTAATAAATACATTTTACTCTGTACAAACAAATATACACATACAAGGAACATTTTACAGCTCTTAAGCACATACAATGAAATTTAATATTTTCTTTTTTTTTCAAGACAGAGTCTTGCTCTGTCGCCCAGGCTGGAGTGCGGTGGCATGATCTCGGCTCACTGCAACCTCTGCCTCCCACGTTCAAGCGATTCTCCTGCCTCAGCCTCCCAAGTAGCTGGGATTACAGGCACGTGCCGCCATGCTCAGCTAATTTTTCTATTTTTAGTAGAGACGGGGTTTCACCATGTTGGCCAGGGTGGTCTCGAACTCGACCTCGTGATCTTCCCGCCTCTGCCTCCCAAAGTGCTGGGATTACAGGCGTGAGCCACTGTGCCTGGCTCGAACTTTAATATTTTCTATTCTATTTCATTTAAAAATTGTAGCCCACTATTGATTTCATGACTAACCAATGGATCATCACTGGAAACATCAGTGTACTGTGTAGTGTTTTGCCATAGTGAATGCTCAATAAAGGTGTTAAATGATGTCTTTCATTTAGAAAAGCGTATTTATTCTTATTGGCACTGTACCTTTTTATAACTTAGAAATTTATCAGAGAAGTAATTTAAATGGTAAAGAAATTCAGGTTTATGTCATATCTTGATTCCCTAAGATGAGGAAATTAGTGCCCCTTTACTCACTGTGTTTTCTACTCCCTCTGTCAGTTTCTGACATTTATATTGTTATATTTATGTTGTCAAGTTTTGTAATTTTTCTTTTTCTTTTTCCTTTTTTTTTTTTTTTTGAGAGGGAGTCTCGCTCTGTTGCCCAGGCTGTTATGCAGTGGCGTGATCTCGGCTTACTGCAAGCTCTGCTTCCCGGGTTCATGCCATTCTCCTGTCTCAGCTTCACAAGTAGCTGGGACTACAGGCGCCCGCCACCACGCCCGACTAATTTTTTGTATTTTTAGTAGAGATGGGGTTTCACCGTGTTAGCCAGGATGGTCTCGATCTCCTGACCTCGTGATCCGCCTGCCTCGGCCTCCCAAAGTACTGGGATTACAGGCGTGAGCCACCGCGCCTAGCCAGTTTTTCATTTTTTGAGACAAAGTATCGCTTTGTTGCCCAGGCTGGAGTGCAGTGGCGCAATCTTGGCTCACTGCAACCTTCGCCTCCCGGGTTCAAGGAGTTCTGTGCCTCAGCCTCCCAAGTAGCTGGGATTACAGGCGCCTGCCGCCACGCCTGACTAATTTTTGTATTTTTTGTAGAGACAGGGTTTCATCATCTTGGCCCGGCTGATGTTGAACTCCTGACCTCATGATCCACCTGCCTCGGCCTGCCAAAGTGCTGGGATTACAGGCATGAGCCACCACGCCTGGCCAGGTTTTGTAATATTTAAACTTTGTTCTGTAACTATAATGAGTCTACTGAGCAGTATTTGTGACCGATTTCCAAACTTGAGATTTCAGTAAATTGTATTTACAGTAAACAGTATTTACAAAAATATGTAAAGCACTGAATACATACCTTGTATTTATTTTTTTAATTTTTTTTTAGATGGAGTCTCGCTCTGTTGCCAGGCTGGAGTGCAGTGGCCCAATCTCGGCTCACTGCAACCTCCGCCTCCCGGGTTCAAGCGATTCTCCTGGCTCAGCCTCCCGAGTAGCTGGGACTACAGGTGCGCGCCACTATGCCCAGCTAGTTTTTGTATTTTTAGTAGAGATGGGGTTTCACCACGTTGGCCAGGATGGTCTCGACCTCTTGACCTCATGATCCACCCACCTTGGCTTCCCAAAGTGCCGGGATTACAGGTGTGAGCCACCACGCCCAGCCGTATTTTTGTTCTGTAGATGGTATTCATTGTAGAATCAAGTTGTATGATTGAATATGTAAGAAAAGACATAACTTTATGTCACTAGATATGTGTAGCTAGGAAGGTAATGTTTCAAGTGTCAGTACCAAAGCTTTTCTCTTTTCCCCCATAATTGCTCAAAATCATTCTCTTTTTTACTTTGTTCCCATTTGGAGCATATTTCTAATTTCTGTATTTTTCCAGGAGCTTCTGATTGCCTTTATTTTTCCTTTTTTGACAAATCAAGAATATGTGTTTATCTTATCAATAGATTCTTTTTCATCGTCTGTTAAAATAAATCCACTCTCTTTTTGAAAACACTCCAGCCCCTTGCTTCTTCTGGTCTGGTTGCCTCTGGCCCATTGCACTGCCATTGCCCTGGGGTTCCTCCTTACTCCACTTCTGAGTTAGGGCTGCTTTTTGAGTCTAATATCTTTGTCTTTCTTGGATTCTTTTCCCTTCATCTTATTAGAGTATATTTTCAGATAATTTTTTTTGAGAAAGTATCTTTGGGGGTGGTAAACTTTTAAATATACATTAGGAAATGTTTTACCTTCATACTTGATTGATAGTTTGAATTTCAAATTTAAAATTATTTTCCTTGTTCTGCTCAGCACCCATGGCCCCCATTCAATATGGAGACTCGTGTTTTTCTTTTTCTTTCTCTTTTTTTTTTTTTTTTTTTTTTGAGATGGAGTTTCATTCTTGTTGCCCAGGCTTGAGTGCAATGGCATGATCTTGGCTCATCCTCTGCCTCCTGGGTTCAAGTGATCCTTCTGCCTCAGCCTCTCAAGTAGCTGGGACTACAGGCATGTGCCACCACGCCTGGCTAATTGTTGTATATTTAGTAGAGATGGGGTTTTACCATGTTGGTCAGGCTGGCCTCGAACTCCTGACCTCAGATGATCTACCCGCCTCCACCTCCCTAAGTGCTGGGTTTACAGGTGTGAGCCAAGTATATCTTCTTTGATTATTTATTTTCCTTTGTGCCTTTTTGGAACTCTTGTTAATCAGATAATAAAAATCACAGATTGATCTTCTCTATTTCTTAACATTTTTTTCATTTTTCCTATTTTTGCCTTTTCCCCTACTCCACGGCTTTCTCCTAAGTTGTTTTAATTTTGCTAATCACAATTTTAGTTTCCATTGATTATTTCATAATTCCCTGATTGCTTCCTCCCCATAGCAGTCTATTGTTATTTTAGAAATGCAGTTATCTTCTTGAGTGTGTCTGAGAAAACTAATTAGAATTTCAAAAAATTATCTGTCCTGTTTGTCCATTTTTTCTCCCCTTCTTATTTTTTTCCCCATCCTTCTATTTTGTATTTTGACTTTTCAAAATGTTTGATGATCCTTTGTTATCTGTACATATTTGTGAATGAAGATGTCTTAGCTAATGGGGATTTCCTCTGCCTTTTATGGTTGCTTTGGGATTTCAAGGGAGGAGTGGATTCTGCCTGACCTGCACCCTTATTCTCTGAGTGTTGTGATCTGCTGCTGTTTTGTCAGTAAAATACTGTCCCATCCACTCTTTGTCTTACAGAAATTAGGTCTCTATTCTCTTATTCTCAGTACTCTAATGGATTTTCTTTTTTTGTGCTTCTTTACCATCATATAAATGGGATTTGAGGAAGGAAGATAAATATGCATGCACAGTCTCACATTGAGTGTTAACTGATGTTTATTACTGCTTATTCAACTCTCGATCTTCTATATTCTGCTGTAAAGAGAGCAAAAAGGATACTTAACTTTCTCATATAGTAGTTGGATGCCAAAAGCCCCAGGCCTGCCCAGGTCTAGGTTTCACATTTCCTTTCTTTGCCCATTTCAGGCCTCAAAACAATTTTGTAACTTTTCAGAATGTGAGAGTTAACTTTCTTCCTTAGACTGGTTTGATGTGCTCTATCTACTTAATTTCTGTGTTTCCTTTTTTATTAGTGATAACCTGACTTACTGTTCCTGTATCTTTCTGCCAGTCATATTTATAAGCTACTTTTATGGCTTACAATTATATAATAATAACAAAAGTATTAAAAAGTCTTATAAAGAATAAGAAAAGTATTCTTTTCTTTTTAGTTTGGAGAATAGGGAGGAACAGAAAAGGAAGGGAAAAAAAGAGAGCTGGCCAGGTGCAGTGCCTCACACCTGTAATCCCAGCACTTTGGGAGGTCCAGGTGGGTGGATCAGTTGAGCTCAGGAGTTTGAGACCAGCCTGAGCAACATGGTGAAACCCTGTCTCCACAAAAAATACGAAAAATCAGCCGGACATGGTGGTTTGCACCTGTGGTCCCAGCTACTCTGGAGGCTGAGGCAGGAGGACTGCCTGAGCCTAAGAGGCAGTGATTGCAGATTGAGGCAGTGGTTGCAGATTGCACCACTGCACTCCAGCCTGGGCAACAGAGGGAGACCCTGTCTCAAAAAAAAAAAAAAAAAAAAAAAAAAAAGGAAAAAAGAGAGCGAAGGGCTAACTTCTGAGTGTGGATAAGTTCCTGAGATTGTTGACATTTCTATGATGAGCAAAGCTCATTTACCTTCTCCTGCCTGATGGATGATTCAACTGAATATGGTTTCTTTCACCAGGATCTGCCCCCACCCCATAATTGTGAATATTTTAATATTCATTTGAACAGATGGATTTTAGGAAATGGGATGGGGATGGTAGAGGCATGTTCTCTGCCTCAGAGAACTCAGTTCATGGACCGGTTAGGGATACCACATTTAGGGCACATGAAACAATTAGTGACCCACTCATGACAGTACATCATTATTAAGGTATATATTAACTCTAAATGTAGTAAGGGTTCGGCAGAAGTTAGGAAAAGTTAGGGCTTGCGTTGGGCTTTAAATGGGTAGAATTTGGGAGGAGAGAGAAGCCTGACAATCCAAGGAGTGGAGAAGCTTGTGGGAGCCAAGATACAGAGGTAAAATAAAGCATACTCTAGGAAAAGCATGTGAAATGACCGAAGACTACTAAAATGGATAGGTGGGGATCAAGCCTGGAATTCTCTGGATAGACAGCTTGTCTCCACAGTGACCTTTTAATGAGTTTTCACACCTACCAGAGTGGGTGTACCAGGAAGGGATAAAAGGAGCAGGTAAGTGCTGGGTCCCAAACTAAAAGTCAGGCTTCATGATGCAACACTGTCTGACCCACTATATCACTCTGGTCCCCCCCCCTTTTTTTTTCTTTTTAATATTTAAAGAAATTGGAGAAGGCTGAGAGAGAAAGGAGGAATTGTTAAGAGGAGTTGCTAAATATAGTCTTGGAAAATATAATTGCCATAATTTCCCATTTAGGTGATTGCCCACAGTGAGTATCAAAAGTCCAAAAGAATTTCCATCTTTCTGAGCATGCAAGATGAAATTGAGACAGAAGAGATCATCAAGGACATTTTCCAACGAGGCAAAATCTGCTTCATCCCTCGGTACCGGTTCCAGAGCAATCACATGGATATGGTGAGAATAGAATCACCAGAGGAAATTTCTTTACTTCCCAAAACATCCTGGAATATCCCTCAGCCTGGTGAGGGTGATGTTCGGGAGGAGGCCTTGTCCACAGGTGAGTATTATGGTGTTAGGATGTTGTTAGATTATGACCAGTTGTTAGATCTCAGATCCACGGGTTATGTGTGGGTCAGTGGGAGTTGCTTTTCCTGTAAGGGATTAATTTGTATTTTGCCTACGTTCCAAGACACCTGTATTACCTGGTTTAGGATGTGATGCCTTTTGAAAACTGTAAAGTGTAAATGAATAATATTGTTGACTTCTCACATATTGTTGCCCTACCTTGTGGGTTGAATTATATATTTTTCCTGAATAATTATTTCCTGTGGTTTCAGTTATGGTCTGCTTGCTAATGAGCATATTATTATTAATGTTAATGAGCACTTATATCTTCTCAACTTCGACTACCTACCATGTGTTTATCTCAGTACATGGCACCACCAGCTACCCAGCTGGCCATGCCAGAAATCTCCAGGTCATCCTTGACTCCCCTCTTTCTCTTATGCCCCACCTGTGGTCTATTGTTAAGTCCTAATGATTTTACCTACTGAATATTTACTGAATCTGTCCATTTCTCTCCAACCCACTGCTACTACTGCAGTCTAAGCTGACATCTCCTCTTGCCTGCATTCCTGGAAAGGCCTTTTAACTGTTCTTTCTCTCCATGTCTTGCATCCTCTCCTTCCTCTTTATTGGTTATTTAAAAGTAATTGAAACAAGATTTTGAAAACACAAATCTGCCACTTCTCTCCCCTCCTTAAAATCTTTCTGTGACTTACTATTGCCCTTAGATTGAAGTAAACCCTCCTTAACGAGGTTCTTCCTAATCTTGGCCCTGCTATCTTTCTATTTTCACATCTTTCTACTCCCCACTTCATAGTCTGAGTTCCAGCCACTCTGAGTATCTCTGTTTCCCAACTCCACTTTGCCTTCTCTACTGCTGGGTCTTAATACATGCTGTTCTCTGGCCAACAGCTGCTTGGGAAGTTTTATCATTATGAAACAGGTAAAGAGATGAAAGCAAAACAAGCTAAGGGTATTATTTTTTAGTATAATGCCTGAAACCCATCTTAGAGGTGTATATTTTTGACTAAGACTTAAGTGGTTGCAAAGAAGCCCTAGCACAACTTTATGCAGTCTTCGCTCAGTTTCTGCCCCTTCCAATATAACACCATAGCCTATAAAGTCAGTATGATGGAGTCAGAGGGGAGAGGGTCAAGGACTCGTAACAGTAGAGGGATTATGTACTTTGCTAGTTTAACTTTCCCTGTATTGTCCAATCTTGGGCTTTGCTAGATGTTAGGCACCAAAAATACATTCAGATCTACCTCCTTCATGTCCTGCATCAATAGGCCAGATGAATGTCAGCATTTTAAAACTCTTTCATATTTTCAAGGGGAAAGATTGCAAGCATTTTAAGGCAATGAGATAATAAGGGAATACAGAGTATCTTGGAGAGCAGCCTAGGTTTATCGAGAAGAAAAGACAGGAAATTATAGCTACTGACTTTGCTCAAACTTAATGCAGCTACTCCAGACTCGCAGGCTTAATGGTGGAACCCAGGATACTGTCCCAATTCCAGTTGACTCTGTTAACAGCTCCTTCAATGCTTGTATCATCTCTATAATGTGCCTGCTAATTGGAATTTTACTTGGTTTCCTCCAGTAACTAATTCCTCTAGAGGCAGCTCATTCCTTTTAGAACAGCTGTGCTCCTTCTAGAACATCTTCTTTGGGTTGAGCTAAAGTGTGTTACTTTGAACTTTTGTGCATTTGTTCTGGTTCTATTCAAGTACAGTGGTGAAAAGAGTAAGGAAGAAGCATTATTTTTCCTTTTAACTTATATTTACACTTCTTGGTTAGGATAATCTCAATCCAAATAAGTGAGTCAATCATTTATGCAGGTTTTTTTTTCTTTTCTTTTGAGACAGAGTTTCACTCTGTCACCCGGGCTGGAGTGCAATGGCGCTATCTCGGCTCACTGCAACTTCCACCGCCTGGGTTCAAGTGATTCTCCTGCCTCAGTAGCTAGAATTACAGGCGTGCGCCACCGTGGCTGGCTAATTTTGTATTTTTAATAGAGATGGGGTTTCACCATGTTGATCAGGCTGATCTCGAACTCCTGACCTCAGATGATCCACCTGCCCTGGCCTCCCAAAGTGCTGGGATTACAGGCCACCGTGCCCGGCCTATGTATGGTTTTTAGCATGTCATTTGTCACATAGGAGCTATCGAATAAATGGTAATTTATTAATTTTAAGCAAGGAAGTCAGAATTATTCATTATAAGATAAACTCATTACTAGCCAAGTAGTTAACATTTCGGTAATTTTCAGCAGATATTTTCACCCATCTACTTTGTGTCAGACACTATTTTAGGTCTGGAAAGATAAGGCCCTGATTTGAAGGGACTCACACTATAGCTGATGAGACAGAAAATGAACATAAACAGAATATCCTAACCTGTATTATATGTCAAATATAAGTGTCAAATGAAAAGATACTGAATATTAAAAACATAGAAATTTAGAATATGGTTCTGAATAGAAAAACGTCCACCAAAAAAACCCCACAACTGGTTGCTCATTTTTTTTTTCTCCTCTATAGTATTTATTTATGCTATATTTGTAGTACCAGTGGCTTTTTTCCCCCATGCATTTTTCTTTGCAGATACTTGCAATCTGGATTGTAAAGGGATAGAGGATTATACCCACAGTTTCTCGAAACTTCAGTCTGGGGTCAAAGCTCGCTGTTGTTGTTTATAGAAATGTTTGAGTAGGCAGCCTCAGCTGTTTGTTATCTCCTAACATCACACTCTGTACTGTGGATTTTTACTTGCATCAGCAACTTAAAATGTGACAACTTCAGTGCTTAAGCATACATCTAGCTTTACAGTGTTTGGGACAAGCTGATCAGAGCTCAGGCTGTCGTTGGTGTAGCTTTTGTTGTCTGTTTATCTTTCTTGTTTGCTCACATTATCAGAGCTTAGAAAAGAGTGAGCTTTTGTGTCCTCAGTTGCAATTATAAGTTCCTAAGCAAAAATTTCCCATGGGCTATTCTTGTATTATATATGTAGCAAAAGAAATAGATTGCTAAATGAAATCGAGGGTCGGATTCTTTCCCAAGTTTATCCTCAAGGTAAGGGCTGCTTGGGCAATTAGATTAGAGCAGGAATTTTTCCAATGCAAGTATATAGTCTGATTCAACCGGGCTTAAGCAAAAATGAGATTTTATTGGCCCAGAGACTGAAAAGTTCACAGAAGGGCTGGCTGGATCAGTGGCATTAGGAGCCAGTCTATCTCTGCCTTTTGGCTTTGCTTCCATCTATATCAGTTTCATTTACTGGTGCCACATGGTGGCCCATAGCAGCTCTAGGTTCCATGGCATCCTTACTGCTAGCAATAAAGAACAAGTTTGTTTTCTAACAGTCCGATAAAGTCCTGGACCTAACTCTTCTTGACCCAAATGGGCATCTTGAAATTAATCACTATGGCCAGAGATATGGAATCGGCTGACTGGCTTAGGCCTGGGTCTTACGTGCCTGTCCCTGACCCATTCTTTGTGACCAGGAAGAAAAGAAGTGCGGATTGACTTAGACTAGGTCATATGCCCAGCTCGGCAGCCCTACCCAAACCACTGAGCTGAGAGTAGGGTGAGAGTGTTTGTTGTGTTTCCAGAACAAGGGGGAATGGATACTGGAGAGTCAAAACTAAACTCACCAATGCTGTCAATCATTTCTGAAATTCTGCAGAATATAATAGGCTCTTTGCAGTCATAGCTTTGTCAGTGCTGATTTTTAACTTATGATCTTCTTGGAGGCTTTTTGGGAATTAATATCTATGTGTAGTTACCTGAGCCATAACTTAATGATCACAACGAAGACTTTCTAGTCCTCAAATAAAACATTTTAAAGTAATTGAGTGGGGCATCATCAAGGACAGAGTCTTTGAACAACCCTTCTAGGTTGTTCATGATCAGTACTTTTGGGAGGGTTATGATTGGTTCACTGTGAGTAGCTCACATTGACTTCATTTCTTTCTTTGTTAGGGTTGCATGGCGTCTGCAAGAATATAATAAAAGATAGTGGGTATGGATTTCATCAAGGCATATTTGATGGAGTCATGATATCCTCAGGAGGCTGGAGAAATTTGGATTGGCTCATAATACTTTATTCAGAAAAGATGTGTAGATCACTGCTCTGTGGAAGGTGTGATGGGAGTATAGCAGGGAACAGCATGGACCTGGTTCCCAGTGTTTTGGAGTTAACTAGCCTATTGTCCTCACAGAAGCAGGTTTGTGCTGGCATGTCACAGGGCTCTCTCCTTTGAGCTGTCCTGTTCAACTTTTTATTGAACTTTTAGCTTTTTTCACCTTTTGTTGAACATTTAGATGTCTCACTGTTCCTTATTTTCAGCATGTCTAAATTCATTCTTATCATTCTTTTTTGTTTTTCATATTTCTGTTAGCAGCCACTTTGTAGACATGGAATTATCCTTGCCTCCTTCCCACCATCTACTTATTACCAGGTTTTTCTTTGTAATGTTTTTATCACCTGTCTTTCTCTAATTCCAGTTTTGGGGGAATTCTTAGTCTACAATTTTCATTCTTCATATCTGTTCCATTGGAATAAACTTTAAATTGGTTTCCTGGCCATATTAATTTTCCCAAAGTACCTTTCTGTACAGGTCATCTACCCTATTCAAGCCTTCTCTGTACGCTGAATAGATCTGTGTACCTGGGCAAACAATGGTTCCTGCTGGTTGTTGTCAAAAGAAGGGACATTGGATGAAATCCAAACATTCAGGCCACTTTCTGGGTCTGACCTCCCTCTCTATCTTAATACTTGTGCCTCCTTGGTACAGCTCCTTATTTCAGCCAAAGTGGTCTGCTGGAAGACAGTATTTCCTAGTAATGGAAAATACGGATTTGAGAATCATACTAACCTGGATTTGAATTCTAGTTTTGCTCCTTTCTAATTGTGTTACCTTGGGAAGATCACTTAACTTCTTAGAGTTTCAGTCTTCTTACCTGTAAGTGGACTCAGACCTACCTTACATATCTGTTATGGAGTTTAAATGAGAAAATGTCTGACTAGTGTTTGGCACATAGTAGGTGCTCAGTAAAAATGCCATTGTTGCTGCTGTGGCTGCTGTTGTTTTTGCTGATGTTGAGTGGTCAAGCATAGGGTAATGTTATGTGCTTTGCTGTGAAAGTGATTTTGTTTATACCATTTTCCAGTCTAGAATATATTATGTGTTTCTTCAGGATAGTCTCTTCTAGTCTGGTGCTTAAGATCACTGGCTTTGGAGTCAGACTGATCTGAGTTTGAATCTGGCCTTTACCACTTGGGCAGAATTACTTAACATCTCAAAGTCCAAATTTCCCCATCTGAAAATTGGAGATAATTACAGTACTGACTAATTGTGTTGTTGAGAGGATAAAGTAAGGTAGTAAGGTGATATATGTAAAGTGCCTAGTACAGTTCGCCTTGTAGTCAGAGATCAATACATGGCAGTTATTAACAGTAAGCAGAAATTATTTCCCCCAAACCTTCCATGGCTGCCTACAATGTACTAGTCCTTTTCTTCCGTAATTCTTATGTACTTGGCACTTTACGTATATTAGCACGTTTTATTAATTCTTTTTGGAAGTATATCCCTTTTCTTTGCTGATAGACTCTTTCGGAGCAGAAACCTTCTTCTAAATCATTTGTATCCCTGGTACCTAGTCATATGGTTTATGTTGTAGACTTTCAGTAAAAGTTTCTTGAGGTGAAGCTAACAGTTTTGAATTCAAAGCGTGCCTGTATAAATGAATAGATTATCAACACTTTATAGCTATGAAAGAAAATCTGGATTTAAAAAACTGTGTGCATGTACACAGGGACACATTAAAAAGTATACTAGAGTCAGTTGTTTTATAAGGCGCTGTAACTTGTTGTTTTTAGAGACAAGGTCTCACTCTCTCACCCAGACTGGAGTGCAGGGGTGTAATCATAGCTAACTGTAACCTTGAACTTCTGGGCTCAAGTGATCCTCCAACTTCAGCCTCCTGAGTAGCCAGGACTACAGGTACACACTACCATGCCTGACTAATTTTTAAATTTTTTGTAGAGACACGTCTACTCTGTTGCCCAGGCTGATCTTGAACTCCTGGCCTCAAGCAATCCTCCTGGCTTGGCCTCCCAGAGTGCTGGGATTATAGGCGTGAGCCACTGCACCCAACCAACATTTTTTATATTTGTGAGTAAAGAGTTAACATCGGTCCCGGACTAAGCTGGGCCTGCCTGGGGGAATAACCTTGAAACTTATCTTCTCTCAGCACTAGTTTTGGGGAAGCCATAGAGTTGTGATAATGTGGGATGTACCTGTACCTGCCTGTTACTGTGTGCTACTACACCTGAATTGGGAGCTGTGAGTTGGCATGGAAGCCTTGGGTCTGTGGAACTAGATCTGTATAAAAGATGGGCAGGAAATGGGAGTTGCAGCTTCTCTGTGTGAAGGTGACCTATGTGCCCCTTGGCTCTTGCTGCACCCTGTGTGAGTGAGGAGGCAAAAGAAGCAGTGTACTGAGGTAGCTGCTGGGCCCTGGATGAGGTAAAGATGCTGAACCTGCCATATCTCCTCTTCTGTGTTCTTCTGTAAGGCTAAGTACATGGAGTAATACTTAGATTGGTTCCTGAGCCCGAGTGCTGTAACAGCTGCTGGGTCAATGTGGTATTCTCAATCCAGTCTCTGGGTTTGTTTTTTATTTTTTGTTGGGGGCAGGCAGTGCAGCTTAAATAACAGACATTTATTTTCTGACAGTCTGGGTATTTTTAATAATATTCTGTGGAGACTCTAACACCACTGGTCCCACCAGTGACTGTCAGCATGTCTATGAGAATGCTTAATTTTTACTAAGCCAAGAAATAAGTAGTTATAAGATCCTACATGGTATGATATTTTAATATGAGTTACAGCTTATCTTCTCATTGAAAGTGTTTCCAAACCTTTAACACGTGTTTCTTTAGCTTAACAAAAATCGTTCTCACTAATTGTATTTGAACTTTTGAAATAAGTTATGACTAAAAGTAAATGAAAGCAATTGTAATTTTGGAATGTGCTTTTGCACATCGCACATGCCATTGTAGGCATTTTGGGTGACCTCCCTCTCTGGACAATTGAGAACATTGCCTCCTGAGTTAGGCACTGTGGGAGGGAGAGTGAACCCTTACTGTCCTTGCTTCATCTTCTTTGTTTTCAGATAGGATAACTGCAACCCAGGGAGGCTGTCACTTCCCCAAGGACACACAGGCAGTTAATGATAATGCGAGGTCACCCAGTTCTGGTTTCCACTCCAGTGCCCTTTGAAGTGCCATTTTTCTTCACACTTCATTCATTAATATTGCTTTACTACCTAGATTTTCTCTCTCTTGACAGCATACTGCATTAAAACCGTTATTCATGGAACAGGTACCCTTGGTAACTGTATGCATGGGAACATTGTCATATTTTCCCAAGGAAGAACTTGGACTGAGTCACATGTATCTAAAAGTACTCTGGTCTCAAAGTTAAGCTTTTTTTTTTTTTTCAGTCATTTTGTATTCGGCTAAATACACAGGAAGAACCAGCTACAGCTTTGATTTATAACAGGGCCTTTCATTTGAATGAGAAGTGCACCCATGATAGGCTTCCTTGGACCTGTTCCAGAATTGTCTATTTTATCTTTTGCAGCGGCTTTAGAATATATCCTCATTTCAGAGAATGGTAATTTACTTCTTGTTAACTCCCAGCCCATTAAGATTAAAAGACAGTTCCTTAGGGGTTATGCCCTGTTATTCTTGCCAAGATGGGCTAGCCTGCTAAATGTTCTACTCAAGCATAATGATTCATTGAATGTACTATTGAACACTTAACTGTCTTTAAAAGGACTAACCCAGGTGACTTAAACCTCGCTACATATAGAACTTCAGGTGTTTAAACTGCTTTTCCAATTCAATTTTTATTTTATCACCTTAATTGAGACATTAAAATGTCTATTAGGTTTCTATGTTTTTGTGTATACATTTAATTCAGAGGAAGGGCAGAATTTTTAAGAGGAGTGAAGTTGGAATTAGAAAAAATAAATTCTTTTTTTAGTTTATTGCTCTGAACCTTAAATTTCAAGCTAGGGTAGTAAAGACCTGTGTGTAAATGAATGCCCAGCTTAAATGCTGCCTCCTCCAAAAGTCTTCTTAGATTTCTTAGTCATATTTAAACACTTCCTCCTGTGTTTTCGCCCTGTATTTTGACACCTCAGCATACCTTTTGTCATTGGATTTGCTTTATTATATCCTATATATGTAGTTTAAAAGTTTTTTGTTTGTTTTTTTTTTTTGCTTTACTACTTGCAGGGATTAGGAGTCCACTATTTAATAGAGAACCCCATTTCATTTACCCCACTTTATAAAAGGTTAGAAAAGTACTCTCCATATTAAGTTTATGGCTTCATGTAACTTTCACCTGATGGTCCTTTAGAGAAACATATAAATAGTCTTCAAACATTTTTTTTTTGGTGTGTTTGGGCTTAGCACAGTGCCCTGATGAATCTGAGGTACCATCTCTTTCTTCAGTAACTTAAATATCCTTTTTAAAGTACAGCTGAGAATTGTATATTGAGTGAATGACTGATAGTATTGCAAAGAAATGCAGATATAATAGCACATGATCCATCAATGTTTATCTTTTATGTTAATCGTCATCTACAAAACCAGATTGTATTGATTATTATCCATAAATAAACAAGCAGAGGCCGGGCGCAGTGGCTCACACCTGTAATCCCAGCACTTCAGGAGGCTGAGGAAGGCGGATCACAAGGTCAGGAGATCGAGACCATCCTGGCTAACATGTTGAAACCCCGTCTTTACTAAAAAATACAAAAAAAGAAAAAGAATTAGCCAGGCGTGGTGGTGGGTGCCTGTAGTCCCAGCTACTCAGGAGGCTGAGGCAGGAGAATGGTGTGAACCCAGGAGGCAGAGCTTGCAGTGAGCTGAGATCATGCCACTGCACTCCAGCCTGGGCGACAGAGCGAGACTCCGTCTTAAAAAGAAAAAAAAGAACAAAAGCAGAATAAACTAATTTACTGTTGGATGAAGTAGGCAGCAAATCATGAGATGGAAATTGAACAGAAACAAAAAATATCTTCCTAACTGCCCATGTCATTACTTTGGGTTAAAGCAGTCAAATCCACTGTAAAAATTTAAGTGTTCTTTGGGTGTAGTGACACAGGGAACCAGAATCACTTGTAAGAAGTCCTGTGATTAATTAAAAAACAAGAAAGAGCTAGGAAAGAAATTTTGATTTTAGTCAGAGTTTTGTGTGTATATATGTGTGCATGTGTGTGTGTATATGCATGTGCTGTGTATAAAATGGGTCATGATGTTTTTCTTACTGAGTTTCTAAAATGTTTGAAAGCCACTGATTTAGGCCTCTGCTTCTCAAGAAGGCATGCATCTATTACAGGCCTTATTGGGTAAATTTTCTTCAACTATTAATTTTACTTCAACATTTTAGCAGAAACAAACCAGAAAAACAAACATATAAACATACAAACCACACATTAGTTTTATAACAAATACAATCACAAAGGTAGCATATAGAAGATAAATAAAATTCACAAATTTTAAGGAAAAAAATTAGCTGGGCATGCTGGTGGGTGCCTGTAATCCCAGCTACTCAGGAGGCTGAGGCAGGAGAATTGCTTGAACCCAGGAGGCGGAAGTTGCAGTGAGCCAAGATCACACCATTGGACTCCAGCCTGGGGGACAGAGTGAGACTCTGACTCAAAAAAAAAAAAAAAAAAAAAAAAGGGTAATAATTTAAAGGTAAAACACAAAATATTAAAGCAAAAACTTTGCCTCTGTGGGCAGGCCTGCAGGCAGACCCTCCAGGGATTTTAACTTTCTCTGCAGTTACCTTAGTGAAAAATTTGGGAAGTACTGGTCATTTAGTGGAATTTCAAAATTCCACTAATGGATGATACAAATGAAAAGCATGATACAAATGAAAATGAAAATTTTTTGTGTTAAATTTTTTTTGATGTGCTGTTTTAGTTCCTCTGTTGATTTTTAAGCTATGTATTAAATTGTTTTTGCAGTTTCTGGAGGGATTACATCTTTTATTTAGTACAGTCTGTTTCAGATTAGTATTCATCTGACTCCAGTAAAATACAGCAACTTTGCTCTTATATAATTCCATTCTTCCTTCCCCATTTATGTTATTATTGTCATATTGAGGCAGGAAATTAAAGAAAGAAAGAAAAAAAAAAAGGGAATAAGCTTTCCTGTGCTAGGCTGACTTGTCCCAGAGGCAGCAACAAGCACAGCTGAAACCCAGGAAAAGTCTTGATAATACTATCTAAGAAGCCAGGACACAGAAGAATGTGCTCTGGAGACTCTCCCACCACTCCCTCCACATAGGGAGAAGAAAAACAAATTTCTCTTTGTTTTACAGTATGAGTTTATAGATTCCTGTTCCCTGTAACTAGTGACTTCTAGTATTCTGTTTTATCTAAGCAGTGGAGTGATGGTCATAAAGCAACTGAGCAGGCCTGAGATACGGCCACCTGGGCACCATAGTGAAGGCCATGGAATAAGCCTTGCTAGGCACTACGGCAAACTAGATAATGGCCATCTGAGTTGCATAGCAATGGTCATGTGTAATCCTGAGTTATGAACCTGTTACAATTTGATTAACCGTCTTGTCTTGCCTCTGTATCCTTGCTTTTGCTTTGCGCCAGTGTAAGCTTGACTCAAGTTAGCCCATCCCCTTTTAGAAGTGTGTATAAGCGTCAAGTGCTGTCTTTGTTCTTGGCTCAGTTTTTGGATGTTGAGTCTGCTGGGTCTGAGTGCACTCAGAAAAGATCCTCCTGGTTTACCCCGAGGTCTCTCTTGTCCTCCTAATTCACACGACAGTATAAGTTACATCTGTATGTACTATAAATCTAACAAATAGTATTATAATTATTGCTTTAAGAACTCTTATGTTTTAAAAAGGAATAGAAGAAAAGAGAAAAAACCAGTCTTTTGTGTTTACCTTCCTACTTACTGTTTCCAGTGTTCTTCATTCTTTCCTGTGAATTCAAGTTACCATCCAGTGTAATTTCCTTTTGGCCCAAAGGATTTTCTTTAGTCTTTCTCAGACAGCTCTGCCAGTAATTAATTCTCTCAGTTTTTGTTTATCTAGGAATGTCTTATTCTGCCTCTATTTTTGAAAGGGTTTTGCTGAATATGAAATTCTTAGTTGACATATGTATTTTTTTTCCTTTCAGCATGTTCAATGTTATTCTTCTGCCTTGTGGCCTCCATTGTTTCTGATGAGAAGTCATCATTCATTCTATTTTTGTATTTCCCTTTTTATAATAAGTTATTTTTCTCTTTCAGCAGTTTGACTCTGATGTGTAAAAATGTAGATTTCTTTTCTTTTTTTTTTGAGATAGAGTCTCGCTCTGTCACCAGGCTGAAGTGCAGTGACATGATCTTGGCTCACTGCAGCCTCTGCCTCCCGGGTTCAAGCAATTCTCCTGCCTCAGCCTCCCAAGTAGCTAGGACTACAGGTGTGCACTGCTACGCTTGGCTAATTTTTTTGTATTTTTAGTAGAGATGGGGTTTCACCATGTGGGCTAGGATGGTCTTGATTTCCTGACCTCGTGATCCACCCGCCGTGGCTTCCCAAAGTGCTGGGATTACAGGCATGAGCCACCGTGCCTGGCATGTGTAGATTTCTTTAGTTTTATCCTATATGGGATTTATTGAGCTTCTTGGGTCTGTAGATTAATTTTTTCATCAACTATAGGAGGTTCTCAGCCATTATTTTTCAAAAAAAATTTTTTTCCTGCCACATTGTCTCTCTTCTCCTTCTAGGACTCTTATTCCATGTATAGTATATTGGTATTCTTGATATTGTCCCACAAGTCACTTAGGCTGTGTTCATTTTTCTTCAGTCTTTTTTTTCTTTTTTCACGTTGGATAATTTCTGTAGATCTGTCTTTAAGTACACTGCCTTTTTTCTTCCATCATCTCAAACCCATTGTTGAATCCATGTAGTGCATTTTTTATTTCAGTAGTTGTACTTTTCTTTTTTTTTTAAAAAAGGAGTTTCACTGTTGTCGCCCAGGCTGGAGTGCAATGGTGCAATCTCAGCTCACTGCAACCTCTGGTCCCTGGGTTCAAGTGATTCTCCTGCCTCAGCCTCTTGAGTAGCTGGGACTACAGGCACGTGCCACCACACCCAGCTAATTTTTGTATTTTTAGTAGAGATGGAGTTTCACCATGTTGGCCAGGATGGTCTCGATCTCTTGACCTCGTGATCCACCTGCCTTGGCTTCCCAAAGTGCTGGGATTATAGGCATGAGTCATTGTGCCCTGCCAGTTGTTGAACTTTTCAACTGTAGAGTTTGATACTTATTGAAAGTTTCAGTTTCTTCATTGATATTCTTTATTTGTTGAGTCATTGGTGTCATATATTCATTTAATTCTAGGAACATTTGTTTCCTTTACTTTTTTTTTTTTTTTTTTGGGATGGAGTCTCACACTGTCACCTAGGCTGGAGTGCAGTGGCATGATCTTGGCTCACTGCAAGCTCTGCCTTCTGGGTTTACACCATTCTCCTGCCTCAGCCTCCTGAGTAGCTGGGACTACAGGTGCCTGCCACCACGCCCGGCTAATTTTTTTTTGTATTTTTAGTGGAGACCGGGTTTCACCATGTTAGCCAGGATGGTCTCGATCTCCTGACCTTGTGATCTGCCCACCTCGGCCTCCCAAAGTGCTGGGATTACAGGCATGAGCCATTGCGCCTGGCCTACTTTAGTTTTTTTGAACAGAATTTTCTTTAATTCTTGGCTCATATTCATAATGGCTGCTTTGATGTCTTTGCTAAATTGAATATCTTGGCCCACTTAGACTTCATTTTCCTTGACTGATTTCCCCCACCTTGATTATAGGTCACTTTCTTGTTTCTTTGCATATCCTATATTTTTTTTGTTGTTGAAATCTTTTTGATAATATCTTGTAGTATCTCTGGATTCTGATTTACTTTTTGAAGTGTTTGTTTGTTTTTTGGTAACTAGCTTGCTCTTAGCCAGTTAGCACATATCTCCCTATGATATGTGTCTATAGATATCTCTGCTCAATTTTTGTGTGCTTATTTATTTTTTGGCCTGGCTTCCTAGGTGCTGCTCCTATGTCCATATAGCTTAGTGGTGAGCCAATGATTGTTTCTTCAAATATTCAAATCTTTTGCCCAATTTTAATTACATTGCCTTTTTACTGTTGTGTTATCTAAGTTTTTTATGTGTTCTGGATAATAAGTTCCTTGTCAGATATGTGATTTGCAAATATTTCTCCCATTGTGTTTTTTCACTCTCTTGATGGTGAACTTTGAAGCAAAGTTTTTGATTTTGATGGAGTCCTATGTAATAATTTTTTGCTACTTGTGCTTTTGGTATCATAGCTAAGAAACCATTGCCTAATCCAAGGTCATGAAGATTTATGCCTCCGTTTTTTTCTAAGAGTTTTATTGTTTTAGCTCTTACATTTAGGTCTTTGATGTATTTTGAGTGAATTGTTGTAAATGGTATAAGTTGGGGCCAACTTATTCTTTTGTATATGGATATTTGGTTGTCCCAGCACTGTCTTTAAAAAGATGATTCTTTCCGTATTGCATTGTCTTGGCATTGTGTCTTCTCTGTTTTTGAAGGACAGCTTTGCTGGAGATAGAATTCTTGGCTGGCAGTGTTTTTCATTCAGCACTTTGAATGTGTTATTTTCACTGCCTTCTGGCCTCCAGGTTGCCATTGACAATTCAGCTGTTAATCTTATGAGGATCTGAGGATCTCTAGTGATTTTTTTTTTTTTTTGTCGCTTTTGTTGCGGGAAGTCAGGGACCCTGAACGGAGGGACCGGCTGAAGCCATGGCAGAAGAACATAAATTGTGAAGATTTCATGGACATTTATTAGTTCTCGAAATTAATACTTTTATAATTTCTTACACCTGTCTTTACTGCAGTCTCTGAACATAAACTGTGAAGATTTCATGGACATTTGTCACTTCCCCAATCAATACTCTTGTGATTTCCTATGCCTGTCTTTATTTTAATCTCTTAATCCCATCATCTTTGTAAGCTGGGGATGTGTGTCGCCTCAGGACCCTGTGATGATTGCGTTAACTGCACAAATTGTTCGTAAAGCATGTGTGTTTAAACAATATGAAATCTGGGCACCTTGAAAAAAGAACAGGATAACAGCGATGTTCAGGGAACAAGGGAGATAACCATCAGGTCTGACTGCCTGAGAGCCGGGCAGAACAGAGCCATATTTCTCCTCTTACAAAAGCGAATAGGAGAAATATCGCTGAATTCTTTTTTTCAGCAAGGAACAGCCCTGAGATAGCCTTCTAGATTCCCTGGAATATGTCGGAGCTTTTCAAAGGCTCCTCAGGACATCTTCTTCCCCAGTTTTTCCTTTTAAGTTTTTTGGTCAGCCTCTTGTTAGCACTAACTGGATTCCTGCCCCAGACAGCTGTGATATTAAACAATTGCCATTGATTTTTAAAATAAATGTCCTAGGGCTAGGGCTTTTTGCATGGAGAGAGCTATGAGTCAGATCAAGTAAAGATAAGACCTGACAATGCACCTTTTCAGGGAACTGCCAGACAAATTAATTAGTGACAGTTTTCTGGGATGGAGCTTTTGTTGAGCTCCAAACCTGTTCTGCCCCTCCATTGGCTGCCAGGCTGTTGGTGGTTGTCACAGCTATTTTAGTTGTAAGGCTGTTGATTTTCAAGTCTACCATGAAGCTGGGGAGAGGGGGATGGGAATGGGGCAAGTTGAAAAGGCACAAAGCTCACTGTTCTTACAGAGAATAAACATTTAGATTGGTGTAAGCCTTTGACTAATTTCTAGAGTTTTGAAAAGTTGATTTTGACCATTTTTCCCAATGTTCTTGCTGGTTTTATTAAGGAGCAGATTTTTAGTTTTCTACTCTGCCATTCTAGAAGTGATTCTGAGCCAGTGATTTAGATAGTAGTTGTTTTCAAACACTGGAATGCATGAAGCTCCACTGATTGATCTGTCTGTGAGTTGCAGAGTGCATTCAAGTTTTAGCACTTCTCTAGTTGTCCTTGGCTGTTACTCTCTGCCAAGCTCTCTCAGATCTTCCCTGCATATCCCTATAGTTTCTAGTCAGCCAGGTATGTAGGAAGAGTTTATCTCAGCCCTTCTATGGACCTCTTATTTTAGTATAGCCACATTACATTCCCATTATGCTCTTACACCAACTGGGATTACAACCTTGGCAAGTAAAGCTGTAATTTTTCCTGTAATATTCCTATGTTTAGCTCACAAAGCCCCCTACCACAAGTTAAGTCTGCCCCTTCTGGCAGCAGAGCTGCTGTTTTTTCCAGCCAGCCCCATATTGGTAAAACTGCCATTCTTGAGGACTGAGCTGGGGGCCTGGGAACCTCACCAGGTAAGAGGACCAGAGACTTCTGCTGTTCCTACTCAGTCTTTGGTCAGCTTCCAAATCCCTGAAATGGCTGGCTTTGGATGATTTTGTTTGATATACAGTATTTTTTTTTTCAGAGAGGATTTTCACTGATTTCTTACCATCATTGCAAAAGGGAATGTTCAGGAGAGGAAATTTCTGATTTTTCAGGGATGTGGTATGTGGGAGAGATGCATAATGTAATAACAGTCCAAATTTCTTGAGTACTTACTACCTGCCAGAAACTGTGCTAAGCAATTATTTTGCATTGCTTCATTTGATTCTTTCCATACCCTGCAGAGGCATGGGTGCTATTAATATCCTGCTCCTCTATTTTATAGATCAGAAAAAAGGCTCAGATGAAGTACCTTATCGATGGTCACACAACTCATGAGTGGCAGAAATAATATTAAGACCCAGGTCCCTTTGGCTGTTAAGACCCCAGCCCTAAACCACTACATCATATATCTATAGCTGGAGCCTGGCACCAGGAGGCGTCACAATGGGATTGAGATAGGGATACAGAAAGAAGGATGGGGACTGAAAGGTGAAGGGTCCTGAAGCCCTGAGCTTCCTCTTTTGCTGTTCTCACTCTGTTTCCTGGAGGTTTTACTGAGTGCCCTGTGGTGTTGACTGCGTCCTACTTGCAAGCCCTGTGGTCTCCCTAATGGTCAGCTAGGCTGGGCCTCTAAGGTCTTTCAGAAGTGCACAGCCCTATGGTGAAAAGGCATCCTTTCTCATGAGGTAACAGACCAGCAGGACTTGCTTTTTGGTCACGACACTGCTGACCAAAACAGGATGTGGTCCAGACAGGATAAAATGGAGAAACCGGCAGAAACCAGCAGACGATGACAAAAGTGATCCCTGGCTGCTGTCATTGCTCATTGGCATAAGAAACTCCTACCAGCACCATGACGATTTACAAATGCCATGGCAATGACCTGGAAGTTACTACCCCTTTCCATGGCAACAACCTGGAAATTACGATCCTTTTGTAGAAAGTTCTAAATAACCTCAATTTGCATTGACCTGCCCCTTAATTTACATATAGCCAAATGTGGGTTTACCTGAATGTTAAATACAGTTGCCAGGAGCCCCTGCCTTGCTGACTCTGGGCTACTGCCTGAGCGCTAGCCCTACTCTGCAAGGAGCAGTACTGTTCAGTCAAAGGCTCACTCCTGAATTCTTTCCCGGCAAAGCCAAAAACCCTCCTGGGCATAACCCCAGTTTTGGGGCTCACCTGTCCTGCATCACTCACATGACATTTCCCTATTTAAACACCCATGATCCCTGAGCCCTACAAGACCAGAAGGTCATAGGGCTCCACAGTGTTACCTGGTAATGTTACAGAATTAGATCAGAGAAAATGGGATTTCTTCATTGTAGTGTGCTTAATGATCTCTGTAAAGAGTATAGCATAAAAAAGCTTCATTAGTTTGAAGACTTATTTTGATTGAACTGCAGGATTTCTGTTTGGGCCTCGTGTATTCTATTAAAATGAAATAAAGTAGCTATACTTAAATTTTTTTTTTTTTTTTTTTTTTTTTGAGACGGAGTCTTGCTCTGTCGCCAGGCTGGAGTGCAGTGGTGTTATCTCAGCTCAGTGCAACCTCCACCTCCTGGGTTCAAGCGATTCTCCTGCCTCAGCACCCCTAGTAGCTGGGATTACAGGTGGCCACCACCATGCCCGGCTAATTTTTGTATTTTTTCGGTAGAGATGGGGTTTCACCATGTTGGCCAGGATGGTTTCAATCTCCCGACCTCGTGATCCATGCCTCGGCCTCCCAAAGTGCTGAGATTACAGGCATTAGCCACCGTGCCCGGCCTATGTAAAAAATTTTAATTTTAATAGCATTTGAAGTCAGCATTTAATTTTCTTCTTTTCTTTTTGTTTAAGCATTTCAAATTGTCACTTCAAACATTATACAGAGTTTCCTTGGTAGTACTTAAAAGTACTATTTTTCTAGTAATCACCTTTAAGTTTGGCATTAATTTTTTTTGTCTGAGAATATTTGTATAATTTTTTTATTCAGCAAAACTGCAAATGAATCGTTAATTATAAAAGAGGTAATGAAAGAAGATAAAGTGGAAATTGAACACTAAAAAAAAAAAAAATCCCTTTGTCTTGAATTCTCCCCTCATCAATTTTCTGTGGGGCATCCCTCTGTAAATAGCTTATGATTGAATTTTTGATATTTGTACCCAACTGGTAGTCTTTTAGTTAGGCTGTTCAGTCTGTCCTCTTTTTTTGGGAATAATGCATGTGTCTGGCCTTCTTTCTGTTACCTTTGTCATCATGTTTTTGGGAGACAATTTTTTTTGTCATTTCCTTTTCTTTGTGTCCTTTTTTCCCTCTAGTACTTCATAATTATGCATTCATTTCTACTATTGGTTACATTAAAATATTTTTAGCCTCAAATTCTCACTAGCATTATAAATATAGTATTTATTGACCTTACCCCTGTGAAAGACAAGAAATTAAATGTGCCTTTTCTTTTCTTTTTTTTTGAGACAGAGTCTCACTCTGTTGCCTAGGCTGGAGTCGAATGGAGCAATCTTGGCTCACTGCAACTTCCACCTCCCAGGTTCAAGTAATTCTCCTGCTTCAGCCTCCCCAGTAGCTGGGATTACAGTCATGTGCCACCACGCCCAGCTAATTTTTTGTATTTTTAGTAGAGACAGCTTTCACCATGTTGACCAGGCTGGTCTCGACCTCCTCAGTTCAGGTGATCTGCCTGCTTTGGCCTCCCAAAGTGCTGGGAATACAAGCATGAGCCACCACGCCCGGCCAATGTGCTTTTTCTTTCTAGCTTTTGTCAACATAAACTGGTGTTTAAAATTAATAGTAGTTTAAAGATGTGTATATTCTTTAAAGAATTTTTTTCATTGACATTCGATTATTTTCTTACTATATTATAGAGTATAGAGAAGAGTCATTTAAACTGAACTGTAAATTTTCCTGGGTTCATGATTCCTTGTTCCTACTGTTATAGCATATCTTCTTTATTCTTGATTTATGTATTTTGATGAATTTCTTGGTCAGATGGAATATTCCTTTAAGTAGTTTTTTTCAGCATGGTCCGTGAGTGGTATGTTTTCAGAATGCTTTTATTTTTGAGGCTGTCTTTGTACACATCAGTGAATTCTTGAATAGGATAGAATTCTAGGGTCACAGTTTTTTGTTTTTGTTTCTTTTGTCCACCCAGAATTCTAGCCCAGGATTTGGCAATTATTTTCTGTCAAGTGCTAGATAGTAAATATTTTAGGCTTTTCAGGCCATGGAATCTTTGACAGCAGCTCGATTGTGCCACTGCAATATGAAAGAAACCATAGACGGTACCAAAACAGACAGTGTTCCAATACAACTCTATTTACAAAAACAGGCAACAGACCAGATTTAGTCTTAGGGCTATAGTTTGTGACCTGTGTTCTAGACAACTAGTCTGTTGTCTTGTGGTGATTAGTATTGTAGGTGAGGTCTGATGTCATTCATGTTTTCCTTTGTAAGAAACTTGTTTTTTCATTGCTTGACTTCTTTTAGGAATTTTTGTTATTTTTGATTTCCAAATTTAATATTCATTAATTTTGTGAATTAATTGGTATTTAGTCATCTCTTTCATCCTAAAGTTTCATGTCCTTTTTAACTCCAGGGAACTATTTTCAACTATCTTTTTTGATAATCCCTTCTTTCCTCTGTTTTTGAAATTATTATTATAGTTACTTTGGTTCTTCTGGATCTGTAATATATTTCTCTCATCTTTTTATCCCCATCACTTTCAAAATCATTTGGGTTTATAACCGAAGTTCCCTATCTTGTCTATTTTATTGATTTGGGTTCTTCTTCTGTCTATCCTGTTATTCCTTTGCCATCATTAACATTTTAAAATTATTAATCTTTTAAAAAAATCTGTTAAGTGAGCCAGGCATGGTGGCTCATGCCTGTTATCCCAGCACTTTTGGAGGCCGAGGTGGGAGGATCATTTGAGCCCAGGAATTTAAGACTAGCCTGGGAAACGTAATGAGACCCCATCTCTACAAAATATTTAAAATTAGCTGGCTGTGTTGGCATACAACTGTAGTCTTAGCTGCTTGGGAGGCTGAGGTGAGAGGATTGCCTGAGCCCAGGAGGTCTAGGTTGCAGAGAGCTATGCTTGCACTCCCACCTGGGCAACAGAGCAAGACTGTGTCTCAAAAAAATAAAACAAAAACCTCTAAGCAATTGTTACAAATCTCAGATTATTCTTTTGTATGACTGTGTTTTCTAATTTTATATTATAGATGCAGCATATTCTCAAATATCATTGTTAAAAGCTTTGTCCTGAAATATGTCTATTTTAATGGGAAATATTTGCACTGATTCTTCAGACTGGTCCTTCTCCCCATCTTTATTGTGAGAGATATAGAATTTAACTTTTAAAATAGTAATTAAATACCACAACAAAGTAAGGATACTTGTGGAGTTGTTTTCTCTTTAAGTAAGTACAATGACTAAAAATACTTCATTTGCCAAGAGTCTGCTTTCGTTCCTTTTGTATATTTTATTAAATGCTGGTGGCATAAATACATACTTACTTTTATTCCTTATGACCTGATGTAGTCACAGTACCCCAAAGTACTGTATGTATTATCAAATAAGCTACCAACACTCACCGTTTTTTCATTTTTCATGAAAAGGTTTACATTAAAAAAAAATGCACCTAGTGTATAGTCAGAGTTCTCAGAACCAATAAGTTTTATGTTTGTGTGTGTGCGTGTACATCTATATTTACATCTATATCTATACTTTTAGGAGCTTTATTATAATGAATTTGCTCATGTGATTGTGGAGGCCTAGAAGTCTCAAAGTCTGCTGTCTGTAAGCTAGAGACCCAGGAAAGGTAGTGGTGTTTACTCAAAGTCCGAAGGACTGAGAACCAGGGGAGCCTATGGTGTAAATTCTAGTCCTTGTGCAGGAAATGTGATGAGATGGCCTAGCTCATGCAGTTAGGCAAGAAAGAAGGGACAAATTCCTTCTTCTGCCTTTTATTCTATTCAGGCCACCTGCATTGAGATGGGCTGTCCACTTTACTGAGTCCACTCATTCAATTGTTAATCTCATCCTAAAACACTCTCATAGACACACATAGAAATAATATTTGGTCTGGGCACCTGTTGGCCCAATTAAGTTGATGCATAAAATTAACCATCACACCAAGAAATACCTCTCCTTTCCCCAAACCCTTCATAGTACGTGCTATATTTCTCTTTGAATCTAAGAAGATTATCTTCTATGAGGAAATAATCTGCTCCACACAGAAACCTGATACAGAGCTCTTTCAATAATGACTCATTCTCAACATCATGAAATTATATTCGAAGTTGCAGAAAATTCACTATTGTATATTGAATGCTACATTGAAATTGGAAAGAAAAAGGTGATATAAAATAAAAGCTATTACATATTTTGTGCTTCTCCCTAATCTGCTTTATTCATTGGAAATTCCTACTTAAGTTTAGTCTGCTTAAAACAAGCTAGATACTTGATTTTGCATGCAACACCTTGGCTGTTACTTTTACTGTCTCCTAGCACTGTGCTACAGACTGCAAAATATTTAGAGAAAATTCAGACCTCGCTCAAAATAAAAAATAAAAAATGCTAGCATGGTCTATACCAACGTTGGATTGCTGGGCTCACTCTCACGTGTGTGATCTCTCTCATTCTCTCGCTCGTGCTCTCTCTCTCTCACACACACACTCCACTCAAAGCTACAGTGTGCATTCTTCTATGATCCCAGTAGATTGTAGGTCTCTGTATTGACTGGAGATACTCTTCCAAGTTGAAGATTTAAAAAAGAACTTTAGATTTTTAGTGCTGATTCTTCATCTTTATATTTAGAAAATTGTCATTTTTAGATTCCTGATAGAAACTTTCTCTAAAACATTATCTTAGTACATTAATTAGAAATTTATGTCCCACATATACTAGCTCTAGTAATTTACTGGTGACTAAGGCATTGTTAAGAAATGTGTTTGGAAAACTTCTGTTGGTTTTTTTTTTTTATGACCATCATTACATTTTTTTCTATTTTTTCATTTATCTACGTTTAAAAATGTTTGGAAATATTTCAGAATTTGATAGTTATAACAAGCTACAAGAGAATAAAGATTTAGCTGGATTACAGAAAAATATCTACTTAGTAATGAGTGAAAATGAGATAAATTTGTCATATGTGACATATGGTAATATACATACAGAGGCCTAAAGAAAACTTCAATGTCCCCCCCTTTTTTTTTTTTTTGCTACGTAATCTTATTTCCTTAGAAAGAGCATATTGATTTTACTCCACTGAGAGTTTGGCTTTCTAAAATCACCTCAACAGTTAATTGATGGTGATAATCAACCAAGAATTGTTCTTCATTTATATAATTTGCTAACTTTCAAGTTCCCATTGAGTTGAGAAAGATAGTGATGATAGCTCTGACAATATACCTGAACCAGTTTGGATAGGAATGTTTAAAAGATGTATTAGGCTATTTTTATCCTGTAGAAACTATAGTTCATAGGAGTGGTGAGTTAGGGGAGGCTGGAGAATGGGGGAAAATGGGAAGTAAGATAAATTGTTGGTGTATGTGGTTTTGCAGATTTGCTTTTTTGGCACTAAAAGAGTACTTTTTTTTTTTCTTTTCTTTTTGAGACAGAGTCTCACTCTGCTGTCCAGGCTGGAGTGCAGTGGCATGCCCAGGCTGGAGTGCAATGGCACGATCTCAGCTCACTGCAGCCTCTGCCTCCCGGATTCAAGCGATTCTCCTGTCTCAGCCTCCCAACTAACTGGGACTACAGGTGCCTGCCACCACCATGCCCAGCTAACTTTTTTGTGTTTTTGGTAGAGGTGGGGTTTCTTCATGTTGGTCGGTCTGGTCTGGAACTCCTGACCTCAGGTGATCCACCCACCTTGGCCTCCCAAAGTGCTGGGATTACAGGTGTGAGCCACCGTGCCTGGCCAATCACTAGCAGTTCTTAAGAAAAAAATGTTTTGGAAGGTCGTGTGTTTGCCCTCGTGTTCTGTGTATGCACGTGCACTGAATAGGAGGCAGTCCCAGGGTCTCGCCTGCTGAAGAGATCCTGCACACCTACTGTCTGCTTGGCTGTCATCCTACTGTATTGTAGAAGCATCCACATCAGCTCCCTTTTTATTTGGGGGTTGTGCCCAGATCCTAACTCTCAACAAGATGTTTTTCATTATGCTTTATCCAGGACACTCTTTCTCACTGCTGTTTTCAAATGCCTTTGGGTTACTTCTGGGAAGTATAGATTCAAACTCTTCCATCAGGTAACTGTTTTCACCAAATAATGTACAGGTAAATATTTGGAAGACATAAGAGAAAATCAAGGGGAAAACTTAGGAAAGAAGGAAACCGTTGAACTCAAATAGTTATCTTCTGGACCCATGATCAGGTCCTCTGAGGGAAAAAACACAGATCCTTTTATTCATGAGAACTGGACATATTCCTGCTGCTGGATTTGTTCTTAGCCATTAGCCTCTCGAATGCCACCATCGCTGTCACAGAGACCAAAAAAAAACAAAAAGCTGCTCCTGTTCCTCCTCCTTAAAAAAAAAAAAAAACTTATAAAATTTCAAACTGCAGTGACTGTTTTCTCTCTTCCCTCACCTTAAAGAGGTTTAGGTTTGCCTGCTATTGGTAGTTCTGATGGGCTCTGTTAGAGATTGTGTGGTTGGTGTTCAGGCCCAGATGAAGAAAGAAGGGAATAGTTTAAATTTGCTACATTTTGTTTTGCTTGAGAAAGATGCAGTAAACTGAGGGGAGAAGGGAATAAGCGATTATTGTAGGCACCTGCCGGAGGGAGCTTTGCCACTGTATGAAGGATTTATTTTCTCCATGGTTGGTTTTTGTCAGCATAGCCCAGTATTTGCAGGGGCAGAAGATCCAAACATGGAGCCTTTGTTAGGATTCATGGCCATACCCACATTTTGCCTAGCACACTGCTGAGGGTAAGCAGGGATGAGGGCTGAGGTGGTCTTCCTCGTTAAATCAGCTTTGCACTAGGTGTCTGAGGCCCAAGAAGGGTCAAGATTTGCTTTTTAGCAACTTGCTGCCCAGAGACCCATCGTTACGATACGTATACCTGCTCCTCCTGGCTGGGGGCTTGACTGCAGTTCCACACTGGTTTCCTTCCGGCTCTTCCCAAGGCAGCCATTTCTTTAACATGTATTTCATTATCAAATTCCCTTTTTCCTAAATTATATCTTGCAGAAATACCTCGAAGTTTCCGACTTAGATATGGCATTCTTTCCTGGTTTCTAATCATAATAGACATTTTTCCCAAGTTTGTTTTCCTTTGTTCATTTCACTGGAAATGAAAGTAGAAAGTCAAATATTTGTGCTAAGGTCTTTATCTTGAATTTTAAGACTTATATTTAAATAATGACAGTTTTACAAGTTCAGGTACATTTCCACTTCGTTTTCTTGTAATAGAAATTGTGTATCTTTATGGATCAAGGTTTTCTTTGTAAAAACAGTGGGAGTTACATTATTGATAACATTTTGAATTTAACCTTTTGAATCTGCAAAAGGTTGCTGTAATATTTTGTTTCATTGTGAACCTCTCCCCTGAAACAAAGAGAAAACACATCACAATATTTGGAAGTTTGCCTGGAGTGAACGTTTATTTTTTTGGGGTGTTTTTCTTTTTGACTTTTTAAAAAACAGTTTTTGTTGTTTAAAAAACTGCAAATGCCAGCCATAAAAATATTCTCTATTCCATCTGCCTAAGGCCAAAAAGAAATCAGAATTAGGCAAATGAAAATCAGGAGCTGAGCCCAGTGATCAATTATGTCCACTCTGCCTTTTTCTTTTCCTTTCTAAAGTGTTGTATTTGTTCACTCACTTGTGTAACAAATATTCTGAGAGTCCTACTGTGTGTGACACTGTGCCAAGCAAGGGGGTACTAACTTGTCATAAGCCTGGACCCTGCTTATGAGTCAAGTTTCTTACACTATATTGAAGTAAGCACCAGAAAGCGTGTACAGGTCTATGAAAGCTCAGTTTCTGGACATTTACTCTCAAGGACTTTTTTTTTTTTTTTTTTTTTTTTTTTTTTTTTGTTGAGATGGAGTCTCACTTTGTTGCCCAAGCTGGAGTGCAGTGGCGCAATCTAGGCTTAATGCACCCTCCACCTCCCGGGTTCAAGCGATTCTCCTGCCTCAGCCTCCTGAGTAGCTGGGACTATGGGCGCGTACCACCACACTTGGCTAATTTTTGTATTTTTAGTAGATATGGGGTTTCACCATGTTGGCCAGGCTGGTCTCAAATTCCTGACCTCTGGTATTTCGCCCACCTCAGCCTCCCAGAGTGCTGGGATTACAGGTGTGAGCCACCGTACCTGGCCCCAAGGACTTTTTGTACAGAGACAGTGACATGGGTAAATTATTAGTAGCTACCCTTTGTCTACTAAGTGCTAAGCCTTATGCTAAGTGCTCTTACATATGTAAGCTTATTACTCATCATGACTATGTTATTATCTCATTTTCACAGTTGCAGAAAGTAAGTCTCAGAGCATTATTTATGGGCATGCCACAGTCAAAAGGCAGAGCCAGGTCTTCCTGCCAGGTCTGCTTTCCCCGAAGGCATGCTGTTTGTGGGATGGCACACGGTGCCTTTCCTTACTGCCGTCATGTGCTGTGGAGGCGAGTAAAAGGAGGGCATGCTCAGGTTATCAGTTAGAATCAGATTCGGCTGCATGTAGCAGAAAACTCCAAAGTATCAGTGAAAACTTCAAAATATCAGTGAGATGCTTGGAAAAGAAGTCTGGGAGTTGTATTTATAGTCTGTGGCTGTTGTACAGGCCCCACAGTCATTAGGGACAGATCCTGCCGCATATGCCATATGGTCCTGCCTGGTATCTCAAGCTTCGGCTATCAACTCTGAATTGTAGTCAGCAGGAGGAAAGAGAGGGTGTTGGGAGAAAAAGAGCATCCTTCACCTTGAAAGTCCCATTTGTCAGAACTTAGGCACAAGGTCATACATAACTACCAGGGAAGGTGAGAAATGTGGTGTTGCGGTGGGATTCATGGCCTCCTGAGTAAAGTTTTCTGCTACTAAGGAGAAAGAGAGAATGATGTCCAGATGGGCAACCAGCAGCCTCTGCTGCATTCAGCTCAAGGCAGGTTGTGATTTCAGTTGGTGTCATGGCCTGAGCTGAGGCTGGAGGCCCACGTTGTGAAGGGTATTGTATGTCACACATCTGGGATTTGAACTTTATTTTGTAGGTGCTGGGAGTTAGTTATTGAAAGACTTTAATCATAGGAGTAACATGACTAGTTCTATGTTTGGGAAAGGTTGTTCTGCCAGAAATAAGGAGGACAGGCTGTCCCAAGGGACAGCCAAAGAAACTGGGAGTGGACCATCCCTTGGGAATCTGATGGATTCGAATGGATGAGAAATGATGACCACTTTTAGAAATGGAGAGGATAGAACAAGTTCTGACATATGCAGCATGTAGAGTCTCCAGGCCACTTGAGGCTGTTGAGGGACAGTCTGGCTTTGCCATCTGCATGTCATGCTCTTAACCTAGGCAAAGAATGCAGAAGAGAGAGGAGATGTAGGGGGTTGGGGGACACATAGTGAATCCCGTTTGAGGTGGCTCCAGGACCTCCCAGAAATGCTGGTAGATGGCTAGTTGGATATATAGCTCTGGAGGTCAGGACATAGGAGATATTGATTCAGGACTTGCCAGAGTATGGTCTTGGGGTGTGCCCTGATATTACAAACAGGGATCTTAGTGGCTAGGTGATGAGGCCATGGCAAATGTAGATGGACCAAGATCAATTTGCCTTTCTAGATGAGGTTTTCTAGGTGAAATGTTTTTGAAACTATTTTGTAGCCTAGTATAATTTATAAAAGTAGAGAGAAACTATAAATATAAATTTGGAAGGGGTTAGCTAAAAGGAGAAAACAGCAGAATCTTCATATATATAGAAATGGATATTAATTTGCTAGAATTAAGAGACTGCAGGTAAAGATAGTTTTTTTAATACCTCTTTTTGCTGTAGAAAGGACAGGATAAAATGATAAAGGGATGCTGGAATGAGGAATGGTAACTTTAGGCAAGATAGTCTTCTGTGAGGGCTGATATGATCAATGAGAGTAAGACATTAGAAATACAAGAATTGTCCTGCTGCTCACCCATCAGCATTTTCAGTTTCTCCTTGCAAAAGTAGTAATTAACTTTGTACTTTGAGCTGTATGTTCAGTTAGTGATAAACCGTAGATAAAAAGCAGATTTAATTGGCTGACCCCAGGTAAGACTTGCCTCTCTCATGTACCCTTTGAAGGTTTAACAAATAAAATTTGAGGGAAAGGTTGATGTTACTTATAGGGTGTGTTAGTTAGTTTTTTGGGGGTGGGAAGGAGGCATATTTATGTGCAAGCTGCCAAATATTTGAGATAAGGACATAGTCTTTGAATGAAAAACAGGGATATGAGAGGATTGATTCAGTTAGCCGTCTTGGCCAACCCAAGTTAACTGTACTTCATCTTAGTCTATGTTGGTGTTAGAAACAACAAAAAGGAAAAAAAAAAGCCAAACAGTAGAGCAACAATTCATTCATTCATAAAAGTAATTACATGCCATCTAACTAATCACATGGTAAATAATTTAAATGGTTTAGAAGGGTATGAAAGAAAAAGTCCCACCCCTCTTCTTCCCAGCCTGTTCCCCAGATGTGACCACTGTTAACATACTTGTGTATCCTTCTAGATATATATATTTGTATCCTTTTAAAAAATTTATACAGATAGGATCGGAGTTCACATTTTGTTTTGCATCCTACTTTTTCACTTGTTGATAAACCATAGAACTCTTTTCATAGCAACACATATAGATTTAGCATAGTGTTTTAAGTGGTTACATAGCATTGATGTGCTCTAAGTTATTTAACCAGTCTTCTGTTGATAGCTATTTGGGTTGCTTCTGTTTTTTAGGTATTACAAATAAAAATAAAAAAGAACATCCTGATAGATATTTTTCTGCATAGTTATGCAAGTAAGTCCATGGGATCAACATCTATCCATGAAATGGCTATGAATTCTAAATTTTTATAGGTGTTTCTGTATTGCTTACTAAAAAAGGTTATGCCACTTTACGTACTCATCACCAACACATGAGAGTATGTTGACCTCTCCCTGAGTGAGTGAATGGCCGAAATAACAAATGAACGTGCATTAATGACTACCAGTTGTGTGGTAGCCTCCATGTGATGCCCTGGAAACAAAAAGATAAATAAGGGGCAGTGGTGTCTGGCCATAGGAGTTCACATTTTGTTGGGGAAGACAGGTGTATGGAGGGGGACGATGGATAAGGAGTGGTTAGGATCAAGGTTTTGGTCTTAGGTGGAGTTGAGTCTAGTTACTGACTGCTGCATACTAGCTGAGTGGACATGAGTAAACCCCTTCACCTAAGCCTCTGATCATTTGAAAATGAGGGTAATAATATCTGCTTCACTAGATTGTTTTGAAGATTAAATAGGAAATTTACATAAAGCTTTTAGTACAATGCCAGTGCATATAAGTGCTTGATGATGATGATGACGACGATGACTATTCCACATGAACTAGTGATTTCAGTCCTGGTGCTAAGGATCCCATTGGGATGTGCCCAGAGTGCTCTGGGAACACAAGATGGAGATTTCTCTTTGCCTAAAGTGCATGAGAAGGCTTCAGAAGGGAAGTTGTAATTAAGTCTTTAACTTTGAATAGTGGTTTGCCATGAGGTTGTATCAGAAGGAAACATACCCCTTTTAATAAGTCTCTCAAGAAAGTACACTGTAACCGGAAACCTCATTAATATATTGAAAAAGTTATTCTCAGAAGAAATTCATTGTGGGCATCTGTGTGAATTTTCAACCTTGGAAGTAACTTAATTTTGTCTTATCAGTATTTCTGGTTTTGTTTTGAAGTACTAATCAAAAAAAAAATCCTTAAATTTTAATTTCTCCTTGCTTCTTTGAAAAGTTATAATGGTTAAAATACACTACTTATGAAAATTTCAAAATATATACTAAGCTTTCTAAAATGTTTTTTAACCTTTCTAATTCATCTTTTGTAAAGTGCTGTTCTTTGCCCCATTTCTTTCCGGGAATTTATCTTTCTCTTGGTATTCATTTATTTTTTTCCAGGTTGGTAACAATTCTTTATATATTAAAAGATTAACCATTAGTCTGTCATGTATGCTGCAAATAATTTGTATCCATTTTTTTTTTTTTGAGATGGAGTCTCGCTCTGTTGCCCAGGCTGGAGTGCAGTGGTGCGATCTCTGTTCACTGCAAGCTCTGCCTCCTGGGTTCACGCCATTCTCCTGCCTCAGCCTCCCGAGTAGCTGAGACAACAGGCACCCGACACCACACCCGGCTAATTTTTTGTATTTTTGGTAGAGGCAGGGTTTCACCATGTTAGCCAGGATGGTCTCCATCTCCTGACCTCGTGATTTGCCCACCTCGGCCTCCCAAAGTGCTAGGATTACAGGCGTGAGCCACCACGCCTGGCCAATTTGTATTCATTTTTAAACCTTTTTCTTAACTTTTTGTATTTTGAGGGCGAGGATACAGATGTTTTAAAATGTTATTAGTAAAGTTTATTAATGTTTTCTTTTAGGATTTTTGCCTTTGGCTTTATTTTTAGGAGTTCTTACTTCACTTGAGTTTATATAAATCATCATCATTTTATCTTAGTATTTTGTGTTTTTAAATATTAAAGTCTTAATCCTTTTTGAATTTTTATTTGAATCCCTATGTATACAGGGAGAGAAAATAAGGGTTTTTTTTTTTTTTTTTTTTTGACATGTATTCTCTCTCTGTCTTCCAGCCTGGAGTGCAGTGGCACAATCTTGGCTCACTGCAACCTCTGCCTCCTGGGTTCAAGCAATTCTTCTGCCTCAATCTCCCGAGTAGCTGGGATTACAGGCTCCCGCCATTATGCCTGGCTAATTTTTGTATTTTTAGAAGAGACGGGCCTTCACCATGTTGGCCAAGCTGGTCTCGAACTTCTGACCTCAGGTGATCTGCCCGCCTCGGCCTCCCAAAGTGCTGGGGTTACAGGCATGAGCCATTGCCCCTGGCTGAGAATATGTTTTATAAAGAAATGTTAGCCAGGTGTCCGAACACATTTAATGAGTAATCTACCCTTTCCCTACCTTTTCATGAACAAAATTCTTATATATGTTTGGGTGTGTATCTGGATGTTTTTGTCTTTTCCAAACTATCTGTGGAATCTGCCTATTTTGGCACTAGTGCCATAGTATTTTGATGAATATAGATGTATAATGGCTGTTCAATGGATTTTAATACCTGGTGGGATGAGTCCTGCCCCATTATTCTACTTTGAAAAATTTAGCTGACTATTCTAAATTTATTTTTTAAGATTAACTGTAAAAGAATTTTGTTAGTTTCTTTTCCAAAATCCCCTTGAGAGCTTGATTGGAATTGTGTTGAATTTGTAGATTAATTTGGGGGAAATGGATTTCTGTGCAATATTCAGTCTTCTTCAGGAATATGGTGTGCCTCCCCATTTATTCCAGGACTTTGCTGTGTTCCTTTGTAAATGCTTTTGCTTCTAGTCATGTTGTTACTGCACTGGTCCTGTTAAGTATATTGTTAAGTGTATTCCGGATCAGTTTATATTTGTTGTTCTTACAAATAGAAATTTGTCCATTGTGTTGTTAAGCTGGTTATTTTTGTCATATAGGAAAGCGTAGGAGCATAGGCCCAAATTTCCAAATGGAAACAGACGTTTCTGAAGTAATTTTAAAGTTATTTTCTTCACAATTTTCTTAAGTTTGATAAAATAAAATATTAGAAGATATAATTTCATAAGAAACTTGCATCTTTGATAACATGTTTTCAAAACAAAGTATTCAAGACTAGGTTTTTAAAGGCTATTTATGAGATGGATTGAATAGTTTTCTTAATTTCCAGCAGATGTCAGTGTTTTACAAATTTATTGTTAGTCCACAGAGACAGATTTGTCTTCAGTCTCCCAATTTCTGTATCCTTTAGTTATTTAATTGGCACATAGGGGATTATCTGAATTGGAAGGGATTTGAAGATCATCTAAGTCAGTTTTTCATTTTGTAGATAAGAGAACAGGCCTAGGTGGGAAATGACTTGTCCGAAGTCACACAAACAGAGGAGGGCTAAAACCCAGGTGTTCTTGTTTCCAAAAGACTTTTCCTTTCTGAAAGACTCATCCTTTCGTGGTTGATACAATAGGCCACCTCCCTAGTGAGGTTTTCCTGTGTTTAACTCCCTTCTCAAGGGAATACAACTTCCTTCCTTTGTACCTATTACCTTGGAACTTACATTATTCTACCCCTTATTACTATTATTTAATAATCTCTTTACAGACAACTGATTAGATGCATTTTTAGCTGACCAGGTTGTTAGGTCCTAGAGGGCATGAATAGTAACTTATCTCTGTGTTATCTGTAGTTCCTTGGGCAGGGCCTTCCATAAAGTGAGTCATTAGTAATGACTATTGATTTGAATCCATTAAATTTTGATTCAAACTTTTTTCTGCTCTTTTCCTGTAAAGCTGTTTTAGAAGGTTTTAGAGAGGATTATGTTTTTTTTTTTTTTTTTTTTGAGATGGAGTCTCGCTCTGTCACCCAGGCTGGAGTGCAGTGGCGCAATCTTGGCCCACTGCAACCTCTGCCTCCTGGGTTCAAGCAATTCTCCTGTCTCAGCCTCTTGAGTAACTGGGATTACAGGCACGCGCCACCATGCCCAGCTAATTTTTGTATTTTTAGTAGAGACGGGGGTTTCACCGTGTTGGTCAGACTGGTCTCGAACTCCTGACCTCGTGATCTGTCTTGGCCTCCCAAAGTGCTGGGATTACAGGCGTGAGCCACTGTGCCCAGCCGGATTTTGGGTTTTAAGAGCAAGTTTCTCCCCCACCAGAAGAGGACTTATTGAAGCAGATAACAAGGCTAGTTGCAGTGAAAAGGCACTTGGAACTAACTGGAAAAGCACATTATATAAAATCCATGTACTATTATTTCAAAGTAATAGGTTACTTTATCATAGACTTGCTGTAATAGAATTTGTTCTAGATGGCACAAGGCTCATATTAGCTGGGCTATGAGTCCTCTTAGGCATGCAAGAAGAGAGCAAGCTGAAGAAATATAATGTACTGTGTAATTTTATTTTAGTTAAATATACTGAACCAGAGAGGTTGCAGGACTTTCAAGTGCTCATTTAACAGTTCAGTAAAAAAATGGTGAAAGACAGGAAGAAGTTTCCATTTTACTAAACTCTTAAGGCTTGGAAATCATACTGTGCAATAATTAATTAAGAATAGTGGGCCAGGCACGGTGGCTCATGCCTGTAATCGCAGCACTTTGGGAGGCCGAGGTGAGTGGATCACCTGAGGATCAGGAGTTCGAGACCAGCCTGGCCAACATGATGAAACCCCATCTCTACTAAAAAAATATAAAAATTAGCTGGGCGTGGTGGTGCATGCCTGTAATCCCAGCTACTTGGGAGGCTGAGGCAGGAGAATGGCTTGAACCCGGGAGGCGGAGGTTGCAGTGAGCCGAGATCGTGCTACTGTACTCCAGCCTGGGCAACAAGAGCGAAACTCTGTCTCAAAAAAAAAAAAAAAGTGACTTTGCGAGCTCATCTTCTAAAAACTGAGAAAAATAGAAATAGCTCCAAAACACCGTTGTATTTCTGTATCTGAAGAAATTGTTCTTCACTGCTTTTAAGAGTAAGCTAGACTTTTTTTTCTTGAGTACACCCTCACATGAATGTGAGCATAGGATGGACTGCCCTCTAGACTCTTCCCTAAATGCCTAATTTCTTTCTTTCTTTCTTTCTTTTTTTGTTGTGGTAAGGAAACACATAACAAAATTTACCATCTTAACCATTTTAAAGGTACAGTTCAGGAGTGTTAAGTATATTCACATTGCTGTGCAACAGATCTCCAGAATTTTTCATATTGCATATCTGAAAATCTATACCCATTAAACAGTTCTTCTTTCCCCCCTTTCTTCAGCCTCTGGTAACCACCATTCTACTTTCTGATTCTATGGGTTTGACTGCTTTCAAGACTTCATTTAATTAGGATCATATAATGTTTGTTTTTTTGTGTGTGTGACTGACTTAATTTATTTCTTGATTGAATCACACAGATAAACAAGGTATTGTCCTTAAATTCTCAGAGTCACTAAGCTTTGATTCTAAAGAGATCTGAGATATTGAATCTATAAATAACTTAAATTTACAAGAAGAAAACAAACACATTAAAAAAGTAGGCAAAGACATGTGCAGATACTTTTCGAAAGAAGACATATACATGGCCAAGAAGCATATGAAAAAATGCTGAAATTTTTTCATCATAAGAGAAATACAAGTCAAAACCACAGTGAGCTACCATCTCATACCAGTCAGAATGGCTATTGGTAAAAAGTCAAAAAATAACAAATGCTGGTGAGATTGTGGAGAAAAGGGAACGCTTATGCATTGCTGGTGGAAGTGTAAATTAGTTCAGCCATTGTGGGAAGCAACGTGATGATCCCACAAAGAACTAAAGACAGAATTACCATTCGACCCAGCAATCCCAGTATTGAGTCTATACTCAAAGGAATATAAATCGTTCAACCATAAAGACACATACTCACATATGTTCATTGCAGGACTATTCATAATAGCAAAGACATGGAATCAGCCTAAATGCCCATCAATAGTGGACTGAATAAAGAAAATATGGTACATATATACTATAGAATATTATGCAGTTATAAAAAAGAGTGAGATCATGTCCTTTGCGGCAACATGGTTGGAGCTGGAGGGTATTATCCTAAGCAAACCAACAGAAGAACAGAAAACCAAATACTGCGTGTTCTCACTTATAAGTGGGAGCTAAATGATGAGAACACATGGAAGAAAGAGGGGAACAGCAGACACTGAGGCCTCCTTGAGGATGGGGAGTGGGAGAAGGGAAAGGATCAGAAAAAGTACCTATTGGGTACTATACTTAGTACCTGGGTGATGAAATAATCTGTACACCAAACCCCTGTGACATGAGTTTACTTGTATAACAAACCTGCACATGTACCCCTGAACCTAAAATGAAAGTTAATAAAAAAGTTATTGAAAAGTTCCATCCACCCATTTTACAGATGAGTAAAATCAGACAAGCAGAGGTTGCCTACAGTTAGTGAAAAATAATAGGAAGTTCTAATGTCTTCTCTGTTTCATTTTTAGGTCCATCTGATTATCAACAACTCAGATGCCAAATAAATATAATATTTAGAAATGCCATTTATATTAAGCTACTGCTGATGTGGATCCTATTTTCTGCAGAGCATTTTTACATATCTGCAGTAAAGAGAGTTTAAATTATATTTTTTTCCAGTAAGTTTTATTTTTGTCAGTATCTGCTAAGATAGGATAAGCTGATGTATAGATTTTTTTTTGTTAAAAACCTTATGGCAGAAGCTGTAAAGTAGGGATTGGCAGGGTGCTTTTTCTGCAGAGGGCCAGATAGTAAATATCTGGGGCTTTGTAGTCCATACAGTGTCTGTTGCAGTGATTCAATTCTGCTGTTTTAGTGTGAAGACAGAGCATGGCTGTGTCCTATTGAAACTTTATGTACAAAATCATACAGTGGACCAGATTTGACTTGCAGGCTATAGTTTGCAAACCCCAGTGGTAAAGTATTGGGACACCATTCCCACTTTTCAGTCTGCAGCAACCTAGCTTGCTTCTTTCATATACAATTGTAGTTGTTTATGGTGATGGTGATGATGATGTTGATTAAGAAAATAATGTAAATCAAATTACTATTATCTGTTGACATGATTTTAGAGTTATTTTCTAGACAACGTAGTAGGCTTAAGATATAAAAAACATACTTAAGAAAATAGCATGTTTGAAGTACCTCTTCAAAAAGAAGACTGGAAATTTTTCTGCATATTGTTAAAAATATTTTTTTCTAAAGGAAAATAGCTTTGTTCTTATAAAGATAAGACATAAAGAATAAATTAAAAATAAGCCCAAATCTCCAAGCCAGGAGTAACCACTGATAATAACCATATTTTGGTCTTTTGCTAGGTGATTTTGGTTGGCCACCTCTAGATCCACTGTCTATCTTTTCTACTTGCTTAGTGGCAAGGAAGACCAGCCTCTGTGGACTACATCAGCAGGCAGCAATGAAGACCAGAGGCTGCAGGGTGTTACCCCTCGCCCCCAGTGCACATCCACACTCCAGTCAGGCAGCCTTCTCATCGCAGCTATGCGGGTTCTTATAACCATGCCCTCCCCAGCCCTTCCCCTTGCACCTTCAGGCCAAGTTGTTGGTACAGTCAGCTACCCCAGGGACTGTACCATCTCTCTTGCTTTCTCTAAGCATCTCCATCTCTTTATTAATCTTTTCTAGTTTCCCTAGTTTGAGTGTGCCTTCTGTCCCTCACCATGGCCCTGACCTGACTGGTACAGACGCTGCATCCAGTTTGACTGATTCCACCACCAAGGCAAATAAGCAGCGCTCTCCCTGTCTGCTTTAATTTCGTAGGGAAAGAACAAAGAGCTTCCACACTTCACTAGAGCTACACTACCATTCACATTCCCAGGCCTGCATTTCCTAGCTGTATGACTTTGGGCAAATTACATCATCTTGTTGGGAAGATTAAATTAAGTCATGTTTGCAAAGAGCTTAGCACAGTGTCTAGCACACAGCTGAATGTGCTGAAAGAAATTATAAAAGAGCAACTTCATTTTTCTTGGTTTGTAAACAGATACACCTCAAAGGAGCCTTTTAAAGAGAAAGGCTATTTCTAACAGAGGAATGCTTTCCTATCACACGTGTTTCGGAGACTGTATTTCAGTGAGCCATCACGGCTCCTGCTCTGCCTAAGGCTTGAGCAGTTTCTTACGGACCGCTCTGCATGTTTCTAGCTGACAGGAGGTGGCAGTAGAGAGCTAGGCCCACCCTTGCACATGGTTTGGGCTGATAGGAAATCTGCATGATAGCTCTTGTAGTGTTAGTATTATGACTCAAGAAATAACTTTCAGAGTCAACAGAAGGAGGATAGGCATTATTCATATCCCCAAGTATAATACAGCTAGAATTTATTGAACACTTACTAGAGTTTTATCTCCTTTATTTAGTCCCTCTAAAATAGCATTATTTTTATCTGAAGAAGAAATTGGGTTTCAAAGAGAATTTCAGTAACTTTACTAATGTTTCTTAGCTAGTAATGGTTGTTATGGGATTCAAACCTGGGCAGTCTCTGTAAAAGCCTGCACAGATAACTGCTGTGCAGGACTGCCTCCAAGGCTCTTGTCCTTGATGTTTGTGTTTAAAAAATATAAGGATGATATTTTTTAAAATTTGGTTCCATATGCACATGATAAAAATGTAAACCATATAGAAGAGTACTATGAAAGTGTAAAATAGTCTTCTCATCCAAGTCTCCTGTTCTTTAATACTTTGTTTCAGAGGTAGCCACTCTTCTTTCGTATCCTTCCTGAGATATCCTTATAGGGGTGAACCTGTATTATGGGTAGAAGGATTGGTTTCTATAACCCATTTTATCTTGACTCCTGGCCTCTTGTCCTTGATATTTTTCTAGGCTCTTTGGATTAGGTAGGAGGAAAGTGCTGCTGTGAGATCTTCAGCAGCCAAGTCACTAAATATTATCCACATTTCTTATTAGCTTTTTCAGCTTTACTTAGAAGAGTCTAAATTCCTGTCACCTCCTGCTTCCTTCATTTAAACACATAGTGTTCATAAGATTGAGTGAAAGCCTTGAACCCATAATACACTTGGGTTTTAAATATAAGATGCACACAGATTGTCTTATATTCTGAATACCTCAGTAACTGATTAGCAGAATGACCCGTGTCATCCAGGGATACTAGGAGAAGGGCCACCTTACATGGTGTTGGTACTTATTTCTAATGCTTTTGTGACAAATATGGTCGCTGTATTCTGGTGCAAATGTTAGTATCTGTGTTAAAAGAAAGAATTTTATAGTAAGAATGCAGAAGTGATCAATTATGGTGGTCATGTCTTTAATAGATGATTCTCACTACGGTGTGTTTGATTCAGTGTGAATATTCCCAGATGGCCAAAATAGGTTGTGACCATTCATAGCAGAAAGAGTGAAGGTATGTTTACAATGTAATTTTTAAAAATTAACAGTCTATAATAATAGGTGGCTCAGTTAACTCCTCCTTAAGTATGTTATAGATTTGCAGGGAACCATGTTTTTTAAAAACCCAATTTTTGTATATAATCAGAAGTTGAATATATTTTATTACTGCAGTCATGTAAATGGTTTTGTTTATTGCCTTGTATGTGCTGTACTGTTTTATATGAAGAGTGATTCAAGGAGGTTGTGCTTCAGTCTGTTCTTTCTAAGGCAATCATAATGAGTTCAAAACATATGGTATTGATTTTTGACAGTTCTGCCTCAAGAGCTATCATGAATTATTGGTTCTGTATTTTATTTTAGGATTTCAGCTTCTTCATGTTTTAGAAGCATGTTTGATGGAAGTACCTGTGTCTCTCTGTAATCAGCCACGTGGCCTGAGGAGTAGGCATGCAGCAGTTGATTAAGTTGACATTTGGTATTAATAGCTTAGAGACTCTTTACATCATAATATGCTTATCCATTCTAGATTTTAGGTGAAGGTAATTTTGATGATGTTTCATAGCTAATAAGTGGTAGTGCTGGATTCAGACCCAGGCAGCCTGTCTAGAATCCTACACACTTAACCCCTCTCCTGTACTACCTCTAAGATGCTTGGCCTTGTTGTGTTTCCTCCATACCTTTACTTAATCTCATTTGTATCTTTTGGTAATAGGAACCATGTATATTATCCATCTGGAACAGCAAGCCCTCAGCTTCACCTCTTATGAGCTGAGTCTCTTATGAGTTGAATGACTTTAGGGAGTAATTTGACCTCTCTGAGCATCAGTTTATTCTTTTGTGAAATGGGGATAATAGTTCCCACCCTCCTGCCTCCCTAGGTAGATGTACTGACCAGCTGGTTTTATTCATCCTTCTCTTTCCAGGATATGGCATCTTGGCTGACACATCGTAGGCGCTTTACAAATGTTAGTTTCTGTGCTCTCCTTCTCTTCTAGAAGCAGGACTTTGGTTAAGAGTTAGGTATCTCACAGGATAATCTGAACAAGTCACTCCTTGGATATAGTCAGGAAGCTAAAATAAATACAGCAAGGGGACTACTCATTATATCCCTTATATCCTTCACTGTCATTCTTTTTTTCACGGTAAACAGAACTGAGCTCAAATTCTCTGGGGAAAGACAAAAGCTCTGTTCCTAGAAGGAAGGGAGAAGGATTCCTACTACTTAATGGACCACAGGCATTCTTACAGTATAGGATAAGAGCTGGTCACACCAAACTGCATGGACTGGGAGGACTCAATGGAAGTTTAAGATTTGTGATATTATGATTGTTATGATAAATAAGTTAACAAAAAGAGTAGAAAACCCTTACAGGAATGAAAAACAATGTCGCAGGAGCAAAGGTGTGCAGATAGGAAGGTGCCCACATACCTCTTGGGCTCTAACACTTATTTTCAGCCTTCTTTTCAGTATTACAGTAAAGACAGTCCACTAGCTGAACTGATTATATTCTGAAAAGCTCAGGACAGGGAGTCTGAGTTCAGGACATCTTAGGAGGTGTCAGGGGCCCAGGCTACCTCGCTGCCAGAATTAATAAGAATGTTTTGTACGGTGAACTGAATCCTCAGAGCCTAATACTTCTGTCTCAGGAAGTAGAGGCATTTATAGAATCTTACTTCTTCATTTTTTTTCGAGGCCTACTACCTAGGCTTTTTTCCTGGTCAACGAAGATTCTGCAGCTCAGCATCTGTCCCCATCTCTCCACTTATATTATCCTTGCCCCGGTGATTCCCTAGTTGCCAAATCTAATAGATATTTTTGTGTCCTTACCTTACTTGTCCATTCTGCCACATTTGACACTGCGTCTACTTCTCTCTCCCTGAAACTCTCTTTCCTTATGTTCTATGATGGGGGTTATCACATTGCAGCCCCACAGGCCAAATCTGGCCCTCCACCTGTTTTTGTAAATAACATGTTATCAGGACACAGCCACACTCATTCATTTACATTTGTCTTTGGCTGCTTTCATACTACACAGCAGAGTTATGTTCTAACAGAGACCCTAAGGCCTGCAAAGCCTAAATTATTTACTCTCTGGTCTTTTGTAGGAAAAATGTGCTAATCTGCATTCTATAACCTCATTCTCCCCTGGTTTTCTTCCTCTTTTTTTGGCTCTGCTGAACCCCTTTGCTGAGAGAACATGTAAGAGCCAGTTCTAAGGTAAGATTGTAAAAGCTCTGGTCAAAAAATACTTGAAATATTGGAGAAACTATACCCCTTTCCCTGCTACCTGGTTCAAGAAATAGTGCCTGAGATTTCTTTTTAAAAAAATAGAAAGGTATCCTAATAAATACAATTGTTGTGAACAGATATGTTGCATTATCTAATACAGTTTTCATGACCAGCTCCATTTTACGGATGAGAAAACAAATGGAAGCACAGAGATTGCAGTAGCTTTCCTATGATCACACAGCTAAGAAATAGCCTGAGGGCCCATGCCCCTAATCACCACATCAGACTGCCTCCAGAGGGCACTGCTGTTTCAGAGCCAGCACCAAATGAAAAGACGGAAGATGTTTTTGAGCAAATAAATGCAGTATGTGGGGTTGGGTGAGTTTTCCAAAGGTTAGCTTTGTAGTTTTGGAATGCAAGATCACATTGGAAAGGTAGCGAAGCCTGGAGAAAAACACTCAACAAACCATGACTCTGCAGAACAATCTTATGACATCTAGAGAGCTCTGTGCCCACTAACACAGAATGTGAAGCAAGTGCACACAGGATTAAAATCAGAGCAGGTTGGCTCTTGCACATTGCACTGTCAGTGGACGCTATTAATGAGTCTTTGGCGATTTGAAAACAGAGCAATGCCAGAGGCATATGCAGAACTGTGCACGGACTAAGGTTTTTCTTCTGTCTCCCCTATTGAATTCTGACCTTGTGGTGTGTGAAGGTGTCTCTGGTGTCTACCTCTATTAGTGGGACCAGTGTGTGTGAGGGAAGCTTGTTGAGCCTCTGCATGATTTTTAAGCCCCACTGAGCTGTCACCTTTGAGGAGGAAAAACATCCAGCATAGTGTTCCCAAAGTGTGAGGAGCCCCAGGGGTGTGTGTGGGGTGGGTGATGCATGTGGGGATGGTGGTAAGGCACAGGAAGAGCTTCAAGGATGACAACAAATAAAGTCAAGCAAAGAATACATGATGTGTTTCAGGGAAAACACTTGGATTTAACAAGTAGCAGAAGTGGGAGAAGACTAGGAAGTATATCTTAAGGACCTGAGGCCAGGAGCAACCTGTGATCCCCGTGGTTGAAGGGAGCAGCAGGAACAGTTCTGTGGGCAGGGCTACAACAACAACACCGCATGTACGATGTAAGGACCTCCACCTAGGAAGGGCTGTTTCCGAGCCTTAGTTACCTGGGAATCCAAAACCATTCTCGTCTTGCTTCTCAAGTGTAAAACTCATTTTGAAAAAGCAGCCATACAAAGTTATATTTTTATTATTTTATTTTATTTTTTTGCCTCTTTGAGCCAAATTTATGTACTTCGGAATTATTAAAATAGAGGATGTCATGCTAGGATTGATCCATTCTGCAGGCAAAATATTCATTTTTCAGGGTTTCTTTGGCCTAAAATTCTATTAAAATCCAAGGATGAAAGAGGAATTGGAAAAATTATGGCCCTCAAAGAAATTTTCTGTCCAGTGAGGGAGACAGAGACGTGTACCATCAACTGTGGTACAAGGTAGACTTCAGTGAGAGCTGTGATCAAAGTACAGGGAGTAACAAGAAAAGAGGGAGTAGATTAACTCTCGCTCAAGGGATTTGAGAACGTTGTTTTCTTATCTCTGTTTCATTTCTTCATTCTTTTCCTCCAACTACCTAAATGTGGATGTTCCAAACTTCTGCCTTTTCTTTCTTGTGTATTGTATCTGGTGGGAATCCTGACTATTCTCTTGGCTTCTCTTTTGGTCTCTTTGCTTTTTTAAATTTTTTATTGTGGTAAATAACATATAATGTGAGATCTACCCTCCTAAAAGTTGTAAGTGTCTGGGAAAGTATTGTTAACTGTAAGCACAGTTGTACAGCAGATCTCTAGAACTTTTTCATCTTCCATGAATGAAACTCTGTATCCATTGAATGGCAACTCTCTGTCTCCCCCTTTCTCCTGCGCCTGGTAACCATCATTCTACATTCTGTTCCTAAGATTTTGACTACTCTAGATACCACATGTAAGTGGCATCATAAAGTATTTGTCTTTTTGTGGCTGACTTATTTCACTTGGCATAATATCTTCCAGGCTTATCCATGGGTTGCATATTGCAGAATTTCCTTCTTTGATATGGCTGAATAATATTCATTGAATGTATGTACCACATTTGGTTTGTTCGTTCATCCATCGATGCATACTTGTTTCCATATCTTGGCACTTGGGAATAATGGTGCAATGAACGTGGGAGTGCAAATATCTCTTTAAGACCCTGACTTCAATCCTTTTGGATAAATACCCAGAAGTGGGATTGCTGGGCCATATGGTAGTTCTACTTTTAATTTGTTGAGGAACCCATATACTCTTTTCTTTAATGGCTGCATTATTTTACACCCCCACCAGCAGTGTACAAGGGTTCTGATTTCTCCACATCCTTGCCAACATTTGTGGTTTTCTATTTTTTGGATATTGGACATCCTCATGAATGTGGGGTGGTATTTCATTGAAGTTTTGATTTGTATTTCCCTGATGATCAGTGATGTTGAGTATATTTTCATATGCCTGTTGGCCATTTGTATGTCTTCTTTGGACAAATGTCTGTTTAAGTCTTTTTTTTTTTTTTTTTTTTTGAGACGGAGTCTCACTCTGTCGCCCAGGCTGGAGTGCAGTGGCGCAATAGCTCCACCTCCCGGGTTCACACCATTCTCCTGTCTCAGCCTCCCGAGTAGCTGGGACTACAGGCGCCCTCCACCATGCCTGGCTAATATTTTGTATTTTTAGTAGAGACGGGATTTCACCATGTTAGCCAGGATGATCTCTGTCTTCTGACCTCATGATCCGCCCGCCTCTGCCTCCCAAAGTGCTGGGATTGCAAGCATGAGCCACCGTGCCCATCCTGTTTAAGTCTTTTGCCCAGTTTTTAATTGGGTTATTTGGTTTTTTGCTGTTGTGTTCTAGGGGGTCTCTGTGCCTTTGACCCCAAATCTCCATGCCTGTACCTGGTGAACTCTACACTCATGTCTTCTGCTACTCCTCAGGTTGATCCTTCTGTCCAAGCGAGTAAACTGCTCCCCACTCCCTACTCCCTCACTCAGCTCTTGCCACCTTTCTTTTGGTTTCTGAAAGATACTTAGACCCAACTCTGACACATCTTAAAAATCCAGGTCAAGTTGAGTTTTCCATGAATTCTTCCCTGACCACCCAGCGTTTGCTCTCCCCCTGCTGGGGTCTCTAGTATTTGTCCCTGTTGCTTTTGGGGCATTTGGCAGAGACTGCTGCCGTGCATTGGAATGGAAATTACATGCGGTTATATTTTGTACTAACTGAACTGCCATTTCATGAAGGGAAGAGACTGTGTGTCCTCCAGAGGACCTTACAGAGCACCTTGCCATACTGTAAAGAGGCAGGAATCCTTAGAAAGGTTTGCGCATTGTGTGTTCTAGGTATAGAAGACAGAACTGAACTTCAAGCCTGATGGTGCTCTGGCAACAGAAAGAGGACACGAGGGAGTAAAGTCCAAATTCACAGTCCACTGTCAATCCCAAGAGGGACAAATGAGCTGGACAGGAACAGGGAGGAAAGACAGAGGTCAGTGACCAGGACCTTTTTAGAAAGTTGGGATTGGAATAGACAAGGAGGTTTACAGGGGAAGGTCATTACTGTAATCTGAGGCATGCTTTGCTGGATTTTGGCAGGCAGGGGTGACCAGGTGTATGCTGGGAGCTAGAGAGAAGCTGAGTTCACCTCACAGTTCTGCAGGTAGTCAGAATATCTGCTGATAGTGGGGGCTAGCCATGTTGGCAGTCTGATCCTCTCTACTCTGAACATGCTGTTCTGGAGAATTCATGGCTTCCAACCCTGGTATATCTTGCCAGCAAATGCTATATGAATGGTTATTCCACAACTAAGCTATAGGTCACCCAGAAACCCCCAGGACAGCTGTCAGGAGGCCAAGACTCAGTATAAGGAGGCTACAGGGCAGACTACTGGGTTTGACATGTAATGTGGCTCTTATGCTGACACTGGTACCCCATGTTTCTTGCCAGAGGCTGGAGTACCATTCCCTCATGGAGGTTCTTCACCTAGTGACCTTCATTGCCATCTTCATGGGAATCCCCACACACCCTTACTGCAGTTGGGTTTTTATAGCCTCCAGGACCCTGCCTCCCACCCTGAGCTCCAGCATTCTGTCCTGATAATGTCATAGCCAGTTCTGGTCTTCGTGTTACTTGAGAGGGTTGTAGCCAGAGAACTAGTTGTGGGTCCCCATCTTGTACCTTTCCTTGAGTAGGTCAAAGCCTGCTCTCACACGAGTCTGGGGAAGCCCGGCAGCCTGGCCTTGCCTCTCCAATGGGAGGGGAAATGAGGAGGGAGTAGGCTGTCTGAACTGCTTGGTATGCCTGACAGTGGACTCTCTTTCTGCTCACTGACCCTGAGAAACAGCTTTGTCCTTTATGGCTCCTCCTTGACTGTTTCCCGCCCTCCAACTGTCATTATCCTGGGGTATTGATTTCCAAACCTGACAGGTATGGAGAATCACCAGGATGCTAGAAAAAAGAGGGCCCTATCTCTGGAGATTCTCTGTATTTAACTAGTTATGAATGAGGCCTGGGAATCTGGCACTTTTGTACAGATATATGTAAAAGATCTGTTGAGGATGAATAAGAGACTTAACTAAGTTGCTGAGTACGTTTTATTTCCTTTTTTGTCCAACTCTGTGCTTTTTGGATATTAATGGTCACACATTGTTTTTAGAAATCAGAGAAAGAATTGATGTCATTACAAAACAAAAAACACATCCTGAAATGATCTTTCAGAAACAATTAATCCTCTTAAATTTGTTCCTCTTTTCCGCAGGGGGACTTGATCTCATCTTCATGCCAGGCCTTGGGTTTGACAAACATGGCAACCGACTGGGGAGGGGCAAGGGCTACTATGATGCCTATCTGAAGCGCTGTTTGCAGCATCAGGAAGTGAAGCCCTACACCCTGGCGTTGGCTTTCAAAGAACAGATTTGCCTCCAGGTCCCAGTGAATGAAAACGACATGAAGGTAGATGAAGTCCTTTACGAAGACTCGTCAACAGCTTAAATCTGGATTACTACAGCCAAATAATCAGTGTTTTATATGAGAGTAAAGCAAAGTATGTGTATTTTTCCCTTGTCAAAAATTAGTTGAAATTGTTCATTAATGTGAATACAGACTGCATTTTAAAATTGTAATTATGAAATACCTTATATAAAACCATCTTTAAAAACCAATAGAAGTGTGAATAGTAGAATATTAATTAAAATGGAGGCTATCAGCCTGTGATTTTCAGCTTAACTTCCTGGTGTTAATGTGACAAGTTGATCTGTCTACTTTGCAATTTAAGTTAAATATTTATGAGGAACTGTGCTCCGACTGAGTGCGAGAGGAAGGTAAACTTGCGGGAGTGGGCACTGTATTTCATTACGCCTTTCATGACCTGGTCTGTCCTGGCAGGCACATGGAGACTTGGGGACTATTAATTTATTTGTTGGTATTTGCTTTGGATACAGAATTCCCTAAGAATATTATCTCACTTCATCATGACTTCCTTTACCCACTCTAGAATTTTATGTTGGACACTTTGTAGCTTTTGGTGGTTAGTGGAGGGAAACCTTTTATGATTTAAATACTTTTACTCCACTGATTGGTTACCATCACTGCATGTATCAGCCCTTGATGAGTTTAAGATCTAGTATCTTATAAGTTAGAAATTATTTCTGTTTACTCATGGTTTCTGCTTTGGAAATGAAATTTGCTGTGAGTTGAAAGTTGGCAGATGGCAACACAGCTAGGGAGCAATAATTTTGTTGTGGGGAGGATTTGGTCATCTCCAGAAACCCGGGAGTCACGTGGCTCTCTTACTCACACTCCATGTCCATCCTGTCACCAGGTCTTGTTGATTTTGCCTCTGAAATGCCTCTTAAATCTATTCTCTCCTTTCAATTTTCCTGTCACTCCTTTTGTCCAGCCTTTTAGCATTTCTAAGCTGGACTAGGCGAGAGTGTCACACCTGCTTCCCTTGGCTTCCATCTTGCCTCTTCCAGTTTATTTCTCAAGCTGCAGTCAAACTGATCTTAGAAAACACGAATCTAATCATGCAGCACCCCTGACTAAGGTCTTCCGGTGGCTGTTCAGAGCCTCTTGGGTAGCAAACAGATGGCTTCTGTTGTATACAAAGCCCCTTAAGAGAGGTCTCCTCATCTACTTTTTCTAGCCTCTTCTCTCCCAACTCTGTATTCTCCTGTAACACTGACTGAGCACTGCAGGCTTCTGCCCTTTGCACATAGTAAGCATGCATTTCTCTCTGTCTGAAATGCTCTTTCTGTTGTTCATCTAGAAGACTGTTTTCCCTTGAAGACTCAGCCCTAGCATCACCTCTTCTGTGAAGTCTTCTGCTACTTTCCCAAGCAGAGTGAGTGTTCCTTCCCTTGTCTGAGTGGCCTTGGCCATTGATGTGCTTATCATGTTGTCTTACGTATCAAATTATTTGTTGTCATATCTGTCCCCTTCACCATACTGTGAGCTCCAAAGAAAAGAAGTGATCTTTATACTTCTTATGCTTAGTACACAACTAGACATATAGTGTGTGTGTGAGAGAGAGAATTTTTTAATGAAATAATTGAATACATTGGAAGTGTTTCATTCAAAATACTCATCCATTATTCTTTGGATAGTAGCATAAATTTGATGTTTTATGTACAAAAGTAAAAACATTTGAAAAATATCAGGCTGAATATGGGTTTGTACAATATAATATGTATGATGAGGAAAGGGAAGGAAACTGAATTCTCAGAAGCTATGAAGTCACATTATTGTACTGGTTAAAAATATTGTTAAGTATTATTTCGACTATAAGGTTAAAGTGAATGTTAATGTAGCTGACATGACTGTTGGTGTGAAATGGTAGAGCAGTAAAATTCCTGACCTGCTGCAGGTCTAGAAAGTTTGGCATTGTTGAACTTAGTCTATGTTATTCTTCTGTTAAATGAGAGCATTTAAAAACCACTCTACCAGCTCCTCAAGTGCAGACAGAATGCCGAGTTAACTGGCCAGAAAATGCAGGGTGCTGAGATTCAGGAAAGTCAGAGGGCCACAGGATCTCGGCCTGAAAAGAGAAGCACTCCCTAGTGATCACTAATGCACAGTAGTCTTTGTGCAGGGATATTGGAAGGGAGAAAATGCCCCTATGATGTAGGTGATTACAACACTGTAACTCTGATTAGGGCATACACAGAGGCTGAAGACAAGGCCTTAGACTCAGGAGGCAAGCACTTCAGTAGAGGCTAACATGAAGCAAGAATGATGAGCGTCTCAGATGAGGGGACAATCTGAGTAGAAGAGAAATAGCAACTAGATCTGCACAAAAACAATTTCAAATATTGGGAAATTGGAAATATATCAGGGCCCCAACATAGGTCTGTGTTTGCTGTATGTACTATAGAACTGTGCTTAATTTAATTAGAAAGTAAACTATATAAAGTTCTAGTCAAGAGCATTATACACTTAATCACAAAGTCTTACTAACTAGGAGATTGATAAATGTGACTAGGCGTGAGTGTCTTGCTGCAGACAGTTCCTGGTCCCAATTTTTTTTTTTTTTTCCTGCAGAGATCATTGAAATTCAGTTGATCACACTGCTCTTTAGTCATATGTTTACATGCTTAATTTCTCCACTACCCTACAATCTCCTCAAAGGCAAATTCTCTGCCAAGTTCATAGTTTATTCCAGTATCTACCACAGACACAAAAAATAAAGAGCCAATAAATTCTTTTTTTAGTTGTTCCAGCAACATTTATTGAATATGTAACTTTATGTCTGTTATAGATTAAGTTCTCCAATATATGTGAATCTGTTTGCTGGCTTACTTCATTGTCCCTTTGTTATGTTTTTCTGTCTCAGCACCAGCCCCACATTGCTTTAGTTCTCATAGTTTTAAGTCTTGATGGCTATGAGGGTAAGCCTCCTTCCTAATTCTTCTTCAGGAATGCCTAAGAGCCAATCAATTCTTGATGAAGGAATGAACCAGTTTGAATATTGCCCTGCCTGTGCTGTGCACTTGCTCATTTTTATGTTGGTTGCTGTTTGCTGCTGAGATTCTGTCCCCTTAGCATTGTCTCAGGCTTGGATTATCCCAGAACAAGTTTTCTATTACTGCATTGCGTTGTGTTGGGCAGTCCATGTGTGTGTGTCACATTGTCTTTCTGTGCTACTTTTCCTTCTTAGTGCTCTCTTGTTTGCTTTTTAGGGTTGTCTTCTTCCCTATTCCTGGATGATTGTAGACCTCCTGCCCTTTAATGGTAGTTGCCAATCCCTGTAAGCACCTACCCCCAAATATGTTTATTTATATGCTTAAAGTAATAATAAATTTTTCTGAGTAATAACATACACATTATAAAATATACACACAAGAAGTATGAGATAATGTTGAAATAGAATATATGATATATAATTTATAATATACTTGTTTATATATATTTTATACATATATAAATAAGTGTAATATACTCATTTTTAAAAAGAGCAATATGATCAAGAGCAGCATGAGATGATGTTGAAGTAGAATATGTTATATATAATTTATAATGGACTTTTTAAAAAAGCAATATTTTTTAAATGAAATCTTTTGGACATTTACTATTTTTGAAAACCTTATTTTAACACCTTTTGAATGATTCAAAATTCTGGTTCTAATTTCAGTTTATTTCAATATTTGGTCTTAAGGGCTGTTAGAGCTGAAAAGGATACCTTCTAGAGAAGCAGATTCAGATGGAAGGAAAACTATACCTACTAAAATTTTCAATCCTATTTACCAATTTTGCAAAGATAATTTTTTTTTAATTTAAATCTGGCTGGTAAATATCCATTTTCTTGATGTGAATCTGTCATTTTTGCATGTTAATCAGAAGGTGCTACACATTTACTTTGTTAAAAAGTAGGGGCTGGAGTTCGAGGTTACAGTGAGCTATGATTGCGGCACTGAAGTCCAGCCTGGGTGACAGAGCAAGACCCCGTCTCTAACAACAACAACAACAACAACAACAACAAAAACATAAAAAACAAGTAGGTTCGAAGCTTACTGAAATTCTTTCAAAGATTTTAAATCAAGTTAGAAAAATTCTGCTTACAAATTTTTCAGTTGTGTAGATGTGAAAGTGTTTGTAGGTGTCACACTATTAATAGTTTTTGGCAACATAGTCATATAATGATGAAAATATTTCCAAATAGCCATTTTTATATGCACTCTTCATACTACAAGTCTCTGAAAGTAGTTCCTTTGTGTCTCAGTGATGAACTATAACTTTCACTCTGAAAATTCAAATGAGATGTATTTATTTCTTTGAAGTTTACTAGTGGCCATTTACAATCTCAGAAAGGTCAGAAATGTGGCATACTTGCTCTTTGTGCGAAAAATACACATAAAACTCATATTTGAGTTTACAGCTTGTTTTTTTTGAGACAAGAATCTTTCTGTGTCCAACCCCCCCAACCCCAGCTGGAGTGCAGTGGCGTGATCTCGGCTCACTGCAGCCTTCGCCTCCCAGGTTCAAGCGATTCTCCTGCCTCAGCCTCCCAAGTAGCTGGGACTACAGGTGCCCGCCACCATGCCCAGCTAATTTTTGTACTTTTAGTAGAGACGGGGTTTCACTATGTTGGCCAGGCTGGTCTTGAACTCCTGACCTCGTGATCTGCCCGCCTCGGCCTCCCAGAGTGCTGGGATTATAGATGTGAGCCACCATGCCTGGCCAGTTTGTAGCTCTTTTAAAAGTATTTTACCTTGAGATGATCAGAGAAATTTAAGTGAATCAAAGTATTGTTCATGGGTACCTCCTATTGCATCCCAAAGAGTTGTAAATATTCTACTACATGTTGAAGTTCTTAATTTTATAAAATTCACATCAGTGATACTGTTAGCACATGAAAGTCTTGCCTGTGAATTATTTAGTAATGCTGTTGCTCAATTCTTAATGTGGAATCTACCATCTCATATTTATATATATATATAATATATAATATAAAATATATATATATAATATATTATATATATTATATATATATATTATATATAATATATTATATATATATATATATATATAAAATATATATATATATTTAGAGACAGAGCCTCTGTCTGTTGCCCAGGCTGGAGTGCAGTCGTGTGATCTTGACTCCCTGCAACCTCCACCTCCTGGGTTCAAGCGATTCTCCTGCCTCAGCCACCCAAGTAGCTGGGATTACAGGAGTGTGCCACCACACCCAGCTAATTTTTGCATTTTTAGTGGAGATGGGGTTTTGCCATGTTTCTCAGGCTAGTCTTGAGCTCCTGGCCTCAAGTGATCTGCCCACCTCGGCCTTCCATAGTGCTGGGATTACAAGCCTGAGCTGCTGTGCCCAGCCCCATCTCACCTTTAAAAAAAACATTTCAGTCAAAGTAGCCATTCCATCAGGGATTAGACTTAGTTTGCTCATAAAATAAACTTGTTTTTTTTTTTTAAGGTAGATTAATTTTGAGAAATATATCCTCACCACTTCATCGCTACCTTAATGTCTTTCTTCCTGCAGTGGTACCGTAAGAGGAGACATGTTGGAAACATCTCTCCTTCTACTCAGCCTCACGCCCTGAAAAATTTCTTCCTGTACTTATTTCTTCAGATTGTCAGCAGTGTTTTCTACTTGTCATCCAATAGTACTTCCTGACAAAAAGATGCGTCAGGGTCTTTTTCCCCCTAAATTGTTTCACCAGTATTTCATCCACATTTCCATGGTATGAAGAAGAAGTAATTTTTAAATGGTATGTTACTTTTTGTCTTTTGCTATTAAGTGAGAAAACTTTTGAAAGGTTTATAAACATTTATGACTATATTTAGTGAGCATTGCTTAACAAGTATTGGAGTTAGTATCTTATGATGTTAAGTATTGCTGAACACATGGTGGAGGTTCGTCTTATCTTCCGGATCTGTAGCTTCTGCTAATTGTGATGGCTTCACACTTTTCATTGTGTGTATCTGAAGAGTGAGATTCATCATTAACCATGGCGAACACAGATACCTACTTTAAAAAATCTTTGTGATAGTTTCAAATTTTTTGGCTGACTTATTGGTAAAACTTAATGTTTTTTCCTGGCTCATGAACAGCTTGCACCAGGAACAGAAGTATCAACTAGTGTTGTCATTTTTGCTTGCATTACAGGCTGAATATCTCCTCTCTGAAATCTTGGGACCAGAAGTGTTTTGGATTTTGGATTTTTTTAGATTTTGGAATATTTGCATTGTATACTTACTAGGTAAGCATCCTTAACTGAAAGTCTGAAATCTGAAATGCTCCCATGGACATTTCCTTTGGGCCTTATGTTGGCACTCAAAAAGTTTCGGATTTTGGAGCATTTCAGATTTTGGCTTTTCGATTTGGGATGTTCAACCTGTATTACAATTATCCTTGGTCTGCTGTTTCTTTGCAAGAATCTTTTTGTTTTTGTTTTTGTTTTTGAGATGGAGTCTCGCTCTGTTTCCCGGGCTGGAGTGCGGTGGTGTGGTCTCGGCTCGCTGCAAGCTCCGCTTCCCGGGTTACGCAATTCTCCTGTCTCAGCCTCCCAAGTAGCTGGGACTACAGGTGTGTGCCACCACACCCAGCTAATTTTTTTTGTATTTTTTTTTTTAATAGAGATGGGGTTTCACCGTGTTAGCCAGGATGGTCTTGATCTCCTGACCTCATAATCTGCCCACCTCGGCCTCCCAAAGTGCTGGGATTACAGGCGTGAGCCACCAAGAATCTTTTTAAGCTACTTGTCCAGTGGCTCGGTTTAGTAAAAACTACCTAATAGGTAAGCCCTTGTGTCTGGGCACATACCTAGGAACTGCAGTACATCTCAATATGCTGAAATCAACTAAACACCCCTCCCACGTTATCTAACTCCTACACCCCTGCCACCTCCCACCACAGCTTGTGTACTGTACCTGACATAGGACCTTCTGATTTGCAAGTGGAGGGAGGGGCTGATGTCAATCTAAATTTTAACTTTTAGCAAAATGCAATTTCTTGTCTTTTAAAGATGAAAAGTAAATATTAATAGAGGTTCTAATGTCTTCTTCCCAAACCCCAGTGGGTTAGGTTCACTGGTCACTGCACTTAGCAGCTCTGCTTGAGCTACAGGGTCATGAACTCCATCAGTCCCTCCTTTGTTGTGTGTGGTGACTGTATCTGTGTGTGTAGCCTCTTGCTGGTACTGGCCTCCCCAGGATTTCTTCATCTTTCTGGTCCCCCTGTGTCCCAATACAAGCCTCTTTGTCTTCTGTCTGAATGCTCTGGTTGGGGCTGTTATTTTGCCCACAGTATTTGGGTGGAATAACTTCTTTAAGTTATTCTTTTAAGAACAGAGTGCCTTTAAGACCCCTGTCACCTAGGAAACAACAGACCCCTTTCTTTTGGGTCTTTCCCTTTCAGACTTCCCCTGGCTGCCAGGATCTATCTCTGAGTATATCGAAGGATTTCCAAGACTAGATTAAAAACTAGAAATACTTTTTAAGTCCCCTACTCTTCCCCTTCCCATTTTCTGCCTCTTCCCATCACCAGTTGCAACTGTTTTTTTATTTTATTTTATTTATTTATTTTTGAGACAGAGTTTCGCTCTTGTTGCCCAGGCTGGAGTGCAATGGTGTGATCTCAGCTCACTACAACCTCCGCCTCCTGGGTTCAAGTGATTCTCCTGCCTCAGCCTCCTGAGTAGCTGGGATTACAGGCATGCATCACCATGCCAGGCTAATTTTGTATTTTTAGTAGAGATGGGGTTTCTTCATGTTGGTCAGGCTGGTCTTGAGCTCCTGACCTCGGGTGATCTGCCTGCCTCAGCCTCCCAAAGTGCTGGGATTACAGGCGTGAACCACCCTGCCTGGTCTGTTTTTCATTTTAATATTGAGGCTTATGATAACAGACCATATCATTGCCAATGAAAAAGATATCTGAAGGAAAACCTGTAGTATTTTATTGCTTTGATTATTATGTGTCCCGTGAATGTCTTATTTATCCTTTTAGTCTTAAAACAGTATGTTTGAAAAGTACACTTTCAAAGCAAATTGTTGTTTCAATGATGAGTCAGATCCCAAAGAGTTCACTACTATAAATGGCAAACATTTGGTTTATCACCGAGAAATAATCTCTTCAGGATTGAAATACAAAAGTGTTTGTTATTTCCTCCCAAGCTTAGAGATAAAGAATACTATATTATTCTGAAGATCTGGGTTGGGATACTGTAGATGTTGACCATGTAGAATGGATACACTGCTATAAGTCCTAAGTACTTGCTGTTCCTCAAATCTAGGGGTAAGATAAGATAGCAAGTCCTACTCCCTGTAGGTATACTTAATGTAAGAACCAGAGGACGGTAGAGATTAGTTATCTGTGTGGCCATCCTCCATACTCCAGGCCATCCTCCAGGCCATCCTCCATACTTCCATGATTATCTTCATAAAACATAACTCTGCCCAAGCCACCTACCTGCTTAACAGCTTTTGATGGTTCTCTATTGCCCAAGGAATAAAGTCCAAACCCTTAGCTTGCAGATAGGGCCCTTTCCAGCCTGGTTATAACCTTGCGTTATCTCTCTCTCTCTCTCCCCCCATCCCCATTTCTCCCCACCCTCCTCCATGTGCGCGCACGCACACGCAAACACACACACACACACACACACACACACACACACACACACACACACACTTTATACCCTTCAGACCAATAATGCTAGGTACCAACAATGTGGGGTAAGAACTAGATTTAAACAATTGAATATGATAATTAGTCTATAACAAGGAAAGTGTGTTAACAGATAGTGGATGATTCGGGAATGGAAGAGTCAGTGAACCACCAAAATATTCTAGAAAGTGAGTATTCACCTTTATTGGCACGTGGATCACCTGGGGATCTTGATACAATGCAGATAGTGATTCAGTAGGTCTGAGGTGTCTAGGGTGGGGCCTGAAATTCTGCATTTCTGACAAATCCTGGGTGCTGCTGCTGCTGCTTGTTGTTTGCTGCCCACTTTGAGTAACAAGATTCTAGGGTGCACTGTCCAATGTGGAAGCCCTAGTCACATGGGACAATTTAAACTTAAATTGATTAAAATTAAATAAAATTTAAAACTTACTTCCTTGGTAAGCAGTTAAGATGGTAGCCACATCTTAACTGCTACATAGGCTCATTTGGCTAGTGCCTACCATATTGAATAGTGCTCTATTTCTGTCATCACAGAAAGTCCTATTGGACAGCACTGTTTTCTAGAGCACTATTTTTCAAACTGTTTTCTACAGACTACCTCTTAAATCAGAATCTCTGGGGATGGGGGTTGGAAATTTGCATTTTACATAAACACCCCAGGGTGCCTTCTGCATGTTAAAATTAGAGGAACACTTCTATAGGGGATCTAAAATCTGCTATCCAGAGGTAAATTTAATGTGAGAATAGGCAAATATCACAGACAGACATGGGGCAGCTCAGCTTAAATTGGAATACTCTCTTGCCAGCCATGAGAATCATATCCAGTTGTCTACAGGTGCAGCAGATTTTGTCTGGCAGAGATGACTTCTGACACCAAAGCTACACAGGCAGCCTGGGCAACATAGATCTTGTCTCTACAAATTAAAAAAATTAGTTGGGCATGATGGCACGTGCCTATAGTCCCAGCTACTCAGGATGCTGAGGTGGGAGGATCACTTGAGCCCAGGAGGTTGAGGCTACAGTGAACCAAGATTGTATCACTGCACTCCAGCCTGGGCATCAGAGTGAGACCCCATCTCAAAAAAAAAAAAAATGGCTACATAGGGTGGAGGAAGTATAGTCCTCAAGCCAGTGGCTTTCTGCAGGTGTGCAGCTGGTCCCAGGTATGTTCTCTGGTCTCATATGCCTTCTTGTCCTCCAAGTGCTAACATCTGGTGAGGACCACAGCCTACATCTGGTTTCAAGGATGACTCCCAGTCCTGGAAGGTACAATCAACTTATTCTTTTTCAGATCAATTGGATCTGCCTTTCCTGCCCAGGAACATATCTAGGGAAAATCTTTTCATTTTTTTGTCACATTTCAGATATAAAAAGAAGTTCCATTTTCAGGGATCAAAAAGTTCAGCCCAATCTTAAATCAAAATTTCATTTTCTTATCCAGTTTTATGCTTGTTTCTTTCTTCTATGTCCCCCTCCTCTCCCAGCTCAGACGTAGTCTTGGTGTAGAATTTCATTTTCCTTGCTCCACAACCTGTCTAATGGCTTTGAAGGTTCTGACAGTCAAGGAGAAAGGCAAAGCCACCTCGAATCAGTGCTAGTATAACCTGGCCATCAGTGCCTTCTGTGTGTCAAATGCCCAGTGGATTTTCTTAGATTTCCTTTGTGGTTTTTATGGAGAACCTCTGCTGGCACTGTGTGTATTGTACCATTCTCTAGCTTACTTCTGACAGTCTCCGCTCAGATCCTGCCCTGCAGAAGCACACTCCTGAAGTTCCCTAGCCCAGTGGCAGCCTTCTTGACCAAGTCCTTTCAGGATGACTTGAGTCTATTAATAGTTCCACTTGAGGTGACTACTCGACTAAATAGGTAATTGGCTGCACGCCAGACTGGAAGTGTCACCTGCTCCCATGCTACTCTTGAGGGCTGCTCCAGACAGTCCACAACTGTCAGAGTTCTGCTACTTCCCCAAGTGCTGGAAGTCACGTGTCACATTCTCCCAGGAACTGCTGTTCCTCTCCTCCCAGAGCTAACAGTAGCACCAGGGTGTCTGATTCTGCCAGGAGGTAGATTCCTCTTTTGGCAAACACTTCCATACTCTGAAGCAGCCTTTACTTGGCTTGGAGTGATGGCAGGGAATCGTGGGGAGGGGAAGGAAAATGTCACAGCACCCTTACACTTATAAGTCCTCTTTCTTCAAAGAGTCTGCTTAATCTCTTTTTTTCTAATACAACCTGGAGAAGGATGGTGGCGGCGACTAAAGAGCCATTCTGGCTCTCTGTTGGTAAATCCTGCGTGGATGTGCATGTTGGACACCCCTTGTCCTGTACCTACATCCTTTCAGACCACTTTTTTCCCTCCAGCCATTGGGTACAGCAGACTGGCTGCATACAGGTGAAGCCAGACAGCAGTTCTCCTCACCTGCATGATTTTCAGCCCTGGAATGTCACATCTGAGTGAGACCCTTGCAAGGACCTTCTCAGTCATTCTGGTGCATGTACAAACCTGGAAGTGTGTTGTAGTTAACACCTCAAGGGGTAATGAATGCTTGGCCAGTGTGGATTAGAAGCCAGTGGATAAATTATCTTGTCTTCCAACCCTTTGGCAGACAATTCCGAGGTGTATTCTCCATCATTCCTGAGAGGATTGTTAGGCTAGTAGCAGCAAACTTCTGTGCCCATGGTGGGAACCAGGTGGATAATTCACCCTCAAATTGGCCTTCCTTCTGTTTCCGTCTTCCCAGTCCCCACTCCTGTTTTTTGGGGATCATTTCCCAAAATATACTTTCTGCATGCAATTCCTTGTCCCAGGCACTGCTTTTTTGGGGACCCAGTCTAAAACAACATGTTCATTACCTCTCTTTAGAATATGGTGATACTTGTCATTTATTGTCCTTGCTTTGTGGAAAATTCTAGACCAAAGGAGAAGTCCCATCTAACATCCTTCTGTACATCATTACTGGAAATGAAGAGCTGACAGTCATAGACTGATTGCCAAGCAGAACCCCACACTGCTTAACAGCTCGCACAGCATTCCTGTTGATGTGAGTTCTTGTTCTTGTTCTGGTTTTTGAATGGGGGGTAATTTGAGGTGGACAGATAAACCTTGATTTAGATGTTGAAGAGGGTCTCTAAGAGCAGGAGGTAAATTGGAGTCTATAGTCTAAGATTGCTTTGTATATCAGTTATGGTTCTTTGCTTCAAGCAAAGACTAAAGTAAGAAAAAAGCGAGCTATTGGAAGGAGGACTAGATGCTGTGGCATGCCTCCCAATTCCTCATTAGGACTGAGGTATGCTCTCCTCCAGCTCCCAGGATGTTGGCGGCAGGTAGCTCTGAGCTGAGGCCTCCCCTGCAATTGTCCTTGGCTAAGGAGGGCCACCTTGCCCAAGGTTACAGCCCCTTCTTGATGGCAGCCTATACCCAATACCTGGTCATTTTGGAGGTGCAAAGCCTTCGTTGCTTCAAGGCAGGACACCTCTGAAGGGCCATCCTAGCTCCAGCTCCCCAGGAATTGGCTGAGGCCTATGTGCAGTGCACAGTTTCATTTCAGGTCCTAGTCTCTGCTCAATCCTGCTTCCTTTCCTCCCTCACAGGTGTTGTTGCTGAGAGCACTTTCCAGTAATCTTTCTGCACACAAATCACCAGCTCAATCTGTTTCCTGGGGAACTTGAACTACAACAGAATGATACTGGGGAGTTTGCAAAATCAAACTAAACATAGGCAGCAGGAAGGACACAAAGCAGGGGAGCCCCAGAAATCTTAGTGGTAGAAACTTTTAAACCTCTTAGGGTACCACCAGGGTATCTCTGCTCAATATTTAAATCCCTGGAAGGGAGCCTCTGATTGGCCTTGTTTGGGTTGGGAATCAGGGCCCTGTGATTAGAACTACCTGGGGTAGTGGAGAGGAAAGAGAAGCAACCTGTGTCTTCCAGACCATGGTATCTGAAGTTTTCTTGGAGGAAGTCAAATAAATATGTGGGTTGAGGATGGGAGCTCTAAGCAGAGGATGTGGTGGCTCATTTAAGATCACACATTGACAAAGAGCAGAGTGGTGTCAAGATTCTGGGACAGAGGCAAGTTAGAAATAAAACTCTTGTTTTTCCCAAGGTCCATCATACAACTGAAATGGAAGACTATGGCTTGCTGACCAATTCTTGCTCATTTGGGGTTACTTTATATAGGGGGATAAGTGTCCCTTCAGGTGGACTGAGAGTCACCAGAAGATTTAGTGGAAGGACCCTGCCTCTGGGGATGCATATGTAGCTGGTACTAATGAGTACTTTCTATGTATCAGAAAGCCACCAAATATCACTCTTCCTCCCCTGAGTTCAGAACCACCTGACAGACACAGGGGTCATATGGGGCTAGGTCGAAAGATCAGCTTGATTAATAATGGATTGGTGGATGTAGCCTGGGTATACAGCTTCCTAGTACTAGACTCCTACATCAGAGACATCCATTCTCCAACCATTCACGAGAAGAACTGGCCAGACACCGTAGGCTTTCTCATTAGGGCAGGAGCTCAGCACATGGCATGTCCACACTGAAAGAATGAGAGGAAAAAATGAATGGAAAATACAGGTGGTATTGAAGAAAGAGCACTCTTCCTGTGGGGGGTCAGATCCAAAATAAAGAAACCAGATGGGGCTGAATCTAACATGCTCTGCTCCTTCTGTGTAACTCACCACCCAGAGTGAGGAGGAGTGAGGGGAGGAGGAGTGAAAGGACAGGTGTGTCGCTCTGGCCAAAGTCCTTCCATGTGCTCACATGGAGCTGGGGAAGAGGAAGTGTGGAACAACTACTTTCCATATATTTACATATATTAGCATATCTAGTTTCACAACACTATGAAGTATCACTGTCCTGATTTTATAGAAGATGAAACTGAGGCCAAGGCCATCTTCCAAGGATGTGCTGGCTTGGGATTTGAACCAAGGAACTAAGTGTCCTCTGATCTGAAAGCCCATGTTCTTTTCAGTGCCCTTTACCTGCTCCTCATTTGGAGTGCAGGGGAAGGGGAGGACTCCTGGCTCTCTTCTCCAGCCCTCACAGGGGTCCTGAAGCTTCCAGCTCACGTTGGGCCTGGTTGCTTGAGTTACCTCATGTACCTGAGTCTACAAAGGCTTCTATGGGAATGTGACAGATTTGAAGGGGCAGTCACTGGGCCCGTACCAGGAAGGCTGGGAATAGGGCTCCTTTCCTGTGGTGCTTAGCGTTGGTCTCCCCTGCAGGACCTATACCCGCTTGCTAGACCAGGCCGTCCTCACATGGCCAAAGAGGCTGCCACAAAGGCCTCACCTTGCCTCCCACCAGGACACCCTGGGCCAGGGCAAGAGCAGCTGCTTTAGCTCAGCCCTTCAGGTCAGGTCTGCAGTAATCAGCTCCTTCCAAGGAAGGCTGGGCCCAATGGGGTCTCTGTTAGCTTAGGCATGCCCTTTAGGCTTAATTCTCTCTGGTTATGAAGCCCCAAGACTCAACCCATCCCCAGCTGGCTAGTCTATTCTGTTGGACTCTGACATTTTCCCCAAACCTGGCTTTTCTCTTGGTTTCCTTACAAGCCTTTGTGTCTTCACCAAGTTGTTACATTTCTTGCTTTTTCAGTCTCTGCAGATGTTCCAACCACTACACATCCCCCTTCTCCCCCTCCATACCCATCTTCCTCTTCCTGTCTCCCTTTATCCTTCTGTCTCTTCTTCCTCCTCTCTTCTTATTGCTCATCCCTGACCTCCGCCTCGACCTTCCCCTCTTTTCCTCTCTAATCCTTCCCCTTGAACCCCAGGGATATAGGCCTGTCTGCAGAGGAAAGATCTTTGTCATGTGATTACTAAACCCCCAACATGTTATTTGGTAGAAGGCAGCACAATAGGAGTTTTCTTCTAGGGGCAAAGGGGCTATAAAAGATTTCCAAATATCATAGAAAATCACCTGAGGATGCTGAGCTCAGGGCAGCTGCAGCAGGGGTGAAGGTGGGTCACAGCCCCCAACCGCCATGGAGATGAAAGGTAACAAAAGGAGAGGGGAGAGTTCCATACCTCATTTTATTCTCTTGACAGTTTTGCGCAGAATTACCCCTGTCTGTATTATTATCACTTGTAAAAAAGCATTTTTTTCATACCATTTAATCTATCAGCCTTTTATTAAAGCCTAGATAAAAGTAGGAAAAAAAAATCTCATCAACATCAGCCACCAGAAGGGAAATTTCAGAGACTGAGATGATCAGATTTCCAAGTTTACTGAAAAACCTATAGATAACTGCATGGCTGCTCATGCTATTTTATAAAATAAGTGCAGCCAGGTGAGCCATTTAATAACGTGGGAATTGTCGGCTGTGCGGATAGTGGACAGAGCATGAGCTCACCTCGTAAAGGCGTAGGCTCTCGCGGAAATGAACACTGCGGCACACTGCGGGCCGGCAGCACAGCGTCACTCTGTAGACTGAGCCTCCCAGCTTCTCGGGAGCCGTCCACGGTGCAGCCAGCCACTATGGGACACAGTGCCTAGGTCTTTCCAAGAACAGTAGAGCCCACACTTATCCCCTCCCATGTCAGCCACACTCTGGAGCTCACATTTGGAGTAGTGAAAGGCTTTCAAAGGTATTTAATCTCACCACAATCATGAGATAGGTATGAAAACCCTCTTTTCCAAATGAAGAAATTGACCTCCACAGGAGGGAAGGAACTTTGGTGAATCCACAGAGTGGAGTGGCGGTGCTAGGGTGATTACCTAGGGGTCCAGTTCCAGTTCCTGTTCTCCTTTTGCTCCATTGGGCTTATCCCATCACCAAAAACAGTCTAGAGCCGGAGATGTTAAAGAAGCCACCCTTTGACCTGCAGGGTAAGTGTGTGAGAATTGGTGGGTGGGTGGGGATAGGGGAGTCAGGTTTGGGCAGTAGAACGGAGGAGTAATGTATACTCTAAATAGGTTCATTTCCTGACTCCCCCACTTATCTGTGTGACCCTGTATATGTCACTTAACTTCTCTGTGCCTCTATAAAATGAGGAATGATAATAATATCTACCTCATAGGTTTGTGGTAAAGGTTAAAAGAGATAATGGATCAAGCATTTAATACAGTATAGTAAGTTGGATAAATGGTATAGAGTTGGGCCCACTTTTGGAATCAAAAGGAATTTGTAAAAGTGCCTCACACATGCCTGTCCTGTAGAGGTGAGCAAGTATTTTCAATCCCTTCCTGATATCTTTCCTGTGGCTAAGAATCCTTACAGGCACTTGGGACCCCTGCCTTCCTTGCTGTGGACTAGGATGCCTGTAGGTACCAGGTTAGAAGAGTTGCTTCTTGGAATTGCCATGTGACTGTACAATGTGCTATCTGTGGCCCTGCCATTGATTCACAGTATAACCTTGAGCTGACCTCAGTCTTACCTGGATGGGCCTCTGTTTCCTTAGTTATAAAGGGATAAGGACAGAGCTACGTTTGAGGAAGTGTAGTTTGTGAACTTCTACATCAGAATCAACTCCATTGTTGATGGCTGAAAATGTTGATTCATGGGCCTTGCCCCAAGTTGGCTCAATCACAATCTCTAATGGTGCTCTAGAATGTATATTTGTAAAAAGCCCTCTCCACTTGCCCCATGCCCTGGCCTAACTCTCAGAGATTCTGATATAATTGACCATTAATACATAATGAAAGTAAATAATGGATTAATAAATTAAAAATTGATTTACTTTTTAACTTTGGTTGTTTTTAAGATTTTCCCATTTGTTTTTGTTTTTTAGCAGTTTTACTACATGTGCCTAAATGTGGTTTTCTTTGAACTCCTCTAGGGTTCATAACACTTCTAGAATCTGTGATTTGATACCTTTTGTCAGTGTTGGAAAATTCTCAGTCATCATGTCTGTAAAAATTGTTTCTGACCCATTTGTTGTTTTCCTCTCCAGGACTCCAAGTACATGTATGTTGGACCTGCTTGCCATGTCCCATTATGTCCCATACATGCCCCTCTACTACCACCTGTATTTTCCATTCATTTTTTCCTCTCATTCTTTCAGTGTGGATATTTTCTATTGACCTATCTCTGAATTCACTAATCTTTTTATCAGCTGTGTCTAGTTTGCTATTAAACCCATCTATTTAGTTCTTAGTTTTAATTATTGTATTTTTCAGTTCTAGAATTTTCATTTGATTTTTTAAAATAGATTTTAACTCTTTGCTAAAATTAATTTCTTGGACATATTAATCAGTTATTTTGAAAGTCTTTGTGTGATCATTCCAACATCAGAGTCTCCTTAGAGCTTTTTCTTTCTATGTCTATTTTTTCTCTTGGTTTCTGGCCTTGCACATCTCCCAATATGCTTCATAATTCATTTATTTAAAAAAAGTTTGTTTTTTTTTTTTGAGATGGAGTCTCACTCTGTTGCCCAGGCTGGAGTGCAGTGGCGTGATCTCTTGGCTCACTGCAACCTCCACCTCCTGCATTCAAGCGATTTTCCTGCCTCAGCCTCCCAAGTATCTGGGCCTACAGGCACATGCCACCACTCCTGGCTAATTTTTTTTTTTTTTGTATTTTTAGTAGAGACGGGGTTTCACCACGTTATCCAGGATGGTCTTGATCTCCTGGCCTCGTGATCTGCCCGCCTCGCCTCCCAAACTGCTGGTATTACAGACATGAGCGCCACCACACCTGGTCTTGTTTTTGTAACTTTTTATTGAATGTCAGGCATTGTGTATGAAAAACTGAAGAGAGAATTTGAGCCTCTGGATGATGCTATTTTCCCCTTAGAGCATTTACTTCTTTCTGCTTTTGGAAGTCAAGATAGGGGCAGATTGTTATAATCCAGTCTGGGATTGAGCAGATTTGAAGCCAGTCTTTAGTTTTTGTGAATACTGGCTTATTTGGGTTAGTCCTTATTCCCAGGCTTCAGGAGTTCCTTCTGAAAGCTTGGGTTGCATACCAGGGCCGCTCCTTTTTGGTGATGGCTGCACTATTTTTGTTTCCCCAGGATGGTGGGGCAGCAAAGCTCTGCTTAGCTTTGTAGACTCCTGGCTGCCAGTTTCTACTTCATTTCTCCTCTTGGCTTCTTCACTGATCAGTTTCTACAAAGCACAACTTCTCAGCTTTTAAGTTTTTCTTAAGAATCAACAAATGCTTTGAGGCAAAAAGCTGTGCCAAATATCAGGTTCAGTTCTGTGCTTTCTTTCTCTCTGAGATCTTGGTGCCGTAAGACCTCACCACATTTGATAGCTCTCTGATGCGTTCAAACAGGGCATTTCTATTTGTTCTTGGTAGTAGAGTTGATCTGAATATATTAGCCTATCAAAGGCAGAAATGGAACTCCCTGATAGTGGTTTTTAATCTCTTTGGGTGATTTGAATGTAAGATGCACTGGACAAAATCAACTCCTTGCCACATCATAAGAACCACCTTAGTCTGTTGTTTAAAAATGTTGATTTTTCTGGTCCTATCCTAGATGTACTGAACCAGAATTTCCAGAAAAAAAAGACTGATTTGTTGTGCTAGCAAGTGCTTCTGACAAAGGCACACTTGAGAAGCACTGAATAAGTGGCTCTTTAGAGTCCTTCTTGCTCTGGTTGCATATTCTGGTGACCCTAGTGACCCCACCCACCCAATGAACCCTGTATATATAGTGGCAGGAAGGAGCCTGGTTATTCTGATATGCAGAGGGGCAGCATGCTGCCTTTACCACCACCTTCGACTTTAGTTTGCATTCTGTAACTCTCTCCAAAGAGAGAGTGGTAGCTCTCTTTGCTGAATTATTTCTAATTTTTTCCATGGACATTTTAATCAGAGATGACAAATGACTGGTCTTTTGCTAGCAGTTCAATCTAAGAGGAAGTTATTTGCCTCTTAGAGGTACATTAATTTGCGATGGCTTTCATGCAGAAGGCAGAGGGATATTGTGGAAAGGGACTTGGATTCTGGGAATCAGGTATAAGCCCAGGGTACTTGGCTTGGGAATTGTAGTAGTCACTTGCCCCTTCCCTTCCTCCCTCCACTAATGTAAGTTTCCTTTGCCTGCTTGAGGGTATCTCCAAATTAGGTTCTTTTCCAGCTGCCAGTGGTAGGACTAGAGTGCAGTTCTGACCCTGGTCTCTGGAACCCTTTCTCACCCCTGCTGGCTCCTCTCCAGTGGATTCCCCACTGTCCTGCACCAACTCCCTCCCCTTCGTCTCTCACCCACCTCCTTTTCTCCTTTTCTTCTCTTGTCCTTCCCTTCTCTTCTCCTCACCTCCACCCCAATCTTCTTTCCCCCGTTCCAGAATCAGAACAGAGGCAGTAGTGTCCTGTTGTGGACCCTCCCTCAACTGCTTCAGCCTTCTCCAGGACCAGCTGTCAGCAGAAGTGGAGCTCATGCAGGAGGGCAAAATGGTCCAATTCCTTTTCTCAGGGCTATCTAGCAAGACCAGTTCCTGTGGTTCTCTCTGGCTCATGTGAGGATGCTTCCCACTTTGGAGGTCTATGGTTGTCCTAGTCCGTGGCTACCCAGTAAGTGCTACTCAAATCAGTAGGAAAACAATGAAGTGTGCCCAGTGGTAAAGGGGCAAAGGACATAAACAGGTAATTCACACAAGAGGAGACACAGATAGCCACAAATATAAGAACTATTTAATTTCACATTTCATCAAAGAAATGCAAGCTGAAACCATGTGAGTAGTAAAAAATAATCAAACCAGTTAAGTTTGGGCTATGATGCAGGGAAATGGACACTCATACTGCTGGGAGAGTGTATGTTTTTTAGTCTTTCTGGAGAGAAAGTTGGCAGAATATAACAAAAATCTTATAATTTTCTATGACTTTTGACCCTGTCATTCTACTTTCAGGAATTCATCCCAGTGAAATAATGTATGCGATTTGCAAAAGTTCTATACAAGTATATTCAGCATGAGGCTGTTTTATTGTAATAGTGATGACTGCTGCTACCCAGTGAAATACAACCATACAATAATAAGGGGTTGCTACATTCATGCCAGTTGTACACTCTGTTGTCATTAAAAACATCATACACAAATATTTAAAGAGGAAGAATGTCCAAGCTCTTTTTTAAAAAAATAAAATAAAAGCAGTGTATCACAATAATTGTATTTTGGTGGGGAGGAACCAGCATAGAAAAAAGATCAATGGATGCAAAATGTTACCATGTCTGTCTTGTGTGTTTTATCATACACAAAAATCTAAGTAATATGATTATTAAAAAAGAGAAGAAGAAAACAAAAATACTGATTCCTAGCATGTAGGAAGACTGGCCTGCATTCTAGTCCTGAATTTGCCTCTTGTTCTCTGTGAGGCTTTGGACGGGTCACCTTGGCTCTTTTGATGGGCAGTTTCCTCATCTATAAAGCAGATCTGGCCACGCGTAGCAGCATTCATGTCTGTTCAGTGCTTTACCAGTCCCTTTGCTAACCATTGTTTTACTTTGATCTCACATCTGTGCCTTGTAGATCAGCACTTTGTGGGCTGTTGGCTATTTTACTATCACTTGATAATTCGGTATCTCCAAATTAGGTTCTTTTTCCAGCTACCAGTGGTAGGACTAGAGTGCAGTTCTGACCCTCGTCTCTGGAACCCTTTCTCACCCCTGCTGGCTCCTCTCCAATGGAGAAACTAACCTTATTTTCATGTACTGTGATACAAAGAAAAGCTTCTTAAGGGTTATTGGAAGGCAAGCATTTGAAGGAACTAGAGTAGCCTGGCTAATGACCTGGTGCAGTGGCTGAGTTACAGCTGGTCTGGAGGGCAGATGATCCACAAGGTTGGGTCTGGGGTCAGTTAGTAGTTGAGGATGGGGAGGTTGGGAGCAGGTCAAGGCGGGACCGGAACAGGCCTAGGAGAAGTGTTGAAAAAGCCAGAAAACAGTGATTGAGAGAACTGCTCCAGGTTGAGGGGATGCTCTAGGAGTGGTAGCTTTGCTGGAGGTTCAGCTCAGGGTCCTGGAGGTCAGATACCAGGACTTGGAGGCCTCAAGAAAAGAGTGGGGAGCCAGCCCAGCAGGGCTTAGCTGGGCAAAGGAGAGACGTTTTTAAGGTTGTGAGCAGGCATGACAGGCACTACTGGAGAGCCCAGAAACAAGGATTAGGCACGTGCAGGCTTACGTGCAAATTGCAAGTCTGCATTTCTGTAAAACCGACAACAATGGAAAATGTGTAATAGATGGACCAATCTAAAGATAGTCTGGAAAAATGACCTCACTTAAGGAAAAATCGAGCAGTTAACTTCCTGCTCACTAGCAGGTCGAAGCCTAATCTTTAAAACTGATGTCCTTATCTCAGAGCTCCCTAGGTGATAATATTAGCCCTCACTGACATGGTCTATCTTCTCCGTAAATACCTTTCCCTCTAACAACAACAATAAAAATGTAGCTTTCTAGCCCACGGGGCTGTTTTTTGTTTCCTAATATGCCCTGAACTGAACTCCTTGGTTTATGGAAGAAGCTCAATGTGAAACTGCAGATCGACTCTTTTATCACAATCCTTTTAATTACTCCACGTACCCAATTTTGTTATCCAATTATGGGTAAGATTAAAGTTCATCAAACTACATGTTTTATGTGAAGTTCCTTCATTTCCAAAAGATCAGTGGAACATTAAAGAACAAATGAAACAGTCAGTTGCAGATTATACAGGTTGATTTATCATTGATCTTCCATAAACAGCAAAAACTAGTTCTGATATTTTCCCCAGCATAATAGGCCTATGTATACAGTACACTGTATATCTTTTCATTTCAGCCTTGAAAAAAATATGATATATCCCTAGTGGGAGTCATAATTTCGCTGAATGTATAGTGCTTAAGGCTCCACAGCGCCCAGCCAGTTTGTTACAGCAGATGGATGAGAGCCCACTGTTTCATGAAATTGCTTTTGAATATTTGCAGGATGACCTTTTCCCACACTATCCCACCAAAATGCATTAACTCCTTCTGCACAAGATGGAAAAATGCTATGCCGAACCACGCTCCTGCAAGGTGAAACGTGACAGCCTTTAATATAAAACCTTTCCTGACATGTTCCCTGCTGTCAGAAACAATCTCTGTTTCCCAGAAGTTCCCTTTCAGAGAGAGGAAAGTGGAAGGAGCAGACAACTCCTGGGTGACATTTACCAAGGTCACGCAGCTGGTGTTGGGTGGTGCCAGGATTATAATTCAGGTCTGGCTATCTCCAAAGTGTTTGCTTCTTCCATGCCCCTGGAACACATTGTTTATGCCTGTATTGTAGCCTTTATCCTCTTGTTCCATTTTATTTGAGCAATTTGAGCCAATTTTCCTTCCATCATAACGTGGGCTTATGGTTTTATGCCTGTTCCTCTTTGCCACCACTTCAAGTGTACCTTGCATTTAGTAGCTACTTGGTGTATCAATCAGGGTTCAATCAGAGAAGCAGAACCACTGGGAGGTCCTGCGTGTATTAATATATATTAGGTTTTGTTATAGGATTTGTTAGAGGAATTTGGCTTTTGCATCTTGTGCTAGAGCTTGAAGTCCACATACCAGGTTGTTGGGTAGAGAAGATGGATGTGAAGCAGAGGAGAGCGAGAGCATGCTGGAACCCCCAAGCACAAGTTGGAGACCATGGGATGGACTGGGCCCCGGGTTGCTTCTTTTGCCTCTGACCTTGATGGTATAGGTGTTCTACAAAAGCCAGGGCCCCTCATCCTGCAGCCAAGCGTATATTCCTGGCCTGGGAGTTGGAGAAGCTGAAGCATGATGCAGGGGAAGATGGAGCAGTTGCAGGCCTGGCTGCGAGTGAGATCAGTGGCAGCGTGTGGAAGCAAAAGGCTGCTGCTTCTCTTCTCTCCAAATCTCCCTTAAGGATCTCCCTTGGGACCTGCCCCAATGGGAAACCTACAGGAGAGGGAGTCCTGGGAAATGTAGTTCATCTTAACCAAGTTGTCACATTAGAAAGTCACTGTGCTCCACTTCTGTCAACTTGACACTCACATGGATCACCTTCAACCATACTCTCCAAATAAAGACGAGCAAAGTCATGCTTCTGCACAACATGACACAACCAATGCACATACAGCCAAACATGTGTTCACCCTTTCCCAAGAAGAGGATAGAAAACCCCTTTTTGTCTTGAAGTAACATCTGCTCTTCTCTTGGCTGCTTCACACTCCCCCTTTGATACATGTAACTTAAATCCTGAGATACACGTGCAGTTGCTACTAACCCCATCTATGTAGATGATAAAGGAATGGCAGAGGTGGAAACACATGTGGTTCATATATATGAACATGTATATCAAAATTAGAAAGATGTACTCACAAATATAATCCTTATTTCTGCAACTGGTCACATGGTCATAGCTGGTATTTACAACCACCTTTATTCATTATTCATTCAACATTTCTTTTGCCTTCAGCAAGAATGGCAGGTTGTAGGTCTAGGCCAGGAATCAGAAAACTTTTTTTTAAAGGGTCATATATTAAAATGTAGGCTTTGAGGACCTTTCAGTCTCTGTCACAACTACTCAACTGGGAATAGCTGTGTTACAACAATAACTTTATTTACAAAAACAGGATTTACCAAGCTGGATTTGGCCTGTGGGCTATAGTTCACTGATCACTGGCCACAGCCATGAGCAGTCCTGCCTGAATTGGGTTGTATTGTAGTTTTACATTGACTTTAATCATAGAACAAGGGAGTATTAAAAGGCACCCCAGAGTATTTCCTGAATCCCAGACATGCTCCTTCTTACCCTATTATGTAGGACCAACCCATTTTACCCGTGAGAGTCAGGATCAATCATTCCTGCCAGTGCAGTGACCCCTGTTGCCTGATGACTCAATGACAAGAGGGCCTCAGAGTGGCTGGGTGGCAGACTCAGCATCCAGGTCAGTGGAACCACTGGTGTGTCCTCTGGTGGAAGCATTCTTCTCTGTAGTTGTGAGACCTCTAGACACAGAGCCTAACGTCGTTGGGATGAAACGCGTAACTTTTGTTAGTAGATATCTAAGAATAATAGGGACAGGAGCCACTTTGTCCCTGGTTAGAAGCTGCTGGCCCCTGATGGAAATAGTAGAATTTAGCAGTCTCCATATTTTTATTCAGTTAGCAAACACTTATTAAGTACCTACTGTGATGCCTGGCACTGGCTGGAATGCAATGGTCACCAAGACAAAGATTGTTGCTCTTTTTCTGGAGTTCCCAGTCTAGCAGGGGAGATAGCAGACACAGAGTTACAAATGGATGCTGTGATCGAAAATAACAGAGGGGACCTACTTTAGTTAGGGGGCCATAGAAAGCCTCTCTAGGAAATGACTTTCAAGATGAGACCTGAAAAATAAGAAAAGTAGATTTATGCTAGGACCAGTGGGAAGAGCATCCCAGGCATGGAACAGCTTGATAAAGGCCCTGGTTTTTTCTAATCCAGTTTGATGGAGAAGAGTGAGCCATGGAAAATGTCGCATAAACTTGGAGAGAGAGTCACAGGATGGATTATGCAAGGCTGCAGGGCCAAACGGTTAGGATTTTATGCATTGGGTACATTGGGCAGCCATGGAAAGGTGTTAAGCAGGGAAGTGGCTGCTTTGGTTGCTGGTGGAGAGTGATTGGTAGGAGGGCAGGAGAGGATGTGAGGAGATAAGGCAAGAGGCCCTTCCAGTCATGCCAGTAAGACATGAGGGCACCTTGGGTCAAGTGGTGGTTGTGAAAATAAGTGGGTGGATACTGAAGATATATTTTGAAGGTAGTATTGCTAGTGCTTGCTGATGGTTTGATTGTAGAGGAAAATGAAAAAGGAGGAATCAAGGATGACTCAGATTTTGGGCAGGTGGGTGCTTCTGCTATGTATGTACTAGAGAAGATTGGCAGAAAAAGAGGGTAAAATGAATTTTTTATTGTAGTAAAATATATACAACATAAAATTTATCATCCTAACCATTTTAAAGTGTACAGTTCAGTGACATTCAGTACATTCACATTATTGTACAGTCATCACCATCACCCATCTCCAGAATTTTTCCATCTTTTCCCTCTGAAACTATGTGACCATTAATCAGTAACTCTTCATTCTCTGACCCCCCTCCTGCCCTTGGCAACCACTATGCCATTTTCTGTTTCTATGAATTTGACTACTCAGGACCTTGTATAAGTGGAATCATACACTATTTATCTTTTTGTGATTGACTTATTTCACTTAGCATTATATCTTCAGGGTTCTTCCATGTTATAGCATGTGTCAGAATTTCCTTCCTTTTCAAGGCTGAGTAATATTCCATTATGTGGATATACCACATTTTGTTTATCCACTCATCTCTCAATGAACACTTGGGTTGCTTCCACTTATTGACTATTGTGAATAGTGCTGATATAAACATTGATGTACAAATAAGGGCTCAAGTCTCTGCTTTCATTTTTCAGAAGTGGAATTGCTGGACTATAGGAGAATTCTGTGTTTAATTTTTTGAGAAACCATATTGTTTCCATAGCAACTACACTATTTACATTCCCAGCAACAGTGCACAAGTGTTGCAATTTTTTATACCCTTGACAACATTTATTTTTTATTTTTTAGTAATAGCCATTTTAATGGGTGTGAAATGGTATCTCATTGAGGTTTTGATTTGCATGAAATACAAATTTAAGTTTTGACATGCTGGGCTTGAGATTCTTGTGAGACATCCCAGTGGAGGTGTCAGGCAGACAGTTGGATGTCAGAGGCTGGAGTTCTAAAGAAAGGTAGGGTTAGAGGTTAATGTTTGTGTCACCAGCACATAAGTGATTGTGCAGGGCCTGGAGGAGGCCACTGAGAGAGTTAAAGGAGAGCACCCAGACTGGGTCCTGTGGAAATCAACCAATTAGAGGTTGGGGAGGAGAGGGAGAAGTGGTAACTGCCCAGAGTGGAAAAGCCAGTGCAGTATGGGAAGCGCGAGAGTGGTCCTGTAGAAGCCCAGAGAGGAAGCTGCTTTGAGTAGGATGGAGTGGCCACCTGTGTCAGGGGAGCTACGAGGCCAAGTGAATTCAGGTAGCTTGGGTCATCTAGATGCCGTGCTGGTGCAGAAGGGATTTGAGGAGCTGGGGCTCCAGCAAGTGTGAGGTGAGTTCGAACTATCATGGACAGTTTTCACTGTAGCCACTGAGGTTACTGCTTTCAGAAACTGTATCATTCAATTCTGCATTCCCTGTCTGCAGGTTGGTGGAACCTGCAGAAGTGCCCATTGTCCTTTCCTGTTTTAAGTGGGTAGAGGACAGCTTTTCCATGAGGTTCCATATTAGGCCTTGCTAAAGCCTCTTTCTGGAATGGAGAGTCAGCAAAATTGTTGGGTCCAAAAGAGGGGTGCTTATGCAAATTGGGATGGTATAGTTGGCTCTGTGAGTGTCCTGATATATAGAAATGTATGTCATTTAGGGCTTGCATTGGTTCCATGTGACAGAAAACTCATCTAACTGTGGTGTAATCACACAAGAATTGGTTTTTCACATGTAACAAGAATCCTAAAGAAGCCTGTCCGGGACTGGTTCAGTTCCTTGAAGGATAAACCAAAAGTCCAATTGTCCAGGTTTCTTTTGGCTTTCTGCTTTGCCATTGTTAATGTGTGATTTTTATATGCATGGTTGCAAAATGGCTGCTCTTCTTCCAGCCCTCACTTTCACATTCCAGGCAGGAAGAAGATAGAAAGGCAAAGGCACAGACCATGCCAGCTGAATCAGTTTTGTTTTCCTAAGTTCTCACACAGTAGACTTCTGTTTGCATCTCATTGGCTGGATGGGTTCACCTAGTCTAGCTGTAGTGGAACTGGAGAGGTATTTTTAATTGGACATATTGCCATGCTGAACAAAATCAGAGTCCTATTGTTGGAACAGAATATGGAGAGAAGGAGAGAATGGGTATTAGCTAAGCCATTAGCAGCAGTGTCTACTGCAGCTAGGAAGAAAGAGTGATGGGTTGGGGGTTCAGGAGAGGAGGAGGCAGAGCATGAGAATCGCGGTGGCTCATGCCTGTAATCCCAGCACTTTGGGAGGCTGAGGCGGGTGGATCACCTGAGGTCAGGAGTTTGAGACCAGCCTGGCCAACATTGTGAAAACCCATCTCTACTAAAAATAAAAAAATTAGCTGGGCGTGGTGACACACACCTGTAGTCCCAGCTACTTGCAAGGCTGAGGCAGGAGAATTGCTTGAACCTGGGAGGCGGAGATCGCACCACTGCACTCCAGCCTGGGCGACAGAATGAGATTCCAACTTAAAAAAAAAAAAAAAAAAGAAGGCCCAGCGCGGTGGCTCACGCCTGTAATCCCAGCACTTTGGGAGGCCGAGGCGGGCGGATCACGAGGTCAGGAGATTGAGAACATCCTGGCTAACAGGGTGAAACCCTGTCTCTACTAAAAATACAAAAAAAAAATTAGCCGGGTGTGGTGGCGGGGGCCTGTGGTTCCTGCTACTCGGGAGGCTGAAGCAGAAGAATGGCGTGAACCCGGGAGGTGGAGCTTGCAGTGAGCCGAGATTGTGCCACTGCACTCCAGCCTGGGGGACAGGGGGAAACTCTGTCTCAAAAAAAAAAAAAAAGAGAGCAAGGCCACTGATGCCTCAGTGGTGCTCATTATAAAGCTGAAATGTCATGTCAGCAGTTTTTAAACAGTACTTGAACTATTTTCACCTCTTTCTAAATCGGTCTTTCTTGACTCAGCAAATACCCAAAATGTTTCCTGTTACTCTAATTTGTACCCTCATTTGAATCTGCTTCTTTACAAATGCCCAACTCATGAGACCATAACTTTTCTTTATTTATAAATAATTCTTTCTGGCTGTTTAGGAAAAGAAAAAGATGGATAATTAAAAAACACATAATTACCCCCAAACTACATTAATTCTACTTTGGTGTCCCAGCAGGGAACTCCATCCTGTAGAATTCATGAATGCCTGACCTGGAGAATTGTAATGAAAAAAAGTCACAGGAGACCAGCATGTTGAATTATTGATTAGAAGGGGTTTTTCCAGGCTCTTTTGGCTTGATTATACACTCTAAAAGAGGCAACACAGACAGAGGGAGAGACTGAAGATGCAGAGGTTTAGAGTGGGTAAGAGGTGGGAAACTGCTGTGTTGCATTTACCTTGTTATGAAGCTGTAGCTGTGGAGTTCATGGGCAGTGGCTCAAAAAAAGGGGTCTTGGAGGAGGAACTTAAGGATTGAATAATAAGAGTCCCATGCTTGCTCAGCAGTAGAGATACCAAAATTGGACCGATACAGAGATGAGCATGGCCCCTTTGCTAGATGACGTGCAAATCTGTGAAGCATTCCATGAAAAAAAAAAAGAGAGATCCCTTTTTTGGTCTTTTGACAAAGAGATTTCTACATATGAATACTGTGCTTATCCCTTCGAGTGTGCAGGTGGACCAGGAGCCTTCCTTCACTGCACACCTACTCTGAGAATCCCGGCATCTTAACACAGGCTCCCCAGAAGCCCATTTTCCTGAGAATCATGTGCTGGGCTTCCTGGGAGAAATAGTAGAGAGGCCTCCTGGGACGAAGGCCTGATTTTGGGGCAAAGGGATCAAGATTTTGGAACTAAGGCTGCTCTGTGCTCGCAAAGGAACATCTAAATAACCTAGAAAGCATCCCGGGAAGGGTCAGTTGCTGGGCCTGGCTTCTAGCTAGGATGCTCTTTTGTGGGTAATGCTGGGTGCTGTCATTCTGGTGGCTGCTAAGCCAGCCCTGGGAAGCTCATCACCACCTCCTGTGAGGTTGGCAGTGCCCTCTGGGACCCCACCCCCGCCTGCTGCTTTCTGCCTTGCTGGCCGCATTCTGTGGCCTTATCTCAGTCCATCCAGAAGCCGCTGCATGTGTCCCTTGCTCTCCCAGAATGCTCCCTGGCCCCTTCGCCCTCAGACACAGTGGGTGCCCCCCTCCCTTTATCAGAATTCTGCTCACTTGTCACTTCCTCCAGGAAGACTGCTGGCACCTCTTTTTCCTATACTAGGTCAAGGCCTCCTGTTAAACACTTTCCAATGTCTGGTGCTTTTTATTCTTACAGTTTATTGCGGTTTGTAATGAAACGTTTACTTACAGGATGAGTTGCTTAACATCCATCTTTGTCATTAGGCTGTATGCCCCACCAGTGCAGGCGCCGTGCCTGGTGTTGCTTACAGTGATATCTCCAGAGCCTTCCTCACCACTGGGCACATAGTAGGCTTTGACTAAACAACTCTTCCTCTCCACCCCCTGAGGCTGATTTACAGTTCCCATTTTATGAATGTGGAGGCTCAGAGGAGTTCATTGACTGACCTGAGGTCACACAGTAAAGGTTACTGGTGAGGGTTGAGCTGGAATTCACACCCACATCTGGGAGGTGCAAATTCCAGCTCAACTCCTGCACCCAGGGAGTGGGCACTAGTGAGCCTGGAGCAGAGCAGATGGCAGCAGCCTCGTCCTAACACCAAGGATCTTGCTGCATTGGGCAGTGCTGTGGACTCGCACACCCTGGATTCGTTCGTGGCCACTCTCGTTGTCTGAATGATGTCCCCTGTGTCCCCTTGTGCTAGTGGAACCTGCGAGCCTGTCCCCAGTGGGTACATGAGGACGCACTACAAGGCCACTTTTCTCCAGCCAGGCTGGGCCTTAGGATGCTCAGCCAGAGTCCCCACCTTGCCATGCCTGGATTCCTTCCTTAATTTGACCCTTTGGAATCAGGGCACACCTTTGCCAGCAGGATACCATCCTTCGTTGCTGTGTGACAGTTTTGAATTTAGGGCAGATTCACCTAGAGCTGGCTATTCCACCATTGTGCCACCCACAGACACTTCCATCTCGCCCCCCTTGTCCTCCATGAGACTCAGCAGCTGGCACTGTGTCCCTGACCCAGATCATGTGTCTGGACACTGCCTGCCTCTTGTGGGTGCTGGTTCCATGGTGGCCCAGGAACCGTTGCTGCCAGCAGGGGCCCTCAGCCAGGGCCTGGCACGCTGTGCCCAAGCAGATGGTGCTGGAATGTGATGAGACTCCCTTTCAGGGCAGGGAGTGGAGAGAGGAGGGTTGGACACAGGACCTGGGTATTATTTGGAATCACTTTGTCACTGGAGATGTACCAGGTGCATCCTTAGAGCTCAAAGCAGTGACCGTGCTGCAGCCAGATGGCCTCTGAAGCTCCCAGCACAGATTTGCGTCTCCTGGCTGGGGAAGGAGGCAGGCTGAGGGGTGGAGAGGCCTAGAGGGTGGATGAAGGAGAGCCAGTGTGAGCATCTGGCCTTGTTCTCTCTCCCATCACTGTTACTCTTCTTTTAGTCCCTTCCTTCTCGCACTGTTACTTCAAACCCCTTTCTGTAAAATCATGCAACCAATGTTACTGAGTGCCGATTATGTTCCAGATCAGCTGTGCTTGGTTCTGGGGCTCCATGGCTCTGCCTTGTTGGAATTTCAGTCTAACAGGAGTGATGCTCTAGAGAGGGGCAGGTCATCACCAGACAAGTGTGAACTTTCCCTGTGACACACACTCTGAAGGAGCAGGACATGGTGTGGTGAAGGTCCATTATAGGGGGAGTGGACTAAGTCGGGGAGATGGAAGCAGGCTTCCTGGGGAGATGATGCCGATGCAGCCATCTGAAGGACGAGCGGGAGTTAACTGGGAGAAGAGAGGAGGAAGGGTGTGCAGGCTGGGAACAGAGGGTGCAGGGTCTATCGTTTGAGGGAGAAGCAAAGTTGAGGGAGTCAGGGAAGGCCAAGGTGGTGAAAGCGGAGAGATCCAGGGGGCCATGGTGAGAAGGGACTCTGCTGGCTTCTAGGATAAAATACAGGGTGTGCAGGGCCATGGGAGGCTCTTTCCTATTGTGGGCTGAGGGGATGCAGGTTTCCCAGTAGGAACAGGAGGAAAGGACATGGTGGTGATGGTGCCAACCGTCACCGTCATTAGACCATTAGCTGACACTTCCTGGTGCCTGCTGTGTGCCGGGCCCTGCTCTGAAGGCTTCAAGAATTCTCAGAAAGAAGGGAAAAGGGTAAGGGGCAGGGAAGACTTCCAAAGCCTTTCCGGGCTTTATTTGGAGTCAGCAAAAGGGAATACTAGCAACTTCACATACACACACACACAGACACACATACAAACACTCAGACACACACACACACACACACACACACACACACACACGGATACACAATTTCTCCATGCTAATTAACATGAGCACTTTATAAGTCAGTTTGGGTTGTCAAATGCCCGACATAAAGCAGATATGATTTAAGAGATTGGAAAGCCAAGATGATTTGAATGCCTTTTACCTACAATTTTTAAATACATTGGAAACCTAAAAACGATATTCTTTACGAGCAAATTAAATGTTATTTGTTTGTTTTTTAAAGAGGTAAGTCACATGGTGGGTTTAGAACAGGTGTCTTCAGAGATCAGAGTCATCGCTTCCTTTATTAGAAAGCAGAGGAGTCAGGAGACATGCCATTTAATGCTGTGCAGCACCAGAGTACTTTTCTTTCTCTGGAGTGGACTGCGTGCATCTTCCTAATGTTTGTGGCAGTCGTCTGATAATAGACTGCATTAGAAAATGTTACACTTTTATTTCAGAGCCAATGTTTTGAAGGGCTTTACAGGAAAGAAGTGGGTTCTTATCTCTGCCACATGACCTTGAGGAAAGGTGAAAATCTCTTTCCTGCTAAGAGTTGATGCATGATTTAGAATTCTAGGAGCAAAAAGTCATTCTGCCCATAGGAGTCTAGCTCACATCCCACTGTGGAAACTAATCTAACATGCAGTTTCCTCATCTGTAAGTGGGGACGACAATATTCTCTTTTAATAAGGTGGAGATTAAATAGAAGGATTCAGGTGAGAACATAGAGCATGTGGCAAGCTCAGTGAACGTGAGCTGTTGTCATTTACATGCACGTTGACATGGGAGCACATTCACAAACCCCTCCAGATGCATAGTCACAATGAAACACATGTGCATACATGCGCGCGTGCACACACACACACACACACACACACACTCAGAGGTTTGCTGAAATTCTCCAACAGAAAAGTAATTGTTGTTGTTTTTTTGCTTGTTGGATTGGGTTTGACTGGGGCCAGGGTGAGTTTGACTTAGAAGGTAAATGACCCCACCACTCAGCCTCCCCAACCAATGCCCAGCTATGCCCTTGGTGGCTTCCTGCTGACTCTCAGGTATCTTGGATCTCCAAGCCTGAGTGACCATATTACCCCCACAGGGATCAGAGCAGCCAGTCCAGGTGCTTAAGCCATCACTGGGACCTGCGCTGGCAGCCAAGAAGCTGAACATGGTGGCCAAGTGAGTAGAGGAGCTGTGCCCCTTCAGGCTACCTCCTGCCCGGGCCCCACCGCCTAGGGGAGCAGAGAGGACAACTGCCTGGTCAGCTTCACCTTTACTCACTCTGGCACCTCTGCCTGGAATACCCTCTCCACACCAACACTCAGGTCCAGCATCACCCACTCTCTTGGCCTGGCTCAGATGCCATTTCCCCCCGCAGGGCTCTTTGGATCCCCCTCCTCACCTCCTCTGAGCCTTTTTCTTTGGACCTCTCTTACAGAATTCAGCATGTCTACCATGTACTATGCCCATCAGATCTCCCAGAGTGTGGTCACCCCCAACACTCCACATGAAGCTGGGCTCAGAGAGCATTTGATGATCAGAGCTGCTCCAGGGATCCTGTTTCCACAAAGGCACTGTCCTGAATTTGAGTTTGATCAGGTCACTCCCTTGCTTTAAATGCTTCATTGGCCCCCTCAGCACTTAGGATAAAGTCCACTCTTTCTCATGCCTCTAGACTGTCTGGTTTGGTGCCTCCCTACTTCTCCAGCCTCATTTCCCCTCCCTCCCTCTCACCAGGCTCCAGCTCCCTTCACCAGTGCAGGGAGAGTGCCAAGCTCATTCTTGCCTCCAGGCCCTTGCACATGCTAAGTCATCTGCTCGGAGTTTCCTTCCCCTTCACCTCACCACCCCTACTCATCCTTCAGGTCTGAGCTCAAATGTCACTGAGAGATGTCTTCCCTGACATCCCTTCACCTTCGTCCACAGTTCAACTTACACTCACATGTACTTATCATTCATTATTATTTGGAATTGCTTATTTGCTTTCGTGATGGTTTAAGGCAGGCATCCCCACTGGAACTCCAGGAGGGCAGGGCAGATTCTGTCTTGGTCAGCACTGTATCTGCAGCACTTAGTACAAGGTTTACATAGAGCAGGAAAAAAATTATTTTTGTGAAGAGAGGCACAAATGCCATGAGGCCTGAAAGATCTCCCTTTTGGGCTCATCTTCCTCCTGAAATTGCCCTTTTTGCACGTCTTGTTTTGGAATCCAAGTCTGCCCTGAGTTTAGTTCCTTGGTTGTGAAACGTGGCTCTGCAGTGTCAATGATCCAACTTGAAGCAGCTGCTGCCAAGCCCGTGCTCCTGGCCCTCAGGTCTTGGATTCAGCAGGAACTGGCCACATTCCAAATACTGGCGTCTGCAGCTCTGGGCGCTTGTGTACAGCATATTGCAAGTGCTGAGAAACTAACCACCCACCAGATCCTGGCCAGGGCAGATGACGGTAACTCCATCATTTCCCTCAGGCAGGGGTAACATTGAGGAGTGTATTCCACACCACTGTCCACAGTGTTCTTCTGGGGTATGCTCCTGTCACCCATAACGGTGGCTGGTTTGACACGGCACTCTTTACTGGCTGACTTCTCTTCTTTGTCTTCTTCCGACTCCCCACCCCAAACAAACTACTTGGCCTTGAATCCTTATCACGGAGTCTACTTGTGGAAGAATGCAAACTAAGACAAGCACTGTTACTGCATCATACTCTACTGTTCCATTATTATGACTACACAATAAACACACTGGCAACATGCTTCTGCACATATTTGCTCATCAAATCCTCCCATGAACCCTATGGATTAAATATTCTTGTCTTTGTTTTGCAGAGAGGGAAATAGGGATACATCAGAGAGGTAAATCAATTTGCCTAGTGCTGACCGGTGAATCAGCTGGCGGCCTGGCCTGCTGCCCAGGGCACTTTCCTTTCCAACACCAGGACCCATAAGGCTGTGCATATGTGGCACCAAGTGGATAAGAGTGTGGAGACAGAGCTGGCAGGGAGGCCCAGGCTGTGAAGGGTGTCCTCATGCCCTGAGATAATCTACACTTAGAGAAGAGCATTCGGATGATCGGTCATGGACGGCCACACACATGTCCCTGGAGACTCATGCCTTCACACAAATGCCAGTGTGTGCACACTTGGACCCACATGTGCAGAAACCTGTTAGTGGCAATTTCAATTTCCTAATTAAAAACAAACAAGGTAGTCATGTTCTATCCAGCGTCCCACACTCGAGCTTATGGAATCCAAGGGCTTCCTCCGGTCATCTGGCCCAGCCACCTGCATCTGACCTGAACCAACATGGAATGGGGTCTTGTCAGCTAAGAAGCAGTGCTTAACCAGCCATTGAGTGAGCTGTTAGGGACCCTGGAATAATTACAGCCTTCTCAAATGAGAAGATGAAGAGGGGTTTTTTAGTGTGTGTGTGTGTGTGTGTGTGTGTGTGTGTGTTTTGATAGTTTGAGATTTAAAATTACATAGTAGAACTAATAGGCCCTTTCTGTCTCATAATTATGTTTGTCTTGATACAAACCCTTAAACGTTTGGCTGCTGGTCTTGGATGAAACTCCCAGCCTCAGATGGAATTGTAACGCCATGATGAGCCATTATGCTGTGGCCAAGGGTAGTCCCTCTGCGACACTTGCTGCCTGGCAGTGCTGTTGTTCTCAGCATGTACAACAAGGGCTCATATCAGAAGGAGGTTATATTTTCCATGGAGCTGTCACAGGGGCCCAAGGACTAGGAGGCAGGAGCTACTGGCTCAGGAATCCTTGGGAGTTAGATGGGACCTGGGACTCTGTCATTTCCCCCTTTGCTGGAAACACAGAGCTTTGAGAATGCTACAGTCCAAGCAAGAGTGGCACTGGGCTGCCTTCATCTATATGGAGATTATTCCTTCAACAGAGCAATTGCAGATAATTGAACTTTATAAATTGTTCTATCCCAAAGAATAATGAACATTGAGACCATTCCACCAGGATGATGAGTTTAGTCCTGGAATAGATGTCGTACAAGTCGGGTGGTGAACTGCACTGAACATGCCTGGAGTGATGTTAGGAAGACAGCAAGCTGAAAATTAGCATTCCAGAAGGGATAAAGCCATCTGCATACAATATTAGAAGATTTTATGACATTATGTTTCTAGGTAGTTTGGACTCCCTGAGTTAGTTAAGAAACTTAATTTTCTTTCCATCACAAATATCTTAGGGATCTTTTGGTTGCAAGTAAGAGAAATCCATGTGCTTATTAAAGTAAAGGGAGATGCTTTATGAGTGAGGCAGGATAACCTGGTAGAGAAATTAGGTGTTTTTTCCTTCCTTCTCTCAAAAGGCTGGCAAAAGACTAGCTCCTTATTTTGGAGGACTGATGTAGTCTTTGCTTTGAGGGAGAAGAGAATTTTTAAAAGTCAACTTTAAATATCAGTTTCATACTCTAAAATGTATCAGTTCAAAAACTGTAATTTGATGTGCTTTGACAAAGATGTAACCACCACCACGATCCTGAAAGAGAACATTTCATCACCCCCATGAGCCCCTTTGAGCCAGTCCCCTCCCAACACCTGGGCCGCTGGTATCACTGATCTGCTTTCTGTCACTGTTTTGCTTTGTGAAGATTTCATAGAAATGGACTCTACAGTGTCTGTTGGTGTCTGACTTCTTTCACTTTGCATAATACTTTTGAGAGCTGTTCATGCTCTCACATGTATCAGTAGTTCTTCCTTTTTATTGCTGAGTAGTATTCTGTTGTATAAGTACACCACAATTTATCTGTTCAGCAATTGATACATATTTGAGTTTCATTTCTGAATAAAGTACGTGCCTTTGTGTGAACTTAGGTTTCCTTATCTCATGGGTAAATACCTCAAAGTAGAATTTCTGGGCTGTAGAGTAAGTGCATGTCCCATTTTATAAGAAACTATAAAACTTTTACAAAGTGGCTGTACCATTTTGCATTGCTGCCATCATGTATGACAGTTTCAGTTGTCCCACATCCTTGACAACTCTTGGTATTAATCAGTCTTTAATTTTAGCCATTCTAGTGAGCATGTAAGTGTATCTCAAGGTGGTTTTAATTTACATGTTTCTAATGAATAAAGATATTGAGCATCTTTTTTTGTTTATCTTCTTTGGTGAAGCAACTATTCAAATTGTCCACTTTTAAAGTTGAGTTCTTTATATATTAGATGAATTCTTTACATATTTTGGATGTAAGTTCTTTATCAGATACATGAATTTGAAAATATTTTCTAGTCTGCACTCATCTCTTAATTTTCTTAACAATGTCTTTTACTTGGAGTGTTTATATTGTTTACATTATTTATTGAAACTTTAAAAATTTTAGGCTGGGTGTGGTGGCTCACACCTATAATTCCAGCACTTTGGGAGGCCAAGAGGCAGGCAGATCACTTGAGGTCAGGAGTTCAAAACTAGCCTGGCCAACATGGTGAAACCCCGTCTATACTAAAAATACAAAAATTAGCCAGGCGTGGTGGCATGCTCCTGTAATCCCAGCTACTCAGGAGGCTGAGGCAGGAGAATCACTTGAAACCGAAAGGTGGAGGTTGCAGTGAGCTGAGATTGTACCACTGCATTCCAGCCTGGGCGACAGAGTGAGACTCTGTCTCAAAAAAAAAAAAAAAAAAATTAAATGTAATTTCAGACTTAGAGAAAAGTTGCATGAATAATACCAAGAATTCCAAGATACACTTTGCCCAGATTTCCCAAATGTTATTATTATTATTTTTTAATATTTGCTTGCTTTCTCTTTCTCCCTGGCCTCCCATCTTTGTTTCTCTGTGTTTTCACATGGTTCCTTTCTGTATAGGCCAGTTTCTCTGACTCTCTGGTTAAGCACCGTTTAATTATAACTAGTAGCTCTGAGTTCCAATTTCAAATGGCTGGAGAGAATTTAACCGGTTCAGGTTAGGTTGGGTATCAGCCCCTGACCCAATCAACAGTGATCTTATTGTGTGGTTCTTTGAGAATAAATCATGGATGCATTTTCTAAGGATGAATTAAAGGGTAGGAGAAGAAACAATGAGTATCTGTTCTATAAAATATTAAATTATTTGAAACATTACAAGTATATATAGCTTTCCAAATGAGTACTGTTTTCTTACAGTTACCCGGAGATGCCAGATGCCTTTCCCCAAACCTATGTACTTATTTTATTCCTCACCCTAGGACTTGTCTTTGGGGAGCAGCTTTAGGGTCAGTTACTTTTCACTAAAAGAAAATCAGTATCTATTCTTAGTAGTCACACTTCCCTCTTTACTAAAGCGTGGTACTTTTTCACTTTTAATTCCTCGTGACAAAACCCAACTGGATATCTGAGAGTGCAGTTGGCTGTGGGCAAAACTGGGTTAAAGGCCGTAAACACATCTCTCTCCATCTCTTAGCCAGGGTTTCTCCATGTTGCAGCCCAGAATTCCCGCTCTGTCGTTCTCTCGGGGACAACTGGAATCTAGAAGTTCAAAGGTACTGTCATCTCTCTCTCTCTTGCTCTCTCCCTCTGTCTTATTTTTTTTTCTTTCTAGTCACCCCATACCCTACAGACAAGCCTTCTTAACATGGCTGTCATAGTCACTGGCAGCCCCAAAACCTGCAGTCTATGTTAGCCAGAATAATGGCCTCCAAAAGATGTCCATGTATAATCTCTGGAACCTGTGACTATGTTCCATTACCTGGCAAAAGAAACTTTGCAGATGTGATTAAGAATCTTGAGATGGAAATATTATCCTGGATTATCAGCTGGGTGGGTCCAATGTGGTCCTTATAAGAGGTGGGTAAGAAAGTTGGCTGTGTGTGATGGCTCACAACTGAAATCCTAGCACTTTGGGAGGCTGAGGTGGGTGGATTGCCTGAGCTCAGGAGTTCAAGACCAGCCTGGGCAACACAATGAAACCCTGTCTCTACTAAAATACAAAAGAAAATATCTGGGCGTGGTGGTGTGCACCTGTAGTCCCAGCTACTTGGGAGGCAGAGACAGAAGAATTGCTTAAACCCGGGAGGCAGAGGTTGCAGTGAGCTGAGATCATGCCATTGCACTCCAGCCTGGGTGACAGAGCAAGACTCTGTCTCAATTAAAAAAAAGAAAAAAGAAAGTTGAAGGTGGAAGAAGGAGAGGGAACAATGAAGCAGAACTTGGAGTAATGCCCTTTGAAGATGGAGTAAGGGGCCACAAGCCAAAGAATTTGGGAAGTCTCTAGAAGCTAAGAAAAGTGAGGAAAAAGATCCTCCTCCAGAGCCTTTAGAAGGAACCAGCCCTGCTGACACCTTGAATTTAGCTCGCTGAAACTGATTTCAGATTTCTGGCCTTCGGAACTATAAGAGAATAAATTCAAGTTGTTTCAAGCCATGAAGTTTGTTGGAATTTGTCATAGCAGCAATGGGAAATTGAGATACAACCTGAAAAGAAGAGAGACCTTTTTTCCAACATTGATATGCTAAATCTAACAGAGGTTTTCTGATTTGCCTTACTTGGATCATATACCCACTTTTGGAGCCAGACACACTGGACAGAAGCATGAGGTAGCATGAGTGGCCACCTTGAACTCAGGAGTCAGAAGAAGTACTTGTATTTGGGTTGGGGAGAGCCCATTCCATCACAGACAGAGAGTAGCTGGCCAGATGAGAGGACAGGTGTGCTCTATGACCCACTCTGACCTCCCCCTCCCAATGCAACCAGCCTATGCGCCAAATGACTGTTGAAAATCAACTCCATTCTTCGAGGACAAAGCCTTGACTGCAATGAGAACATTCAGAAGATTGTGCTTCAGGTTCACAAAGCTGTTTCTAGGGAAGACTATTTTGTGGTCTCTAGAGCACATATTTGAATGGAACAAGCTTCATTTGCATATGCAAGATTGGATATTTCCGTTGTAAATTTTTTTTTTTTTTTTTGGTCAAAAGGAAGTTCTGGGTCTATATTCAGAGCCTGCCATGTGCCAGCTTGGTAAAGTCTCTGAATTTCAGTTTTCTCATCTGTAAAATGGAGATAATTATACTTCCTTATGGGTTATTGAAAGGATTAGAAAAGGCGATTTATATAAAACCTAGCACTACTTAAATAACATACGCAAAGCTTAGCACAGTTGTTCAATAAAGAATTGGTATATTTGTCTTGTTCTATATATAAAGTAATATGAAATTAGTTTGTGAAAGTCAGACTGAATTGTGAGTGAGCTTGAGTTGTTAAAGCTATGTATCTCAGTACATAGATTACCATGAACAGGCATAAAATTTATTGTACCTTCTATATGTATATGTAGTGATTTTTTTAAAAGCTAAAAATCCTAACTCTTTTTTTCCTCTTCTTGTACCTGCTCAATTCTCTGTGGAATTTTTAGTGTTTTACCTGTTTCACAGAGTGTGATTGCCATTCGGCATTTGTGTGTGTGTCATTTGAAGAACATATGACTTTTCTGCTAGAGCGTAGATTCCGTAAGGATTGGAATCATGTCTGCTTTTTCTTACCGCCGTGTTCCCAGCGCCTAGGCCAGTGGCTAGCCCATGGTAAATGCTCAATAAATATTTGTTGAAGGAGTGATGTGCAGGGATTAAAAACAAAAGAAAGCTTGAGAGAAAACCAGTAAGGAGGCAGATGGGAGTGGCCAACACTGCTGGATGCTGCCAGGAGGGCAAGTATGATGAGGCCTGGAAAAGTGGGCTTTGGACTCTGGCAATCTGAAGGTCACTGGTGATCTTGATGAGAACAAAGTCATGGAGTGATGGAGGCTGGAGCTGACCCACAGCAGGCCGAGAGCAGAGTGGTAGGAAATTGGAGGAGTGTGGATGAATCTTCCTAGAATGGCAGGTGGCCAAGAACAAGCCACCCAGGACAAAGTTTACTCTTCTCCTATGGACACAAGTTTTCACTGTGAGCAGGGATCTCCTCCTTACCTACCATTTCCCCTGAAGCACAGCCCCAGGAACCTAGTGAATCTTCTCTGTTCCCAGTGGAGATGGGATACCAGCCTTTTGTGGTTGTGTGTACCTGGGATCGCCATACTGCCCTGGTGTATTCCTGCTCCTGGCTTTGTGACAACCCTCTGCTGATTGCTAGCAAGTGACAGCCTTGTCCTCAAGCACAGGTGGTACTCATGGGCGTGAGCAGTCAAGGGCTCTGGAGGCAGCCCAGTGCGCAGTGCTTCTTATCAAGGAGGCTAGTGTCGGATCCCACACCCACCGAGGGTGCTAATGTCCTGGGAAGGGTGGCACTGGGGTCTAGCTGGCCACCTGGAGTTTCTGTCAAGGTCTAGAACAGGAGCAAGTAAGAGTTGATGTCCACTGGTCACTTTCATATAAATACATTTGTCATTTAGAGGCAGGAACTCAGGATCATTTCAACTCTAAGGTACTGGAATTATCCAGACCCATGTTTGTATTTAATTGAATGACTTCTAGATTCACAGACCTTACAGATTTATCAAGTTCAGCATCCCCTGCATATCATGTGATGAAATCCCTGCAAAATAGCCTCAATCCTCTGACTCAGCACTTTCAGGACCAGGGGCCTCCCTGCTTCCCATGACAGTCAATGCAGTCTTTGGATTACTCCTCAACTAATGTTTCTGTCAAGCTCTATTTTTCAAAAATAGTTATTCCTTAAAAATAAAAAAGGCTTTTCCTCCTTATATTCTCCCTATTGCCTTTTCTTGAGCGATCCCTTCTTTCGCAATAGAAACAGAGCTACAGAACATGTGGTTGTTGAGGGGCCTCAGTCCATACCATTCACACCACGTGATTCGTATGAAGTTGGCCCCCTGTGTGCACTATGAACAGGCCTCTTTCTTTGCATGAAGAATGTCTGTACTGAGTGAAGGACTGTGGAAAGAAAAGATAGGTAGAAGCCTTCTAGACTGCTACGCAGTCTAAGAAAAATTTGGCAAAACTGTTGCGGAGTCCTAGAGCTACAATTAGACATTGGAGGGCTCACCTTAGTAGCCCTGCTGCGCTTAGTCAGTGGCTGGAAGTGGCTTTGGGAAGGTTTACCTGGGCTCAAACATGATAATATATTTCAAAGGCAGCCAGAGTCCTTGGTCAGTTGTTCTCCTTGTAGTTGGAGATCTGTGAGATGAATGCTCATGGCCACCATGTCACAGTCTCCCCTTCGGTGTCTGGGACAGTCAACAGCCTTGCAATAGGGAGAATAAAATGTTGGCCTTGTTCTTTCTGTAAAAGGGTGTTGTTGGCCACAGATATGCTCATATTTAGATCTAGAGTTCAGCTTTACCTGTACCTTACAGTGAGATGTTGCCTTTACTGAACTGTCCTCACCAGGAGAGAAAACTGCTACTTGCAGTGACTTTTTTTTTTTTTCTGGTGGCCACAGTTATGTGCTTATTAGCTCAAACTAGTGAGGAATGTAGAAAAATCACCACATACATGGTACATTTTGGTTCAAAGGGGCTTTCCATCCATTATCTCATTTGATTCTCAGCAAGACCTTGTGAAGTTGGTAGTTCAGGGGACCCCCATTTTACACTTGGAGAGACCAAGACTTAGAAAAGTCAAAAGAGGCCGGGCACAGTGGCTCACGCCTATAATCCTAGCACTTTGGGAGGCTGAGGTGGGTGGATTATGAGGTCAGGAGTCTGAGACTAGCTAAGATGGTGAAACCCTGTCTCTACTAAAAAACACAAAAATTAGCCGGGTGCCGTGGCGAGCGCCTGTAGTCCCAGCTATTTGGGAGGCTGAGGCAGGAGAATCACTTGAACCCAGGAGGTGGAGGTTGCCATGAGCCGAGATCGCACCACTGCACAGCCTGGTGACAGAGCGAGACTCCGTCTCAAAGAAAAAAAAAAAAAGTCAAAAGGACCAATCAAAGTCAATCAAAGTCACATGGTCTCTAAGTGGAAGAACTGGGACTCAAATCCAAGTGTCTCATTCCAGATCCTGGAATATTTCCGTGATAACCTGCCTTGGTGGAAGAGGACTTGGGAACAAGTAGAAAGGACTAGACTCCTCTTCCCGTCTTTCTGTATCTGGTGGGATTGTGAACAAGGAATATAGTTTTATATGGCCTTGATGACTTTTATATGGCCACTTAGTTTTAGATGGCCTTAATGACTCCAATGGGCTGTGCACTCATGGCAGCCTCAGTTGGCCAAAGAGGACACCTACTCTTCCATCTTCTCAGCAGCTGCACAGAGACAATTGACGTCTAGCAGCCTAGGGAACTGAGCATGGGAATCTCTTTGTACAGTCAGACGCATGTAGTGCTCTTCTCTGACTCCAAACCGAGGCTATTTAGGACTATTCACTCATTACCTTACTGCATGTCTTGCATCAGAAATCCTAGTTTGCTGCATAAGATAGCAAGGACTGTGTCTCCTCCACTTTCTCCTCGTGGGTTTCCACACACCTGCCATTAATGAACTGTATTTCCAAAGCTCAGGTTCTTTGTGTGTGGGCTCAGCTTTTCTGATTGCAGTGGGTAGAGTGTGGCAGGGCAGGAGGGGAAAGAGGTTGAAGAGATGGAGAGTCTGAGAGTTTGGAGTCAAGCTCCAAAGATTAATCCCAATGTGAGAGGCCTGTGGTCTTCAACTCAGAAAAGAGAAAGCCTCTTTCAATCCCTTCTTGTGGGTTAGAAATCCTGCTCTATACCACATACACCATGGAATACTGTGCAGCCACAGAAAGGAACAAGATCATGTCCTTTGCAGGGACATGGATAGAGCTGGAAGCTGTTATCAGCAAACTAACACAGAAACAGAAAACCAAACACTGCATGTTCTCACTTGTAAGTGGGGGCTGAACGATGAGAACACACGGACACATCACGGGGAACAACACCCACTGGGGACTGTCGGGGTTAGGGTGAGGAGAGAGCATCAGGAAGAATAGCTCATGGATGCTGGGCTTAATACCTAGATGATGGGTTGATCTGTGCAGCAAACCACCATGACACATGTTTACCTATGTAACAAACCTGCACATCCTGCCCATGTACTCTGGAATGTAAAATAAAAGTTGAAAAAATAATAATAAAAATAGAAATCCTGCTCTGCTCATTGGGTACCATGGGACAAAAGCCCAGCTTCCATCACATCTGGCCAAGGACCTCCAACATCAGAAAACTAACAAAGACAGAACTTTGCTAGAGAGTAGAATCAAGGTCTCCTGGTTTCTGCTCTGATAATATTAATCATCATGATCATAGTAGTAACCAACATTTTTCTCATAGGACAGCTTATGAAACATCATTTGTGTAAATTGCTGTATTTCATTTACTTTCCTACTTCTGGGTTCTCTGCTCTCCAGCACCACAAGGGACCCTGTAAAGATAACAGTTTGTAAGCTCAGCAATGTATGATTAATTTTACCTGATTACTATGTATGGAATATGCAAAGCATAGGTCTGGTCCCCAAAGGATGAACTCACAAAAATGCATTTATTACATGGTGGAACCTGAATTTCAGCTATGCATTCTGATTCATAGAGTCAGCCTCCACTTAAAGTTCATGAAGAGGAAAAAATAAATTTATTTAAGGCAAAGTTAGTCCATTTTTAGAACACGGAGGCGAGAATGGTTTTCTATCTGATGTAATTGGATATACTAGCTATTTTTTATATTTGTTTTTTATAGAGATGGTCTCACTATATTGCCTAGGCTGGTCTTGAACTCCTTGGCTCAAGCAACCATCCTGCCTTGGCCTCCCAAAATGCTGGGATTACAGGCATGAGCCACCACATCTGGCCAAATATACTCGCTATTCACGCACCAAGGGACAGCTGAGGTCTATGTGAATAGTTAAACTTAATCAGACTAAGGCATCCTCTACTATGTTTTTACTGGGGGGAGAGAAGTTAAGCGATGCTAATTGGAATATGCAAATTTGGCCTATATAATATTATTCTGGCCAGGTGTGGTGGCTCATGCCTGTAGTTCCAGCACTTTGGGAGGCTGAGGCAGGAGGATCCCTTCAACCCAAGAGTTTGAGACCAGCCCGGGCAAGATGGGGAGACATCATCTCTACAAAAAAAATTTTTTTGAATTAGGCTAGGCATGGTGGCATGCACCCGTAGTCCCAGCTACCCAGGAGGCTGAGACAGGAGGATTGCTTGAGCCCAGGAGTTGAGGTGTCAGTGAGCTATGAATGCGCCACTGCACTCCAGCCTGAGCAACAAAGCAAACAAACTAAAAAAATAAAAAAGTATATATGTATATACTTTGTTTATTATCATGTATGTACTATTAGAAGCCAATTTTTTCTTTTAAAAGAAGCCCCACAGCTGAGCATTCAGCTTTGCCAGGCCTCTCATGAAAACTATTATCAAATGAAAGAAAAAGCACTTTTCTTGATGTGACTGAACTTATCTAGAAGTTAAAAGTCTGTGCAAGACAAACTGGAAATGCCTGTCTCTCTCTCTGTGTGTGTGTGTGTGTGTGTGAGAGAGAGAGAGAGAGAGGATGGGGGGAGAGAGAGAGAGAGGATGGGGAGGGGGAGAGAGAGAGAGAGAGAGATGGGTAGCACATCCAAACAAATACAATTTAATGGAAGGGATGATTTATATCCATGCCTGGCTTCAAAACATTGATTACAATAACCATAGGGTTTCTGGTTTATAAAAATATTTGGAATGGGGGAAAGAAGAGGATTTTTTTTTGTCACTGCTTCAGACCTCTCACCTTCAGGAGCTATAGGCTGTGGGCTGATGGAGTGACAAAGGGAAGGACAGGCTGGTTTGGCTCATTGGCTCTTAGGGCACTTTATAGACTTTAAGGTATCAGTTGGCATCACAGAAACAAACAACATAACGGCTGTAGTTCAACGGAGTGAATTTGATCAAAGTGTCCATAAATCAAAATCCTGTCATTGAAACCAAATGAAGCAAAACAAGGATATGTAAAAAGTACAAAAGGGCAACCCTTATGAAGGTTTCAGCTGCCATTTTTGCAGAAATTGACAAGCACATCCTAAAATTCATATAGAAATACAAAGAACCCAGAATAGCCAAAAAAATTATTGAAGAACTCAGCCTTCTCAACTTCAAAATTTACCACAAGACTGGGCGCAGTGGCTCACGTTTGTAGTCCTGACACTTTGGGAGGCCGAGGTGGGAGGATTGCTTGAGCCCAGAAGTTTCAGACTAGCCTGGGCAACATAGCAAGACTTCATCTCTACTGAAAAAATAAAAAATAAATATAAAAAAACTCACCACAGAGCTGTAGTAATCAAAATAGTGTGGTATTAGCACAGGGATAAACATATAAGTCAATGGTGTAGAATTGAGACTTCAGAAATAAACCTTCACATTTATGGTCAATTGATTTTTGACAAAGGCAGTAAGATACTTAAGTGTGGAAAAAAATATTCTTTTCAACAAACTGTGCTGGAACAACTGAATATCCATATGCAAAAGAGTGAAGCTGGACCCCTGCCTCACAGCATATGCAAAAATTAACTTGAAGGAATCAAAGACCTAAATGTCAAAGCTAGAATTATAAAATCTTACAGGAAAACATAGGAGTAAATCTTCATAATCTTGGGTCAGGAAATACTTTATTAAATATGAAATTAAAAGCAAATATGGGGGCCGGGCGTGGTGGCACATGCCTGTGTTCCCAGCACTTTGGGAGGCCAAGGTGTGTGGATCACCTGAGGTCAGGAGTTTGAGACCAGCCTGGCCAACATGGTGAAACCTGTCTCTACTAAATACAAAAATTAGCCGGGCATGGTGGCGGGTGCCTGTAATCCCAGCTACTTGGGAGGCTGAGGCAGGAGAATTGCTTGAACCTGGGAGGCAAAGGTTGCAGTGAGCTCAGATGGCGTCACTGCACTTCAGCCTGGGCAACAAAAGCAAAACTCCGTCTTAAAAAAAAAAAAGCAAATGTGACAAAAGAAAAAACTAGATATATTGGACCTTGTCAACATTAAAAAGTTTTGTGTTTCAGAGGATGTCATCAAGAGAGTGAAAAGAGAACCCATGGGAAGGAAGAAAATATTTACAACCTGATAAGGGGCTGGTATTCAGAACACTTACAACCCAATAGTAAAAAGACAACCCAATTAAAATAGGCAAAGGATCTAAATAGGCATTTCTCCAAATAAGATACAACAATGGGCTGGGCGCGGTGGCTCACACCTGTAATCTCAGCACTTTGGGAGGCAAGGTGTGCGGATCACTTGAGGTCAAGAGTTCAAGAACAGCCTTGACAGTGAAACCCTGTCTCCACTAAAAATACAAAAATTAGCTGGGTGAGGTGGCACGTGCCTGTAATCCCAGCTACTCGGGAGGCTTGAATCACTTGAACCTGAGAAGCAGAGGTTGCAGTGAGCCAAGATTGCGCCACCACACTCCAGCCTGGGTAATGGGAGTGAAACCCTGTCTCAAACAAACAAACAAAAAGATACAAAAATGGCCAAAAAGCACATGAAAAGATGCTCAACCCACTAGTCATTAGGGAAATGCAAATAAAAACTACAATGAGATACCACTTCACAACCACTAGTATGGCTAAAATAAAAAACACAGATGATAACAAGTGTTGATGAGGATGTGGCAGAAATTGGAGGCCTCATACATTGCTGGTGGTGATGGAAAATCATGTAGCTACTTTACAAAAACAGTTTGGGGGTTCCTCAAAATGTTAAATACAGTTACCATGTGATCCAGCAAATAAGAGCTATGAAAACACACATCCACAGAAAAACTTGAACGTAACAGCCAAATATGTTGAATGTAAATAGCCAAAATTTAGAAACAGTCCAAATGCCCATTAACTGATGAATGAAGACAAAATGTTGTCTATCCATACAATGGAATATTACATAGCCATAAAAATAATTAAAACACTGATGTATGCTATGACATGGATGAACCTTGAAAGCAGTATCCCAAATGAAAGAAACAGACACAGAGGTCATATACTGTATGATTTCAGTGACATGAAATGTCCGGAATAGGCATATCTATAGAGACAGAAAGTGCAGTGTCTTGTTTGGGGCAGGGTGGTTGGGGGAAAATGGGGAGTGCCTGCTATGGGTATGATGTTTCTTTTTAGAATGGTGAAAGTGATCTAAAACTGCTTGTGGTGATAGTTGCACAACTCTGGAATATACTAAAACCACTGAATTATGCAATTTAAACTACTTAATTTTATGGTATCTGAATTATATCACAATAAAGCTGCAAAAGAAACAGGTAAAGCCTCGAATTACTCTCCCTATGTCAGCTCTTCTTTCAGAAACAGCACTATCAACAGCATCAAGCCCATTTAAGTAAGTGTATACAACTCATAAGCTGTGATTACAAAGCCCCCTATGACTCCTTTGGTCTGGAGAGACATGTTTATTCACAGGGCCACAGGCAGGGCCGCCCTTAGGGGAAGCTACAGCTGCTCTGGGTAGAGAAACGATCAGGAACATAATAAGGAGCAGGTGTAAATTCGAAGAAGCGTCTTCTAACCAGTCAGGCTTAAAGTTGAGATTTCAGGAATTTGGTCTTGAGATGGTCCTAATTCTTACATGCAGGCAGTTAGACTTCCCTGACATAGCTTTGCGTTAGGGCAGCCCAGATGAATTCAGTGAAACTGAAAGACCCAGTGCTTTTTTATTTTTTATTTTTTTAATTTTTTGGCAGATAACCTTGGGAAAGGGAAATGGGTAAATGCTGTCTAAACTATCCTACACGTGGGGCTTCCATTCGTCTCAAGGTGCACCTGCCCCAAATGCTATCCTCTGATTGACCAAAACTGGCTAAAAGGATGAGAGGTAGCTCACTAGATGGAAAACGGGGAAAGAGCCATTTCAAGCAGAATGAACCACCTGTTCAAAAACAGTGAAAGGACTAGACACAGTGGACTGGCCTCCTCGAACCTCGCTCCCAGCTCCCAGTGCTACAGGTCTGTCATTTCGTCGGCCTCATCCCTCCCAGGACTCGGTTTTCTATTGATTCTACCACAAGTGAGTTCTTTATCCAGAGCTGTCAGCAGAGCTGGTATCTTCTTTGTTTTTCTACCTCCATGTCTAACCCTGTGCTTTATCCAGGGTAGGTGCTTAATAGGTCCTTAGTTTGTTTATCAGCGATTAATTACGATATAGTGTATAATGGTCTTTAGTCTTCTTGAGAAGACTAAGGACAGTTTAAACATAAAAAAACACTAAGGAACAGAGGTCTGTGATAATGTGATTTGATGATTGCACATCAGCCATAAAGGATTAAGAATTTCTTGCTTTCTTTAAATTGACTTATCAACTTGAAAGTCTTTTTTAACCAATGAGTTTTTGCTGTGTTTGCTCCAGTTACCCCAGAGACTGTCAGGTTAGGGGAGGAATAAGAGTGAGACACCATATCTCACCCATCTTTGTAGAGAAGCTATGAGACAGGGTACATTATGGATGTGTCTACTGATTGGTTGGAAGATGTCACAGGCACAGATAAGGAAGGCCAGCAGTTCGGGACAGATCAAGCTGACTTAAAGGAGGCTCCTGATTCGGCCTTTCGTGGTAGAATAAATACAGGCGTCATCCCTGGATGCTGTTCCGTACTGACTCGCCTGGTTTGGCTGCTGTTCTCAGCAATATCAAGTCCAGGGAGAGTGACTTTGGGATCATGCATCCACCTGGGGGCATAGAGAGTGGCCTGGTTTCAGAGGCTTCTTTGAAATCTAAGAACAGTTCAGCCACAAGTCGATGGAACCCTTAGTTCTTTTTTTTTTTTTAATTTTCTTATTCTTTTAATTTTTATTTTAGGTTCGGGGATACATGTGCAGGTTTGTTTTATCAGTAAATTCGTGTTGTGGGCGTTTGTTGTAAAGATTATTTCGTCACCCAGGTACTAAACGTAGTACCTGGTTATAGTTATTTTTTCGGACCCTCTCCCTCCTCCCACCCTCCACTCTTGAATAGGCCCCAGTGTCTTTCGTTCCCCTCTTTGTGCCCATGTGGAATCCTCAGTTCTTATTTCCATTATTGCAAATAGAAGCCTAACTCAATTCCCCACTCCCTGTCTCTAAGGAGTGATTTGCAGATGGTTAGAATGAAGCCTGAGCACCAGGACCCTCTAGATGGCCCAGAGGAGTATGTTGGGAGCTGGCTGGTTGGCCTCATTCATCTGCTGGCCAGCTCAGCCTAGCAATGAGCACATTCAATTGTGAATACAAATGGAAGGAAGTGCTTCAGACCCTAAAACAAAGAAAATGATAAATAGCCTCATTTTATCTATCCAATTTCTTTTTACTTTGTTATCTAATTTTAAGTTATTTCATGATTTATTTAATAAATCACTGTTTTGGAAATGACAGAAAATGGAATTTGGCAAAGGGAGATTGCCTCTCATCTGCAATCAGCTTTGGAACTTAGTAGCTGCTGTCCAGGGCTCCTTGTATGTGAGCATTTTGAGGTGGCACCCATGTCTCACCATCTTTCTTTATTTTTCTTTCTTTCTTTCTTTTTTTTTTTTTCCTGAGGCAGAGTCTTGCTCTGTTGCCAGGCTGGAGTGGAGTGGCGTGATCTCAGCTCACTGTAACCTCCACCTCCTGGGTTCAAGCGACTCTCCTGCCTCAGCCTCCTGAATAGCTGGGATTACAGGCACACGCCACCATGCCCGGCTAATTTTTGTATTTTTAATAGAGACAGGGTTTCACCATGTTGGCCAGGATGGTCTCGATCTCGACCTCAGGTGATCCACCTGCCTCGGCCTCCAAGAATGCTGGGATTACAAGCATAAGCCACTGCGCCCAGCCGTCTCACCATCTTTCTAGTCTCCCTCCCCTTCTAGTCTTCCCCAGGAACCCAGTGCAATGCTCTATGCCATGTTATAAGTTGGAAATCTACAAGCATAGGGATCCCTGTGTCATCAATGGCTAGCTGGCTGACCTTGGGTGGTTCACCCACCAATCTAAAGCTGTTCTGATTATTACAGTACCGGACACTATATTACAGAATATGGTAGACTTGTATTTCTATCAAATGTTATCAGGGTTGGAACTAAGATGAGACAAATAACCCTGTACATGTGTGACTCTGAGAGTGAATTCCTCATTAAATTTTGCACTCCAGGCCCCCCACTTGCCTCACCCCAATCGTGACCCTGGCTATTATACAAACATAGTTAATGAGCGCACTTTCCTCAAAGAGAACTTGGAGGATATGTCCTTATATCAGCAGTTCCAGCAAAGCAGGCAGGAACAAAGTCCACAAGAGGGATTCGGGTCCTGTTGTGGTTCAGAGAAAGGAGATGTCATTTCCTGCTAAGGGCATCCTGGAAAGCTTCATGGAGTAAGTGACATCTGATTGGCAGCCCTGAAGGATGGCTAGGATGAGGCAGCTGAATGATATAAATAGCAGCACAACCTTGGGAATAAGCATGATCAAGATTTAACTTTGCCATTAACTAGATATATGACCTTAAACAAGTCAGTTGGCAAATAAGAGATCTAATTTCCTGATTTATAAGGTGCTCTAGTGATTGCTCCTATAAATAGTGGCACAGGAGCATCAGAAAAACCTAGTGCTTCTGAAAATGATGCAGAGATGGTGAGTACATCCCTTAATGTTTCCTGTGGACCAGTGGCCACATGAGGAAGATGCTAATTGGGTTGATAGAAATTGGTTAAAGTGTTGAGCTGCGATTGGCATGGGATGTGTTTGGGCACTAATTTTAATTTTAGAAACAGAAAATGTTCATAGCATTTTCTCTCTTCTTTTTCCTCTTTTCTTTTTCTTTTTTTTAGACAGGGTCTCACTGCGTCTCCACACTGGAGTGCAATGACATGATCACAGCTCACAGTAACCTTGAACTCCTGGGCTCAAGCGATCCTCCCACCTCAGCTTCTCAAAGCACTAGGATAACTAGGTGTGAGTCAGTGCACCTGAGCTAATAATAATATTTTCTTATTATAAAGGTTTTTGGAGCCGGACATCATGGCCCATACCTTTAGTTCCAGCTACTCAGGAGGCTGAAGCAGGAGAATTCTTTGAGCCCAGGAGTTCAAGACCAGCCTGGGCAACATAGCGAGATCTCATCTCAGAACAAATTGTTTTTTTTTTTTAACTTCTTCATAACCTTGCAACTGATGTGCAACTTCTTGGATAATGATGAATTCCTATTTGTAATATATAGCTTTAAAAAGATGGAATTGTATTATTAATATGGTTCTAAAATAACATTTCCCCTGTGCTTCATAATATAGCCTGGGCAGCTTTCCAAATCAGCATACCTAGATCTACCTAACTTTCTTTTTAAGTCTGCATAGTTTTCCATTGTATGCTGGTAACAATATTTTCTATCCAGTCCTTTGTTGATGGTCATTTTAGTTGTTTTCTAGGCAAATAATTCTGCAGTGAGCATACATGTACATACACCATTAAATATATAGGCCAATATATTTGTAGGGTAAATTCTTGGATGTGGAATTGAGATGGCATCTATATCATCCTGAAAGATGAGTTTGTTTTGCTAATTACTAGTGAATTTACACTGAATGCCTGAATATGAAATATGAACTGGAAGAAGGTGAGACTGGGAGCAGAGAGGGAGGTTAGGGACTGCCCAGGAGGAAGGTACTGATAGGACATTCCTATAGAGTTCCAACTCTATAGGAATCATTTTTTGTGACTTAAGGCCTCAAGTCCTGTTAGTGACAGAACAGAAATAATGTATTTGAATTGGAGAAAAGGGATGGATTTGGCTAACATGGAGTTAGAAAAACATCTTTCTTCAGAGGAGCATTGTAGAAATAATCTTCTATAGTTGAAACAGTTTCATTTAATTTAGTTAAGATAAACAGTTTCTTAGACAACGATTTCATGTTTCATGTTTTTCCCCGTTCCTGATTTCTCACTCTCAGCTGATGACCTTGTTTCCTATTTCACTGGGAAACTAGAAGCAACTATAAGAGAAATTCCAAAAGTTCCCATCAATACAGTTATCTATTACTTGTGAAGATGATTCTGTGGTTTTTCTCTTCAACTATGTTATTATGGGGACTTATATTAACAGACTTCTTTTTTTTTTTTTTTGAGATGGAGTCTTTATCTATCGCCCAGGCTGGAGTGCAGTGGCATGATCTTGGCTCACTGCAACCTCTGCCTCTGGGGTTCAAGCCAAAACTTTTGCCTCAGCCTCCCGAGTAGCTCGGATTAGAGGCACCTGTCACCACGCATGGCTAATTTTTGTATTTTTAGTAGAGACAGGATTTCACCATATTGGCCAGGCTGGTCTTGAACTCCTGACCTCGAGTGATCCACCTGCCTCGGCCTCCCAAAGTGCTGGGATTATAGGCATGAGCCACCATGCCTGGCCAATAGACTGCTTAATATGAACCTTCCTTGCATTCCTGGAATGAATCACACTTAGTCATGATGTATTTTTGTTGTTGGCATTAAACTCTAATAATTAAAAAAAAAAATAAATTTTAGGCCAGGCACAGTGACTCATGCCTGTAGTCCCAGCACTTTGGAAGGCTGAGGCGGGAGGTTGGCTTGAGCTCAGGAGTGTGAGACCAGCCTGGGCAACATGACAAAACCGCATCTCTATAAAGTATACAAAAATTAGCTGGGCATGGTGGCTTGTGCCTATAGTCCCAGCTACAGGAGGCGGAGGTTGGAGGATTGCTTGAGCCTGGGAGGTCGAGGCTGCAGTGAGCCATGATTGCACCACTGCACTCCAGCTTGGGTGACAGAGTGAGACCCTGTCTCAAAACAAAACAAAACAAAAAATGAAAGCAAAAACAAATTTTTATTGTATATGTTTAGGGTATACAACATGATGTTATAGGATACATTCAGATAGTAAAAAGGTTTCTATGGGAAAGCAAATTAACATACCTGTTATCTCAAATTGCTACCCACTTTCCTGAGGCAAAAGCAGCTAAAATATATGCATTTAGCATGAACCTAGATTTACACCAATGCTATTGTCTATAGTCATCATGTACCCAGAGCTCTAAACTGATTCATTTTTACATCTTATTGTTAAGTGAGATTAGACTTTTTCTGTGAAATATTTGTAGGTTTTGGTATTAAAATATTTTTACGTGTGTATCCTTTACTCCCTAGAATACTACCATTGCAAATAATCTGATCTTTAGAACTTTAGTTAGAACTTTCCTGTGAAACCATTTGCACCTGGTGATTGTTTTAGGGGTCATTGGAGACTCACTCTGATGACTTTATTTCCTCAGTGACAGTGTCCTATTTGGACTTTATATCTCTATTGTGATCGGTTTTGGTAAATTATATTTTCCGAGGAAGTTATTCACTTTATCTTTGAAAAATTATTTATATAGGTTTGTACATACTAATCTCTCATGATTTAAAAATTTCCTGTCACGAATATTTCTTCTTTGAAATTTCTTATTTTGTATACTTACATTTTCCCCTACTTCTTTTTAATTGATACATTCAAAATATATTAATTTTTATTTAATAATTAATTTCTGCTTTTATTCTTTTGAATGTTTTCCTTATTTTTTTTCTGATTTATTTCATTTTCCTTTCTCTAATTAGTTGAGTTGGGTATTAAATAACTTATTTTCATTTTTATCCTTATTGATATAGTTATTTAAGGATATATAGATTTTTTTTTCTCTAAAAGCACTACTTTAGTTGTATTTCTAGATACTAGTGACTAGTATCTAGTACTGTCATTATTGGGGTTTTCTAGAAATTTTGCAATTTCAGTTTGCATTTCCCTCGACCCGAGTTGTTTAATAAAGAGTTTTAAAACATTTCCAGGTAAAAGGCATTATTTCAAACAGTTTGTCAGTAATTTATAGTTTCATTGTATTGTGGTTATAAGCTTTTGACATTTCTATTTTTGCAATTAATTTAGATTTTCTTTGTAGCTTAAAATATAGTCTCTTGTCATAACTGATCTATATGTACCTGAGAAGGAGATTATCAGGATATAGGCTTGAATATATAGTTGTTAGATATATTTTTTGATTGATTTAGATTTTCTATATCCTTGCTAAGTATTTCTCCCTTAATTTGTCTAAGTCTGAGGGAGGTATTTTAAATTCTCTTATTATTAGTGTGAGTTTGTCTATTTTTCCTTTTGTCTTCTATAATTTCTGCTTTGTGCAAGTTGTTGCTGTATTATTTTGTGCATACAGATTAACAACAATAACGTCATTATACATGATAGCTTTTAGCATCATAAAGTATCCTTCTTTATCTTGTCTAGTGCTTTTAGTTCTAAATGATAGCATATTTGACCATGACACCTGTTTTCATTTTATCTTTGCCATTTAAAATTAATTTTTTTTTACTTTTTAATTTGATCTTTCTGATTACTTAGTTTTGTATGTGTTTCTTGAAAAAACATAGGGTTGTATTTATTTTGTTAACAGTTTTTTTGAGTGGGTGCATTTAGCCTATATACATTTATTGATATTAGTGGTAGGTTTTATGTCAATAGTCATATGTTTTCCGTTGCACTTACTATAAACACATGAAGTCCTTTACTCTTTGGCTTCCTGGTGTGAAAACCTAACATAAACCAGCTTAAACAAAAATGTAGGACTTTTTGGAAGCTCATTAGGATGGCTCATGGAAGATAAGGTGGAACTAGAAACCAGGGCAGCAGATGGAAGAAACATTAATAGCTGGATTGACAGAAACTTGGGGTGAAGCAGAGAAGAGATGGTGGGGGGAGGATGCAGAGACAGTGGTTGGGACTGAGACTGTGGATGGGTGGGCACCTGTGGAAAACCACCAGGGGAGCTTTCAGACTATTGAAGAAATGCCCAGTGCGTTTTAAGAAGATTGTCTTATGTGTGATTTAAAAGAAATATTTAAAAATTTGACACAGAAAATGAATATTCAATGATGTTATCACACTTTTTTGAATAGATTTTTTTATTGTGGCAAAATATACATTACATAAAATTTATCATAACTTTTTTTTTTTTTTGAGACAGGGTCTCACTCTGTGTCGCCCAGTCTGAGTGCAGTGACACAATGATGATTCACTGCAGCCTTGACTTCCTGGGCTCAAGTGATTCTCCTACCTAGCCAAGTAGCAGGGACTATAGGCACGTGCCACCTGCCTGACTAATTTATTTTTAATTTTTGTGGAGATGGGGGGTCTTGCTCTGTTGCCCAGGCTGGTCTTGAACTCCTGAACTCAAGCAATCCTCCCTCCTCAGCCTCCCAAATTGCTGGGATTACAGTCATGAGACGCCACACCTGGCGTCATCTGAACCATTTTTAAATGTATAGACTTTTAGTACATTCACACTATTGTGTGACCATCACCACCATATAGCTCTAGAACTCTATCAACCCAAACCTGAACACTAAACACTAACTCCCTATTCCTGGCCTCCCTCTAGCCCCTTGTAATCACTATTTGACGTTCTGTCTCTATGAATTTCACTGTTCTAGGTGCCAAGATATAAGTGGAATCCTACAATATTTGTCCTTTTGTGACTGGCTTATTTCCCTTAGCATAATGTCCTCAAGGTTCCCTCATGTTGTAGCATATGCCAGAATTTCATTCCTTTTTAAAGCTGAATAATATTCCATTGTATGTATATACAACATTTTGTTTATCCATTCTTCCATTCAACTGTCGATGGACATTTGGGTTGCCTTCTCCTTTTGGCTATTGTCAATAATGCTACTACGAACATGGGTGTACAAAATCTGTTCACATTCCTGCTTTCAGTACTTTGGGGTCTATACCCAGAAGTGAAATTTCTGGATCACATGGTGATTCTATGTTTTCTTTTTTTTTGAGACGGAGTCTCACTCTTATTGCCCAGCCTGGAGTGCAGTGGCTCGATCTCAGCTCACTGCAACCTCCACCTCCGGGGTTCAAGCAATTTTCTTGCCTCAGCCTCCCGAGTAGCTGAGATTACAGGTATCCGCCACCATGCCTGGCTAATTTTTGTATTTTTGGTAGAGATGGGGTTTCACCATGTTGGCCAGGTTGGTTACGAACTCCTGACCTCAAATGATCCACTCGCCTCGGCCTCCCAAAGTGCTGGGATTACAGGCGTGAGCCACCACGCCCGGCCTCTATGTTTAATATTTTAAGGAACCCCCATTCTTATGCACAATTTTAAGTTGTTGGGTCTATTGGACTTTCCAAGTTTCCAAACTTTCAAAGTCTGCTAAACACACTAATGCCTATGTTACCCATGACACCTCTCTCTCTCTCAAGCTCTACATCCAGTCCTTCATTGTTGATGTTACCTGAGAAATAGCTCCCTCTGGCCAGGCGCAGTGGCTCACGTCTGTAATCTCAGCACTTTGGGAGGCCGAGGTGGGTGGATCACTCGAAGTCAGGAGTTCGAGACCAGCCTGGCCAACATGGTGAAACTCCATCTCTACCAAAAAATACAAGAAATTAGCTGGACATGGTGGTGGGTACCTGTAATCCCAGCTACTCAGGAGGCTGAGGCAGGAGAATTGCTTGATCCCAGGAGGGTGGAGGTCGCAGTGAGCTGAGATTGTGCCACTGCATTCCAGCCTAGGTGACAAGAGCGAACCTCCATCTCAAAAAAAAAAAAAAAAGAAATAGCTCCCTCCTCAATCTATGCACTTTCTTTCCATCTCCACCATCACTATGGTTGTCTGAATGGTCTTTATCTCTCTCTGGGCCACTTCACATCCACTATTGTTTCTCTACAATCTGCTGTTCACACTGCAGCCATGGTATAAAATGTATGCCATAGGATTCCTCTGTAGTCTAAGAACAGGCAAAATTATTTTATGGTGAGAAAAATAAAAACAGTGGTAATTGTGGGTGGGGGTGTTGGAGGTTGATTGGAAAGGATTGACAGAACTTTCTGAGGAGATGAACTATTCTGTATCTTATTTGGGTATTGGTTATACTGGTAATTACATTTGCAATACTCAAATACTCATTGATTTGTACAAGTACCTTTTTTTTTTCTTTTCTTTTCTTTTTTTTTTTTTTTTTTTTGAGACGGAGTCTGGCTCTGTTGCCCAGGCTGGACTGCAGTGGCGCAATCTCGGCTCACTGCAAGCTCCGCCTCCCGGGTTCACGCCATTCTCCTGCCTCAGCGTCCTGAGTAGCTGGGACTACAGGCGCCCACCACCACACCCAGCTAATTTTTTGTATTTTTAATAGAGACAGGGTCTCACCGTGGTCTCTATCTCCTGACCTCGTGATCCGCCCGCCTCGGCCTCCCAAAGTGCTGGGATTACAGGCGTGAGCCACCGCGCCCGGCCACCTTTTTTTTTCTTGAAAATTATAGCCATGCCTTTCATCACACCTTAACCCACCCTAGACTCTCCCTCCCACCAACACCTGAAATTCCTTGCTGTCTTTGCTTTGCTCTCAGGTGAAAGACCACATGTTTGCCTTGACCTGCATGCCACAGCCCACCTACAGCTCCTCCCCTGTCTCTCATGGCACTTGCCCTCTTTCTGCATATACTGCTCATGTGGCACTCTTTGGCTTCCTCGGCTCCCTCTTCCACGGGGACTTAGGATATGCGATTCCCTCTGCCTGGTATTCTTTTCTGCCTTCTCTTCGCTGAGTCAATTCCTATCTATCCCTTAGAATTCAAGGATATGTCATTGACCCAGGAAAGTCTTCTCTGACCCGCCAGGCTGTAAGGTGCTCTCCAGCCTTATGTACAGCTCTTTTGTTCTTATGACTCTATGATTCTGTGTCAAGTTGTATCATTATTTGACTCCTGTCCATCTTTTCTACTGTAAGCTGCATGACAGCATGTCTGAGTTCACTCATCAGTCTGTCCTCAGTACCTAGCATAGTTGCTGAGTACATGGTAAATGCCCAACAAATGTTTGTTTGGAAGACTGAAAGACAGACAAACGGAAAGAAGGAAGAGAAGAAAGAAAGAGAGGAAGGCAGAAGAAAGAATGATAAATAAATAAATAAATAAATAAAATTTGGAGAAGTCAAAGAAAAACATTGTGCTGCATGTTTGAGGGAGAAACAAATGGAATGGGATGTGAGTGAAACCCAGAAGACACAGGGCATTTGAGTAAAGGTGTTCCTACGAGAATCTAGGGCTGAAGGAATTCACAGAAATCTTAGAGAGGGATTGGATTCCCCATAGAGCCCAAAAGAGGAAGTTTGAGTCAATTCTATCTGAATTCAAAGGACGAGGTGACCCTTGCAGGACGATTATCTGGGTGGCCTTGAGCTGATTTAGTTTCTCCCCTGCACCTGTCTCATTTGTAGTTCTCAAATATAACTGTAGAATGTGCTGGCAATGCAACATCCTGAGATAAGGGGGAATTGACTGGAACATCCCAGGCTCTATTAAGTCCCCCCTGGAGAACAGGAATGCTCTTCAACACCTTAGCCCAGTATGTCATGTTACCCAGAGGTATATAATCCGGGACAGGCTGCCATTTGGGGTTCCTCAGCTGTGGTACAAGTGTGCCATGTGAAGATAAGACTCCATCTACCCCAGGCAGCTTTTCTAAGCTTGGGGGGACCAGGTCACAGTAAATGCTAGGTTTCTGTCATCCCTTGCTGTCTATCTGTAAGTAATGAACCTGCTTCTTGTCACTTGTATATGAATGTATTCTGTCTCACTGACTCAGACAAGTTGGGAACTAGTGCATGGTGAACCTACTTCACAACCATCCAATGAGGATACACATGCCGGTGAAGTTCTTAGTAGGGAGCAGCCTCAAAATAAATGTTAATGCCCTTTATCCCTTCTTTCTCCATTGGGTGAAGGCCTTAAGTTGCACTGTGGTACCGTTACTCTTTTGTTTGTCCTTGTTCATCTTTCTCTTGCCCATCAAAAGCAAAGAAAAAGAGAACATGTTACCTTGCTGTTATTTTTTTTTTTTTAACTTTTAAGATCAGGGGTACGTGTGCAGGATGTGCAGGTTTGTTACATAGATAAACATGTGTCATGGGGATTTGTTGTACAGATTATTTCATCACCAGGTATTAAGCCTAGTACCCATTAATGATTTTTCCTGATTTTCTCCCTTCTCCCAACCTCTGCCCTCTAGTAGTCCCCAGTGTGTAAGTGTTCCCCTCTATGTGTCCATGTGTTCTCATCATTTAGCTCCCACTTATAAGTGAGGACATGTGGTATTTGGTTTTCTCTTATTGCATTAGTTTGTTAAGGATAATGACCTCCAGCTCCATCCATGTCCCTGCAAAGGATGTGATATTGTTCCTTTTTATGGCTGCATAGTATTCCATGGTGTATATGTACCACATTTTCCTCATCCAGTCTATCATTGATGGACATTTGGGTTAATTCCATGTCTTTGCTATTGTGAATAGTGCTGCAATGAACATATTCATGCATATGTCTTTATAACAGAACAATTTATATTCCTTTGGGCATATACCCAGCAATGGGATTGCTGGGTTGAATGGTATTTCTGTCTGTAGGTCTTTGAGGAAGCACCACACTGTCTTCCACAATGGTTGAACTAATTTATGCTCCCACCAACAGTATAAAAGCATATCGTTTTTTCTCCACAACCTTGCCAGCATCTATTGTTTTTTGACTTTTTTAATAATAGCCATTTTGACTGGTATGAGATGGTGTCTCATTTTGGTTTTGATTTGCATTTGTCTAATGATCAGTGATGTTGACCTTTGTTTCATATGATTGTTGGCTACATGTATATCTTCTTTTGAGAAGTGTCAGTTCATGTCCTTTGCTCACTTTTTTATGGGTTTTTTTTTCTTATGAATTTGTTTGTTTCTTATAGATGCTGGATATTACACCTTTGCCAGATGCATAGTTTGAATAAATTTTCTACCATTCCATAGGTTGTCTGTTTACTCTGTTGATAGTTTCTTTTGCTGTGAAGAAGCTCTTTAGTTTAATTAGATCCCATTTGTCAAATGTTGCTTTTGTTGCAATTGCTTTTGGTGATTTCATCATGGAATCTTCGCTCATGCCTATGTCCTTAATGGTATTACCTAGGTTTTCTTCTAGGGTTTTTATAGTTTTCGGTTTTAAATTTAAGTTTTTAATCCATCTTGAGTTTGTTCTTGAATATGGTGCAAGGAAGGGGTCCATTTTCAATTTTCTGCATATGACTAGCCAGTTCTCCCAGCACAATTTATTAAATAGGGATTTTTTCCCTATTGCTTGTTTTTGTCAGGTTTGTTAAAGATTAGATTGTTGTAGGTGTGTAGTCTTATTTCTGGGTTCTCTGTTCTGTTCCATTGGTCTATGTATCTGTTATTCTACTATGCTGTTTTGGTTATTGTACCCCTGTAGTGTAGTTTGAAGTCAGGTAGCATGCTGCCTCCAGCTTTGTTCTTTTTGCTTAGGATTGTCTTGGCTATTTGGGCTTTTCTTTTGGTTTCATATGAATTTTTAAATCTTTTTTTTTCTAGTTCTGTGAAGAATGTCAATGGTAGTTTAATGGGAATAGCATTGAATCTATAAATTGCTTTGGGCAATATGGCCATTTTCATGCTATTGATTCTTTCTATCCATGAGCATGGAATGTTTTTCCATTTGTTTGTGTCATCTCTGATTTCTTCGAGCAGTGGTTTGTGGCTCTCCTTGTAGAGGTCCTTCACTTCCCTTGTTAGCTGTATTCCTAGGTATTTATTCTTTTTGTGGCAATTGTGAATGGGAGTTCATTCATGATTTGGCTCTCAGCTTGCCTGTTGTTGGTGTATAGGAATGCTAGCAATTTTTGCACATGGATTTCGTATCCTGAGATTTTGCTGAAGTTGCTTATCAGCTTAAGAAACTTTTGGACTGAGACAATGGTATTTTCTAGATATAGGATCATGTTGCCTGCAAACAAAAATAGTTTTGACTTCCTCTCTTCCTATTTGAATGCCCTTTATGTCTTTATCTTGCCTGATTGGAAGTTGTGGCCAGGGCAATCTATGTTGAATAGGAGTGGTGAGAGAGGGCATTCTTCTTTTGTGCCAGTTTTCAAGGGGAATGCTTCCAGCTTTTGTGCATTCAGTACGATATTGGCTGTGGGTTTGTCATAAATAGCTCTTATTATTCTGAGCTATGTTCTTCAATATCTAGTTTATTCAGAATTTTTAACATGAAGAAATGGCAAATTTAGCAAAGCCTTTTCTGCATCTATTGAGATAATCTTTTTTTTCTTTTAGATGGAGTTTTGCTTTTGTTGCCCAGGCTGGAGTGCAGTGGCATGATCTCGGCTAACTGCAACCTCCACCTCCTGGGTTCAGGCGATTCTCCTGCCTCAGCCTCCTGAGTAGCTGGGACTACCAGTGCCCACCACCATGCCCAGTTAATTTTTGTATTTTTAGTAGAGATGGGATTTCACCATGTTGGCCAGGCTGGTCTTGAACTCCTGATCTCAGGTGATCTGCCTGCCTCAGCTTCCCAAAGTGCTGGGATTACAGGTGTGAGTCACCATGCCTGGCCATCATCCATTATGTGTCTTTTTGTTTTTGGTCTTGTCTTCTGATTATGTGATGAATTACATTTATTAATTTGCGTATGTTGAACCAACCTTGCATCCTGGGGATGAGGCCCACTTGATTGTGGTGGATAAGCTTTTTGATGTGCTGCTGAATTCAGTATTTTGTTGAGGATTTTTGCATCAATGTTCATCAAGGATATTGGCCTGAAGTTTTCTTTTTTTGTCATATCTCTGCCAGGTTTTGGTATCAGAATGATGGTGGTCTCATAGAATGAGTTAGGGAGGAGTCCCTTCTTTTCAGTTTTTTGAAATAGTTTCAGTAGAAATGGTACCAGCTCCTCTTTGTACATCTGGTAGAATTCAGCTGTGAAATTCTCTGGTCCTGGGCTTTTTTTTGGTTTGTAGGCTATTTATTACTGCCTCAATTTCAGAACTCCTTATTAGTCTGTTCAGGGATTCAGCTTCTTGCTGGTTCAGTCTGGGGAAGGTTTATGTGTCCGAGAATTTATCCATTTCTTCTAGATATTCTAGTTTGTGCACATAGAGGTGTTTATAATATTCTTTTATGGTTACTTGTATTTCTGTGGTCAGTGGTAATATCCCCCTTATCATTTCTGATTATGTTTACTTGAATCTTCTCTTTTTTCTTATTAGTCTAGCTAGTGGTCTATTTTATTATTATTTTTTTTTTCAAAAAAGCAGCTCCTAGATTTGTTGATCTTTTGAAGGGTTTTTCATGTCTCTATTTCCTTCATTTCAGCTCTGAGTTTGGTTATTTCTTGTCTTCTGCTAGCTTTGGGGTTTGTTTGCTCTTGGTTCTCTAGTTCTTTAGTTGTGATGTTAGGTTATTAACTTGAGATCTTTCTAGTTTTTTGATGTGAGTATTTAGTGCTATAAATTCCCCCTCTTAACACTGCCTTAGCTGTGTCCCAGAGATTCTGGTATGTTTTATCTTTGTTCTCATTAGTTTCAAAGAACTTCTGGATTTCTGCTTTAATTTCATTATTTACCCAAAAGTCATTCAGGAGCAGGTTGTTCAATTTCCACGTAGTTGTATGGTTTTGAGTGAATTTCTTAGTCTTGAGTTCTAATTTGATTGTGCTGTGGTCCAAGAGACTGTTACGATTTCAGTTATTTTGTGTTTGCTGAAGCATTTTTACTTCTGATTATGTGATCAATTTTAGAGTAAGTGCCAAGTGGTGATAAGAAGAATGTATATTCCATTGTTTTTGGGTGGGGAGTTCTGTAGATGTCTATCGGGTCCATTTGATACAGTGCTGAGTTCAGGTCCTGACTATCTTTGTTAATTTTCTGTCTTGATGATCTATCTAATATTGTCAGTGGGGTGTTAAAATCTCCTACTATTATTGTGTGGTAGTCTAAGTCTCTTTGACAGTCTCCAAGAACTTGCTTTATGAATCTGGGTGCTCCTGTATTGGGTGCATATATATTTAGGATAGTTACTTCTTGTTAAATTACATAATTATCATTATGTAATGCTCTTCTTTGTCTTTTCTGGTCTTTGTTGCTTGAAAGTCTGTTTTGTCAGAAATTAGGATTGCAAAAATACTCCTGCTTTTTTTCTATTTTCCATTTGCTTGGTAAATTTTTTTCCATCCCTTTATTTTCAGCCTATGTGTGTCTTTGCATGTGAAATGGGTCTCTTGAAGACAGCATACCAGTGGGTCTTGATTCTTTATCCAGCTTGCCACTCTGTGTTTTTTAATTGGAGCATTTAGCCCATTTACATTTAAGGTTAGTATTGTTATTTGTGGATTTGATCCTGTCATCATGATGCTAGCTGGTTATTTTGCAGACTTATTTTTGTGGTTGCTTCATAGTGTCACTGGTCTGTGTACCTCAGTGTGTTTTTATAGTGGCTAGTAATGATTTTTCCTTTCCACATTTAGTGCTTTCTTCAGGAGCTCTTTTAAGGCAGGTCTGGTGGTAACGAATTTCCTTGGCATTTGCTTCTCTGAAAAGGATCTTATTTCTCCTTGGCTTATGAAGCTCAGTTTGGCCAGATATGAAATTCTGGGTTGGAATTTGTATTCTTTAAGAATGTTGAATATTGGTCCCATCTCTTTTGGCATGTAGGATTTCCACTGAGAGGTCCACTGTTAATCTGCTGGGCTTCCCTTTGTAGGTGACCTGGTCTTTCTCTCTGACTGCCCTTAACATTTTTTTCTTTCATTTCAACCTTGGAGAATCTGATGATTATGTGTCTTGGGGATGATCTTGTGGAGTATCTTGCTGGGGTTCTCTGCATTTCCTGAATTTGAATGTTGGCCTGTGTAATTAGGTTGGGGAAGTTCTCCTGGATAATATCCTGAAATATGTTTTCCAAATTGGTTCCATTCTCCCAATCTCTTTCAGGTACCCCAGTTGGTCATAGATTCAGTCTCTTTACATAATCCCATATTTCTTGAAGGTTTTGTCCATTCCTTTTCATTCTTTTTTTTTCTCTATTCTTATCTGCTTGTCTTATTTCAGAAAGCCAGTCTTTAGGCTCTGAGATTCTTTGCTCTGCTTGGTCTATTCTGCTATTAATACTTGTGATTACATTGTGAAGTTCGTGTAGTATATTTTTCAAGCTCTATCAGGTCAGTTATGTTCCTCTCTGTAATGGCTATTTTGGCTGTTAGCTCCTATATTGTTTTATCATGATTTTTACCTTCCTTGCATTGGGTTACAGTGTGCTCCTTTAGCTCAGCGAAGTTTGTTTTTATCCATTTTCTGAAGCTTACTTTGTCATTTCGGCCATCTCATCCTCAGCCCAGTTCGGAACCCGTGCTGGAGAGGTGTTAGGGTAATTTGGAGGAAAGAGGGCACTCTGGCTTTTTGAGTTTTCAGCATTTTTATGCTGATTTCTTCTCATTTTTGTGGGCTTACCTACTTTCAATCTTTGAGGTTGCTGACCTTTTGGATGAGTTTCTTTTTGTGTGTTTTTGTTGTTGTCTGTCTTTCTTTTAACAGGCTGGTCAGTTTTCTGTAGGGCTCCTCCAGTTTGCTGGGGGTCCACTCCATACTCTAGTCACCTCAGATATTCCAGTACCTGGAGGTATCGCCAGTGAAGGCTGCAAAACAGCAAAGATGGCAGCCTGCCCCTTCCTCTGGGAGCTCCATCCCAGGGGGGTATGGACCTGTTGCTGGCCTTAATGCACCTGTAGGAGATGGCTGGAGATCCCAGTTGAGAGGTCCCACCCAGTTAGTAGAATGAGATCAGGAACCCTCTTAAAGAAGTGGTCTGTGTTTTGGTAGAGCAGCTGTGCTGTATTGGGGAATCCCTTCAGCTCCCCATTGGTTTGGGCTCTCCAAGACTGAAACTCCCAAATAGCAAAGGTGGCAGGCCACCCCATTCCCCAGGCACTGTGTCCCAGGGAGAAATGAGAACTCTGTTGACTGTAGAACATGGCTGGGGGTAGCTGGAGGGCCTGGCTGGGAGGTCCCAGCCAGTGCAGTGGAATGGATCAAGATCCCGTTTAAAGCAGCAGCCTGGCCATGCCTCTGCAAAGCAGCTGTTGTGTGCTAGGGTATTGCCTCCACTTCAGTTGGTTTGGGCTCTCCAAAACCCACAATCTGGAATGGCTGAGTTGCTCAAACAGCAAAGGTGGTGGCCCGCCCTCCCTGCAGGCACTCTATCCCATGGAGAAATCAGAACTCTTGACCAGTCCTTGGATATGGGCGGGGGTGGCTGGAAACCCTGGCTGGGAGGTCCTGCCTAGTGAGGAGAAATGGATCCGGGTCCTGCGTAAAGCAGCCTGGCTACGTTCTGGTAAAGCAGCTGTGCTGTGTTGCGGAATCCCTTTCTCCTCTGGTCCATTTGAACTCTCCAAAGCCCACAGGCTGGAAAGGCTGAGTTGTCCAAACAGCAAAGAGGGGGAGCTCCCTCCCATCTCAGGTAGGCACTACCCTGTTGCTGGTGGCTGGTTGGAATTCCATGCCAGTTGGTCTTTTTTTGTGAGGTGCCATGGAAGTGGGGCCTGCAGACTGACGCTGCTTGGCCCCCTGGATTCAGCCCCCTTCCTAGGGGTATGTACAGACTTTTTGCCATGCCTGAGTTGCAGTCACCTTTGCTGGGGATCCTGGGGCTGCAGTATATAAAGCTTCTGGGTCTCTGTGCATGCCTGAGCAGCTACTCTTCCAAGACTCCACACAGCTCTGTGTGTCAGACCCAAGGCCCTGGTGGAGTGGGTTCATGAGGGGACCTCCTGGTCCATGGTTGCAGAGATTTATGGGAGAAGTGTGGTTTCCTTGAGTTGCACATTCACTCACCACTTCCCTTGGCTGGGGGTGGGGGTTTCCCTGGCTCCGCATCACTTCCGGGTGAGCCATTGCCCTGCCCTGCTTTCCTCCATTCTACATGGGTCAAGCTGTTTCCCTGATTAATCCCAATATGAGTACCTGGGTGTTTCAGTTGAAGGTGCTGTATTTACTTGTCCCTTTTGTTCCTTTCTGTGAGTGCCATGCACTGTAGCTGCTTCTAACCAGACATATTGGCCCCCAGTCTGGCTGTTCTTCTTTTGCACAAAAACTTGACACATGCATAGAATGTGTAATGACCACATGTACCACATAAATATGTACAAATATTATATATCATAAAAAATCCATTAGAAAATACTTGCTACTATTTCTGCTCATCCAGGAAAAGAACCACATTAGTGGTCTTAAAAACTTGTGGGAAGCAGACAGGGATGTACATCACTATCAATCAACCAACCAACTATTGCTAAGCTATTAATTATTTTAAATCCTCTTCTTTAAAAAAAAATCAATAACCAGCCAGGCACAACGGCTTATGTCTGTAATCCCAGCACTTTGGGAGGCTGAGGTGGGTGGATCACTTGAGTTGAGGAGTTAGACCAGTGTGGATGACGTGGCAAGAGCTTGTCTCTACAAAAAATGTTTTAAAAAACTATTTGGGTGTCGTGGCGCATGCCTGTGGTCCCAGCTATTTGGGAGGCTGAGGTGGGAGGATTGCTTGAGCCCAGGAGGTCAAGCCTGCAGTGAGACATGTTCATGCCACTGCCTTCCACCCTGGGCAACAGAGCAAGACCCTGTCACTTAAAAGAAGAAATTAATGACCACTTTATGTTGATGACTTATTGCTTTATTTAGTTGTTTTACGTCTGACTTTCTGTCAGATACTTCTTAACAGGGAAGGACATTTTTCTGAACAGTTTAACCACAGTCTAAAACAGGGTAGCTTTGAAACTGGTTTAGTGGTTTTCTTGTGCTGGTTACATAGGTTATTAGCTGACATTACTGGCACCCAGACTGGGGGGCCCATTTTAGAGTTCAAGGCAAATGTCTACAAGGCCATTTCTTGAGTTAGGCCCTTGACTCCCCATTTACCTTGAAAAGGTGGAAGGGCTTCCATGCAGACCTTGATTGTCTAGGCCAGTGGTGCTGGAACCAGAGGTGATGTTGCCCTCTATGGGACATTTGGCAATGTCTGGAGACATCTTTGGTTGCTGCAGCCTGGGGGAGGGGTACTACAGGCACCTGCTGCTAAAAATCCTGCAATGCACAGGATAGCCTCTCACAACTAAGAACTATCTAGCTTGAGATGTTAAGAATGCCATGGTTGAAAACCCTGCTCTAGACCTGATGTGCGTGTGTGCTGTGAGGGGTCAAGGCCAGGAGTCCTGGCTCACTGTGTTCTTAGGGCTTCAACATGAGAAGGCAGGTAGTACCCATAAATACTGACTTTGCGATAAGACACATGATGATATTAAAGAAGGATTATGAGCCTCTCGGGTCAACATGAAAGAACTTTCTATTCTTAGTTGAAAACAAAACATGAAAACTATGAAAACCATCACTGTGGGGCTTTAAGGCAGGTCCACACAGAAAAACAAAGCCAATGTAAAAGTCAACCCAATTCCATCACCCATCTCCCTATTCGACTAGGCTATCTTTTGTTTAAGGGAGTGTCTAGACAATTATGTATGCAGTTATTTTTCCACCGTGTGGGACATTTTGGTTCTAAAGTAATGATGTTTAATTACTCTCAAGGCACTATGTTAATTTCTAAGTGAGGTGTATTGAAAATTTGGCTGTTTACTCTTAGCAAACATGATTTGCAAGCATTCTCAGTGATGTTATTTCAGATAGAGCTCGTTAAATTCTGGCTGAATAACAGAACTGTCAGTGCAGTGGAGCCACCTTACCAGTTCTTTGATGTACTCAGATGCTTTGTTTAATGAAAAACATGCCCATTTCAGCCTAAATGCCTGTATTTGACCTTCCCTTTACAAGTGTGGCCAGGTCCCTAGATTTAAAGATTACCTGTGGCAAGGGTAGTTATTTTTATGTTAGCATTTGACCCTTAGTGCTCACCCAGCTAAGGGACAGGTCTCCAAATACACTCATGCCCTTTGCACAAGTGTCTAGGTATGTGAGTTGATATAGTTTGGATATTTGTCCCCACCCAAATATCATGTTGAATTGTAATCCTCAGTGTTGGAGGTGGGGCCTGGTGGGAGATGTTTGGATCATTGAGGCAGATCCCTCATGGCTAGGTGCTGTCTTTGTGGTTGTGAGAGCTGGTCATTTAAAAGTGTGTGGCATGTGATACCCCTGCCCCCCACAATCACCTGCATTCCCTCTCTCTCGCTCCTGCTTTTGCCATGTGACGTGCCTGCCCCCCTTCACTTTTTGCCATGACTGGAAGCTTCCTGAGGTCCTCACCAGAAGCAGATGCTGCCATGCTTCCCGTATAGCCTGCAGAACTGTGAGCCAATTAAACTTATTTTCTTATAAATTACCCAGTCTCAGGTATTTATTTAAAGCAGTGCAAGAACTGCCTAATACATGAGCGCAGAATGTGGGGTGGAGAATAGGCAGTGCCAGGCCCTTGTTCTCCTGTAGGACCCTCTTGACATTCCCATTACTGTTGGCTTTGCCACCTCTTCTTGGCATTTGATGACCCAGTTGATTGACTGTTTAGTATCCCATTTTCTCTGCCTTCAAAGAAAGACCAGGATGAGGACCACTGCTGTTGATGTAACTTAGCCTCTGTTCTTTCCACTATAGGTGCTGTTATCACTCCCTTCTTTCCCACTCCAAGTCAGAAATCCTGAAAGCCAGGAAAGGATTCCTTGCTAAACATAAACACAGCTTTCCAAGTCAAACTCTGATGGCTTGACTTCAGCCAGCACATTTGGTTATTGGGCTTCAACTTCCAGTTTGCTCAGGGCTGCCGTGGGTCCTTAACTGAGAGATTCTGGTGGAATCTCATGCCAACTGGAGGCTCTGCCATTTTCAGAGTTGATCCTAGGTCAGCAAAACATTTCAAGTACACACTGTCTCAGGCATGTATAGCTCTATCTATTCAGCACTCACTTTGATTACTAGCTTTCTGGCACCTCAATCCTCATAGATTATTGCTTCAGTCAATCAACCTTCCTGTAGTTTTCTCCAGTTAGGATTTGTTTCTTCCTTCCCTCCTGGTCCAGTTCTCACTTTTTGGATCAGACCCAGGACTCTCTCTTTGTATTTCCCCAGCAAGCATTCCATGGACAGCAAGAATATGCTCAGCCTGGCTCAAAACTACATTTTCAGCAAGTCCCATCCCCCATATCTTCTGCCTCCATCCTTCTGCCTTTACCAAGCTTCCTACAGAATGTATGATTTTATGAATCTCTGTAAATAGGTAATCTAGATAAGAGCTCCACCTCCAAGCAGCCCAGTGTAAGTCAATATTGCATGCAGCAAAATATATCCAGCAGCCAAGAGCAATTTTAAGAGTTGCCGTCACACTCTCCTTAGTGTATATTAACAGGGATCCAGTTAGTAGCCCACAGAAATAGTTCTTAAAAGTTACCTTTCCTAGAGATAATGGGTAGTTACTGGAATCTGGAATGGGGAGATGGGTGCAGAGGGCTGCCTGACACGCCTGGGAGTGGTGATGGCTTCGGGCTGTTCCGGGTGTTGTATTTAATTTTTGCTTTCACCTTTGTAGATAGCCTCTTTCTTAGTCTGTCTTCAAATGGACCCATTTGAGTGCATCATATGAGTCCTACCAGGACCTTGCTTGACATAGAGTTAATCACATTCTCATCTATGCTCCCTGATATGGTTTGGCTCTGTGTTCCCATCCAAATCTCATGCCAAATTGTAATCCCCATGTGTTGAATGAAGGGCCTGTTGGGGGTGATTGAATCAGGGGGATGGCTTCCCCCTTGCTGTTCTCGTGATATAATTCTCCCAAGATCTGGTTGTTTGAAAGTGTGTAGCACTTCCCCTTTCGTATTTTCTCTCTCCTGGTCCACCATGGTAGGATGTTCTTGCTTCTCCTTTACCTTCCACCATGATTGTAAGTTTCCTGAAGCCTCCTAGGAAGGAAACTTAAAATCAGGCCTCCATGCTTCCTGTATAGCCTGCAGAAGTGTGAGTCAATTAAACCTCTTTTCTTCATAAATTACTCAGTCTCAGGTCGTTCTTTATAGCAGTATGAGAATGGACTAATATACCCCACAGCAGCTTGTATACATCCCTGCTTCAGCAATACTGCTTCAGCAATACCACATTGTTTTGTAATCATCTATTTACAGGTCAGTCTTTCTGAGAAGATTGTGGGTTCCAGAGGGCAGGGACAGTATCTTGCTTACCATTCTACCTCGAAACCAAGGAAATATCTGGTGGTGTCTTTGTGAATATAGGAGATGAGGAGGTGAGTCCCTTCCTAGGCAGGTGAGAGAGAGAGTTCCCAAACAATCCTACCAGGCCTGTTCCATCCCTGAGCAGGGACCTCCCGCAAGCCAAGACTGGGGAGAACAGTAATTGAGACAAGGGGCCTGGCTTCCAGGCACAGGCACCCGCTGGACTGCAGGCAGTACAGTGTGTGCATGCTGTAGATAAGAGAGAGATAAGTTATTTAAACTTACTATGCCCAAATTTCCACATCTATAATATGGATATAATAGTCCCCTTCTTATAGGATTCTTGTATAAATTAAATGTAATACCACATACTTGGCATATGGTAAGTGCTTAGTAGTTGTTAGCTGAAAAATACATGAATAAGCCTGTGCGGTTTCAGTACAGAGCACACGCCGGGGCACCAGGAGGTCTGGGATTTCAGAGGAGCTTTCTTTTATGACCATGAACAAGTCAATCAGCTTCCCTGGGGTCTTAAGATCCCTCTAGCACCAACTTTCCACTGACTTCTGAAGAGTTTTAGCGAAACTAATTCTTCATATATTTCTGCAATGGAACCATCCCTTTCATCTCCCTGCACTGGGAACTTGCACCCTGAGAACCCTGGGTGATGGATTCTGTCTTTTCCTCCACCCCTTCTTTGTTTCTCCCTTGGAGGCAGGGGCAGGGCACCTGTTTCATGGGTGAGGTTTGGAAAAATGCCATCACACATGTGTGTCCTTGCCTGACCTTTTTTTTTGAGACAGAGTCTCCATTGCCCAGGCTGGAGTGCAATAGCACAATGTCAGCTTACTGTGGCCTCAACCTCCCACTTCAGCCTCACCTGTAGCTGGGACTACAGGTGTGTGCCACTGCATACAGCTAATTTTTTGTAGTTTTTTTGCAGAGATGGGTTTTTGCCATGTTGCCCAGGCTGATCTTGAACTTCTGGCCTCAGGCATTCCATCCACCTCGGCCTCCTGAAGTATTGGGATTACAGATGTGAGCCGCCTTGCCCGGCCTATTTTGGAATCTTGCTAGCACCTGCCTCCTCTCCTCTTCTCTGCCTCCTGCACACAATGAGCAATGTGGGGCAGGCTCTGTCCCTGCAAGGGCATGGTGAGGAGGCCCTAGGGGCAGCGTGAAGTTGTCTAGATCCTCTGCTTGCAGTTGGATGGGGAAAAAGCACTTTGCCCTTGGGTATAATTTCCATTTTCTAACCTCATCCAACTTTACCAGCAATAAATAGATATTTTGATTTCTATGAGGTCGGTGTGTTCCACATTATGAAATGGAGAGGAGTGTAATTAACCACTGCCCTGAATCTTCAACATATGGTATACTGACTGGGAAACCCTAGCAAGAAACAGTAATGGCATGGTAACTAAAATCCTGCATGGTGAGATTTGATTGGCACAGCTTGGAAGGTTTAGTTAGACCACTTGGTATTTGTGGTCTGCAACAGTTTGTATCATGACTGATGTTTTTAGGTGTATAGTAGGTTGAAATAGGTGCTGGCTGAACAGGCTTCTTTCATATGAGTGGACCTCAGTGGTCAGTTGGTTACCCAAGCAAGGCTTTGCCTTCTTTATCTTAGGTCAGGATGGACTTGTTTGGGACCTTAGCATGTAGACGTCTAGGATCAGGCTGAAGTAGGTATTTCCTTCTCTGGGTCTCAGGACCATCTTTCTTAGGGAGCTGACACTGAGGAAGCAGCTTCACTCCTTGGGGACTTCAGAGTCCCACACGAAGAGGGCAAGGCCTTTGCCATCTCCTAGACTGTAGGGGAGGAGGTAGACCCTCATGGTGTTTTGCCCCGGTCCCTGGGGCACAAGGTTCAAGTGCACATGCATTGATTTCTAGCATTTACAGTTTGTGCACTGCTGAGGATTGGGGGTAAAAGGCAAATACTCTTTTTTCTTGTTTCTGCCTTCATCCTTTTTTTTCAGCTCTGGTTAAGGGATTGGCATCCAGGATAAATCAAATCTTGCTGAAACAGGAAAAGAGTGGGTGGAGAGGTTTTTTATACTCCCATCAGAGCAGAGAAGGTTAACTAAGGCATGAGAAATTAAAAGCTGAAAAGGCAAGATTTGGGGGAAAAGAACATGGCGGGAGGACATTGCCTCTCTCTGAGTTTCCATGGGAAGCCCAGGGCTGAGAGAGCTTCCACCTTCTGCCTGGTTGGGGAGGAGAAGGACTTGGGAGCACAGCTGCGCCCTTGATGAGAGATTTCTTCCAATTGAGCGAATGCTCGCTGGTCGTGAACTCTAGATGACCAGCATGGACGGGCCAGCATCCTGGCACAACTGAAACAAAGAAGGCTTTTTCTTTCCTTTCAGAATTTTTCTCTTTGCCCAAGAGGCCACTAAATCTCTACTGGATTGTTTTCCGACAATAGCAATGTGGGTTTGGGTGACACTGGGCACTGCATCCTGAAAAATGAATGTCCCCTGGGACAACTGCTTTGGTATCTAAGGATGTTGGTGGCTAAGGCTGGTACTCTGATAACTTTCTGTAGCCTATGGACACTTAGAGTCTAAAATATTGAGCCTGAAAGAGTTTGAACCACTCCAGGGAAAGAGCCCAGACTGTGAGCTGCTGACAGAGGCTTCTCTCTACTCAGGCTGTAACCTTAATGGCTGGGATTGACAGATTGAATTGAAGGATCAGCGAGCAAAAGAAGCCATGAGAATTTACATGAACTTTAAGTTACGAGGGAAGGGAACTTATGTTTTTGGACTTGAACTTTTCTTGGGAAATTAGACATGAGAGGAGGTCTACCTTAGAGCACTATGTATATGATTGGCATTGTAATTCTTGGAGAAATTCTGTGTTGTCATTTGTATTTGTTACTTACTCTCTGAGCGGGCTATCTAGATAATGTGGGTATGCATAATTTAAAATTAGAGATAGAATAGTGACTGCCGTTCTGGCCTAAAGTTCCGTATGGCCTTTAGCTAATATGCTGTTTAGATCCATCCCGAGTTCTGGAATGGCTGCAAAAACTGAACTGCCTTCACTCCCGAAGGAGAGGTTGCTATTGGCAGAGGAGACACACAGAAAGGAGGAGCAGGCCTGTCTTGATGAAAGTCTGGTCTCCCTCTTCTGTCCCATTTCTCAGGGGACACCAATGCTCCTGGTTGACCATGTGCTTCATTGTGAAGGCCATAGAACAGTCACCTTGAGTAAGGTAAACCATTGTTCCCTACCAGCCTGGCTCCTGGGAACTTCCAGAGTTATGGAAGGGTTGAGGAGAAGGCACTGCTCTTCTTGTCCCCAGTGCCATTGGCACGGCTCACCTGATGATGAGGTTAGAATAGGGCATTGCCCCTGCAGAGCCTAATTTCCCCTCTCATTGGCCCTCTTTTTCTGGGCATTTTTCATGGCATTTTCTGGGAATTTTTCATGCATTCTTGTGTGTGGCAAGCCTAGCTTCTTGGTGAGGAGAGACACAGGTGTCCAGCTGTTCTCTGTGTAACTAGGAGTTACAGCTATTCTCTCTGTAACTAGGATTTCCCTCACGGGGAAGGAGAAGGAAGACTATTTTATCCTTGGAGCTAACTAGCAGCCATCAGACTGACACATTGATCACCATCTGAATTCTGTGGCATCTCTCAATTGGTTAAAGCCCTAGAAAGAAGAGGAATGCTTTATTAGCACTCTACATTCCAGCACTTTATTCTATTCTCTTTCCAGTGGCCACGGGTGTCCCACAGAGCAATGCTAGAATCCCATGACCGCAGACATGGTGTGGATTCATCCCCACCCCCTTCTTTGCATAGATTGTTCCTCTGCTGAGGGCCAAGAGCTTTGAGGACAGGGAAAGCCTATCTTGTTGATGGGGCATCCTCAGCAGCTGGCTCAGTACCTGGTGCACTGTCAGCCCTCAATGGCTATTTGTGGAGTCCAGTTGTTCCTTAAAATTGCCAGAGAGGGAAATGCACTTAATCTTCCCTGGAAACACATTGCAAGGCACTGAAATTCTTCCAACTGCCCAACCTGAAATTCTAATGATTACACTATTTTTTTTTCACATTCTGCTAACTCTTAAAAGAGTTTTTTGAGAACTCATTGGTTAATTAGAGAAAGAACTTCCCAGATGCAAAAATAGAGCAGGCTCCCTCGCTGTCCAATATGGCAGCCTCAGGAGCTGCGTGCAGTTACTCCTGATGGAGATGTGCTGCGAATAGAAAATGCACACACACTGGGGTTTGAAGACTTAGTAAAGAATGTAAAAGACTTAATAGTTTTTTCTATTGATTACATGTTGAAATGATAATATATTGGATATACTGATTTAAATAAAATATATATTATTTGTGCTTATTTCACTTGGTTCTTTTTTTATCTTTTAAAAATGTGCCTACTGAAAAATTTAGAATGACATGTGCAGCTTGCATTTGTGGCTTGCATTGTATTTCCACTGGCCAGAGCTGCTCTAAGTTCTGCTGATCTTAATTCTCATCCTGAACCAGGAAGGAAGCCAGGAAGGCAGGGGCTTACTGTGTATCTTTAAGGAAGTCCTTGCTTTTTTCGGCCTCTGTTTTCACTCCTGTGAAGTGGATCCCATACCCCATAAGGTCAGTTCCAAATTTCTGTTTCATGACTTACATAGAAGAAGGGCCAATTTCCCCCGAGGCTCTACCAGAGAGGTGTTCAAATATTTAGTGTCTGGTATAGCATGGCTACCTACTAATCTTGGTAGTTCTTGGCCATCAACAACAGGATGGCTGTGATAGAGTGTCCTGAGTGAACATGTGCTGCAAAGCCACCAACCAGTAGGAAAATCTCATAAACAATAGATGCAAAATTGGCTTAAATAGATTAACGAAATGGGAAGGAGCATGAATGTTCATTTTGCTGCCGATTTAGACATTTTGTTTTTTTGACCTTCGTGACTGAACTGCATCTTGACAACAATTAGAGGATGAATCAAGACCTCGTGTTCAGGCAAACAGCCAGAAGAGGTGCTTAATACAACACAGGAGAGAGATGCTGCATTTGAAACGATGACCCCCCCGTGCCCTAATCACTGTTCCTACAAATTTAAATGTGATACTCCATCCTGGTTATGGAAACAGCAATCTAAATGGCTCGATTTTTCTTCATCAGACTTTGCTTAACACAGACTCATTGAAGTGGAAATCTAGTTTGTACAGAATTATTTACAGTTTGTTGGATTTTTTAAAAGGACCTGTTTATAAGAAGACACATAATGGGCTCCACTGAGCTGGCCTCTGGAATCAGAATCTCATTTCATAAACCCTCTGCTAATGTGTTCTGATCTCTTTACCTCATTCCTCTCATCGGTCCTGCCTGTTGGCCTAATTTCTGAGGTTATGTCCTCACAATGGGCATTCTTTTATTTTTTTCAGCCCGGCATCTGATGTGTACGTCCTACTATAGAAGCCAAAATGGTCAGACATTTGCCATCCCATGTCTGGGTTGCTGGGATGCAGTCATGTGAGCTGGGATGCAGTCATGTGATCCAGGCTTGTCCAAGCAGATGCTCCTACCTGAGACAGTAAAGCTGGAGTTAGCGATGGTGAGAAGCAAGGGACAGAGAATTCATTCCTCTAGCAATGACCTCTACAGTCTCAGGATAGAAGTGATATTCATGGTCTCCAGTGGGCAGCAGGCAGGTGCCAGAAGTAGTGAGTGACCTGCGTGTGGCAGTGATGTTTCAGCTAGACTAAATCAGGCCTATCTTTCCCTATCCCCTCTCAGCATCCACGTCTCCCCCTTATCTTCCTCTACTTTTTAAAAAGGCTGCATTTGCCATTTTCTAATATATCATGTTACTTACTTTCTAAAATGTTTATTGCTTATGGTTTTCCCCACTGGAATGCAAGCTTCATGGGGGTGGGCGCTTTGTCTGTTTTGTTTGCTGACGTATCCCAAGGGCCTGGCACATGGTAGGCACTCCATCCATCGTTGTTAGATTAAATATTTGTTGGAAGGATGAATGAAGTTTTCCTGTGGTGTGATTTTGGTGATCTGGCCCCCTCTGTTCCCTCCTCTTTTTTTCTGAATCTTATTCTACGGCATCCCCGTGGATCTTATGAGTCATCCAATACCATTTCCAATGCATCCCTTTTTTCTCCCCTTAAGTGAACCAGGATCAGTTTCAGTTATTTGCAAGCAAGATCTGAGACTGGAATGGGGTCAAATCCTTTACATTGTGAACATCCATGGGGCATTTTGCCACCAGGGGTTATTTGGCAATTTTTATTTTTTGTTGTCATAACTGGGAGGTGCTACTGCCATCTAATGGGTAGAGGCCAGGGATGCATCTTACCGTGCCCAGCACAGCCCCTGTACAGAAGAATTATCTAGTCCAAAGTGTCAACAGTGCCAAGGTTGAGAAACTCTGTTTCACCTCCTAGGAATGTCCCCGGTGGAATCAGGCGGCCCTGAGGGATGGAGGTGCTGGCTCCAGGGCCTGGGGACCTGGCATTGGATCCTGGCTCTGTCTCTGATTAGTTGTGCAATGAGCGATGAGTCCCTTGTTCCTGCTGACTTATGCTTTCCTGATCTGTTCAATGAGTATGATAATGCCTACTTTTGAGAGGAGTTTAGAGGCTTATAAGAGAAGATACATATGACAGTGGCTCATAGACGCTGATGGGACACGCTAGGTAGGTGCCAGCCCTACCTTCCACTCTGAGTGTCACTATTCTAAAGTGGAGTGTTTCTGGGAATTTTGAACTTCAAGTTAAATCTACAATGCAGTGTTCCTTGGAGTGAAGAGAAAGGGCAATGGGAGCTGTCCTGTTCTGCAGATGGAGCCCAGGGAACGGGACAGCAGGCAAAGAAGGGTCCGGCCAGGAGCTGGGCCTGGCTGTGGTAGCAGAACACCAGCTGCCGCATAAGCTGTCACCTTAAGGGGCTACATTTGCAAGGCCAGCTCTCTCCTGCAGCTGCTTTATTGCTCTTTGTATATCAAGACCCCACCCATGTGGTTTCAAGGTCAAGCTCACTACAGGTGGAGACAGAAGAATCTGAGAACAAGTAGAGTCTTCCTTGCCCAATTATGATTTTTATTCCTATGAAAGTGAAATTTATTAATTTAACTAATATTTCTGAGGGCCTGATTTGGGTCATGGATGATGTTATGAGATGGAGAAACAGAGAATACTTATCAAAGAGCTCAGATTCTCAAAGGGAAGAATTACTGTTCAATAATCATTAAAATAACTTGGGATAAATGGCAACAGATTTATACATAATGTGCCTTGAGGATAAAGGAGCAAGAAACTGTGCCAATGGGGTCTGGGGAACGATTCACAGAGGAGATGACACTGGGACTGAATCTTGTGTGACGAGAAATCATGGGGGGGATTTTCTACTCTGAGAGAATAGCATGTGCAAAGGCCTGGAGGTGGAATAAGCAAGCCCCATGTGGGAGAGCCCCCAGGAATCTCTGTAAGGTTAGAGCAGAGCGCTTGGAAGAAAGAGGTCAGAGATGAGCTCTAAAGCAGTTGTTCTCAGCCTTGGCTGCACACTAAAATCCCTGGGGCTTTTCAAAAGCTATCTTCCTCTAGACCACCCTCACCCCCACCTGCTCAGAAATGGTTTTCCAGGTGACTCCAATGTGCAGCCTAGGTTGGGAGCCCCTGCTCAGAAACAAAGGTTCCACATCAGGAAGGAAGGCAGCAAAGTGTAGTAGTGGGATCAGCTGGGCCTTGGAAACCGGGGTTCAGGTTTTAAGTTTAGATTTAGAATCGGGTTCAAATCCCACATCTATGCTTATAGCTATGTGCTGTAGGTAACTACTTAATCTTCCTGTGACTGATTTACTTTAATTAAAAACTTGGAATAATAAGACTTACCTCTCAAGAGGGTTATAACTTCAAATAAAATAACCCATGTAAAGTGGTTGGCACACTGTAGACTTACAGCAAATGTTAGCTCCTCGCCCCCTTCCCTTACAGTAGTTCCTATTAAGGAATTTAAGCATTGTCCTCTTAGTGATGGGGAGCTGCTCAAAGATAATCAGATGGCATTATTGAATGTGGTTTCTGTCTCTGAAATGCAGAAGATATACCAGAGAGGGGGAAGCTTGTGTGAAAGAATATTGATAAACGTGGCTTTCTGTGTTGTCTAGAATTGCTGTCAATGCCTTAAAGTTGAGGAAAATAAATACTAAATACTAAATATTCCATATTGAGAGAGGTGCCAGAGCCATCTCCCTGTGTCACGGAGAGTACCTTTCTGAAAAGCTTATGCCCCGCTGCCTCTAACCTCCCCAAGAACCAGCACTTGAGTGCCTGCTACATGGAGGGCATGGATGGTCAGTCGGTGTAACTAAGAGAACACTTGGGAGAGGAGACAGGATAATAAGAAGTTTAAGTTTTCAATGCAACTGGACTTAAAAAGAAAATTACCTAAAAGTGACCAGAAAGCTATGTAGGTTTTGCCCTAAGTGTCATCAAGGTGTTGATAAGAGAAACAGACAAGGCAGAGTTGAAGACTCTGAAAAAAAATTCACGTTTGTGTCCCACTGAGTTCAGACCATCAACAAACCAGTTTTATATCTTCAATCTTTAATAATAACAGCAAAATGTTTTATATAACTTTGCAAATAAGATTTAAAGAAATATATGTATTTCACAGAGATTTTGAAATTTATTTTTACAGAGTTGAACACAGCATACTCTTATAATTTACATATGGAGAGTCCATATTTGGGGCTTCTGGCTTCTGCCTGGGATGTGGAGAGCAGGGAGGAAAATCGTTTTCATTTTTACAGCTAAGACAGTATTAGAAACCTACAAATACACAGCTTTTCTTGAATTCATCAGAGAGCTGAGGCTGCCGGACAACTGACTGAAATAAAATCCAGGGAAAGGCACCATCACCAAGGAGAGATGGGTCATGAGCATTTCCTTACCCAGGGTAGATGGCAGTGGATGCTGGTAAGAAGAATTCAGCTAAAACCTTAACGAAATGTTAAAGGCAGAGTGTGGGCTAGTGAGAGAATATATAGTATCTGGGACCACAGACACAAAGGGAATTCCCACCCACCTAAGACTCTTCTCCAAGGATTTCAACAGGTGCTCAGAAAAAAGATTAGGGGCAGGGTGAGAGTCCTAAGAAAGTGTCCATGCTGGTGCAGGACTGGGGGAGTAGAACAGTGTCTTCTCTCTGGGACAAAAGTCCCAAGTCCTGTTGGGACAGGGAAAAATACTTTGCCTATAGGGCACTGGTGAAAACTCATTGCAGCAGGTGGAAGGAAATAGAAAAAACCCTCTGCCCCTAAGAGATGGGTAAGAATATGTGACCAGTCCAGACCTACAAATGGGGGCAGGGAAGGACCACTGAAAATACTCCACCCTTAAGATTTGTGGATACTATGCCTGTCCATGTCTGAGGCTTAATTAAGAATACTAAAAATGCTGCCCCCCATTTTTCACTCACCTCTTCATGCTAATAAATGTCAAGTAACAGTGGTATATTCTGGGAGAGGGACAACAGCATGGGAAGAAATCTCAGAAATTCAGTGCAAAGGGAAGCCCCAAAGTTGTGAGTAGAGCATATGTTAAGAAACCCTCTCTGGCATACCAGCCACTACTCTGAACAAAAAGCAACACTGGAGAATTTTGAAGACTATAGAACACTGAGATTAACCATAACAGCAACAAATTCCAAAACTTGTTTAACTTCCAACTAAGTTGATTCAAACGTCACCTAAAAGTCCTGGCAGGAGGAAAGGCATTTCCAGGCATAATACTTATTTAATACATTCTCTAATATCCTATCAACTTTCAACATGTATTTATGAAGCATACAAAGAAGCAAGAAAAAACCAACACACTGTGAAGAGACAAAGAAATAAACCATAGCAGACTCAGATATGACAGAAGTTGGAACTGTCACACAGGAAATTAAAAACAACAATGATTAATATGTTAAAAATGATAATGGAAAAGGTGGGCAACATGCATGAACCAGATGGTTGATTTTATTAGATGGAAACTATGAAATAATTGGATGAAAATGCTAGGACTGAGAAACATAATAACACAGAAGAATACTTTCTATGGGCTCATTAGTAGACACAACACAGCCAAGGAAATGATCAGTGAACCCGAAGATAAGTTAATCAAAATTAGCTAAATGAAATTTAAAAAGGAAAAAGGTTTTTAAAAAAAGCAACAACCCGCAACAAACCCAGAATAGAGCATTCAAAATCTGTGCCACAATGCCAGTGGTGTAGTACAGCTGGCTTTCACTAGCTTATGAGAGACAGTTATGCACATATATTTCCAACTCTTTGTTCAGTGACAAAGAACTGAACTGAAATTGACCTTAGTGGAATTATTTATCATGGAAATCAGCAAATGCCACAAATCAGGAACCATCTCTCGCTCCCTGTAGAGCTTATTGTTACACGTTAACCAGCATACCACTGGACAATATCAGAGACCAGCTGTATGAGCAATTTGAATCTCAGAGTGACAAGAGAAAAAGAATGGCTGAAGAATAGTTCTTCTACGGATACATCCACTTGCTGCCTACAAGAACTTTTTCTTTAGATGCTATCAACTAGGAGATAAGTAAAAATGTCTTCAACCAATTTCAATCTACATGAATTCTATGAAATTTCTTGCCTTTGATGGTACTCTCCATTGCACTGATACAGATTTTTCTGTCTTTATGTTCTTAGACATTTTATTAGAAAATTGGGAGAGCAGGAAGATGATTGCATGGGGTTCACTTTCCATGTGGGAACAGGCTAGTAAAGTTCTGGAGTAGAAGAATAACATCTTTTAAGTGAGGTCATGGAGCTACCTTTTTGTACTCTCCTTCCACATACAGACAGATTCTCCACTTACCGTCTCAGCAAATCTTGGACTAACAATACTTGCAACTCGTTCATTCCCAAACAACTCCCAGGCTGAGGCAAAGCACAATTTCCTTGCCGTGATCTTCTTGAGGTCCGTGCTCAGATGATTGTTTAAACTCTCACCTTTGTTGTCCAGATCCCTTGTTTGTATCCCCTTTGGTTACAAAAATTCTCCTTTGTTAGATCTTTTATGGTGTCAGAGATCATTCATGCATGGTATTTTTTGACTACTCCTTGCCTACTTTGATTGGATTCTGGATATTCCAGTTGAAGACATAGGCTCTTCTTTCAATGGGAGTTTCAGCTCTCAACATTAAAAAGTGATATGGCAGAAACTTCTATTTTTCTACCCAGTATTCTCCTCCTTTTCCTTACTAAAACAAAACAAAACAAACAACAACCCCTTTGTTGAGAATGACGTTGTGCTCAGATGAAAAACTATTATTCTATACCATTTTTGAAACCAGTAGTTGTAAACAAAAACCTTCTGGGGATTATTGATAAAGTTTTGCTTTCTTAAAGTAAACACTATGCCTTCCTCCTTCTGGTCCTTCCCCCCATTATTGGAACTCAGACATAATGACTGGAGCTGAAGCATCTTTCTTCCAAATATGAGGAAAAAGCCAAGATAATTTTAGAGATCTTGGCCCTGACATCCTTGAGCCAATAAACCAAAGCCAGTGATTATCTATCTCTAGGCTTACTATTACAGGACAGAAATAATCTCCTTTCTTACTTAGGCTTCTCTCCTCTCTCTCTCTCTCTCTCTTTTCCCCTGCCCCTCTTTTTGAGATGGGGTCTCGCTATGTTGCCCAGCCTGGTCTCAATCCCCTGGCTCAAGCCATCCTCCTCCCTCAGCCTCCTGAGTAGCTTGGATTACAGACGTGAGCCACCATGCCTGGTTCAGCTTCTCTTGAGTTTTCTGTTACAGTTAACCAAATTCAATGACTGGCTGATATTGATAATGTATTGTTTACAGTGTGTTCAAATGCAAGTAAACTCAAAATGGCTTAATGGGCCCAGGAATTTATCATCTCACATAGGAAGGAAGCCCATTGGTCAGACAGACTGGAAGTGTGATACTTCAGAGCTCCAGCTGTTCTTCCCTGCATATCTTTTGGCTCTGGCCTTGTCTGCACATTGCTTTCATCTCCAAGTTGGCTGCAGTAGTTCCATACATCACATCCAAACCTGGCTACATTCACTTGAAAAAGGAAGATCACCTCTTCCCATGTCTCTTTTTTATCTCTCCCAGGAAGTCTCCAGCAGACTTCTCCTTACATCTCTGGGCCAGCATCGCATGATATGCCCATCCCTAAAGCAGGAGCCTGTGGCTGTGTGGGGAGGTTGTCGTCCTTGAACAAAATCAGATTTTCTTAGGAAGAAGAGGAAGATGACCGTTGAGTAGGCAGCCAACAGTGTCTGCTGCAGATAGGGGTGCCAGTGCCAGGATGCTGACCTCTGGCATTTAGTATTGCACTTTAATTTTCTGGATTTAAACCCATCAGTGATTCCAGAGTATAGCACACTGCATTAAACCCAGTAGTCATGTATCTGGGCACCAGCTCACCTGCTATTGCCTCTATGATTTACAAAGTAATTGTATATGTTTTATGGCAACCTAGTTTTCTGAGACAATATTTGCACAGACTAGGCTGAGACAGGCCTGAGGATGAGAGAATTGATATTCCTCATATACCTCACCAGGCAGTGAAATCTCTGAACAATTCTTCAGAGAAGAAAGAGAGAAAATGTTCCTACAACAGAAGGCAAGTTATTAGCTAGGTCACCCTGACCACATACATCTAAGTGGGAATCACTTAAGAGACAGTCATTACTGGCCACCGTCCTATGTGGCACATGGTACCCGTACTTAGCCAGGCCACTCTGACAATCTAAACTCTCTGAGTGTCAAAGTTTTCTTTGGTAAAACCAGGATTGTTGCAGGAAGTCAGGGAACACAAATGGAGGGACTGACTGAAGCCATGGCAGAAGAACATGGATTGTGAAGATTTCATGGACATTTATTAGTTCCCCAAATTAATACTTTTATAATTTCTTATGCCTGTCTTTACTGTAATCTATAAACATAAATTGTGAAGATTTCATGGACACTTATCACTTCCCCAGTCAATACCCTTGTGACTTCCTTTGCCTGTCTTTAATCTCTTAATCCTGTCATCTTGTAACCTGAGGAGGATGCATGTTGCTGCAGGACCCTGTGATAATTGTGTTAACTACACAAATTGTAGAGCATGTGTGTTTAAACAATATGAAATCTGGGCACCTTGAAAAAAGAACAGGATAACAGCAATTGTTTAGGGAACAAGAGAGATAACCTTAAACTCTGACCACCGGTGAGCAGGGTGGAACAGAGCCATATTTCTCTTCTTTCAAAAGCAAATGGGAGAAATATCGCTGAATTCTTTTTCTCAGCAAGGAACATCCCTGGGAAACAGAATACACGCCTGGGGGTGGGTCTCTGAACTGGCCCCCCTGGGCGTGGCCGTCTTCTGTGGTTGAAACTGTAGAGGTGAAATAGACCCCAGTCTCCCATGGCGCTCCCAGGCTTATTAGGAAGAGGAAATTCCCACCTAATAAATTTTGGTCAGACCAGTTGCTCTCAAAACCCTGTCTCCTGATAAGATGTTATCAATGACAATGGTGCCCGAAACTTCATTAGCAATTTTAATTTTGCCCCGGTCCTGTGGTCCTGTGATCTTGCCCTGCTTCCATTTGCCTTGTGATATTCTATTACCTTGTGAAGTATTTGATGTCTGTGACCCACACCCTATTCCTACACTCCCTCCCCTTTGGAAAGTCCCTAATAAAAACTTGCTGGTTTTGTGGCTTGTGGGGCATCACGGAACCTACCGACATGTGATGTCTCCCCCAGATGCCCAGCTTTAAAATTTCTCTCTTTTGTACTCTGTCCCTTTATTTCTCAAGCTGGCCGACACTTAGGGAAAACAGAAAAGAACCTACGTGACTATCGGGGCAGGTTCACCCATACAGGATAATAAGAACCATATTACCAGAGTCTCCCCACTCAGAGAACAAACGGTTTTATACAAAGATACGCTGAATGAGTACAGATCAAAACTGAAATCAAATATGGGGAAGTGCTGTGTAAACTGCTAAACATCACAGAATTTCATTTCTTTTCTTCAAAAACTGATTTGGCAAACATTAATGACTAGCCATTCTGTTCCAGTAGCTAGACATGCAGAGTTAACAATGACCCAGTACCTCCCCTCAGGAGATATAAACTGGTAGGAAAGATGGACCCATGAATATCTGTGTTATATAATAACAAAGCAAGCGCAGCCATGGACTCTTGTTCTAGTACAGCTTAAAAAGGAATATTAAACTATATGGGAGAGATTCGAAGGGTATATTCGTTATCATAATACTATCTGTAGCAGCAGTAGCAGCAGCAACAACAACAACAATAACAACAACAACTAAATCCAAAGTTTCAATGGCTTGACTATGGAAGCTATTTCTTATCCATCTAATAGTTTATTGCAGGTGTTTCTGGTAGGTGGGGATTGGGGTTGTGGGCAAGGGAGTAGGGAGATGGAGAAGTTCTACTCTGCGTGTCTGGAGACTCAATCCAATAGAGGCCGTGCGTCTTCAACATGCTGTGGCTTCTGGGGTCTCTATGAGGGTTGAACTCCAACCAGCTGATAGGAGAAGAGAGAGATTAAAGAAGATACATGCAGTTTTTAATTATCTTAGCCTGGAAGTGACACTCATCCCTTTCCCTCACATTTTATTGGCTAGAACCAATCAAATGGCCCCATCTAGGCTTTAGAGGGTTGGAAATTTATTCCCTGGCTAGGTAGCCTTTTTCCAAAATCAGCTCTGACTTATAGAAAGGAAGTATAAGTCTTTGATGGGCAGCGAGCCAACTCTGCCCCAGAGGAGTTCCTGAAAGAGGTAGACTTAAGGTAGTGTTTTGAAAGACAAATTGTACTTAGCCAGAAACTCTGGATATTGACAAACATTCCAGCCACAGTGAAAATGTTTACAAGGGCATTCATCATGTGAAGATTTGGAAAGATTTAGAATCATCTTTGTCCATTAAAAAGCTTTCAGAAGGCTGGGTGCGGTGGCTCATGCCTGTAATTGCAGCACTTTGGGAGGCCGAGGCAGGCAGATCATGAGGACAGGAGATGGAGACCATCCTGGCTAACACGGTGAAACCCCGTCTCCACTAAAAATACAAAAAATAGCTGGGTGTGCTGGTGGGCGCCTGTAGTTCCAGCTACTCAGGAGGTTGAGGCAGGAGAATGGTGTGAACCCGGGAGGCGGAGCTTACAGTGAGCTGAGATCATGCCACTGCACTCCAGCCTGGGCAACAGAGTGAGACTCTGTCTCAAACAAACAAACAAAAAGATTTAAAATAGCTTCCCAGCTCTGGATGTGAGGGGTATTTGTATTCAGGATGGCAAGGGGGAGAGGGAGGGAAATCAACCAGTGCACAGCGGGCTTAGGCAAGGCTGGCCAGGCCTGGGGTAGTGTGGCACATTGTAGGGGAGCAAGCAAAAGTGGGTAGTGATGAAAATGGCCTGGAGCAGATTTCCTCATTGCGGCTAACAAAGTGAGTAGATGATGTGGGAATTCCTGGTTTTGCCCAAGCTTAAATTTCAGGTTAGATCTGTCCTCAGGGGTACCTGGGAGAGGCAAGGACTGTCCTTGGCACAGAAGGCAGAGCATAGCCCGCAAGCTGTGCTCATCAAGTGCTCCCATCCTGAGCATCCACAGGGTGTTCAGTACCAGGCCAGTATGTCAGGCACATTCTTTCTTCTCATCCTCATCACAGCTCTTGAAGGTGGGTTGTTAAAGATGAGTAAGCCCCTGAGAGGTTAGCTAACCTTTCTTTTTTTTTTTTTTTTTTTTTTTTGAGACAAAATCTCACTCTATTGTCCAGGCTGGAGTGCAGTGGCATGGTCTTGGCTCACTGCAACCTCCACCTCCCAGGTTTAAGTGATTCTCATGTGTCAGCCTCCCAAGTAGCTGGGATTACACCACCACACCTGGCTAATTTTTGTATTTTTAGCAGAGACAGGGTTTCACCATGTTGGCCAGGCTGGTCTGAAACTCCTGACCTCAAGTAATCTGCCCGCCTTGGCCTCCAAAATTGCTGGGATTACAGGTGTGAGCCACCATGCCCAGCCTTAGCTAACCTTTCTTAATCCAGCAGCTGCTGATTAACCTGATCTCAATAGAATTGGGATTTGAGTGTCTGACTCCAGAGCCCAGACTTCTTTATAATTCCTCCAGGGGTTCTTAACACGGCTGCCCCTTCAGTTTACAAGGAGGGCTTCATAGGCATATAAATATCATGGAGCTGGGTGTGGGGGTGCGTGCCTATAATCCTAGTTACTTGGGAGGCTCAGGCAGGAGAGTCCCTTGAGTCCCAGGAATTTGAGACCAGCTTGGGCAACAGAGTGAGACCTTGTCTCAAAAGAGAAAGAAAGCGCACAGTGGCTCATGTCTATAATCTTATGCCTACAATCCCAGCACTTTCGGAAGCTGAGGCAGGCGGATCACTTGAGGCCAGGAGTTCGAGACCAGCCTGGACAACATGGTGAAACACTGTCTCTACAAAAATTAGCCAGGTGTGGTGGTGCATGTCTGCAGTCCCAGCTACTTGAAAGGCTGAGTTGGGAGGAATTGCTTGAACCCAGGAGACAGAGGTTGCAGTGAGCTGAAATCATGCTACTGCACTCCAACCTGAGCAACAGAGACTCTGACTCCAATTAAAAGAAAAAAAAGGAAAAGGGAAAATCAATGCCTATGCTCCAGATCCAAAGACTCTGATCTGGATGTGAGTGGTGGAGCCTGGGCATCTGCATTTTTAAACAGCTCTGTCAGTGGTTCTGTGCACAGTTGGGATTACAAGCCAGTAAGCATCTGAGGATACCCTCTTGCTAGTTGGGCCTCAGGGTATTGGGCTTTGGGTGTCCTGACCATTGTTCCCTGCCATAGGTTTGGTAAAGGATGCGGCCAGGCCTGTGTACTGGGCGCCTGACCATGAAATCCTGCACTCCACAACTGCTGGAAGGAGTTCAGCATCAAGTTTTCCAAGCACCACTGCCGGGCCTGCGGACAAGTGCTCCCATGGCCACCGGGCTGTCCCCTCTCGTGGATGGGACCATCCCGTCCGAGTCTGCTTCAACTGCAATAAAAAGCCCGGTGACCTTTAACCCCAGCCCCTCTCCAAGTCCTTCACAATTTCTTAGGTTCTCAGGGTTAGAAACAGTCTTGCGAGGTAGGCCCTCCTCCTGGTCACCTGCTGTGGTGTGTGTCCTCTCCTCTCTGCATCCCAGGGCCACTTTCCCTCAGTGGGGGTTAGCCTGGGGGCAGTCCTGAAGGCGTGAACCCCTCAGGGCAGGGGACTAAGCAACTCATCTCAAAGGGGAATGAACCTGAATCCGTTGCTTTTATTTCAGTTAAAAATAATGAATATATATGTGTATGTATCTCTCTCCATATATACATATGAAGGGCACTCAGGGCATATCAAGGGTGCTGCTGGCTGCGAAGACTTTGCACAGTCTCACCTGCGCAGGGTGAGACGGCAGTGGCAGCACGTCTTCCTCACATGCCCAGCCAGGTCCATGCCCACCCTGTGGCTGGCCCCTTCCGCTGCTGCTCTCAGAGTCTTGGAAGCCTCTCCTGTCCTTGGCTCTTCCTTCCATGCCTCTCAGCTGCCTGGGGAGTGAGCCTCCCAGGTCCTTCCTGCCTGAAATGGCCTGAAGGGAATTCTCCCTGGGTCTTCTGGGAGTCAAATCCCAATTCTTGGCTTAAGCCTGTTTTAGTCAGAGACCACCCAACTTAGCGTGCAGGTCACTGGAGTGGGTGGAGGGTCAGAGTTCGGGTCTTCGGCCCTGAGAAGTGGAAATGCAGGGGCCGTGCTGCCTCTGGTCCCCCAGGGGACAGCAAGGAAGGAACTGAGTCTTCCCTGGCCGGGCTTCCTGCCCCGATGCTTCTGTCTCCACTTAGCTTTCCCAAAAGGTGGCACCCAGCTCCTCAATCGAAGCACCCGCCTTCCACCCCTCAGCCCCCTCAAGCCCACCATCTACTTCTGAGTGTCGCACTAGGATTTTCATTGCTTATTTTGAAGTGTCTTAATCCTTTGTTCCCAGACACACAACCCCTCTAGCTCTCGGAGGGGCGATCATGAGAAACCTTCCAGGGAAACAGAGCACAGGATGGACTGTTAGTTGTTTTTTTAAAGTCTATATAAATATTTCAACAGATGGTAAAGAAAAAATTTATCTCTTTGGTCCTTGCAAGAGAAGTCAAAGGAATTTTTGTTTCTTCTCAAATTTTTGTTTCTGTCTGTCGTGACTGGAAAGGGCCCGTTGTGCTGAAATCCTATCATCATGGTGGATTTGATCTTCAGTGGCCAAACATGAAGAATGAAAGTATAATTCTTGACTGAACTGGTGGGTGGGTTGAGCTTTAGGGAAGTATATCGAGGTCATTCCTGGCGCGTGTATCGGTGTGACATGAGCCCTGGAGTGTGTCGTCCCTCTCAACCCTGCTCCTTCTGCCTCCTGGGGCCCAGTGACTGAGGCCCTACTCTAGAACTGTGTACCATCCAATTCGCCATCATAAAGGGATCTTCCTGCATCTTGACTGTGCTGGCTCTTTCCTCTCATTCCATCAGTGCCTTCTGGCCACCGTCTCTCTCAAGCTGATGGTGGCTTTCAAAGCAGAGGCCAAGTAAGGGGCATGTTTCTAGGGTGGTAATATTTTACCTGCAAATACTGCAGTTGACAAATAAGAGGTTTTTAAAAACCATAGCTGGCCAGATGTGGTGGCTCATGCCTGTAATCCCAGCACTTTGGGATGCCGAGGCGGGGGGATCACCTTAGGTCGGGAGTTCGAGACCAGCCTGACCAACATGGAGAAACCCTGTCTCTACTAAAAATACAAAAAAATTAGCCGGGTGTGGCGGTGCATGCCTGTAATCCCAGCTACTTGGGAGGCTGAGGCAAGAGAATTGCTTGAACCTGGGAGGCGGAGGTTGGGCTGAGCCGAGATTGCGCCATTGCACTGCATAGCCAAGTACCCCCAAACCATGATCCTGTGGAGTGGATGTCAGTCTCATGACCACAGCCTGTTGTTCCCAGCTCTTTGCTAGATAGCATGCCCCACCCAGATCAGTATGCTGACTGGGACCATAGCTTTGTGCTTGTCATGAATATTCCTTTATTGAGGGAAGGAATTCTCTCTAGTGACTAGAGGGCCCCCACGTTCTCACTCACCACTTATCCTGTACTTAGAGCTGTTCCTCAGACTTTTCTGCAGCCAGGGTTACCTGGCAGACCCCCTTTCTGTAGCCATGGCATTGGCTGAGCAAGGCTCAGTGGTAGCAGTTTCACAGCTTGGGTTCTCCGGGTTACACTCTGGCAGCTGTCAGGTCGGGGTCTGTTGAGGAATCCTCTTGCACAGTAGAAGAGATCGGGTATTAGTCTTGATTTTCACTCCCTAGGTTTAAGATACATAGTCCTGGCTAGGCGCTGTCACTCATGCCTGTAATCCCAGCACTTTGGGAGGCCAAGGTGGGCGGATCACTTAAGCCCAGGAGTTCAAGACCACCCTGGGCAACGTGGCAAGCGAACCCCGTCTCTACGAAGAAAACCTCCTCCTCCCGAAAGCTGGGCATGGCAGTGCACGCCTGTAGTTCCAGCTACTCAGGAGGCTGAGGTAGGAGGATTGCCTGAGCCTCGGAGATGCCACTGTACTCCAGCCTGGGTGACAGAGCAAGACCCTGTCTCAATAACAAAAACAAACCTATTGAACTATTATACATTTATACTTCAGCTTGGTTTTCTCAAATTGAATACCTGTATAACCAATCAGCACCCAGATTAAGAAACAGAACATGGCTGTCCTCCAAAAACTCCTGGTGCCTCCCCCCGACCAGGAGTAACCACTATCCTGACATGTAGTAACAGAATTTAGTCCCCTCTCCTTTTCAGGGGGAGCCACGTAAATGCTTTTAATCACTTTCTGGTTTAAAAGACTTGCTCATAGGTACAGACAGTTGTTGAACATATCCCTGAGGGCTTTGACTGGAGATTGCAACTTGTACTTGTGGCTGAGAATGATGCAGTCTCCTGATCAATGAGACCCAGTGGGATCCTTACACATCCCTTGGGTTTAACTGCTGATTTATTTAGGAACTGGAAAAGCAAAGATAACCAATATTTAGGTGCCTGTTACGTGCTTGGCACTATGCTAGGAGCTTTACATGGTTAATTCTCACAACCACACTGGAAGGTCCACGGTAGTATTGTCTTACAGCCTAAGATGCTGGCTCCTAGAGGATCAGAAGCCCAGCATTGCCGGGCACACTCCAAGCTGGCCTGAGTCCAGGCAACCCTGGACCCCTTCCACCACCAACACACTGTAGAGCTTCTCTCCCTGTTTTCCTTCCCCTTCACAGCTTTTGAATTCTTTTGCATTTCCAGGTAAGGTCAGTGCCTTTTCCTTAGGAGTAAAGTTAAGAATCAAGGTACCTGCTAGTGTGATCAGCAAGCTTAGCTTTGATCATTTCCATTGGCCTTGGAGATTCTCATGGCCGAGGGCAGTAAAACTTTGTCACTAAAAGCAACTTTATCTTTCACTAAAAAGACTCACTGGCTGAGAGATTAAGCAAGTTGATCTAGCCGATAACACAAGCTAAGCTTCCAGTTTTATAGAGATGGGCTTTTGCCATGTTGCCCAGGCTAGTCTTGAACTCCTGGGCTCAAGCAATCTGCCGCCTTGGCCTCCCAAAGTGCTGGGATTACAGGGGTGAGCCACTACTGACCAGCTTCCAATTGTTAAAAAATTTCTGATTTAATGTTAATTTTGCAGTTATATTTGCATTTTCCATTTCAGACCTACCATAATTAGGGAGAGATGATGGAACCCACAATAGCAGTCTATAATTCTTCTCATCATGAATAGGATGTTTTAGTTACTGTACAAAACTGGAGCACTTTCTAACTCCTAACTCTTAAATTGCACCTGGTATAATTTTTTTTTCTGTACTTTGGAAATTGTCAGAGTTGTGAACACTAAAGTCCATGGGGTATAGGGTTTTGTGGGATTAGATAATCTGTAATTTAGTGACAGGCTCATCTGACCAGAGCCGTCTTTCAAACTAGCATTTGTAGACAGTGGGCCCTGGAGTCCTCCAGTACATGATGCTGTACTGAGGGAATTATCCACTGCCACGTTTTCAACAGCCACCTTAAACTGGCTATACCCCTAACTCTAGCCAGAATCTCTCTAAGGCTCTGGCCTTTTTCTTTCGATAACTCCATTTCATGTCCAAAGATACTGGAACTCGGGCTGGGCACGGTGGCTCGTGCCTGTAATCCCAGCACTTTGGGAGGTTGAGATGGGAGGTTCACTTGAGGCCAGGAGTTTGACACCAGCCTGGGCAACATAGCAAGACCCTGTCTGTATGAAAACAAACACAAAAATACTGCAACACAAGCAGAGCCGATTTCCCAGCCACCATGGCACCCCACTTCTGGCTGCCCTGGACTACCAGGAGCATTTGTGTCTGTGCACCTTTGCTCAGATTATGGCGTCTACAGAGAATATCCTTTTTGGTATTGCAATAGCTGCTTTTATTCACGTGAAGCCAAGAGTACAAGCAGGGAGATGTGAGCAAAGATACGATAGCCAGGCCCAGGCCAGAAGGCACTGTGGGAGACAGGCAGTCTGTCTTAAGGAAAGAGGGAGAAAAGGGGAAACTGTTGAACTGAACCCAAGAAGATCTTAAATGCAACTTCAGTAAGAAGCCGATTCTTCCCAACACAAGGGGCCTAATAGAGTCTTGAACTTGAGGAGGAGCTCAGCTGGCTCTGCTACACTTATTAGCAGAAGACCTTGGGCAAATCACTCTCTTGAGATTCAGTTGTTTTCTTCAGTAAAGTGTGGAAACTTATTTCCTAGGGTTGTAGGAATGAAAACGAAATCATGCTGGCAAAAACAACAACAACAAACAAAAACAAAAACATTGTCCATCTAACATAACAAGTGTCTAGTTGCGTCAAGTGCTGGGGAAATGAAACTTCCCTGAGGTGTCTTTTACACTGAGCCTTAAAAGTTGGACTTTTCTGGATGAAAAGGAGTTGGGTGGCTTGAGCAGAGGCCCAGGTGTGTGGGGGACAGGCTTGAAATGTGGTGTCCCAAGAACACCAGGTGTGAGGCAGAGATGGCGCAACAGGATGGAGAGGCATATGTGGTCGGATCACAAAAGGCCACACACTCTGTCTGAGGCACAGGAAGACATCGAAAGCAAAGATCTAGAAAGATCATTCCGGTGGCAGTACAATGGATGAACAGGAGAAGACAGACTTAGAGTGGGACCAGAGCCTTTTAGCAACACGTACAAATGGAGAAATGCAAGAAGAAATGGAGTTCAGCCTGAAATTGTTTTTGGAGATGGTTAGGTGGAAGATTTAGACCAGGACAGATCTAGATAGGGAGGGACTGACTTGGTCTTAGATGAAGGATGTCTCTGAGGACCCTTGTTGGGGGATGCCTAGGAGGTTGGCAGTGCCCTCCAAACCATGTTGGGCCAGTTGGATTCTAGGGTGTCCACAGCAACATGGGACATGAGGCAGTATTTATTTGTGGGCATTATTATTATTATTTTTTTGAGATGGAGTCTCACTCTATTGCCCATGCTGGAGTGCAGTGGTGCGATCTCGGCTCATTGCAACCTCTGCCTCCAGGGCTCAAGGGATTCTCCTGCCTCAGCCTCCTGAGTAGCTGGGATTATAGACATACACTGCCATGCCTGGCTAATTTTTGTATTTTCAGTAGAGACGGGGTTTCACCATGTTAGCCAGGTTGGTCTTGAACTCCTGACCTCAAGTGATCTGCCCGCCTTGGCCTCCCAAAGTGTTGGGATTACAGGCGTGAGCTACCACGCCTGGCCAGTATTTATGGGCATTTTTGATAACCAGTGTGTGCCATTCATTTTTATCTCTAGAAAGCTATAAGTAAGCAAACACTGAGCTAGTTAGCAAGGTGTCTATGACAGCTCAGTGCTGCTGTCAAAATCACCTGCTCATTTGCTACTTTTCATTGTCACCTGGGGAGTAGGGCAAAATGGAAACTCCTTCAAGGCCATGCACAGTGGCTCACACCTATAATCCCAGTGCTTTGGGAGGCCAAGGCGAGTTGATGGCTTGAGGCCAGGAGTTCTAGACCAGCCTGAGCAACATGGCAAAATCCTGTCTCTACAAAAAAACCCCAAAACCTCAAAAATCAGCCAGGTGTGGTGGCACACGCCTGTAATCCCAGCTGCTCAGGAGGCTGAGATGGGAGGATTGCTTGAGCCTGGGAGGTCAAGGTTGCAGCTGCAGTGAGCCAAGATCACTCCTGCTGTACTTTAGCCTGGGCAACAGAGTGAGACCTTGTCTAAAAAAACGGAAGAGAAATGCTCAGAGACTGTAACATATTAATCTTTTTTACATCAATGGTAATAAGCAAACTGGCCAAAATGCTTAATCAACTTCTTGGCCAAGTTTAACCCCTTTTCATGCAACCTAGACCACATTTTAGGTGCAGTGAGTGTTAACCAAGGACAAACTGCTGCTCTTTCCCCACCGCCACTGAGTCACGGAGGCAGAGGCTCAGGTGTGTTCAAGAATCAGCTTCACCCATAACCCACCGCCATGGCCCAGGAAGGCATCAGTGCTGGAGGTGTCATGGACCTTAATACTGCTTTACAAGAGGTCCTGAAGGCTGCCCTCATCCATGATGGCCTAGCACGTGGAATTCGAGAAGCTGCCAAAGCCTTAGACAAGTGCTGGGCCCATCCTTGTGCTGCCCCCAACTGTAATGAGCCTGCCTATGTGGCTGGCTGGTGAAGGCCCTTGTTGCTGAGCACCAGATCACCCTAATTAAGGTTGATGACAATAAACTAGGGGAAGGGATGGACCACTGTAAAACTGACAGAAGGAAAACCCCATAAAGTGGTTGGCTGCAGTTGTGTAGCGTTAAGGACTATGGCAAAGGATGTCATCAAAGAGTTTTTTTGTTGTTGTTTTTTGTTTTGAGACAGTCTCTCTCTGTCACTAGGCTGGAGTGGGGCAGTGGCATGATCTTGGCTCACTGCAGACTCCACCTCCTGGGTTCAAGCAATTCTCCTGCCTCAGCCTCCCAAGTAGCTGGGATTACAGGCACACACCACCATGCCCGGCTAATTTTTGTATTTTTGTATTTTTAGTAGAGACAGAGTTTCACCATGTGGCTCAGGCTGATCTTGAACTCCTGACCTCAGGTGATCTGCCTGCCTCGGCATCCCAAAGTCCTGGGATTATAGGTGTGAGCCACTGCGCACGGCCCTTCTTTCATGTTTTAATTCAATGGAGTTTTGCATGTACTAAGTTTTCAAAAATACATGTTGAAGGAACATTTTTATCTGTACTCCGACACACACCCAATTGTCAAATTGTCTTCACAGCTCTCAGACTTATAGATTTAGAATCTCCTCAGGGACTTGATCTTAATTGAAGACAAAGGAGATCCTAAAGTGACTTTTTGTCCTAGTGGTCAGCTGGAATGTGGGAGGAACAATTTCAGCCCAAGAGCAAGTTGAAAGTTTTCTCGGGGAGGAGCCAAGTTGGCCGAATAGGAAGAGCTCTGGTCTGCAGCTCCCAGTGTGAGCGACGCAGAAAACGGGTGATTTCTGCATTTCCATCTGAGGTATCAGGTTCATCTCACTAGGGAGTGCCAGACAGTGGGCGCAGGTCAGTGGGTGTGCGCACCGTGCGCGAGCCGAAGCAGGGCGAGGCATTGCCTCACTTGGGAAGCACAAGGGGTCAGGGAGTTCCCTTTCCTAGTCAAAGAAAGGGGTGACAGATGACACCTGGAAAATCGGGTCACTCCCACCCGAATACTGCGCTTTTCTGACGGGCTTAAAAAACGGCGCACCAGGAGATTATATCCCGCACCTGGCTCGGAGGGTCCTACGCCCACGGTGTCTCACTGATTGCTAGTGCAGCAGTCTGAGATCAAACTGCAAGGTGGCAGCGAGGCTGGGGGAGGGGCGCCCGCCATTGCCCAGGCTTGCTTAGGTAGACAAAGCAGCCGGGAAGCTCGAACTGGGTGGAGCCCACCACAGCTCAAGGAGGCCTGCCTGCCTCTGTAGGCTCCACCTCTGGGGGCAGGGCACAGACAAACAAAAAGACAGCAGTAACCTCTGCAGACTTAAATGTCCCTGTCTGACAGCTGGGAGAGCAGTGGTTCTCCCAGCACGCAGCTGGAGGTCTGAGAACGGGCAGACTGCCTCCTCAAGTGGGTCCCTGACCTCTGACCCCCGAGCAGCCTAGCTGGGAGGCACCCCCCAGCAGGGGCAGACTGACACCTCACATGGCAGGGTACTCCAACAGACCTGCAGCTGAGGGTCCTGTGTGTTAGAAGGAAAACTAACCAACAGAAAGGACATCCACACCAAAAACCCATCTGTACATCACCATCATCAAAGACCAAAAGTAGATAAAACCACAAAGATGGGGATAAAACAGAGCAGAAAAACTGGAAACTCTAAAAAGCAGAGCACCTCTCCTCCTCCAAAGGAACGCAGTTCCTCACCAGCAACGGAACAAAGCTGGATGGAGAATGACTTTGACGAGCTGAGAGAAGAAGGCTTCAGATGATCAAATTACTCTGAGCTACGGGAGGACATTCAAACCAAAGGCAAAGAAGTTGAAAACTTTGAAAAAAGTTTAGAAGAATGTATAACTAGAATAACCAATACAGAGAAGTGCTTAAAGGAGCTGATGGAGCTGAAAACCAAGGCTCGAGAACTACGTGAAGAATGCAGAAGCCTCAGGAGATGATGCGATCAACTGGAAGAAAGGGTTTCAGCGATGGAAGATGAAATGAATGAAATGAAGTGAGAAGGGAAGTTTAGAGAAAAACGAATAAAAAGAAATGAGCAAAGCCTCCAAGAAATATGGGACTATGTGAAAAGACCAAATCTACATCTGATTGGTGTACCTGAAAGTGACGGGGAGAATGGAACCAAGTTGGAAAACACTGCAGGATATTATCCAGGAGAACTTCCCCAATCTAGCAAGGCAGGCCAACATTCAGATTCAGGAAATACAGAGAACGCCACAAAGATACTCCTAAAGAAGAGCAACTCCAAGACACATAATTGTCAGATTCACCAAAGTTGAAATGAAGGAAAAAATGTTAAGGGCAGCCAGAGAGAAAGGTCAGGTTACCCTCAAAGGGAAGCCCATCAGACTAACAGCAGATCTCTTGGCAGAAACTCTACAAGCCAGAAGAGAGTGGGGGCCAATATTCAACATTCTTAAAGAAAAGAATTTTCAACCCAGAATTTCATATCCAGCCAAACTAAGCTTCATAAGTGAAGGAGAAATAAAATACTTTACAGACAAGCAAATGCTGAGAGATTTTGTCACCACCAGGCCTGCCCGAAAAGAGCTCCTGAAGGAAGCACTAAACATGGAAAGGAACAACTGGTACCAGCCACTGCAAAATCATGCCAAAATGTAAAGACCATCGAGACTAGGAAGAAACTGCATCAACTAACGAGCAAAATCACCAGCTAACATCATAATGACAGGATCAAATTCACACATAACAATATTAACTTTAAATGTAAATGGACTAAATGCTCCAATTAAAAGACACAGACTGGCAAATTGGATAAAGAGTCAAGACCCATCAGTGTGCTGTATTCAGGAAACCCATCTCACATGCAGAGACACACATAGGCTCAAAATAAAAGGATGGAGAAAGATCTACCAAGCAAATGGAAAACAAAAAAAGGCAGGGGGTTGCAATCCTAGTCTCTGATAAAACAGACTTTAAACCAACAAAGATCAAAAGAGATAAAGAAGGCCATTACATAATGGTAAAGGGATCAATTCAACAAGAAGAGCTAACTATCCTAAATATATATGCCCCCAATACAGGAGCACCCAGATTCATAAAGCAAGTCCTGAGTGACCTAGAAAGAGACTTAGACTCCCACACATTAATAATGGGAGACTTTAACACCCCACTGTCAACATTAGACAGATCAACGAGACAGAAAGTCAACAAGGATACCCAGGAATTGAACTCAGCTCTGCACCAAGCAGACCTAATAGACATCTACAGAACTCTCCACCCCAAGTCAACAGAATATACTTTTTTTTCAGCACCACACCACACCTATTCCAAAATTGACCACATACTTGGAAGTAAAGCTCTCCTCAGCAAATGTAAAAGAACAGAAATTATAACAAACTATCTCTCAGACCACAGTGCAATCAAACTAGAACTCAGGATTAAGAATCTCACTCAAAACCACTCAATTACATGGAAACTGAACAACCTGCTCCTGAATGACTACTAGGTACATAACGAAATGAAGGCAGAAATAAAGATGTTCTTTGAAACCAACAAGAACAAAGACACAACATACCAGAATCTCCGGGACGCATTCAAAGCAGTGTGTAGAAGGAAATTTATAGCACTAAATGCCCACAAGAGAAAGCAGGAAAGATCCAAAATTGACAACCTAACATCACAATTAAAAGAACTAGAAAAACAAGAGCAAACACATTCAAAAGCTAGCAGAAGGCAAGAAATAATTAAATCAGAGCAGAACTGAAGGAAATAGAGACACAAAAAAGCCTTCAAAAAATCAGTGAATCCAGGAGCTGGTTTTTTGAAAGGATCAACAAAATTGATAGACCGCTAGCAAGACTAATAAAGAAAAAAAGAGAGAAGAATCAAATAGACCCAATAAAAAATGATAAAGGGGATATCACCACCGATCCCACAGAAATACAAACTACCATCAGAGAATACTACAAACACCTCTATGCAAATAAACTAGAAAATCTAGAAGAAATGGATAAATTCCTCGACACATACACTCTCCCAAGACTAAACCAGGAAGAAGTTGAATCTCTGAATAGACCAATAACAGGAGCTGAAATTGTGGCAATAATCAATAGCTTACCAACCAAAAAGAGTCCAGGACCAGATGGATTCACAGCTGAATTCTACCAGAGGTACAAAGAGGAACTGGTACCATTCCTTCTGAAACTATTCCAATCAATAGAAAAAGAGGGAATCCTCCCTAACTCATTTTATGAGGCCAGCATCATCCTGATACCAAAGCCTGGCAGAGACACAACCAAAAAAGAGAATTTTAGACCAATATCCTTGATGAACATTGATGCAAAAATCCTCAATAAAAACTGGCAAACCGAATCCAGCAGCACATCAAAAAGCTTATCCACCATGATCAAGTGGGCTTCATCCCTGAGATGCAAGGCTGGTTCAACATACGCAAATCAATAAATGTAATCCAGCATCTAAACAGAACCAAAGACAAAAACCACATGATTATCTCAATAGATGCAGAAAAGGCCTTTGACAAAATTCAAAAACCCTTCATGCTAAAAACTCTCAATAAATTAGGTATTGATGGGACGTATTTCAAAATAATAAGAGCTATGTATGGCAAACCCACAGCCAATATCATACTGAATGGGCAAAAATTGGAAGCATTCCCTTTGAAAACTGGCACAAGACAGGGATGCCCTCTCTCACCACTCCTATTCACCATAGTGTTGGAAGTTCTGGCCAGGGCAATTAGGCAGGAGAAGGAAATAAAGGGTATTCAGTTAGGAAAAGAGGAAGTCAAATTGTCCCTGTTTGCAGACAACATGATTGTATATCTAGAAAACCCCATTGTCTCAGCCCAAAATCTCCTTAAGCTGATAAGCAACTTCAGCAAAGTCTCAGGATACAAAATCAATGTACAAAAATCACAAGCATTCTTATACACCAACCACAGACAAACAGAGAGCCAAATCATGAGTGAACTCCCATTCACAATCGCTTCAAAGAGAATAAAATACCTAGGAATCCAACTTACAAAGGATGTGAAGGACCTCTTCAAGGAGAACTACCAACCACTGCTCAAGGAAATAAAAGAGGATACAAACAAATGGAAGAACATTCCATGCTCATGGGTAGGAAGAATCAATATCGTGAAAATGGCCATACTGCCCAAGGTAATTTATAGATTCAATGCCATCCTCATCAAGCTACCAATGACTTTCTTCACAGAACTGGACAAAACTACTTTAAAGTTCATATGGAACCAAAAAAGAGCCCGCATCGCCAAGTCAATCCTAAGCCAAAAGAACAAAGCTGGAGAGGCATCACACTACCTGACTTCAAACTATACTACAAGGCTACAGTAACCAAAACAGCATGGTACTGGTACCAAAACAGAGATATAGATCAATGGAACAGAAGAGAGCCCTCAGAAATAATGTCGCATATCTACAACTAGCTGATCTTTGACAAACCTGAGAAAAACAAGCATTGGGGAAAGGATTCCCTATTTCATAAATGGTGCTGGGAAAACTGGCTAGCCATATGTAGAAAGCTGAAACGGATCCCTTCCTTACACCTTATACAAAAATCAATTCAAGATGGATTAAAGACTTAAACGTTAGACCTAAAACCATAAAAACCCTAGAAGAAAACCTAGGCATTACCATTCAGGACATAGGCATGGGCAAGAACTTCATGTCTAAAACACCAAAAGCAATGGCAATAAAAGCCAAAATTGACAAATGGGATCTAATTAAACTAAAGAACTTCTGCACAGCAAAAGAAACTACCATCAGAGTGAACAGGCAACCTATAGAATGGGAGAAAATTTTTGTAACCTACTCATCTGACAAAGGGCTAATATCCAGAATCTACAATGAACTCAAACAAATTTACAAGAAAAAAACAACCCCATCAAAAAGTGGGCAAAGGACATGAACAGACACTTCTCAAAAGAAGACATTTATGCAGCCAAAAAACACATGAAAAAATGCTCATCATCACTGGCCATCAGAGAAATGCAAATCAAAACCACAATGAGATACCATCTCACACCAGTTAGAATGGCAATCATTAAAAAGTCAGGAAACAACAAGTGCTGGAGAGGATGTGGAGAAACAGGAATACTTTTACACTGTTGGTGGGACTGTAAACTAGTTCAACCATTGTGGAAGTCAGTGTGGCGATTCCTCAGGGATCTAGAACTAGAAATACCATTTGACCCAGCCATCCCATTACTGGGTATATACCCAAAGGACTATAAATCATGCTGCTATAAAGACACATGCACATGTATGTTTATTGCGGCATTATTCACAATAGCAAAGACTTGGAACCAATTGAAATGTCTAACAATGATAGACTGGATTAAGAAAATGTGGCACATATACACCATGGAATACTATGCAGCCATAAAAAATGATGAGTTCATGTCCTTTGTAGGGACATGGATGAAATTGGAAATCATCATTCTCGGTAAACTATCGCAAGAACAGAAAACCAAACACTGCATATTCTCACTCATAGGTGGGAATTGAACAATGAGAACACATGGACACAGGAAGGGGAACATCACACTCTGGGGACTGTTGTGGGGTGGGGGGAGGGGGGAGGGATAGCATTGGGAGATATACCTAATGCTAGATGACGAGTTAGTGGGTGCAGCGCACCAGCATGGCACATGTATACATATGTAACTAACTTGCACATTGTGCACATGTACCTTAAAACTTAAAGTGTAATAATAGTAATAAAAAAAGAGATTTAAAAAATTACCATAATGATTGACCTATTATCCTCTATGAGTCTCATCATCTGATAAAGATTTATTCTCAATTATATAAAAATCATCAGTTATTGTTAAATAAGAAACTCAGTATATGTAGACTCCTCCAGTTTCTTGGATTTACATATATAGTTTTAATTGTACAATATTATTGTAAAAGTTAATATCCTTTCAATGTATCTGATTTAAAATTACCACAGAGCATTGTGGGATTAAAGGAGTGCTGTGTCTAGGGAAAAAAAAAAAAAAAAAAAGGAAAGTTTTCTCATCTTTTCTGGTGACACTGTGGCTGACGGTATCTACTTTAAAATGGAAGTAAGAAAACTTTCAGGCAGGGGGCACCCGGATTTGAACCGGGGACCTCTTGATCTGCAGTCAAATGCTCTACCCACTGAGCTATACCCCCTTCAACTGTTAGAGGTTCCTTCCTTGTCCACTTATGGTGACTCAATACAATCAAGTTCCACCCACACTAGAGTTCTGGCAAGCTTTGTGTTCTAAAGCCCCACCTTCTTAATTATCCATCATCTGCTTTGGCTTGTCCCTTGGCCACTAATAAACTGAAAGGGAACACTTGAAAAATGACATCCTGGGCTGGGCACGATGTCTCACGCTTGTAATCCCAGCGCTTTGTGAGGCCAAGGTGAGGTCAAGAGTTTGAGATCGGCCTGACCAACATGGTGAAACCCCGTCTCCGCTAAAAATACAAAAAAAATTAGCTGGGCGTGGTGGCAGGCACCTGTAATCCCAGCTACTAGGGAGGCTGAGGCAAGAGAATTGCTTGAACCCTGGGAGGCGGAGGTTGCAGTGAGCTGAGATCACACCACTGTACTCCAGCCTGGGCTAACAGAATGAGACAATCTCTCTCTCTCTCTGTCTCTCTCTGTCTCTCTCTCTCTCTCTCCATATACGTATACATATATATGTATACATATATATGTATACATATATTTATATATAGTATACATATATATGTATACATATATTTATATATAGTACACATATATAGTGCACATATATGTAGTGCATTATATATAGTACACATATATATAGTACACATACATAGTGTGCGTGTGTGTGTGTTTTGTAAAGACAGGGTTTCAGCATGTTGCCCAGGCTGGTTTCAAGTGATCCACCTGTCTGAGCTCAAGCAATCCTCCCATCTCAGCCTCACTTCGGCCTCCCAAAGTGCTGGGATTACAGGCGTAAACCATGGAGCTTGGCCTTTGCTCTGTTCTTGATGGAAACAATAGCCAGCTCTGACCTGGGGCCCTGCTGATAGCTGGGGAAGTGCGTTATTGAGGTTGAGCAGTGTGGCTCCTTCTTATCCCACTGGCAGGGGAGAACTGAAGCCTCTCCTTTCAAACCTGGCACTCGTTGGTATGGAGTGCAAGGGCGTGGGCCTGAGAAGCCCTTTCTCTTCTCACCTCCTCTCCAGGGAGAAGAGAAGCTGAGAGTAGAACTGGCTCCTTCCTCCAATCTCAGGGAAGAAACAACACACTTGGAGACACAATTTTTTTTAATGTAAAATAACATTGAGAGTTCATCTAAACATCTGTCTTAGAAATTCAGGTCAAGGGAAGAGATGCTGTTAGAACAGAGGCAAGTGGGTGACCTCTCCAAAGATGGACGTGCTCCAACAGAGGGCTAGGGTGTTCCCGCGATAGCCAAACCTTCCATTGAACCCATTGACCGGTTTCAGATCGGTATTGTAGTTGTCATGACCAGTCACCTGCTGGAGAGGATGCCCTTGGAGGCAAGGAGAGAGAAGCCTGAGCCTGCATTCAGTCCATCTCTTGGCTTCCCCATTCCCCTGGGTGTGGTAAGGGATGCCAATCAGTGGTAGTCACCGAATTCCCCATGCGCACAGCCAACATGCAATCCTCAAATGTCCTGAACCTCTGAGCTGAAGAACCAAGGGCTGGTGAGGTTGAGGGACAGAAGGCTTCCTAGAAATAAAACGCCGCACCAGGAATAATTGTATGAAGACCGTGAATGGTTTGTGCTGGGACAGGAGGGGCTGGAAATTCTGGGCTTGGCAGAGCTTGCCTTTCTCCCATGAGAAATGAGAAAACTCTCACCCTGTCTCTGACCCATGTGTATGAGATCAATATCAATTGGGCCAAATGGTACAAAGGATCATGTAACTAGAGGAGTGGCCCAGGATGGTGGAGTTGGGCTGGGAGGAGGGTTTACCCTGTTAGAAAAATATTTCTCAACTCTTTCCCATTGTTGTTAACCCGGGCCTGGAAGATGAGCAGGATGCAGCAGTGATGGTAACAGGGGCTTCAGAGTTGGGAAGAGCGGAATCTTAATCCCAGCTCAGCCCTTCTTGCCAAACCACTTTAACTCAAGAAACGCGTTTCCCCAACTGTGCCAGAGGGTTAATGTGAGGGTGAAAAGTGCCTAACAAATGGCTCATGTCTGTAACGCCAGCACTTTGGGAGGCTGAGGCCAGAGGATCACTTGAGCCTAGGAGTTCAAGACCAGCCTGGGCAACATAGGGACACTCCATCTCTACAAAAAATAAAAAGTTAACTGAGAGTGGTGGTGCACACCTGTGGACCCAATTGCTCAGGAGGCTGAGGTGGGAGGATTGCTCAAGCCCAAGGAGGTCAAGACTGCAATGAGTAGTAATTGTGCTACTGCAATTCATGCAATCCAACTTGGGTGACAGAGTGAGACCATGTCTCAAAAAAAAAAAAAAAAGCTTTCAGAAGTTTCATATTTGATAGTGTTCAACAGAGCAGTTTATTATCCATCTGTGTGGGACAAAGATCTGTAAACCAATTTCTAGGTTAAGAGAGATGACTTCAATTTTCTTGCTAAGAAAGCTGTCTGGATGTGGGATTTGATCATGAGTTCATCTGAGGATTAGATAAATCAGATGGATAGCTGGCATGTCCTCCATTCTGGGCCAGAAGCTGAGTGAGTCGAGCATGAGGCTGGGGCAAGGAAAGATCCAGCCAAGTTGTAGAGCAGGACAGGCTTTGAGTTGCAGGGGCAGTACATGGGGGAGGCTCTGGTCAGAGGGTCAACTTAACAAATGGCCTTTCTGAATGTTCATTTCTTTATCTGCAAAACCATGCTACCTGTGAGTGCCCAATCCTGCCTGCTTAAGCCACATAGTTGTTGGAAAATAATAAATAGCAAATGAGGGAAGGTCCAAACAAATAAATAAGTAGATAGAGACATTTGTGAATGATTAAGTGTTATGCAAATTGATGAATTAGTTGATTTGCATTTCTATTCAGCATTTGATGAATAGTTATTCTGGGGCAGATGTAGAGCTAGAAGCTGATGAAGGACCGTGAATGTAGGTAGCAAACTTTACAGTATGTATATTCTACAAGGTGTGGGAAACTGCTGAACGTTTTTGTTCAGCCAAATGGCCTAATAAACAATGTTCTTTCAGGAAGATAAGCTGGTGGCCATGTGAGGACTGTGACTCTATCAATTCTGTTTTCTGAATTGCTCCTGAATTTGTTCCCTCCTTTCTAGTCCTACAGACACTGCTGTAGTTCATACCTTAGCATTTCTTATATGCAATAACCTCCTAAATGGTCTTCTTACTTCTAGCCTTGACTGCTTTAATTCATTCTCCTTATGCACCTAGAGAATTTTATCCAATTATTTCATGGCTTATGCATTCATTTATTTGTTCATTCACCCAGCATTTATTGAGCTCTATCATGCCTAAGGCCTTGGGACCATGGCAGTAATATTTGCTGACAGGTAGGTCTTAGCACATTGCTGCTTCCTATCCCCAATATAGCGAAGTGAAGACCTCTTAGCATGTCCCACAACACCATTGATCAGCCTCTTACCATTCTCATGGCTCAGCATTCTTTTCTCTGCCTTACAATCTTTTTGCATTCTATATGCTATTTGCTATTAAAGTGGCAAGAAGGACTCTAGGATAAAGATTGAGTAAAATTGTGCTTTGGAGATTTAATAGTGAGGTAAGCTTGGGTAAATCACTTAGGCTCTCTGTTTTCTTACTTGTAAAGGTTGAGAATTATAAAGCATACCTTAAACATCCAGTGTAAAAATCAATGAGATACGGCATGTAAATTGATTAGCATGGCATCCTATATCAGTTAGGTGTGTATTTGGTGATAAGTAACAGAAAATCTGACCATTGATGTTTAAACAAATAAATATGTAACAAGAGACTGAAAGTAGTTTTTGATGTTGATTCGGTGGCTCACAAATGACAGAGCTGAATTTCTTGACCTTTCCCTCATGCTGGTTACCTCATAGTTATAAGATGGCTGCCAGAGTTCCAGACTTCACATCTACATCCAAAGTGGAAAGAAAGAGGAAGGGACAGTGCCTGCCATGTTACTTCCCCTTTTATCATGAAAGCAAAGCAAAGCTCTACTAGACCTTGAATGGGAAGTAGCAGACTTCCTATTAGATTATTTTGTACAGAAACAGATCGTATGGCCTTCTCCAACTGCAAGGGAGGTTGGAAATTTAGAGAAAAAAAATTTCCAGATTGGTTGAGACAAATCATGATTTGTCACTTGAGGATGAGCACGATAGCACTCCGAACAAATCTGGAGTCCTGTTAACAAGAAAGAAAAGTGAATAATATTCAGGAGCAATTCTTAGTGTTTTCCCCCGAAATGTCATGCATGTGCATATCCCTAGGCATTTGCACACGGTATTTCATGTTGGCTACAACACTCTCCTCCCATACTGTACCTATACAATTTTGTATCATTTTTTTTCAATATCAGAAGCAATTTTCAATTTTGTCACTTATTCAGTATCATTATTTTTAAAGGATACACAGGGGTCCATAACTGGTTGTAGCGTGGTTTATTTAACCATTTTTCAATAATTGGACGTTTATGTTGTTTCAATTTATTATTATATAGGGGGGGAAATTTGGTTTTGTTAAGTTTGTGTTCTTGGCCATACATTACACAGATTATCTCATTCAAACCTTGAAACATTTCCTTATGGTAGGTATTATTCTCATTCAGCAGTCACAGATATCTAGGTGCAGAGGAGTTAGTTTGCCCTAAGTCCTACAGCTAGTGAGTGGCAGAGTAAGGATTCACAGGAAAGATGATTTAACTGCCACGCCTGGGCTTCCTCACTGGAATCCACGCTGAGATGGACACAGTGAAAAGCCACAGCCACACTGAGGTGTGTATCAGACCTCTTACGACCTTGCAGCTTCCCCATCTCTATGGCTTTTGGGCATCTACTCCTGAACTGCCACTCCAGATAGACCCTGTCCAACTTCACGGGAGCACAGCCTATTGCACTTCACCTCCTGCTCCCGGGTTCCTTGTTGAATCTGGGGTGTGAGACACAGTGGGACCCTCTCAACATCCACACACGTGTAACCTGGAAGTATGAAGGAATTAATGCCTCATAGGGCAAAACTTTGACCAATGGGAGACGGAAGCTATGGAATAAAGTCTTCACCTCACACTCCCACCCTTCCATGGACACCTTAAGTCACAGTCATGCTATGGCCTTGGAGAGGCCGTCTAGTGAGATCAAGCAATCAGTCTCACTTAATACCTAGCAATGGGGAGCTCAATAAGGCACCCCATGTTGGTTCTCCTCCTTTCTTGCTTCCTTTGCCTTTTTCCTCTCGTCTGTTTCCCTGATATTACACCCTTTAATAAAGTAATTGCACATAAATATTTGCAAATTCAGCCCAGTTTTCTGGGCAGCCCAGGCTAAGACAGTGCATAAAGTTTTTTCATTATTTGGGCTGATTTCCTTTTGTTTAAAAAGCTTCCTGCTGTTGGGTTACTGAGTTTAAAAGTATGAATAGTCCCCATGCCTTTGAGAACATTACAACAGCCTTCGAATCTACCCAGCTCTGGCCCTTGGGTCACCCCATAGATGATTGTGGGGTCAGACTGCCCCATTCATTACTGACCCAAGGGCAAAGCTAAGGTCCTACTGGCAATGACTCACAGAAAAGGCTGTAAATAGGAATGTTTATGACCACATTTATACAACCAAAGTTGGTTCGATGATAATGTATGGAAAAATAGAATCTTTGTTGAAATTTTAATTCCATTTGGGTATGTGTTCCCAAGAGAAAGAAAACCTGGGCACACAGCCTTAAAGAGTGTGCTGGACCCTGGTAATTGCTCTAATTACCTGTGACTGATAACTTGGACAGCTCCTTGTGGGGACTGCTTTTGAATTTGCTCAGAATCACAGACTTTCCAGGAGAATCCAAGTATCAGATACCTCAGTGGGTAAGAAATGGTCATAGTCTAGGCCCTAATAAGAGTCCAGGGGAAGGCTTTCAGTTGTTCAGGTGGGGCCTGTAAGGTGTGTGCAAAATAAATTATAACAGTCTTCAAATTCACCCAGCCCTGGCCCTTGGGTCAACCCATAGATGACTGTGAATCAGAGCGGCAGGCCCCACCCAAATCACTGAAAGCCTTCTCCTGCACTCTTATTAGGACCCAGGCAATGAGAATTTTTTACTCAGGGAGGTGTCTGGTATTTGGTTTCTCCTGGAAAGTCTGTCATTATGACTGAGCAAACTCAAAAGCAGTCCCTGCAAAAAACTGTCCAAATTATCAGTCTCTCTTCAAATACGTCCTTCTGGGGCTAGACAGATTCCAGACCCATCTGTCTGCCCCAGAAGCCTGCTACCTCTTCCTGGCTTTTTTGGGCCCTGTCTAATGGACTTCTGATTATATCAGTCGCAGAGTGAGCCTGGTTATATATGAGGAAAAGAAATCAGCAGGGAACACTCGCCTTATGATGCATAGAGAATGAGCTGCTCGCTGGAAATGCAAATTTTGAAGGATGAAAATCTCACTTCTGAACACGTAATGGTCTCTAATTAACTCACAGGTAATTAGAGCAATTACCAGAGGCCAGCGCACTTCTTAAAGCTGTGTGCCCAGGTTTTTTTTCCCACTTGGGAACATATACCCAAATGGAGTTAAAATTCCTCTTCAGCAAAGATTCTATTTTTCCATACATTATCATTGAACCAACTTTGATTGTATAAATATGGTCATAAATGTTCCTATTTATAGCTTTTTCTGTGAGTCATTGCCAGTAGGACCTTAGCTTTGCCCTCACCTCAGTAATGAGTGGGGCCAGCCTGTCAAGGTGTGTGTAACAGTAAGCATGGTGGCCTGAGGAGTTCTATGTGGTCTGTGAGCTGCTTGCTTCCTCTTTGCTTCTCCACTGACTTCCACCTTGTGTCTTGATTTCTTCTTGGTGTCCTGATGAGTCAAAGTCCAGTTCCCAGTCTTCTCACTTCATCCAAGAGTTGTGGCTTATTCCTAGCTTCTTGGGAGAAGAGAGGGAAAGGAGAAGGAAGAGATGGCCTCCTCTCACTGGCCGGTTCTGAGCAGAGAGTGGGTTGCCGGGATGTAAGCTCCTCAGGGTGGATCTTATAAATATGGTCCCCAGGAAGACCTCAGTGCTCATGATATGAGCCATGGGCTGCTGCCAGGCCCTGGGGGACTCTTGAGGTATGAATTAGAACAGGATTAATATTTTAGCTCTGTTGAATTTAGTAAACTGCACTGTGCAAAGAAAATTATATTTGTGTGCTAGGAGGCTTTGATTCCTAGTTCTAGTCTTGATTGACTATGTAATTTTGCCCCTTCTCTGGGACTACTGTTCCCAAATGAGTAGGCCAGACTAGAGTAGGAATAGCAAGGGTTTGTCAAGCATGCTGTCATCGCCAGGTTCTCTGCTCATGGCAGGTGTTGCTAATCAATTACGGATTTATTTTACCCTGAACCCAGGCTTGGCCTCACAATTCTTAACAGTCCATGCCTGGTAATCACACCAATTGATTCGAGTTGGCTTAAAATGCAGCCTGTTTACCCAGGGTCAGATGATCTCCAAAGTCACTTCTACAAACATCTTGGAAACTGGTTAGCTCTAAGCAGGTCAACATCAGAATCGAAAGCTGGTTTACTCTAATAATTTGCTTAGCAAAGCTTCCCTACTCTCTCCGCAAATAACTCTCTGTATTAGTTTTCTTAGCTTCATAGCAAATTACCACAAACTTAGCAACTTAAAACAACTTTTTTGTCACTCCAAAACTTCCATTTATTATTTTATAGTGTTGTAGGTCAGAAGTGGAGGCAGGCATGGCTAGGTACTCTGCTTAGAGTCTCACAAGGCTGAAATCAAGGTGTCTGTCAGCTGGGGCTCTGGGAGGCTCTGGGAGTAAATCTGTTTTCAAGTCATTCAGGTTGTTGGCAGAATTCAGTTCTGTGTGGTTGTAGGACTGAAATCCTCATGTCCTTGCTGGCTGCTTGCCAGGACTTGTTCTCACCTTTGAGAGGCTGCCTGCATTTCCTAGCTCGTGTCTTCTGTTTTGCAACAGGGCATCAAATCTTCCTCAAATCTCTCCCTTCTGCCTCCCTCTTATGCACCCAGCCAGAGAAAGTTCTCTACTTTTAAGGGCTCATGTAACATTACACTAAGTTACTGGTTAACTCACCCTTTTGAGTTCAATTGTACCACATGACATAGCATAACCACAAGAGTGATATCTCATTCTAGTCACAGATTCCAGGGGATTAGGGTGAAACACCTTTGGGAGGTCATTTTAGAAATTCTGTCTACTGTCCTCAATTAGAAATATCACAGATTCTATGTGAATAAAGTTGGAATTAATGGGCTTAGCAAAGATGGAATTAATGAGTTTGACAAAGATGGAATTAATGGGTTTGATAAAGATGTTGCTCCATTCACTTAACAGTCAAGCCCCTATTAAAACCAGGCACCCTGTCTTCAAGAAGTGCACAGTCTAGTGGGAGCCAATAATTATGCAACAACATAGGGGCTGTTTCTAATAGAGGTGGGTACAAAATATATTGATGGTGATGAAGAAGAAATAACCAATTCTGCTTGGGGCAGTGCAGGAGGGGTGTGATTACTGGGGAAAATTTTGCTAAGAAATAGACATTTTCATTGGGCATTAAAGGATGTAGTTTTGCCTCTGAATTGTATTTGGTAAGTACCCTTTCTTCCCCCCAGAATCTCAATTTCCTCAGAACTATCATGAGAAGTTTAAAGAAGATGAGCTCTATAGCCCATTTCATTTCTGTTGTCATTGGAATTTAAATTCCAGGCACATGAATGGGGAGGAGATGGTAGTGAAAATGAGTGAGCATAAAGAGGGTGAGAGGATTCTAGAGATGGTCTTTTGTCTGCCTGTCTCCTTAACTTTTAGTGTCAGCTGGATTCCTCTGTTGTGCTCAGGAGAGAGGTCAGGGATGTGGTCTAACATCAACTGGGATGCAAAAGAAGATTGAAATTCAAACTGGCATAAACATGAAGGGTCTCAAGACTAGAGATCCAGAGGTAGGGAGATGTGGAGGTTGACTTAATCTAGCGGCACACCTTCTATTGCTCTGCAGTCCTCTTGGCTCTGCTCTTTGCAGGCCAGCAACAGAATGAGTGCTGATGTTCTGCACCACACATGTGGTTGTAGCAATATCCAAAGAAAGAACCCCCAGCAACCTTTTCTGGAGTCTCATTGGCTCCAGCTGGACCAATCCTGAGGACATAGGAAAACCTTATGTTGAAAAATATCATCCTGGGGTCTCGATCTATTCATTGGTAAGGAGGATGGGAGCACCACGACTGACTTAGACCAATCAGGATGCACCTCTAAGCTGTTACACATTGGGGGAGGGGTGGAGCCAACCAAAATGTCTGCTCCCTGGCTCTGAGTCCTGACCTCTCATCTCAGAGCACTTAGGGCTCTATCTGGGGTCCAGTGATTGATCCAGCTTTGCTAGAGCACTAATGATGGAACAGTTAGTATAATATGACTCCTTCAGTATAAGAGAAGTATATGCAAAAGGGCCTTGCAGAGAGGTATGGGTTGTTCCAAGGTAGTGACCAAACAGGGTAAACGTGGGGCACTGTGTCAGTAGGTCAGTGTCTCTAACAAGACCCCATGGTGGTGACTACATGGGATGAATCTCAGAGACTACTTGTGCGAGCTTTTGCAAATAGGCCACTTTCTTAGAATAAAACATAGATAAATTACACCCAGATAAAATGACCTTTCTCTTTAAATCAAGCCTTCCTTTTATTCAGGCAAAAAATTAAAAAATTCTAATGCAGAGGCTCTTTGCTTCTCCATGCTGCAGCTCTGCACCATTGGTTCTGTCTCATTTTAGAAGTGCAGGAATTTATAATTGGTTTTCCAATTGTCACCGAGGCACCTTAATGGCTTTTTACAAATTATTTGTTGTATGAACAACATTAATAGAAACCAAACTGCAAAAAAAAAAAAAAATTAACCCGTGCTCTGACCACTGCTACACAAATCAAGCTGTTTATATTCATCCATGCTTTGTTCAAGTGTTTGCTCATGTGCACACAAAATTTAATCACAGAACAGTCATCATTTATATTGGCATATTCTGGGCATATTCTGTGTTTATTGTGTAATTGTCATAATTATACTTTTTAATGGCTGTGTGGTCTATAATGGGTTTCTGGAAATGAAAATCGACTATCTCTGATACGACCACTCCTTTGACTCCCCCTACATCCCAACCAGATTTGGAATTAGTTTAGGGTTAATTTTTCCTCCATGCCCATTTAATTTTTGCAGAAAGAGAGTTATTGCTCTTAGGTGAAGGAAGGTGAGCATGAATTGTATGTTTCTAAAGGAATACCTCCTACTTCTGCAGGAAAATTTTTTAATAACCTTGCTATTTTAATTCCATATATATTTTTCTTGACTCTATTATTTAAGAATTACACCTTGTATAATTCCCAAAGGCATTTTGTAGGTTAGCAATAGAGACAGTGTGAAGCCTAATTAGGAATTTGTCTTAAAATAGGACTGAGTCCTGGCCTAGGGAAAGGAAGTGTGAATAAGACAGTGCAGGGGTTGCAAATCCCTGGTATAGGTCCATAACTCTTCCTTCCTTTGGAAGACATCATTATGATGCTCTTCCACACCGGCTTAGGTGCAGCCTCAAAGGCATTTAAAGACTGAATTGTGAAGAGATTGGAAGGGGTATCTCTTGGGCTCATCTAGCTAGCTGTTCCATGGATTGGACTCCCACTGAATTCTAGAGGGTGTTTAAGTGACTTGTTTTGTATTTTTTTTTTCTTGATATGGAGTTTCTCTCTTGTTGCCCAGGCTGGAGTGAAATGGCGCAATCTCGGCTCACTGCAACCTCTGCCTCCTGCGTTCAAGTGATTCTCCTGCCTCAGCCTCCCAAGTAGCTGGGATTATAGGCACCTGCCACCATGCCTGGCTAATTTTTAATGTTTTTTTTTAGTAGAGACGGGGTTTTACCTTGTTGGGCAGACTGGTCTCGAACTCCTGACCTCAGGGGATCCACCCGTCTTGGCCTCCCAAAGTGCTGGGATTACAGGCGTGAGCCACCGTGCCCAGTCTAGGTGACTTGTTTTACAGAGTGTTCCAATAAGCATCCTGCAGCAGTACCACATTAGAGAGTTTCTTTTTAACTTTTGTTTTAGATTTGGGCGTACATGTGCAGGTTTGTTATATAGGTAAACTAGTGGCACAGGGGTTTGTTGTGCAGGTTATTTCATCACCCAGGTACTAAGCCTAGTACCCAATAATTATTTTTTTGCTGCTCCTCACCCTCCTTCCACCCTCCACCCTCAAGTAGGCCCTGGTGTCTGTTGTTTACTTCTTCGTGTCCGTGTGTTCTCATCATTTATCTCCCACTTAAAAGTGAGAATATGTGGTATTTGGTTTTCTGTTTCTGAGTTAGTTTACTAAGGATAACGGCCTCCAGCTTCAGTCATGTTCCTGCAATAGACATCATCTCATTCTTTTTGATGGCTGCATGGTATTCCATGGTGTATATACCACATTTTCTTTATCCAATCTGTCATTCATGGGCATTTAGGTTGAGTCATGTCTTTGCTGTGAATAGTGCTCCAATGAACATTCATGTGCATATGTCTTTAAGGTAGAATGATTTATATTCCTCTGGGTACCCAGTAGTATATACCCAGTAATGGGATTGTAACATCGAATAGTAGCTCGGTTTTTTGCTCTTTGAGGAATTGCCATACTGCCTTCCACAATGGTTGAACTAATTTACACTCCCACCAACAGTATATAAGCTCCCTTTTCTCTGCAACCTTGCCAGCATCTGCTATTAATATTTTTTGACTTTTGAATAAGTCATTTGATATGAGATGGCATGTCATTGTGGTTTTGATTTGCATTTCCACATTATAGAGTTTTTCTGGACAACTCTTTGCCTTGAACTATTCATGGGATAAAGAGGGGAACTAGATATTTTGAAGTTTATGTTTTATAAATGAACAATTCCAAAACAAAAATATCCTATAACAAATCTTCTGTGAAGAATTAAATCACACTGAACTCTGGGTTTGATGATGGGCTACACATTTTATGCTCCACGCTGAAAACATTTGCTTTCAGTTCTGTCACTGTAGCTCAGTGACTCTGTGTTTGCCTTCATCTGGAGATGACATCAAAACATGAACCTTTGAGACCTCTGGGAATAGAAGGCTGTGCCTAGTGGTCCCTTGGGCTTCTCTTGTGAGGGCCCTGGTTTGGACCTACACTCTGGTCTCACTTCTTGGATGATGATGGCCTCTGATTGCTTCTTGAAATGCCCAAGATGAAATACTTCATCATCTCAAGTGTTAATTTTTTTCTAAAGACTAGCATAGTCTCCTATAAGGAATTTGCGTTTCTTATTAATAGTACTTCAGCCTTACTTCTTATGAAACATTAATCCTGATCTCCTTTCTGGGTCTGCCCTCATTCCAAAGAGGCTTCGTATTAATTGAGAAAACCTTGTCTAAACTATCTGGGATGGACGGTGCTGTCTTCAGATAGTTTCTGTGTAACTTCAAATTTCGTCTGAAGAGCAGAGGGATGTTTCAGTTTATCTCACTACAAGTAACCATCTTAAGAGTACTGACTTTTTCTTTCATCATAGGGTGTTCTGTGTTCTTCATTTGGCTCTGAACAATATCGTGGTGTCAGATGGGGTGACTTGGGCATGTCCAACATCCCCATCCCTCTTTTATGAGGTCCTAACCCTCATCATCACCACATACTGTGTGGTTGGTATGATGGATCACTTCAAGAATTTGTATCTTGAAATCACTCTGTCACTTGAACAAATAGAAGTCTGATTTATGTTTCTCAAACTCTATGGGGGCAGATTTTATGTACTGAAGTGTTTCATGATCTACTGTGTGTTGGACTGTTAATTTGTTCTTTTTCTTTTTCTAAAATTAATTTCCCTTCTCCCTTCCTTCCTTCCTTCTTTCCTTCCTTCCTTCCCTCCTTCCCTTCCTTCCTTCCTTCCCTTCCTTCCTTTCCTCCTTCATTCCTTTCCTTTCCTTTCTTCCTTCCTTCTTCCCTTCTTTCCTTTCCTTTTTCTCTTCTCTTCTCTTCTCTTCTCTCTTTGAGATGGAGTCTCGCATTGTTGCCTAGGCTGGTCTAAGCTCTGGCCTCAAGCAGTCCTCCTGCCTTGGCCTCCCAAAGTGCTGGGATTACAGACAGGAGCCACTGTACCTGGCTTAACTTGTTTTTTCAATGAGACTTTGGGACAACATACTGAGTTTGGGGGTTGTGTGAGTCAGACAGATTAGCACTATGCTGTAATCATAAATAACACCTAAATCTCACCTGTTTAAATCAGTAAAGAGTTATTTTTTCTTTTGCTGCAATTTCATCCCCGCTTTGGCAGGGGAATCTTTTTCACGTCTCATGCAGATGTGGAGGCTGACAGGGACCTCACTCTCTGTTACTGGTCTCCATGGCAGGAAGAAGGAAGGGAATGTGATAAATTGTATGTGGAATTTTTGTTTGTTTCATTTTGCTTTGCTATTATTCAACTTTCTTGAGGTATAATTGAAGTATCATAAACTGCATATATTTAAAATGTACCTTTTGATGCATTTTGAGATATGCATGTACCTTTGATATCCTCACCATGATGAAGAGAATAAACATTTTCATAACCCCCAAAAGGTTCCTTGTTTCACATGCCTCTCTCCACTCCTGTCTTCATGCAACCAGGGACCTGCTATCTGTCAATGTAGGTTGATCTGCATGTTCCGGAATTTTTTTTTTTTTTTAATAAACGGAAGCACACAGCACTTACTCTTCTTCTACTGGCTTCTTTCATGCAGCTCAATGATTTGAGGAATCACTCATGTTGTATGTGCCTCAACAGTTCATTCTGTTTTATTGCTGAGTAGTATTCCATTGTATGGCTATACCACAATTTGTTTATCTATTCCTGCACATGGAAAGTTGGTTTGTTTCTGGTTTATAATGATCACAAATCAAGCTGATAAGAACATTTGGGTACAAGTCTTTGTGTAGACTTGTGCTTTTATTTATCTTGGATGCATACTTAGGAGTGAAGATGTCCCAAAGTGGTTGTACCATTTCACATTCCCTTAGCAGTTTATAAGAGTTCCAGTTGCTCCACATCTTCACCAACACATGGTATGATCAGTTGAAAAACTTTTCCCAGCACTTTGGGAGGCCGAGGTGGGTGGATCTCAAGGTCAGGAGATCGAGACCATCCTGGCTAACACAGTGAAACCCTGTCTCTATTAAAAATACAAAAAATTAGCTGGGCATGGTGGCAGGTGCCTATAGTCCCAGCTACTTGGGAGGCTGAGGCAGGAGAATGGCGTGAACCCGGGAGGCGGAGCTTGCAGTGAGCTGAGATTGCGCCACTGCACTCCAGCCTGGAAGACAGAGCGAGGCTCCATCTCGAAACAACAAAAAACACAACAAAAAACTGTTCACCCTTCAAATAGGTGGATAGTGGTATCTCAGTGTAGTTTTAATTTGCATTTTCCTAATGATTAATTATATTGAGCATTTTTAATGTGTTTATTGGCTGTATTGTGGAGTATCCTTGGGTGCTGTGCTCCGGGGTTTGCTCTGGTGTGTCAACTTGGTAGAATGACTTTTATCCAATTTTTTTCCAGTGAGGCTTCTAGTTAGTACAATATCTACACACTGTAGCACTAGTTAGCATCCCCGTTCCTACTTTGTTTTTATCTGAACCAGTTTAGCCCTTCCATTTCTCTCCTGACCTGTGGCTAGTTTATGGGCTCCCTATAAAAAGTCCCCTTCCATTCTCTCAATCCCTGCATCCCCAGGACATTCTGTTTTTCCAGGCTCTGCCTTCTATTCCTGTCTGTCTGGTTGACTTGAGTGGCAGATCCTTTGCTTTAAACCTGACTTTTTCTTCTTAACCTGCTTCCCTTTTCCCTTTAACATTTTTGGGCTGGGACTTCAGAGCTACCTTGACCCTGATACTCTTTTGACTCAAATTTACACCATGCTCCAGAGTTGAATGTGAGCCCCTACCTGTTCTGGCGCCATCCAGTTCCTGAGGATTCTATCCCTAGCCAGAAACCTGGACAGCCTTCTCTCCCAGGGTCACCCAGACAGCCCTGCAAAGAAAGTGATATTAAGCAGGACAGTTTGTAGACTGTAAAGAATTCATGAGAAAAGTAAGATGACATAAAATCCATTCTGTTCATCTAAAAAAAATTAACTAGCCAGGTCCAGTTGTAGTTCCTTTTGAATCTCCTGCCAAGAGTGTCCTCTCTTCTAGCATCAGTCAGTCTGAGACTGAAAGTCATTGCAGGGTTTCCAAGGTTATGGCAGATTCTGGTTGATACTTGCAAACAACTGACAAGATGAATCAGTATGTGTCCTAGCAGGAGGCTAAAGGTGGATGGTTAAGTGTCTGGCAGACCCAGGCATGATAATGAAAGCTGTCTGTCAAGGAAGATCAGGTTCCAGAAGGGGGTTTGGGTAACAGAACTAAAACTCAGAGATGGGGCCTCAAGCCAGAAGTACAAGCTAAAGCAAGTAGACTGGGTCTGAGAATCTAAGCAGAAGCTACCTGTGAGGTCTGGCTTTTCATCCAAGTCAGGCACACAGGACTATTGAGGACACTGAGGCCTCAGGTGAGGGCTCGAGTTTCCACAGTTTGCATGGGTCCTGTGAGCTGGGGAGGGTGGGGGTTCAGGCTGCTCCAGCTGTGGGTGCTAATGAGAGTGAAGGGGCAGGGGCCAGGAAGAGTGTGACGAAGGATGGCGTGTGTTTGGCTTATTTATAGAAGACTAAAAATGAAAATCCCTTCCAGATGCAAAAACTCACACTCCTGCTAAAGAGCCCAAGAAAAGAAGCACACAAATCCAGTTTATGGAGAGAGATTCTTCCTAAAGGTCTTAGCATGTTATCTCATTTGTAGGAGTCACGGTTGGAAACTGTGATAATTCTGGCTCTTTTCTGCTATGGCTACCCTGCAGGGGACAGGGCCACTTGGAAGCAGTTGAGCCTGGAAGAAGACCTGCCTCCATTAAGTGGTGGGAAAGGGAGGGTGGAGGACTGGTCATGGAGGAAGTCCAGTGAGCAAGTGAAACACAGCAGCCCTTCTCAACCTCATTGTGAATACACATGGGGAGCTTGTTAAAATATGGATTTTGATCCAGTAGGTTGAGAATGGGCCACAAAATTATGCATTTCTAAGTTCTTAGGTGATGTCTGATGCTGGTCTGTGGACCACACTTTGAGTAGCTAGGAAATACGATATTCAGAGGGTGGCAGCAGGTATGAGGATATCAAGGCAAAAAATTGTTGTCAGAGAGTAAAAGTGTGATGGGAATATTTGTATAGGTAGTGAAAATTAGTAACAGGTGCAAGGAGCAGGTGACATTCAGATGGAGAGCCACAGTGTGCTATGCCTGCATGGGATGCTATTGGGGGAGCTGATGTGGTGTGGAAAGAACATAGATATTGAAGCCAGATGGCTTTCAGTTTGATGTCTGGGTCAGCTTTTTACTGGCTATTTGACCTTGATCAATTTAGCTAGGCTCTCTGGGGGAGAGTTTACATATTGGTGCAAACTTTATCGGATTGTTGTAAATATTAAATATTGCAAGCTATGTGACAAATTGACATTGTGTGCCTCCTGATATGAAGCACTGAGACAAAACAGGATTATATCTGTTATTTTTGCAAAAAAAAAAAAAAAAAAGCACATAACACAAATGTAACCATATGGAAACCTGAAGCAAACCAAAATGTGATATCCTACAATGGAACTGGGTTAAACTCCTCTAAAATATTATGGTCATGCAATGGAACAGAACAGAGAGCCTGGGAATAAAACTGCACACCTACAACCATCTGATCTTTGACAAAGTCAACAAAAATAAGCAATGAGGAAAGGATTCCCTGTTTAATAAATGGTGCTCGGATAACTGGCTAGTCATATGCAGAAGAATGAAACAACCACTGCCTTTCACCATAAACAAAAATTAACTCAAGATGGATCAAAGATTTAAATGTAAGACTTAAAACTATAAGAATCCTAGAAGAAAATCTAGGAAATACTATTCTGGACATTGGCCTTGGCAAAGAATTTATGGCTGAGATCTCAAAGGCAATCGCAACAAAATCAGAAATCGACAAGTGGGACCTAATTAAATTAAAGAGCTTCTGCACAGCAAAAGAAAATATCAACAGAGTAAACAGGCACTCTATGGAATGGGAGAAAATGGTCACAAGCTATGCATCCAAAAAAGATCTAACATCCAGGATCTATAAGGAACTTAAACAATTTAACAAACAAAAAAATAAATGATGCTATTGAAAAGTGGGCAAAGGACATCAACAGACACTTCTCAAAAGAAGACATATACACAGCCAACAAATATATGAAAAAATGCTCAGCATCACTAGTCATCAGAAAAATGCCAACTGAAACCACATGAGATACCATCTCACACCGGTTAGAATGGCTATTACTAAAAAGTCAAAAAATAACAAACGCTGGCGAGGCTGCAGGGAAAAGGGAATATGTATATACTTCTGGTGGGAATGTAAATTAGTTCAGCCATTGTGGAAAGTAGTTTGGAGATTTCTCGAACTTAAAACAGGACTACCTTTTGACCGAGTAATGTTATTACTGAGTACATATACAAAGGAAAATAATTTTTTCTATGAAAATGCACTCGCACTCACTGTGTATGTTCATCACAGCACTGTTGGCAATAGAATCAACCTAGGTACCCATCCATGGTGGACTGGATGAAGAAAATGTGGTAAATATACACCATGGAATACTGTGCAGTCATAAAGAAGAATGAAATCATGTCCTTTGCAGCAACATGGATGGAGTTGGAGGCCATTATCCTAAGTGAATTAACACAAGAACAGAAAACCAAATACCGCATGTTCTCACTTGTAAGTGGGAGCTAAACGTTGGGGTACACATGGACACAAAGACAGGAATGATAGACACTGGGGACTCCAAAGGGAGGGAGGGAGGTGTGCAAGGGCTGAAAAACTATTAGGTATTGCACTCACTGCCTGAGTGACGGGATCATCCTTACCCCAAACCTCAGCATCACACAATATACCCATGTCACAAAACTGCACACGAATCCCCTGAGTCTAAAATAAAACTTCAAATTAAAACATTGTTATGGCCATGAAATACAAGTAGTTCAGAGAAAGCTATCTACATATATACACATACATGTGCACACACAAATATACTTACATACACACATATATGGAGGAGAGAGATTGAGAGAGAGAGAGTGATAAGACACATGTAGTAAAATATTAAACATGGCTACCCCTCATTTTGCAAAGAATCTGAGAGAGAAAAGAGACCGAGGCAGGGAGCAGGCCAGCCTGAGTCTCCAAAGCAGGCTGTTGGCAGGAAGTCTACTAGACGGGGCACCTGGACTGTGCCAAGGACAAGCCTTTCTGCTCTTTCCCACCAAGGTGGATAATGGGAGCTACTTCTTAACTTTGGCCTCACTATTAATCACCTGGAAACTATACTCGTGTAATTAATTTTAAGTGATAGAAAAGCTATGCATGCTTTCTGTCTCTTCCCTTTTCATCTGCTCTTGAACCCACTACATCAAAGTATTCTCTATTGGTTCTATTGAATCCACCCCCTGGAAAAACTTTCTAACTGTCCAATCCAATAGACACTTTTCACTATTTATATTATTTGGCCTCTTGAAAGTCACTTGAATTTGTTGACTAATCCCTCCAACCCGAAACTCTTCAGCCCTCGCTTCCTTGCGACCCTTTCCTGGTCTCATAAATGAAGGGGCATCACCATCCACCTTCACTTCTAGGAAGCTTCATCCCAGCCATCTACATGGTTACTTTTTGCCCAGATTTTCCTTAAAAGTTGGGGTTCTCTGGTGCTCAGTTCATTATCTTTTTTTCTTCTTTCTCCACAATATGCTTCATTCTTTTTCGCCTTCTCTTCTTCTTCAAGTCAGGACACTTTTAGTTGAATGTGACGAAAACTCCACTCAATTCTTGTCTCAAAATTTTTAATTGTGGCAAAATACATGTAACATAAAATGTACCATCGTAATCAGGTTTAAGTGTGCAGTTCAGTGGTGTTGAGTGCCTTCACATTGTTGTGCAGCTCCTCTCCAGTATGTTTTCATCTTGTAAAACAGAACCTCTGTACCCATTAAACAGCTCCCCATTCCCCCTCATCCCAGCCCTGGCAACCACCATTCTTCTTTCTGCCTCTGTAAACTTGACCACTCTGGGTACCTCATGTAGGTGGAATCCTACAATATTTGTCCTTTTGTAAATGGCTTCTTTCACTTAGCATAATGTCTTCAAATTCATCCATGTTGTAGCGCATATCAGAATGTTCTTCCTTTTTAAGGCTGAAAAATATTCCATCATATGTATACACCTCATTTTGTTTATTCATTTATCTGTCAATGGACACTTGGGTTACTTCTTTCTTTTGCCTATTTTGAATAGTACTGCTATGAACATGGGTGTGCAAATGTCTCTTCAAGACCCTGCTTTCAATTCTTTTGGATATATATCCAAAAGTGGCGTTGCTGGACCACTCTATTTCTAAACTCCCCCACACACCCATAAAAAGAGAAATGGGAGAAGAAAGAATAAAAAGGGAGAGCTGTGGGCACAGTAACTGGGACATGTGGAGGTGGACTCTGGGCCGCTTGGACGTAGGAGCTCAGATGGTGCTGTCATGGTACAGTTCCTCTTTTTGAGTCTTGACTTTTTCCTGACTGCTGACCTGGCCCTGCAGAAACTGTCTTCCATGTGGTAAGAAAGTTTTCTCCAAAGGCCTCAGATTCACATCTTGCCAGCATGGAAACCCCAGCAGAGAGAGAATATCTCTCCTAAGACTACATATCAATCCTATACAACTAAAGACAAAAAGCGAATCTACTGAGAATGCCAGAGCAGACAGGTAGGAAGGGCTTTGCTCTTGATCATATCCTTGAACTACTTTCGAAAACTGGAACTCATTTCCTCCAGACATCCCTCAATGTGAGGTAATTAAATGTCTTCATTGCTTAAGTCTCTGCTTTGCATTGCTACTTGAAGGAAACAGATAACTCCTATACTGTATAACCACAATAAAGTCTCCCCTTATAGAAAAAGAGAGGAGAAATAACATGCTGTGGTCACATGTTCTGCTGTAGTGGAAAAGGAACAATTCCCTTCTCTGGCAGTGGGGTGACTCATCATCAGTCAATTTGGCTACCCTTCATTTTGCTCTTTAAGAAAATTTCTCTTGTCCATTGAGGAACAGATTCAGCTGATATGCCTTTTCCTTTTTGCTTGGAATGCAGATATGGTGGCTGGAGTTGCAGCAGTTTGGGGGAGGAATATGAGGGAAAAGCCAAGAAAATCTCAGAGATGTTAGCCCTAAATCTACTGGATCGATGTCAGTAACCACCTACTTCTAGCTTTCTTGTTGCACAGAAAAATTTTAAGTGCTCTTTGAATCTAGGCTTCAGCTTTTTAATATATCTGTGTTAGCTACAGGCCTAGATGTTTTGCTTTGTAGTTTTCTTCAGACATGGCTTTGTGGCAACATGAAACAACAGAACTGGGAGGTAAGGCCCTTGCCCAGGTAGCATCACCGTGGATAGGTTTGACTCCAGAGGCAGCACTCAGACACTGGACCAAATTGAGGACAAGCTAAAACAAGGACAGGGTGGACGTACCTTTCCATAAGACATGCCCACAAATGTGCCATGTCAGGTTACCATTGCCATGGCAATACCCAGAAGTTACCACCCTTTTCCATGTCAATGACTGATAACCTAGAAGTTACCACCGTTTTTCTAGAAATTTCTGCAGTTTGCCCCTTAATTTTCATATGATTAAAAATGGGTATAAACATGACCGCAGAACTGGCTCTGACCTGCTACCCTGAGCACACTGCCTATGGGGTAGCCTTGCTCTGCAAGGGGCAGCACCTCTGCTGCTGCTGTACACTGCTGCTTCAATCAGAGTTCCTGTTTAACACCACTGGCTTGCCCTTGAATTCCTTCCCAGGTGAAGCCAAGAACCCTCCCAGGCTAAGTCCGGGTTTTGAGGTGTGCCTACCCTGCATCAGGTTCTCCTGCTGGCTCCTGTATCTGCCAGCAGGAGCAGTTTGAGAGGAGCTCCACCTGGGTCTTAGTCTTATTCTCAACCATGTTTCCTGCTTTGTAGTTTTCTATGAAGCATTCTCTTTCTCATCAAACTTTCACTTACTAATTTTTGCATCTACTAATAATTCGTGCCTTAGTCAATTATGACTGTAGTGTTGGCCATATGGTGATTTTTCTAATTCCATTCTTTCTTCTACATTTATTAGTTGGTATTCTACTATGAGGTAGAACTCCTTTGTGTATTTATCCATTTATTTAGTTAAATCCATACAGATTCATGGATTCTTATTTTATTAAATGGATTACAATCCATGATTATCATTATTTATTTTGATGCCCAAAGCTTTCCACATTTGGCTAGTGGGAGACCTTCCAAGCTGGCTCCTGTGTCCTGTGTCCATGTTTCTATTCATGTTTGAGTGTTCTCTTTCTTTTTGGCATATCAAGGTATTCCAGGTTCATCTTGCATTTTCCCTACACTCAGGCATTTCTTCATGGAGTCCTGCTCCTTTTAATGAAGAATAAGATCTAAAAGCCAAAATTCAAAAGATCTTGTGTGTTTCTGGGAGGTCATAGCTTCTCAGCCCTCTTAGTGGAAAGAGTCAGGAAATATGTGTATCTAAATACATTTAAGTACATACACACATTCACATGTCTCTCTATCTATTTCTGTATGTATCTCCCTTTGTTTATTAAAAACCATAGATCCACATTGATATTTCCAGTTCCAGTCCACCACCCCAGGATTTGTTCATACTTTTCCGCTCTTCATATGCTACCTCTCTTTGGTGACAGTGAGAAATCTGGCTCCAATTACCTGCAATATGTTTCCTTATATACTCAATCTCTTTTATGTAACCCATCTCTCAGTTCTGGACCTGTTTCACGTAGCTGCACCAGCCAAGTTCTATTACCCCTCTCCCCTAGACGCATATTTTCCAACTAAGTTCCCTAAGATTCCAGCCTTAATGGACAGATGATCTGAGTCCTGAGATAGATGAGGATTCAGCTACTTACTTTATTGCTATACAATATGCAACACCAGCTTCTCAGAAAGCAGAGGGATTTCCATAACTTTCCACTTTTGCCTTGACTCAGCCAATTCTGTTCTTTAGGCTGTTTATTTTTTTTATTTTTTATTTTTGGCAGCACCTCACTTCTGGTACCAATTTGTGTGTTGCTGAAGACTATTTGGTTTGCAAGAAACTCAAATTAACACAACAACAATAATAATAAAAGGTAATTTGTTGGCTCACAATTGGCAAGTCCAGGGGAGAATCCAGCTTCAGGCTTAGCTAAATTAGGATGCAAGGGTTGTTGTCTGGATTTTGTCTTTCTTTCCATCTCTTGTTCTGTCTTCCTCGGTGTGAGGGCTTGAGTCTGCAGTTAGGCTTCCTCAGTTCCATGTATCTACCTCAGAGAAGATTCTGCATTGGTCTTTCTTGGCTTAAGTGCCCATCCATGGTGTAATGCAAGGGCCTTGGTTGCTATGATTGGCCATGTTTCGCCTGGGGTTGTGGCAGCTTTATGACTGACATCCCCAGCAATCGCGTTTGATACTTCCACATCAAGTAAAGCAGTATGTCTTCCATATAGGTGATCTCACCTGGATTTATCACTTCAACTATTAGCAATAGAGTGCCAACAATTTCCAAACTGAATTCCTTTGCCTTGACATCCATCTTGAATTCAGGACCAGGATATCCAATTGCCTGCTGGAGATCTATCCCCAACTGGACATCTTCAGACACAACATTTCCAAGGCTCAACATATTAGTGATCACCAATAGTGGTGCAAAAACCTTGCAAGGGGTGGTGCCAGAAGAAATTGGGAAAATCCTGCTCTTCTGCTTGGATTTATGACTTCAATCAATACCTTCCACTTAGTTTTCCCAAGCAGGCACCTAGGAGTCATTCCAGATTTCTTTCTTTCCTGCATCCCACCCCACCTCTGCCAACTCTTTCTAAATACTTATGAGCATCTCTCCTCCTTTTCTTTCTTCTGCTTCTGCTCCAGTTTAGGCTTCTCTGACATTTCCACTTCCTGCATATTACAACAGCCTCCTAATTTGTTATCCTCCTCCTAATTTCTTCTTGCACAACCATTGAGAAAAGGATAACACATTAGGAGGCTGTTGTAATATGCAGGAAGTGGGAATGTCAGAGTAGCCTAAACTGGAGATGAAGCAGCAGAAAAAAAACTCAGATCTGCCCATGTCATTTCCCTGTGAGAAAACCTCTGGAAGCTCCTCACCCTGACCGGATAAAGCCCATGCTGTTTATGAGGGCACACTGGGCTCTTTAGGGTTTTCTCTTGCCCAATGATAGCCATGACAATGGTGAGGACCTCAAGCCCCCCATCCCACTCCCAGGGTTCTTTGGGATCTGCAACTCTTAGAACCTACTCCCCGCCCCCATCCTGAATTATTCTTATTTGGAAAGTAACTTTTAAATAGTGCTTAACTTTTCCCAAGAACATACACATATTTTTTTTATTTTAACTTTTGAGACTCATAAAAATACTGTGAGGTTTGGTTTTCAGTTCCATTTTAGAGATCAAGCAACTGAGACTGATTTTGAACTGTGTGGCAGGACCGTGGTGTGTTGTTTAGCCGAGGATCACGCTGCAGTCTACAGGTTACTCTCCATCTGGATATGATGTCAACATGTGTTACGCTAACATTCCAGAAGCTCAGAAAAGATACTGTAGGACACTAGGACGCTGGACAGGGGTGCACTGACAGGTTCTTCAGTGCATTCATCCATTTGCGTATCTCCTGCCATGTGTGAAATACATTTCTGGAGTTACCTTCATCATCTGCTAAGCATACATATTTGTGATTTGTGCAGAATGGGCCACAGATGTCAAGTTCTCTCTTTACAATGAAATGTAGATTTTCCATTTAAAATCAAGTCTTTCATTTCTAAATGCTGAATAGGATGGTACTTTAGAAAGAATTCCAGATGGTTAAATTAGGAGACTGAGAATATAAAAAGACCAGCCCAAGATTACTCACAGAGCCTGAAGCCTTTCAATTTGGTTATGAATGAAATGCATTTTTATTTGAGTGTGCAACTGTTTATATTTTGTTCTGAAGCCATCACTAAACCCATACCTGTAAGCCCTTGGGCATTTTAGGTGTGCCCAGCTGTGCCTGACTTCCCTCACAAATCTATTTGGTTTGCCAGTTCAAGATGAAGATGCTCTGCTTAGAATAAGATGAGATATGCTAAGATGTTTTCCTATACGGTTTGTCTTTTTGAGGGACATGGGTCTGTGTGGTTCAGAGAAAGGCCATGGGGGCAGTTAAGATGGACCTTTTTGGGCTTTGTGGAGAAGGATCCCCCACAGAGGACCTTCCCTAGGTTTCTTCTCCAGGAGCAGGCAGCATCTTCCAGCATTGGTGGATGGGGGTCAACAGGCTGAGACCACAGGTGATGACTGGTAATTTCTCTGGGGGAGATGAAGCGCTCCCAGTGGATCATCGGAAATCATCCTCTAACCTGAGATTCTCAGAGAACAGATATCTTCTTTCTGAGTGCTCTGAGTGTGTATGTGGGGAAGGTGAAAAACTGTGAAGAAGAGAAGTAGAAAGGTGACTCCCTCACTGTGGTTTAGGTTCACGGGGACTCCTTGCAGAAGTCCTTGGGAGAATCAAGAGGGGGTTGCTCAGATATTCCCAGGACTCTATGGAGATGATACCCAGGTTGCATTGGGAGCTGGCCTCAGTGCCCTGAGATCACTTCTTAAGCCAAGAGTCTCACACTCTCTCCTATGATGTGGCCACTGAGTCACATATCAGTGAACCCAGGAAGCACAAGAGGTGACAGATCCCATGGAAACCTCTGCAGCTTTAGCAGCAGCTGGACTTTCATTAGAATCCAAACTCTGATACTTAGGAGAGTTGTAACCTCCCTGGGCCAGGTATCCCCACTGGAAAGGCTGAAAGGCCCCCAGTCTTCCTAGAAAGACTTTCCATAATGTGGAATGTCCCCCAAGTGAGGTACACACTGCTGTCTTCTTCAAAGTAGCAACCAAAGGCTGGTTCTTCGCTCTACTTTGCAGAACAAAATGAACTCTTTCTGTCAACTCTGACCACATTGTCTAAAACAGTATACTCATCTGTACTCATCCACCTGGCATGTGTCTGTCTGTTGATCTGTTTATTATCTGTCTTCTGCACTGGCCTGCTCACTCTCTGAGGGCAGGAGGTTTGCCCCTTGTTTTCACTGCTGTAACCTCCACTCTGTGAATCTGTGAATCTTTGCCTGCCTCAAGGGAAGCTTTCGGTAAATATGTAGTAAATGAGTGAATGAATAAATGAATGAAAATAATTTTTGGAAGGATGGGAATCTTTATTTACAGGATCAAGCTAAGTATGGTAGATAACAAAATCTTTGCAAGGCAAGTATGATATTTACATTTGTTGGGTCATTCTGGAGTCAAAGCCTGAAAGGAATAACCAAAGGGACTGGACTCTGGGGAAGGGTAATAATAATAAAACATAGCATTTATGTGTTTTTGTTTGTTTATTATTTATGTGCCAGGCAATGTTTCAAGTGCATTTTATTGCTTACAAAAACTTTGTCTATTATTGCTGTCCATTTTGCTGATAAGAAAATTGAGGCACAGAAGGGAGAAGTAACTTGCCTAAGTGCTCATGGTTAGTAAAAGGTTGAACTCATTTCTGTCCCGAGTGTTCTGGCACCCAGGTTAGACCAGCGCAGTTACGACAAACACAGGCTCTTTCTTCAGGCCTCTAAGGTTGAAGTTCCTAACCTCCTCCACCCATCAGGCACTTTCTTTGAAGTGAGTGAATCACTGAATTTGTCACAGTTCATAATTTTATTTGAAACAATCAAAACTGGCACTGATATTCATTAAACTGGAATTGTTCTCAAAATGCATGTCCCTGGGCCCACAATACACATTTGTTGGAATGGTTGATTTCAAAGCATCCCTGACTCAAAGGCTCTCAGAACCAGGGATCCTTAGAGACCTCTGGGTCCAACTCCATCATTCTACTGATGGGAAACTGAGGGAGGAGAACTCTGCACCTCCCAGACCTCTTTTATGGCATGATAGGACCAATACAGCATGGAGATGAACAGTCTTGTCCTTGCTCCACCATTAACCACATTTGTGATATTATACATTTGTACTTAAAACTCTTTTAGCCTGTTTCCTATAATATGAAAATAACTTATCTCATATACATGCATGTGTCGAGTATATAGTCAGCACTCAGTATAAACAGCTTTAAAGACCTGGACTCTGAAATCCTTACCATGATGGCTGGTCCCCTCACGGTCACCACAGGTCTGACAAGTGCACGCCATGCAGGCTGGCAGGAAGGTGTGAATGGGACACACTTATACTAAAAAGTTATTTGTGGTTTATTTGAAATTCATATTTTACTGGCATCCTGTATTTTTATATTTGGCAACCTACCGTCCTTGCATGAATGTCAAAAGTCAGCCAAGCATAAGAATGTGTTTCTCCTCATCCTCACTAGCACTATGTGTGGTTATCACATTCATGCTTTTCACTGATATCCAGCTCTGGGTAGAGGGGAAACTGAACTTTCTGGCCCCTTGCATTTTGGCAAGACCATGTGACTGATTAATAATACGTGAATAGAGGAGAGTGGTTGAAACATTTAATTGCTTGGGTGAGAGTTTCTAGAATTCCTTTGATGAGGTCATTGTAGAAGCCAAAGTCAATTTGGAGCCTCCAGCAGCCTGAATCCCTGAGTGTCGATAATGAACAGAACATTCCTGCTGACCTGCAATGGACATGAAGCATGAAGGAGAAATAAAACTTATTTTAAGCCAGGGGTTGGTATGCTATGACCTGCAGGCCAGGCTGGCCCACCTCTTGTCTTTTTAAGTTTTATTAGAACACAGTCACGCCTATTCATTTACAAATAATCTATCGTTGCCTTTGCCACAGTGGTAGAGTTAAGTAGTTGTAACAGAAAACCCACAAAGCCTAAAATATTTACTATTTGTCCCTTAACAGAAAAACTTATCACTCCTTCTTTCCAGCCATCGACTCTTTGTGCTTATTTGTTATTACAGCCATTCCTGACTGCTTTACTGAGTACAATGTTTAAAACTTGCTAATTAAATGGGGTTTTTTAAAAAAGAATAACATTATTTTTAGTTTTTACTTCTTTATTACTGGAGTCACACAGTTTTCTGTTTGTTGACTAGTTGTATTTCTCTTTTGATCTGTTTGTGTCCTTTGTCATTTTATCATTAGGGGTTTTAGTGATTTCCTGATTGATTTGAGTCAGTTCTCAGAGGAGAGAAGATGTCAGTCTTCTGTGGTTTATATTTGATTAGTTCTATCAAGTCTTAACTTAAAACAGTCCTTTCCAGAAGTTTAGTAAATAATTATATTTTCTTTAGTTTTTGTGTTTGATTTTTTTAAAAAAAAATATTTTAACTTATCTGGAATTTGTTTTAGTGCAAGGGGTAAGACAAAGACCTTTAAATGAATGTCTGGTTTTTGTTTTGAAGTTGCTAATTTTCCAATACCACTTATTGATAAACCTCCCCTTTCCCATTGTGTTTTTTTAATGCTTCTCTTACAATTTGATAAATTGTTCTGTATGAAATGCCCCCAACTTTTTAAAAAAAGAGGCGATGTCTCACTATGTTGCCCAGGCTGGACTTGAACCCCTAGGCTCAAGTGGTGCTTCTCTATCAGTCTCCTGAGTAGTTGGGATTACAGGCACGTGCTACCATGCCTGGTGTTAAATGGTCCATTATAAGGCTAGTTTTTATGTTGAAAGGATGATCTTATATATTCTTGCAAAAAATGCTTTTGTTATAATGTTAAGAGAAAAAATCAAATACAAAGTTTCTATATATATGTGTGTATATATTTATGTGTGTGTATGTATATATATACACACATATATATACACAGTAAAAATAGCCTGGAAGAAAAACCTAAAATGTTTTACATATATATATATATATATATATATATATATATACACACTTTATATATATATATATACTTTATATATATATATTATACTTTATATATATATATATACTTTATATATATATATATAAAGTATAATATATATATTATACTTTAAGTTCTAGGGCACATGTGCACAATGTGCAGGTTTGTTACATATGTATACATGTGCCATGTTGGTGTGCTGCACCCATTAACTCGTCATTTACATTAGGTATATCTCCTAATGCTATCCCTTACCCCTCCCTCCACCCCACAACAGGCCCTGGTGTGTGATGTTCCCCTTCCTGTGTCCAAGTGTTCTCATTGTTCAATTCCCACCTATGAGTGAGAACATGTGGTGTTTCGTTTTTTGTCCTGGCGATAGTTTGCTGAGAATGATGGTTTCCAGCTTCATCCATGTCCCTACAAAGGACATGAACTCATCGTTTTTTATGGCTGCATAGTATTCCATGGTGTATATGTGCCACATTTTCTTAATCCAGTCTATCATTGATGGACATTTGGGTTGGTTCCAAGTCTTTGCTATTGTGAATAGTGCTGCAATAAAGATACGTGTGCATGTGTCTTTATAGCAGCATGATTTATAATCCTTTGGGTATATACCCAGTAATAGGATGGCTGGGTCAAATGCTATTTCTAGTTCTAGATCCCTGAGGAATCGCCACACTGTCTTCCACAATGGTTGAACTAGTTTACAGTCCCACCAAAAGTGTAGAAGTGTTCCTATTTCTCCACATCCTCTCCAGCACCTGTTGTTTCCTGACTTTTTAATGATCACCATTCTAACTAGTGTGAGATGGCATCTCATTGTGGTTTTGATTTGCATTTCTCTGATGGCCAGTGATGATGAGCATTTTTTCATGTGTCTTTTGGCTGCATAAATGTCTTCTTTTGAGAAGTGTCTGTTCATATCCTTTGCCCACTTTTTGATGGAGTTGTGTTTTTTTTTGTTTTTTTGTTTTTTTGTTTTTTTTTTGTGAGACGGAGTCTTGCTCTGTCGCCCAGGCTGGAGTGCAGTGGCACGATCTCGGCTCACTGCAAGCTCCGCCCCCCAGGTTCAAACCATTCTCCTGTCTCAGCCTCCTGAGTAGCTGGGACTACAGACATCTGCCGCCACACCCAGCTAATTTTTTTGGTATTTTTAGTAGAGATGGGGTTTCACTGTGTTAGCCAGTATGGTCTCGATCTCCTGACCTTGTGATCCACCCACCTCGGCCTCCCAAAGTGCTGGGATTACAGGCGTGAGCCACCGCGCCCGGCCGTTTGTTTTTTTCTTGTAAATTCGTTTGAGTTCTTTGTAGATTCTGGATATTAGCCCTTTGTCAGATGAGTAGATTGCAAAAATTTTCTCCCATTCTGTAGGTTGCCTGTTCACTCTGATGGTAGTTTGTTTTGCTGTGCAGAAGCTCTTTAGTTCAATTAGATCCCATTTGTCAATTTTGGCTTTTGTTGCCATTGCTTTTGGTGTTTTAGACATGAAGTCCTTGCCCATGCCTATGTCCTGAATGGTATTGCCTAGGTTTTCTTCTAGGGTTTTTATGGTTTTAGCTCTAACATTTAAGTCTTTAATCCATCTTGAATTAATTTTTGTATAAGGTGTAAGGAAGGGATCCAGTTTCAGCTTTCTACATATGGCTAGCCAGTTTTCCCAGCACCATTTTTTTTTTGGATCAAATCTAATATTATTATTATTATTATTATTATTATTATTATTATTTTATTTTATTATTATTATACTTTAAGTTTTAGGGTACATGTGCACAATGTGCAGGTTAGTTACATATGTATACATGTGCCATGTTGGTGTGCTGCACCCATTAACTCATCATTTAGCATTAGGCATATCTCCTAAAGCTATCCCTCCCGCCTCCCCCCACCCCACAACAGTCCCCAGAGTGTGATGTTCCCCTTCCTGTGTCCATGTGTTCTCATTGTTCAGTTCCCACCTATGAGTGAGAATATGTGGTGTTTGGTTTTTTGTTCTTGCGATAGTTTACTGAGAATGATGATTTCCAATTTCATCCATGTCCCTACAAAGGACATGAACTCATCATTTTTTATGGCTGCATAGTATTCCATGGTGTATATGTGCCACATTTTCTTAATCCAGTCTATCATTGTTGGACATTTGGGTTGGTTCCAAGTCTTTGCTATTGTGAATAGTGCCGCAATAAACATACATGTGCATGTGTCTTTATAGCAGCATGATTTATAGTCCTTTGGGTATATACCCAGTAATGGGATGGCTGGGTCAAATGGTATTTTTAGTTGTAGATCCCTGAGGAATCGCCACACTGACTTCCACAATGGTTGAACTAGTTTACAGTCCCACCAACAGTGTAAAAGTGTTCCTATTTCTCCACATCCTCTCCAGCACCTGTTGTTTCCTGACTTTTTAATGATTGCCATTCTAACTAGTGTGAGATGGTATCTCATTGTGGTTTTGATTTGCATTTCTCTGATGGCCAGTGATGATGAGAATTTTTTCATGTGTCTTTTGGCTGCATAAATGTTTTCTTTGGAGAAGTGTCTGTTCATATGCTTCGCCCACTTTTTGATGGGGTTGTTTGTTTTTTTCTTGTAAATTTGTTTGAGTTCATTGTAGATTCTGGATATTAGCCCTTTGTCAGATGAGTAGGTTGCGAAAATTTTCTCCCATTTTGTAGGTTGCCTGTTCACTCTGATGGTAGTTTCTTTGCAGCAGCACATCAAAAAGCTTATCCACCATTTGTTAAATAGGGAATCCTTTCCCCATTTCTTGTTTTTGTCAGGTTTGTCAAAGATCAGATAGTTGTAGATATGCGGCATTATTTCTGAGGGCTCTGTTCTGTTCCATTGATCTATATCTCTGTTTTGGTACCAGTACCATGCTGTTTTGGTTACTGTAGCCTTGTAGTATAGTTTGAAGTCAGGTAGCGTGATGCCTCCAGCTTTGTTCTTTTGGCTTAGGATTGACTTGGCAATGCAGGATTTTTTTGGTTCCATATGAACTTTAAAGTAGTTTTTTCCAATTCTGTGAAGAAAGTCATTGGTAGCTTGATGGGAATGGCATTGAATCTATAAATTACCTTGGGCAGTATGGCCATTTTCATGATTTTGATTCTTCCTATCCATGAGCATGGAATGTTCTTCCATTTGTTTGTATACTCTTTTATTTCATTGAGCAGTGGTTTGTAGTTTTCCTTGAAGAGGTCCTTCACATCCCTTGTAAGTTGGGTTCCTAGGTATTTTATTCTGTTTGAATCAATTGTGAATGGGAGTTCACTCATGATTTGGCTCTCTGTTTGTCTGTTATTGGCGTATAAGAATGCTTGTGATTTTTGCACATTAATTTTGTATCCTGAGACTTTGCTGAAGTTGCTTATTAGCTTAAGGTGATTTTGGGCTGAGACAATGGGGTTTTCTAGATATACAATCATGTCATCTGCAAACAGGGACAATTTGACTTCCTCTTTTCCTAATTGAATACCCTTTATTTCTTTCTCCTGCCTGATTGCCCTGGCCAGAACTTCCAACACTATGTTGAATAGGAGTGGTGAGAGAGGGCATCCCTGTCTTGTGCCAGTTTTCAAAGGGAATGCTTCCAGTTTTTGCCCATTCAGTATGATGTTGGCTGTGGGTTTGTCATAAATAGCTCTTACTATTTTGAGATATGTCCCATCAATACCTAATTTATTGAGAGTTTTTAGCATGAAGGGCTGTTGAATTTTGTCAAAGGCATTTTCTGCATCTATTGAGATAATCATGTGGTTTTTGTCTTTGGTTCTGTTTTTATGCTGGATTGCGTTTATTGATTTGCATATGTTGAACCAGCCTTGCATCCCAGGGATGAAGCCCACTTGATCATGGTGGATAAGCTTTTTGATGTGTTGGATTTGGTTTGCCAGTATTTTATTGAGGATTTTTGCATCGATGTTCATCAAGGATATTAGTCTAAAATTCTCTTTTTTGGTTGTGTCTCTGCCTGGCTTTGGTATCAGGATGATGCTGGCCTCATAAAATGAGTTAGGGATGATTCCCTCTTTTTCTGTTGATTGGAATAGTTTCAGAAGGAATGGTACCAGCTTCTCCTTGTACCTCCAGTAGAATTCAGCTGTGAGTCCGTCTGGTCCTGGACTTTTTTTGGTTGGTAAGCTATTAATTATTGCCTCAATTTCAGAGCCTGTTATTGGTCTATTCAGAGATTCAACTTCTTCCTGGTTTAGTCTTGGGAGGGTGTGTGTGTCAAGGAATTTATCCATTTCTTCTAGATTTTCTAGTTTATTTGCGTAGAGGTGTTTATAGTATTCTCTGATGGTAGTTTGTATTTCTGTGGGATCAGTGGTGATATCCCCTTTATCATTTTTTATTGTGTCTATTTGATTCTTCTCTCTTTTCTTCTTTATTAGTCTTGCTAGCAGTCCATCAATTTTGTTGATCTTTTCAAAAAACCACCTCCTGGATTCATTGATTTTTTTGAAGGGTTTTTTGTATCTCTGTCTCCTTCAGTTCTGCTCTGATCTTAGTTATTTCTTGCCTTCTGCTAGCTTTTGAATGTGTTTGCTCTTGCTTCTCTAGTTCTTTTAGTTGTGATGTTAGGGTGTCAATTTTAGATCTTTCCTGCTTTGTCTTGTGGGCATTTAGTGCTATAAATTTCCCTCTGCACACTGCTTTAAATGTGTCCCAGAGATTCTGGTATGTTGTGTCTTTGTTCTCATTGGTTTCAAAGAACATCTTTATTTCTGCCTTCATTTCGTTATGTACCCAGTAGTCATTCAGGAGCAGGTTGTTCAGTTTCCAGGTAGTTGAGCGGTTTTGAGTGAGTTTCTTAATCCTGAGTTCTAGTTTGATTGCACTGTGGTCTGAGAGACAGTTTGTTATAATTTCTGTTCTTTTACATTTGTTGAAGAGTGCTTTACTTCCAACTATGTGGTCAATTTTGGAATAAGTGTGATGTGGTGCTGAGAAGAATGTATATTCTGTTGATTTGGGGTGGAGAGTTCTGTGGATGTCTATTAGGTCTGCTTGGTGCAGAGCTGAGTTCAATTCCTGGATATCCTTGTTAACTTTCTCTCTCGTTGATCTGTTTAATGTTGACAGTGGGGTGTTAAAGTCTCCCATTATTAATGTGTGGGAGTCTAAGTCTCTTTGTAGGTCTCTAAGGACTTGCTTTATGAATCTGGGTGCTCCTGTATTGGGTGTATATACATTTAGGATAGTTAGCTCTTCTTGTTGAATTGATCCCTTTACCATTATGTAATGGCCTTCTTTGTCTCTTTTGATCTTTGTTGGTTTAAAGTCTGTTTTATCAGAGACTAGGATTGCAACCCCTGCCTTTTTTTGTTTTCCATTTGCTTGGTAGATCTTCCTCCATCCCTTTATTTTGAGCCTATGTGTGTCTCTGCATGTGAGATGGGTCTCCTGAATACAGCACACTGATGGGTCTTGACTCTTTATCCATTTTGCCAGTCTGTGTCTTTTAATTGGAGCATTTAGCCCATTTACTTTATGGTTAATATTGTTATGTGTGAATTTGATCCTGTCATTATGATGTTAGCTTGTTATTTTGCTCATTAGTTTATGCAGTTTCTTCCTAGCATCGATGGTCTTTACAATTTGGCATAGAAAAACCTAAAATGTTAATAATTTTAGTGTTTGTATGAAACTGTGTTTTACAGTTCTCTCTGTCTTCTCATTTTTTGGTCATTTAATAAATCTTCTCATATACACAATAATGGAAACTAATTTATTTTACAGGAAAAAAAGTTCATCCTAAAATGGAGTCTTGCTTTTGTAATTTTTTTGACTGTCTATCATATTTACTGCTATCTTGAGAGGCCCTGCTGTGGTTCTGAAATACTTGCCTACTTTTAATTTCTATGAGATTCCATTCAGTGCCACAGAAAGCTATTATCTTTCCAGCAGCTGCTGTTTGTCACCTCCTCATTTACTGCAAAAAACCTCTTTTACCTTTTGCCAGTTTTTCAGAACTCAGCGCTCTATTGTGATTGAGATTGGCTGGTGAAAGCTTTCGCTTCTGAAGGAGGAAGCATGATGGCTGGTTGTCAGAGGGATGTGCCCCTGGATGTGCCAGGTAGCACAAGGGCATGTTTTCCATGAATCCAGTCCCTGGTGCCCAAAAATTTGGGGGCATGGTGACTCCTGATTCTGCCTCCAGCGCTCCAGACTCACCTCCCCAACCACCTACCATGCATCCTCTCCTACCATGTCCTGAACTTTCCTCATCATACCCACCTTCAACTTTCCTGTGCCTCCCACAGCCTCACTGTCTAGCTGCCCACACCAGAAATGGAAATTCCTCCTTTTCCCTAACCTGCCTGTCATCATCACCAGGCCAATCCATCCCTTACTCCACTCTCTAAACTCTCCTTTCATCTCTATTTCTGCTTCAAGCCTTCCCTGTCACTCAATTGGATGCACTCGGTCTCCTTTTCTCTCATCTAATCTACTCTTATAGCTTGCTGAGTGTTTTATTTAAAACACAAAACTGAGATCGGGTTTTTTGCTGAAAATCCCCTCTTGGAGATTTCACTATCCTGACATCCATTCTCCCCTTGTCATCCAGATTCAGCATTTATATTTCATCTTCTTGGTATCTGAACTTTGGCATTTCCTAGAGAGTAGTAGGTAATTATGCTAAGCTAAGCCAAAGCTTCTCTTCGTTGAACATTTTAATGTGCTGGGCACTGTGCTAAGAGTTTTATCTACATTAACATATGTGTTTCTTACAACTCTTCGAGGACACATTATATTTAGATGAGAAAACTGGCATGGAAAGATTACCTAGATGAGGAAACGTAGATGAGGAAAGTGAGGCACAGGAAGATTATGAAGATTATCCAAGGTGGTATGACTTGTGCTGGGTAGGGCTGGGAATCACACCCAGCGTACTTGATGCTGGAACCCATGCTTTTGGCCTTTGGGCCATACTTGTTCTCCTTCCCGATTTGGCTTGCCCTCCCCTGGGGGGCCCTGCCCTGAGCTGACCCAGGTAGAAATCCATTCTTAATTTGAGCTGCTTTGCAACACCAGAGCCATGATGCCAGCACTCTATCCGGGTCACCCTCCATGGGCCGTCAGGAGAGAGAGGCTTATTTAGAGAAGGAAGTTGGAGTAGAGGCCTTTTGGGATTCCTTCTAGCTCTGGATGAGGTGATGTGAATGGTGCTTCCTGGAACATGGTCTGCCATAACAATGGCCAATAAATAGGGCATCACAAGAAAGCAGAAACATCCCTGGAACATCTGAATGTGAGTTCAATTTTCTGGATTGTGCTGAAGCTGTTTACCAACAAATCAACAAAAAGTGGATTTAAATTGAACTTTAGACCAAATGGACCTAACAGACAATTATAGAACATTTTATCCAACAGCTGCAGAAAACACATTCTTCTCATCAGTATGTGAAACTTTCTCCAGGATTGACTACATGTTAGGCCACAAAACAAATTTCAACAAACTTTCAAAAATAAAAATTATATCAAGTATCTTCTCAGACCACATGGAATAAAACTTGAAATCACTAATAAGAGAAACTTTGGAAACTGAACAAATACTTGGAAATTAAATAACAGGCTCCTGAATGACCACTGGGTCAATAAAGAAATTAAGAAAAAAAATATTTATTGAAGCAAAAATGAAAACACAACAAACCAAAACCTATGGGATACAGAAAACACAGTTCTAAGAGGGAAGTTTGTAGCAATAATGCCTACATCAAAACTGTAGAAAGATTTCAAATAAACCACCTAAAAATGTATATCAAACCCAAAACTGGTAGGAGGAAACAAATAATAAAGATTAGAGAAGAAATAAAAGACATAGAGATAAAAAGCGGTAAAAAAAAAATCACTGAAATGAAAAGTTGGCTTTTTGGGAAAAAAATTTAAACCACCAGCTAGACTAACCAAGAAAAAAAGAGAGAAGGCTCAAATAAATAAAGTCAGAAATGAAAAAGGTGACATTACAACTGATAGCACAGAAACTCAAAGGGTCTTTAGAGACTATTATGAGCAACTATATGGTAACAAATTGAAAAACTTAGAGGAAATAGATAAATTGCTGAACATATACAACCTCCAAAGAGTGAGCCAGGAAGAAATAGAAAACCTGAACAGACCAAGAACCAGTAACAAGATTGAATTAGTAATAAAATCTCCCAATCTCATGACTAGATGGCTTTACTGCTGAATTCTATCAAACTTACAAAGAACTAATATCAATTCTTCTCAAACTATTCCAAAAAATTGAAGAGGTGGGAGTTCTTCCTCACTCATTCTACAAGGCCAGTACTACTGTAATACTAAAACCAGACAAAAAGACAACAAAAAAGAAAACTACAGGCCAATATCCCTGATGCAAAAATCCTCAACAAAATGCTAGCAAACTGAATCCAACACCCATCAAAAAGATAATTACACTATGATCAAGTGGAATTCATCCCAGGGATGCAAGGATGGTTCAACATATGCAAATCCATAAATGTGATACATCACATCAACAGAATGAGGGACAAAAACCATATGATCATCTCAATAGATGCAGAAAAATCATATGATAAAATTCAACATCTTTTTGTGATTAAAAAAATCTCAACAAATTAGGCATAGAAGGAGCATGCCTCAACATTATGAAAACCATGTATGAAAAATCCACAGCTAGAATCATACTGAATGAGGCAAAGCTGAAAGTCTTTTTTTCTAAGAGCTTTGTCTAAGAGCTTGTCTTTTTTTTTTTTTTTTAAGATGAGAATGCCCACTTTTACTACTCCTGCTCAACATAGTACCGGAAGTCCTAACCAGAGCAATCAGACAAGAGAAAGAAATATAAGGCATCCAAATTAGAAAAGAGAAAGTCAAATTGTCTCTCTTTGCAGATGACACTATCTTAAATATAGAAAACCTAAAGACTCCACCAAAACTCTTAGAAATGGTAAACAAATTTAGCAAAGTTACAGTATACAAAATCAACATTCAAAAAGCAATAGGATTTCCGTATACCAATAATGAACCAGCTGAAAAAGAAATCAAGAAAAAAGTCCAATTTATAATAACTGCGAAAGTAAAATACCTAGAAATAAATATAAGCAAGGAGGTGAAAGACCTCTACAAGGAAAACTACAGAACACTGATTGAAGAAATGGAAGAGGATACAAACAAATGGAAAGACTAGATGCTTATGGATCAGAAGAATTAAAATTGTTCAAATGACCATATTCCCCAAAGCAATCTACAAATTCAGTGCAATCTCTATCAAAATAGCAAAGACATTCTTCAAAGAAACAGAAAAAAACTGTCCTGAAATTTGTCTGGAACCACAAAAGTCCCTGAATAGCCAAAGCAATACTGAGCAAAAAGAACAAAGTTAGGAGCATCACGTTATTTGACTTCAAAATATATTACAAAGCTATAGTAACCAAAACAGTATAAAAAGATGCATAGACCAATAGAACAGAATAGAGAACTCAGAAATAAATCCATGTATTTACAGGAAACTGATATTTGACAAGGGTGCCTACAACATACACTGAATAGAGAACTCAGAAATAAATCCATGTATTTATAGAAAACTGACATTTGACAAAGGCACCTAGAACATACACTGGGGAAAGGACATGCTCTTCCATAAATGGTGCTGGGAAAACTTGATACCCACCTGCAGAAGAATAAAACTAGACCACACCAAAAATCAAATCAAAATGGATTGAAAGCTGAAATTTAAGATCTGATAATAAAAATACTAAAGAAAACATTGGGTAAATACTCCAGGACATTGGTCTGGGTCGAGATTTTTTTCTGTAGGACTGCAAAAGCATAGGCAACCAAAGCAAAAATAGACAAATGAGATTACATCAAGCTGAAAAGCTTCTGCACAGCAAAGAAAACAATTAAAAAGTGAAGAGACAACCTGTAAGATGGAAAAAAAATTTGCAAACTATTCATTCAACACAGTACTAATGTCCAGACTACATAAGGAATTCAAACAACTCAACAGCAAAAAGTGAATAAATAAATAAAAACCCAACAAATAATTTCATTAAAAAGTGAGCAAAGGATCTGAATACACATTTCTCAAAAGAAGATATACAAATGGCCAACAAGTATATGAACAAATGCTTGACATCACAAATCACTAGGGAAATGCAAATTGAAACCGCAATGAGATATCATCTCACCTCAGTTACAATGGCTACTATCCAAAGATAAAAAAATAACAAAAGATGGCAAGGATGCAGAGAAAAGGAAACTCTTATACACCGTTGATGGGAATGTAAATTAGTACAGCCACTGTGAATACTAGTAAAGGGGTTTCTCAGAAAACTGCAAATAGAACTACCATATGATCCAGCAGCCCCACTACTGGGTATTTATCAAAAGGAAAGGAAATTAGTATATTGAAGGAATATTTGGCACCCCCATATTTATTGTAGCACTATTCACAATAGGCAAGATATAAAATCAAGTGTCTATCAATATATAATAGACAAAGAAAATGTGGTATATATTCACAATGGAATATTATTCATTCAATAAAAGGAATGAAATTCTGTCACTTGCAGGAACATGGGTAGAACTGGGGGTCCTTATGTTAAGTGAAACAAGCCAGGCACAGAAGGACAAATACCACATGTTCTTGCTCGTATGTGGGAGCTAAAAAAGTTGATCTCATGGAGGCAGGGAGTAGAATGATAGTTATCAGAGGCTGGGAAGCAGGGAGATGAAGAGATGTTGGTTAATAGGTACAAATATACAGTTGAATAGAAGAAATAAGTTCTAGTATTTGATAGCACAGTAGGGTGACTGTAGTTAACAATGATTTATTGTTTATTTTAAAGTAGCTAGAAGAGAAGATTTGAAATGTTCCCAAGATAAAGAAATAATCAATGTTTGAATGACAGAAATCCTAATTACCCTGATTACATCATTACACGTTGTCTGCATGTATCAAAATAATCACATGTACCCTATAAATATGTACAACTATTATGTATCAATAAAAAAGAAAAAATATAAATAAAGTAATAATAAATAATAGTAAATTTAAAAAGACACTGGGAAGTGCAAGATGTAGGGGAAGATACTGTTTTGAATGAACAGTTCCTATGAGGTTAACAGAAAAAATGATTCTCCATAGATATTACTCATGAATTTCACAGAGATGGAGCCAAAGGACCAAGTAAAAATGAGATTTTAAATCAGACCAGGACAGCAGTGCTGGTTTTACTACTTGGAAATTCTTTGGCCTTGAACAAAATACTTAATTTTCTAGAACTTTAGTTTCTCATTTATAAAGTAAGGATAACCTACTTTGTGTTGTAAGAATTATATGAGCTGATGATTTATATATGAAAGATATTTGCTTCATTATAAACCACCCAAAACAATAATTTCAATTTTGGGGTTTGGCAATCTAGTCAATTTTTTCTTCAGGTCTTGCCTGGCATCCTTCATGTGACTGCATCTTCTGATGGCTCAACAGAGGCTGGAGAGTCCAAGATGACCCCACCCTCATATTGGGTCACAGGTGCTGGCTGATGGTTGGGATGCCTTCGTTCTCCTCCACATGGTCTCTCATCCGCCAACAGACTAGATTATATATCTTCACAACACGATGGTCCCAGTTTCCCAAGAAGCAAAAACAGAAGCTGCTTGGGGCAAGGTTTCAGAATTTGCACATTATTTCTGCCACAATATTATTTCTGTGATCCAGAGAAATCACAAGCCCAGCCCAGATGCAAAGACAGGCATGTCCTATTGCAATGAGGCTGGAAACAGGGAAGGCGTTTATTTGGGCTATTACTGTAGTCATCTATCATGTCCGTTAACATGTGGATGTTCTCAGCCTTTCTCCTTCCTGCTACTTTCTCTCATCCCAACCAAGTAAAGATAATATTGTCTTTGTCTTTCCAATTTCACCCATTCCCCGTCTTATAAGATGACTGCTGGATTTGCTCATCTGACTCTATGGATGTTTGTGATTTAGAATTAGGAGAATGATTAGAGAGGACCAGAAAAAAAAAGGAAGAAGGGGGTAAGAAAACAGTCTATCCCAGTGGTGGTGGTAGGTTTTCAGTGCATTCTGGGTAGAAACGGAGGGCGAAGCATGGGTGAGAGGCTCTAGATCTGCAGAAGATATATGAGAATAAAGAGGTGAAAAAAGAGAATTTTAAAGAGGCTTATTTCAAAATGAAAGTAAAGAACTATTTTTTAATTTCTTTTGACTACTGGATTTTATTTCTTTGAATGTGACTTTGTCTGGAGATCAGGTCCTACTGAACCTTAGAATTTATTTGGGTAAAATATGCAAAATGCCTCTTCAGTATGTAAGATATAGTGGATATTCAATAAATGATACATGCTATAATGATTATAATTACTTCTGGCTGCTACTTTCCAATGTTTTAGGCTAAATATGGTAGGTCTATTTTCAGGCACTCAGGTAGTTCTTGCCTTCATTCTTGTTCACCCCTTACAGTGAGATATTACTTTTGCAAAACCCAAAGTAAAAATCTGGGACATTGCTGCTAGATATTAAATGCAGGTATGGCAGAAAGAAGTAATTCCATTTTCCTCCTTCTCCATGCAACATTTAAGGCCATAGATCCTGAGGAAACTGTCAGAAATACAAGCAGCACTGGCAGAAATTCACTGGCATAGATTTTTGGGACTGCAGAACCACACAGGTCTTTTTCTCATCATCATGAGTACATGAATTTCCAAAGACCCTGATCTCATATTACTCTGTATTCTTTTGAGGGGGACCTTCCCTTTCATTTTTCTATTTTGACAATGATATTTTGAGTCATTTTGGGGCCATGTAAGATATACTTTAAAGTCTCCCAGAGGTGACGATCTTCTCTTATTTACAAATGAACATTTTAATAGGAGTTTTCCTAATTTTACTCATTTTCTTTTCTCTTTATTACTATACGAAATTATTTTATGTAACTATTTATTCCCTCATTTGTTTTCTGTCTTTCAGCTAGAATGCAAACCACATGAAGTTTGGGACCTTATGTGTTTTGTTTACCACTGAAATTGAGAGCATTAAGAAAAGTACCTGGCACAATTAATATTTGTTGAATAAATGAATGAATAAATTTTCCTTCAGAATTTTTTATTACATGGAATACTAAAGTGTTGTCAGAACATAATGGGCTAGGTACATCTCCAGAACTTCATAAACTTGAAAAACAGGGAAGTAAAACTTAAACAATAAGGTCAATTCATAATGGTCCAGAACAAAGCAGTGCAAAATCATTTGAAAAAGAACGACTGGATTTAAGGCTTTAAAGACTCTGTATAATATGATCGAATGTATTAACATAGATAAAGAAAGAATATGTCAGTTAGAAAAAAGGCTGGTCAGTCATGGAAATACAAATTAAAAGACAGGCAGAGAGGCCATTTCCACCCCAAAACAGGGGAGAAGGGAGAATCCTGGCTTTTGGACTTTGTTGCATTCCCACTGAAGGGCTCTCTCTATGGTGAGAAGTCTTTAGGCTATCCCAACTGAGTGCCACTGAGGCCTTAACTCATCCACCTGATCTTGAGTTCCTGCTTAGCAAGCTGTCTTCTGATGGTGATTCAATTTCCCACCTAGGTTTGCTTTCTGGGAGAAAGTGTGCTGGTCCTAACTACCAGAGGCCTCTGGGCCCTACCATGGTTATGCTTCTCTTTGTAATGTAACTACTTGGCATTCCAGTGTTGTATATCATTCTCATAATCTTGGCTAATGGGAGTCCAGCCTTGAGACTCAGACCCATTCTCAGCATGCTGGCAATTGTGGTTTTGAGCCTGCATAGCCACAAGTCAGACCTACATTTTGGCAGTTCACTGTAATGGATGCTTCCCCGTGAAGACTCCAAAGACTTCACCATCATCTTCTTGTAGTGCCATCATACCTTTGCTATAAGTCACTCCCTTTTGATTCAAACATCTTTAGAAAAAAACTGAAATGACCTTTGTAACAAACATATTGCACAAACACTGCCCGTCTAGGAAGGTGTGCCGTTACTCCAGTGAGGCCGTCATTGCTCCAACCGTTCCTCATCTCTTCTTTGGTGATGACCTTCAAGACCGTGTACGGTAATCTGCTATGATGTTAATACTTGATTTAAATTCAAGCACTAGTTTGTGCCTCATGCCAGGCAGAATGCCGCTTCCTGAGGGGCTATGGTATTTAGCAGGACCCCCTTGGAGACACTGGGCCTAATCCCACAATGAGAGCACCCACTTGGTTAACTACCAACTCACCTGACATGCTTTAAAGTGGTATGTTATTGATTCTGGAGGTTAAATCCTCAACCAAAGATAAAACTTTTCGAACACTCGATACATTTTAATGAATCTGTCTCAGATACAAGGGGCAATTTCTCTCTAATAAATTTAATTTTTTACAATGACAGCATCATTAAAATAGGTTTACAGCTTATCTTCATGAAATAACAACTTTTAAAGGACATAATAATTCAAATTTATAACTCCTAGGATCTTTGTTTATGACAGCTTTCCTCAAAAACTCATTTTTGTATATTCATTCTTAATTTACTTGTTGGGCAGTTTTATTATGAATGTTAGCATTTTCCATTCCTAAGCATTCTATTTTTGCTTACACATGTGAAAAGAGGGTGTTTTATATTCTTAAATCTCCCTTTTAATATTCAAAAGTCATTTAAAAGTTTCTGAAGGGTGAATATGGAGACAATACTATTGAGAAAAATGTGCACAGTGGTTCTCAACCCTGGCTACACATTAAAATCACCTAGAGATGTTTTAAAAATAACTACCCAGGTCCCACCTGAGAAAAATTAAGTCAGAATCTCTGGAGATAGTTTCCTAGGGGATTCCAATGTACAGCCATGGATGTAAACCATTGAATTATAAGACTCAGTTAGAAGGGTATTAGCTCTTCTAGGTATTAGAGGGGATGATCAACCAGTAGCCATTGTTTTCTTCTTTTTAAAAAATTTTGATTAATTTAAAAAGTTGACAGATTAAAAATTATATATATTTATTGTGTGCAATATGATGTTTTGAAATAAGTGTACATTGTGGAATGGCTAAATCAAGCTATTAACATATACATCACTTCACATGCTTGTCATTTATTTGTGGTGAGAACACTTAAATTTACTCCCTTGGCGATTTTCAAGAATACAATACCTTGTGATTAACAGAATCGGGTCAGCATATTGTAAATGGAGCTCTTGAATTTATTCCCCCTGTCTAACTGAAACTTTGTACCCTTTGACCATCATCTCCTGTTTCTCCATATCTCCCCAACTGCCAGCCTGTGGTAACCACCATTCTAATCTCTGCCTCTATGAGATCAGCGTTTTTAGATTCCACATATGAGTGAGATTATGTAGTATCTGTCTTTCTGTGTCTGGCTTATTTCACTTAACATAAGGTCCTCCAGGTTCATCCATGTTATCACAAATGACCGGATTTTCTTCTTCCTAAAGGCTGAAAAGTATTTTATCTTGTGTATATACCACATTTCTTTATCCATTCCTCTGGTGGTGACCTCTTAGGTTGATTCTATCTTGGCTACTGTGATAGTGCTTCAATAAACAGGGGACTGCAGACATCTCTTTGACATACTATATCCTTTGGGTATATGCCCAGAAATGGGATTGCTGGATTATATGGTAGTGTTATTTTTAATTTTTTGGAGAAACTTCATACAGTTTTCCCTAATGGTTGCACTAATTTACATTCCCACCAGCAGTGTTCAAAGGTTCTGTTTTTCTCCATATCCTCACCATTGGTTTCTCATCAGACAGAAACTGCCCATAGATGTTCACCAACCAGGTGCTTCACTGTCTTGCGTGGGGTCACCAATCATCCTAGTTTTCCCAGGACTAAGGAGTTTTCTGGGACATGGGATTTTTAGTACAAAAACCAGGAGAGTTCCAGTGAACTAGGGTGAATTGGTTACCCTATTTGTGGATCAACATAAGCTGGTTTGCGTCCTGTAGATTGAAATGGGACTGTCATGACTCTGTCTTCTGAACTTCAGCTGTTGGTTTATGTCCACCTGAAATTCTGAGCTCATCTGAGGCCCTTCCACCATTTGATGTTATGGACACACAGACTGTCCGCTCACTCTGGTTCCTCTGCTCAACCATCTAATTTTCATGAAAAGGGATTTTCTCATGGTCTTTTATAAAGATTTTAAGCATGGCTTTGAGCCTTTAGAATCAGGAGGTGTCTCCTGTTTATTTGCACTTGAGTTTGGGTGCCTTTCTTTGGGACTGACCTTACTGAATCCCCAGTGTATGTGGGGGAAGAAGTATGGTACCAATATTTATTGAGTGCTAGGTGCTTTATATATGTGATAATCCTCTGTATCAACTTCATGAAGTTGATATTTTTTTTCCAGCAAAGTAAACTGAATCTCAGAGAGGTTGAGTAAATTTTAAAGCTCAAACTCAGGTTTATACGATTATAATTCCATGTTGTCTGCACAATGTTTCTATTTTCAGTGCTTAATACAGACAAGTTGAAGAGGGAAACTGTGAATATCCAGAGATTTTGATGAGGTAGTGGAAAGATAAATTAGTAATCACCCATTGATTTTAAAGTAACTTTTCTGACTGCTCCTAGTTAGGCGAAAAGCATCGAGAGGTACTGTGGTGAATGGTGGATTTTCCTTTTTGGACATAAAAAGAGGTGGTCATGTGGACGCTCTTTATTTAAGCATTAGCCTCAGTTCAAGTAAATCACATTAGGAAAGTATGATTTTGCTGGTTAGTATGTCAAAGAAAACAACTGGGATATAAAGAAGTGTGGTGCTGTGTGTTGCAGCTAAAAAAAAACAAAAACAAAAAAACAGAGGGATTGAATCCTGAAGGAGCCACTTTTTTACTCATCCCTGATGCCTCTGGCCCAGTGGTTGCAGCAAGATGGCCCAGGTCTCCTAAAAACATGGAGAGGCTCCTGGGCTCTGTGAGTGAGGACAATGAGGAGGAACAAGAGTCGTGGATGGAGTTAGGTTGGAACTGTTCATCTATGAAGTAGTGGGAGGTGAAATGCACCTCCAAGTGCTCAGTGATGTTCTTTTAAAAGACAAATGTTGCTATAACTGGCATCTCATCTATTATAATTTTTACATATAATTTATTTTAGTAAATGCTCATAGTGATTTTTTTTAAACGAAACCATATTAATTATACATTTCTCTTAACCCTGACAAAACTGTCTAGTTGGGATACTGTGATGGTTAATACTGAGTGTCAATTTGATTGGATTGAAGGATGCAGAGTATTGATCCTTGGTGTGTCTGTGAGGGTGTTGAGTCAGTGGGCTGGGGAGGGCAGACCCACCCTTCATCTGGTGGGCATAATTTAATCAGCTGCCAGCCAACATAAAGCAGGCAGAAAAACGTGAAAAGTGGGGACTGGCCTAGCCTCCCAGCCTACATCTTTCTCCCCTGCTGGACGCTTCCTGCCCTCAAATATTGGACTCCCTTGGGACTCGGACTGGCTGTCCTTGCTCCTTAAGCTTGCGGACAGCCTATTGTGGGACCCTGTCATCATATAAGTGTAAACTTAGTAAACTCCTATCTATCTATGTATCTATGTATCTATGTATCTATCTATCTATCTATCTATCTAAATATATCTATGTATCTATCTATCTGTCTATGTATCTATGTATCTATGTATCTATGTATCTATCTATCTATCTATCTATCTATCTATCTATCTATCCATCCATCCATCCTATTCTGTTCCTCTAGGAAACCCTAATACAGATACCATGGATGTAGTATTATTTTCTGATACAGTAGTGAGTATCATAAAAACAGGTCTCATCCACTCATTCAAAAATAATTTGTTAGTGTCCACCCTGATCCAGCATTGTGCTAAGTGATGGAAAATAGTAGCAAAAAGCCCCAGTCCCCGCGCTCACAAACTGGTTAAGGGGACATACAGATAACCAGTACTTGTAACTTACTATGGTAGAGTAAGTCCTGATAAAGGATGGTCTAGGTTGCTACAGGGGCTCATAAGAGAGGATCTAGGAAGGGCTTCCCAGGGGAGGTGAGTTATACACTGAAATCTGAAGTATGAGTTGGGCAGAAGGTGTTAGGGTTTCTGGTGGGGCTGGATAGAGAACATTCCAGGCAGAGAGAGCAGCAAAAGAGCCGGTCAAAAGAGCATTTGGAGAAATAAAACATGTTCAGTATAGGACATGGTGTATGTGTGTGTGTTTGTGTGTGTGCATGTGTGTCTGAGGAGGAGGGAATGGTGGTGGCGGGAGATAATGCTGCAGAGAAATACTGAAGCAAGGTCATGCAAGGTCACAAGCCATATTAAAAACTCTGAAGTTGATTATAACAGGAACAAGGAAGCATTGGTTGGTGTCCACAAAGACATAAAAAGATCAGATTTGAGATTTGAAAGGTTTTCCTGATTGCGGCATCAGACTAGACAGGAAAGAGGAAAGCATGGTGGTGAGGAGACCACTTAGAAGGTGGCTGCAGAAATCCAGTTGAGATGTGATGATTGTTTAGCCAGTGGTGCCTGTGGAGTTGGAGAGAAGTGGACTGATTCAAAGACATTCATCACATGGACATCCTTGGCATGAGGGAAAAAGTGGAGAGAAAGATGACTTGGGTATTGAGTCATTTTCAAAGATGATGAAGGCAGAGGTTAAGATGACAATGAAGTTTAATTGGGTTACATTGTGTTTAAGGGGCTTAAGGTGGGTGGTCAAAAGGAACTATTTGGAAGTTGGGCATATGGGTCTGTTGGGTAACAATGGATTTGTGTTTTGGAAGTCAACAGCATATGAATGTTAACTGGAGCACCCAAGGAATGTATGTAAAGAAAAAGGGAAGAGGACGTAGCCCAGGACTCTGGGGATATGTAAGGTATGGGTAGAAGACAGGCTCAGGAAGAAGACTAGGAAGAAGTAAACAGAGTGGTTGGAGGAAAAATGAAAAGTTATATTGTCATGAAATCCAGGAAAAGAGGGTATTTCAAGAAGGAAGAAGCAGTCAGAAGTGTCCAGACTTCCAAGAGATCAAGCCAGATAAGGACTGAGGAGTTCCCACTGGTTTCAGCACAGGGAGGTTCTTGTTAATCTTGTGAAGCAGATTGGGAGAGGGGGCAGTAGCCAGATCACAGTAGGCTGAGATTTCCAGGGAGGAGAGGAAGTGGATATAGCAAGGGTGCATCTCCTTTATTAAGAAGGTTGGCCGTAAAGGGAAGGAAAGAGGGCAAAAGCTGGAGGGACATGTGGAGTGCAGGGAGGATTTGGTGGTGGTTCTGGTGGTGGTAGTGAACATGAGGGCTGCTTTGGATCGTTTTTCAAATAAAGGAAGCCAACATAGAGAGGAAGAGGCTGAAGAGATAGAGAGGGAGGAGATTATGGATACAGGAATGCAGTCAGGAGAGGGGTACAGAGTACAGGCAAGTGTGGGAGGGATAGGTGGGAAGGAGAATGGACCGAGTGTAGGTGCAGGCGCTAGTTGGTAGCAGGAAGCCGAGGAAAGCCGAGTTTTATTTTCCCCAATGTTGGAGGTGAGGTTAGGTTCGTTGTCAATGGTGGCAGTGGAACAGAAAGACTGAAAAAGGATAAGACCTGAAGTAAACAACTATGGAGGAGGAATATAGGACAAAAAGAGAGACATAATTTGCCTTTCAACAATTTCTCTTTTTTCTGAGCGTTTTTGGGCCCATAAAAATAAATAAATTGGGTTCTCTTCATGCTTTCAAGAAAAAAAAATTACCTTTCCAGCTACTTCTGGAAATCTTTCCCTGGAAGCCAGGAACCAACTGATAACATTGTACAGTGTCGCATGAAAGTAAATTTTCTCAAATAATAATAATTGTACCATCTATGGAGGTTTGGGTATAAGAATAGGGCAGTCTTTTGGGGACACTTGAGTTCTTTAGCAGCAGATGGAAAATTAGACCTTTTATAATGATGCATCTACTGAGCATCAGGTGCTGCAATCATCACAGCAGCTTTCTAAGATGGGTATTACCACCATCACCTTTACAGGTGAGGAAAGAGAGACAGAAGTTAGAGAATTTATTCAAGACCAACTATTGTTGAGGGGCAGAGCCAGGATCTGAACTGAGTCCAAAATGTTTCCATTATGAATTATTTATTCAATGCATTTGTCATGGGGAAAAATCCCTGGTTCCCTGGTTTCTCTCCTTGTTTTCCCCATCCTGTAAACTAGATTTTTCCTGTATGTTTAATGAGCCATTTTGTATTTATATTTCTCTACAGTTGATTAAGTATGGGTAGATTTTAATGTGCCAACGTAAGCTGTTTTAAAATCTTAAAAGATTTTCTCGGGAAATGTTTTCTCAACCAAAAAAAAAAAAAAAGATATCAGAAATGATGTTGGGACAATTGGCTATCCATATGGAAGACAATCAAATTAGACATCTAACTAATGCCATATATCAAAATAAATTCCAGAGGGACTCAAGTGCGAAATGAATAAAGTCAAACCATAAAAGTTACAGAAACAAAATGAAGAAGGATTATTTATAACCTAGGACTCGAGAGGCCTTCCCACACAAGACACAAACTCAGAAGCTGTAAACGAAAAGATTGATAGACTTGATGCCATGTATGAGGATGCTAATTACAGCATTGTTCATAATGGTGAAAAATGAGAAGCAATCTAAAGTTTCTTTAATAGGGAACTATTTAGATACATTATTGAACATTTACATCACAAAGGAGTAATGAAGCCTAGTAGTTAAAAGCATGCATTCTGATGTCAGACTATCTGGGATTGGATCTCATCTCCACCAGTAATTTGCTGTGTTTTTGAGAAAATTAACAATATTACCAAATTTCCTTAATTTCTTCCTCAATAAAATAAGCATAATAGTTTTATTAACCTCCTAGGGTTATTGGAGAATTAAGTGATTTAATAATGTAAATCACTTAGAATAGATCCTTAACATAGTTACTTCCACAAAAGTATTAGCTATTGTAACAAAATAGCACTTGAAAAAGAGGTAGGCTAATGTGAAATGATTCAGTACAATTTCAGACATACTATTAAGAAAACAGATTTCAGGACAATGTTTAGAGTCTGATTCCATTTTATAAAAATTTATTTGTATTTACATATGCATGCATGAAAATGAATAGAAAAGAAGACTATAGAACAAGAAACCCACCAAACTGTGAATGGTTGCTATTTCTGGAAGACAGTAGGAGTGTTTAGAAGGGAATATCACATTTCACACTAGATACAGTAATTTTCTATTACTTCAGTCTTTTATAAAGAGAATGAAGTTACACACTGTGTTAAGAACAAAAGGAAGAAGGAAGAAAGGAAGGAAGAAAAGGAAAGGGAAGGAAGGAAGGAAAGGAAGGAAGGAAGCAAGGAAGGAAGGAAGGACAAAAGCAAAGGAAGAAGGGAGAAGGGAGAGAGAGAAGGAAAATGTTTTTAACATGCTCTGCTGTCCATATAGGATAAGATTCATAGCATGAAAACACAAACACCCACTGTGGCAGGGGTACTGCCCCCTCCCTTTCTGACATACCATACCTAGTCTTAGAAATACATCATGGGGCACAGCATCTGGAGGGAAGAAGGAAAGAAATAGAAACGGGTAGTCCAAAACATATGGTCCAAATAATCTTTATGATGAATGGAAAAATCAAGTCTAGGCAGCTGACACAAAATCCAGGCATTAACTTAAATGGAATATTGAGTTTTGTTTTGAATCAAGAATCAATTCTCTTTTCTCAATGAGACCATTAGTGCTTTTCTTAAATCTTCTTTCCATATTTGTACATGCTTTAAACAAGAAGAGGAATTTTCTCATAAATTTCCAGGCTAGTTAAAGGAGAACACTGAGAGGTGTGTGTGTGTGTGTGTGAGTGTGTGTGTGTGTGTGTGTGTGTGTGTGCACACGCGCATGCGTGCTTGTGTGTGTGTGTTTTCAGCATTTCTCTTTATATCTCCATGGAAGAGACACAATTTAGAGAGGAAACTCATTAAATGGAAGGGACCCAGGATTGTGAGGTAGGAAACCTGACTAGACTATTCTTTCCGATTGCAATAGTTGTGTGTCTTTCAGCAAATTGCTTAATTCTTTAGCTGTAAACAGCAGAGATTATCTGATAACTTTTGGTCCTTTCTAGTTTCCAAAATTACAAGATTTGCTGCATAATTTTTATTAAAAAATGATTACTCTCTGGAATAATTGCAGCGAGAAACCACTTGCTTTTTATTAGGTTGTATATTAGGCTTAACTAATGGGGGTATGGTATCAGTTTGGGAGGTGATTATTTAGTCTTTTTCTTCATTGGCTAACTCTATTAGAAATAGTCTCTTCAGTTTCAGGCACTGTACTATGACAGGGACATATGAAAGATGAAATGTTATGCTCAGGGCTGGGCATGGGGTGGAGTGGGGAGGACAATTCACTCATAAGAAGTTGAAATCCAAGCCAATAGCTTGTGTGGGTATTGAATCTAAATATCTAAATATATGTATAACACATATGGTGCAGAAAACGTAAGGGGAGAAATTATACAAACTGACATGGAGATATTGAAACTCCTAGGGCCGTGGCAGAAGCAAATATGAAACTGCCTTATAAGAAAATTTTTCACAGTATTCCCATAGGAGTTAAGCTCACAATTAAAATATCACAGGCCTGCATAAGAAAATGAATTAACACGAGAGTATCAGCAGACAAAACTAATAGTAGAATAAACATCTAATAAATGGAAATGTAATAAGCTATCTGAAAGAGATTATAAAATATGTTTAAAGCACTTAATAGATAAATAAAAATTACTGAAGAACATGACAGTATGTGATGGTTAATTAATACTGTCAACTTGATTGGATAGAAGGATACAAAGTATTGATCCTGGGTGTGTCTGTGAGGGTGTTGCCAAAAGAGATTAACATTTGAGTCAGTGGGCTGGGGAAGGCAGATCCATCCTTAATCTGGTGGGCACAATTTAATCAGCCACCAGTGAATATAAATCAGGCAGAAAAATGTGAAAAGAAGAGATGGGGGTAGCTTCCCAGCCTACATCTTTCTCCCATGCTGGATGCTTCCTGCCCTTGAACATTGGACTCCAAGTTCTTAGTTTTTTGGGACTCAGACTGGCTCTTCTTGCTCCTCAGCTAGCAGACAGGCTATTTTGGGACCTTGTGATCACGTAAGTTAATACTTAATAGGCATATATATATCCTATTTGTTCTGTCCCTCTAAGAGAACCCTAATACAGATTTTGGTACCAGGAGTGGTTCCAGAGGAACAGAATATTAAAGATGGAGTTCTTTCATTGGTTTTGGGGTTTTTGGAGTTGGCTTCTTAATATGATTAGACCCCAAAATGCTAAGGACTCTACTTCTAATAGTATGGAGAACACCGATCGTCATTGGAGTGAACTGTTTAGAGAGTTATGCAAAATAAATGCATTTGGCATTCCTGATTCCCTGTTTGTGAGAGGCAAGGAGTTGAGTGACTCTCTACATAATACCTTTGACCATATGTGGAGAACCAAGAAACATAATGAAGTTAGTTGGTTGGTTGCTCCAAAATTCAGTGGACGAAGTGATGAAAGAAAATGATGAACTCAGGGATTCTGTCTCCCAGCTTCAGAAGCAGATACTGAGTCCCAGATCTGCTGAGATTGCCCTGAGAGTCTTATCCCTTGTGGAGAAAGAACTGAAATTGTGGAAAAACAGACACAAGCTCTTATCATGTGAGAGGCTGACCTGCAATGAAAGATGCATGCACAGCCTCGCTAGGTGTCTACTGTTAAAGTGAGGGCATGGATTGGAAAAGAATGGGACCCTGCAACTTGGAATGAGGATGTGTGGGAGGACCCTGGTGAGGCTGGGGACCCTGAGTTTGTAAACTCTGATGAACCATTTTTTGCCAGAAGGAACGGCTTTCCCATCCCCAGTAGTGACAACATCTCCTCCCCGACCCATGCTGCCATCAGCCTTTCCATCTCTGTCTCAGGAGATAAACCCTGCACTACCTGAGGCAACAGTGATGGCCTCCCCTGAGGCAGTTGCCGGGTGAAATAATGTTGATTCTCCTCAGAAGCCACCCCCAACACCTCTGTTTGCTTCTAGACCTATAACTAGACTAAGTCCTGGTAGGCCCCTAGAGGTGAGGTTGAGAATGTGACCCATGAGAAGGTGCCCTATACTTGAAAATAACTGCTTGAATTCTCTAATTTCTATAAACAGAAATCTGGAGAACAGGCATGGGAATGGATATTAAGGGCATGAGATAATGGTGGAAGGAACATAGAGTTGGATCAGGCTGAATTTATTGATTTGGACCCACTAAGTAGGGACTCTGCATTTAATATTGCAGCTCAGGGAGTTAAAAAAGGTTATAATAGTTTATTTGCTTGGTTAGCTGAAATGCGGATTAAAAGATGGCCTGCCGTGAGTGAGCTGGAAATGCCTGATCTCCCTTGGTTTAATGTAGAGGAAGGGATCCAAAGACTTAGTGAGATTGGTATGGTGGAATGGATTAGTCACTTTAGACCTACTCATCCCATCTGAGAGGGTCTAGAAAATATACCCTTTACCAATGCCTTGCAAAAAAGATTTGTGAGGGCAGCACCTGCATCTTTGAAGAGCCCTGTAATTGCTTTTCTCTGTATGTCAGATCTAACAGTGGGAACCACAGTCACTCAACTACAAAATTTAAATACAATGGGAATAATTGGATACTGAGGTGGCAGGGGCCAAGTGGTGGCACTCAACCATCAAAGGGAAGGTGGGCGTAGCTATCCCAATGGACAGTAGAAACAAAGCGACGATCAGGATAGTCTGATTTGTGTAGAGCTCTGGCATTGGCTAATTAATCACGGTGTTCCTAGAAGTGAAACTGATAGGAAGCCTACTGCATTCCTACTTAATTTATATAAGAAGAAAACTTCTAGTTTGAATGGACAAGACGAATTTGAATTATAAAAACAGAATCGGCCAGGCGCGGTGGCTCACGCTTGTAATTCCAGCACTTTGGGAGGCCGAGGTGGGCAGATCACTAGGTCAGGAGATTGAGACCATCCTGGATAACACGGTGAAACCCTGTCTCTACTAAAAATACAAAAAAATTAGCCAGGCGTGGTGGCGGGTGCCTGATGTCCCAGCTACTTGGAAGGCTGAGGCAGGAGAATGGCGTGAACCTGGGAGGCGGAACTTACAGTGAGCCGAGATCACGCCACTGCACTCCAGCCTGGGCGACAGAGTGAGACTCCATCTCAAAAAAACAAAAACAAAAACAAAAACAGAGAATGACGGCCCCTCAATCAATTTCCAGACTTGAGCCAGTTTACAGACCCATAACCCCTTGAATGAAGGGGAGGCTGGGTCCCCTTGAGGAAGGACCCCACTACATTACCAACAATTTGTGCAGTGAATCTTCCACCCATCCTTCCCCAAGGAGACCTCCGACCTTTTACCAGGGTAACTGTGCACTGGGGAAAGGGAAGTGATCAGACATTCCAGGGACTACTGGACACTGGCTCTGAGCTGATGCTGATTTCAGGGAACACAAAATGTCATTGTGGTCCTCCAGTTAAAGTAGGGGCTTATGGAGGCCAAGTAATTAATGGAGTTTTAGCTCAGGTCCGACTTACCATGGTAAGAAAGAAAGACCATTCTTTCCCCAATGAACACTCCTGGAACCCTTGTCAAATATCCATTGACTATCGATGAAGATATTTATTTCTGGACTCTAAATTCTACTTCATTGAGCCATATGTCTATTTGTGTACCACATTCTCTTGATTATTATTGCTTTTTAGTAAGTTTTGAAATTGGAAATTGTCAGTCCTCCTACAGTGTTATTCTTTCTCAAAATTGTTCTGGATATTCCAGGTTATTCACAGTTCCATAAGACATTTAGAACGAGCTTGCCAATTTCTATTACGAAGTCAGCTGGGATTCTGATAGGAATTGCCTTGAATCTGGAGATCAATTTGATAGTGTTATACTGAATGCCTCTTCATTTCTTTATGTTTTCTTTGATGTTTTTCAATAATGTATTATAGTTTTAGAATGTAAGTTTTTCACTTTTGTTAAATTTATGCCTAAGTATTTTCTTCTTTTTGATGCTATTGTAAACAGAGTTGCTTTCTTAATTTTTGCATTTTTTCATTGCAAAATCACTTCATTTGCATTGTTCATTGCAAGTATATGAAAAAACAACTAATTTTTGTATATTGATCTTGTATCCTACAACTTCACTGAACTTATTTGTTAGTTTTTTTGTATGAATTCTCTAGAATTTTTAATATATAATTTGTCATATGCAAATAACAATAGTTTTACTTCTTCTTTTTCAGTCTGAATGCCTTTTATTTCTTTTTCTTGCTTATTTGTTCTGGGTGGAACCCCTAGTACAGTGTTGAATAGAAGTGATGTGGGGTGGACATCCTTACCTTTTTCCTGATCTTAGGAGGGAAAGCATCCAGTCTGTTACCATTAAGTATGTATGATATTAACTGCGGGTTTTTTTGAGGATGCCTTTTATACCTAAGATTTTGTGTGTGCACACTTTTTTTGATGTTAATATAAATAGTATTGTGTTTTTAATTTCAAATCCCAGTTGTTTTTTACTGATATATGGGAAAGTGATGGACGCTATTATGCTTACCTTATAGCCTGTAAACCTGTTATTATTGCTTATTAGTTTTAGGAGGGTTTTTTTTCCATCAATTCTTTGGCAATTTCTACATGATCATGTCATAAGTGATATACAGTTTTGTTTTTTCCTTTCCAATGTTCATATACTTTCTTGTCTTTTCTTGCCTTATTTTATTAGCTAGGACTTCCAGTATGATCTTGAATAGGAGTAAGGGAGGACTGCTTGTTCTATTTCCGCACTTAGGGGAAAAACATCTAGTTTCTCATCATTGAATATGTTAGCTATAAGTTTTCTGTAGATTTTTTAATGAAGTTGAGAAAGTTCCCCTTTATTCCGAGTTTGCTGAGAGTTTTAAATCATAAAAGGGTGTTGGATTTTGTCAATTTCTTTTCCTGCATGTATTGATTTGATCATGTGATTTTTCTTCCTTAGATTTTTCTTCTCCCCATCCATTGATGTGATGGGTTACAGTAATAAATTTTTGAATGTTGAACTAGCCTTGCATACTTCAAATAAATCTCCTTGGTCATGGCATATAACTACTTTTATACATTGTTGTTTCAATTTGCTATATTTTGTTGAGGGTTTTTGCATCTGTGTTCATGAGAGATAACCAATTGCATGATTTCTTCTTGTAATGTTTTTGTCTGGTTTGCTATTAGGGTATTAGAAAGTTTCCCTCTGCTTCTGGAAGTGATTGTAGATAAATAGTACTATTTCCTCCCTAAATATTTAGTATGACTCAGCAGTGAAACGATATTGGCCTGGTGCTTTCTAGCTTGGAAGGTTAATTATTGATTGTGTTTTAAAAATAGATATAAGCCCATTAAGATCATATATTTCTTTTTGTATGTTTGCCTATTTCAAGGAATTGTTGCATTTCATCTTTGCTATTAAATGTGTGGGTATAGGGTTGCTCATAATATTCTTTTATTATCCTTTTAATATCCCTGGGATAAGAAGCAATGAGTTCTCTTTCATTTTTGATATTAACAATTTATGTGTTCTCTCATTTTATGTTGGTTAGCCTAGCTAGAGGTTTGTCAATTTTATTGATCTTTTGAAGAATCAGACTTGGTTTTATTAATTTTTCTATTGGCATTTTCTGCATGATCTGTGATCACGGTTTCTAATTTCATTGATTCCTGCTCTAATTTCTATCATTTACTTTCTTCTGCTTGCTTTAGGATCACATTGCTCTTCTTTCTCTAGTTTTAAAGTGGAAGCTCAGATTACTGATTTTAGATTTTTCTTCCTTTCCAGTATGTGCATTCAATGCTATGAATGTTATCCGAAGCACTGCTTTCACTGCATCACACACATTTCGGTAAGTTCTATTTTCATCTTCATTTAACGAAACATATTTTAAAATTTATTTTGAGACTTCTTTGACCCATGCTTTATTTAAAAGTGTGTTGTTTAATCCTCAAAGCTGTGGTTTCAGGCTGATGGTTTTCAAGGGAACTATGGAACTGGGATAGTGTGGTGGTGGTTCGATAGAAGGCAAGTTAAATACCATAAAGTTCACTGTTTTTAATGAGATCCATCTCTTTTTTTTTAAATAAAATAAATACTCTTCAGATTGTTGCAAGCCTCTAGTTAATAACCCAAGTCCTAAAATTTTGATGTAGACAAATTTTGCCTGTGGTCTTGTGGCTTTTAGGGAGAAAATAATTTTCAGAGGTCCTTACTCTATTTTCACTGATATCCTGAACATTGTTTGACGTGCCTGTCATCCACAGCTCTTCTTTGGTGAAGTGTCCATTCAAGTTTTTTGTCTATTTTTAAAATTTGGTTGTTTATTTTATTTTTGTTGAGTTTTTAAATACATTTTATTTTGGAACAATTTTACATTTATAGAAAAGTTGCAGAAATACTCCAGAGGGTTGCCACGTAACTCTCACCCAGTTTCTACTATTGGTAACATATTTCATTGCCTTGGCATATCTGTTAAAACTTAAGAAATCAACATCAGTTCATTGTGATTCACTAAACTCCCGACTTACTCTAGATTTCTTAGTGTTGCGTTTTGAGGATTATTTGTGTATTCTGGATAGAAGTCTTTTGTCAGATGTATGATTTGCAAGTCTTTTCTCCCAGTCTATACTTTATCTTTTCCATCTCTTATTTATATTACGGTTACTTTTAAAATGTCAGCGAAAGTTATTTGGATGCTGTCATTTTTTGTTTCGGTCTTTGAATTTATCTTTGATGAATATAAATGTTTTAAATAAAATAGCAGCAATATATTATTCTAAAATATCATGCTTGGTTTGACTTATTAAATAGTTTATGAAAAAGTTTTATTTTATATTTACGTTGTTTTTGACTTAAAAATACCAAGTGTATTAATCTCCTTTACAATTTAAGACTTAAGCCTTAAAATTCAGGATACAACTGTAGCACGCTATTAATGCCCAAGGGCAACATACTTTTTATGGTGACCAATCAACTGAGATTCTAAAATCAAGTTTAATAAGGACTGAAACATCATGACTTGGCTATCAGTGCATGTAATTTATACCCCTTTGCAAGTTTAAAGGCACTGATCTCTAGTTATTCAGGCTTGGACATTTTCTCCTGCCCTACCGTCTTTGTGGTCCCAAGTGTCATGCCCCAGTAAATGCTTCCATGCCTGTTCCTGAACCCAAAGAACTGTTATTGAATGGGACAGAGACTGAATGACTAAGGAAACTCTAGCTGCCTCCAGCCCCACACTTGGCTAAGCTGTAATCAGCTCTGTGTGAGGCTGGGCATGGAGCAGGTGTAGTCAATGTCCTCCTCTCTGTCTCGTCTCGGTTGTATCTTCATTTGGTGCCGCTCTCACGGACGCCTATCTTCCTCTCTGTCTGTTCCTATTGTCTTTCCAGGCTCCTGGCTGTCCTTTCTGTCATAGCAGCCCCAGTGATTTTGATAATGTCAGCAAGAGCCGAAAGCTGTCGCCCATCTGTGATAGTTGGATAGGGAGCCGCATGAAATGCTGAGGGAATGGAAAAGAGAGTGGGGGCAGTCAAGTGTGGCAAGGGTGGCATTTGCCATAGGTACTGACCACTTGTGAGAGTATTTGTTGCTCTTCAGCATAGTGTAGGAATGATCACTGGAGGGGAGGTCAAAGCCGGAATTTTCAGCTGACACTGGATTTGACCAGCTGCCTGCCTTGGAGTTGTGGTAGTGAGAGACTCACTCTGTTTCTCCCTGGGCTCAGTTTTCTCATTTGTAAAATGGTGCTGGGGAAAATGTGCTGGAGCTGGATTACTTGATTCTTACGGTCTTTCAAGTTCTAATGGTCTAAGTAGGATAGTGTTCTTCGAACATTTTTTGCTCATGTACCTCTAAACAACTTTTTGAAAAACTATGATTCAATGCACATTTTAAAGTTGATATCTAAAAGTTTGAATCTTCTATTTAAATAGTTGCAAAGGATATGATTTCTAATATTTCATAAAAATTATGGTATATATGGTATATATATATATGGTATATGTCATAAAAAATGGTAGTTTTAAAGAGAGAATTTAAAATTTAAAAAAGTATCCATTGGAATTTAAATGCCATACTCATATGAGACCCCCTTCATCCACTTAAGAACTCTACAAACTCTTTTTATTCAACATTTTAAAATTTTATATTTCCCTTTATCCATGATATTATATTCCACTTTCCCACAGGATTTTATATTAATGCACATATGTTTTATGCTTGAAAACTTTTTATTGATCACTCTATCATACTTATCATAATAAGATTATGGCTTATAAATTCAAATTTTAAAATTTGTTTTCTTTTCTGTGACCATAAGGCTTTAAGGGCTAAAAATAGTCTTCTGTAATAGGTTGTAATTATAATTATTATTGGCACATAGTTGATCAAAAATAAAAACATATATTGAATTTTTAGAATCATGCATTGTATAATGACATTTTAGTCATTGACAGACTGCATATACAACTGTGGTCTCATAGAATTAGAATGGAGCCAGAAAGTTCCTGTCACCTAGGGACACAGCCATCTTGATGTTGTAGCCTAATGCATTACTCACATGTTTGTGATGATGCTGGTTTTGACAAATCCACTGCACTGCCAGATGTATAAAACTAAAGCACAGGCCGGGCGCAGTGGCTCACACCTGTAATCCTAGCACTTTGGGAGGCCGAGGCGGACGGATTGCCTGAGCTCAGGAGTTTGAGACCAGCCTGGACAACATGGTGAAATCCCATCTCTACTAAAAATACAAAAAAATTATTCGGGTATGGCAGCGTGCACCTGTAGTCCCAGCTACTCAGGAGAGTGAGGCAGGAGAATTGCTTGAACCCGGGAGGTGGAGGTTGCAATGAGCTGAGATTATGCCACTGCACTCCAGGCTGGGCAATAGAGCAAGACTCTGTCTCCAAAAAAGAAAAGTAAAGCGCATACAGTTATGTACAGTACATAATACTTGATAATGGTAATAAACAACTATGTTACTGGTTTATGTATGTATTATACTATACTTTTTATTGCTATTTTGGAGTGCACTTTTAAGTAGAATGAGTAATAAGTAGAATTAAAAAAAAGTTAAATGTAAAACAGCCTTAGGCAGATCCTTCAGGAGGGATTCCAGAAGAAATCATTGTTATCACAGGAGATGACACAGCACCATGCATGTTATTGCCCCTGAAGACCTTCCAGTGGGACAAAATATAGAGGTGGGAGACAGTGATATTGATGATCCTGGCCCAGTGTAGGCCTAAACTAACATGTGTTTGTGTCTCAGTTTCTAATAAGAAAAAGTTTAAAAAGTAAAAAAACTTAAAAATATTTTTAAAAATTAAAAAAAGCTTATAGAATAAGAATGTGAAGAAAGAAAATGTTTTGGCTGGGTCGGTGGCTCCCGCCTGTAATCCCAGCACTTTGGGAGGCCGAGGTGGGTGGATCACTTGAGGTCAGGAGTTCGAGACCAGCCTGGCCAACTTGGCAAAACCCCATCTCTACTAAAAATGCAAAACTTAGCTGGGCGTGGTGGCGGGCACCTGTAATCCCAGCTACTCAGGAGGCTGAGGCAGGAGAATCGCTTGAACCCAGGAGGCAGAGGTTGTAGTGAGATGAGATCATGACACTGTACTCTCCAGCCTGGGTGACAGAGTGAGACTGTCTAAAAAAAAAAAAAAAAGAAAATGTTTTGTACAGCTGTACAATGTGTGTTTTAAGCTAAGTGTTATCACAAAAGAGTCAAAAAGTTGAAAAAATTTAAAAGTTCATAAAGTAAAAATGTTATAGTGTGCTTAGGTTAACTTATTATTGAAGAAAAAACATATTTTAAAATAAAGCCTAAATGTACTATGTTTATAAATTCTGCAACAGTGTACAGAAATGTCCTAGACCTTCACATTCACTAACGACTCATTGATTGACCCAGAGCAACTGCTAGTCCTGCAAACTCCGCTCATGGGAAGTGCTCTAGACAAGTGTACTATTTAAAAACCTTTTATACTGTATTTTTACTGTACCTTTTCAATGTTTAGATATACAAAAATTTACCATTATGTTACAATCACCTGCAGTAGTATTCAGTACACTAACATGCAGTACAGGTTTGTAGCCTAGGAGTAATAGGCTTTACCATATAGCCTAGGTGTGAAGTAGGCTATACATCTAGGTTTGTGTAACTACACTCTGTGATGTTCATACAACAAAATCAACCAACGATGCCTTTCTCAGAACATATCCTTGGCGTTAAGTGATACATGACTGTATTAAACATAAGTAATTTTTATTGGAAATACATTTGTTAATGAGATGATGAGGCATTATCCTAATTATTTCATATGTCTCTGTATGAATATGACATTTATGCAATGAAGCAGATTTCAACATCTGTATTATCACTACTCTTTTTTTAATAGATGTTAGCACTGAGAAAATATGTTCACATAAAAAAGTACACAGAAATGGAAATTTGCTATATCACCATCACTTGATTGTTTGACTACCTTTTGAGTTATTTGTCAAAAATTATACACAGATTTATAATCAAGATTATTTTTAATTTTGTTAAGAACAAAGAGTTGGGAACCGCCTGACTTGTTGTTCATTCATTAGAGCCTGATTCCCTATTTCAATTCCTGGGAGGTATACAGAAAAGGCTTTTACAATACTGTCAATTAACTGTTAATAATCCCAGCTATTCTTTTTCTTAGAGGCACCTTGTTTAATCAGACGTATTTTTTAAATTGTTGGAAAAGATCAATGTTATTAATTTCCTTCTACTTTTATATAGTGCTTTTCTGTTATCATGTGCTTTGAATGTATTCTCATCAAAATCCTGGAACTATAGGTTTGGTTTATTAAATATGTGAAAAGTAACTTCCATATAATCTACTTGGCAAAGTCAATCCTTACTGTAAAACCAATCAGACAAATAATTCTTATTTTCCCTTAAGATAAAAATCTGACATTGTTTTTTCAATTCAACCAAACACGTTAATAAGCATTTCAAGGACTATTATAAATACTACTGGCAAAAAATTATGGAACCCATCTTGTAGGATAGATAATAAAATCAGTCAAGTCAAGGTTAAAATGATGCAGCACTAATGTGATTTATCCATTTCACAATATTAATAAGAACAAGATCATAAATCCATATGTAGCTCCTCTGTTCTGAATTTGTATAGGTCACTGTTATATGTATGTCAAAGGACTTCTGTAAACTAGATCTGCTAAATATGGATGCGTGCATGTATCAAACATTGTTCTTCTGCTTTGGAGAATAATTAAGAGTCAAATATAAAGATGAGTAATAACTCCATCAATGTTATGAAACAGCATGATCAAACTTTCCTTATATGGTAAGTGAAAGAGAACAATATCCAATTGCTAAAAAATGAATCAGTCTGGAAGTTATGCTATAATTTTCTCTTTGGCTAATAGGAGGTGAAAAATGCTGAACATTTGAATATCTGAGGTTCCTCTGATTTTTGGTGTAATGCCTCACTTGGATGAAGGTGGCGGGGAAGCCCCAGTGCCCCATGTCTGAACGGACTCAGAGCAGGGGAGAGGGACTCGGAAGCCCCAGTGCCCCATGTCTGAACAGACTCAGCAGGGGAGAGGGACCCTTGGTACCTGATGGGGGTGGCGCCAGATGCTGTCAACAATATCTGTGAGCAGCTCTGAGTAAGGGGGTTGTGGAGGATGGACCCTGACCTCTAGGGAGAGCTGGGTCCTCCCCTCCAGAAGCTCCTCACCCAATTCATTACATGATTTCCTCCTGCTCCTTGAATATTTAAAATTCTGAATGTTTTCTTTCCTTAACAATTGCTTTAATTTTCCTATCTCATCTAACTCTGTTCACTTCAGTCTGAACTTTCTGAGTCCCGTTTGGGACTCAGTGGCTGGCCAGCTCCCCACGAACTTGGCCCAAAGCCCAGAACCCATTCTTCCTCCCACCCCTCCATTCCAGACAGAGATTCATCCTACTTGGCAGGCTGTGTCCCAGAGGACTCAGCATTTTGGAGAACTCTTTGCTCCCAGACACCTATTTCCAGAAGGCACGAGTGTCCCCCACCCCTCCTGGGATCAGTCCAGCCATGTGCTCTGCAGCAGGGCCCTGGGTCACCCCTCCCTATTGCCTGCCTGCCTGCAGATTTACTTGACTCTTTGGATGCAAACTCATATCTGCATCCAGCCATTGCTCCTGTGGTGGTGGTTTGACTGAAGGACAGGGAACCCTAATTTTTTTAAGTGTTGTTACATCCCTATCTATACCAGACCTCTCCAAACTCCTGGGTGATTTCTAAGGTGTTAGGCTGCTGCAACCCTGCTAGCAATCTCGGAGGGGATTCCTAGACACCCATGACCCATAGTGAGGTGGGAGGATATTGGTGCCTTTGGCAGACCACGCAGCCCCCAGCCACCATCCCCCAGTGCTGGATGACTTCCCCTCCAGGGCTGTGTTGACTTTTAGACACGAAAGCCACCTGATCATTTATTCTTCCAATGTCATGCTCCATTTGAAGTGGTCCAACTAAGCCTGATTGCTATCCCAGTGACATCTTTTACTCCATGGGGCACATGTCCCATCCCTGGAATAACCTACTTCATCTTTTCTGCTCTTTCCAAAAGGCCATAACCTCAGCATGCAGGGTTTCTCTCTGCAGTGTTCATCTGCAAGGGGCTGTTGGGTCCCTTAGGGGTCACCACTTCCAATGTTCAGGGCTCTAAACAAATTCCACAGTGTCCCGTGGTATGGGTTTAGGAGCTTTATTGGGAAGGAGAAATCTGAAATGAGCAAAGAAAGAGAACGGGGGTTCCCTGTCCCTGCTATTTAGTTCCTGGGGAGGTATAGGGATTGGTGGCTTCCTTCCCGGATAGACAGAGCTGGACTTTACAAGGCCCCAGGTGCTGGCCGGCTTGCAGGCCAGACAACCCCAGTAAACAGCTGGCACATCAGAGCCAAATGCCAAGCCCCAAACAACCTGTCCCCCATGGGCAAGGCTGCTTTCTTACGGATGCTCTATAAAATGACCCAGTCCCAGACACAACTCCTCCCCTGGAAGGTAGACATGGGCTGTCTGACCAGTGAATCCCCAGGCCTTGGCCCACAGGAGCCTGGGAGCCTGGCCCCTCTTCCCTTATTGGCTCAGGCCTTGTGAATATTCTCCTCTCCACAAAAGCTTATTCCTTAATCTGGACCAAGTAACACGGTGGAGTTCATGGAAAGCATGGCGGCTGGCAGGTGGAGTTGTAGCCACCTTGCCAGGCGATTGCCTATGTTTAAATATGTGAAAGAGGCAGATTGTAAAATTCCCTCTCTCTGCCGGCATTGTCTGTTTTGCTCTAACAAGATTCTCCCTTAAGAGCAATGTGTTCTTTGACAATAGCCTGGGGACAGGAGAGGCAAAGTCTTTAAACAAAAATTGTTATTACTCCCACTACTGCTCTCTACTCTTACCTAATTCAAAACATCCCAAGGAGGCTGCATGCCTAACACTCCTGCACCCCAACAGGAAAATAAGTAAGCAGGAAAGCCGGAAGCCCCAAGGATCTGATGCTGCAGTGACTCACTGAGGGGCTTTCCCCTGCTGGGTGCTCTGGAGGCTTTTAAACCTTCGACAATGCCTCGTAGTGAGACTGAGGATGGGCGTGCTTTTACTTTTCTTTTGTCAAGTGGACAAAGGGTTGGTGAGCAAGGGGGTCATTCTTTGGCAGATCAGCTTTAGTACAGATTACACAGAGGCTGAGTGCTTGGGCGATGATTCCTTTTAGCCCGTCCATGTCCAGGTATCCCTTAGAAAGTCTCCAACAACCCCTAGAGATGTGCCTTCCCTAGTTTGAGGACCACTGACTGGTCTAGGAATCTAGGATTCCGAGGTGTCAGGCTTAGGCTAGAGTGCCCTGGGGCCTGCCTGGAAGCTGATAGCCTCCTTGGAACAGTTGCTGGAGACGGTATCTTTATAGAGAGGCTTTTGTGGGTGATGGAGGTTTTCTTCTTCTGACAGATATGCACACAGCTGCAGGAGTTAGCCAATACTATTTTTTCTACCTTCCACTGTTACTGCTGCTATTACTGCTCTCCCCCTGTTTATCCTCTAGCTACATGGTCTCCTAGTAGGTCTTCCAACACACCAGGCACACTCGGTCCTCAGGGCCTTTGCACTGGCTGTTCCCTCTGCTGTAATGCTGATCCAGATATCTGCATGGCCAACTCCCTCATCTGTAATTCTGTTCTCCAGGAGGCCTGCCCTGACTCGTCTATTTCAAGTTGCAACTACATGTTCCTCTCCACCTCCTCTCTATCCCTCATGCCTTCCCTTATTTCCTCTATGAAACCTATCATCTCCTAAAACATTGATTTATGTATTTACGTTTAATGTTTTTGTCTTCCTCTACCACCTCTCACTCCCTGGAACAGAAATTCTTTGAGGGCAAGGATCAGTCTGCTTTGTTCACTGATGTACACTAAATGCCTAGAAGGGAGCTGGCACATGGTTGGTGTGCAGTAGACATTTGCTAATGAAGGAATAAATGAACAGACTCATTTGGTGAAAAAAACAAGTTCAACTTTCACAGCTTAGCTGATCCACATGACCTCTCCCTTAAAAAATATGCAACGCACCATAGCATCAAATTACACCTGAGCTCTGAGAAGTGGCCAGCCTTTCCTTTTTCTTCTCTCCTCCTCCTCTGGTCTTCCTCCTCTTCCTCCTCCTTCTTTTTCCTCTTCCGCTTCTTCTTCTTTTTTTTGTTTATCAGCCAGTATACATGACCCTGACTGACCCTTTTAGTCTCATCTCTGGTCCTTTTTGATGAAGCCCAGAGCCTGCAAACCAGAGGCCAGCGGGACAAAGTTGGCGTGCAGACATGTTTCTTCACAGTGGTTAAAATGAATAAAAATGCATCACCAATCTTTGAAAAAATTGTATATATTTAATATATGTATATATACATTTTTTGAGACGGTCTCATTCTGTCACCCAGACTGGAGTGCAGTGGCATGATCACAGCTCACTGCTCAAACTCCTGGGCTCAAGTAATCCTCCCACTTAATTCTCCCAACTATCTGGGACTACAGGCAAGTGCCAATATGGAATATTTCAAAGATATTTAAACTTCGAAACTATCAAAGCTATCAACATCTTCTTTTGTCTTCTGAAAAATCAGATTTGCTAACATTGGGCCACATCCCCAGTAGGCAGAAGCTAAGCACCAGCTGCCCCTTAGACAGGGCACCGTCTCCATCACCTCCTACTGTGTCCTTGCCACTGGCACCAAGATTAGCAGTGTTCTTGCTGAGCTGTGGCTCCTTCCATAGCCTGCTTTATGTACTCTGTGATTTGTACCCACCTGGCCTCTATAGAAATTTGAGTTTATAGCCCTTGATTTTAAAGATAATGAAGAGATCTGCAGTTCCCAGAATTTGTCCTGTGGTCTCTTTCATTTCCAGGCCTTTGCCAATGCTGGCTTTCAACCTGGAATATTCACCTTCCCCTCTTCACCTGGTCAGCTTCTACTCATTACCTTAGATGGCACTTCCTGTAGGAAGCATGCTTTGGTTTTCCAATATAGAGTTAAGTGCCCTTCCTTATAACAATGCAGGAAGTTCCCTTCCTCTCATTCTGCTGTGAAGTCTTCTCTGTCACTCTGTATTATAATTTCTTATCTTCTTCCCTACTAGATTTAGAGCATTTTTAAGGTAGGGACATGTCTTGTTCACCTTAAGTCCAGGAGTTGGCAAATTATAGCCCACAGGTGAAACTTAACCGGCAGGCTCTTTGTGTACAGCCCTAACGCTAAGAGCAGTTTCTACATTTTTAGAGCATGGTAAGAACAAAACAGTATGTGAGAGACAGCCTATGTGGCCTACAATGCCTAAAATATTCACTCTCACAATCTTTACAGAAAAAGTTTGTTTATCCCTATTCTAGCCTTCCATCTGGCACAAAGTAAGTATTGAATAAATGTGAAATGAATAAATAGCTGTTGTCTTATACCTGGCATTCCAAGTAATACACATGTACTGGAGATTCTAAATTGAGTGGAGAGATAAAGACATTGTATATAGCTTATCAATGTATGGTTACTTAACCTCATAATTTTACCTGCTCCAGGGGGAATACCCCCCATGCCCTCTGCATTGCATGATGCTGCTCACACATTACATATATGTAATACTATGTTTATATTACAATAACATATTTATTATATTATGACATTAATTATACATTATGTAATATATATCATTTAAATAATATAAATAATATACTCACATAATATATTTACATAATAATAATTAATTATTATTATTTTCTATTTCACAAACACTCAAATCTTCCAAGTTTGTTCTAGCCACAGCACCTTTGCATTTTCCATTCCCTCTGCATGGAGTGTTCTTCCCCCAGACTCCTGCACAGCTGGCTTCTCTTCAACACTCAGATCCCAGCTCAAATATCACATCTTCAGAGACGCTTCCTTCTCTTTATCTCATTACTCTGTTTTATCTTCTTCATAGCACAGTTCACCATATGAAGTGATCTTATTTCTTTGTCTACTTATAGTCTGTCTTCACAAATGATGTAAACTTTATGAAGGCAGGCACATGGTCTGTTTTGCTTACTTTCTGTATCCTCACCATTTAGAACTGTGCCTGGCATATGACAGGTTCACAAACACATATTTTAAATAAATGCAATTAGATAGAAACTAAGTGCATGATATTCACATCAGCTTCTTTCTTGCACAGCTATTCAATTCAAGGACTAAATCTGAGAGTTGAACCTCTGATTCAAGAAAAGTAAAAACTTTACACGATTAAAGTCAGTTATGCTACAGTTGGGCTGATTGAGGTGTGAGACGTCACTGGGAAAAACAAGCTTCTTTGAGAAGCCTGCGGGTGCAGGGACAAGGCCATGTCCCATGGGCTGATTGAGGTGTGAGACGTCACTGGGAAAAACAAGCTTCTTTGAGAAGCCTGCGGGTGCAGGGACAAGGCCATGTCCCATTTGGCAGGAAATCCTGGGAGCCCATGCTACAGAAAAGCAGGAATGAAGCTCTGCAGGAAAGCTCTGAATTAATGAGCATCACTGGCTGGCAGCCTTTCGGTTCACTCTCAACACAAATATCAAACCCACCAGCGGATAAACGGCTTTAAATTAAAGGAAAAGGGCTGGTCATGTTTGCTTGCCAGCTAGTGCATGAAACATTTTCAGGGCCCTCAAAGGCATCAGGGACTATTTGTTTATTGATGTAGCTCCCTGTAGGGCTGACTCCGATTTAAATTCTGGATCTCTTTGTTAAAGTATGAAAATGATTTTGCATAATCAAAACCTCTATCTTTCTCATTGTTCTCCAGAAACACATCTCTGAGAAAAACATTTTTTTAACAGAAAATCTGTAAAGATGGGTAAGAATATACAAAATCTGATTTCAATAAATAAATAGTTACGGTGAATTGATAGCTCCTTAACTGCCTTTTGAATATTTAGTGCCAAAGAGAGTATGTCTTGTTCAGGAAAACACTACATCACTTGATTTCCCTTTCAGCAGATTTTGTGTCATTAATGCCTCTATTTGTCTCATTCCATCCTTAATAAATCAGTAACTGTTCTCTTGAACACTTAGCTAGAGGTTGCCTACTCAGGGTGGAACCCCACAGAAGAAATAAACATTAACCTTTCTGGATATAGTCATGGGATTTGATATAATGACGCAGCACCCTCAGACACAGAGATGTACGGAAGCATTTTGTGAGTGAAAATTAAACAAGAGTTCATAGGTAGCTGTAGGCAGATCTTTTATGCAGGGCAGACACTTAACTGGCATCCAGCCCTTTCAGAACTGGATGAAGTGTGGGAGGGAATGTCTATGAACAGCTAGGATCAGTGTTACCAAGACCAAGCCTGAGGGACATGGCCTGAAACCAACCATAGGAGAAGCCTCCATCAGAACTGGTCTGTTTCCTCTTGGCTTACAAGAAACATTCATTCCATCAATTTTTATGGCAGTTATTATATTCCAAGCACTAGACCAGGCTCTGGGATAGAGAGATGAATCAGATGCGGTCTCTGTACTCTGGGGGCTTACTAAGGGGACAAGTGTGGGAAGTACTGTGCTGAGCTGCAGGTGATGAGCACAAGAACTGAGGTCCAGTTCCTGGCTTCTTTGGTTTCTTTCTTCCTTCAAGAAGGACATTGACTTCCTGGCCTTTCTGACTTGCATTTCAGACCTCCTGAAAGCCGCTCCTTCATTCCTGTACTCAATAGGGGAGGAGGCTAAACCCACGGACACAGAGATGAGTGGGTGGTTACTGCCCTATGGGAACGGCAGCCTAGTGGTGAGAAGAGGCAACTCGGCAAATAATTACAATACAAAATCAGCCCTAATACCAGTTTCTGCTGTGCTGTGTCTGTAACTCTTGAAGTGCCTCAAAAATCCATATTTGTAGGCCTCAGCCACAGGCGATGATTCAGTAGGTTGAGAAGAAGTTGAGAAATGTATGTTGTTAACAGTGTATCCTAGTGATTCCAGCATATGGTCAGGTCTAGGAAGGGGACGGTAGACAAGTGGTGCTAGCAGAGGGGCTGCATAGTTGAGAGCTATTGGTCCTCTAAGACTTCAGAGGCATTAGGTTTATACCAGGTATAGTTTGGATGAAGGAAGACTATTTCAGGGATATAGGATCACATGGTACAACTCATGGGGTGATGAATGTCTGGGGCCTTGAGGGAACTGGGAAAGGCAAGCGTGAAAAAAGGAGTCACAAAAGCTGAAGTTGGGCAGGAGAGAAGGGGGCTGACTAAGAAGGATATTTAGCAAAGAGTTAAGAAGCTTGGCATGGATTCTATAGGGAAGACAGTGGCATGATCCCAGCAGAGTTCAGGAACACAGTGCTGGTGGCAAGATGGCAAGGATCTAGAGTAGCAGGACTAGAGGCAGAGGAACTGTCTTAGTTATCAATTGCTGTATAATAAATTACTCCAAAATGTAGTGGCTTTATACAATAACATTTTATTTGCTCCTCACTTGCTTTGGGTCAGGGATCCAGGCAGAGCAGGACTGGGAAGTTCTGCTCTTCATGGTTTGGCTGTGGCTCAGCTGGTGGTTGGGCTGGGCTGGACTGGAAGGTCTGAGGAAGCTCCATCCTTCTGCCTGGCACCCCAGTGCTCCTCTGCATGGCCTCTCTCTCTCTCTAGTGGGAAGAGAGTTGCTTAGGATTCTTCATGGAATGGTGGTTTAGGGGCAGTTGAACTTCTTATACAGGGCCTGACTTCCAGGAGGGAGCATTCCAAGTGGCAAAGGCAGATCTCTTAAGGTCAACCTTGGAAGTTACTTCCACATTACAACCGTGCTGCTTTTATGGGTTGAAATAGGTCAAATAGGTCACAGGGCCAGCTCAGACTTAAGAAGAAGGGAAATAGACTCCACCTCTTGATGTGGGGGAGGCAAGGTCATACTGCATAAGACATGGGGGATGGAGACATTGGCACAGCTACCTTGGTAAACACCATCTACCGCAGGACTAACTGGAATATTGTGATCTCTTAGACAAGAGATAAAGAGACCTGACGCATGGCAGTAGCAACAGTGATAGAAAGGGATGCCCATGGGAGATGTTTTAGAAGTAGAATTACATAACCTGCTTCCTGACTGGACTTGCGGAAGGGGATGGAAGGGTGAAGATTGATTCTTGAGTTCGTGATTGGCATAAGTGACGCTATCCACTGAGAAAAGGAGAGATCTGGGGCAGTTTGATGAGTGTGAGTGTGGCCAAAGCTGAGGTTGGTTTGTGACATGCTGAGTTTGAGACCCCTTTGCATGGAGAAGTTGAATAGGCATTGGAGCTCAGGAGAGAGATGTAGCTTAAAGACGCAACAAGTCCCTGGCATTGAAGCCTTAGGAATGGATAAGTCGACATACCTAGATGCTGTGGTTTGACTACATTCCCTCTCACATTCAGGTGTTACTAATGTGACAGTATTAAATGATGAGAGGCTTTAGGAGGTGATTAGCCCATGAGTGTTTCTCCCCCATAAATGAGTTTACTAGATGCCCTTGAGGAAGGGAGTTAGCTCTCTCTTGCCCTTCTGCTTTCTGCCACGTGAGGATGCAGTAAGAAAGCCTACACCAGATGCCAGCACCTTGATCTTGAACTTCCCAGCCCTCCAGAACTCTGAGAGAATAAATTCCTGTTCTTTGTGAGTTACTCAGTCTCAGGTATTCTGCTATGGCAGCACAAATGAACTAACACATGTGCATCCTCTTATTTTCATTTACAGGTGAGCAATGCAAGGTTTAGAGGCTCAGGACATCGCCCAAGGTGAGAGCTGGCAAGTAGTGAGTCAGGATTTGAACCAGCCTGTCTTATTCCACAGCCCATTCTCTTAAGGATTACCTTACCTTGCTCTCAGCAGGCAGTCCCTGAGCCCTTGTGATCTTGCTCTAAGGGGAAGCCAAGGCCCTGAAAACATTAGCTTATGAGAGCAGCTCCAGATGGAACTCTGGTCATAATCACAGGCTGAGCTCCAACCCTTGTCACACACTGAGCCCTGACCCTGGTCCATACTGAACCCCAATCCTGGTCACACACTGAGCCCTGACCCTGGTAATACAGTGAGCCCTGTGCTGTTATTGCCGCAGGAAACAGACTAAGACAGTAGGTTTTCCTTTTTTATCTTCATCAGCTTTATTAATGTCAAGAGCAGCTTAAACTTTTTGATTGGATATATCTTTTCTAAAGACAAAATGAATGTAAAAACACATCCCAGTTGGGGGCCGAATGACAGACACAAGCCAAAAACACAAGCCAAAGAAGGAAGATGAGCAAATCTCCTTTTCAAAGTGAATCAGAAGGCATCTGCTTTTGCCCTCCCCCTGCTGTGGCTTTGCGGAAGTGGTTCTTTTGTAATTAATCATCATTTCTATCCCCCCTTCTCCCGTCCCAAAGAGAAAAATCAGAAGTATGAATCAGGTCTCAACTTAGCAGTTGGGAAAAACACTGTAGAAGCTATATTTTAAAATATTTTAAAAATATCTCCTCAGAGGTGGCTTCCAAGGGGAGAAATCCACTTAAAACATATGTAATGGGAACATTTTTCTTTTGAGACTTTTTGCGTATTCATTTTACACAAAAATGTAAAAGTTAAAGTTCCTGTGTGTGATTTTATTTTTGTAAATTTTTGTTTATTTTTCTAAGTCTGATTTTAAAGGATCAACTTCTATTCTTAGATTGTAGGAAGACTATGTCCAGAAACTATTCTATGACTAAAACATCTTTACCAATGTAACCATACAAAAAGGAGGAAAATTCTAGAAGTCCCCTAGTCTGAAAACTGCTAAAAGCTTCTGAAGACTGTGTTTTTTCAGGTGATACTTAGTCCATAGAATAGACATAAAAAATGAAACAAAACATAAGACTTGTCTTGTAGTTGAATCTCAGTACTTTAATGCCATACATGTACAAGTGTTTTATGATAAAATGGAAATATTCTATTCTGGGGAAAAGCAAACATTGGTTACCAGATATATTTATTTAATGTCATAAAGTACCAGTCAAGTTTTCGGTAAAGATAGCAGGATGAATCCAGGTCATAGAAACTCCCTATTACCTGATCACATAAATTAAAAATAGAAAATAATAAAAAAGGAAAGCAGGAAGGGATACCATTTAGTGTCCTAACTTTAAAAATGGGGTCCTAAGAAAGAAATCAACCTTACTGGAAAGATTCCTTGTGGGTCTTAACATAGCCTCTACCCCACCTCAAAGCTGCATGGGGGAAGGAAGATGGACTTGTTAACACGTCTTGAGAATTTCCCCTTAAATCCCAAATTTCAGAAGAAATACACTAAGGAGGTAAGTGAGCTACTTGGAGGAAACATAAAGGAAAATCCTCAAGAGAAAAAGCTTCAGTTCCAGTCACTGCAGCATCCTAGGATGGCATCTAATGCAGAGAAAAAATGTAGGAATATTCATTTTTTCAAGGCTTTTTCCTGAACTTAGAGACCTAATAGAGCATTTTTAGTTAAGGGTAACAAACCCAGGACATTTTATATAACCTTTGAAGGGGGAGTTCTGTCTTTCTCCCCCTCTTTCCAAATTCTATGGTTATAGAAATAATAGGACACATTACTCTGAGTCCCCAGACTATAGTTGGAAAGGGAAGATAAGCAGGTATAATATTAAGGTGAACATGGTACCAAAGAAAACTCATCTGTACTAAACTATAGCAAGGAAAAGGTGTGGATGAAAGTGCCCACATAAGCCTGAGCAAAATGAAAAGAAACATCATAGTAATTATTCAAACGTACAGTTTCATCACCTTTAAAATGGAGCAAATAATTGTATCTGCCTGACAGGGTTGTGTTATAATAATTAGAGGATTAATATATGGAAATTGCAGAGAACAGGGTCTGGCACACAGAGAACCATTCAGTAACTATTAACAATAAAAATAATGGTTTTATTAAAATAGTACAGGAAAAGGTAAAATCAATCTAGCACACTAAAGACTGATAAACAGTCTGCAAAAGAGGACAACTTATGGGAAAGATTACCCGAGAGTATTTTACTCTGAAGAGCTTAATAAAACTATGAATTTTATTAAATAAGTGTTTGACAACAGATTTAAAAAGAAAAACAGTATAAGATAAAAAAGAGGAATGCAGAGAAACAAAAACACCCAACTGCATTACATAATTTATAACTAAATTAGAATTTTCAAGGATTAGAATGGCCATAGCTGAAAATTGAATTGCTAACATAGAAGAAAGGCTCGATTGAATGCAGAGAATAATCAAGAGAGAATAGCAGTTCAAGAAGGACTAATAGATATAAGTGATTAATAAAGATGATCCAACATCATCCAACAAAATAAATTATGTCCAAGAAACTATAGAATAAATGACATAGAAACAAGTGACACCAAAAAATATAGCCAAAGTTGTGATAGAATAAAATTTTCCTTGAAATAAGTAAAAATCTAATATGCATATTGAAAGAACCCACCATGTTTCAGGAAATATTGACAAAATGATATAGAATGCGGATGCAGAACATTAGAATTTACTGAACATACGTTGTTAAATAATTATTTTTTACCTTTTATTTTAAGTTCAGGGGTACATGTGCAGGTTTGTTACACAGGTAAACTTGTGTCATGGGGGTTTGTTGTACAGATTATTTCATCATCCAGATATTAAGCCTAGTACCCATTAGTTGTTTTTCCTGATCTTCTCCCTCCTCCTACCCTCCACTCTTCAATAGGCCCCAGTGTGTGTTGTTCCCCTGTATGTGTCCATGTGTTCTCATCATTTAGCTGCCACTTGTAAGTGAGAACATTCAGCATTTGGTTTATGGTTCCTGTGTTAGTTTGCTAAGGATAATGGCCTCCAGCCCCATCCATGTCTTTGCAAAGGGCATGATCCCATTCTTTTTATGGCTGCATAGTATTCCATGGTGTATATGTACTACATTTTCTTATCCAGTCTATCGTTGATAGGCATTTAGGTTGATTCCATGTCTTTGCTATTGTGAATAGTGTTGCAGTGAACATTGGCATCCATGTGTCTTTATAATAGAACAATTTATATTCCTTTGTGTATATACCCAGCAATGGGATTGCTGGGTTGAATGGTATTTCTGTCTTTAGGTCTTTGAGGAATCACTACACTGTCCTTCACGATGGCTGAACTAATTTACACTCCCACCAACAGTGTGTGAGCATTCCTTTTTCTCCCTAACCTCGCCAGCATCTGTTATTTTTTGACTTTTTAATAGTAGCCATTCTGACTGGTGTAAGGTGGAATCTTATTGCGGTTTTGATTTGCATTTCTCTAATGATCAGTGATGTTGAGCTTTTTTTCATATGATTTTTGGTGGCATGTATGTCTTATAAACCTTTTTGAAAAGAAGAAAGATCTCTTCAAGTACCTAGGCAGAAAAATCAGGATACCTACAAATGAACAAAATCTTGCTGACCTAATACTTTTTCATAGCAATATTCAATGCCAGAATACAATGGAACAATGTCTAAAGTTCAAGGGAAAAGAGGGTTTGACCCAATGATTTTCTACCAATATAATCATCTCTTGCATATGAAGACCATATGTGGGAAATACTCCAATGAGAATTATAGCACATATGAGCTTTACTTGGGAGAAAACAAGAACATGAATACCTACTGTTCAGCTGTAAAATCAAGGCGGTCATTGATTTCTCCAATTCATAAAAGGAGAGTCCACTATATAAGGACTAGAGGATCATTTAGAGTTGGAAGCCAATGGAGCAATATCTGTAAGGTGTTGAGCAGAAGAAAATATGACATGTGAGTAGTGCATGTAGTCAAGATATCTTTTGAGTATCTGAGCAAAGGTCTTTCTCAGACATAATGTGAGTAAAGCATATGTGAACAAAACAACCTAACTGACAATGAAATCCAGCCAACCAAGAAATTAAACACCCCTCCCTCCTGAGGAATTAAAAAGCTTAAAAAAGAAAAAGCACTGGTAGTCCTTTTATTGTGGGAGTTATAGAACCAAATCCAAGATTTATAAACCTTGGGAAGTAAAAATTATTATTATTTTTTTTTTTTGAGACGGAGTCTCGCTCTGCCGCCCAGGCTGGAGTGCAGTGGCGGGATCTCCGCTCACTGCAAGCTCCGCCTCCCGGGTTCACGCCATTCTCCTGCCTCAGCCTCCCAAGTAGCTGGGACTACAGGCGCCCGCCACTACGCCCGGCTAATTTTTTGTATTTTTAGTAGAGACGGGTTTCACCGTTTTAGCCGGGATGGTCTCGATCTCCTGACCTCGTGATCCGCCCGCCTCGGCCTCCCAAAGTGCTGGGATTACAGGCGTGAGCCCCCGCGCCCGGCCTAAATTATTAACAAGATCTAAATTTTGTTAGGAGTGAAGAAGGATGAGAATATTAGTTACTAATGTAGCAGCGTATTAATACCGAACTCTTCCTCTCTGTGTATCTGGAGAGGTTCCTAAGGCTAAGGATAAAACACTAGGTGCCACCTTTCCCCGTGTTTCAAAGTTTGGTGCTGGACTCCATTTGCAGAACTCTTGGAGGGAATGGCCAAAAATATTCTCATAGTAAGAATATAAGAGGCTGGCCATGGTGGCTCACATCTGTAGTCCCAGCACTTTGGGAGGCGGCAGGTGGAACACCTGAGGTCAGGAATTCAAGACCAGCCTGACCAATATGGTGAAACCCCATCTCTACTAAAAATACAAAAATTAGCTGGGCATGGTGGCTCGTACCTGTAGTCCCAGCTACTCGGGAGGCTGAGACAAGAGAATTGCTTGAACCCAGGAGGCAGAAGTTGCAGTGAGCTGAGATTGTGCCAGTGCACTCCAGCCTGGGCAGCAGAGCGAGACTCCATCTCAAAAAGCAGTAGCTGCAGCACTAGAAAGATGGCGGAGCAAGAGCAAAGAAAAATCTCTTTGGTTCCAGAAAATCTCCTGAAAAAGGGGAAGGTTTATCAAGCTCTCAAAGCCACCCAGGCAAAGGAGGCACTTTTGGCAAAGAAGGAGCAGAGGAAAGGAAAAGGATTCAGGTTTAAGCGACTGGAATCATTCCTACATGATTTCTGGCAGCAGAAACATGACAAGGTGTGTCTCAGATGACTAGAAGTGAAATCTCATGCCTTGGAATTGCCCGATAAACATTCCTTGGCTTTGTTGTACGCATGGAAAGGATTGATGGTGTGAGTTTACTGGTGCAGAGAACCATTGCAAGACTTTGCCTAAAGAAAATTTTTAGTGGTGTCTTTGTAAAAGTCACTCCCCAGAACCTAAAAATGCTGCGTATGGTGGAACCTTATGTGACCTGGGGATTTCCAAATCTGATGTCTGTCCTGGAACTCATTTTGAAACATGGACAAGCCAAGGTCAAGAATAAGACCCTCCCTCTGACAGCCAACACAGTTATTGAGGAGCATCTGGGGAAGTTTGGTGTCATTTGCTTGGAAGATCTCATTCATGAAATTGCCTTCCCAGGGAAGCATTTCTAGGAGATCTCATGGTTCTTGTGCTCTCTCAGTGGCCCGTCATGGTACCAAAAATAGAGTGGGCTTCCTCAAGGAGATGGGCACACCTGGCTATTGGGGTGAATGCATCAATCAGCTCATCTGCCTGCTTAACTAGACCCAGGTGCCAAACTGCAGTAAATTTTTATCAGTGAAGTGGAAGCACGTGTTTCTGTTTTTTTTTGGAATTTTTATTGAGTATCTTCAGAGAAGATTATTTCCTGCTTTATCTTCAAAAACTGGAAAGGAAGGGTCAAAGAAAAGATAGTAGTTTATGTTCATGGCAAGCACCTCTCATCACAATCCAGTTCCAAGGAAAAATTCCAGCATTTTCTACATTGGCTGCCATCTCGTCTGAAATCAGCACATTCCATGGAAGAAGGAGTCCTGCTTTGGTGCATCTTCTACCCTAGGGTTTAATGTTGGTAAATGAGTAACTCTAGCATTTGTACAAGGCTCCCTAAGACTCCTGCAGTGGTTGACCAAGCCCAGGGACATAATTGAATCTGGAGATTCCTGGGGCCTTGTTTTGAAAAAGATTTGAAATACACATAGGAAGAAAGGACCAAAAATAAATGTTCACTTGTCTCTGCAAAGAAAAGCAAAGAAAAACAAAGACAAAAAGAACAACGAGTATAAGAATATTAAGGGATTATATTTTGATCCCTTAGTCCATCACTCTCCTGGAGTGTTTGAAAGAGTGAACACTCAAGGAGAAAGAAAAAAATATCTCTGGAGAATGAGAGGGATGATGCTTTGAGATTACTTCAGGCTTGGTGTGAAGGTCTTCACCTTTAGAACTTGATATGTGTTCTGAGGGTTGAAGGGACAAAATGGACTACTAGTAGACTCAGGAATATGAGATCTAAAGGCAGGAAGTTGCAGCAAGCTTTCGACCCCAGGAAGCAGAACAAAGAGGAAGATAATTGCTTTGGGGGTAGGTGCCACTTCCACCACTGGCAGGGGCAAGCTTTCAGGAATGTTTCCCATACAGCAGATATGGGCATTGGGAAAACCAGCATGGAATGTAGACTTCGCCCAAGGGACTTTGTCCACGAGGGCCATTGGGAGGGCAGTAGGGGCTCTAACAGGAATGTATACAAGACCTGTCTCTGGATGCAAGGTTTCAGGAGTTGGAGTCATATATGGCCAGGCCAGAGGAAAGGCATCACCCACATCATAAAAATTTCCATTGGAGTTTCCCAGTTTCCCAAACTGCAAAAAACCCCTAAAAGAGTCTCCAGATGTCTCAAAGGTACCAGCAAAGTAAGATCTTTCCCTAAATTCCCTTTCCTCCTGTGCTCAGCTGTGAACAGGTCGTCTGGGAAGATGAGTGAGCAGGGGAGAAGGGTAGAAGAACAGTGCTAGGAAGGAGAGAAGAAATTCCCCATTAACATGATACCCCAATGTTATAGGACCTAGCAAAGGGGTAGGTGTCCTTGATTTTTCATTGCTGCTAGCTGACCGTCGCTTTTTCTTTTTCCCTAAACCTTCCAGCTTCCTTAGCAAATGTCATCAGTTACACTACCTATTTACCCTTTTTGTAGCACTTATGCCGAATCTTTGTGGCTATTCTCTTTTGATCATTTATTCATTGAAAGTTAGCAATTGGTTTACTGCCTATCTCTATAATCATCATGGGAGACTTCAACATCCATGTAGATTGCTCATCCAAAAGTCTGACCTCTCAGCTTCTTGATTCCCCTTTTTCTTTGTCTTTTCCTCTGTCACAGTTCAGCCACCAATTATTAATAATGGCACCACCTCCAAAACCTTGACTCAAGTTTCCCATTCTATGGTCTTTCTGCCACACTTCTTCTAGTTTAAATTCTACCAATTATTTGACCTATAAAGACCTCCCAGTCATCAATTAAGTCCACTACATTTCTTTACTTTCATTTTTATCTATGAATTCCACGGTTTATCATTATAACCACTCATTTGCTTAACCACTTAACTCTCTCACCCCTGTCTCCCTCTGTCATACTTGCCTAATTTGGCTAAAGGCAGTATTCTGTTTACTTTTCACCTGTTTAAATATGACTAGAAAAAACCATAACCATACTCAATAGTCTTGCTTTAATTTAGGACCATGTAACTCAGCAAGCCTTATCCATTTTTCTGGTCAGTTCCTTTGTCCATTCTCCTGAATAACCACTTCAACCTTCTTCCCAACCTCCCACCTCACCCTCATCCCCTTTTCAGTCTAAGCTAATGATCTAGCTTTTTTTTTTTTAAATAAGAAAACAGAAGTAATCAGAATATAACCTCCTTATTTTCCATAACTAGGGCTGCATACCTACCTATATCTACAGTACTCACGTCCTTTGTCTTCCCTTCTCTTATAAAGGATAAACTCTCTCTGCTTCTGCCCAAGGCCAAGTTTCATTCTTGTGCCCTGGATTCCAATCCCTCTGTCCTACTCATACTTTGCTTTGTTAATGATCATTTCTCTCCTTCAAGAACAATTTTCACTTCAACTGAATCATTTCCATCACCAATTAAACATACCCCAATATCTCCCATATAAAAAATAACTATCCCTGGAATCCACATGCCCCTCCAATTATAACCTTATTTATCTTCTCTAAAGGCAAAACCATCTTTAAAGTGTTTTATATACTTTATATACTTCTTCATGTCCCATGTTCTTGAAACAGATCTAATTACCACCACTCAACTGAAACTTTTGTCAAGGTCACCAATGACTTCCATGTTAAGTCTAATGGTCAATTCCAAATGCTCATCTTGGTAGATCCTTCAGCTTATTTAATGCGTTAGGTTACTCCCTCTTTCTTGAAATACTTTCATATTTGGTTTCTGAGACTCTGTACTCTTCTGCCTTTCCTCCTATCCCACTGCCAGCTCTGTCACTGTCTTCTTATTCTTAGTTCAATCCTTCTTTTATTCACTACCTCTAAATGTTGGAGTGTCCCAAGGTGCAACTCTTAGATCATTTTCTTCTGCCTGCATTTGCTTCCTAGGCAATCTCATCTAGCTTCATGGCATCAAAATCCCTAATACACTTATGATTTCCAAATTTACCCAGCCCATTTCCCAATTCTGACCTCCAAATTTGGAAATACAACTGGCTTCTCTATTCTCCCAGCTCAACTCTCTCATAGATACCTCAAACATAGCATGTTCAAAGCAATTCTTTATTTACTTCTTCCCACAAATCTGATCACACCTCTCCTGTTCATTCTCCCCCATTCCCATATAGGGCACTTTGCTTAGGCCCAAAGCCAAGGCATCTTTCTCAACTTCCCTCTTTCTTTCACACCCTGTTATGGATTGAATATTGCCCCCTAACCCCCCACAACAAACACCAAAACAAAACAAAAACATGATACTTTGAAATCCTAGCAACCAGTACCTCACAATGTGACCTTATTTGGAAATGGTGTGATTAGTCAAGATGAGGCCATACTGGAATAGCAAGGGCCCCTGGCCCAATATGATGGGTGTCCTTGTAAGAAGATGGCCATGTAAAGACAGAGATGTACAGGAAATGCCCTGTGTGACAGTGAAGGCAAAGATTGAATTTACAGCAGCTGCCCACTAAGGAATGACAAAGACTGACAGCAAACCACCAGAAGCTAGGAAGAGGCAAGGAACTATTGCCCTGCAGGTTTCAGAGGGAGCATGACCGTGCTGACACCTTGTTTTCAGATGTCTAACCTCCAGAACTGTAAGACAATACATTTCCATTGTCTTAAGCCACTCAGCTTATTTTACTTGGGTACAGAAGCCCTAGGAAGTGAATGTATGTCCCATATTCCACTCACTAGCAAGTATTCTTGGCTCTGGCTTTGGAAAGATAGCAATAACCTGTCAATTTATCTCCCTGCTTCTACTCTTGCCCTGGCCCACCAGAGCTATTTTCTATGGCTCAGTTCAAGCAATCTTTTCAAAATGTAAACCAGGTCATGCCATTTCCTTGCTCAAGACCTTCGAATGGCTTCTCATTACAAACAGAATAAACCTTAAATGTCTTTCCCAGGCTTATCGGTCTCTGCATATCCTGGCCTCCAGCCTCCTCTCATCTCCTATCCCTTGCTCACTCAAGTCTCAGCACATTGACCTTCTTGCTGTTGCTGTGACATGCTGAGCTGGTCCAGCTGATATGGTTTAGATATTTGTCCTCCTAAAATCTCATGTTGAAACTTGATCCTCAATCTTGGAGGTGGGGCCTGGTGGGAGGTGTTTGGGTCATGGGGGTGGATCCCTCATGAATGGTTTGTTGCAGTCCCCACGGTAATAAGTGAGTTCTCATGCAGTTAGTTCCTCCAGAACTGATTGTTGAAAAGAACCTGGCACCTCCTCTCTCTTGCTTCCACTCTCATCATGTGATCTGCACACACCAGTTCCCCTTCGCCTTCTGCCTTGAGTGGAAACTTCCTGAGGCCCTCACCAGAAGCAGATGCTGGCGTCATACTTCTTGTACAGGTTGCAGAACCCTGAACCAAACAAACCTCTTTTCTTTGTAAATAACACTGCCTCAAGTATTCCTTTATAACAACACAAAAATGGACTGACACCAGCCTTAGGGCATCTGCATTTGCAATTCTCTCTGTCTAGGATGCTCTTTCCCCACATGTATTCATGCCTTAGTTCTCCTTCTCATTAAGGCTCCTTCTCTTATCCCCAGAGAAGCTCTCTATGCCTACCTGATCTTAATCGGCCCTTCTAACACTTTTCTCTGCTTTATTTCTCTTCCTAGCACACGTCCCCATCTGAAATTTTCATATTTATTGATTGCACTATTAAATTGCCAGTGCCTTTGCAGAGTCATGCATGTGGTAGATAGCAAATGAATGAATGAATTCCAGCATTTGTCCAAAATTCAAATATAAAGTTAAAAAAATGACTTCCACCTCTTTCATTTTTAATTAAAGTTTTCCTGGTTTTGACAGAACTTTTACAAATGAATATCTCTGTGGTGAAGAAACATTTATCTGAAGTTTAGCAATTTCTTCAGTTTCTTGGCAATTCTTCTTTCTTCTGTTAAATACAATTAATATTAAAAATCTTTTATTTAAATAACATGAGAAACATAGTCCCAGTTGCTGTATAAATGCAAAGAGCAATGTCTGCAATGATAGTCCCCCAGTAGGGAGGGGGTTGGATTTGGAGGAGATTTTTGTTTGTTTTCTTTTTTGTACTCTTAGGTATCAGTTGAATGTTTATAGCTAGTGTATGTCTTTCATATAAAATATACTCCCATTATTCTTTTTAAAAACCTCTCAAATAAGGTTTTAATGACAGAATATAGCAAAATTAAAATATAAAAAAACCAAGGTTTATGTTTGACACAAGCTGATGTCTTAAGAGAAAACTTGAGTTATGCCTTAATTTCAAAGGATGTAGGAGAATCAGAAATTACTTTTTATTCATTCAGACTGATATTTCACAGCTAAGCAAACTGAGATAGTTTGGCAATTCGGTGCATAGGACTATAACATTAAGAAGTAGAAAAAAGTATCCTAGAACTCTGTGAATTCAAATCTCATGTATTTCCAAAGACATTTTAAATCTGCCTTTTAGAATTTTGCTCCCAGAGATGGACCAGATTTGGCTTTCTCTCAAACATAGTCTCCTTGGAGAGAGATCATCTGAAGGACACACGTTAATGGAAAGGAAAGGAAACTTGTTAACGGAAAGGAAAGGAAAGTGACTGTCTCTGCTTGGTGGTCGCTTGGGAAGCTTCAGCAGGAGCTGGGTATTGAAAAATGGGAAGAGGAGAAGGAAAGGAAGAGAATCCCAGAAGTAACTGGGGATGAAGGAATGAGTTATGCAAGCTAATGGTCTATCCCAGGAATGCCACACAATCTCTGTGTGGCTGGACAATGTGGGGAATGGGAGAAAGCAGAAGGAGAGGAAGCTGGAAAGGTAGAGGGGCCAAGCTAGGAGGGGCCCTGAATGCCAAACCAAAGAGTTTAGGTTTGATTCTGGAGGCCAGGAGCACACCCCAGAGAGAGAAGTAAGAGCACATAGACATAAGATCCCAAACACAGATGTAAGAGCTGTGTTTCTGATCTGTATTTTTGAAAGATGACTCTGGTGACTGCATGGAGGAGGGATAAGGCCAGGGTGAGACCAGATGCAAGGCAAACTTGTTCAGAGGCTGTCGTGAGGATGGAGGGAAGAGAGAATGAGGACCAGAGAGAAAGACATAGGAGGCATACCGATGCAAGATTGTAAAGTAGAAATGATTGGGTTTGATGACTGATTTGATATGGCAGGAACTGGGAGGAGATTGGAGACGAAGGAATCAAAAGATGGCTCTCAGATTTACTTGAATAGCAGGTCACTGGGGCTGACCTAAGAATTTTATAAAATGAACCAAGTTACCATATTGAGAATGAGTTTCTGGTTTATAAAATCTGTATGTGTTCTTGTTCATGAAAAGTTTCACCATTTGGTGACTTACTATTTCTAACATGCAGATGTGATGCCAGGCCTGGGATCATGCCCTAGCTGGATAATATGGTCTTGTACCAGGTGCCACTCCACAGCCCCAATGAGGAAAGATGCTTTAGGAAACATCCACAGAACATCAGGGCAGGTATGACAATCTTTCTGAACATTTCAAAGAAACTTGCAATGTACAGGTTTCCTTGGCAAACTTTTCTAGTGACACCATTGAGATTCAGCTAAGCCACTAGGTACTCATAAGGTTTTTTAAGCCAAATTGTGAAATGTGAGTTGTCAGTCTCTATTCCCCAGGAAGAAACAGTTATCAGTAAAAACAGATGTGGTGGTTGCAACATTTAGATGAAATATTGATGACTTCTAAAAGGCCAGCTGGTAATCACTATTCCTTTTGATTCTGGAACCAATGATTGCGGTGATTCAGCTCTGCTGTAATTTCTTAGGGAACATGGCATGGGGGAGTGTGTGTTCCATGTTGAAACTTTAAGGACTTCTCAGCTCCTGGAGTCCCTAAGTCTTCAGAGCATCCTTCCAAGATGAGAAATCAACCAAGGCTCTGCACCAAAATTTACCATGCTTAAGTCTCATCTTCTCAGTCCTTATCTGTTTTTAGCAAAATGTCAAAATGCCTATCAATGAAGCACATGCTTGAGGTTTATAATAGATAGATATTGGTCTTCCTGACTCACTTGATTTCCAAGGACCCCATGTGCTTTAGATGGTCAGTCCTGGCTGCCTCTGGTCTTTGCTCCCTTGATTTCCTTCATTTGATATGTTGCCTTTGCCCTCTCACTGCTTATTTAGATCCTTTCCATGCTCAAACCAAGCTCATAAACTCCATATTTTTGTGAAAACTTTTCCACTAGAAATTTATTGATTTATTCTTTGTGTTTGTTAGAACTTTGTGTATATGCTCAAGAGAGCATTTGCTAATTTGCCCTGTGATCAAGAATTACCCTTACTGGACTTTAAGTGTTTGAAGGAGGGACTGTGGGTTGACCTATATTTATGAATTTCTGCCCTCCCCCAGCCCCTCTCCCTCCAAGGCCCAACACAGTGCCTTCAGAAGCAGCAGCCATTTTATTGAGGATTTTGGTATGATTTTAGATGCAAACACTCATGTAATCTTCAAAACAACTCAAGAAAATAGACGCTATTTTTATCTCCATTTTCCATGTTCTTTGACCTAGCAATTCTATTTATAAGAATTTATCCTATAAATATATTTGCACATACGAAACTGGCCCATGTAAAAGGGTATACAAGGTTGGTCAGTTCAGCACTGATTATAACAATGAGTGGAAACTTAACTAGAGGATTGGCTAAACAAACTATAGTGAATCTATGAAATAAAATGTGATTGGTCTGGAAAGGTCTCCAAGACACATTTTTAAGTGAAAAAAAGCAACCAAGTTGTACAGATGGTATGTATAATATATTCCTATTTATATAAAATATTTGTGCATGTATTTGCAAATCTGTGCATAGATTATCTTTGGAAGGATATACACTATAACAAGTAGACAACACTTGTTATCTCTGGGGAGAGTTACTGAGTCAGGTTACCTTGGTCATCACCCTGGTGATCTGACAGGACCCTACACTCCTATCTTGGGGTCATCCATCCCCAGTGTATCTCAGCCACTTAAACTGGAACCACATTACCACTAATGGTGGCTTTAAGTGCTTAATTTTTAAATCCAGTGGAGGCTGAGCTAGAAAAATAAGTGTAAAAGAATCCTTCTGTAATTTAGCAAGATGCTAGAATTCTTTCTTTTTAATTAAAAACCAAAACACCGAGACCATGCAGCAGCACGTTAATCACAAGAGCAGAGGTATTGTTCCGCATTAATGGAAATTTCTGAAGGCAATCATATGAAAATGTTCAATTATGATCTACAAAGGCCATGAACCTCTCGGATGTCTGTGGAGACTGAAAGGAGACTCTTTGTGCACCCACTGGGACTCTTCCTTCCTGCCGCCATGTTTCCTCATTTCCCTTCAGGGTGATGTCCATGAAGTTTTCCTCTAAAGGCACTCCAGCTGAGCTGTCAACTTCCTGGGCTTTAATGCATAGTGATTGCTGCTATTTTTGTTATTTTCCATCTCTCTGATGCTGCTCCATTGTCCCTCCTGCGGTTGCCCTTTTCTGTTCTTTAGTATTTTAATTAATGTTGTTTAATTATACTTGGCCCCCTGAGGATTTTTGAGGGGTGAATTCAATGGGAAAGACTGAATGAATAAATTCTCCAGTCTTTTGCACACTTGTTATCAAGAGCTTCTCACCCAGGGGCACACCCAATTATTTCCAACACATCAATAATGCCAAAGGGAGGGACAATGGGATGTTTAGGAAGAAAAGAGGCCTGACAAATGACTACTTTTTATTCCATGGTCCCAGCCTATAGGATGAGGTCATTATATGATTGGTATTATAGGAGAAGCAGCATTTTACCTATACCCTCTTATATTTTTTTTTGGCTGGGTCTGAGAATTAAATTGACATAAAACAAACGAGCAAGATAAAAACATACAAATTTATTTAATGCAAGTTTTATGTAGCAAGGGAGGCTTCATAGGGAAATGAAGACCCAAAGATGCAGTTAGAGTTGAACACTTGTGTATTGAATTGGACAAAGATCAGTAAGTTGTGAAAATGTGGTGAGGCAAAGGGGCTAGCTAGGGTAGTTAACTGAGTGGACAAGTGACCAAACAGATAAGGGTTAGTTTCACAGGTGCTATAGTTTGGTTTGTTTGACTCCTGCATATTTCACCTTGAAATTTGATTTCCGATGTTGGGAATAGAGCCTAATGGGAGGTGTTTGGGTCATAGCGGCAGATCCCTTATGAATTTATTGGTGCTGTCTTCATGCTAATGAGTGAGTTCTTATTCTCTTAGTTCCCATGAGAGCTGGTTGTTGAAAAGAGCCTGGCATCGCCTCCTCTCTCTCTTGCTTTCTCTTTTGCCATGTGATCTGCACACACCAGTTCCCCTTACCCTTCCTCCATGAGAGGAAGCAGCCTGAGGCCCTCACCAGAAGCAGATACTGATGCCATACTTCTTATGCAGCTTGCAGAACTGTGAGCCAAATAAATCCCTTTTCTTTATAAATTACCCAGCCTCAGGTGCTCCTTTATAGCATCACAAAAGGACTAAGACAACAAGGTTTGTTTGTACAGACATCCCTCAGCCTCAACTCTCCTTACGATTTCCTTCTGTTATAGGGAGGACATCTTTCACATCGGAATTTCATCTCTTGCTTTAAAGAAGAAGGAGGGTTAGAGTGTTCTTTTTGTACTTGCTGTTTTCTAAGTGCTTTTAAATCAAAATAGTCAATACTCTAGAATGGCATATTTGGGGTGTTATATTCCGAACTCCTCTGAATTAAACTTAATTCAGTTATATCTCATTAGTGATGCCCATGGGATATAGTTAACAAAATGCAGCCCAGAAGTGGATGAAGCCTTCCAGGGAGGGTTGTATTCATCTGTATCAATCAGTGGCCCTCTGTATCTCTCCTTTGTCCCTTTAAAGGTGACACATTGACACAGAGTGTCACTGACTGTGCCCTTCTGTTCACCTTGAGCTCTCCCATCATGGTAAGGAGGATGTTCTTTTAGCATCTGTGCCTCAGACTTTCTCTCCAGAACCTGCTTCTTGTTCTGACTTCTCATGGTTATAGTTTGGTCTCCTCAGAGTCCCTGACCTAAACAGGATTGACACTTTGGGCTCCCTGGGAGTTCTTTTCTATCCTCAGCCTGATTGGCTTTTCCATCTGCTTTTGATTCAACCTCACATTTGCCATTTCTTTTTTAGACTGTGCCCAAATCCATCCTTCCTTTAGCTCTCCACGGCTATCCCCTCAGTGCATGTCCAAGGGGTCTTGCTGCTAGGCTATTGCAATCAGTGATTTCCTTACCAAGCCCCTCCCTTTAAATATCCCCCAAGCTGATATCATATATGATTTCTACTACCCAGAAGGTAACTGCTGAATGCTACTGTGTGAAAGACTACCATGTGAAATCATTGGTTCTGCAAAAATAAACAAAGATGACCCAAACGAGAACAAGTGAAGGCTATTTGTTCTGAGTAAGCAAAGGAGTCAACCAGCGTCACCTGCAATTGGCAGAGACTCAAAGTGGAAAACTTTATAGAGGACAAAAGGAAGACTGCAGGTCTGCCCTGATTGGAGGCTGTTACAAGCAGGCTAACCAGAAGTGGGGCATCTTATGTTATGGGTTAGGGGAGCACATTTGGCCTTCCCTGATTGGCTCTAAGTTGCAAATGGAGGGCAAAAATAGGGAAGCTGTCAGTTATTGATGAGTCCTGATGATTTGGAGCTGCTCATTACAGAGGTGGAGGTCTGGCTTCCCAGTCTGGTAGCTGTAAGTTGCAGATCAGAGTTATTTTAGTAAATAGTCTGGCCATTGTCTGTTTGTATATACAGTCTCTCAATTCTAAAAGGCATGTTTCCCACCTCCAACATTTTAACAATTTAACCTCAAATTGATGATTTTATCTTCTTCCACAGGTCATCATTTAGTTGACAATTTTTTTTCCTTTGTAGTTCAAAAAATAATGGTGCACTTAAAGTTTAATGGCATCTTAGATTTGATGAAATACAATATTGTAGGGAAATAACTACATTTCCACTTCTGAAGATTTTATACTATAGTGAGGGAGAGAAGACATCCAGAAAAAAAAGTGATATTTCAATATGCATTTTAGGCAACTTTATATGGTCCGTTACTAAGTCATTGGTCTGGATTATGTGGCTGGAATTGTGGAGGTGGAAGAGAGCTTTGGTCTGAATCTTAAGGATACTAAGCTGCAGAAGCACCAATAGAAATGGCTTATAGAGAGCCTACTATGGGCCAGATGTTACTCTGGGTGTAATATGTGAATTCTCTTTTATATAACAAGAAAGACTTGGAAAGCCAGAGAAAAGGTAGGAGGAAGGTGGAATTATCTTAGTGGAGAAACCCAGAAAAACCGCTAATTATACATTAAGCCATAAAGATTTTTAATTCTTCCACATTATAAGGAGTTCAAAGAGAGGCTGTTGAAGGATAGTGTAGGTACTCAGTAATCTACTAGGACTTGATCTCCCTTTCTGTTCTTGCTGTCTGGTTACCCTGCTGTCTTTAGGATGGTGGCTCGTCTGCTTATGGGTACCAGATGGCTCCTGTAGCTCCAGGCATCATGGCTATGTTCAAGGCGGGAAGACACACAAAGGAATAGTGCCAGCTGCATCTGCCCAGTTAATCAGAAAAACCAAAGCTTCCCCATGTACTTCTAGCAGTTGCCCTTTAAGTGTCATTGCCTAGAGCTGGGAGACATAGCAACTCCAAACGATAAGCATGCTGGGAAGTCATGAGTTGGGCAAAATAGGATAGGAGTGAAATAATGGGATTGGGCCAAATCACCATCCACAGGGCTGGGACACTGCCACTGCAAACAAAATTGGGATTCTTGGTTTGAGGGCCAGGAAAGGGAGAAATACCTGTTGTGCAGGTAACTAAGAGTGATTTCTGTTGTATGCAGAACAGGGATCCTGCATGAGGGAGAACACGAGGTTTCTGCAGAAAGCATGGGAGACTAATTTAACTGGAGAGAAAAATGGATGACTGAGTGGCACCAATGGGAAGCAGGTTTAGAAAGTGGCCTGTGACTGGGCTATGAGGTCCCAGAACTTGGAATTTGAACTTTAGTGTAGTAATTGTTGGGTAATCTCTCAATACTGTTGATTGGGGAATGTGAAAGGGCACGTTTTCTAGCTGGAAGGGACCTGATAGTTCATCAAATCCAACCACTGCTTTTAGAGAAAAAGGAGATTTAGTTTTAGACATGTATTGGCACAAAGTAAATTAGAAGAGGGAAGTTCTCCTCATTTTTAGGCCTGTGCTTTTTCTTCCACATTCCTGCTCCTCTGCTTCTATAGCAGAATAGGGTATTTTCAATTCAATTCACTTATTGAGTGTATATTATAGATCAGGCACCTTGATGGGAGGGAGAAGGAGGACACAAGAAATGAAAGGGTTAATACAGAAGTCAGAAATAAATACACTTCTCGGGGACAGCCAGTAAAATAAATGAGTGGACGGGACATAAGACCCTAAACTTTATGTGACCCATAGCTTCAGGGTTGCAAAGACTGTAGGGAAGAGTGGAGACTGGGGCAAACTGGGGAGTACACACCCTTTTGAAAGCGTCCATTAGCCATTCAGATCTATCTGATTGGTAACATGTAAAAAATGTGGCTTACATTTGTAGCACTTTTTATTTAGAGAGAAATCAAGAGTCCAGCTTTTTATGTGAAATTTCCAGACTTCAAAATGTTAGCAGGAAAAAAAAAAGGTCTCTGGGTCAGATGCTGCCAGTCTGTGACTCTGGCATGAAGAAGCAAGTCATTCAGGAGTCCTGCCCTCCACTGGCTCACAACCTGGTCACCATCCCCGGGGAAAGTCCCTGACCCTGCCTGGGTTAGGCATCTCCTTTCTGCCCACCTTAATCACACTCCATTGTAATGATCTGTTCTATGGCTGTCACTGAATCTGAGATCTGTCCTTGGTCCCACTCATTAGGATAGACAGAATTGACTGAGTGCCTGTGCACTGTTTCCCACATCAGCCTGAGTGTTCTCCAGGCTCCTAATGGCAAGCTGGGAAGAGGGCTGCTCTCCCCATCATGGCAGTGAGAGGAGAGCTGGATTGCAGGTACCTGAGGGCTGTCTCCTCCCCATCCCACACCCTGAGCTTAGGGCTTAAAGCCTCTGGCTGAACTTTCCATGGAGACCGAACGCAACCCTTTTGTCACACAGACTGTCACACCCAAGACCTCCCAGTTCCCCAATCTATATGTGATCGAGGGTTTACACCTTCTCAGGACTGCTTCTTTGTCTCTTGGGTGTGGCGGCTCCTCCATATTATCCCAGCCCCCAATTCCTTGTGGCTTGACCCTCAGGTTTCTCTCTTATGGGGGATGATGAGGGGCACCCTTTATTTTTGGGCCTGCCACTGACCATTAAGGAATCTAAGTCTGCCAAAGGGAGATCTGCTTATACAAAGTTAATGATGTCTGTAAATGGTTCTTGGGTCCTTGAATAGAAGCAGGTAGCCCATATTACATGAAAGACGAAGCTTATTCTGTGTGTGGCTTGTCTTCCTATGGGAAGGAGGAATGCATGGCCACAAGGAGGAGGGGTTGCAAATGTATATGAAATGTCCAGGCATGGAAGAGTTTACTGCATTTGGACATGTGAGCCTGGAAGAGGGCACAGCCTGACCTTCATTCAACACAATCACAAAGGTGGGGAGACTGGCAACACCATGACCAATGAAAGTCATACAGGGACTGGAGTAAGAGGCATCTACAGAACCAAGAGAGGGATCCAGCTTCCATATGGTGCACCAGATGAGCATGTTGACCAAGGAATAAAGCAGAAGCTCAGCTGCCTGAACAGGGCCCCCTAGGCAGATCTGGAGCAAGGGGGCATGGTGCTCAGTAATTGGAGAGCACACCTAGGGCTCCTTTAATCTTAGAGCAGGCTGGATCATGCAACCTAGGACATGGCTGAGCCTACAGGTCTTCTATGGGTGTGAATGGGGAATGATATGGACCAAGTAGTCCAGGATTTTGTTTCTAATTTTATTTTATCATGAAATTCCTGTTACTCAACTGATTATCAGCTTTGTACTCTTGAAATTCCTTCTCATTTATTTTTTGGGAAACACAAGAATTTTTGTGGCTGGTAGTGCCCTTTAGCTCATGAGGAAGGTAGGGAGGAGTCTGTCTTACCTCTTCCCTATCGTCCAAAGACCCAGGGCTCTTTGACCAAACTCCCCTTTTCAATAATATCCTTTCTCGGGACTCTCTTATCATGGCTCTTCCCTTAGCCTCTTTACTTTCTGTTCTTTCAGCATCCTTCCTTCTTCTATGCCAGCTCAATTATGAGGTAGTTCATAAGACAACAGTGGCAGAGTGGCAGTAAAAGGTGATGGAGCAGGAGCCAGCAAACTATAGTGTGTGGGCCAAATCTGTCCCTCGGTCTGTTTTTGTAAATAAAGTTTTATTGAAACACAGCTATGCCTTTTTCTTTACATCTTGTCTGTGGCTGCTTTCTTCCTACAATGGCACAGTTGAATAGTTCTAACCAAGACCCTATGCCTGGTAAAACCTAAAATATTTACTATCTGTATCACCTTTTACAGACAAAGTTTGCTTATTTATGTAGTAGAGGAATGTGGAGTTGGAGCCAGCACATTTGGCTTCAAATCCTGTCTCTGGCACTCTGGACTTTAGTTTCTTCACCTATGGAGCAGGGATAATAACCCCCCTGCACATGGCTTACGGAGATTGCAGTGGATAATAAATATGAAAGCCCTTTATAAAGTGCAGACTGCTGCATAAATGTTAGAAATTACCATTTCTTCCTTTCCTTTGAGCCTTTTGGATTGCTCCAGCTCCTTAATTTGATTCTCTTTGGTTATTTCTGTGACTGTGACTAGAGCTATTAAAACCTGCAATTTGTAAGCAGAGTTAATGCTAATTTTCTAGTCAACCTACCTTCCTGTAGTCTGTCAAACGACAAGGATATTTTAAAATAAGCATGTATTATGTAAAAGAATCGGTTCATGAATGAAGCCCACAATCATATATTTTACTCCAAGAGTTAGAAAAATTTCAGTTTATATATTCTCTGTTCAATGAAGAAATTGCAACTGACTAGTAACTATATTTAGATTCTCCATGCCACTTTCTTGGGTCAAATATTCCATTTCATTATAGCAGTAATTTTGTGCATGCATTTAGGAAGAGAGGCTCTGAGGTTTCACAGGAGGGTATGTTGACCTGGGTTATTACTCAGACACTAGGCATGCTGGCTGCTCAGTAGCTGAGCTGGTGAGGATAAGAAACAGAAAATCTCACCCCATCATCTCAGCCCAAAGTCTCCTTAAGCTGATAGGCAACTTCAGCAAAGTCTCATGATACAAAATCAATGTGCAAAAATCACAAGCATTCTTATACACCAATAACAGACAAACAGCCAAATCATGAGTGAACTCCCATTCACAATTGCTTCAAAGAGAATAAAATACCTAGGAATCCAACTTACAAGGGACGTGAAGGACCTCTTCAAGGAGAACTACAAACCACTTCTCAATGAAATAAAAGAGGATACAAACAAATGGAAGAACATTCCATGCTCATGGGTAGGAAGAATCAATATTGTGAAAATGGCCATACTGCCCAAAGTAATTTACAGATTCAATGCCATCCCCATCAAGCTACCAATGACTTTCTTCACAGAATTGAAAAAAACTACTTTAAAGTTCATAGGGAACCAAAAAACAGCCTGCATTGCCAAGTCAATCCTAAGCCAAAAGAACAAAGCTGGAGGCATCATGCTAGCTGACTTCAAACTATACTACAAGGCTACAGTAACCAAAACAGTGTGGTACCGGTACCAAAACAGAGATACAGACCAATGGAACAGAACAGAGCCCTCAGAAATAATGCCGCATATCTACAACTATCTGATCTTTGACAAACCTGAGAAAAACAAGCAATGGGGAAAGGATTCCCTATTTAATAAATGGTGCTGGGAAAACTGGCTAGCCATATGTAGAAAGCTGAAACTGGATCCCTTCCTTACACCTTATACAAAAATTAATTCAAGATGGATTAAAGACTTAAATGTTAGACCTAAAACCATAAAAACCCTAGAAGAAAACCTAGACATTACCATTCAGGACATAGGCATGGGCAAGGACTTCATGTCTAAAACACCAAAAGCAATGGCAACAAAAGACAAAATTGACCAATGGGATCTAATTAAACTAAAGAGCTTCTGCACAGCAAAAGAAATTACCATCAGAGTGAACAGGCAACCTACAAAATGGGAGAAAATTTTCGCAACCTACTCATCTGACAAAGGGCTAATATCCAGAATCTACAATGAACTCAAACAAATTTACAAGAAAAAAACAACCCCATCAAAAAGTGGGCGAAGGACATGAACAGACACTTCTCAAAAAAAGACATTTATGTAGCTAACAGACACATGAAAAAATGCTTATCATCACTGGCCATCAGAGTAATGCAAATCAAAACCACAATGAGATGCCATCTCACACCAGTTAGAATGGCGATCATTAACAAGTCAGGAAACAACAGGTGCTGGAGAGGATGTGGAGAAATAGGAACACTTTTACACTGTTGGTGGGACTGTAAACTAGTTCAACCATTGTGGAAGACAGTGTGGCGATTCCTCAGGGATCTAGAACTAGAAATACCATTTGACTCAGCCATCCCATTACTGGGTATATACCCAAAGGATTATAAATCATGCTGCTATAAAGACACATGCACACGTATGTTTATTGTGGCACTATTCACAATAACAAAGACTTGGAACCAACCCAAATGTCCAACAATGATAGACTGGATTAAGAAAATGTGGCACATATACACCATGGAATACTATGCAGCCATAAAAAATGATGAGTTCATGTCCTTTGTAGGGACATGGATGAAGCTGGAAACCATCATTCTCAGCAAACTATCGCAAGGACAAAAAACCAAACACCGCATGGTCTCACTCATAGATGGGAATTGAACAATGAGAACACATGGACACAGGAAGGGGTACATCACACTCTGGGGACTGTTGTGGGGTGGGGGAAGGGGGGAGGGATAGCATTAGGAGATATACCTAACGTTAAATGACGACTTGATGGGTGCAGCACACCAACATGGCACATGTATACATATGTAACAAACCTGCACGTTGTGCACATGTACCCTAAAACTTAAAGTATGAAAAAAAAAAAAAAAACAGAAAATCTCAGATGGCAACGGGCAGCCTCCATGTTTCCCCAGGAGTTGAGTGGAACAAATAGTCCAGATTGTGGGGTACAAAGAAATGTCATGTATATAGGCTTAATTTAGGGTACATCTTCTCCCCACAAGACTGAGTGATTTCTAGAGGAACTGTTGGAGGTTGCAAACTGGTAGCCCTGGGGCCAAATAAAGGCTGTAGATTTGCTTTGTTTGGCTTACTTTATGGGGTGTGTATATTTTTATATATTCTTTGAAGGTCTTCAGGTAAAGGAGCTTGTTCCAGCTCCGCTTCTGTCCTAATAACCCTCTAATACGTGTATATAGCTGCTTGACCTCCTGAATAATGTGGGTTTGCAACACTTCATTAAGCGAGAGTGGTCTTTGTTGTCAAGTTGAATACAACGTCATGGCCACTTCAGTTCCAGTGAGCTGCTGCAAGCACAGGGCAGGTAACTCAGCCCCTTCTCTTCCCATTCTTTGAAGGAAAGTTTGTTAAAAGGAAGATAAGGATTCAGGACTCTAAATAAATGAGTCGGGATTCTGGCAGGGCTGTAATATCTGCAGTGGAACCAGAGTGTGTTCAGGAAGTCGAGGATCACAAATAGGTGGGAAGAGCCACAAGATGAGAGGTGAGTGTGAGTGTCTTTTTGGTGGGCCCACAGCTAGCCCTCAAGACACACTGGGCACTGGACCAGGGCAGGACCATTCTTCCAAGGCCCACCTGCTCCTAGAGCCAACCTGCTGCCTCTTGCTAGGCCTGGCCTGGATTAGTGTAGGAACTCAGCAATGTTGAAGCTGTACTTTTAGTTGAGAGGCCTAGAGGTTTGCAGAATGTTGGGGACAGAAGGATTGCACTGTGCTATAGATTAATTTTTTTCTTTCCTGTTCTTTATTTTCTTTCCCTTGCCTCTCACCTGGGAAGAAACCACAATTCAGTGTGTGTGTGTGTGTGTGTGTGTGTGTGTGTGTGTGTGTGTGTGTGTGTGAAAAGTGGAGGATAATCAGGTGTGGCAGGGTAGCAATGTGCTCAGTTATTACTTATGGACTTGCTAGACTTCTGGCCTGAGAATCCTTTTCACCAGTGGAGATAGCAGACATTCTTGTTTATCCTGATTTTATTGAGAAAGTAATGAATGCAGGAGTTTTAACCTTTTTTGTGTGTGTGCCCTGGACCCTTCTGACAATCAGTTGAAGTTCATGGACCCCTTTTATAAATTGAGATTTTAAATAAAAGTATATAGAATTATAAAAGAAAGAAATCAAGTACCAAAATAGTTATTGAATAAAACTATTGCATTAAATAACAAGGTATAGTGGCAGGTCTAATAAATACTAGGAACTTCAAAGCAATGAGAGGCCTAAACAATATTCTTAAGTACTTGAAACAACTATAATGTGTTATGAAAATGTCTATGGCTTTTATTAGTGGCAAAGCCGTAGGTAATTCTACTACCACTGTGGTTTATTCATAATTGAAGGAAAAGCTAAAAGGTTAGTGAAAACAAAGTTGTATTTTTTACCTATTTAATATATAGATTAATAAACATGATTAAGAATATTTGCATAAGGTGTAAGGAAGGGATCCAGTTTCAGCTTTCTACATATGGCTAGCCAGTTTTCCCAGCACCATTTATTAAATAGGGAATCCTTTCCCCATTGCTTGTTTTTCTCAGGTTTGTCAAAGATCAGATAGTTGTAGATATGCGACATTATTTCTGAGGGCTCTGTTCTGTTCCATTGATCTATATCTCTGTTTTGGTACCAGTACCATGCTGTTTTGGTTACTGTAGCCTTGTAGTATAGTTTGAAGTCAGGTAGTGTGATGCCTCCAGCTTTGTTCTTTTGGCTTAGGATTGACTTGGCAATGCGGGCTCTTTTTTGGTTCCCTATGAACTTTAAAGTAGTTTTTCCAATTCTGTGAAGAAAGTCATTGGTAGCTTGATGGGGATGGCATTGAATCTGTAAATTACCTTGGGCAGTATGGCCATTTTCATGATATTGATTCTTCCTACCCATGAGCATGGAATGTTCTTCCATTTGTTTGTATCCTCTTTTATTTCCTTGAGCAGTGGTTTGTAGTTCTCCTTGAAGAGGTCCTTCACATCCCTTGTAAGTTGGATTCCTAGGTATTTTATTCTCTTTGAAGCAATTGTGAATGGGAGTTCACTCATGATTTGGCTCTCTGTTTGTCTGTTGTTGGTGTATAAGAATGCTTGTGATTTTTGCACATTGATTTTGTATCCTGAGACTTTGCTGAAGTTGCTTATCAGCTTAAGGAGATTTTGGGCTGAGACAATGGGGTTTTCTAGATATACAATCATGTCATCTGCAAACAGGGACAATTTGACTTCCTCTTTTCCTAATTGAACACCCTTTATTTCCTTCTCCTGCCTAATTGCCCTGGCCAGAACTTCCAACACTATGTTGAATAGGAGTGGTGAGAGAGGGCATCCCTGTCTTGTGCCAGTTTTCAAAGGGAATGCTTCCAGTTTTTGCCCATTCAGTATGATATTGGCTGTGGGTTTGTCATAGATAGCTCTTATTATTTTGAAATACGTCCCATCAATACCTAATTTATTGAGAGATTTTAGCATGAAGCGTTGTTGAATTTTGTCAAAGGCCTTTTCTGCATCTATTGAGATAATGATGTGGTTTTTGTCTTTGGTTCTGTTTATATGCTGGATTACATTTATTGATTTGGGTATATTGAAGCAGCCTTGCATCCCAGGGATGAAGCCAATCAATTCAAGATGGATTAAAGACTTAAACGTTAGACCTAAAACCATAAAAACCCTAGAAGAAAACCTAGGCATTACCATTCAGGACATAGGCATGGGCAAGGACTTCATGTCTAAAACACCAAAAGCAATAGCAACAAAAGACAAAATTGACAAATGGGATCTAATTAAACTAAAGAGCTTCTGCACAGCAAAAGAAACTACCATCAGAGTGAACAGGCAGCCTACAAAATGGGAGAAAATTTTCGCAACCTACTCATCTGACAAAGGGCTAATATCCAGAATCTACAATGAACTCAAACAAATTTACAAGAAAAAAACAAACAACCCCATCAAAAAGTGGGTGAAGGACATGAACAGACACTTCTCAAAAGAAGACACTTATGCAGCCAAAAAACACATGAAAAAAGGCTCACCATCACTGGCCATCAGAGAAATGCAAATCAAAACCACAAGGAGATACCATCTCACACCAGTTAGAATGGCAATCATTAAAAAGGCAGGAAACAACAGGTGCTGGAGAGGATGTGGAGAAATAGGAACACTTTTACACTGTTGGTGGGACTGTAAACTAGTTCAACCATTGTGGAAGACAGTGTGGCGATTCCTCAGGGATCTAGAACTAGAAATACCATTTGACCCAGCCATCCCATTACTGGGTATATGCCCAAAGGACTATAAATCATGCAGCTATAAAGACACATGCACACGTATGTTTATTGCGGCATTATTCACAATAGCAAAGACTTGGAACCAACCCAAATGTCCAACAATGATAGACTGGATTAAGAAAATGTGGCACATATACACCATGGAATACTATGCAGCCATAAAAAATGATGAGTTCATGTCCTTTGTGGGACATGGATGAAATTGGAAATCATCATTCTCAGTAAACTGTCACAAGAACAAAAAACCAAACACTGCATATTCTCACTCATAGGTGGGAACTGAACAATGAGAACACATGGACACAGGAAGGGGAACATCACACTCTGGGGACTGTTGTAGGGTGGGGGCAGGGGGGAGGGATAGCATTGGGAGATATACCTAATGCTAGATGACGAGTTAGTGGGTGCAGCGCACCAGCATGGCACATGTATACATATGTAACTAACCTGCACAATGTGCACATGTACCCTAAAACTTAAAGTATAATAATAAAGGAAAAAAAAAACTTAAAAAAAAATATTTGCTAGTGATTTCCCATTAAGTAAGATGCCGGGTTGGAGCTATAGTATGTGTATTCTATCATGCTTGGGAAATATTCTTCAATTTTTTATGACTGTTTTGATTTTTCTTTTCAGTATCTATGGAGATGATATGATTTTTATTATTAGCCCTGTGATGAATTATATTAATGGCTTTTCTAATATCAAACTGAGATCTGTCTTCCCTGGTAATATCTGACCCTTTTTCTCCTTTCACTCCAAGCATTTCCATCCTGACCAATTTGTGTTTTACTCCTAGTAAAACTACTCCTAGTAGTTTCTCCTTAGTACAGGGCTCTGTCCTTTCCCTGAGATTTCTGACCAGTCCCACCCCTTCAAACCTTCCATCATAATCTTTGGGTAACTTACCTACAAATTAGAACTTGAAAAACCCACTTTCTTTTTGACTGTTGTTATCATATTGGACAGTTGGGTCCTCTGGTCTGAGGGATCCATTCCTTTGAGGGGGTGAGTGCTTGCAGGTGATTTCCAGATTTCTTAGCTCTTAGAGTCCAGGAGTCCAATTGTATGCCCCCTGGTTGTGCCCATACAGTTGTGAGACTCTTGCTGCCGTTGTTTGCAGTCCATGTTCTGAGGTTCTTGGGAATATTTTATTGGCTAGTTTGATTTAAGACATTGCGTATGGTTTTTCTTTTTTGTTTTTGTGAAAGGATTGGGAGGACCCTATGTTTAAGCCACATTTTGCCAGCAGATGAGGTCTTCAATTGCATTTAAAATCCTTTTGTATGTATTGGTCTAACTAGCATTCTATTTCTTCTTGTGTCAATTTTGGTGTTTTTGTATTTTTTCAGAAATTTTTAATTTCATCTTGGTTTTCAAGTTTATTTTACTCATCATATTTTAAATACTTGTGTGTATGTAATTATTTCTCCCTTCTTATTCTTGTCCTGTTTACTTCATCCTTTCTCTTTCCCTCTGTCTATAGTCAGTCTCACCAGAAGTCTTTCATTTTCAGTAGCTTGATTGATAGGGAACTATTATTTTCTAGTTCCCTAATTGTACTTATCTTTGATATTTACTTCCTGCTTCTTTTATTTGTTCTTTTTTCTTGCTTCTTGGATTAAATAGTTTGTCTATTATGTCAACATTTCTTGTTTGCTTATGAATGCAATACTTAGAACTAAAAATATCCTTTTGCTTTAGTTATATCTCACATATTTTGACTTGTAACGTTTTGTCATTCAGCAATAAGTATTCCACAATTTGTCCTGTGATTTCCTTTATTTTAATGGTATGCTTCTAAACTTTCAGCAATTCAGCCTTTTAAAAATTAACAGATAGCTTTTATTTTTTATTCCTACTTTCATTACCAGAGAACATTCTTAATGTGACCTCAATTTTTTTGGAATTAATTGAGGCTTTCTGTGCAGCCTAATAAATACCACCTACAAAGTTCTATGTATGTTCAAAAGAATGCTACATTTATATTGAACATATAAAGTCCCCACATGTTTTAAAATGTCAAACATATTAATTATGCTATGCAATATTTTATATCTGCATATTTTTAATCATATGATCAGTTTCTAAGAAAGAAATGTTGTATCTCCTATTAGAATGGTTAACTTATTTCTCTTTCTCTTTGTATTTATATCTGTTATGTTGCTTTATACATTTTTGATATCTTATTAGATATACATCATCTTTATTTTTCCTTTTATTGGTGTATAATATATAGCTTTGTCTTTTATATTTTACCCAAAAGATTATCTTTTGTCTGATATTAAACTTGCTTTTTTGGTGTGGTTCATATTTGTCTGGTATATGTTCTTCCCACTTTATTGGTATCATTTAAAAAAAAGTTTCTTGTAGGCAATGCATTGCTGAATGTGGTTAGATTTTTATTGCTCCTCTTTCTTTTATTCCCTCTTAAATTTAATAGAAGAGCTTCCTTGGGTAAGTTCACTTCATTTGCATTTATTGTAATTAATGTAATGATGGGGCATTTTCTGCCATCTTATTTTGTTCTATTTATTTTTATTTATTTATTCTATTTTCTACTTAATATTTTCTTCTGCTGACTTCAAAGTTATATATTCTCTTTTCAGTCTTTTCCAGATTACCCTTGATTATTCATCCCCACAGCTATGTCCATTTTCTCTGTCACTTTCTTACCCTTATCTATAATTATGTCATGCTCCAGACTAGACAAATGCTTTAGTGTGCCATTGACTTCCTCTGGTTTCCCCTTCTTTACTTCTTTCCTCCCTGCCCTCCACCCCTGTATTTTGGTATCATCTAGAATTTTAGTTCTGAAATGTAACGGGTATCCTTTTTTTGTTTTTGTTTATTTAGTCAACATTAAATTTTACTAAGTCATTTATTTTGTAGATATTGTTGAATTGTCCGGATATTTTTGTTACTGCTAAGACATCTTTCTAAGGATGATTTCAGTCGTAGGATGATAAACATTATGAGGTTTTGTAAATCTGAGGATGCTTTTTATTTTCTACATTTAAAATTCTAGGTTTAAACTCTTTATTTTTACATGAAAATATTACCTATTATTGGTTTTTGTTATTCTGAGGCTTATTCCTTTAGGAGATATGCCTTTTCTCTCTGGAAATGTCTAGGATAGCCTCTTTGTTTGTGTGTATTTTATTTAATTTCACCACCACAATATGTCTGTTTTTGCCCCTCATCTGTTCTGTTTGACACTCTAACAGCCATTTATATTTGAGAATTTACATAGTTTTACAGTTTGGGGAAATTTTTAGTCATTAGATCTTCAAATGTTTCTGTCTTTTCATTTGTCCTTTTTTTTTTTCTTTTCAGGCTCCTATTATATGGTTGTTGACATTTTTTTTCTATCATTCATATCTGAGGTAGTTTTAAAAGATAACCCCCAAATTCTGTGACACATTTTCCACTGAGAGGTGGAGTCTGTGTTCTCCATTTGAATCTGAGTGCTGTCGCTGATTCACCAACAGGATGCAGTGAACGTGATGCTGGGCTGGTTTCCAGGCTCAAGCCTTAAGAGACTGATTTATGCCTTTTTGTCACTTCATTGTTATTTTTGAGATTGAAGAAATTGAAGTTAACAGTATGTTCAATCTATCATGTTTAATGTTAGTTGGAAGTCTCTTCCTGGTGATTTGGACAAATACATAGATTGTTTCTCAGTGTTTAAAATATATAAATTTATACCTTTTACAGCATTTTGATAGTATTGATCATCCTTTCCTTAGAGTCCCTTTTTTTTTTTTTAAAGAAGATGATTACTTTCTTGTCTTACAACTTTCTGGACTCAATTATTCTGTAAGCTATGCTCATTGTCTGTCTCCTGCAGCATTCACTGTCCTCAAATGCCATGTAATTCTAGTGTGCAGAGAAGCCATTCCTGGCTTTTTTTTTTTTTTCTTCTTCTTCTTCTTCTCCAACTCTTATTTCTCTGTGTTTAGAAGTTTTAAGTCATCTCCCCCTGGCTCATTCAGTTCAGAATTAGATCTTAGGTTAGAGGCTTGAGGCTCCTATCCCACAGGGACATTTCAGATAAGATTACTGAGCCAGTGGGTAGCCTGGCCAACATACTAGATGTGTAGGTGTCTGTAATCCCTCCTGTGACCTTGGACAACAGTTTAATGTAAATAGCCAGGAGGTGGCCCTAGCTTCTTTAAACTGCTGTTTGTGAGTCAGGGATCCCCACCTCAGCCCTATCACTGTCCCTGGTTTCATGTGGAAGGCCTGACACACATCCCCTGCCAGGTGTTAGGAGCTTGTTTGTGTTGTCTTGCAGAAGATGAACATGGGCTGCTTCCATCTTGTCTTAGTCTATGTTGTGCTGCTGTAACAGAACACCTAAGACTAGATACTTTATAAAGAACAGAAACTTATATTCTCACAGTCCTAGAGGCTGGGGAATTCAAGACCAAGGCACTAGAATCTGGGGAGGAACTTCTTGTCATATCTCCACATGGTGGAAGGTGGAAGAGCATAACATAAGAGCAAGCTAGGATCAGTTTCCCCCATCAAGCCCCTTTGTAAAGGTACCTAATTCCAACATGAAGGAGGCACCTTCATGGCCTAATCTCCTCTTAATACAATCACATTGGTAACACCTGAATTTTGGAGAGGACACAGTGAAACCATAGCAGGTCTATTAAAGGCTCTGGGTCCCAGTAGGTCCACAGTCTTACCCCTGCCCAAGACTAAGTGTTGCTCTCCTATTTCCGATTCATTGAGATGTTTACTTTGTTTTTTATTGCCAGTCCCCTATGTTGTCATTTATTTTAAAATTCATTTTTAACTTTAATTTTAGGGGTACATTTGCAAGTTTCTAACATAGATAGATTGCATGTCATGGGGGTTTGGTGTACAGATTATTTCTGTATTTGGTATACAGATTATTATGCTCTGGTAATGAGCATAGCACCCGATATGTAGTATTTCACTCTTCACTCTTCACTCTCCTCCCATCCTCCACCCTCAAGTAGGCCCTGGTGTCTATTGCTCCCTTCATTGTGTCCATGTGTACTCAATGTTTAGCTTTCACTTACAAGTGAGAACATGCAGTATTTGGATTTCTGTTCCTGCATTAGTTCACTTGGGATAATGGCCTCCAGTTCTATCCACATTCCTGCAAAAGAAATGATCTTATTCTTTTTTATGGCTGTGTAGTATTCCATGGTATATATGTACCACATTTTCTGTATCTAGTCTACTGCTGATGGGCATTTAGGTTGATTCCATGTCTTTGTTATTGTGAAGAGTGCTGCGGTAGTGATGGCAGGGCAGATGCCCATGCATTGGCCTGTTAACCTTTTTTTAAAAGTATGGTTATGTTTAAGATTAATTACTGCTTTGATTTAGAGCAAGAGGATGTGTTTTTTTTTTTCTAAAAATCTAAACTCAGCACCATCATGAACATAGCTGAAAACTTAGAAATATTTTGCCCTTTGACTTGGTAGCTCAGCAATTAAAAATTTAAGACCTTATCTGAAGAACACAATTAGATCACAAGGGATTTAATAATTTATGTTAATAACTTATGGTATAGCAGTTCAATAGAATAACCCTACCAATCCCAGAGACTCTAACTGGGTAGGTTTGGAAAGGTTTTTTTAAATACTTTTTTTTTTTTTTTTTTTAAATCCACAGATGATTCTGATTTGCCTACAGGATTGAGAACCACAGCTATGAGGGTGACTAATATTCTGGAAAATGGATTAATTTTAATTCTAGGATTATGTTTTATACAGAGATCTCTTAACCTAGAGGTTGCTAAACTCCAGCTCACAGAGCAAATTTAGCCTGCTTGCCTGATTTGTTGGCCTGTGAGCTAGGAAATATATTTTACATTTTGAAATTGTTTTTAAAAAAGCAAAAGAATAATGATACTTCATGATGTATTAAAATTACATGAAATTTAAATTTTATTGTCTGTACATAAGATTATATTAGAACACAGCACACTCATTTATTTATGTATTATTTAGGACTGCATTTTTGCTAGTGGAGGAACTGAGTAGGAGTGACAGGGACTGAGTGACCCACAAGGCTTAAAATATTTACTCTCTGCTCTTTTACTGGTCTTGTTCTAAACCAGTTCTTACTCTTGCCACTGACTTTACAGTGGTTGTTTGGGTAACTTCTGCAAATGGGTGTGTACACATGTGTAGGGTGAGAGGCATTCTTCCTTACTTTGTAGCTGAAAATAGGTCATCCTACTATGAGCTGTGAAGTCTGAATATGTTTCCCCTTGTTCCACTAAACTCAATACAGGTACACCCAAAGGAGTTTCAGAAAATAGTCACTAGGACCCATGGGAGAAGGGCAGCCTTCCACTTTTGCTGATTTGATTAAACCACCTAAGAAGGGATTGCACAGACCAAAAATAAGCTCCAAACCAAAGATGGTATTGCCCAGTCGGTAGGCCATTCAGCCTTCAGTTCCTCACGAAAGAGCTTTTAAAGCCACGTATGACTAGATCAGCAGGTTTCTTCCAGCTGGTCTCATCAGAGAATGAGCCTTTGCCATGGGATCTATATAAGAGACTTACTTTAAGCTACTCTTCACTTCTTAGGATTCTCCCAGTTTCTGACATTAAGCTTTTTGGGTCATTCATATTGCAAATTTGCTTTTTGCATTTGATGTTGAGCACTGTCTTTGACCATCAACCTTGCTCCCTCCTTCACAGTTCAAGCTCTTGCTAGCTTTTCTTTTTCAGGTTATGTTGTTTAAGCACCCTGCCTATTTACCCTCTACTCTCATCCTGCCTCAACATCACTACAATCACTGGATCAGCAGCCTCTATGATGCTTACCATCTGTCCTGAAAGCCAGGAATAAATAGAATATAAGATATGAGATGCTACAGGTGAAAGCACCTATTGATCACTGGGAATGGGGGTTGCATGATGGAAGAGAGCTGAAGTGGAGACTAGGATCAATGCTGTTAAAAGGCAGAAAACAATCAGAAGCAGAAATGCAGATATAAATGCATTTTGGAGCACACACTAAGAGGATGTCAGCAGGACCTGTAGGCATCATGGTGATGAGTGCTGCTGGCAAATGCCTGAGACACTGAGTCTGGGGTGATGGAAGATTGAGGGAAGGAAGGAGAGGAATGGAGGTGGGAAGGATGGCAGAAAAGAATGAAGTATTTTGGGAGATAGTACTTTATATGGGAAATAGTCACACGGGGAGTAGGAGGAGTTTGGAGCCTGATATGCCTCAGCAGCAGAGGCCTTTCCCACCTCTGCTTTGCTGTTTGTCAACTGGGGCAGGTCCACTGTAGGACAAAAGAAAATCCTTCTGGGAAGGTGGCCAGCACCACTCGTGGCATACTGCAGGCCCTCCCTGGGGTAGCTCTTTTCCTACTTCCAATTCCTATCTTAGAGCTGTTGCTGTGTCACCACCATGACTCAGAGCCTGTGGAATCTTAGGCTGGGTTCATCAGCTCAGAAAGGTCTGACTTCAGTCATTTATGGGGGCACCAGAAATGACATTGTTTGGTGTCAGTGACCTCTTCCATGCGGTGAGCAAAGAGAGAGGCATTTTTACTTAATTTGATTATTCTATGGGTAATTTAGGTGTCCCTGCATTCTATTATGGCTAGACAAAGCATTAGCCCAGAAGCACATGCAAACTAAATTATTATTAAGTGAAAGCTAAGTGAAACATAATGGCATATAATAGGGATCACAGAGTTATTGCTAAACAAATAGCCTCTGCTTCCACTTCTACCCCTCCATGCTGCCCAGATTCTGACACACAAAGTCCCCTCCTTATCTGTGGTATGGGGACGCCGCTGGTGCCTAAAGAGGAGCATCACTAATGCTTCCTGATAAGGCTTTGGGCATGGAGTACATCCCCAGACATGCACACTCATTTGGCAGGGCCTCTTGTCTGTGGAAACTATCTCCTGCACCTTCTCAAAAGGTGATCTTCTACTTCACGGGGTCAGCTTAAGATCACTTTTTGCCAGGGGCCAGCATGACCCTCCTTAGGGCTCCCAGGGCCCTCTGAGCTTTATTCCATCACATCATCTAACACAGTGTATTGTGATTATCCAATTCTGTGATCCTCTCTTTTTCAAGTTTCCTAGCTTCTTGAGGACAAGCGACATGTCTTATTTGTCACTTTATCCTCTACAGTGTTACTTCTTAAACTGTAATGAGCAATGGAGCCACCAGAGGATCTTGCTGAAATTCGGAGTCTGATTCAGCAGGTCTGGGGTGGGTAAGATGCTGCTTCCCTAATGAGCTCCCAGGTGATACCAAAGCTGCTGGTCCAGGGACCACTCTGGGTAGCGAGCAAAGCCTTAATGCCTAACAGTGCCCAGGCTAAAGTAGGTGTCAGAAGCACAAATGTTCTGAGCTCAACCAGAGTATCACACATCAAAGTACCTTGAGAACTGTAAAACATTTATGAGCATGTTAGCAGCAGATGTAGCTACTTTTTTTTTTTTTTAAATAGATCTGCTACCATTTTTCAGCTACCAGAGTAGCCAGTTGAAAAGTAAAAGTCACAGATCGGTTATCTGCATGGATTTTTAAAAAGTAATGAATGTATGGGAAACAAAAACTGTTTGGCTGATTTTTCTTTTTTTTTTTTTCCACGAGCTGATTGAATTGGCTTTATCTTTTTGTGTTGGGGACTGGTATTTGGATATACTGGTATCTGTTTGGAGACAGATACATGTTTCATCTCTGTTCAATTTTTAAAGTGCGGTCTCCTCTAAAATGGATTCAAAGTTAATTCACTTCAAGAAGTAAGGGAGACAGAGGTGAGCCTTTTACAGTGATTGGAACATGTTTACTTATCATTCAAATTCCCTACTTCTGCTCATCCATGTAGGTGAATTTGAAATCTGTAGCTGGGTCCTGAATTGCAGCTGAGGTTACTTAGTTACTGATAGACCATCTACACGGGATGAGGATCTGAACAGAAAAGATCACCAATTGCTCCTTCCCCAACCCCTCTATCCTCTAGTATCCAAGGACTGGACGTGACATACTCAAGCTCTGTGGGACTGACTTGAACCCCCACCCAAGCCTTCTAGCCCTGCTGATGTTTTTCTAATGGGAAGCTGCATTTTCTCTCTTTTGGAATGGATTAGCACTGAGGTTGGTGGACTTCAGCAAATTTTCCTGGACAGTAAAATCCTATGGATGAAATTTAGTCCTGCCGTTCTTGGAAAAGTAATGATTTGAACACAAGTGGGCTTCAACAGGCGGCAACTCAGTTTGGATCAGTGGTTAATAGGCTAAGCACTGAAGTCAGATCTCTTGGATCCAAATCCTGGCTTTGCTACTTGCTTTGCAGGGGTGGGGGTTGGGGTGTTATTTAAAAGCTCCCTTCCTCAGTTTCCTCAGTTAGGTTTTGAAGGGAAGGCGAGGGTTGAAGAAAGACACACACACAGAAAGAGGGCAACTCAACAGATAATGCAGGCTTTATGTCCAGCATAAAACCTACCGAAGTGGGGGACCAGCCTAACGCCAGAGCCCACCACTGCTTACAGGCTGGGGGTACTTATAGGTATGGGCGGGAGGCATCTTGGCAGTATGGCTTGCTGCCTGGCAGGATATTGATAAGATGCTCCCGTGATGAGGTGGTTCTGGCCCTTGTTCTGGCAGGATGTCATCGTTGTGTTCCTTGGACCTTTGTCCAGCAAGATATGATAGAAAAGTTTTTTTAGTTGGGCCTTTGTCCGCCTTGTGGTCAGGTGGTTGGGCAGGATGTTTCTCATGGCCTGAACCCCCATGAAATGTTTCACTTTGACCAAGGTCTGTGAAATAGTGGGGAGCTTACAAAGTGGTGCAGTTTGTCCTAACAAGGATGGCTATGAAGAATAATGGAACAATCAACACAAGCCACTCAGCACAGTGCCTGGCATGGCAAACACTCAGTGAGTATTAACTATTTTGATTGCTATTTGGATTTTGCCTGCTTAGGTGGACATCTAGATGTGCTACAGCCGCTGCTTGCCAGGAGCTGGATTAATCAGGATGATTTTAGCAAGTAATAGGAAACTTGGCTCACAGTGGCTTATGCACTAAGGGCATTGGTTATTTCACACAATGAGAAGGTTAACTTAGGAGAAGCTCCAGGGTAGGTTGACTCAGTGTCCCATTGTTGTCATCAAGGACACAGGTTCTCTCTCTTCTCTCCACTAACCTCAGGGGGTGGCTTGATCTTCAGGCTGCTTCCCCTCATGAGTATAAGGTGGTGGCAGTAGCATTAAGGACAATGTAGATTCTTCCTTGTTCATATCCAGCTGGAGAGTTTGAGAGAAAACCTCTCCCTGGACTATGGAACATTCATATTTCCCTTCAGTCTAATGAGACCAGCAAGGGCTAGGTGCTGTCCTGAACCAGTGACATCTGCTGAGGGGCTGACGGATCACTTAGCCTAGACCAGGAACCCTAAAGTTGACCAAATAAATAAACTACTTGCAGAGCTCATAAAATATAGTTTCCCGGGCCTAGTGAGTCTGATTGCTAGGGACAGGGCCCAGACATAGGCATTTCAATGTGCATGCCAGATGATTTTGATGCAAACAGAAATACTGAGCTTGGACTAATCAGGAGCCATCTCTGGAGCGGGGTACGAGGTTGACCCGCAAGCACAGAAGAGTGTGGGCGTGGGAAATGCCAGAATAAAATCAGGTTCAGCCAAAAAGGTGGGAATGACAAAAACAGTACCCCCTATAGGAGTATGGAAAAGGTCAACCATCAAGGACCCAGATACTGAAATCCAATGGCCAGTGGAACAACTTAGCAATGCCAAAAACCATTCACTGATTCAGTATCTTCTATCAAATACTTCCTAAGGCAAGATACTGTGCTAACTGCAGTAAATAAGCCCCCTCAAGCTGCAAACAGTATAGTGGGGTAGGCAGACAAATAAAAACAAGAAAGGGGGAATGGCCTTTGTGTTTTTAAGATGCAAGGATGACCGTGTGTGAGATTGTGGGAGGAAGGAAGAAGGCACTGGCACGCATTTTCTTTGATTGCTAAAGGGACCTCCAAAGTACGAAGATGTGATGAACTTGCCCACTCTTCAACTGCTTTGTCTTCTGCTTTCCAGAGATGGATTATCTCAGAGCAACCAAGAGAGCAGAGTCCTTGTTTTGGCGAGGTGGAAGCGGAGAGGCCGACAATTCTGTCGTTGCCCTTGGGGAGAGGACTCTGAAGCTCATGCTGTCTTGGCTGGGCTGCCCTTGGGGCTGGTCAATCTCAGCCTTGACTCCCTTGCTGTGGGGTGATGGTAGATGATGCGAGTGAAAATGCTTTGCAAACTATGAATCACTGGGTACCCCTGATGGATAGTGATCATTAATATAGAGCTTCGGTCTTGTTCAGTCTCACAGTCTGACTCATGTGCTGGGGATGACAACTAAGAGAGAAAAGAGGCCAACTGTGTATTAAAGACATTTGTCATCCACCTCTGGTCTGAAAGTGTCCTCCCAAAGACAGACACCCAGCACCACTGATTAAGTAACAATGGTAGCAACAATTATGACACCTTAAAGCTTCTGAATGCTTTATATCTTCAAAGGGCTTATACATAAATGATCTCATTTGATGTCTGGAGTCTGGTGATGTCTGCTGGTCTGAAGCTCAGAATTCTTCAGTGTGGGCTGTCTGCCACCTCCTTGTGATGTGTTTGCACCCTGCTGCTAGGAAATGTCATGCCTCCTCCTCTGTCTTCCCCTTCCTCACACACAGCTGCCCATCTCCTCTTTATTGCTGCTGTTTTGCTTTGAAGTAACTTCTTCAAGCCATCAGCTCAGACAATCTGTTTCTAACATTGTCTCCTTTACTGATTTCCCTTGACAATTTCAATACCATGTCGAAATCATCTCAGGCTGTAAATATAAGAACCAGGGATGTATTTAATAAAAAAAAAAGAGACTTTGGGTATAAAACACTTGCTTTTGCTAAAAATCAGAGTTTAGTAAATGATGTTTGACAGGAGGGAAAGAGAAAAACGGAGGCCTTGCATCCTTTAAACATTCTCCTTTCCTAGAGGGCTCTTGGATCTGTTTTCTTTATAGTTTCAAGTCTCCTGGGAGGCAACCTGACAATGGCTCATTATGAGTCTCCCAGTGTATTGACATTCAGGACATATTGCTTCCCATCCCCAACCCATCTGGCTTCGTCTCACTGCAGGAACCAGGGCACAGACTCAGGAGACTTCTGGGATAAGACTTCCCTCCACACCTGCTGGTACCTGTAAAATGCCAAATGGATCTGCCTTGTCAGGTGATGGGACAGGACTGATACATGGAGATCTGGATGCTGCAGCCTCAGGAAGCTGGGGGATTTGGAGGAGCAGAGGTTAGGCAGTGAGGGGTTGAAATCCCAGCCCTCTACGAATGAGCTGTGTGACGTCAGGTAGCTTCCCCTCTGAGCTTCTGTGTACTATTCTGATAATTATTGACTCTCTTTCTGGATCATAGGCCTCAAATTCCTGGATGTGTACAAGGGTCAGAAGAGAGTCCAAGCAACAAGGCTCTACAGACTGACTGCTCCTAGGCCAGGACACTCACACAGGACACAAAGGAGGTGAAGCTTAGCTGTTTTCTGTCTTCTGGTCAAGATGCTGCTTAGTGAACAGGGAAGGCACTGGGGCTCTGTACTTGCCTGTTTACTACCCCCAGTGAACCTGCAGTTTCCAGGAGTTCTAAGAGAGTCTGAATAGATTGGCATTTCTACACCAGAAGACACATGCTCTTTTCTTTGTTCTATTACAATCTCCGGGGTACCCCAATAGTGTCTTTCCTGGGGAGTCTCACAGTGCTGCTGACCCAGGTTCATAAGATCCACACCCCCATTTCCTATCACCATCCTGTGTGGAGGGTTATCGTGTTCTCAACAATTTGGGGCCTTCCCTGTCTTTCCTTGATGGTGACTACACCATGCGCTGCTATGAAAACAACGCCAGATATTTACATTCTGTTAGTCCTTGAAGAATTGTGTGAGTGTGTGTGCACCTATGTGCCTTCTGAGCTGTGTTTTAGTGTAACCCTATTTCTGCAGTCTAATCCACACATTTCTAAAATATAAATTGACCTTGAACGTGCTAATAGCTTTTTTTTTTTTTTTTTTTTTTTTTTTTTTCTGAGACAGAGTCTCGCTCTGTTTCCCAGGGTGGAGTGCAGTGGTACAATCTCGGCTCACTGCAACCTGTGCCTCCTGGGTTCAAGCGATTCTCCTGTCTCATCCTTCCAAGTAGCTGGGACAGTAGGTGCATGCCACCATGCCTGGCTAACTTTTGTATTTTTAGTAGAGACAGGGTTTCACCATGTTGGCCAGGCTGGTCTCAAACTCCTGACCTCAAGTGATCCACCCACCCTGCCCTCCCAAATGTTGGAATTATAGGCGTGAGCCACTGTGCCTGGCCAAACAGGCCAATAGCTTTTATTGTTTATTTTACTCTTCATAAATAGTAATGGTAGTTAAGTCCTAAGTTTGGTGTGTGTGAGTTTAAATGAGATATTGCATGTAAATCATTGAGCACAGAGCCTGGAACCTAGACCATGCTGCTGTCAGGGGAGGGATATCAGCAGTGTCAAAATCATCAGAGATGTCAGGGACGTGAGCTTTGGATGTCCCCAGCGGGGCAGGGGGTGGGGTTGGATTTTCAGAACAAGGCAAAGGCATTTTCTGGGCACATATCTTCAACTGCTGACTGGGAGATTTCACCATTTTATTTCTAACTGAGCATGTCCAAAACTGAATTCATATTGTTTTCTCTAAAACCTGATGTCTTCAGCTTAGAGTTCTGCAGAGCTTTATATTCCTAAGCATTAGGATTTGCAAACAGGTGGCCTGTGGGCTGCATCTGGCTCACAGAAATGGCTCAAGTAGTCTTCCTTAAAAAGTGGAATATTATCATGTGTTAAAGTCAATAGAGTTTACATTTTAAAATCCGTATTTCTGGATTCTCTTGGAAAAGTAGCAGATCTGGCAACATCAGGGCCCGGTGGCAGCAGTTGGCTGGTCTGACTGGTACTTCAGATGGGATGTGCCCTCCAATTTTCCACAGTGTCTTCCACTCCATACCAGATCTTTGATATTGAAGCCCAGGTACTACATGCCATTTAACCATCACATAAGTCTATGACACAAGCTGGGAAGCTGAGGTGATAAGATGACAAGGAACAGAGATGTGAAAAGAGCTGGCAAAGCTAGGGAAAGAATGCAAAATAAAAGCCTTGCTATAAAGATGAAATGAGATGGAATAATGAGCAGATTATAGAAAACTAAATTCATAATGTGAAGGGAAAGCTTGAGGAACATTTCTCAAAGGTAGCAGAAAAGACACTTAAAAGTAACCAGAAAGAAAATAATGACAAGGGAACACAGACAATAGATAGCAATATAGAAATATTTGACAGTTTTGAAAGACAGCAGGTGAGAGCAACAGAATATTCAAAGACATCATATTGAAAGGGCCCTCTAAGTTCCAGACAACATTAATAAAAAGAGACTAATACATAGGCATATCCCGGTTAAATCCTGAATTTCAGCCATGGCAAAAGAATCTGATCTGCTGCCAGGTAGAAAAAAAAATTAATATGCTGCCATGGGATTTTTTTAAAAAGAAAAAAATAGGTTTTCAAAAAGCGAAAAAGAATGAGGCTTGCTGAGAAGAACCTTTCTCACCAGTATGGAGTACCATATGTCTTCGTTAGTTCAGACTGCTATAACAAAAATACCGTAGACCAGGTGGCTTAAACAATAGAAATTTACTTATTACAGTTCCGGAGGCTGGGAAGTCCAAGATCAAAGTGCTGGCCAATTCAGTTCCTGGTGAAGGCCCTCTTCCTGGTTTGCAGGCGGACACCTTGCTGCATGCTCACATGGCAGAGAGAGATACCATCTTTCTCATGCCTGTTCTTATAAGGGCACTAATTCCATTCATGAGGGCTCCATCCTCATGACCTCATTTAACTCCCAAAGCCCCTCCCCCAGATGCCATTACATTGGGGATTGGGCTTCAACATGTGAATTTGGAGGCGGAGGACACACACATTCAGCCTATAGCACCATGAGGCAGGGCAACAAACATAATTTGTAGGAAGATAATTCCATTATGTGCTGAGCTGACATTTATATATGGATGTACAATAAGACATTTGAGAAAGGCAAGATCTGAGATAGCTTACTAATCCATGTTTAAATAACTTTGGGAAATTGAGGGTTAACGAAGTTAAACATATTTCTTTGCTCAAGCATTACTCTGAAACTTTAATATGATCATATACATTGTAAGTTTTAAAAGTGGCCACAGACAGCATTTCCTAAACTTATTTGACAACGTAATCCTTTTTTTTAAAAAGCCTACATCTATTAATGTTGGCCAAAAGAGTATTCTATGGATTATAGTTACGGACATGATTTAGACAGGTGCTAGGAAGACCTTTAATACAATTCAAGATTCATTCTGAATAAAAGCTTCTAAAATAATTTTAAAAAACAAAAAGATGCTTTATTAACGTGAAAAAACCTATTTCAAACATATAACCAATTTTATAAATAATAGTAAAAGACCATGAAAAATCAGGAATAAGGATGGCTGCTATTATTAATTTAGTAATTTTCTAGACATTCTAGACAAAACCATAATGCCAGTCTAAGCAACTAGAATCCCAATCTAAGCAACTAGAGAGCTATCCGACCTTAGTGAGGTTGCTATAAAATAGATGTGCAAAATGTTTTCCCCCTAAGCTAGCACCAACTAATTAAACAAATATAATATAAAACTATTCAATTTTCCTTAGGAAAAAAAACAACACACAAGCTATAAATACATTTAACACAAAATGTATAGGATCTGTGTAAAGAAAATGGCAAAATATCACTAGGGAACATAAAATAATATTTAAACAGAGAGATAGACATACCATATTCCCAGGGGATAAAACTTTATTAAAAGATACTAATTCTTACTAAATTGATTTAGAAATTGAATGTGTTTCTAGTATAAATCCCAAAGAGTTTGGGAAGGGGAAGAATTTGATTCTAAAATTCATTTGAAAGAGTAGACCAATGAGAACAGACAAGAAGAGTTTTTAAAATAAGAAAAAATGAAAATCTAGGGCTCTTGCATTGGCAAATGTTAAAATCTGCGGTCAAAAACTGTAGATCATCTGAGAATTTTTTGTCAAGATTGCAAATTAACCTGCCAAAGTTTGTGGATGCTGGCAGAAATCACAGATTCCTGGGCTGAGACATGAAGTTTGTCACTCATGACACAGACGCGGCATGCACATCATGCTTCTGTTGGTCCCCTGGTCTTCCAAGTGCCATCAGGGCAATGCAGAGGGGTCCAGAAAGTTGCTGGATAGTTAGGTGGCTTTCATCACAGCTGAGGAGCCCTGAGGTTAGAGAACCAGAATCTTTTATAGTGGACAGTAAGCAAATCTGCCCAAGCTTTGCCCCAAGGAGGATATAATCTTTATTATATTAGAGTGCAGAAAACCTGCCCCTTGCCCTGGATGGAGACACTGTCTCTTCAAAGGCCCTTCGCTATCTTCACATCCTTGAATAGGTGGCCAATGCCCCTGCTGACAGACATGCAGAAACATGAGAGACCCATGGAGAATTGTCTCCAACAAAATCTACCCCTTGTTTCTATACTGTCTTGGTTTCTGGTGAATTTTCCAATGAATATGCCTTTCCTTCCACCACTCTGATTAATATGAACAACTGAGCCTGGGACCAAACCCAGTCAATTTGTCCCAGATAGCATTTAATTAAGGATACTATCAATAGGACTCCAAGCATCAGGAAGAGGCCAACCTGCAGGATTGACATTAACCATGTCCCCCAGGGTCCCAGACCCAACCAACTGAACAAATCCCAGAGACCTTCGGCATAGACCTTACAAAAGTAATTTACTCTCTCCTTAAGTTTCTGTATTAATCTTTCCATTTGGCCTAAGACATTAATCTAGCTATGGGCAAATGTATTAGTGATTGCAGAGATTCTGTCTTGGCACACAAAGAGGAAGTCTAGGGAAATTCTATCATCCATAACAACCCTGGCAAGTGAATTGAGGCCAACCTGATTGATCATGTCAGTCTAGGAAGACAATCCAAGGAACTGAGCCAGAATTAACTTAGAATTCCCCAGAACCCCTCTTGGCTGTGTTGCCACTTTGGGGCTGGCCTGAGATTGCTGTTAGGAGAAGAAAGACATATCATATCCAGGAATGGTCAGGGTAGAATCCTGGATTTCCAAAGTAGGTCTCTATATTTCCCACCCTTTTTGTCCTAACCATTATCCAGGAAATGGCTGAGAAAGGATGATCTCTTTCAGGAGGCAATTGCATTTGGTGACCAGACTTATGAAGGTATGTACACCAGGAGAAGATGAGGGTAGTGGAGTCAAAAATCTTTTTGAGTTGACTTTTGAGGAAGTTAGTCCACTGCTCAGCAATTGCAGATGCCTGTGGATGGTAGGAGCATGGAAAGTTGGATGCCTTAATTCTCAGTCCCATTTTTTAGTAGCTTTTGCAATAAAAAGGGCACCACTGTCTGATTGTAAATGGTCTCAAAAGCTGAACACATAATACAGATTAATTTCAAAGGCTGGAAAGGTTCGTGACTGGAGTCAGCTGATTGGACAGGAACAGCAACACCAAAGCCTAGAAAAGTGTCAACAGCAGTGAGGCGCCACTGATAGCTCCAGGAGGAAAGGTCCACTGTCATCAATCTGCCAGGAACATGCAGGGCCACGCTTCATGCAATGTGGCTTCCCTCACTGAAAGATGAAGAGGTCAAGTCTGGGAGTCACAGTCTGGCGTGCAGCCCTAAGTCTGCACCAGAAGCACCAAGTTCTTGGCTCTGTGGCCTGTTTGTGGTCTGTGTGGGGGCTGTGCTGTCATTTCCAGTGCGATGATAGATCCAGGCAGCCCTTGTGGAAATATGAGCAGCACAGGCTCCATCAGCAGCTCCCTTCCAGCTGGTCTCATCAGAGAATGAGCCTTTGCCATGGGATCTACATAAGTGACCGAGATAGTTCAATCAGCAGCTGTGATTTGTGCCCACTGTTTGTGTGAGGTGTCTTCAATCTGCCAGTTTGTAGTTTTCCAAGTGGCAGACCAAACAGCTAGGCCATTGGCACTGTCCAAGAGTTAGTAAAAATATGGCAAGGTTCATCAAGATGAGTGTTTTCCATGAGAACAGGCTTGAATTTTGCCCATGAGCAGTGACTACACCATCTTCAGTTCTATGTAGCTGATGCTGAGGCTAAACAGCCCCATGGTCACCACTGGGTTTCAGCTTAACTGAACCATATGTGAACAAGGCCCAGGCATTTAGGAAAATCTCTGTGAATTGAGGGCCCTGTTGAGCCAGCAGCTTTGCTTCAGTCAGTGGAGAGGAAGATAAAGTTTCCCCAAAGAGATAGGTGCCTCTTTTTAAATTGTAAACTTAGATGTTGCTGAAGCCAAGCTAGCTGCATTTTGGAATATTCTATTTCCCTTGTTAGTCATTGAGTCTGAGTTGACCCACTCAAAGTGGACTATCAAGTCAGAGATTCACGAAGCCTCTATGGGTCAAGCATTCACTTTGACGAGGAGCCCATTAGCAAGCTAACAGCTGCTTTGAAAAAGAGGTTTATGATGTGGTTATTGTGCTACAGTTTTGCAAGTTATTACCAAAAGGAAAACTAGGTAAAGGGTACACTAGATCTCTCTGTACTGTTTCTTGTAACTGTGGTGAATTTAAAATTATCTCAAAATTAAAAGTTTTTAAAAAGTTGATCTCATGGAGGTAGAAAGTAGAATGAATCGTAGCTACCAGAGGTTGGGAAGGGTTGGATGGTAGGGGCAGGGTGGGGGCAGGCAGTGAGACAAAGAGGTTAATTAATGGGTACAAACATACAGTTAGAGGGAATAAGTTCTAGTGTTCACTAGCAGAGTAGGGTGACTACAGTTACCAACAACTTATTGCATATTTCAAAATAGCTCTAAGATTTCGAATGTTCCCTATACAAAGACATGACAAATGTCTGAGTGATGGATATCCTAATTGCTCTGATTTGGTCATTACACATTGTATGCATGTATCAAAATATCACATGCATCCCATAAATACATACAATTATTATCTATTAATAAAAATTATTTTTAAAAATTAACATTTTTTTAAAAAGTTTAATTTCTCCCTAAACCCCAAGAGGCATTTCCAGGTGGAGGTTGCCTTCCTTTGGCAGAGATTCTAATTGTTGAAACTCTTAGTCACAGAGACTTATAGCTCAAAGGCATCATATTAGGATTGTGGGGCCCTACAAGTACTAGCACTTTTCTATATCTGGCTCTTCCCAATCCAGATAATATCATCTGGCATTTATGAGCATGAGTAGTACAGGCATGGGAAACATCAATCCAAATTTACGTTCTGTGGTGGAAACTACAACAGCAGTAGAGGGAATCATCCCAAAGGATCCTCCGCACAAGGTCACAAGCCCTGCCCAAACCTTGTCAGATGAATTTGGTAGCCCCTGTGCCTCACAGGACAGGGTAAGATGATGACCAAGGTTCTTGTGTCCAACAGAGCCATGCAAGTTTGAGTCCCCCAAAGTTCTCTAGTGTATTCAGATAGGTGCATGTGCCCTTCTGTCCTTCTTGGGGACAGGGAGACCTTGGCCCCACTCTCAATCATCTTTTTCCTTGAAGTAGCTGAGGCCAGGGTAGAGGGTAAGGGAGGGGCGAGGGGGTGCAGAGGGAGAGAGCTGCCTTGTGCCAGTAAACACGGCACACTTACTTCAATTTTTGAGTGTTGTGGTGGCTGTAACCGTATCAACCAACAAACTTCCAAAGCTTTTGACCCACCCAAAGCCCTCTCTCCTTATTGCTGACACCATCTATTTCATCTTTGGAGGCTCCCTGATTCCCTGCTACAGCCATTTTGCCTTTTTGCTCAGGTCTGGGGCTTGCTGCCCCATTGTCATGAAAACATTCCTTCTTCCTTTTGCCCAAAGGAGAGTAAGAAACAACCATAGTATCACTCAGATAGCTTGTTTCAGTGTTACCTCTTGTCACTCAGCCTATATCATTCATTTACAGGTAGGACAATCAGAGATCCTTATTCCTCCTTCCTCTGTCATCCACCACTTGGGTACAAGCAATGACAACTATATCGCAGGATGTCTTTTTACCTCCCCTAACCTGTCCCATGAGCCCCTTATCTCTTCTCTCCTAGAAAGCCATGTCTCTATCTGCATCTCATCCTTACTGCCAAAAGCTGTCCATGATCTGAGATTTTAACTTATTTGCAAGCTAGCAAGTAAGCCTGCCACAGTTTCAGAAAAGTAGCAGAAGACATGAGACTCCTGGGTCAGAGACAAATAATTTTTTAATTCACCACATTGCAAACAGTATGAAGTTTATGTTGCCAAGTCCCTCGTGGGCAAGTGCTGCCAAGACCCGCATGGCCAATGTGGAGGAGTCCACAGGCTCACTATGCATATAGTGAGCTGGGTTCCCTAAGGACAAACACAGATGAGGAGACCTGAACCTAGGGAATCCAGCTCTTGTATTATACACAGTATATAAACCTGCCTGAACTTTTCCCCAGAGAAAGAGAGACATTGTATTATGCCAGCAGTAACCAAACTTGTTCTGTCCTCTGGAGAAAAACTTCCTTTCTATCTTCCAAAGGTGTTCACTATACAGACATCCTTGAAAAAATAGTCTGGAACAAAGGGAGTCTATTGTAAGATATTTATAGAAAATAAAGTTAAAAAATCCAGAATAAATCATTTTGAATTTGGATATTTAGAAAATAAACTGTTAGGAATAATTTTATTATAGAGATTAATGCAATAGTAAGATGAACAAGTGAATTATTCACCTTAATACCTCAGGACAATTTAAGCTTGTATAGTCTTTCTTTCTCCTTCCTTCCCTTCCTTTCCCTCCCTCCCTCCCTCCCCTTCCTTCCTTCCTTCTTCCCTCCCTCCCGCCCTTTCTCTCTCTCTATCTTCCTTTTTCTTTTAGCATAGTGCAACCTTAAAAAATTCTTCATAAGGTTATTGATAATGCTTTTACCCCAGCTGATACAATTTTCAGTTAATTATGAATTTTCATACTAACTTTCTATTTTAACTTATGCGATTATCCAAATAATATTTCAAAAGCATTTATGCCAACTAAATAACAAAATAGATTTAGGATCTTCCACAGAAAAATAAAATATTAAATCTATTGACATAGAAATATTCTTTTTATTCAAGAAAATATTGTTGCTAAGTCAGTGACAGTTTGCTTGAAACATCTATTGAAGGTGCTGTAGAAACATATTCATATTAAAATGCATTTTTCCCCCTAACTCTTAAGCTTTCTGGCAGGCACGTAGAAACTGGTCACTGTACTTAAAAGAGAGATTGAGATTTCTCATTTTATTTACCCAGAGTCAAGAGAGGTTTCTATTTCCTTCTTGGTTATTACTTTTAAGACCAGAATCATTAATATAGTATAATGATATAGAACAAAGTAGAGATATAAGCTAATTATACAAAATTGCACAAATGACAAAAATAGAATTTCAAATTGACAAGATAATAATTGAAAATTCAATAAATTTTTTAATATACATGGTTAATTATTTTAGGAGAAAATTCAATTTGAATCATAATGAATTCTATGATGGGTCCTATGTGAAAATAAATGGATTAACATTTTAAGATAAGTATTAGCTTCTCCTTTTCTCTGCTCTTTGAACCAACTGTAGGATATGCTGGATATGCCATGAAATTGCTTCATAAGGCACTTCACTGACAGCAGATTTTCTTGCCCTGTTACAAATTCTCCTGTGTACCCAAGTTGAGGGTTCCTGCTCCTTGGCTCTGGTTAACCAAGGTAGCCAGTGCCTAAAAAATTTCATCAGGTCTGTGTTTGGGCTATGGATCAAATCGGAATGTGCAGTTGCAGTTTGCTTCGTCTACCTGTGTATTCATGCTTCCTCCAGCACGTGATAAAATTTAAGATGTGCTATTGATTCAAAGTAGAAGTTTAATTTTATACTATGGGAGAATGCAAGGTTACCATTTGGGTTGTTCTTACATAAAAAGTGATTTGCCCATTGATTCCCTCATGTTGCCAGCATTTGCCAGCCCTCCTGCCTCTTCCTGCTGCATGCCAGTCGTTCTTCTTATTCTTTAGTTTCTATCTTGATTGTCTACCGTATCTATGTATTCATCAACCATGCTGGTCTCTTGACCCCATCCTCACCATCTCCTCTGCTCTGCTCACCTAACTTCAGCCACATTCCTTAACTACTGCCATCAACCTCCTTTCTAATGAGTGTCCCTAAGTCCAGCTTCTTCTCTCTAATTCATCCTCCATATCATCAGTAAAATTTTCATTCATCATAGATCCAATCATTTTATTTTTCACGTTCAAAACATTCTGATGGCTCCTCAGGGGATACAGAGTAAAGTCCAACCCCTTTCTCGTGGCATTCAAAGCTTTACCTTTCCTTTGCCTCTTTGGACCTTCTCAGTGCCTACTGGGAAATTAACAATTAACAAACCTTTTATGACAGGTCGTAGGGTAAGGGGTTGGGGGCAGAGGATTTTTCTGTTTGTAAACTAACAGAAATGCTAAGGATTCATATAAAATAGTCACTATTTTAGAATGTGTCAGTTCTAGGTAAAGATCTAGTTTTAACTGCTGTTTCATTTGAAACAAATTCCACTTGCCAACAATAGTTTATTGAATGCTTACTCAACACCAGGCACTAACCCAGACACAATCAACATATAAACCATCCTTGCGAGTGTCCACAGTGGCTCAGGTAAGCAAGAACAGCCATGTAAAGACATATGTGTCAATGCACGTGGGGGCACTCATATACCCAAGCTTATGAGCTCTGTCTTTTCATTTCATTTATTGATTTGCTTTTTTTTTTTCCTTTGTGTCATTTTTCTTCCTTCTTGGGTGCAAGGGGCTGACTGCAACCATATACAAGGCCTTGAAGGGAAAGAATATCATCAACTTGCTCTCAAATGCCTTGATTGAATACAGGTAGCAAGTGAGGAGCCAAGGATAAGTGAAAATAGCTTGGGCTTGAGTAATTTGGATGCCAAGTCAGCTGGCAGTAAATGCATTTTTCATAGCCCACACCTGATCTCTTTTGGTCAGATTTTCTATGAGATCTTTAAAAAACCCTCTGAGCTGAAGTAACGTATTTTCTGATTAAAAATAAATGATAGTAAGTAAATGGACAGGGAGAAGCCAAGATGAATGGACTGATGGGAATGGGATTTATGAATTCTCACTTGCTCACGGCCAGCGAGCTCTTCAGCTTGTGTCAACTGCTTTACAAATACTTGTTTATTACTTATTCTTCACAACATTTCAGGAGGCTGGAAGACAGCTTTGTTTCCATTTGAAGATGAAGAAATAAATGAAAAGTTGGCAAATGCCTCTTGCCAGGCTGATGCAGAATTTGATCAATTTTGTCTGAGACTTTTGGGGGGTCCACGAGTCCCATCTATAAATTCCAGATTGGCTATTCGAATAGTTTGGTGGCAATGAGACACTATCAGAGGATTTTTTAATACTTTGGATGGGCACATTTGGAGGATGAGCTTTATTGAACCAAACTAGCTTTTGGTGCCTGACCATTAGCCACCTGATAAAGTCAGTTAACTGAAGCAAGTGTTTATTTACTCGTTGTTTAGTACTGGGCACTTGGTACGATTAATATAGAAGCAGCATAATATATGAGCTTCATGACTGAATTCATGAAATCTAATTCAGAGCTGGAAACTCTAGAGCAGGTGTGCTATGATTTCCTGCTCTCATGCCTCAAACAGACTTCACTGATAAATCACAGTCCTTTTCCTAGTTTCATCTGGTTGCAGCCCCAGAAATAGTCTCAACCTAGCTCTGCAGGCAGGCTTTATCAATAAAATAGTGTTGGAATGGTCCATGAAACACATTTGTGTGTTAGATCTAATTATTAATACATACACTGGACAGAAAAATGTTAGTGTCCACTCCATGCCTGGCACTGAGCCAGGCCTGAGGCACAGTGGAGAATGAGGCAGATGTGGCTTCAGCCCTCATGGAGCTAACTCTCTAGCAGGGAGAATGGATGGTGAGTACATAATCATGCAATTATGTATTTCGTCATGATTGTGAAAAGGGCTGGAAAGGAGCAATACAAGGTACCAGAGAGTCTTAGTCTTCTCATCTTTAAAATGGGCATAATACCTGCCCCTATCTCAAAGGTGATTGTGAGGAGCAAATGTGGCAATGTGTGCACTACCTGCAGTGAAATGCCCATGCACACCAAGTACACTGCAATGTGTTATATATTATTGTCAAGGACATATAACTATGTATATGATAAGCTCTTTTTGCTCCCTGAAACCAACCCAATGATAGTTAGAACTTCAAAATTTATTGCAATAAGCGTGCTAAATATTATGTCAAATATTTGTGCATGTTATATGTCTGTTCCTCCTGACCCTTCTCACTAGCCTATGGGTTCTCTGAGGGCAAGGCTCTATTTTCCATTTGTAATCTTGAGTGCATAACAGAGAGCCATGTTGTAAGAGGTTGGAAGATATTTTTGAGTGAAAGTGACCTGATATTCTCTTGGCATTAGGTGAAGCATTTCATCTCCAGTGAAGTTGCAAATACATATGGCTATAGTGTACCTTTAAAAACACATTATAATTTTACTTTGAAAGAATTATCTGATGAAAGGAGTATTATTGGAAGCAAATCTACCTGGCAGGTTTAAGAGATATTAACACAGTAGTGGTTGGAATCTGGTAGAACAAATGTTTTATGATCTGGATTCTTTTTCCTCAACATAGTCAGCTCTGCACACAGGAAAACGGGGAGTGATGGAATAAGAGTGCCAATAAGCCTTCAGGATATCATCTATGAAAACTTCCCCAATCTTGCTAAAGAAGCCAACATTCAAATTCAGGAACTACAGAGAACCCCAGAAAGATACTACACAAGAAGACCATCCCCAAGACACATAATCATCAGATTCTCCAAGGTCAAAATGAAAGAAAAATATTACAGGCAGCTAGAGAAAAGGCACAGGTCACCTGCACAGGGAACCCCATCAGGCTAACAGCAGACCTTTCAGCAGGAAGCCTACAAACCAGAAGAGAATGGGGGCCTGTATTCAACATTGTTAAAGAAAATAATTTTCAACCAAGAATTTCATATCCAGCCAAACCAATCTTCATAAGTGAGAGAGAAATAAAAATCCTTTTCAGACAAGCAAATGCTGAGAAAATGCATTATCACCAGACCTGCCTTACAGGAGGTCCTAAAAGGTGCACTAAATATGATAGGGAAAGATCATTACCAGCCACTACAAAAACCCACTGAAGTACACAGACCAGTGACACTATAAAGCAACCACACAAACAAGTCTGCATAATAACCAGCTAACAGCATGATGACAGGATCAAATTCACACATATTAATATTAACCTTGAACATTAATGGGCTAAATGCCCCAATTAAAAGGCACAGATTGGCAAGCTAAACAAAGAAGCAAGACTCAGTGGTATGCTATCTTCAAGAGAACCCTCTCACCTAGGCTCAATGACACAAATAGGCTCAAAATAAAAGGATGGAGAAAAATCTACCAAGCAAATGGAAAACAGAAAAAAAGCAGTATTGCTATCCTAATTTTAGATAAAGCAGACTTTAAACCGACAAAGATAAAAAAAGACAAAGAAGGACATTACGTAATAGTAAAAGATTCAATTCCACAAGAATCGAATCTTGTGGATTCAATTCCTAACTATCCTAAATATATATGCACCCAACACAGGAGCATCCAGATTCATAAAGCAGTTCTTATAGACCTTCAAAGAGACTTAGAGTCCCACACAATAATAGTGGGAGACTTTAACACCCCACTGACAGTATTAGACAGATCATTGAGGCAGAAAATTAACAAAGATATTCAGGACCTTAATTCAGCACTGGATCATATGTACCTCATAGACATCTACAGAACTCTCCAGCCCCAAACAACAGGCTATACATTCTTCTCATTGCCACATGGCACATATTCTAAAATTGACCACACAATCAGAAATAAAACAATCCTCAGCAAAAAAAAGGAACAGAAATCATAGCAACCACTCTCTTGGGCCACAGTAAAATACAATTAGAAAGCAAGACTAAGAAAATTGCTCAAAACCAAACAATTACGTGGAAATTAACCTGTTCCCAAATGACCTTTGGGTAAATAATATAATTAAAGTAGAATCAAGAAGTTCTTTGAAACTAATGAGAACAAAGATAGAACATACCAGAATCTCTGGGACACAGCTAAGGCAATGTTAAGAGGGAAGATTATAGCACTACACACCCATATCAAAAAGTTAGAAAGATCTCAATTTAACAACCTAACATCACCCGTTGAAGTAGAGAAACAAGAGCAAACCAACCCCAAAGCAAGCAGAAGACAAGAAATAACCAAAATTAGAACTGAACAGAAGGAAATTGAGTCACATAAAATCCTACAAAAGATGACTGAATTCAGGAATTAGCTTTTCGAAAAAATTAATAAAATAGACCACTAGCTAGCCTAATAAAGAAAAAAAGAAAATCCAACTAAACACAATCAGAAATGACAAAGGGGGCATTACCATCTACCATACAGAAATACAGAAAGCCCTCAGACACTACTATGAACACCTCTATGCATACAAACTAGAAAACCTAGAAGAAATGAATAAATTTCTGGACACATATACCCTCTAAAGACTAAACCAGGAAGAAATTGAATCACTAAACAGACCAATAATGAGTTCCAAAATTGAATCAGTAATAAAAAGCGTATCAACCAAAAAAAACCCAGGACCAGACAGATTCATAGCTGATTCTACCAGCTATATAAGGAAGAAGTGGTACTAACTCCACTGAAACGATTCCAAAAAATTGAGGTGGAGGGACTCCTCTCTCACTCATTGTATGAGGCCAGCATCATCTTGATACAAAAACCTGGCAGAAACATACAAAAACAGAAAACTTCAGGCCAAGATCCTTGATGAACATAGATGCAAAAATCCTCAACCAAATACTTGCGAACTGAATCTGGCAGCACATCAAAAAGCTATTTCACAATGATTAAGTAGGCTTCATCCCTGGGATGCAAGATTGGTTCAACATATGCAAATCAATAAATGTGATTCATCACATAAACAGAACTAAAAACAAAACCCACATGATTATCTCAATACATGCAGAAAAGGCTTTTGATAAAATTAAACATATCTTCATGTTAAAAACCATCAACAAACTAGGCATTGAAGGAACGTACTTCAAAATAATAAGGGCCACCCATGACACACCCACAGCCACCATCATATTGAATGGTCAAAATTTGGAAGCATTCCTCTCGAAAACCAGAACATAACAAGGATGCCTTCTCTTTCCACTCCTATTCAACATAGTGCTGGAAGTCCTGGCCACAGCAATTAGGCAAGAGAAAGAAGTAAAAGGCATACAAATAGGAAGACAGGAAGTCAAACTATCCCTGTTTGCAGACAACATGATTCTACACCTAGAAAACCTCAGAGTCTCTGCCCAAAAGCTCCTCAATCTCATAAACAACTCCAGCAAAGTTTTAGGATACAAAATCAACATACGAAAATCAGCAGCATTCCTATACACCAACAACATCCAAGCTGAGAGTCAAATCAGGAATGCAATCTCACTTATAATTGCCACAAAAAGAATAAAACCCATAGGAATACAGCTAACCAGAGAGGTGAAAGGTCTCTGTGATGAGAATTACAAAACACTGCTCAAAGAAATTAGAGATGACACGAATAGAACAACATTCCATGCTCATGAATAGTAAGAATCAATATCGTTAAAATGGCCATACTTCCCAAAACAATTTATAGATTTAATGCTATTCCTATCAAACTACTAATAAAATAATTCACAGAATTAGGAAAAAAAACTATTTTAAGATTCATATGGGACCAAAAAGAGCCCAAATTACCAAGGTAATCCTAAGCAAAAAGAACAAAGCTGAGGAATCGCATTTCTAGGCTTCAAACTATACTACAAGGCTATACTAACGAAAATAGCATGGTACTAGTACAAAAACAGAAACAGAATAGAGAGCCCAGAAATAATGCTGCACACCTACAACCATCTGATCTTCGACAAAACTGGCAAAAAAAAGCAACAAGGGCCGGGCGCGGTGGCTCACGCCTGTAATCCCAGCACTTTGGGAGGCCGAGGCGGGCGGATCACGAGGTCAGGAGATCGAGACCATCCTGGCTAACAAGGTGAAACCCCGTCTCTACTAAAAATACAAAAAATTAGCCGGGCGTAGTGGCGGGCGCCTGTAGTCCCAGCTACTTGGGAGGCTGAGGCAGGAGAATGGCGTGAACCCGGGAGGCGGAGCTTGCAGTGAGCCGAGATCCCGCCACTGCACTCCAGCCTGGGCGACAGAGCGAGACTCCGTCTCAAAAAAAAAAAAAAAAAAAAAAAGCAACAAGAAAAGCACATTGTATTCAATAAATGGTGCTGGGATAACTGGCTAGCTATATGCAGAAGATTGAAACTAGACATCTCACTTACACCATATTCAAAAATCAACTCAAGTTGGATTAAAGACTTAAATATAAATCCTAAAACTATAAAAATCCTGGAAGAAAACCTAGGCAACACCATTCAACACCATAGAAACTGGCAACGATTTCATGATGAAGACACCAAAAGCAACTGCAACAAAAGCAAAAGTTGACAAATGGGACCTAATTAAACTAAACAGCTTCTGCACAGCAAAATAAACTATCAACAGGGTAAACAGACAACATACAGAATGGGGTAAAATCTTTGCAAACTATGCCTCCTACAAGGTTTAATACCCAGTGTCTCTAAGGAACTTAAATTTGCAAGAAAAAAAACAAACAACCTCATTAAAAGTGGGCAGAGGACATGAACAGACCAAATTTTTAGGAAGAAGTTTGGACCAGAAATATGAACCATGAATGGTGAAATTGTCTCACCCTAAGTATTACAACAAATGTAGTAAAATAATTTTGCTTTCCAGAAGCTGGAGACTTAAGTACATTTTCATTGTATTGGTTTCTCAATTTCAAACTTTATTACTAGCAGAGAAGAAGACAGAGTGAAAATAGAGGTTGGGGAAGAGGATGATTATTAATTTTAAAATAGAGATACCATGAATGAATTCTACATTATTTTTGGAAAAGATATTTAGAGGAGAAACTCATAGCTATAAAACTTTTATTTAGATCTTGACTGATATTCATGAACATGTAGCAGGAATATATTACCTTTCCAAATATTACATTTTCAGATAAATTGTCAATTGTTTTAATGTCTTTTCTCTCAGTTATTTCCCTAAGAGTATTTTGATTTTAATTTTCCTTTCCATGATATAAATTTTAAATGTAAGATGATGAAATAAATTGATTGAAGTCATACAGTTCTCAGAATATGAACTGGGGCTACAAAAAAAAAAGTGAGCAGAGGACGTGAACAGACACTTCTCAAAAGAAGGCATATATGCAACCACAATCATATGAAAAAAATGCTCAACATCACTAATCATTAGAGAAATGCAAATCAAAATTTGCATCACAATGAGATAACTCACACCAGTCAAAATGGTCATTATTAAAAAGTCAAAAAATAACAGATGCTGACAAGGTTGCAGAGAAAAGGGAACACTTATATACTGCTGGTGGGAGTGTAAATTATTTCAGCCATTGTGGAAAGCAGTCTGGTGATTTCTCTAAGAACTTAAAACAGAATTACCATTCAGCTCAGAAGGGAATACGATTGGTTCTACCATAAAGACACGTGCACATATATATTTATTGTATCACTATTCCCAATAGCAAAGACATGAAATCAACCTAAATGTCCATCAACAGTAGACTGGATAAAGAAAAGGTGGTACATATACAACATGGAATACTATGCAGTCATTAAAATGAATGAGATCATGCCCTTTGTAGTAACACAAATGGAGCTGGAGACCATTATATTAAGCAAACTAACACAGAAACAGAAAACCAAATACAGTATGTTCTCACTTATAAATGGGAACTAAAGAACAAGAACACATGGACACAAAGAGGGTAACAACAGACACGGAGGCCTACTTGAGGATAGAGGGTGGAAGGAGGGAGAGGATAAAAAAAATCTGTCGGGTACTATGCTAATTACCTGGGTGACTAAATAATCTGTACCCCAACCCCCCCGTGACACACAGTTTACCTAGTAACAATCCTGCGCATGGAACCCTATTCCAAAATAAAAGTTAAAAAAAATTTTAATCAGTCAATGAGTATTTCTCAGTGTGACACAGCTTTGGCAGGATAATGGATTATTTCCAGCCCTTGTGGTAGGATTTCTGTTTGCCTAACTAGAAACTTACATTTCTTAGCCTTCATATGACATTTTTCTAAGCCAATGAGCTGTGAAGGGAAGTCATTTGGTAAAACTTCTGGGAGAACTTTTTCAATGAGGAACAAAGTCAGGTGATGTGTGATAGCTGGAGCTGCAGCCACCTTCTGGGGAATGTTAAGTCAAAGCCCCAGAGACTCACAGAGGCTTCATCCCTGCATCCTGGAGCTGCTGAACTAAGACCAGCAACTCTGCACTTGTCACTGCAGAAAAATAAACCCTCATTTGGTTGATTCATCATTATATAGGTTTTATGTTATGTGTATCAGAGCACAAACTCAAGTGGCATGCCTATAAAAATTATGCAAATTCCAACCTTCTATACATCTTCTACGGGTTAAAAAATCAATAATTTTGTATCCATGTACTCCTTCTACATTCTGGAATTTTATTGATCAAAACAAAACTTAGGTGAGGTATTAGTAAATTCCATGGGAGTATAATAAGAATAGTTTGAAAGCAACACACTATTCTTTTAAATAATTTCAGCATATTCAGCAGTGCTATCCTATAGAAACAAAAAGAAAGCCACACACATAATTTTAAATTTGCTAGTAACTATATTCTAAAAGTAAAAATAAACAGGTGCAATTAATTTTAATATTTTATTTAACTCATTATATTTTAAAATTGTTTAAAATATAATCGATATGAAACATGTTAATGATATAGTTTCTGTTCTTTTGTCCTTTAAGTCTTCAAACCTGATGGGTATTTTATACTTTCAGCACATCTCAATGTAGCCTAGTTGCATTTCAAGTGCCTAGTAGCCTGTGAGGCTTGTTGCTGCTCTATTGGACAGTGATGTAACAACTTAGGATGGAGCAATTTAAAAACAAATCAGTGATTGGGAAGATAGTAACGATGACAAGGTTTTGATGACCTTGTTCAATATACAAGCTAACTCCCGTCTCTTATGCTCCATTTCAGTTATACTATTAGGAATCAAAACAAAACGTTTTCCTCAATAACTCCATAAATATACTCTAAATTGAAACATGATTTTCTTCTTGTTTTTCCCTTTCTTATGGTGCTGATGAAACATGATTTTAAATAATTTATCTCCCTAAAGACTCCATGGAAGCAATGAAGTTTTCCTGTACATTATTCTTGTTTTCTTCTGCTTCTACCACTACCACCACCAACACTATTGCCACTAACCAGAACGAAATTCATTATTCTCCCAAACCTGGTCCTCCCTCAGTCTTCCCCATCATATTAAATGGTCCTACTTCACCTGCCCCACTGATAAACCCAGGGAGCTTGATCCCGTTTTCTTCAACCCTCACATCCATCCTGCCGCAAGCCCTGGCATTTTGCTTGCATGGCACTTTTCTTTTCCTCCATTGCTGCCAAGCTCTGGCACCCTGCCCTGGATGACTGCACTGATGCCTTACTGGGCCTTGGCCTGGCCACTTCATTCTTCACATGGCAGCAAGAGTCATCTTTTAAAAACACACATCAGATTGTAACAGCCCTATGTTTGAAATCCTCCAATGGCTTATTAATACATGTAATAAAATGCGAGTTTCTAGCAAGGCTAGGATGACTTGGCCCCTGTCCCACTCTCTGGCTACTCCTCACTCCTCTCTCCACCTTCTCCCTGGGCTCTGGCTACTCTGGCCTCCTTTCTGTCTCTTGAATTCACGAAGCTTTGTTCAGCCTGTAGGCTTCGACTTAGGCAGTTCCTAAAATGTTCCTTCCCATACAGCTGCCCAAGGTTCATCCCTCATGATTCAGATGATTCATGCAGCCAAGCACATTATCTAAACTATCAACTTCATTCTCTCCATCGCTTTTTTCTTTTTGTTCAAAGCCTTATCACTGTCTAGAATTTTATCCCTTTTTAATATATACATTTGTTAATTCTCCATTCCTCTTCCCCTGAGATGGGGATGTCTGGCAGGCATTTGGGTGCATGGGTCTGCAGTTGAGAGGGGATCTGGGCTGGTATTTGGTATTCAGAGTTAGTCCATGGGTGTAGGTGAGGTCTCATAAAAAGAGTGTGTATCATAAGGAGAAGGAAGGACTGAAAATATCATCCTGGGAAACAGACATTTGTGGTGTGAGATGAGGAAGAAGAGCAAGGGAAGAGGAAAAGGAAGAGCAATCATTGAGCTGAGGGATGGCCGAGAAGAAAGTGCTGCCCTGAAATAAGGAGAGAAAGCATTCCCGGAAGGGGTGGTGGGCCAGTGCTGCCTCTGAGAAGTAGGACACCCCTTAACCCATCTGGCTTTTTGTGAAGGTCTTAGTAACCTTCTATCCAGTTTGTTTTTCTTTCCCTCTTCCAGTGCTAACAATTCTCATTCAATTCTATGGAGCATGCGTGCTTACAAACTTCCTGGCTTCTAAAGGATTGGGCCAGTTTTTCTGCTGCCTCTCTAGGCTTCTTCCCAGTCCCTTTTATTGGTGCCTCTTCCTCTGCTATATCTTGCATGCTGGTGTTCCTTGGGATCCCATCCTCAGCCGCCTTCTCTCTGACTTTCATATGTTATATCTGGGTGTTCTGAGCTACTGGCCCATTTCTTGCTTCCTTCACCTAGAAACATACCTGTGTCCTCCTCTTTACGTTTTTCTCACCAGTGGATGAAGTACACCCCCTCTTATCCAAAGATCTCCCTCCGTTTATACCCTAGGCCTCATTCCCTTCCCACAGTCTAGACACAGTGTCCATACCACATCAACCACTCACTAGCTCTGTTCTACCTTGTCTCTCTCCCTCTGTTGACCCTCACATCAGTGTATAGACATGACCAACTTTCTTCTTTTTAAGGCAAAATCAAGGCCAAGCACCATGGCTCACACCTGTAATCTCAGCACTTTGGATGCTGAGGTGGGAGGATCATTCGAGTCCAGGAGTTCAAGACCAGCCTGGGCAACATAGTGAGACTTCGTTTCTACAAATAATAATAAAATATATTAGCTGGGCATGGTGGCATGCACCTGTGGTCCCAGCTACTTGGGAGGCTGAGGTGGGAGGATTGCTCGAGCCCAGGAGATTGAGGCTGCAGTGAACTGTGATTATGCCACTGCACTCCAACCTGGGTGACAGAGCAAGACCCTGCCTCAAAAAAAAGGAAAAAGAAAGAAAAAATCAAATTTCTATTTTAACTCCAAGTTCCTCTTTCCCTCCTACTACTCTATGCATCTCATTTCTAATTAATGTTTTTAAAAGATAATCTGCTCTCTATCTATTTTTCCTCATCTCCCATTAAGTGCTTTGCTAACTGTAATCTGAGTTCTTCCTCCATCACTTCATGGGCTTTGCTTGCAACAAGTTCAGCAAGGACCAGTACTTTTTTCTCCAGCCCTGTCTTATTTGGTTTCTCTTTGATAATTAATGGGGTTCACTGTGCATTTTCTCTTTCGTGACTCTGTCTCCTCCCTTGGCTTCTGGGAAATGTCTCTCTTGATTTTCCTTTTATTTCTCTGGCTACTTTTTCACCTGCTTTTATTCCTCCACTCCACTGTTATAATTGGTGGGTCTCAGGAATTCTATCCTTGTCCTTCTTTTCTTCTTACACTCCCTGATTAAACATGCTGCTTATGTGCTGCTGACACCTGCCTTGAGTTGAGGGCTTGCAAACAGGTAGTTTATTTGGAAAATGTTTCCAGGGAGCAGAAGTGGGGAACAAATGAAATTAAAATATGTAATTAGATAAAGCTAAAATAAAGATGCATTATCCTGCTGGTCACCATGGCAAGAACTAAAGTTCCATCCCACTGGGACTTTTTATGGAGCATAGACTACTTGTCACAGTTGTACATCATTGGATCAGGAGGACAAAAAAATGAATCTGTTACCATTTAACCACTGCTTGAAGGTTGTCTCTGGGGGGTGTTACCTTCCTCAAACCTCAAGTTGCACATATGCAGATCTGAGTGGGTCCCTAAGGCATTTCACACCTTGTCAGAGAAATTCAAGCACAAGAAGTAAAAGACCCACAGCACAGACAGGAGGTGAGGCCAATGCATTGAGGCCGAGTGGATGTGAAGTGGTAGCGAGGGGTATGCGATATGGCCCACCATTGTGCCACTCAGATCTACTTATGTCCTCCATTAAGCCCAATTTGTTGCTGAATCTTCACATTAGTGGCCAGACATATTTTCTTTCAAATACAGAGTAGAGGAGGATTAGTGGAATTAATGGTAGTTCCCACTGCTGCAACTAGTCTTAAAGCTGTAATTGGTATTCATCCTTTCCCTCCTTCATCACTCATTCTAGATTTTCATTGCTTTTGGCCAGCACTTCAGCTTTTCTGGGTAGCTTGCCTGGTGGAGTGACCAAAACTTTCATCCCTGAAGTGGTGAGCCCTTAGTTGCCTTGCCGTTTGTAGACTGTTGTTCAATCAACAGGCAATAAAAAGAGATTCCCCAGTGAATCCCCTAAATTCCAGGCATACTCTTCCTTGCCTCACTGTATAACAGCAAGTATAGCTCTTTATGGTAGTCAGGGTTGAACACTCTCACTGGTATAGCACCTGCTTTCTCTGCTTGCTTGTCGGCCAGCATGAGGAGTCCAAAGTAACCAGGTGATGGTTGTAGCTTCAAATTAGGCAAAACCCATACTGTGCCCTCTGTTTGAGGCATTCTCCACTCTGACCCTGGGAACCACGGCTTCTAATCTGGCAGAGCCTGGGATTGTGAGGACAGGAAGCACAGATTTCATAAAGGAAAGTGATGATTAGAAAAGTTTATTTTAGCCTCTATCCCTTGGCTCCCAGATCTGCACATTCTAGCCACTGGGGACCCAACGCAGTATATTAACTGTTGGTTCCTTGCTAATACTACATCTTGGAGGACAGTACTCCAACTCTGCAGTAAGTGGTCCCCAAAGTGGTACCTTAGCTGAGCCTTTAATAATCAATTTCATCATTCCTTAGGCTGTCTGCTTTGAGGCGATGCAATAAGACAGGTAGATTCCATGGTTATGAGCTTGCTGTCTCTTCTCTTCAGCCAAAACAGGGTCTTTAGGTCTAAGATAAACTCATAGCTATAGAAATATAACTTGGCAAACCCTTGAATGCTGGTGCTGGCTGAAGCAATGTGGGCAGAGAAGGCAAATGCATCTTCAGAATAGGATGCATAGCTGCCCCTTTCAGATGGAAGGATTCAATGTAATCAACTTCCTACCAAATGGCTGGTCTCCTTGAGGTCTGGTGTTCTGTCAAGATTTCTGTGCCTGGGGGGCCAGACGTTCATCAGGGACACTATCTAGATAGTTTGGTGAGGTAAAGCCCTTGCCCTTGGGCCCATGACTAACTCTCTTTTCACCACCACAGTCCCTCCATTTCACACGCCTATTGCACAAGCTTTCCAGGAGCTCACAAGAGGCTCTGGCTGACCCTCATGAATGAGTGATCCTGTCCACTTAGTTGTCAAGTGTTTCTCCTCTATGGCCATGCTTCCTAATGAATTAATAAGTTCACAAACACCCATATGATTTTTTTTGCCCACTAATAAAAAAATTGCTGGACTTGGATATATGCTGGCTAAACTGGGGAAAATTTATTGACATGGGGGCCCTCTCCCATGACTCAGAATTTAACATCCTAGAAAGAACAACTGGAGTAATTCAAATTGCTGATGAGAGGCACCTTGAAACTCGACATGACAATGACTTGTAGTAAGTTAGGTGGCGACATAGGAAATTGCCTGGGCAAAATATTGAGGAAGGGATCAGAAGGCCCAGAAAGGATGGGTATATTAAAATAGTTATTATGTAACATGAAGAGTTCACCACCTGACAGGGTCCCCTAAGAGGCCCCAGAGGACATTCCCTTCATTAAGAAAATAAAGATGCATTTGTGAGGGGGCCACCAGATTCTCTGAGAACCTCTGTGATGGCTGTCCTTGGCCAGGTGGATAAACGGCAGAGGATGCTGCCGTGGCGCTGGCTCCTTCGTGTCATTGGTGACAGTACAGTTCTAGAATAGCAGGGGCCGGGTGACAGCACTTTGCCATCAGAGGTGAGGGGGTGTGATTTCTGTGATGGGTATCAGGGCAGAGAAGCAGTACCTTGACCTGATGGGATCACTGTGGATTGAAGGGAAAGATACATGGGCAACTGATTAAGCTGTGGCTTGACTTGATTAATAAAAACAAACACATGAACAAAACCTAGGATCTTAGCAGAAGACTTATAACAGTTGTCATGATGGAAAGTCATGATCTTTCACCCAGTTTCTGATTCAAGCCGTATCACAAACCCAGAGTTTATTGATTGAAGTTGAGACCAGGTCTCCTTCAGGATTCTGCTGTAAGCATTTCCAATAAATATTCCTCCAAGTCTTTTCCAAAAGGATCTGTATCCATTTATCAGAATAGGAGCTTAGAGAAATCAGATGATGAATGGAGTCGTGGCCCACATCTGCTCAGACTGGGTTATTGGGTCATTATATCCCCGGTCCTTGAGTGTATAATTAGGAAGGGTATATTTAGCAGCTGGTAGAGCTCTCGCCTTGGCTTCCTGAGCTTGGAATAAGAGCCATCATGATAGAAAGGGCCAAATAAAATCTTCTGAAACTGTCTCTCAACTCTCAAGCCAAGTTAGTAAATCAGAAAAAATACTGTATCTTTGAAGAAATTGAAGAGAGTAGGGTTTTTAATGAAGACTTAAAGCAGGGTTTTTCAAAGGATGGCTCCTGGGCCAGTAGAATCAGCATCACCTGGGAATTTTCTAAAAAAAGCGAGTTCATAGGCCCCACTCCTGGCCTACTGTATTAAAAAACTCTGGGGTGGGGCACAGCAATCTGTTTTTAAATGAGCCCTCCAGGTGATTCTGATGAGCTTTAAAGTTTGAGAACTGTTGCCTTAAAGGATGGTGGTGGGCCCTTTCAGGCCATGTTTGCCAAAATTGCTCATTCAATTCACCTGTTTAGTTCATTAAAAAACCAGATGGTTCATAATAGGTGATGGCAGACTACTACTATACACTTAGCCAGGAGTAGCCCGAGTCACACCTGCTGTGCTCAGTATGTTTTCTTCACTGGAAATGAACACACACAGCCTCTGATCTGGTGAATGTGTCCTCAATTCCCTATTGGTAAGGAGGATAAACAGCAGTTTGCATTTACATGAGAAGGACAGAAGTACACATTCACGCTCTTGACCCAGGGCTTGGTTAATGCCCCCCATCTGTGACATCATAGTTTGAAGAGATCTCGGTCATCTTGACATTTCACAGAACATAAAGCTACTCCACAATGTTGATGACATTATGCTAATTGGACCTGGGAGAGAAGTAATTGATTAAGAACCCTAATGCCTCAGTAAATTATGTCTGCCAAAGGGTGGGAGACCCTAAATGTCATGAAGATTCAAATGCCTAATATGAAGACTCTTAGAGTTCAGAATTGTGAGGCATGCCAGGATATCTCTTCCATGCTAAGGGATAGATTTTTGCACTTCACTCCCCCCTACCACCAAGAAGAGACACAGAATTGATGGGTCTCTTTGATTTTGGAGGCAGCATATACCACGCTTGGGAATGTGGTGGTGATCCATTTGTCAGGTGACTCTGAAGCCTGCCAGCTTCTAGTAGGGCTAAGAAGGAGAAAGGGCTCTGCAGTAGATACAGGCTATGGGGAATTTGCCCTTCTGCCTGAACTACATGGCCCAGCGATCCAGTGGCGTTTGAGGCATGCAGGGCAGACATGGTGGCTATGTGTAGTCTTTGATAAGTGTCAGCTGAGACTGGTGAGAATTAGTAACCACTGAGGCCAAGAGCTTATTCGTATCCTATTCAGGGGCTTTCCTCTGTGCCCTGCATTTTTCATGGCCCCTACAATGTAATTTATGCAAGTATGTCTCCTTCTTACTTTAAGCATCTTGTCTTACGCACTATTCACCATGATAGGCCAATTGCTGTAATAGATGACCTTAGAATTTCAGTGATTTAACCAAATACATGTTGATTGATCATTCATCCAACAGTCCGATGTAGGTGTTTTCTTGTTAGAGCCTCTCCTCCAAGAAGTGACTCAGGAACCCAGGGTCCTTCTTCCATTTTGTGGCTCTTCCCTCCATCAATGCCTCAGCTCCTCTCCATTCCACCTATGGAAAGAAAAAAAGGATGGAGCATTATGCATGGGAAGGACCTCACTTCTACTCCTCTGGCTAGAACCCAGCCACATGGTCCTGCCAAAGTGTAAAGGAGGCTAGGGAATGTGGGTTGGCTTAATGATCAGGAGGAAAAGGAATCTTGGTTTGGTGAGGTACTAGCATCTGCTGCACGTCCTTACTCAAAGGCCCATCTTGAGGGACAAGGTTACTCAGTTGAGATGAATGAGGGTTTTGCTTCCTTCCCACAGATGGCAGATGATGGTCATGGCTGAGATCTCAGAACCCGGGATCCTTCAGCTGAGTCCCTTGTGCGTCTTTGGGTTCTCCACTGTGGCTGCATTCTCTGCACCACATTGCCATAGGGTGATGAGTGAGGGTTCCAAAACTCCTTTTTGTAAAAAGAATCATTGTGTGCTTTGAGTGGGAGCTTTGTTTTAGAGAAACAAAGCCAAGACATGATTATTCTGTCTGTGTAGCACTCTTCAACACCTACACGGGAACAGCAGCTCAGAAGCCATTTAATCATGTCATGCCTCAGAGTTATTAAACTGAGAAAAATAAATGTGAATCTGTGCTCTGGCCAGGCGGGTGATATGAAATAGGCAAAGCAAGCCAGGCATGAGAGGTAGGAGGTGGTGCCTGGGTGAGCAATTTGTAAGTGATGGCAATTAATTTAAAAAGATGCTGTGAGAGCCAAGCAAAATGTATCTGCAAACCACACAGCTCCCAGTGGGTGACCTCTGCTTTTTAAAACTACAGCCTCTCTTGGTTCCTAAGTTCCCTAAAACTCAGGCCCTCTATTTTAGGCTTATGAGAGACAACCATTTTCTAAGACTGAAAAGTAATTTCTCAGCAAGCAGTCTCCTGTGAACACCACTCCAGACAAGTTCATCTTCAGCCAACGAAGATCATCAGCCAAACATCTGGGTCTGGCAGACCCAACAGCTGCATGCACTTTCAGTTCAAGCATCATCCATATGGGTGTCATTAGCCTCCTAATTGACCTCAGGGTCTGGATGTGGAAGAGGGCAGCCAAGCAGTGTGGAGGCATCCACAGGGGCTAAACTGAGAGGAAGCTCCCATCTGTGTGGACACAGCTCTGTGCAACTGGCTCTGGGCATGACACAGGCAGACCAGCTTGACTCAGAAGGCTCTATATGGCATCCACAGACCCAATGAATGAGGCTGCAATCCCCAGCACAGGAACAGCAGGCTGAGGATGGGCAAATGACGTCTGGGTAATGGAAGGAATCACAAGGGCTATTGTAGGTGACCTCTAGACAAAAACAATAAATGTGGAGACTCTTGAAATGTTCTGAGAATCTGCCACCTTTCTCATTGTGTTTTTCAAAATTATGGTAAAATACACATAAAATGTACCATTATAACCATCTTAGAGTATAGAGTTGAGTAGCATTAATTATATTCACAGTGTGTGCAACCATCCCCACCATTCCCAGAACTTTTTCATCACTCCAAGCAGAAACTCTGTGCCCATTGAGCCATTCCCTCTTCTCCCTAGCCCCTGGAAATCTGCTTTCTATCTATTGACTTACCTATTCTGAGTATCTTGTATGAATGGAATCATTCAATATGTGCTCTCTTCTGATTTTTGAGACTCTTGCCTTTAGAAAACTTCTGTATGTAGTTCTTACCTGAGAGTGGACCCGACCCAGTGGGAATCGGGGTGAGTCTGATGAAAGCCAGTGTAGTTTCCTTAGGCTGGGTCTCCTGGAGGCACACTTTGAGACAAGGATGAGAGCACAGGTGGTTTATTTGGGAGATGATCCCAGAAATATAGAAAACTGGGGAAGTGAGACAGGAAAGTGAAGGAAGCATGGCCCTGAGCAGTCACCACTGTGGGCAGCTCAGGCTCATCCTGCCAGGGAGATGGCAAAGAACACACCTCAGAGTTAGTTGTCTCTACCGAGGGGTGGGAAATTTGGGGCACTCATACACCGACTCCCACCAATAATTGATAACGGCTACTTCTGGGGGTTCTCTCTCCCCTGGATTTAAAGCCAACCCTGGAAGAAGGAAGCCATGAGGTTGAGTTGGGGTTGGGTTGGCAGGTGCTGAGAAAGGTGGATGAGGCACTGACAGCCTCTGCTACAGTTGGAGAGTCCCCAGGGCCAGGTCCAAGGAGGAAGGTACTTCACAGGTGAGCTGGGTCAGAGGCTTGGCCTCATCAGGAAGAAGACGGAGGAGAAAGCAGATAGCATTAAGGCTAGAGCGGGGGTGATATGGGAAAGCAGCCAACAAGCAGTGAAGCTGGTGGTCAGAGGGGGACACTCAAGAGCAGGACAGGGGAGGTGTGGAGAGGAAGTTGTGGGGAGTGGTTTGAAGCTCATGAGTGAACAGAATTTAAATCCTGTAGAGCCCCTCTTGTGTGGGTTCTGCATGGGCTACTCAGAGGAGGCAGCTCTGGTTGGAAACACACACCTTCCATGGACAGAAGGCAGCCTGAAGTTTTGGCATGCCGCTCACTATCAAATCTCTACTCAGCCTACTTTGAACACACTCAGCAACAGGGACCAACAGGCTTTGCTGTAAAAGTCCAGAGAGTGAATATTTCAGACTTTACAGGCTATTCCGTCTCTGCCACAGCTACTCACGGCTGCTGCTGTAACATAAAAAACAGCCATAAAAAATACAAAAACAAATGAGCATAGCTGTGTTCCAATAAAACTTTATTTGCAAAAATAGGCAGCAGGCCCATTTTGGCCCATGGGTCATCATGTGAAGCTCCTGTTTCCCACTATTTTAAACCATGACACATTTACGGGAGAGCTACATATTTGTGAACTCTGCACCTCCCCTTCACTCTCTTATCCTAAGCAGCATTCTACGGGCTGCTGAGGAACCCCAAAGACTTTCAAAACCCAGTTTAAAATCACTGGTCTGGGTATAACTGTGAACTTTTCTATATTGCCTGCTGTCAGCAATAATGGGGAAGAAAAGGGGAAAAGACCAACAATAATAATATTCTCAATAATGAGTTTCCATTATTTCAGGTATTTTACATGTTTTCTTACTTAATGTTAGCCAAATTCCTCAAGGTAACTGGAAATAGCCCATTTTACATGTGAGAAGCCTGAGGCTAAAAGAGGTCGGTTTTCCCAAGTCATACATCTAGTAAGTGGTAGAGCAGGAACTCAAACCTGGGTGAATTTGATCCCAGAATCCACGCACTTTGTACTACATCTGTTTGTTAGCTGAGCTCTGAGAAAACAATTAAGCAATTAAGCAAAACAAAACAATAACAACAAAATAAAATCCCCAAACCGAAATACTGCTCTGAGTTTCCTGATAACCTCGCTTTCTCGGTTAGTTGTATTTGATTGCTAGCTACAGCTATTAGCTCAGGCTAATGTAAAAAAGAGGGGAGTTCGTTGTTGGAATAATGATGGGGACCACAAAACTGATGGAAAGCTGCAGACGCTGATGTGGAAATGGGCCAGGGGGTAGGCAGCTCCTGAATTGAAGAGGCAGAGTGACAACAGCAGGCCCGTGGCAGGGATGGTCTGGTAAGGACCCACCTTGGGGACGGAAGGGAATTCCAGCCATTCTCAGTCTCTTTGTATCTCCTTTCAAAATTCAAATTACAGAGAGGGAGTATCCAACTCTTCCCCTGGCCACACACACGTGTGTGTGTACTGATTACACTCCTACCAGTTTGGGAAGGTAATTGTTCAAAAGGTATTCATTTGGATGTTGTTTGGAAGGGGAAATGGAGTCCAGCTGCCTAAAACCTAACAAACACTCATGCATAAGGCAACAGGGAAACAGATGGCTTAAGGGGCAACCACCGCCTGACTAAAGAAAGAATTATCCATTCATTTTCAGAAGCATTTTCTAGTGCTGAACTTCAAGAAATTATGTAGTTCTTTATATAAGGAACATCAAACAACAGAGGAGATGATACCTCCAAAACAGTTTTACAAAAGAGGTCTCCTGTCCATGGGTTCATGATAAAAACCAAAGTTAGACAGTTAAGTCCAAACATTTTTACAAGGAGTCATAGTAACAGATCTTAGCCTACAGATTCCTGCTGATTTGATTTCAGGCAAGATCAAACTTAGAAAAGGGATATTGACGCATTCCTTGACTCTCCTTTCCCATCAGGAATGGACAGCCAGTCTTGGCTTGAGATTGCTGGAGCCTGGTACAAGGTGGTATCAAATGGAAATGCCGTCTCTGGGAGATGCCCTCTCTCAAAGGGCCAGTGACAGCTGCTATTTAATATTATTAGCCACCTCACATCTACTTTGCCTTCCTAGTAACACTGCAATTCCTTGGAGTAAATCAGGGTATCCTGCCTTCCCAGAAGCTAAAGGAATCCCTGGATGTCCCTGCTGCCAGATCCTCTCCCTCACTGCCCTATCCAGCCAAGGGAGGGCACTCATCTAAGCCTGCCCTCCAGATTCCTTGTCCTGGGTTGTTGGACCTAGAGCAAAATGATACAAAGTAGATGGCACTAGTCCATTCCTGAGGGTTCACTTGTTCCTGATCTGGTTTTCATCCTGTCTCAAAATCTGGTTGTCCAGCCTTCCAATTAATTAATCCTGTGAGTTCCTTAATACCTTTTGAATAAGTACATTAAGTAAACCAGATGTATTTCTACTGTGCATGACCAGAAACACTGCCTGATACAGTAAGCAGAGGTAGCTGTCTCTAATAGCAACAAATAACTTCAGCCACAATAACAAAACTCAAATTCCTGGATGCTAAATTCAAGGAATAGAATGAAACTCAGGGATGCCTTGTGGCATTGCCAAAATAATCTCATAATTCTTACAATTTCAGAACGGAAATAGCCAAAGACCAAAGTCAGAGTTTGAGCCCATGAATTGCTGAATGACGTTATCTGTGGAATATATGGCTGTGTCAAGGCTCCTGTAAAAGTGGAAGCAAAGAGTGGGGCCCTGACAATTGAAACAGGGACGTTCTGGGTGGGTTTATAAGATGCCAAGCACTTATAACCTCCAAATTGCTCTAAAGTAACAGCTAGCTGTCCAGCCCTGTCGTTATGGAAGAAAGGGATATATGGAGGTTAATTATGCTAGACACATGGTCTCAGCCAAGGGCTGAGCATGTGACCTGAGTTAGGCTAATTGCACAGTGTCTCAGAACTTTGACTTTTGAATGGAGGGACACAAAAATGAGAGGATAGTTAGGAATTCATTAATTCCAGGCCCCAATAGTCAAGTGGTTTTTGTCCTATGTGGTCAGTCTTCCTGACAGTTTTGTGAGCATGCAGGTATCTTTCCAACAAACTCCCTTGCATTTTTACACCAGCTAGCGTTGGTTTCTGTTGCTTATGACCAATGAACCTGACAGCTAACCTCCTCCCCACTGCACCCTTCCAGCACTGCCTTTACATTGCTTCAGGTAAGCTACATGATCTCTCCATCGTTGGGGCTTACTTATAGTGAAAGTGTCCCTAGCCCAGGGATCTTTTATTCTACTTTGCCCTCTTCCCATGAATCAAGAACAGTATCTTTTATTTATTTATTTTTTAAAATTCACTGAGCTTTTGCCACATGCTAGACACTGCGAGGTGAAACACAGAACTGGCCCTCAAGATGTCCCACAGCTGGTGGAAAGGTGACTCCTACACAGAACTAGCTATAGGCAAGTTTGAACATGATAATGTCATGGGAAACACAGATAAATGTGTGCAGGTCAGAAGAGAGATCTTAATTCAGGTTATCAGGGGTCAGGAACATGTACTAAAATAATGTTGGAGAAATAGACTACACAGGTCGCGGGAGCCTTGAAAGCCAGATTAGGAACTTGGACTTTATTTTATAACTTGAAAGGGGGAACCAGTGTAATTTTCTGAGCATTGGAGTGGCAGAATTAGTTATATGAGTTTCATTAGGTGTAAATTGAGGGAAATCACTGAGCCGTAGACCAATCTGGTGCTTTTTCTGAAACCTAAGCTCTCTTCCAGGAAGATTGAAGTTAGTGACAGATGGAATTTCTGAGCACTGCAAAGGAGATAATATATGCAAAATGCACAATGCCTGGCACATAGTAGGTCTTCAATGGCAATTCATTTCTCCACGTTTCTTTCTAGTTATCACAAGGAAACTTTCAAGGAAAAACAAATGTGTGTTATATAGAGAGGCAGTATGGTATAGTGATTAGAAGTGCCACTTGAGTTTCCAACAGATTCCTGGGTTTAAATGCTGCTGTACAGCTGTTCACTGCTATGTGACCTTCAGCAAGTTGGTTTTCTACTCTGACTCTGCATGCTCATTTCTAAAAGGGGAATGATGCCTTCATTATTGGAGTATTTGAGTGTTAAAAGTGCTAATGTATATGAAATGCTTAGCACAGCACCTGTCACACACTAGGCATTCAACACATATTATCTGTTACTAAAAATAAACATTAGTCTTCCCAGTGGAATTCTTTCCTGTCTTTGGTCAGTAGGCCAGTCAAAAGAGAGGGAAGATTGCATTAAAGATTTTGGCTTCCTTAGAGCTTTTTTTTCAAATCTGGATACAAAAGAAACAAGTTAATTTTTTGCCATTGGAATGTGCTCTAACCCAATATTCCCCATTCTTGCTGCCCCTGTTAAGGAGGCAGTCACCATTCTCAGAAATCAGAAAACCTGCTTGTCCTGGCTCTTCTGTCAACAAATATCCACCCCTCTATGGACCTTAGAAACCCCATCTAGCCTTGGTCAGTGGTTTTCAACCTTCATTATAATTATTGTTATTATTTGTAGCAGTAGGAGGTTGCTTCCGTCCTGATCATACATGGCTGCCCAATCTGTACATCTGATGACAGTGGAGATGCTCTGGGGGAGGTGGCGGCTCCAGAGCCCGGAGACTGAGCTGGCCTTGGGAGCAGGTGCACAGCTCCTCCTCCTCACTGTCTCTCTCAATTCCTCTCCAACCATCTTCTCCTTTCCAGCCTGTGGTGTAATCTTAATCAAGTCTACAGCTGGAATATGGGTTCTTTGATTAACAAATGATTTATCCTTCCCATTCTTGTTTATGGCATAAACTCTAGTGATTCTGTGGAACTCACAATCCCGTTCTCACCAATATTGCCTCCATTGGGAATTTCAAAAGTCTAATTTGAAAGTCAAAACTGAGAATTGACGTTTTTTCTCTCTGTTGCTCAGCTTCTGGATACAGCAAGGGCAGACTGATGAGCTCTGCCTGGAATTACAGGGAGGGTCATGGGGCAAAAGGGAATTATAGGAAATGACCCGCATGTAGGTTACTATCAGAATAGTACTCCAGCACGCGCCCACAGGCCAGGGGCTGGGAAGACAGTGACAAAGAAATAGCCATTGCCCTTGGAATGAAATCACTTCTCTGTGTATCACCATCCCTCCCAACTGCAGCCACTGATTTCCCTGAAAAGTAAACATACCATCTGTAATGGATTGAATCGTGTCCCTCTCCCCCGACAAAAAAAAAGAGATGTTGAAATCCTAACCCTCAATACCTTCCAATGTGACCTCATTTGGAAGTAGGATTACTGCAGATGTAATTAACTAAATTAAAATGAAGTCATGCAGGAGTAGGGTGGCCTCTTAATCCAATATGACGGCTGTCCTTACGCAAAGGAGAGATCTGAACACAGGAGGAGAGGAGACCATGTGATAATGCAGGTAGAGATTGGAAATAGGCAATGACAAGCCACCCAGGATTGGCAGTGACACCAGAGGCTGAGAGAAGAGCATGGAACAGATTCTCCTCTGCAGCCTGGGGAGGGCATGGCCCAGCTGACACCTTGATTTCTGGCCTCCAGAACTGTGAGACAATAAATCTCTGCTGTTTGAAGCTACCTAATTTGTGGCACTTTATTACAGCAGCTGTAGGAAATGGATACACCATCCCCCTTTCCTTCCCTTCCAGCCTCGGTGCCGTTGCTCTTGCTCAGGGACTCACCTGGGCTCTGGATTCCATCCCTCCTGCCTTCTCAGAGACCTCACTCCCTCACACCTTCTGTGTTTTCAACTTAACCTTTCTCTTGACTATTCCTCTTGAGCACAATATGCTCCCACTTCCCTCATCTGGAAAGTTTTCTTTTGCCGCCTTCCCTTTATCCGTGGTCTTCTTTTACCCTTTATTTCAGCATGGTACTTCTAGGAGGAGATGTTTATACATGGGTCCTTTAGTTCACCTATTTGCTTCTTGAGTCGCTTGAATGCAGCTTTTGTGCTCATCACATCTTCCAGAAGACAATGACGTCCTGGATGGCCGGATCCTGTGGCTGCCTTCCTGGACCTCATGAGACACTGGATCTCACTGATTAATCTCCTTGAAGTGCTTTTCTATTTTGACTTATATGGACTCTTGGTTTTCCTCCTATCTCTCAGAGTACTTTTTTTTTTTGGGGGGGGGGCAGGTTTTCACATTTCTTTTCTTCTACTCACAACATAAATACATTTTACGATCTCTCTAAAAGTCCTCCAACAGCTAGACAGAGCAACTCACACATTTAGATTCTGGGGCTCTGAATCAGGGTTGGGGTCTTAACCAAGATGGCCAGGAGAGGGAAAAGACAAGTGAAACAAGCCTACATCATATAAGTCCTTAGAAGCCAGTCTGAAGGGCAGGCGTGGGGCAGAAGAGGAGAGACAAGGATGGGAGCTAGGTGGAATTATCCAACTCCAAGGTCCCAAAGCCAATGATTTCTTTGTCTTTCTGTAGCCACAGTGCCATTCACTAAGTAATTGTTCAATTAATGCATCTTGCTTGTTAAACAAGGTCAACAAGAAGGTGAGGCAGGTCCTTAGTCATGACCAAAAATGAGGCATAAAGGCTACACTCTGCTTTGGTGGCCATGTGCAGTATAGTATAAGTGTAGGTTCAGGTGGCTTAAAGAGGTATGAAGAGCGGGTATCACCAGGGTTCTCTCCTTGACTGTCCTCTTGTCAATGCACACACCTGGGCCAATCTATGTACCTACCGTTGTGGCTTCACCCACTATCTACGACTCTCATTTCCCAAACCGTGGCTCCCAATGTCAGTGTCTGTTGGGCCATTAGAAAAAGGATTCCCTGGTAGAATAAATTTGGGCAGCATGAGCTTAAACAGATGTCTCGCTTGCAGGATTTCTTGGAGTCTTTTATATGCTACAGTACATTGAGGCTCTCCAAGATGGAGCAATAGTTTCAGAGATAGAATATGGTATTTCTTAAACCCATTGGATCAGAGGCCTTCCTTTTTAAGGCACAAGAAAGTGTAGTTTGTGAAAAAGTGTAATTCCCTAAACATATTTGGGAAAAAACAGATTTTTTCCTGAAGTTCTTAGGTCAGCCCAGATGTCTCTTCTGTGATTCTTTTTAATTTCTCCCCTACAATGTTTTGCAGGAATTTCCAAGTCCACATATTGAAAACCAAGCTTGTCTTCTTCCCTCCAACCTTCCTGTCCTCTGTGCTTCTTTTTTTTTTTTTTTTTTTTTTTTTTTTGAGACGGAGTCTCGCTCTGTCGCCCAGGCTGGAGTGCAGTGGCGCGATCTCGGCTCACTGCAAGCTCCGCCTCCCGGGTTCACGCCATTCTCCTGCCTCAGCCTCCCGAGTAGCTGGGACTACAGGCGCCCGCTACCACGCCCGGCTAATTTTTTGTATTTTTAGTAGAGACGGGGTTTCACCGTGTTAGCCAGAATGGTCTCGATCTCCTGACCTCGTGATCCGCCCGCCTCGGCCTCCCAAAGTGCTGGGATTACAGGCGTGAGCCACCGCGCCCGGCCCCTCTGTGCTTCTAATCGCAGTACACAGGTTTGTCATCTCCTAGGTTTCAGGAATCTGGAACCATTTTCCTTGACCCCCTTCTTCCACTTTCTCTCCGTGTCAAATCTAATCACCATCTTCACTAATTTAATCTCATGAATAGTTTTCAATTTTCTATCCTCTCTCCTGGGTTAGTGCATTAGCCCAGCTCTTTTTTTGGGGAGGGGGGCAGGAATCTCACCTGAACAAATATGGTGGCTTTCTAAGTGATTGTCCTGACTCTAGACTCACCCTTCTCAAATCTATTTGCCATACCTGTGTCATGCAGAGGAAGTCTCCATTGCTTGAGACCCTTCCACAACTCCATGTTGTCTCTGGTCTACACTGATGCTCACAGTCCTTAGCATGGTGTCTATGGGTCCCATGTCACAGCCTGAGGACCCCTCCAGCCTCTCCTCTCTTCACATAGATGCTGCAGCTACACTGAATTACATGCGGTTTCCTCCCACACGAGGTCTCACTGCTCTTCATTCATCCTTGGACTCTTTATTCATCCATCTGATTCCTTCCTGTCTCTCAAAATGCAGCTCAAGGCTCTAGTAAGTCCTTGCTGGTGGCTATCTAACCCTGGTCAGGTCTAGCTGTCCTTCCTCTGTACTTGTCCTTGCTGCTAACTCTACACAATAATGACCACATAGCTTTATTTATTTTAGAGATAGTATCTCACTGTGTTGGCCAGGCTGGCATGCAGTGACTGTTCACAGGTGTGATCATAGCACATTGCAGCCTTGAACTCCTGGCCTCAAGTGATCCTTCCACATTACTCATTTTTGTCCCCAACTAGACTTTGAGTCCCTGGAGATCAGGAACCATGTCTCAATTACCTTTGTAGACTTCATGCTGACACTTACTAGGAGCTCAGCAAATGACACTTGTTGGCTTCTCTAATATGGCACGGTGTTATTACATCAACGACTTCCTTGGAGGCTTCCATTTGTCTTTCAGATGCCTGACTTTCATTTTATAAAATCTGGTGTTTTGCATTTTACATGGGGAAAGGGATGCTGTTTTCACTGAGCCTAGAGAATTTGAATATTTGCCACAAATTGACCCAAATTGAGACCCCTTTAAACCCCTTTAAACAGGAAGACTCTCTGTTTGCCACTTACTCAGATATATGCCCACCATTCATGAGCATTGCTAACAAATATGACACATCTATTTTCCTTAAAAAGCTCCCAAACTCATGCACTATTTTTAGCTTGCTCCAATTCTTCTGGGAGGGTTCACTGTGGCAGATTTAGGCTGGTAAAATTGCTAAATTGTGTTAATTCTGAGGAAATCTTTCTGATATATTTAAATCCAGGAACTGAATCTTCATGAATCTATTTTATAATTTATGGCACTCAATTCAATTCAACAAACATTCATGAAGTGCCCTCTCTGTACCACGTGCTGAGCCCAACCCTTGGTAGGAAATGGGTAACAAAAAAAGGTGTAAGATGTTCCTGCCTTCTGCAAGCTTGCCATCTGAAATGTACAAATTGCAAATGACAAATCACTATAGGCAATGGAGAGAAGGAAAGTGCAGAGATAGGAAAGTTCTGTGAATAGAAACAACCCAAATGAAGGTTCTGTATGGTACAGAGTGATATGTAGGGGCAGTCAGGGCTGGAGGGGTCCTTTTAAACCCCATATCAAGGGTGCAGCTAGTGGCAAGGCAGCAGGCCAGAGAAAGGAGACATTTTAACATCCCATCCCAGGGGCATGGTGCCTCTTAGAATCTCAGCTGTAACGCAGATTGGAAGATTCGTTTAGGGACAGTAATTACATAAAACTATTTTTTGGTTGTTTGTTCACTATCTCAAGCTTCTCTTCCTAGAATACGAATTCAGGTTGCAAATACAATACCCACATCTTCATTTTCCACTGATGTCTCATGTCTTTAGCATTAAAATGAGGCTGAGGGCCATCGATTTCTTCTGTAGATAAAGAGCCAGCCACTGGCACCAGCAAATGGCCCCTCCCCAGAGTGGTGTGAAATGTGGTTATTTATTTGGTAAGAAAATATATTACTCATTATCCCTAACTGCACCTAGAGACATCCAAACCTACCCAGCCAACCAGCTTATTTTTCCTGTAAAGCAAGATAGAAATAAAACATGGTATAAAGCAGAAGAGGAAGTCCCTCCTTCAAAATGACTCCAGAAAGTGGTGGTCAAGGAAGCTTTTCTCGAACCCTTCTGGAAGAGATAGATTCAACCTTCAGAGGCCTAGCAAGAAGAGCTATGCTAATACTCCTGTGCCATATATAATTAAAATGCTACCGAACCATGAAATCTATGTAAGAATGTCCAAAAAATTCTGATTTTCCCATAATGATAATTCAAGGCTTCTTTTTGGATAGATCGATATTCTTTTATTTTTTTCCTCCATTCTTTTATGTTCTTGCCTTGCCTGTCTGCCCAGTCTGCCTCTTGGGAAACCCAGTCCTGCTGGTCAGCCTCCAGTGATACTCCCATAGGACCTCCTGCTACCCTCTAACAGAGCTGGCACTTAACTCCCTTCACAGAAAATACTCACCGGTGCCTCACCTGTACCAGACTGTGAGCTTGTGGGGGCTAGGAATCATGTTCCTTTTGGGGACTGGATGCTGGGCACAGGTCCTGGCTTGTGGTAGGGGTTGAGTGAGTATCTGTTGAATGAGGGTCTTTGGTCATCTTGACACCTGGGTGGATGGATACCTCAGCAGCCAAAGCTAACAATAGAAAGGGATGATGAGTGGGGGTCAGGCAGGACTGTGGCCTGGGAGTATGGTGCCTACTGCAAGGGACCCTGGGAGGGAGATCAAGGCTTATTAGATAATAATTAGGGCTTGATTTAGACTTAGTTCTGGCTGGCACCGGAGGGCTGCTCTGATGAGTGGGGCATAAGGACAGAAGGTGCAGTTTGATCATGAAAATTTTGTTTCTGAGTGAGTGAGCAACTCAGAGCAGGACCTAGCTGTTGGAACTACTGGACTCAGGGTCTAGCATCTTTCCCCCATACCCAGCCTAACAGATATGAGCCAAGAATGCCAGGAAAGAGAATTGAAGCATCAACTTTGTTGGATGCAGAAAAGAAGGAGAAGGTCAAGGAAAGACTCTGACCCGATGGACATAGGAGTGTCTGATGCTCTTCCTGGATACTAAATCTTTGGCCACAGAAGTCTAGGTGAAGCTGTGGTTCCTGATCATAACATACTCCAGCCTCTAGGAGGAGCTCAAGAACCTCACAGGGTGGACCATGGGCTCCTACCCACAGGTGAAGCTGTGGTTCCTGCTCATAACATACTCCAGCCTCTAGGGGGAGCTGAAGAACCTCACAGGGTGGACCGGGGGAGTAAAGCTGATGGGGCAGAGAGGTCATGTGATTGGATCGCACTCTTAGGAGGCAGAGTGTGCACAAGAAAGAGGTTTAAACTGTAATTTCTTGGCTTATTTCTTTTTAGATCGTTTTACTGTCATTGGCCAGTGTCTCATATTCTTACACTCTTTCTCCTTCATCATCAGAGACAAAAAGGAGACAAATATACTTGTCCCAGAAAAGATGTCTGTGGTAGGGAGTTCAGTGTCTCCAGTTGAGCAGGAAAGACAGACGCTGATGAAAGAGACAACTCTTGTGACAGAGTCTTGCCCTACGTAGCAAGTCTGAAGCCCAAGGCATTTTAAAAGCAGGTATTTTCAACAGCGGCCTGTAAATGCACATTTTAAATAACAGATTGTGCACATGACCTAACACTGAATCCATTAAAACGGGAACTGTGGCTTATTTTTAAAGCCTCCACTAATGCTGCTTTGGCTTAAAAAAAAAAAAAAAAGCCTCATGTGCTATCCATAGTACAGAATTCCAGTCCCATAGAGTTCCATATCAATAACATCTGCTGATTCTGCCTTTTGAACAAAGTAATCAATCCTCCCCTGGAGGCTGCAGTGGAGAAAAGGAAGCACACAGTCTGGGAAGCCATCTGTGCAATTCTCGACCTGGCCGGTGTCACCTCAAATGTCGCCGAATGCACTTGACTCCTCCTGGGAAGCACAGAGGGGCCTTCAAGGAGACCCCTCGTCCTGCCATTTTGCAACCTGACTGCACTGCTTCTAATTATTGCATTTTTCAATGTGTTTATATGTGTCATAGCTTCCGAGGTGAGGCACCCACCAACTCTGACACCACTCCTGGCTGTGGGAACAGCTGTCAGGGATGCTGCCTGTCCAGGTGTCTGGAAGATGATTTATAGTATGTATCTGAGCAGACTGGTGATATTTTATTAATCAAAATGTCAGAAAATCTAATGATAATGTGCTTGCTACAGGTCTTAACATTTTCAATTTTTTAAATAAACATTTTAGATGCCGACTTTGGGTTTCTGTATAAAAGATAATATTATGGAATACCATTAGAGAAACCTTAATGTTAGTATTAATATTGGGGGATAATAAGAATTTATTTTGCTTTTTTTTAAACAAAGATTACAGTTTTACTGTATGCACATTTAAGAAATCCCAAGCTGATCTCATTCTACAGAGACAGGGACTATTATTCTTGTTTTGTATCTGGGAAAAATGAATGTTTCAAAAGGCATATTCGTAAGTAATCAATGAGTAAGATTTTTGATGGTTTGTTTTTCATATTTTTAAAATGCCTTCTGCATGCCTTGACTTGCAAAGTTCTTTCACAAATGCTGTCGTTTTAAACTTTACTTTCAAAACATTTTTGTGTAATAGATATTATTATCTCCACTTTACGGATGAGGAAATCAGGCTTATGTAACTCACCTACATCACGCAACCAGTAAGTTTCAGAAATGGGTTTCAAACTCAACTCTCTGGCAGACCGTTCCCTCTCTTAGCCCAGTACACTATCTCATTCGCTTATTTGCCCATTACTTTGATCAGCTAGCATCTGAGTGTCTGTTTCCCATGTTCCCAGACTTGAGCACAACATCAGAAATACAGAGGCAAAAGCACAGGATTTATTCTTGAGGAGTTCCCAGTCAGATGGTGAGTTGAGAATGTCAATTAAATATGCTAAGATACTTGAGAATATTTTAAAATTTAAAATGATTATTTAATACACATCCATTGAGCACTTATATGTGCCTAATATTATGAGAAACACCAGAGACATAAAGGAGAATGAGACGTAGACCCCTATGTTAGGTGTCCCAGTCTAGCTGGTAAGCAGCATAGAGTCAATAAATCTCACACTGCAAACTCAGGTGTGCAAGAAATGCACCTTTGTGTTCATGATCCAACTTAGTTCTATTTTAGCTCATGTGGTACGAGAGCAGAGGAAACTTAACTTCCGTCAGTTGGGGTGTCAAGGCTTTTGCATGTATGTAGCTGTTGGGAGGTGGACAAGGTTCTTGATGATGAATCCACACAGGTCAGAGCAAAGGCATCTTTTATTCTCATCCACGTGGCCCCTTTCTATGCTGCCTCTGGGGGGATTGTCATACCTGGTGGATTGGGAACATTTCTACTCATTCTGCTCTGCAGGCTGGAAAGGAGTTGGGTACCAAGGCCACCTGAATACTGCTGGCAAAATGGTTCATAGCTGCCTCCTTTATCTGTCCCTTGATTCAGAGACCAAGGATGTGCGACCTAGAAAATTGCTGATCTGTTAGCCTGATATATGAAATTGCCTGGCTGTTGTTTTCTGATGGGCCACCCACTATTTTTCCTTATTGATTGCAAACTCCCCCAAAACAGCTCCAAGGTAAGTAGAAAAGGAAGTGACCCGTGAATTCCAGAAGGTGCAATTCCTGAAAGACCCAGAACCCTCTGAAAGTAATGTATGCTGGGAACAGTAATTTCAAAGTACTTCCAGTAGGTGGAAGTCGCCTGGAATTGGGAACTACACTGGGATGTGTGCATGTCAATTTACGTTCTGCTGTAATCAGAGAAAAGTATTTGGTTATTTCACAAGGAGACAGAAAGTCAGGTCAAGAGCAATCTGCTCACCTTGTCTTTTGACAATTCCCTTCTTTAAACATATCTTGCCTGGTTAAGGAAGAGTGAAGAAGAGCAGGGGTGGGAAAGGGGTTCTAACAAAAATCTTGCAAAATAAAAGATGGAGAACAGCACCAGACAGACAAAGAGGAAAGAAGACTCCTCTGAAAATTACCTACTGTAGGCTCTAAAGAAGAAATTGCAAGATGGTCTCTGGCAAATTCAACACACGGTGGAGCTGCAGTGCAGTCAGGGCACTGAGGCAGAAGCCTAGTCCTGCAGCTGGAGCAAATCCCAGCAGGTTAGGGAAGACCAAAACTAAGCATTCTGGCCTCTGGCTTCATGTTTCAGGCAGTACCCACTGCTCTGGCCCTCTCTTGACTCTATTGAACTGTTGTAATTTTCCATAAAGGCTTTGCTTCTGTCTCTAGATTATCAACGTGCAGCCCCAACCCCACTCCTGACACTTGCCTGACACAGCTTTTACATTACAGGTAGATATCACCAATTCTGTTTGGGTTACCATGGCTCCCAGAGCTTCTTTCTATTTCTATTCTACCACTTACCATACTGCATGATAATTGTTCTGTTTTTTAATTTTTCTGTCTTCCTATTAGACTCTGTTCTTACTGCTAGCAAAGAATGATTTTTGTTGTTGTTGCAACCACCATTTATTGGGCACTCTCTTTGGGTATGCTAAGCCCTTTATGTGTAGTGTCTCACTTAGGCTCAACCCAATCCCATACCTACTCCTGCCCTACAGATAGAGAAGCTGAGGCATAGAGAGAGTAAGCACCTTGCTTGAGTGCATAGTGCTGGCAAGGGATGGAGCCAAGTTTCAAATCCATGTTCTTTGGAGCGCAAAACCTGTTTTCTTTGCCAAGAAGCTATACCCCTTCTGGAGGCCCTCAGAAGCCACAGAGGGAAAATATTTAGGAGCTAATAGGCACACAAGTAACGGGCCAGGACTGGAAACCTTGTGGGGTGATGGTGGAGTGGTGTGTACATAAGAGCTGGAGATATAGATTCTGTGAAGCTGAGATGAAGGAGGCCCTCTCATTCTTCTTGGTTGGGCTAGGGGAGGAAGACCTTCCTTCTACTTCCTAAGCTCCAGCAGTTCTGTGACCAGGAGATTGCTAGTCCGGGGAACATACCTGGATCTCAGTGGATGGTTCCAGGGTTTAGCGGTCTTGCTAAGGTTAATAACACCACCTCTGATGTTGCTGGGGTCCTGGGAGCGACATTTAGAAGCTCCCAGGCCTGGACTCAAATCAAAGACGAGTTCTGGGTCTCAGGAAGCCCCTATAGGACTGTTATTGTGCTTCAAGTTGTCATTTCTTTATTTCTCTCTCCACACAGAGCCATTGCCCGTCCCACTCATTCAATAAGCAATTACCGAGTGCTTACTTCATCTCAGGGCCTGTGTCTATTCCTGGAATACAGAGACAAGCAGGAGACAGTGCTTGCCCTACAGGAGCCCACAGCCCAGTGAGAGAAATAGCGAGGAAAGAATAATACAATAGGCATGATGAGTGAGCTCAGGGTTCTTTGGGATCCTCAAGGAAGGTATGTGTCCCAATTTGGAAGCAGGCAAGAACGTGGAACATTCCCTAGGTAGGTAGCTGAACTGAGTCTGGGAAAAATATGAGCATGAGTTGACCCAGAAAAGAAGTCAGAGAAGCAAAGACACAAAAGTGAGAGGGACGTAGTAGTTCATAACAGCTGGAATTTGGTGTGTGTTCTGGAGACTGATGGAATTGAGTCCAGGTCCTGATTGAAAGGTAATTAGTGAGCCTGATTAAGGTCCTGGATGTTACACTGAAAGAAGTAGGGTCCATTTCTCCCTGCTGAGATCTGGCTGGGCTTGAACAGGTGCCTGCCTCTCTAGCTTGGACCAGATTTCCATCAACACAGCCCTGTCTCTCCAAAAGACTATCTTAACTTGCACAGATTTTTAAATTTTTCTATGCCATGGGCTTCTCTGGGAGTCTCATGAAGTCTATAGACCCCTTCTTGGAAAGGGGTGTGTGTTTTTAAAACTTCTTACTTTGAAATAATTTTTGATTTACAAGAGTTGCAAAAATAGTTAAAAAGTTCATGTGTACTCTTCACCAGCTTCCCCTACTGTGTTAACACTTTACATAACCATAGCGTATTTATCAAAACTAAGAAATTAACATTGTTACATTACTAAGAACTAGACTCCAGACTTTACCCACATCTTATCAGTTTTCCACCAATCCTTTTCCATTTCTGAATGTTCCAGTGTGGATCCGATCCAGGATTCCATATTGCATTTAGTGGAATAAAGTTTTTAAATGCAGAAAGCAAAATACAAGAAACTACAAAGTGAACCAAATTAAAAGATAATTACAGAAATACTAAAAATAATATGAAGAATATGTGATTAGTCATTTGTATGTCTATTAATCCATTAAAAAGAAGAATATACATGTAAAATAGAAGGGAGTGAAAGTTAAGTTTTATTTTTTAAAGACAATGTAAAATTGGCTGTGGCTTAACTTGAGCTGAGCCATAAACTTGGAGTGGTTTTTGACTCATTTCTTTTCTGTATGAATCAATGGGCAATGGGAGATAGGGAATACTGGAAGGCAACAGAGGTGTCTGGGTCACCCTGTGAGAGTGACCAAGTTACCTGACCTCACAGTTTGGTGGCTGAACTTCTGCCACGTGTGGAGCTGCTTAATAATTGCTCAGCCATATTGCACAGCCTTCTCTAGGCAGGAAGATTGAGATCCAGTGAGGGATTTAATAACCACCCTAATTTCAGCAAGTGTAAATTATATTTCTAAATGTCTGCAACAACTGAACTGCCTGAAGAAATATCTGTGATTTCTCCTGGGGGACAAAAGTTACAGATATTGATAATATGATTTGTAGGCTATATTCATAATGAAATGAAACGCTAAATTTAAGTTGAATGTTAGTGAAAATAAAGATATATTTATTTTCCAACTAAGTTTACAGATCCCTTGAATTCTGTCCATCGAGTTCCAGGTTATAATCATGGAACTCCTGGAAGTTTATAAATTAGGGAGCCCCTATCTTGGAATGAATTCAAAATACGTTTGAAAGCTACAGTTAAAAATAATTAGAGTCAACTTTTTTAAAATGTGAGGGTTTCATGTAATTATTCAAATTTCAACTTCTTTTGAAAAACTCGAGCTTCTGTGCCACTGGGCTTCCATCACAGCAGGGCAACAACAGCTGGAGCTGAGTAAAGGCCAGTCATATATGCAGATCGGGGTGGGAGGGCCAATGCGCCACAATCCCTACAACTTCCTTTTATGTCCGTAGCACTGAACCAAAGATCAGTTATCATTACCCATCCTTCTTTCACTGTGATTATTTTTTAATACTTGCCTCCGTTTACTCATTTATTTTATTTGTCTGGTTCCTATGGGCATGTTAGTTTGTAATCTCTTATTTCTGAGTTGGGAAGAAGAGAAGGAGCCTCCGCGTCCTGAAATATCTTCCATATCAGGTGCAGCATTGGGTGCTTTACGTATGGTATCTCTTTGAGTTACAAAACCTGGGTCCAACTCTGGGATACATCACTCATTGTCCTCTTGACCGTGGGCCAGTGACTTCTGGGTCTTAGTTTTTTTTTTTTTCCCATTTGAAAAAGAGAAAGTCTGGCTGGGGCATTGGTTCACACCTGTAATCCCAGCACTTTGGGAGGCCGAGGAGGATCACTTGAAGTCAGGAGTTCGAGACCAGCCTGGGCAATATGTTGAAACCCCACCTCTACTAAAAATACAAAAATTAGTTGTGTGTGGTGGCACACACCTGTAGTCCCAGCTACTTGGGAGGCTGAGGCAGGAGGATCACTTGAACCTGGGAAGAGGAGGTTGCAGTGAGTCGAGATCACACCACTGCACTCCAGCCTAGGCAACAGAGCAAGACTCTGTCTCAAAAGAAATAAAATAAAATAAAATAAAAAAGAAAAAGAGGAAGTCTGATTTGATGGTTTCTGAGGTCTCTTCTACCTCTGACACTCTTCCATTCCAGGTTCTCTGCTCCTCAGGGTCAGGGCCATGACTTACTCAGTGTGCAGCTGGTCATTGCACTATGCACAGCACCTGAAGCTAAGTTGCTCAATGAATAACTGATGAATGAATGAGCACATGATAATATAACCTGAAAATCTGTGGACAGAACTCAAGGGATCTGTAAACTTAGTTGGGAAACAATTATATCTCTATTGTCACTAAACTCCAAATTAAATTTAGCATTCTATTTCATTATGCATCTAGGTTACAAGTTATTATATTTGAAAAGATGAGAGAAGTTGGGAAGGTATCAGATTAAGAAAGAGTAGAAGAGAACTAAAAATTTTTTGAGTATCTACTGTTTCCCGGGACTTGAGCTAAGTTACTTAAGCACATTTTCTTGTCTCAGTGGAAGTATTGAAGCTCCAGCCCTAGCAGCTGTAACTGGTTCCCATGAGGACTTGGACATTTGTTTATTGTTGCACTCCCATGTCAATTCTGCTTCCTTTGTGAAACTGTTGATTCTGTCCCTTATGATGCCCCATCTCTTTACCCCACGCCCCAACCATCACCAAGAGCTAGTTGTGTGACCCAAGTGATGCCAATTAGACTCTCACCTGGGAACTGAAGATTGATACAGGAAAGTTAGACTGCCAGCATCCCTGTAAAAAATGCCTTCACTCTTTTAAGTTTGAATGCGTTTCTGTTACTTGAAGCTAAAGAACCCTGACAGATAAGTCTGAATAAGTACACAAACTGGTGATAGAGGTTTTTATCAAGCTCTATTTCCTAAAGGAGCAAATGGATTCTTCTCTGTTCCTTTATCTTAACGCGCTGTGGATAACACAAAAGGAGGCAACTAAAATCTTAGGGCAAAAGTATGTCCCAGAACCAGACGGGGAAGCAGCTGCTGTGTGTGTTTGGACTCTGCTTATACAAGAGGTGTAATCGATTTCTGCCCTTGCCAACAGGCCAGGCCATCCATCCACCTCACTGCAGTCTTAAAAGAACAAACAGAAGCATCCCTGAGAGTCCTCATGCATCAACTCCTTCTTGAAACTGACTCTCACATCACTCTCTCTTTCTTCAGGCTATCATTTCCCTCAGGAGTTTGGCCCTAGGAATAAGAGAAGCAGGGGTTTATATGTAGGAGGGCTTCTGAGTTTCAGAAAGAAATCACTCTCCTTGGTTTCTTCTTCTTCTGTCTAAGAATGCAGGCAAGTTTCCTCTGGTCTTTTGGAGCAGGCAGAACAGGTAAGGAGTGCCTTAATGGTTTTGTTCATGAGAACAACTGGCAGTTAACAGGTTCCATCCACATCTGGGTTTAGTGTAGAGAGAACAGGAGATCTGAAAGGTCATTTTTGCTCTGGGAAGAAATAACTTGAGTAGTATTTTTCCATTTTAAATGAACTTTCTTTTTCCTTGGCTGGATAAATGCTGTTTCTCTTTATGGTCCTTTCACGTGTAATTCAAATGTTGCTGGGGAAAAATCCAAGGGAAAGGCTGGCTATCTGGATGTGTACTATCCTTCTACAACACACAGACACTGGTTTGATTTATAAGATAACATTTTTCTGAACTACATAACCAAACTTTTTAAAGAAAGGACTGAAATCCCTAGGTGTTAGAAATAACACAAAGGTTTTTTAAACAGATGAAATGGAAGCCCAAACAGGTATGGAAACAAGATATAGATGCTAGTGGATAGGAGTTCCAATACTTATACTGGGGCAAAACCTGTGGTTTGAACATATGTGAGGCAGTGAATTGTATGACGACTTTGAACATGATATGCCATTTGAAACATACACCTATGAAAAGAGGCTACAGAAGTTCCCCACTAACCCAGGTAAGTGGGAGGCAGCTTGCTGCATATCTGAGGCTCTGGGTAGAAACTGAAGCTCCAAGCCTATGCCTTACATGATGTAGGCTGTGAGTTTTTACTAGCCACCAAGTGTGCAAATTGCAGACATAAAGGATCAATAGAATTCTTGGGACTTCAGCAAAGTATCTCTGTGAGATACTTTAAAAAACTATGGCATGTGGGACTTCTCAGAAAAAAAAAATCTAATTAATATGTATTCACAATAATAAATTACAAACCACACAAGGAATTGAACCACCATGAGGTAAAGCAGATACAATAAATAAGAGAATTCACACACAAACAGAAATATTAAAACCATTTGGGACCACAAAAAGAATTTGTTTAAAACGGTTGAAGTAATGAAAAAACTGAGCAATACATAAAAGAATAAATACATATATGTATATATAAATAGAAACTACTTAGATTACAAAATACAGTATTTAAAATGAAAAACACAGTGAATGGGTTAAATAGCAGTTTAAACATATTTAAAGAGAATTAGTAAACTGGAAGGTAGAGCTGAGTAACCCACCCACAGTATAACACAGGATTTAGAAATGGAAAATATCAGATGTGAAAGAAGGAGAAGATTTACATGTATCTAACAGGAGTTTCAGGAAGGGAGGGCAGAGTAGAGGGCATATTTGAAAAATAGTAGGTGAGAAGTTTCCAGTATTGTTAAGGCCATAATTCTGTTAATTGAGGAAGTATATTGAGTATAGAGCAAGACTAATTTCATAAGTAGACATAGCATAATGAGATGACAGAGTAATAACAACAAAGACAACATCTTTTTTAAAAATCATAAAATGAAACAAAGCAAAGTAAATTAGAATGTAATTCCAATTACACTGATGTAATTAGAATGACTGTTTTTTCAGCAATATTAAAGACCAAAAGATTAAATATTAGCTTCAAAGTACTGAGGAAAAATAACTAACCTAGGTAAACTATTATTTTAGAGAGAGAGGATAAGAAAAAACTTCCAGGCACAGAATAAGAGTTCATTACTTATAGATAATTACTGCAACAACTGATAATAATATAATATAATTCAGTAAGAAACACACTGGATATAAAAGAATGTTTGGAATACAAGAAGCTGTAGTAAGCAAATAAGTAATAGTAAATGTAAACAACCATTTATTGTCAAAACAATCTTAACAATAAAGACAAATTTTTGGAAGGCCAAAACCAAGCTGGAACTAAAATAATATAAAATTGTGGTATATAGTGTGGTAGCCACTAGCTACATGTGATTACTGAGCACTTGAAACATAGCTAGTACATCTGATGAACCAAATTTTTTATTTTACTTAATTTTGATTAATTTAAACTTAGCTTTAAACCAGTATAATTTTTTTATTAAACACAATTTTATTGTTTTAATAGGATTACATTTCATATTAGTGACTATATTATGTAAGACACTATTTTTTATTACAGTGGGCATGTTGAGTACATGCCTTATTTCCAATATAAACACAAACCACACAAATTGACCTAGTCAGTATCAATCACTTAAACCCATCATTTATCTAGTCAGTATCAATGAGCTGATTCAGTTTGACTAAGCTGTTTTCTCTGCATGGATACAATCTTGTAACATGCTTGATTGTATTGTACAAATTACTTGAGTTATAGCATTTGAGTTTATAACTTTGGCCACCTATAAAATGTCTTGGATTCTTCCATGACAACTAAAGCCATTTTTGGATGGAGAGATAGTGAAATAAATTATTGCTTATTGTTATGGTAATATTGGTAGAAAATTATGAAAAAAGACTGAAAATGATTTCTTTACAAAAAGCGAAAGATTTTCAATTAAGCTACCAATTTTCCATAGGACACAAGGCTTTTATAATAATAGCAAAGATCAATTGAATCAAAGCTTGAAAATTGCAAGTTTTTTTTTTTAGCTTTAGGTGAATTGTGCAATAGGAGATATTATCCAATTAATACTTTGTGTGAGTTTGATCTCAAAGAACTTCCAAATTTATAAAGAAAGGTCAATACATGGCCTAAAATATCAAACTTGTGGCATAGATATATTTGAGCATTTTAATTTGTCAAAGAATTTTACATAGACATAAGTTGCTCTAGCTACGTAAAATAAAAATGCATTGAAATTTCAAAATGAGACCATGTTTTCGGTACTGCTTCATTATAATGTATGACATGTTATTGCAAATATTTGCGCCTGGTTTCCTGATGCAGACTCTATAAAAAGTATCATGCATACGGTTGCCAAAAGCATTGTGAATGCTATGAATTATCACTATTTTTTAAAACTGCTGTAACAAATGGAAATGAATTTAATGATAGTTTATTTTTTGCCAATTTTCGTTGGTTAAAACATGGCAGAATTTACAAATATTTAACTCCAATTCAAGATTTTCTTAAAACAGAAGGAGTGCTTTCTAAATATTTAATAATCAAAGACAAAAATGGCAGTAATTTATACTTTTTCACTGATATCACACTATATATAAATGAGATAAATTTGAAGTTCCAAAGAAAGGAAAATCTATACAAATTAGAGAGATATGGGGATTCATGTTGAAATAGAAACTTTTTACAATACAAACCAATAATAATAATTTTACACATTTTTCTAACATGTATCAATACACATGCCAGCATTATATAAATTGGCTGCAAAACTACAAGATAAATTGTAAGAATATTTTATTAATATTAATAAATTTATAATTGGCTTTTAATTTATGCAGTACCCTCTTTGAATTACATGCTAACAATAGTGTGTTAAAACAAGAGTTAGTGAGTTTATTTAAACTGAACAGATGTAGTTTGGGAACAGATATGCTTTTACTTCAAATACAAACTATTCTAGAAAACATTGAACAACTTTTGTCAATGTGGATGCAAATGTTACAAAAGTTATCTTTCGAAACAACTGGTGTGTCAAAGAGGAAATTGCAAGGAAAATCTAAAAATATCTTGATACAAATGAAAACAAAAACACAACATACCAAAACTTATAGAATGCAGTAAAAAGTGGCCAAGGGGAAATTCATCAGTGTAAACACTTACATTAAAAAAGAAAAAGAAAATCTCAAATCAACAACCTAATTTTACACCCTAAAAAACTAGGAAAAGGAAAACAAACTAAACCGAAAGCTGGAATAGAGAAGGAAATAATTTAAAATAAAGCAAAGATAAACAAATTAGACACTACACAAACAGTAGAGAAAATCCTCAAAACCAAGAGTTGATTTTTTAAAAAGATCAACAAAATTGACAAATCATTAGCTAGATTAAGGAAAAAAGATGGAAGATTCTAATAACTAAAATCAGAAATAAAACGGGACATTACAACCAGTTTCACGGAAATAAAAGGAATATAAGAGAATACTATGAACAACTGTTTGCCAAAAAATTGCATAACCTAAATCAAATGAATAAATTTCTAGAAACACACACCTATCAAGACTGAATCATGAAGAAATGGAAAATCTGAACAGAACTATAAGTAGTAAAGAGATTGAGTCAGTAATAAAAAACTTTCCAAAAAAGAATAGCTCAGGACCAGGTGGCATCACTGGAGATTTTTACCAAACATGAAAAGAATTAAAACCAATTCTCCACAAACTCTTCCAAAAATTGAAGAGAACGTTTTCAAGCTCATTCTACAAGGCTAGGATTATTCTGATACCAAAGCCAGACAGAGACTACAAGAAAATAAAACCGCAGACCAATCTCCCTGATGAATAGTGATGTAAAAACCCTCAACAAAATACCAGCAAACAGAATTTGACACGTTAGAATGATTACACACCATGACCAAGTGGGATTTGATCATGGAATGAAAGAGTGGTTCAACATAGAAAAATCAATCAAGTAATGCACCTAATTAACAGAATGAAGGGAAAAAAAACCACAAGATCATCTCAACTGATGTCGAAAAAAAATTTGACAAAACACCCTTTCATCAGAAAAACACTCAACAAACCAACAACAAAAGGAAACTAGCTCAGCATGATGAAAGTCATATATGAAAAGCCCACAGTTAACATACTCAAGGTGAAGAATTTAAAATGTTTCTTAGAAGACCAGGAACAAGGCAAGGATGCCCACTCTCACCACTACTATTCAATAGAGTACTGGAAATCCTAAGCAGAGTGTATAAACAAGAAACAGAGACAAAAGCCATCCAAATTTGAAAAGAAGTAAAATTATCTAGGTTTGCAGATGACATAATCAACAAGAAACGGAAATAAAAGCCATCCAAATTTGAAAAGAAGAAAAATTATCTATGTTTGCAGATGACATAGTTGTATATGCAGAAAACTCTATAAAGAATCTACAAAAATTGTTAACAACTAATAAACAATTTTAGCAAAGTTTCAGGATACAATATCAACACACAAAAATTAGTTGCAATTCCATACACTAACAATTATCAGTCCAGAGAGGAAAATATGAAAACAATCATACTCAGTATAGCATCAGGAATAACCTAATCAAGGTGATGAAAGACCTTTGTACTGAAAACTACAAAACACTGCTAAGAAACAAATCAAGGAAGATACAAATAAATTAAAAGACATCTCATGCTAATGGACTGGAAGACTCAATGTCATTAAAATGTCCATATTACCCAAAGCCATCTACATATTTAATCCAATCTCTATCAAAATCCTAATGGCATTTTTTTTTTCACAAAGGGAAAAAAATGCTGAAATTCATACAGAATCTCAAGGGACCTCAAATAGCCAAAACAATTTTGAAAAAGAACAAAGTTGGAGGCCTCACAATTTCTGGTTTCAAAACATACCACAAAGCAACAGTAATTGAGACAATGAGGTACTGGCATAAAGACAGATGTTTAGACAAATGAAACAGAACAGAGAGCTCAGAAATAAACTCTTGTATATTTGCCAATTTTTTTTTACTTAACAGAGAAAAAGCAGTCTCTGCAACAAATGGTGCTGGGAAAACTGGATATCCACATGCAAAAAAATGAAGTTGGATCCTTACCTTACACTATATAAAAATTAACTATTAATAAAAATTGAGCAATGGCCTAACCGTAAGAGATAAAACTCTATAGTTCTCAGAAGAAAATGCAGAGGACGAGTTTAATGATATTGGATTTGGAAATGATTTCTTGATACAACACTAGAAGCACAGGCAACAAAAGTAAAAAGATAAATTGTGCTAAATCAAAATTTTAAAATTCTGTGCATCAAAGGATATAATCGACAGAGTGAAAAGGCAACCTATGGAATGGGAGAAAGTATTTGCAAATCATAAATCTGATTAGGGGCTAACATCCAGTTGATATGTAAAGAAGTTTTACAACTCAATGATAGAAAACAACCCAATTTAAAAATGGGTAAAGAACTTGAATGAATATTCCTCCAAAGGTGATATACAAATGGCCAAAAAGTGAAAAGATGAAATATGAATATGAAAAGATACTCAATGTCACTAATAATTAGGGAAATGCAAATCAAAACCACAATAAGATATCACCTCATACCCATTAGGATGATAAAAGCCAGAAAATCACAAGTGTTGGTAAGGATGTGGAGAAATTGGAGCCCTTGTACTCTGCTGATGAGAATGTAAAATGATGCAGCGGCTATGAAAAACAGGTCCTCACAAAATTTAAAATAGAACTTCCATATGATCCAGTAATCCCACTTCTGTGTATGCATCCAAAAGAATTGAAAGCAGGTAAAGAAATATTTGTACACCCATTTTTCATAGCAGCATTATTCACAATAGCCAAAAGGTGGAAGCAACTCAATGATGTTCATCAACAGAAAAATGGACAAATGGTGATATATATGCAAATTGTGACAATGGAATATTATTTAGCCTTAAAAAGGACATTCTGATACATGTTACAACATAGGTGAACCTTGAAGACATTATGCTAAATGAAATAACAGTCACAAAAAGACAAATACTGTATTTTTCACTTATATGAGGTATCTAGAATAGTCAAACTCATAGAAATAGAAAGTAGAATGGTAGTTGCCAAGGGCTGAGGGGAGGGGACTAGGCAGTTGTTTAATGGGTATAGAGTTTCAGTTTTGCAAGATGAAAAAATTTTTGAGATTGGTTGTACAACAACGTGAATATATTTAGCACTACTGAACTATACACTTAAAAATAGTTAAGATGATGAATTTTGTTGTGTTACAATTGTAAATTTTATAAAATCTAAATACAGATCAAGTATTTCTGATAATTTTTTTTTCTTTCTTTCTTTCTTTTTTTTTTTTTTTTTTTTTTTTTTGCGACTGGATCTGACTTTTGCCCAGGTTGGAGTGCAGTGACACGATCTTAGCTCACTGCAACCTCCATCTTTCAGGCTTAAGCCATCCACCCACCTCAGCCAATTGAATAGCTGGGATTACAGGTGCACGCCACCATGCTTGCCTAATTTTTTTTTTTTTATTATTTGTAGAGACAGAGTTTCACCATGTTGCCCAGGCTGATTCTGAACTCCTGAGCTCAAGCGAGCCTCCTGCATCAGCCTCCCAAAGTACTGGGATTACAGGCATGAGCCACAGCACCTGGCTCTGATAAAATATTTATTGTCTGAAATGAGGTATGCTATAACATCCACATGAGATTTCAGAAAGTATTTAAAAGTATGTATAATATCACATTAATTATTTTTATATTGGTTACATGTTAAAGTAATGATATTTTGGATATATTAGGTTAGTTAAAATACATTATTAAAAATAATTTCAACTGTTTTTATTTTTGTATATATGACTGTCAAAAAATATAAAAGTATATATGTGGCTTCCAGTATATTTCTGTCAGACTATTGTTTTTCTTTCTTCTTTCTAAATTTTTGTGGTTACATAGTAGGTGTGTATATTTATGGGGTACATGAGATGTTTTGATACCAGCATGCAATGTGAAATAAGCACATTAGGGAGAATGAGGTATCCATCCCCTCATCTGTCAGATAATTTCAAAGAACAGTTGACTGGAAGATGAGATAAAAGTGATAGAAATTAAAGTATTGTAAGAGTTTTGCAATGTTTGAGACGGGGGAAGAGGTATTAATTAACTTTAAATATCTCTTAGCTTTATATCCATCCTAAAAGTTGAATATATAATTTCAAAATTAAAAGTTGAATATATAATTTCAGAAAGACTACATAATGTCTTTATTCTACTTCAGTCCCCTCTGTGAGAACACAAGTAGAATAAAGACATTATGTATTCTTTTGTGACACTGTGTCCAGAGAGGACACTGGTAGAATAATGAAAACTCAATAAGCTCAATTCAAGATACAAAAAAGAAAGAAAAATAAAGCTCAAACAGCCCAAACGGAAGAGAGAAAAGGAAAATATAAAAAACTAAGGAAGAGCCTGATAGAAAATACAAAATAGGAAAGCATAAATAGTTCCAAATATATCACTAATTGTAACAAATACAGAACGGTTACATTTATCTGTTAGACGATACAGATTCTCAGACTAGATTAAAAATAAATTTTTAAATGCAGCAATGTGCTGTTTACAAGAGACACACCTATAAAGTGTAAGGACAGAGAGAAGTTCAAGAAATTTTCTAGACAAATATTAATCAAACAAAAGCCAGTATAGCAATATCTCTGTATCAGGGTTCTTGGCTGTGAGCAATAGAAGCCTTTCTAGTTATTTAGGCAAAAGCATATTCATTAGAGGATATTAGCAGCTCATGGAATCTACAGGAGGCCAGAGAGTTAAGCTTATACACTAAGCAGTCAGGAACAGCACTCAATTATATTGGAAGCCATGACAACCCTGTACAGTTCAAGCCATTGAAATTCTGGACCAGATAAGAGAAAGTCTTCCACTGTTCTACTGCATAATTTCTAGAAAAATGGATATCTAGCTCCACTATTGTTTTACATCCCTCACTTTCTAAGTGAAGTCTAGTGGGCACATTTGATGATCAGAGCATGGTCCATAAAGGAGGCCAGGCAGGAGTGGAGGGAAGAACCCAGGATGCTACTTAGAAGGTGCTACTTGGGAGAACCCAGGATGATACTTGGTTAGAAAGAGCTCAGAAGGTTGATAATTCCTCCAGATAACAGAAGTCTGTTCAGAAGTGTCAGGAGATTCAGAAAACCTGATAATAAATAATATATTAAAATGTAATCTAAAAACTCATGCTGAATAGCCATAAGACTTATATATTTATAATTTATTGTAGGAATAAATATAAAATATTTGCAAGACATTAATAAAGGAAATTATAAAGTTTTATTGAAGGATGTCAAGGAAAACTCAAATAGAAAGATAAATGAGAAGATAAATGAGAAGGGTGAATATTTTAAATTGTCCTTCAACTAACTTGTATTGAAATTTCAATGAAATTATTATGGACTTTTTAATTAAACTTAAGTATCTGATTCAAAAAGTAGACTTAGAGGTGAAGAATAGCTAAGAAAATTTTGAAGAGATATAGGAGGAGTATCTTGTCCTACCAGGTATCAAACCTGTTCTACAGATATAACAATTTGGTATTGTTTCCAGGAATGCAGAAAATAAAGACCCCACTTGGTATATGATAGAATTGTCATTCAAATCTGAAGGGAGAGGATGGGTTTATTTAATTAATAGTGCTCAAACAATTGGTCATCCCCATAGGGAAAAACAAGTCCTAACTCATGCTATAAACTCCAGATAGACTAATGGTACAATATGAAGGGCTAAATTTTAAAAGTTTTACAAGAAAATATAAGAGACATCTTCATTGTGTCAGGATAGGGAAAGATTTCTTAAATAATACACAGAAGCACAAACCATAAAGGAAAAGATTGATGAATTTGAATACATAAAAAATAGAAAGTTTTATATGATAAAAGAAACTATAAACAAGGTGAAAACACAAACCATAGACTGGGAAAATATTCTCCCAAGTAGCATCTTATACCTTTACCTAACAAAAGATCAATATCCGGAATATGTAAGGAATTAACCTACACAAATCAATATATAAAAATATAAACAAGCCGATATAGAAATGAGCAAAGCAGTGGATAGGACATTCACAGAAGATACCCAAATGGCCGATACATAAAAAGATGCACAATCCCACTAGTAATCAAGGAAATGCAAAATTAAACTGTGAGATACTCGTCTGTACCATTTTTAGCCATTAGATTGTTTAAAATTTTAGAAAACTGATAATGGGGAAATTTGTGTAGAATCTAGAACTTTCCCATACCATTGATATGATTGTAAAATGTTTTGATCACCTCAAAGAACAGATTAACAATATCATTCTGGTCTTGATGAAGTCACAGGGACTGGATTTACCTCTGGGCTGAAATGACTGAAAACAAGAAACAAAATATGGGAAACCATAAGGCACACAGACATTAGGCAGCACAAGACCAAGACCAAGACCATGACCTCTGAGAGACAGAAAACAAACAAGGCAAGTCCTACAATCACTCCAGCTTACTACCTTGAGAATTTGCAGATCCCACTCATGCACAGTCTGGGGCACTCCTGAGTTGTGTCAAACAGATGGAGTTGGGAGTCTACAGAGAGCAAGAGGGCTACAGTTGACAGGAAATAGCATAGGAGGGGAAAGCTACAGACAGCAAGAGAGCTTGAGGGATCTGGAGAGGTTTCCCCTTGAGTCTTCAGCTGAAGCTGCTCAGTGCATTTACTTAAGGAAACTACTCAAGTATTTGCATTGGAGAAAACAATGGAAATAATTAGTGGGTGCAATCTCTGGAACTCACACAAGACTAGGAATGGTTTGTGTCACCAGCCAGAGTGGGAAAATCTCGTAATTCACAGAGTATCAGGGAGAGTAATCAGAAGTAATCAATGATGGGAAAAAATTAGCCCCGGACTGAAGGCTGCTCTGGTTCCATCTAATAAAGCTTAAAAGTGAGTCTCAAAAGGATAAAATGTTTCCAAGTACCTTAATTGCATCCCAGGACAGAGCTCAAGAATATTTATAGGAAGTAAAAATATCTACTGAAGTCGCAGTTGTGAACAGCCAGCAGCTCCACCGGTAGGCATCTAATTCTTGCACGCACACATGGAACTGTGCACTGATTTATTGCAGTAACTGTGAAAAATCAGAAGGAACTCAAGGGTCTATCAACAGAGGGATGCATAATTAAATTGAAGTATATTCATACAGTGAGATATTATACCTCATTAACAATGAACCGAATCTATATAAGTCAACATACTCAAGTCTCAGAACATACAGTTGAGTTAAAAAAAAAAACAAGTTAAAAGGATATGTGCAGATGACACTTTATGTATATTTATAAAATACTTTAAAACAATCGCATAAATTGTTTATGGATACACACATATGTTAGAAAATACATAAACATATGCATTACTAATAATAGCTAAAATGTATAAGTGCCTGTTGAACGTTAATTTGAAACATGGTAGTGTTTGTTGAGAGGGGCGTTTAAGAGGCAATTGGGTCATGAGGGCTCTACCCTAATGAGTGGATTACCATGAATTAATGGGTTAATGCAATACTGGATTATCATGGGAGTGGGACTGGTAGCTTTATAAGAAGGAGGAGAGTAACCCAAGCTAGCACGCCCAGCCCCTCACCATGTGGTGCACTGCACTGCCTTGGGATTCTGCAAAGAGTCCCCATGAGCAAGAAGGTGCTCTCCAGATGCACCTCCTCAATCTTGGATTTTCCAGCCTCCAGACTGTAACAAATAAATTTTGTTCCTTACAAGTTATTTAGTTTCAGGTATTATTTTATAAGCAACAGAAAATGAACTAAGACGGTGTCTCTTTGTGCCAAGTGTTATTTAAGGGACTTAAATGCATTATCTCATTTAATCCTCCCAACTTTATTTGACAGATGCTGAAACTGAGGCACAGGCCCAGTAAGTAGAGGAGCTGGGATTCAAACATTTATTTCTGGCCCCAGAGTCCTGCTATCAGACTCTATTAAACTCACATATTAGAATGTTACCTACCTACTTTAGGATTAAATTAGGGGATTACTTCTGGATATAGGGTGAGGGCAGGAGAGGGATAGAGGTAGCTGTAATTTTTATTCCTTTCAGAAACAAAATCAGAGCAAATCTGCCAATGGATTAATATTGGTTAAATCTGGGTGGTGAATTCTTAAATATAACTTGATTTTCTATTCTTTTTCTTATGTTTAAATTATTTTACATTGAAATTTCTTAATTTAAAAAATCTTTACGGAGGAGGTGTGAAATTGTGGATCTTGGCCACAGAAGCCTCCTGGGGGGAAACAAAGAACAGCAGACCTGACTCCTTTCTCCTTATAAATTCAAGATTTCTCTGGTGGATTGTGGTTGTTTGTATTAAGGGCAACTTGAAGGACACTAGTAAGACCCTTCTCTTTATGTCTCCAACCTCATTCCTGGAGAACATGTCAGAAATGCGAGAAGAATGGGGTGGAAGAGTCAGAACCAATGCCCCAAACTCAGTGTACATATCAAGAGAGATGCAAGAGGACCATTTTCGTGGCCACAGCTGTGGCCATCACACTGGAGAGAGAGGTCCTTTCTTCCTTCTCCCAATACCCCTGGAGGAACTGCTTCCGGACCAGCCATGGTAGTTCCCCACCACACCTCGCACCCATGGACACTGCCATTTTCTAGAGGGGCACTGTGAGGCCAGGCCAGCAGCTGGGAAGGCTTGCTGGTGACCAGGCTGCATTCTCTGTGTCTCTCTCTCTGTATGGATGGCCTTTAGGCTAAGTCCATAGGGTTTAAGGCTTATTACAGGAGGAAGGGACCCCAGTGAAGCGAGAAGGACATTTTCACATTAGCTAAGCTGAGCTCTTTAAATCTTTTTTTTTTAAGTGACCTGATTTTGCAGCTCCAGCTGATGAAGTGGGATGTCTTGCTTCTATGTATGGTCAGGGGGATCTGTGAGGTAGCGATGCACGCTAAGGGTCAAAGATTTCCCCTGGAAGTTAGACTGAGATCTGAACAGAGTTGTTCTGCCCCAGACAAGGTCTGTGGATGAAGACCTGTCTGAGAGTTCACTTGATAACTATTTATTGAGCCTTTACTATGTGTACTTTTGTATTGCTTCTCTAAATTTCTCAGTTCCTAGGGGGCAAGAATGGTTGGGGAAGGATGAAAGCCTGAAGAGGGAAGCAGGTGATACCTTACAAACAGCTATGCTTGATAGGCTAAGGGGCTTAAGCCTGGTGGTTATGGAGAATTGGCCTCACTATTTTCACCTAATATATGTTGACTGATGCTGGAGAGGTCATAGGTGGAGGCAAAGCTCTAACAGATGAAGGGGAAGAGAACTGGGAGCAGCAGCCTCTTTGCCACTTTTTAGACCATGCCAGATTGGCGGCCACAGAGTTGGCTGCCATTTTGTGGCATTTAGTCAGGAAATGTCCACGGAGAAATCTCCCACAGTGGGGAGGGTGTTGGACAGATGACTTTCAAGGTGGCAGTCAACATTATACAGCACCTACCAACTGCAGGTGGCAGTCAACATTATACAGCACCTACCAACTGCAGGTGGCAGTCAACATTATACAGCACCTACCAACTGCAGGTGGCAGTCAACATTATACAGCACCTACCAACTGCAGGTGGCAGTCAACATTATACAGCACCTACCAACTGCAGGTGGCAGTCAACATTATACAGCACCTACCAACTGCAGGTGGCAGTCAACATTATACAGCACCTACCAACTGCAGGTGGCAGTCAACATTATACAGCACCTACCAACTGCAGGTGGCAGTCAACATTATACAGCACCTACCAACTGCAGGCCCCATGCTCATATGTGAGCAACACTTGGATCCTTTGAGGCAAAAATCTCACTATCTAGTGGAGCTGCCACAATCCAGCTAGCCAGCTCAGCCCCTTCTAGTTCTAAGATTCTATGATAGGGGTGGCTCTAGCTGAGTCTCAAGAAGTTACAAACTATTACCCGTTGAGAGAGAGAAAGCAGGAAAATAATTCTCTGATTTGTCTATCCTGCAAGAAAGCACTCTTGGATGAGTGTGGAAACCTATGTACAGACTATAAATATTGACTCAAGGTGGGGAAGACGGTGTTAAGGCAGTCTTGCAGGAGTTTGTTCCTTGGGATTCCTGCCTGTGTCTGCCAAGGTTTGGAGCCTAAAAGTGGTTTACCTATGTGAATTTCTTTATAAGACATTTTTCTTTGGCTGAAGAAGGGCAGCAGGCCATAAGTAAAGCCTGGGGTTTCAACAGATAAAGACATGGGAGAAGAAGGATAATGCTTGGCTTCCCATCTGGCCACTTTGGGATGGGGGCTCCTAGTGGTGAGTATGGAAAGCATTCTCCTCAGAAATGTTCTGGAAGTTGAGGTACAGGGTGTGCCACTTTGGCATCGTGGAGGTTTTGTGTTCCAGGTGGCCCAGCATTTTTCTGAAAGAGTAAAGATGGTAGCTAGGGCAGAAAACTGGTGGGAGAATGTCGGAGCACTGAGCAGGAAGAGGCTGATCTTGAACACAAGGAGGCCCCTCCATCTACCCCGCCAGGGACCCACAAACACACTGTATGTGGCAGGAGGTCTTCAGAGGGGGCTGCGGTCCTGGGGTTAAGCTGAAGGCTGCCATGGAGTGTGCACGCTTCTACCATTTCCCCATGTGTCTCCACTGGCTGGATGGCCCAGGTCTGCATGAAGGACAATTCTGTGGCATAAAGAATAACAGGTGTCTAGAGAGAATCTAGGTTTTTCCTCTTTGTCAAACTGGAATAAAGGGCATCTCCAGAATCACCTTCCACTGAAGAGTTTCATTCTATGACAGGGTCTACTCTGAGATTGAAGAATCTAGAGATCTGAGAGACCTTCCTCTAAGACCGTTTGCCATTCTTTGTCCAAAGTTATCCAGGAGCACAGCAAACAGGCTTTGGAGCCAAAGGAACCTGACTTCAAATCCCAGCAACATCTTTTCCTAGCTATGTGGTTTTGGGCAAGCTTTTACCTTCTCTGAGCCTCAGTTTCATCATCTAAAAAGTGGGGATGTCCTGATCACAGTGCTGAGGTAAGGACCAAATGAGATGATGTATGTAGAATATGTAGTCCAGGGGCTGGCACACAGTAAGTGCTTAATAAATGCTGATTCCCTTTCTGTTCCTTTCACTTAGTTGGAGAAAAACAACCATATCAGCTAAAGGCAGGACTGCAATAGAACTTACACCCTATGTTCTTGGTCAGGCATGGGCCCCAGATTTCAGGCTTCCCTGATGTAGGTCAGCAGCTAGGCCTGACCCCATACACCTACCCACAGCTGCACAATGCCCAGGCATCTTCTGGAGCCTTGGAGCCCTTTGATTTTCCTTGGATTCCCAAATGGCTGTTTTCAGATAGGCCTCCTCCCAGCCAGCTGCCCCCAGGGCTGGCTGTGGTGAAGCCTGCATTTGTCAAGTAGCAGCTTTAATGAAAGCGAGATGCAAACTCACACGCATTAGGAAGTAACTGAGCTTTCTCGGCCACATCACACTACAAAAACCAGTTCTGTGCAGCCAAGCTCGCTGAGATTGATTTCCTTGAGCCCTTTATCTCACTCTGATATTTTATCTCAGAAAGTCAATACTGTGGATATTGCCATCTAAACAGGACTCTCTCCTGTCCACATATTGTTGGATGGGAGTCTGGAAAATTTCTCCCAACCAGTCATTTATTTGTTCATCAGAAGCCAGCTTCTTTGTTGCTTTGATGCAAGGAAGACTAAACTTGGTGAGCCAGCCAGCCTTGCATGCAGCTGGCAACAAGACATATACAGATCCCAGCAGGAGATCAATTTTGGGCCCCAAGAGCTGCCTGTTGGCAGAAACAATGGGGAAGTCAAATCATCGTGCATTACTCTCCTATAGTACTTAAGGTAGCTTGAGAGGCAGAGAAAGTGTTTAGGTGTAGCTTGGGGGATGCTCGAGTGGGGCAAGGTAATTTTACACCTTCCTGGAGGCTGCACAGGTATGGATCTGAAGCCAGCTTGGATTCTCTTAACTTTGCCTTTGGTCACCCAGAGGAGTCAGATCCTGAGGAAACAAGTCATGTTAACCCATGGGAGGCCAAGTATAGGTCAACTATGCTTATTAATTTGTTATTGGAGGTCCAGGGCCAGTGATGGGGGTAGGTGTGTTCAGAAGGTAAATTACAAATCAGAAGGATGCTTAGTGAGTGCAAAGTTAGAGCAAAGAGCAAAGAAAGCAGGATCTTCTTGTGAAATTGTTTGTCCTTCCTTCTTCCATCCCTCCATCCCTTCTTCCTTTCTTTCTTCCTTCCCTCCTCTCTCCGTTCAGAAATTAGTGAGCCTTTTTATCATGTGCCTGGTCCTTGCCGGGCTCTGGGAATATACAGATAACCATTTCTATCCCCGGAAGCTTATGTACAATCTAATAGGGAGCCAGAAAGTCAACAGAGAATACAGAGCATAGCTGTTAGCAGTTGTGTCTTCACTTGTAAAGCAGGTGGGCTCAGAGGGCTACAATGAGGGCTCACTGAGACAACATCCATCAGGTTAGTGATAGCATGGTGCATGGCTCATAGCACTCAATAAATAAATAATACTGTTATGTTTATTCCTCATCTCCTTAGTGCTGGTGAACACACAGCAGAGGAGAGGTGAATGCTCCAGGAAATCAGTGAAGGCTTCCCATCCAGGAGCATGGGAGGATGAGTGGGCCTTCCCTGGGTGGAGAAGGGACACGAGGGTCCCAGCCAGGAGGCCAGATGCTTGATACCGTGTTCAGTGAATGACAAGGGACATCGAGGTAGAGGAGGGAAAGGGGTACAGGACAGGAATAAGATAATACAGGGTCAAATTGTAAAGTGATAGCCTGGATGCTGAAGGAACAATGGAGGTTTTTAAACCGGGAAAGCATGACTGGATTTTTGGAAAGTTAGCAGTGATGATAGTACAGAGCATGGATTAGATAAATTGTAAAAAGTCTCATTTGGGGCCCTTTTGATAGGGCAAGGTGTGAGAAGAGGAGGACCTTCTCCAAGGTTGCATTAAGAAGATGGAAAACAGACTAGATTGGTGAGATACTGAAGAGTAGAATTGTAGGAAAGTGATTACTGATTGAATTCTGGAGGGGAAGGAAAAAGGAATGGTTGAGTATATTCTTAGGGTATTTGGATGCATGATGGTCTCACTAGCCCAAGCTAGGCAGTGAGAGAGGAGGAAGAAGCATAGGAGGAGGGGATGGTTTCAGTTTGGACAAGGGTGCCGGTGCTTGTGGGACATCCAGGTGGAGATGGGGTGAGGATTGGAGACACTGCCTGGGGGCTTGTCAGTAGGGGCTACTGGAAGTCCTGGTCACTTGAGGAAATGTACAGAGAAGGTAGATGGCAGACAAACAAGTGGGTTGTTCAAAAAGAAGAGAATCCCGGCTAGGAGTCTAAGGAAGGGTTGATGTAGAGAGGGAGGGAAGGGGGACAAGAGGACAGGTGTGATCACCTGTGCCCAGGAGCACAAAAGGGCAAGTGGAATGAAGACTAAAAAGGGGCGACGTTTGGTGTCTGGGGTGCTTTCAGACAAGCCCGCGTCCTGGATAGATACGAACAAGTACTAGTGACTCATCCGACTTTACTTTTCTAAAATTCCTTATTAGTCAACACAAGTTTTGTTGACTACAATATAGCTCCTTTGCTTGGCCTGATAGATGTTTCAACAAAGATTGAACACTGAGATCTTACCATTTCCAGCCTGACAGCTTATCTTCCTTCAGGCCCGTTATTAAGATTTCAGAAGCTCCTCCATCCATCCAGGAACACACTGATATCGCTTTAGGTGAACGGTTTCCATGGAAACTAATCTCTTTGATTTGTTAATCATTTCTCTCCGTGCTAATGTCAGCAAGTGACCGGTTCTCACCCTGTCTCCTCACTCTAGCCCTGATCCATATGGATTAGGATGCAGCTATTGGGGGAACCTGGCCATCCCTGACTGTGAAGTTAGCCATCTCTTCTATACTATGTGTGGTTCTGCAGAGTAGAGAGAAAATAGTCTCTATCTAGACATCATCTAAGAGGGCAGTGCAGTTTGGTTTTAAATCCTTGCCATCCGACCTTTGGCACATGGTATGTTTGGCAAGTTACCAAACCACCACATCTTCATCTATGAAGCGGAGATAAATCCTAACTCATAGGACTATTGGGGGGATTAAATGAGGTGAGATATTAAAAGTAGGGCAACAGTAGCTTGCAATTGCTGGTATTGTCATTATTACTGTTCTAGGAATAGTTAACTTTTGAAGGAGGCAGTTGATCTCATTACCAGTATCTTCCTGAGGCGCCCTGTTCTGTGACTTTAGGCTTTTACTTTGCAACAGGGAGGAGGGAGGGAAACCCACATACATTTGCGTGGGGCTGTGATTATAAATACTATAAGGGATAATAAGCCTTGGACAAGTTTTTAAAGTGAACATGTAGCCTGGGCTCCTGTTTCCTGCTCAGGAAGGAGAAGTGTCACAGTTTCCTGTTGGCTGCACCTTCCCCTCTGCCCCACCCAGGGACCTAGAGATTAGGCATCCTCCCTTCCTCCCCACTTCTCCCTCTCCCTCCTTCCTCTTTTCCCTTTCTCCTACACCATCTCCCTTTCAGGTATCTGTTACAGAGAATGTAGGCAAATCACTGACCCATTGTGCATGTTCAGTTGAGAAACATTGCTTTTTTTTTTTTTTTACTGTTTCTTTTTGAGACTGAACAATTGATGATTGACTGACCATGCTTCTTTGGTGAATTCTTTGGTCTTGTCTTTTGCCCAATTGACTTGCTATTTAGGATGTTAGTTTTTTCTTGGTAATCATTTTGTAGTTGTTTTAGTAAGAATATTTTCTGGCATGTTTTTCAAAACTTGTCCCTGTTTGCTTTTAAATGGGCAATACAAACATGTACAAAATGCAAAATATTCAAAAGGCTTCATAGTGAGATAAAAGGCTCTCTCCATCCCCTGGCCCCATCACCCATTGTCCCTTTCCAGAAGCTGCTACAGGCACACCTCACAGATATTACAGATTTGCTTCCCAACACCGCAATAAAGTGAATGTCATAATAAAGCAAGTCACATGAATTTTGTGGTTTCCTAGTGCATGTAAAAGTTATGTTTACACTATAATGTAGTCTATCAAGTGTGCAATAACATTATATCTAAAAATGTACATATATTACTTAAGAAATACCTTATTACTAAAATATGCTAATGATCATCTGAGCCTTTGGCAAGTCGTAATCTCTTGTTGGCAGAGGGTTTTGCCTTGACATTGATGACTACTGACTGATCAGGTTGGTGGTTGCTGAAGTTTGAGGTGTCTGTGGCAATATCTTAAAATAAGATAACACTGGCCAGGTGTGGTGGCTCACGCCTGTAATCCCAGCCCTTTGGGAGGCCGAGGCGGGTGGATTGCCTGAGGTTGAGAGTTCGAGACCAACCTGGCCAGCATGATGAAACCCGGTCTCTACTGAAAACACAAAAATTAGCTGGGCATGGTGGCAGGTGCCTGTAATCCGAGCTACTTGGGAAGTTTGAACGATGGAGGCAGAGGTTGCAGTGAGCCAAGATTGCGCCATTGAACTCCAGCCTGGGCAACAAGAGTGAGACTCTACCTTAAAAAAAAAAAAAAAAAAAGATAACATGGATGTTTGCTACATCAATTGGCTCTTCTTTTATGAAAGAGCTCTCTGTAGCATGCAATGCTGTTTGACAGCATTTTACCCAAAGTAGAACTTTCAAAATTAGACTCATTCCTCTCAACCCCTGCTGCAGCTTTATCAACTAAATCCTTTGCTGTCATTTCAACAATGTTCACAGCATCTTCACCAGGAATAGGTTCCATCTCAAGAAACCACTTTCTTTGCTCATTCATTCATTCATAAGAGGAAACTCTTCATTCATTTAAGTTGTATCATGAGATTTTAGCAATTCAGTTACATCTTTGGGCTTTACTTTTAATTCTAGTTTTCTTGCTATTTCTACCACATGTGCAGTTATTACCTCCACTGAAGTCTTGAACCCTTCAAAGTCATTCATGAGGACTGGAATAAACTTTTTCAAAACTCCTGTTAATATTGATATTTTGGTCTCCTCCCTTGAATTACAAATGTTCTTAATGGCATCTATGGCATTAATTAATCTATCAGTGGCAGCTATATAGCCTTACAAAATATGTTTCTTAAATAGTAGGACTTGAAATTACTTTTTGACCCATGGATTGTAGAATGGATATCGTGTTAGCAGGCATGAAAACAACATTGCTCTCCTTGCACATCTCCATCAGAGCTCTTGGGTGACCAAGTGCATTGTCAATGAGCAGTAATATTTTGAAAGAAATTTTTTTTTTTTGTAGGCAGTAGGTCTCAACAGTGGGCTAAAAATATTCAGTCAACCATGCTGTAAACAGCTGTGCCATCAGCCAGGCTGTGTTCTTCCATTTATATAGCACAGACAGAGCAGGTTCAGCCTGATTCTAAAGGGCCCTGGGATTTTCAGGATGGTAAATGAGCATTGACTTCAACTTACAGTCACCAGCTGCATACCCCTAACAAGAAAGGCAGCCTGTCCTTTGAAGCTTTAAAACTAGGCATTGCGTTCTCCTTCTAGCTATGAATGTCATCCTAGATGGCATCTTCTTCCAATATAAGGCTATTTCATATACATTGAAAATCTGCTGTTTAGTGTGGCCACCTTCATCAATGATATTGGCTAGATTTTCTGGATAACTTTCTGTAGCTTCTACATCAGCACTTGCTGCTTCATCTTGTACTTTTATGAAGACAGCTTCTTTCCTTAAACCTCACGGGCTAACCTCTGGTAGCTTCCAACTTTTCTTCTGCAGCTTCCTTACCTATCTCAGCCTCCACAGAATTGAAGAGAGTTAGTGCTTTACTCTGGATTAGGCTTTGACTTGAGGGAATATTGTGGCCAGTTTTATCTATCTAAACTATTAGAAGCTTCTCCATAGCAGCAATAAGGCTGTTTCACTTTCTTATTGTGTAAGTGTTCACTGGAGTAGCACTTTTAATTTCCTTTAAAACCTTTTCCTTTGCATTCACAATTTGATTAACTGTTAGACACAAGAGGTGTAGTTTATGGCCTGTCTTGGCTTTTGACATGCCTTCCTCACTAAGCTTAATCATTTCTAGCTTTTGATTTAGTGTGGGAGATGTGCAACTCTTCCTTTTTACTTGAACACTTAGAGGCCACTGTAGAGCTGTTAAGTGGACTAATTTCAATATTGTCATGTCTCAGAGAACGGTGAGGTCCCGGGAAAGGGAAAGAGACAGAGAACAAACAGGTTGTTGGTGGAGCTGTAAGAACACACACACAACATTTATTGATTAAGTTTGCTCTCTTAGATGGGCATGGCTTGTGGTGCCAGAAAACAATTACAATAGTAACATTTAAAAGATTACAGGTCACCAGTCACCATAGCAGATATAATAATAATAAAAAAGTTTGAAATATTATGAGAATTACCAAAATATGACACAGAGACATGAGTGAGCACATGCTGTAGGAAAAATAATGCTGATAGACTTGCTTGACACAGGGTTGACACAAACTTTCAATCTGTAAAGATGCAGTATTTGAGAAGCACAATAAAAAGCAGCAAAACAAGGTATGCTTGTACTTAATATCAGAATCTTGTGTATCCTGCCTGATATATTGCATGCATATACAGATTGTAAGAATATACATATATATGTAGGAGTCTATATATTACCATATTTATATATATGGTAATTTATATAAATTTGTTTACATCTAGCTTTTTCACTTAATATCTAGCAGACCATTTTATATAAATTTTTATAGAGCTGCTTTATTATTTATAATGACTGTATACTTTTCCATCCTATGTTTGGACTATATTTAACCATCAAATATCGATGAACATTTAAATTGTTTCTAATATTTTCTATCACAACACGGCTGCAATGAATATATTTATAATACATGGGTTTATCTGTGGAATATATAATCTGGAAGTGAAATAATTAAGTTAAAGTTTGATAGATATGATAAGATTACCTTTTATGGAGGTGATATGAACTTACACTCCCTACAGAAGTGTTTAAGAGTATCGCTTCTTGGCCTTTTGGCTAAGATCAAGTGTAGTATCTGTTCTTATCAGAAGTGTTTAAGAGTATCTCTTTCTCTACAGTGTTTCCAAAGTTGAATTTCATCAAACTTTTTGATTCTTATCAACCTGATATGTAAATTTTTAAAACTCAGCATAAGTTCTAATTACACTGTTCTTGTTATAAAAAAGGTTGACTTTTTTTTCATGTGAAGAAAATCCATTTCTTTTTCTGTTTTGGGAAAATACGTCTTCATATACTTTGTCCATTTTCCTATTAAAGCATTCCACTTCTTATTGATTTGTATAGCTCTTTACCTATATTGGTGAATTTACCCAGTTGTGATATAAATTGAAAATATTTCTTCATAGTTTATTGCTTGTCTTTTTTAATGTTCTTGTCATGCAGAAAACTTTTTATATCTAATTTATTACATTGATCCCATATTTTCCTTTGATAAGTTTTAGGTTTTGTGTTACAGTTAGAAAGATATCTGCTTTCTGAAATTATTTTTAAACTCTCATTTTTGTGGTGTTTAATAATTATACTATATATTTATATTTGATCTGCTTGGCAAATAATCTGTCTTTTCTGCACTTCTTCTAAACACTGCTTTTATTATATGCTAAATTTTTGAATAAATTTGTGTCAATTTATGTACTCTATTCATTTCCTTTGACCTGTCTGTGGATTCATGCCTCAGTACCATACATTTTTATTTACTATAGCATGATAATATCTTTTAATATCTGGCAGAGCTTCTTTCTTCTCCTGCAGTAGCAGGAGTTGGGTGTCCATGGCATACAATCTTAAAGGATTTTTAATACAGATATTCAGATCTATTAGAATAGAGTTTAAAGTGTTATTCTTTATTTTCTTCCTCATCTGTAGCTAGATATCTATTCTTAGTCCTAATTTTGAATAGTCACTTGCTTTTCCTGAAGTTTTGCATAGTTTATGGGTTTAATGAAAAAAGCAGCCTCTGGATGAATTATCAATTTTACATTTTTTTAAACTAATCATTAATTTTTGTTTATATCATTATTTTTCCTCCTCTTTTCCTTCATTTTTTCTCTGTAATATATGTAATTTACTTAATTTATATTTATTTTTTCTTATTTGGTAATAAATACCCTTAATGCAATAACTCAGTTTTTGATTACTGCAGAGGTATTGATACGTAGCCTCCTCATCTTCATTTTTGTAACCATTTAATAATTACTCTTTTGATTTTTTCTTTTACCCTAGAATTATTTGGGATACTGTTTTTTTCATATTTTCAAGTGGTTGGATTTTTAAAATAAAAATTTTATTTGACTTAAAAAAGGAGTCCATGTAGTTTCTATTTTGGAGAGATTTTTAACTAAAATTTTCTTTGTCATCCAATATAGGCCATATATTGGTACCAAAACAAAGTGTAAGCTTTACAGGGCCCAGATTATAATGTAAATGTGTTAAGTCTGTCTTACTAACTTTATTATTTAAACCTTTTATATTCTTGTTATATACTTTCCTCATTTTTGAAGCATTAAAGAAGTATTGACCTCTCTCATTGCTATGCCTTTCATTTCTTTCTATTCAAAAATATATTTTGATGCAATCTTATTTGTTAACAATGCAATCTATTAAATATTCATGCCTTTATGAATTAGACTTCACAACAGAAAATTACAATTTCTTCTTTCTCTATGTTTTACCCATGAAGTCTGCGTTTGCTGATATTGATATTGCAACACCTGTTTTTCTTCATGTTTTTCAGATATATCTTTGTACAACCTTAACTTTAGCATCTCAGCATCTCTTTTAAAAATTATCATTATTCCCTAGCTCTTGGAAGTTTATCTTGTTGTTGTTGCTAGTGTAACAAACCCTCAGTCTTCTTATTTTTTAATGGAGATGATAATAGTAGTACCTGTCTCAAAGGGTTGTTGGAAGGACTAAGTAAGATCATGCACGGCAAGTGCTAAGCACAGTCTTGTTATTATTATTAATCCCAGAGTGATAAAAGTCATGCATTTTCTCTCTCTCTTTCTCTCTCTCTCTCAAGTTTTGCCCTTGTCACCAAGGCTAGAGTGCAATAGTGCCATCTCAGCTCACTGCAACTTCCACCTCCTGGGTTCAAGTGATTCTCCTGCCTCAGCCTCCCGAGTAGCTGGGATTACAGGTGGCCACCACCATGCCCAGCTAATTTTTGTATTTTTAGTAGAGATGGGGTTTCACCATGTTGGCCAGACTGGTCTCGAACTCCTGACCTCAGGTGACCCACCCGCCTTGGCCTCTCAAAGTGCTGGGATTACAGGTGTGAGCCACTGCTCCCAGCCCATTGTTTTTTTTTTTTTTTTTTTTCGTAAATTAAGTTTTCTTCAATTATACTTTAAACCATAGGTTGCCTTGTTAACTAATAAAGCTTGATTTTAAACAAACAGAAAATAAACAGCTATTTGTTAAGTTTAATTATGGCCATTCTTGTACTGAACAGGGAATGGGGCAAGATTTCCCTCTCAGACTTTGGGATTCTAAGCCCACAGTGACCTGCAGTGACAAGGGGCAGCCAGGCATCAGGCATCGTGGTTAAAGCGAGCTCCGCAGCCAGCCCACCACCTCCAGGTCCCAGCTCCACCCCCGCCTGCTCCCTAGCTGGCCAAGAGAGCTCAGATAAGTTCCTTGACCTCCCCACCTCCACACTCTTATCTGTGAAATGGGGATATTAACAGCAACTTTCTCATAGTTGTGTTGTGAAGATGAAATGAATGAATACATGTAAAGCACTTAAATACCTGGCCAGTCGTGAATGCTAGGTAAACAGGTGAGCTGTTAGCAGCTATTACTCATGCTCTGCTCTCCTCCCCTTCTCCGTCAGCACTGTCCAAGCTACTCTTCACTTGTATACCAATTAGTTTTCATTAATTTGATTAAGTACAAGAAATATTTTCAGAGTACCTACTGTGTTTCAGACACTGTGCTGCTACTTGTAGGAAGTGCAATATCTATCACAGGAGACAGATGTATAAATATAATAATGATAAGGCAGTGTAAATAGTAATTTAATAAAAACTTCAAACAATAAAATAATAGTAATAAGTCAGTGTAGAGTGTAACAGTGGGAAGATAAGTTGGGGGCAGAGGAGGCATAGAGAAGGGGCAGTTGCTTCTGTCTGTGGTAGGGACAGGGAAGGCTCTGAAGAAGAAGGGAGCCCAGGAATGGATCTTGAGCTGGGTCTGAGCTGGAGTCTTAGGTGAGGAAACAGCAGGCAGGAAGGCATGGTGACCTAAAACAACATGGCATTCCCACACCCATCTCTGCATGCGGCTTCTTGTCCTCCACTTGGGAACATCTCCCCATGTTGTTTGCCTCCCTGAGGAAATGTCCCTTCTCCTTCTGAAGTCCTGCTCAAGTCCTACTTTCTCCAAGAGTCCTGTGCCCAGCATCCGACTCACTCTGACTCGCTCTGATTCGCTCGTGCTGTGACCACGCCTCTGTGTCTCCCCTCTCCCTGCTCCCAGGTGGCTGCACAGTGCTGGGCACGTGGTAAGTGCATGTTGATGGATAAAATGATTACCAAAACCGTTAAATGACTAATGCTTTATCCCAACACCATGACTGTGAGAGCCCGTTTCCCACTGAAATTCCCATTGGTCTTTGAAGAGAGGAGATCAGGGTGATTTGTCTTTTCCTACCTCACACTACGTGTCCCTTTTACACGATTCTCTCAGGAATCCCAGGGAACATAAGGGACCTGGCTTGAGACTACAAAATGGCTGAGAAAGAGGAGAGAGGTGTAGAAACCTGGCGAATACAGCCCTTGTCGCTGAAATGTCAGACCCACTGAAGTCGAGCCCATTAATCTTGTTTTATTGCAAGATTCAAAATCGCCATGCTATGGCAGCCACAAAATTGATAGATGAGTTTCCCCGCGTTCACCCAGTACCTTGGCTGCCTGGGAAACCAGACCCCAGATGAACAAGGAGAGGAAATTAAAACCGCCCTTGGAGGTTTTTCAGTAACTGCTGCTAGAGAAAGACGGGGCATTCACGGTCTCTGGCCGCCAAGCTGCTTACGCTTGGATTTTACTGCGTTTTTTATAAGCAAATCAAAGAAATAGCAATGCTGAAACCATCGCGGTAAATCTTAAGCAGCTTCCTGCTCCAGTGAGGGGCAGGAGTGGCCACAACCTGGCTGTCCTGTTGCTTAAGGCCACGGGGCTGTGATCTTGTTTGGCTTTTTGTTAATGACATAGGTGAAAAATAGAAATGCCTGGTTGTTTTAATTTGGGGTTCTTTGATCACTGGGGAGCTGAAACCTTTTTCCATACGTCAGTTTTCTAGTTGGATTCCATCTTTTGTAAATAGCCATTTTCCTTCTGCCTCTAATATAATTAACGATTCAGTTCAGCAGTTCCGCATTTATTGTGGGTCTAGCACATTCAGTGATACATGGAGGTGAGTTATGTATGTCCCATTTCCTAACACAGTACGGGGGAGAGAGAGAGAGTAGGAGGGAGAAAGGGAAACAGAATGTCACTTCACTTTGCTGCAATGTGGCTGATAAGGATGCTTCCAGAATGTTTTCCCTGGTTTTATTTGCTTTTTTCAAAAAAATTTTTGGAGAACATAGAGATGTTTCTATTCTTTTAATATTATAAATTACCTATCTTTTTGTGATTACTTCCATCACTTTTTAAATACTCATTTCTGTTTCATTTTAACTTTCTGTGCTCAATTTTTTTTTTTAAAATCCCAAATCTGGCTGAAATTTATTTCCATGTTAGATTTGTATGAGTTATAGGTGTTCCTTCTTTTTCTGAATTACTTTGATTTTGCAAACATTATATTGACTAATTCTTCCCTTTTCTGTGTTTTTTTTGATAGCTCTTTCATTGGTTATACATAAAATTCCCACACATACACACACAGAGATTATAATATTTGTTTCCTTTGTGCCAGTATGCTACTCTTTATTGTTGTTGATTTTCAATACATTTCAGTATCTGGCAGAGCTAGCACATCCCAGAATTTTTTTGTAGTCTATCTTATTTATTCTTTCTTTTAACTATTAGGGATTTTTTTCCAGTTCCAAGAAAACATCCAGAGAAATTAGTTTTGACCTTATATTCAATCTATAGATTTATTTAGGTAAACCAATATGTTTATAATATGATGTTAGGAATAATGCTCAAAATCCTAAGGAAATTGAACACTCGAACAAAGGATTCTTAGCAAAGCACTTTTACTTCTGCGCAGAGGGGTGCCTCCTTGGCCAGTCACCATGAAAGCACACCTGAACAAAGGGACACTAGAGCCTTTATTCCTGACACAAGTCCTGCCCCTGTACACTTTCCCCATTGGCCGGGGTCGGGTTGTACAATCTAAACTAATCCCGATTGTCTAAACATTTGATTTTTTTTAGGTAAGGTGGGCACGGAAAAGAAAATGGAGAGGAAGGGGAAGAGGTGTCTGTAATGAGCTAGAAAGTTAGTCCTCTTTCCAAATGAGGAAAGGTTGTGAGCTGGTACTGATAACGCCTGGTACCGTGGCGTGCCTGGGCATCTAACAAAAGCAAAAAGGAAAAAAGAAGAAAAAGGGAGGGGGTACTACGAATTAAATAATAAAAGATTGATCAGATTATTTGAAGAGAAACCTCATCATATCCCACAATAACATGAATAGCACCATCCAGGAATGAATTATATTTTACTTTCATTCAAATTTCTTGTAATTTGTCCCAAAGTTTGATGCTTTGTTTATAAAGCCACTTACATGAAATATATGTTTAGTATAATAATTTGTACATTTTGCTATAATTTAGATGAGATTTATTTACATTTTAGTAATGTGCAAGGAAATTATTATTTTATTTATATGTATATCTTGTATCTGATTAATTTACTACACTTAAAAAATTAATTCTGGAGGTTTTCAGTTAAAACTTGCTTTTGGCGCCGCTCGGCCCAGGGCAGGGACCTCGCCAGGGCCGGGACCGCCCGGCCTGGCCCCGGCCCGCGCCTCCCCGCGCCACCCCGTGCCCCGCACAGCACTCTCTCCGCACCCCCGCCCGCGCGGCCGGACCGGGCAGCCAGAAAAATCATTTTTCTTCTCTGGGAAGGTGAACATTTGTAGCATTGATTTCCCGGATCTGGTAACATGGCAAAAGATGCCGGTCTAATTGAAGCCAATGGAGACCTCAAGGTCTTCATAGACCAGAACCTTAGTCCTGGAAAAGGCGTGGTGTCCCTCGTGGCCGTTCACCCCTCCACCGTCAACCCGCTCGGGGAGCAGCTCTTGGCAAAAACCTCTGGACAGTCCAATGTCAACATTGCCCAGCAAGTGGTAGTTGGTACACCTCAGAGACCGGCAGCGTCAAACGCCCTGGGGGTAGGAAGCCCACACACCCCAGCACTCACTTTGCCTCTCAGAACCAGCCTTCCGACTCCTCACCTTGGTCTGCCGGGAAGCGCAACAGAAAAGGAGAGGAGAATGGCAGGGGCCTGCGGCATTTCTCCATGAAGGTCTGCGAGAAGGTGCAGAGGAAAGGGACCACTTCCTACAACCAAGTGGCGGATGAGCTGGTCGCGAAGTTCAGTGCTGCCGACAACCACATCTTACCAAACGAGTCAGCTTGTGACCAGAAGAACATAAGACGGCGCGTCTGCGATGCCTTAAATGTGCTGAGGGCCGTGAGCATCATCTCCAAGGAGAAAAAGGAGATCAAGTGGATTGGTCTGCCCACCAACTCGGCTTAGGAATGTCAGAACTTAGAGGTGGAAAGACAGAGGAGACTTGAAAGAATAAAACAGAAACAGTCTCAACTTCAAAACTTATTCTACAGCAAATTGCCTTCAAGAACCTGGTGCAGAGAAACCGGCACGCGGAGCGGCAGGCCAGCCAGCCGCCGCCAGCCAACTCGGTCATCCACCTGCCCTTCATCATCATCAACACCAGCAAGAAGACGGTCATCGACTGCAGCATCTCCAACGACAAATTCGACTATCTGTTTAATTTTGACAACACATTTCAAATCCACGATGACATAGAAGTGCTGAAGCGGGTGGAGTCCGGGAGCTTCTCTGCTGAGGACCTTAAAATGGCCAAAAGTCTGGTCCCAAAGACTCTGGAGCGGTAAGTGACAGAAATGGCTCAGGGAACTGTGGGAGGCGTGTTCATCACGATGGCAGGTTCCACGTCTAACGGCACGAGGTTCTCTGCCAGTGACCTGACCAATGGTGCAGATGAGACGCTGGCCACAAAGTTCCAATGGGTCTCAGTACAGCAGCTCCAGGGTGGAGACCCCGGTGTCTTACGTCGGGGAGGACGACGAGGAGGATAATGACTTCAACGAGAATGAGGAGGACGACTGACATCCTCCCCACTTCAAATTCAGCTTCAGGAAAACGTTGAGGGAAAAGATTTTTTTTTTTAATGTGGGTTTTCTGTTTCCTTTTGGCCTACTCCCAAGAAAATATTGGTAAGCTATTGAATTTAGATATGCACCTCTGATAAGCAAGGATTGTTTCCCGTAGGATTAGGATGTGCTGTGGATGTGTGTTTTGATACCAGTGTGCAGATGCAGAGTGTTTATTTAGTTTTTAGGATTTTGTGTTTTCATTTTCTATTTTTCTTTAAGTGCGGAGTTCATTTTTGCCCCTGAACAGTTTTTGCTGAGTTTGCTGAAGAAATTGTATTTCATCCACATCCATGAAAATGAAACGCCCTCCTGTTGTGGATGGTGAGCACCTGATGCCTTTTATTTGCCGTGAGTTTGGACGGCGCCCCCGCTGGCAGATGGCGAGACTCTGTGGAGTTTGTTCAGTGGTATGGTGTCCAAGCAAACAGCATAATTCGACTTTCTAAACAGCCCCAAGCAAACAGCAGAATTCGGCTTTTTATTATTATTATTATTATTATTATTATACTTTTAAGTTCTGGGGTACATGTGCACACCGTGCAGGTATGTTACATATGTTTTACATATGTATGCATGTGCCATGTTGGTGTGCTGCACCCATTAACTCGTCATTTACATTAGGTATATCTCCTAATGCTATCCCCCGCTCCCCCCACTCCATGACAGGCCCCGGTGTGTGATGTTCCCTTTCCTGTGTCCAAGTGTTCTCATTGTTCAATTCCCACCTATGAGTGAGAACATGTGGTGTTTGGTTTTTTTGTCCTTGCGATAGTTTGCTGAGAATGATGGTTTCCAGCTTCATCCATGTCCCTACAAATGACATGAACTCATCCTTTTTTACGGCTGCATAGTATTCCATGGTGTATATGTGCCACATTTTCTTAATCCAGTCTATCATTGATGGACATTTGGGTTGGTTCCAAGTCTTTGCTATTGTGAATAGTGCCGCAATAAACATACGTGTGCATGTGTCTTTATAGCAGCATGATTTATAGTCCTTTGGGTATATACCCAGTAATGGGATGGCTGGGTCAAATGGTATTTCTAGTTCTAGATCCTTGAGGAATCGCCACACTGACTTCCACAAAGGTTGAACTAGTTTACAGTCCCACCAACAGTGTAAAAGTGTTCCTATTTCTCCACATCCTCTCCAGCACCTGTTGTTTCCTGACTTTTTAATGATTGCCATTCTAACTGGTGTGAGATGGTATCTCATTGTGATTTTGATTTGCATTTCTCTGATGGCCAGTGATGATGAGCATTTTTTCATGTGTCTTTTGGCTGCATAAATGTCTTCTTTTGAGAAGTGTCTGTTCATATACTTCACCTACTTTTTGATGGGGTTGTTTTTTTCTTGTAAATTTGTTAAAGTTCATATGGAACCAAAAAAGAGCCTGCATTGCCAAGTCAATCCCGAACCAAAAGAACAAAGCTGGAGGCATCACGCTACCTGACTTCAAACTATACTACAAGGCTACAGTAACCAAAACAGCATGGTACTGGTACCAAAACAGAGATATAGACCAATGGAACAGAACAGAGCCCTCAGAAATAATACCACACATCTACAACCATCTGATCTTTGACAAACCTGACAAAGACAAGAAATGGGGAAAGGATTCCCTATTTAATAAATGGTGCTGGGAGAACTGGCTAGCCATATGTAGAAAGCTGAAACTGGATCCCTTCCTTACACCTTATACAAAAATTAATTCAAGATGGATTAAAGACTTAAATGTTAGACCTAAAACCATAAAAACCCTAGAAGAAAACCTAGGCAGTACCATTCAGGACATAGGCACAGGCAAGGACTTCATGTCTAAAACACAAAAAGCAGTGGCAACAAAAGCCAAAATTGACAAATGGGATCTAATTAAACTAAAGAGCTTCTGCACAGCAAAAGAAACTACCATCAGAGTGAACAGAATTCGACTTTCTAAACAGCCCCAAGCAAACAGCAGAATTCGACTTTCTAAACAATAAACACCATCAACCTTATTGACTTTATTGTCCCTTAAATTATATTGGCTGTTGTGATTCCATCAAGTTTATACACTCTTTTCTCTCCCTATTTTGCAGCAACAAATTGCAAAGTGCTTTTGTTTGGTTTTGTTTGGTTAAAGCTTATTGCCATGCTGATGCGGCTATGGAGACTATCTGGAAGGCTTGGAATGGTTTATTGCTTATGGTAAAATTTGCCTGATTTCTTACAGGCAGTGTTCGGAAACCTTTTATTATATAGTTGTTTACATACTTATAATTCTATCACTTAAAGACATGTACTGAAACAAATGTATTTGTTTCATAAGCATCTTCCTGTAATCTATTATAAAATTGAAATTAAATATAGAGAATGTTTTAACAATTTTTTAACTCAAAATTTGTCAATAATTTTTAATAGTTCTTTTTTTATAAAAAGAAAAAGGAATTTAAGGACAGGCCATAGTCTCTTTTAAAATTTATTCACAAAACCCATTAACTGCGCAGTTGCTATTAGCTGCCTGTTCTAAAATGATAGTCTTTTTATTGAAACACCAACTTTTCTGTAATATTTTATGGAATATAAAGAGACTTTAATTGTTTGACTTGTTTAACTTGGCACTGTTAGTTTTTATTAATAAAACGGTCATGGGCATTTAAAAAACAAACAAAAACAAAAACAAAAACCCTGCTTTTGTAGATATGGAGTCATAGCATCAGCATATAATGGCACTTTGTCTCTTTCTAATTAATCTATATCACTGTTAACTGTCTTTTCTTTCTTATGTTGTTTCAAGACTCTGTAATAAAAATGGTGGTAGACAGCAGTCTTTGTTCCTGAGGTAAGTGGAAATTTTTTGGTACAGTGTCACCTTTGAGCATAATCCTGAGGATATTGAGCTAAAGATATTATTTTTATTGTTAACAGCGCCAGCAGCACAAACACTGATATTGGTGTCTACTGTGTGGTATTGTGTGCCAGGCACTGTTCTAGGCTCTTTCTACATATGTGACTTCATATAATCCTCACATGAAATCATTATTTCCATGCTACAGAGGGGTCATGGGGCACAAGGAGATTGGTAACTGCCCATGTCAATAACAGAAAAAGGACATGAATCCAGGCATCTGGCTCCAAAGACCATGCATTTAGCTGCTTCTAAAGAACATGCGTTTATCCATGTTACAAAGCATATTTTATTAGAATTGATCAAACTAACTGGAGCAAATAAGATTTTCACGTCTATTAAAACGACCATGAGACTTTTCTTCCTTGGTCTGGTAGTGACTTCTAATAGATTTCTCCCTACTAAGGCTTCATTCTCTCATTCACAGGATAAGCCTCATTGGGTCCGTAGAACATTCTTTTATTTATTATTGATTTTCTTTAGTTTGTAGTTTAAGGTTTTTTTTAATATACATAAGAGTGACTGGTTTAGTTTCTAGTCTTTCTGGTTATGTGATTTCTTTTAAAAGAGTTTCTTTTTTATTATAATTTGTTTATTTTGAGAAATCTGCAAAGTGGAGAAAACTGCAAAAAAGTAGTACAACGCCTTGAATTGGAAAGTTGTCAACATCTTGGTATATTTCCTTCAAGGCTCGTTTCGTGTTTCCTAAAATATATGAAAATTTCAAGATAAAAAATGTTCCCCTTAATTCTACTTCTTGATATATACCCAGAAGAATTAAAAACAGGGGCTCAGAAGATATTTGTACATCATGCTTATGGCAGCATTACTCACAGGAGCCAAAAGGTGGAAGCAACCCCAGGTGTCTACTAACAGATGAATGGATAAATGAAATGTGGCATATCGATGCCATGGAATATTATTTAGCCTTAAAAGGGAAGCAAATTCTGACACATGCTACAACATGGATGAACCTTGAAAACATTATGCTAAGTGAAGTAAACCAGTCACAAAAAAATAAATATTTATAATTTCACTCATATAAGCTACCCAGACTGGTCAAATTCACAGAGACGGAAAGAATGAAGGTTGCCAGGGAGTGAGGGAGAGTGAAATGGGAAGTTAGCACTTAATATGTTCAGAGTTTCAGTTTTGCCAGACGAAAGCATTCTGGAGATGGATGGTGGTTGCACAACAACGTATAGGTACTAAATGCCACTGAACTGTGCATGTAGAAGTGGTTAAGATGGTAACATTTATGTGTATTTTTTCACAGTTAAATAAAAAAGAAGTCCCCCTTATTTTACATCCCCAGTGTCATTCTTGTCTCAGGTGTCCAGAGGGAATCATTGTCATGAATTGATTATAGTATCTTCCAGTCTATCTTTTATGGTTTTACAAACAAACATACAAATCTATGAAAGATTTATAGCATTCTTTTGTGTTTCCTAACATTTCCATTGAAAGTAATATGCTGCATGGAACATTCAACAATTGGACTTTTATCACTACATTTTATTTATGTATTTCTTTATTGTTATTTAAATGCAGTTCAATTCTTTTTGCTGTTTTAAACAATCCCATAGTGAGTGTGTCTTTTTACAGAATATGTGCCCACGATTATCCAAGGTGCAGACCTGGAACTGAATGGCTGGGTCACAGCATGAATGTTTTCAATGATCCTGGATAATGTCAATTTGCTCTGAACGTTATTATTCAAATTTAAATACCAGCCAGCAGAGGATGAGAGTACCTGTTTCCCCCTAGCTTCAGCAAAACCAATATTGACAATTAAAATTTATTTTTTGCCAATCTGTCAGGTGGGAAGTGTTATCTCCTTGTTTAATTTGCCTTTCCTTGAGTACTGGTGAGCTTGAATATCTTTTCACATGTTTATGAACCACCAATTTTCTCATCTCAGAATCACCTGGTCATTGTCTTTGCTTTTTTTTTTTTTTTTTTTTTTTTTTTTCCGACACGAAGTCTCACTCTGTCGCCCTGGCTGGAGTGCAGTGGCGCAATCTTGGCTCACTGCAACCTCTGCTTCTCTGGTTCAAGACATTCTCCTGCCTCAGCCTCCCAAGTAGCTGGGATTACAGGCATGCACTACCACACCCAGCTAATTTTTGTATTTTTAGTAGAGAGGGGGTTTCACCATGTTGGTCTGGCTGGTCTCGAGCTCCTGACCTCAGACGATCTGCCCGCCTTGGCTTCCCAAAGTGTTTTTCTCTTTACTGACTTGAAATTTATTAGATATTTTGGAAATTAATTATTTGTCCCTACAGATATCACAAGTACATTTTCTAGTCTTTTCATTTAACTTTGTTTTTTATCATACCAAAGATTTTAATTTTGATGTAGTCAGATTTAAAAATATTTTTCATTATGATCTATGCTTGTTATCTTTAAGAAATTATCCCCTACCCTCAGCCCATAAAAATATTATCAGATATATTCTTCTAATTTGTTTCAAACTTTTTTTCTAAGGTAGATTTTAATCAATATGAAATTTGTTTGGGGACCTTATGATCTCTTCAGCAAGTGTGGAAATTTGAAATTAATAGGATGCATTAAATTTTTCTTTATTGGTTAAGAATTAGTGGTATTGGATAGAGATTATGAGTATTCTAAATATTTGGATAGGTTTATCAACAAATCCATAAGGATCACTGAGAAATTACAATGACATATATCCTTGCTTTCTTTTTGCTTTTAGCTCTGCCTGTTTTGGGGGTATATGAACGTGTGCTATGTGATCCTCATGCTTACACCCACACAAACATGTACACGTGCGCGCGCACACACACACACAGATGTGTAAATATCTATTCTTGAAATTTGTAAATTCTTTATCATATAACTATATGTAATATTGCCACATACCTTACACTTTTCCTTTCCACTTAGTGCTAGATTCTCATTCTCCTTTCTAATGGTCTGTTTTGTGATTCAGATATTGTTAAAAGATCGACCAGGAGCTTGTCTGTTTTATTGTTTTGTTTTCCTCTCAAAGTTCTAGTTTTTAGTAACACTACTATTACCACTACTTTTACAACAACAGCCGTGACCACATTCTGCCTCTCAAGATTTAGTGAGCCCTTATCCATTATTTACCAGACACTGTGCTGTGAGCTTTACCAGGCATTTACTTTCATTTAATTTTTACAACAATCTTATACAAAGTTGTTATATTTTACAGATGGGAAACATAAGAAAGTAGGGCACAGAGAAGTGAACTAAATGTTCCAAAGTTGCAGAGCTGTGTGTGTTGAAATGGAGCTGCAAACCCAGGTTCACCTGACCTGAGATATAGGGCTTGTAGTCCCTGCATTCTACTGCCTTCTTCTTTTTTTCCCCTTCTCATTCCATTATTTCTCGTTTCCATTTTTTGCTGGTATTATTTCATTTCTTCTATTTTCTCCAGATGGGATTTGTTTTCAGTTCATTCTCACTTCTTGCTTTCATTGCCTCACTCTCTTGCTCTCGTGTTTTACACACAGTAGCGTGTAGGATGTTATTTTTAGTTTCTATATATTTGAGTTTTTTTCTCTTTAACATATATTATGAATGTTTAGTTCATTGCATTTTGATCTGAAAATATTAGCTGTAAAAATTCTGCCATAAGGTACTCACCAGTGTTTTCTTTATGATTTAGCATATGATGATTTTTTGCTTACAGACCGACTACATATACTTTAAAAGAAAAAGTAATCCATATTTTTGCATTACAAGATTTGAAATAAGTCTAGTAGATGTACTGTTTTTATTGTGTCATCTATTTTTTTCTAGCTCCTCATTTCTAAATACTTGGGTCTGTAATAGCCTGATAACAGTAAATTATATTCTTATACCCAAGCATGTTTTTGTTTGATTTCTTATGTATTTTTACAGTTTTTGCTTTATACACTTGCAAATCTTATGTAAAGTTTTTACTTTTAAGCACTATGCTGTCCAGAATTAATCCTGCTGTTCTTTGATTTGAATTCAGCTGGCATATTTGGGTCCAATAATTCATTTCTAAACTTTTATTACCCTTCTGCCACTGAAGCAGAAGCAGATCTTATGGACAACTTAACACTAACTTTTAAAAATTATAATCTTTACATAGCTTGGGACAGGCCACTTATATCCATTTTCATAACCACCATGCTGTCACTTCACTTTATGTCTTCTTGTCCTCTGTCGTCTCTTTTGATTTTTGATGTATAGTTCAATAAATGACTATGTTTTACTTTGTTTTCTGTCTAAAGATTTTTTTTTTTTTTTTTTTGAGACTGAGTCTCGTTCTGTCTCCCAGGCTGGAGTGCAGTGGTGCGATCTTGGCTCACTTCAACCTCCACCTCCCGCGTTCAAGTGATTCTCCTGCCTCAACCTCCTGAGTAGCTGGGACTACAGGTATGTGCCACCACGCCCAGCTAATTTTTGTATTTTTATTAGAGACAGAGTTTTACCATGTTGACCAGGATGGTCTTGATCTCCTGACCTCGTAATCTGCCCGCCTCGGCCTCCCAAAGTGCTGGGATTACAGGTGTGAGCCACTGCGCCCGGCCTAAAGACGTATTTTTAAGAGGTTACTCTCTAATTTTAAAATAAAAATATTTATGATCAATTTATGAGACACTCCACTAACATTCTTAAAGCTATAATCCTCATTTTTAAACTTTCCAGACAAAGACAACTTTTAACCCTCCTTCATAACTGCTGAGAGATATTAGAGGTTTTGCTACTTTTCCTTCTTCCTTCTTTCCCCTCCCATTCTTCATTGATACAATTTGAGTTTTGATCCCACTTTATCTTTTCCCATCCTTTTTAGTTCTGGTTATTTGTAGCTTGTTTTTGAGCCACAGCTTTAGTTAATAAAATCAATTCTCAACAGTTAATTCTATTTTCTCCTGTTCTATTATTACCTTATCCTTGACATTCTTCTTGACATTGATGACTTTTTAAAGTGAGCAGATGGTCACATAGGCATCCCCAGGTGTTTTTCCATTTCCAATTTCCCGCTTTCCTCTTTATTTTTGAGAGTGTTCACCACAGAGTGGGTTCCTGTGAGGTTTATCACTTAAGGGTGGATGGTTGTAAAGTGAAATACTGTAGACCTCACTAAGAAGTAACTCACTAAGAAGCACTCTCGGAGAACATCCTAATTCTTAAAGTATTGTAAAAGCATCACTCCATTTTCTTCTATCATTGCTTTTACATTTGGTAGAGAAAAATTGAAGAAAGAAATGATGACTTCTATTCAGCACTGTTACCGACTGGATCATGTCGCCTTAAAATTCACAGGCTGAATCCCTAACCCCCAGTGTAACTGTATTTGGGGATAGGGCCTTAAAGATGTAATAGAGGTGCAGTGAGGTCCTAAGAGTGGGCCCTAATCCAGCATGACTGCTGTCCATATAAGAAGAAGAAGAGACGCCAGGAGTGTGTGTGGACTGAGAAAGACCCACAGCAAGAAGGGCACTGTCTATTAAGCCAGGAAGAGAGGCTCACCAGAAACCACCCTGCTGTCACCTTGATCTTGGCCTTCCAACCTCCAGAACCAGGAGAAAATAAATTTCTGTTGCTTAAGCCACCCAGTAAGTGATATTTTGCCATGGCAGCCCTAGAAAACGAATTCAAGCACTTACTCTGTGCCAAGAGCTGTACAAAATGTTTAATCCCTGACAACAACCCTATGTGGTATTTTTACTGTAGTGTCGTGAATGAGGAAATTGAACCTTGAAGTGGCTTGCTCAGGTCAACAGCTTGTAATTGATGAAGCTAGAATTGAAACCAAAATCTTTCTGATTCCAAATCACGTGCTTTTCCTTCTGTCACTGCCTCCTAGTAAATTCAGATTCTAGTTCCTTTAAGTGGAATCTGGTCTTGCTTCTTTGCAGAGTGTGAAACGTTATTTCAGTTGTTCACGCTGTTCCTCACATCAGTTGGCATCAATCCTGGAAATCCACTCACTCTGAGCATCCACAGAGCATGAACCCCACCCCCGTGCCTCTGTGTAGATGTTTTCTTTCCCTCCTCTAGGTCTAGTTGCTGCTAGCTTTCTTCAGATCACAATTTTTGCTCCATCTGTGCGATGGAGTCATTCCTGATTCCCATTATTCTATATTATACTCATAACACTTTGTGTTCCCTTTCTTCCTTCTCCTTCCTTCCTCCCTTCCTTTCACAAGTGGATAATTGTGTGTTCATTTATGTAATTATTTTAATACTGTCTCCCCCACTGATCTGTAAACTCCATGGGAATATGGACTCTGTTTTCCTGATCACTGGGAACACACAGCCTGACCTGCAGCAGGCATGCATAGACATCTGTAGAATACAGCAGCAAAGGAACAAATGACTCTAGGAGCCTCCTTCTCCCAACCAGCCTTATTTGGAAGATATGCCTCAATCTCACTGCAGGAAGTGCCCTCCTGAATTACCCAGAGACAGATCTCCAAGTGTTGCACCTAGAAGGTGGAGGACAAGTACCAAACCTGGAGTCCTGGGCCTCAACTTGAGACATAGCACTCTCTCTTCCCAGATGGGTGAGAAACTTAAATTCTCTGGCCCTCAGTCTTTCCATGTAGAAAAGAAATGAGTTGGACCAGGTGTTCCCCATGGTTCTAGAGGTCCACACATTCTGTGATTCTGTGCCATCATTGGGCACAGCCCCTCCTGTTACAATGGGGGATTAGGAATTCTAAGAGGACTCATCCCATCTTCAGATAATTACGGAACACAGATGGTAGACTGGGACCTCTGGGTTCCTCAGAGCACATGGGGCCACTGGAGCAGTAGCTGGGCTTCATTGAGTCAGAAGTCCAGGGAAGGAGGATCCTGAAGCCTGGGTCAAATCTGTAGGCAAGAGCAGGATGGTGCAACCCACCCTTTGATGTTTATTGGGCAACAGGCTTTCTTTTCTTCATCATCACCTCCCCTGTCCAGGCCAAGTGTGTCCCTGGGCTTCAAAGACTATCCTGCTGTGACTCAGCACGCCTGCCACCTTGAAGCATTGGCAAGAGCATGGAGACAGAGGTGTGGCTCCTGCAAAATTATGTTGCTCAGGAAGGGAAGCTTCGTAAATTCTGAAATCTCTGCCAACATGGGATAATTAGGTCATACAATGGCTAATGAATTTCATGCAGATAATTGCAATTTAAGGCACATTGAAAAAACAATTTAAAGTCCTGATACACATCAATGGCTTCTGATTCCTTGGGAATGGTCTCGAGATGAAGAGGTCTGCTCTGTGCTTTAATACAAAAGGTATTTTATGTCTCAGAGCAAGGGGGTGCCGGGTGGGGTCCTTTAAGGCATCTGCTTGCCAAGAATGAGTCCACATCCTCCTCTTCCCCTTGCTTTTGCCAAATGCACAAACAAGGTCGTTGGTTGATAATGAGCAAGAGATAATTCACTGGAATGAAGGCTCCACAAATCAATAAGACATATGTTCTAATGCAGTATACACTTAACTTCAGGGACCAGCTTTAAAATACAGCTTGCTAGTTTGTAAAGCCAAAGCTAGTCTTAAAGGGAACAGGAGCCCAGGTCTTAGAGCCTGTAGAGCAATAATTTGAAACCCTTTATAGACCACAACAGACAAAAAGAGGAATGTGAAGACCCTAGGATCCCTGTTTCTAAAATCAGGGCTAACTCTTTGGAAATGCGACAATGTGTTATGGGGGTCCCAGGGCCAAGTCACACTTTCCACCAGAATGGAACTTATCTGAGTAAGTCCTGACTTACCTCTTAGCTACTTAACCGGTCACTGAATATCTAGTAGAAGCGATGCACAGAGCAGACCGGTAAGAGGATTTAAGCTACAGGTCTGTATTGTTTGACCTGTGCAGGGAAACTTCAAGTGAGAATCCCATTTTCTATCTTTTTTTTTTTTAGATGGAGTTTCACTCTTGTCACCCAGGCTGGAGTGCAATGGCATGATCTCAGCTCATTGTAACCTCCGTGTCCCAGGTTCAAATGATTCTCCTGCCTCAGAGTCCTGATTAGCTGGGATTACAGGCGCACGCCACCACACGCAGCTACTTTTGTATTTTTAGTAGAGACAGGGTTTCACCATGTTGGCCAGGCTGGTCTCTGACTCCTGACCTCAGGTAATCCGCCTGCCTTGGCTTCCCAAAGTGCTGGGATTACAGGCATGAGCTACCACGCCCAGCTGAGAATCACATTTTCTAGATTCTTTTGAACAATCAGAGGGTCTAGCCACAATTGGCCTGTGTTCTTACATGCCAGTAATCATGAGGGCCTAAGGAGCTGCTCTCTTTAGATGGGCAGGTGATCTCCTGATCTCTGCATCCCACGACTCTAGGTTGTCTTCTTTCATTGAGGCCGCCTCCTTGGTCCCAGCAGGCATTTGGATTTGAGTTCTCTAGTCTACCTGTGCAGGTACTGAGCTGGAAGTGAGATCTAAAGATGAAATCTGATGAAGTATGTTGGATACAAATAATCTCTTCATTTACACAACAATCTGTAAGCATCTATTCTGTGCCAGGCTGTGTGCCGGTGCTGAGAATATGAAGATGGAAAGTCCTCACTGAGTGTTCTTAAGAGCTTACCATCTCTAGGGGGAGATAGACATGTACACAGATGGACTGAAATACAAAGTGATTGCTACAGTTACCCAGAGAACATGGATATGAAATGGTTAAACTTTAGTGTCCTGACCACTCTAGTCTGAAGAATGGTTAATGGTGTTCTATAGGTAGGCCTTGGGCTGAGCAATTGGGAATCAATGTTAGTGCTGACCGTAAGCAAGAAATGACTTTTCCTATTAAGGGGCTGAAAGAGCCTTCTCATTGGTTTAGCAGGCTATTAAAACAGCTGCAAAAGGTTGCCTGGCCACAGAGAATGCGTGCTGCAGCATTATGTAGCTGTTTTAGGACTTTATAAAGAAAGATGCGAGATACTGTTTGCATTTGGAGCAAAGCGTGAATACAGACTAAGGCTTAAATATCATGCTTCTTTATGCTTTTAAAACTCTTTTGAGCTGTTATAAGAGATAGTCCTTTTAATGTTACTATGCTATGTGATAGCCAATGGTGAGGGAATGGAAGTCTCTCTAGAAGAGACTGAGGAAAGGCCGGGAACCAGGGTTTTTGAGAAGTCTGCCCCTATTTATTTTTAGTAAATATCAAGAGGTAGCCTAAGCCTAGTTAGAGTTAAACCTGTCTTTGGATAAAGAAGTCTTATTACTGAAATACTGGATTTTTAATATACTAGTTCATTATTTGGTATTCTGTATACCCCTTCAAGCAGTTGTTTCCCACTCACAACAAACTATACAATTCTGGATGCTAAAACTTAGGGATATTCTCTTTGCATAAATTTTGGCTCCATTCTGTCCATAACAATCTAATTGACCAAAACTGGGAGTTCTCAAGTGAATGCAAAAGGAGCAGGCCATAACTTTATTTGTTATAGAGACCATCAGAAACTTGAGATCTTTTGGCCTATGATAATACCATTTATTTTTTGCATTGCTTCACAGTTTGCCATGTGTTTTTACATCATCTCATTTGATCTCAAACAGCTTGACAGAGCAACTGCTATTGAAATATTACACATGGGAAGAATGAGCCTCAGGGAAGTTAAATGACTTGACCAAGATCTGCTCATAGTCGCGAGTATTTTTTTTCAGAGCTTGTAATGTCTCATATTTAGTCCTTTGCTATCCATGTTGATTTGCTTTTGTCTGTTTCCTCATTATTGAAGTATATACTTTAAATATATACCTTAAGATATCAAAATATCATAGAGAAACATTTGAACTATAATCAGGAAATATGTTTAAAGATATATATTGCCATACGAAACTTAACATTTAAAACCGATAATATCTGTAATGACATCAGAATGAAAGAAAAAAAGTTGTACAGTGTATATTCCTTTGTTTTGAATCCAAATCTTTTTCATAGGTAATGGCAGATGCCTTAATGTGAAGCTTATTTATAATAGTAGTAAACCTAACTGGATTTAGGTGAAGAAGTCTTAATACTGGAAAAAAAAAAATCAGAGTTCTAGGGCAAAAATCAGAAGCACGAGTGCAGGTGAGATCGCATGGGAGGAGAACACTGCGGGGCTCACAAGAGAATCAGACTGGCCCGGCCTAGGGATGTCTCCAGCTAAGCTGACTCTGGGCTCCCACCATAACCAAGTCAGACTGAGCATTTGATCCCTGTTTGTATACCATGGGAATAGCAGCATAATGCTACAGCTCATGCTCTCTAACAGACCATCCTTAGCAGCTTTCTTCCTGTTTTAATATCTATGCTATGCCTATTTTTTTGTAGGATGTTCACACATTTTGTTGTCTTTTTCATTAAGTTCTGACTGTAAAACATGACCCAAATGGTGTTGTAAACAGATGGCTTGCCTGAACATATGCTTAGAATTAAGATTGTGGTACCTGGTGGAAAAAGAAAGCAAGAGTTAAGGCTCACCATTGCAAGATACTATCATGTTGCCATTTGCTTCCATTTGTATCTGGGCAGGTTACATGGTGTGCCACAATGGAACTAGGGGTGAAGTGTGTGAGAGCCCAGAGGAAGGAATATCTGAATTTTCCTGGGAGAGTCAGGGTGGGTCTCACCAAGGAAGGAACCCTGGGGCCAACACTTGAAGGAGAAAAAAACCTGTGGGATAGATAAATGCTACTGGGACAGGTGAAGGAGGGGGGTAGTCTTTGAATTTGGCCTTGAAGGGTGTAAACACTTTGACCAAGCAAAAATGAGGAGGAAAGGACATCCCAGTGGGGAGGAAAAGCATGCAAAAATTGGAGTAGGCGCAAAATAGTGGAGGTTTACAGGAAATCAGCACTAAGGCCCTGAATAGCAGATTAATGCCAGGCCAGTGCCACGGAAAATCGGAAGGTGTTCATTGATGAGTATGGTGCTATGAAATGAGTGGTTTGATGAACAGAACTCTGTCTTAGAAACATATGCCCATCAGTGGAGTTCAAGGTGAGTTTATGGAGGAGAAACTGGCAACAGTGATCTTTAGCTACCTCCTTCCTCTCTGAGGTTCAGCTCTGTAATTCGAGAAACACAGGATTTTGGTGGCAGGGTCATTGTCAAGATTGTCAAAAATGTGTATAATGCACACTGCAGGGTGCCCAGCACCTGGCATATAGTAGCTGCTCAGCAAACAGCCTCTCCCTCTCCTCTCTGTTCCCATGAGCCACGTGTCAAACTGGATCCTGGCTGTCCCAGCTCCCAGGTTATGCAGGGCTACAGGCAAGCTTCATTTTAGCTGCTAAAAGGTAGTGATGGGCTGAGGTGCCAATAATGTTTTTTTTTTATGCTAAAGACTACACATGTAAGAATGATCCTTCTTGCATTCTGACACCTTGATGACATCTCATTTATTTATAGCTTTAGCTAATTAACAGTTACCAAATGTCAGCATGCATACAACTAAAATATTCTATTATTTCAGTGTCTCTTTTCAGATTACTATGCTGTGTGGATAATTTTTCATTTGCAGGCAAGATAAAAATGAAACAAACTTTACAAGAAGATCCTTAGGGAACCTTGCTGGTAGCTGGGATTATGACATTCTCCATTTCTCGTCTCTGGCCATGGTGAAATTAGTTGTGCTCTGTTACTCTTGGCTTTCCTGATCTTAAAAGTCACTTAAGCCCTGTGAGCTTCTAGATCTTTAAAGGATAATTTTCTCCCCTTCTGTAAGAGAGTTGTGAAGATAAAGAAAGAATGTTTGTGCAAGTTTGGGTAAATGTAGAATCATAGGAAAGCTTATGCATAACTGATATAGTCAATTTTTCATAAATTATTTTCAGAAAGTTACGGCAATTTTCGCTAGAGACACAGGAAGCTCTTAGACTGCTTCTCCATCAGAGTCAAGCAATAGCTATTAAGTGGGTTTTAAAAAACTAACAAAAAGAGTGAAATTAGTTGATTTCTTGGTCCGCTGAATTGATTGAGTCACCCTTCAAGGTCGGAATAGACAACATTTTTTTTTTCACAAATATTTGCTTCAAAGAGGGGGTGGTGGCCAAAGTGGCCAGAGGTTGGGGCTGCTGCTTTTTCCCGTGGCCTGTGCGGAGCCCACACAGGGGCAATGGAAGAGCCAGCTCCAGGGTGATGCAGGAGGCAGAGGCAATCTTACGTCTGTGATTGCTTCCTCTGCCCAGTTCCAGAAAGTTCACAGGCATCTCGTCCTTAGCCATTCCCCACTACCACAAATTATTTCCAGAACTTTGATGGGAAGCAAAAGAAGTGACATCATGCCCTGCTGAGGGTGTGGTCTCCTGCTTAATACTCCAATGTGAATACCCCCCTTACTCCCAAAATTTAATTTCCTCCTTTGATGTTTCTTGGTCTCAGCATGTATTGGTTTTAGTGAGGGAGGATGGGGGAAAAGTCTCTTATTGGCTTTCCTCAGGCCTGCTCCCCTTATCAGTACAGCCATACAGTGCCTGTTATGGGCTGACTCTTGGTGTCCCCACAAAATTCATTTGTTGAAATCCTAACCTACAAGGTGATGGTATTAGAAGGCGGGGCCTTCTGTAAGTGATTACATCATGAGGGGGAACCCTCATGAGTGGGAGTAGTGCCCCTATAAAAGAGGACCCAGAGAGCTCACCCCTTTCACCGTGTGAGGACATGGCTAGAAGTCACCACCCATGGACCAGGAAGGCGCACCCTCATCAGACACCTAATCTGTTGGTGCCTTAGTCTCAGACTTCCTGCCCCACAACTGTGAGAAATCAGCATGGGCTGTTTAAGCCATCCAGTCCATGGTATATTTGTTATAGCAGCCCAAGCAGACTAAGGTAGGGCCCAAGGCTAAACTTCCCCACTCAATTTTCAGTATAAATCTGGTTACAAGTTGGGTTCTGTAGAGGCAAACCTTGAAACAGAATTTGAGGTACAAACTCATATTAGGGAGAACACCTATGGAAGGAAGGAGATGAAGCCTGGATGAGGAGAGGGAGAAACTGAACCCACTGCAGGCTCAGCAATGCCTGGTCAACCCAGCAGGGGGCTGTGGGTGGAGGAGGGTCCATCAGAGTTGTGCCCTGCTGGGCAGAAATGGCCAGGCCTGTTGACTCTCATCACACCTGGTCCCCAGATGTGGATTGTTCTGGGAAAGACAAGTCACCTTCCACAGCTGGGGAAAACCCTGAAGATGCTGGGGGCAGCAGGCTGTCTGCCTGCCATTCTCCCTATGATTGGCAGGCAGCCCTTTTTTGAAGAGGGTCTGGGCAGTGCACCCCCATGTCCACCAGCCTACTTCTTGTGCTTCTCAGGACCCCTGCTCCGTACTCACTCAGGAAGTGGCTTGTCCAGGATTCTGGTGGCCTCTCTTGCTCAGAAACCTAGAAGAGGCACGTGAGCAGGATAAGATACAGCCCCAGCCTCAGCAGTTGGGCTCCAGGCCACAAAACGATATGCAGCTTCCCTTCTCCACTGTACAATCTAGAATCCCCTCACCTTCACTTACCCTCGCTACTGGTCTTGGTGGCTTTCCTGGTGGTGGAACTAGACCCTCATCCCCAGAGAGTCTGCGCTCCCTAGTCACATGCTCTCCAGCTGCGGTTGTTGCACTTGTACATGTACAATCATAATGATGAAGATGGACCCAGTGGATCACCTGGATTCCACACTCACTCCTCATACCCTCATTTTTAATACCAGCCACCTCCTCCTGATGATCAGGGTCATCTAACCCTGCCAACAAAGTGACTGTTCTTCTTGCCTACTGGTCTCTCAACACAAAGAAATGAAAGTGCCCAGGTAGCAACCACATCATATTATTCAATGGGACTTCTACGGTGTCTCCCCGAGAAAGCATGCACCCTCTGGGGACCAGGACCTCTAGCCCTGCAGGGCCCAGAGTTGTAGGGGTGGGACGTACAGAGTCCACTAGTGTGTCATTAGGAGTCAGTGGTAAGTGGGGCCACCCCTGCTTTCACACCTTGGTTCCTGTATTCTTCCTCTTGGGGACACAGCTCCATATAATAACATTTGATTTGTGCATATATTACACTCTGGAGGACGGTACACTATCCTTGCAGTATTGCACTCAGCAGGGCTCAGCAGGTCATTCCAGTTCTCTATTAGCTGGCAGCTTCGTGATGGCAAGGTACATAGAACTAGGGCGTCTCATGGTCATGGGCCCACTCCCCTGACTTATTTGCAGAACAGAACCTAAAGGGAACCTATCAGGTGTCAGGTTTCTGTTTTCACAATGGGAGGTACAAGTTACAATAATTCATTCACTTTGGAGGAAATGTCCCAGCATACCTCTGTCCACTGGGCCCTAAAAATAGTAAGAGCATGGCAGCCCCTGAGTCCTTGTATTGTTCATCTCCAGTCCTCTGGAGTGTATGCGTGGTTGCCCTCCTCTTCCTTATCTGTCCCAATATAACACCACTGACGTAATGAGAACCAGGGTGATATTATATAGGATGTCCAGATGGTCCAGGTCTCTTGCGATTATGTCATGACAGGTTGGGAGAGTTAACGTATCTCTGGGACAAAATTGTAAATGGATATTGTTGTCTATTCCACGTGAATGCAAACTATTTATGATCCTCTTTTCTGAGAGGGATAGAAATAACACATTTGCCAAATAAATGACCACATACTATATACGTGAAGCTGTCTTCGTATGTTCTAACAAAGAAACGACAGCTACAGTCAGTCAGGGTTATAACTGGGCTGAGCCTGCAGTAGTCTCTAGTCTGCTCTAGGAGCCAAGTGCTTTCTGCAGGGGCTATCCCCTTGAGTTACATGGAGACATGAAAGGGACCACCTCTGCCTCCTTCAGAACCCTGAGGGCAGCAGTTATCTTTGCTATCTTTCCAGGGATACATTAGTGTTTTCGATTTACTGTCTAAGCTAGAGTGAGGTAATTGCAGAGGATTCCATTTGGCCTTTCCACAAATGGCCTTTCCATTTGACTGTCACTCCACAAGCCAAGGTCCCAATGGGGCTGTTACATGTACTGCCAAGCGTGTCGATCCCAATCATACCCTTGGGCACTGGGGAAATGGTCACAGTGTGGGTCCATGGATCCAGTGGACCTGCTGTAAGCTGGACCTGGGGCAGAGAACCTCTTATTTCATAACCCCCTTTCTCCCCATTCTAACAGCAGAGCCTTGATGGTGTTTTGGGTCTCTGGGTATCAATGTCAGCTGTGACTAACAATCCTGGAACTCTCTGATCCTTCCCCTTCCTTTATACAGCTACCACAGTAAATGTCTATAAATCCTTTTGTGAAAGGACTGGATGATTCTTGGGTGTGTACACTTGCCAGAATGTTGTAAGGTCCTTCCTTTTGGGGACCTAGCCACCTGTTCAGTCAATGAATTTTCAGTCTGAAATTTGACTTGGGTCCAGAAACTAAGCAAAGGGCTATGACATTTTATTGGGGCAACTTCTATCAGCCTACTGGTCACCTAGTCTCAATTTCTTCTGCTGCTATAAGCTGGGCAGTGCCCTTATCGGCTGCCCATCTATTAGATCCCTCAGAACTCCACAGTCTATTATGGGTCATAGTCCCTTAACTGCCACTCTGTCCCTGCTGGTCATTACAATAATTGCAATTCCTTGGCTTTGGGCAGTCTTGCCCCACTTCCTCTATTGTTTCAGGATCTAATCATCCCCATTGCAGTCAGCAAGCCAAGTTCTGTAGCAGCCTCTTCTGCCATCACCTCCAGCCTGCAGATGGACTTGGTGACGTGGGGCATAATCCTTATGGATTTGGTAAATACTGTGTTCACTTGGTCTTCCTATGGAATCTAATCCTCTACTGGGTGTTCCAGTGAAATGGGGGCAGAAGGAGTGATAAAATTGTAATGCAGCCTCAAAAAAATTTTGCCAATCTTATGGGGTGCTCTGGAGCAAGTAGTGGCTATTAGAGTTGCATCCTTTTGGACCAGAAAGGCCAGGCCTTTGTACCCCCACTCACTTAGTCACCAGGTGAGAGCTTCACAGGAAAGCATGTTTGGGTCAATGGGGACTCCGCAGCAGAGGTAGACCCCGAAGGAGCTGATCATGCAGGCTGTGTGCTGACCACTCTCCCTGCAGGTGGGTGGATCCTTCCTGGAATGGGGAGCTGAGCAGTGCATCTCTGTGTCTCCTAGTCTTTGTCCTTGATGATGTTTCACAAGCCCCCTGGGATATGCTAATAATGCCTATATTAGCCATTCCCCTAGAATTGTCATTGTGCTAGAAATGTACAGAATGCCCAGGGCCTCAAAGGTTTCAGAGTCATGGTTGGAGAAATTGCAGACATTTCAGGACTTTGCGTTCTTGGAGATAAACCTGGAAAACTCTCCCTTTCGCTGGTCTGGCATGAAAACTTGAGCCTTGGGATTGGAGCAGAAACCATACAATAAGGACATAGTAAGGGTCAGGAGTTCGGGCAGTGATCTGTGGGCACGATGGAGCCACTAAAGGGTTTGGAAATCTGGAGTGACATGTCTGGAGGTGTGTTATGAGAAGGGTTTTTCAGCAGCTCGTGTGGAAGATGGAATAGAGGAGATAGGTATCAGGGGACCAATTAGGACACCATTGCCATGGTTCATGTGAGAGATGAGCACCTGGACTAAGATGGTGATGGGGTGGGTGGAGAAGAGGGAATGATTTGAAAAACATCCAGGTGGTAGAATGCCAGGACATGCCTACATGGAATGTCACATGACAGGGAGGGGTGAGTCATGAATTCTCCAGTTTCTGCATCTGGGCACATTATTTTAACAGGCTCACTTCCCAAAGCATAACAGTGCAGTCAAATTAGAGAAAGGATTCGAAATGTTTCTATTTCAAAGTAATAGGAATAAAAGCAAGGAGGATTGGCAAACTGTTGGAATTTTCCTAGGCTGTTTTCACGTTAACTGTGACTAACAATTCTTCGTCCCATCTGCTCTTCTCATCCTGGGATTTCCTGTCCACCAGGCCCCTGCTGTCTTATGTGCCCTTTCTCTGAAGCTTGGGTTTCTCCTACATTCTGGGGTCCACACAGCTGACAGAGGGGGCGGGGGTCAAATACACACTCCAGGTCTTCTGATGGTCATGTTCAGTCCTAACTCCAGTTGCCTTATTCTTACCCATCCCACACCACCCTACTCTAGCAATGTGACATGACATAGACTCATGGTTCATACCTGCTTAGATGTTTCTTCAGGATTTAGGATTCTGACCAAAAGCCCCTTGGTTTGGGCCCCAGGCTTTAAAGGACCCCACTCTGGCTCTCATCTGGCTATACCTCTTTCCAAAGGGCAAGGAAACTGAGTCCCCCTCCTAGATCGTGGGCTAAATATTCAGGGCCTCAGAGTCTGCATCTAGGGACTGTGTGGTTCTTCCCTGGTTCTGTCCTCCTGATCTGTGTACCCCTAAGTTTTTGGGGGGCATGAACAGGTTACATGTGCAGACAGGGGTGTGCACACATGTGTGTGCAAGGCTTATCTCAGTGTGGAAAGAAGCCCAGGGTAGAGGTCGAGGAGGGTGAGCATGAGCCCAGGACCTCCATTAGTGTGCTTGTTCTGGACCTTGCAAATGTTAAGGATAGGCGTGCCCTAGAGCAGGGCTTCTCCTCTTTGGCAATATTGACATTTGGGGCTGAATAATCCCTTATTGTAAGAGGCTCTCCTGTGCGTTGTAGAATGATCAGCATCATCCCTGGCCTCTACCCACCAGATGCCGGTAATGCTACCCACCCCCATCACAACAATTTAAAATGTTTCCAGACATTTTCAAATGTCCTCCGGACTGGGGAGTCAGAGGAGGCAAAATAACTACCAGTTGAGAACCACTGCCCTAGAATGACTAGTTGGGTATAGCTGGTTGGGCCTAAAATTTCTAATTCAAAAGACCTTTAGGACTTGAAAAAACAAGTGGATTACAAAAAAAAAATTTTTAAATGTGTACACAACTTATTAAATAACTTCCTTTGGCATATGTAAGCAAGATATAGTAGTGGCAATCATGTGCATTGGTTACGAATTGCTGTCAGTGCTGTGGGTACCAGGAGAGGTGGCCAATTATTCTGTCCTGGCCTTGGTTCAGGACATCATCTGTCTGATTGAACTCCTGTGAACCACTGTGTTGCATTGTCCCTGGTTGCGTCTTCTCGGGTTCCACTCTCATCCTGTTGTACCCGCCACAACATATGGGACCCTTCAGTCTCCTGCTGCATTTCTAACCTAACTTGACTTGGACCCCAATGATTTTTCTCTTCTCAATCATAGACCAGAGTGACTTTGCTTCTCTTTCTCTAAAAATTGCACAAAACCATGGGGTGCCAAAGCCCCTCCCAGATCAGATTGCTGAGCCAAGGATTGCCTGAACTGAGCTATTTACCAGCCTTTTTTTTTTTTAAATCTTAGGAGCTTTTGGGCTCCTGGAGAAAGGCCTAACAGAAAAGCTCTTTCCCTGCACCACAAACCTTTTTATTTAAGATGTGTTATGGTCTTTCCTGTGAGCATTCTTATAGCAATGATGGAGCTGGATCAAAGGGTTTACACTTCCCCAGACGGGGACTGCCCCTTTATTGCTTTTTTATCCTTAGGAAATACTTGTAAGTGGTGCTTTTCTGGGAGGACCAGAAAGTGGTTCTTCTTCCTTCTGGTCCTCCCAAAAAGAAGCCACTTACAAGAATCTCCTTGTCATGGCTTGTTGCCCCCACCCTGGGATTACTATTGTCCTGATTGGAATCATGAACATCTCCCTGGTGGAGCTTCCTCTTGCTAATGACCCCTTGGGCCTGCTCTTCTGAGCTTTGGGTGGCATCACCTCGGGGAGACAATGTCTGTCTTCCTCAGTGGTAACACTCTCTGCCCCCACCTGCCCCCAGCCACCCAGGACCTATCTATGCTACTTGAAAAAAAAAGTGGACACTTATTCATTCTTTATAAGCTCCAGGAAAGCAGAGACTGTGTATGTCCTGCTGTAGACACGACTTTGGTTCCTGGCACACAGCAGGCTCATGGTAGACTCTGATGAGTAAATTTACTAATATGGTGAATCCTTGGAGGTCTTATCTAGAAAAATGCCTTAACAAACAATACTGGATAGAATTACTTTGGGTTTTAGGCCCTGCTTCTAGGCTCTTATAATAGACTCTGCAAGATTCAAACCAATTTGGCTGAATTTTAAGACAGTGATGATGTAGTAGGGGAAATATCATTTATTGAACACTTACTGTATATAGGCTGTATTCTAGGTGCTTTACATACTCTGCTGGGTTCAATCCTCATAGCAATCCTACAAGCAAGTATTCTCACCTGCATCTTAGAGATGAGACAAAGGAGACTCAACAAAAGTTAGAAACACAGTCATTGTTACAGTATAAGAGGCAGAGTTGAGATTTGAACCCAGGACCATCTGAGCAGCCTGTGTTTTTTTCCATCTATACTGCTGTTTCCATGACTGAGCAGAGGGAGCCACTGGGGGCAGACATGGGGCCCATGAGCAGAATGTTCCCCTGTCACATTCAGTGAGGAAGAGGTGTCTGCTGCCTATGGTCCACCATATCCAAACAAACTGTAGCTGTTCCCTCTATGTAGATAATGAAGAAGAAGAGAATGCTATAAAATAAATAAAACTGAAATTGAAGCCACACTGGTGGGCAAGGCCTACGCCAGGAAGATGTGGAGGAAGGTGAACCCTATGAGTGAGTTGGAGGAAAGCAGGTACAACCAAGCTGCGTAGATCCACTCTCCTCAGCTACTTGTAATAAAACATAGAAAGCTGGAATTTGTCATCCTTTCAAGTGGCTTAGCTGGTCCTTGGTTTAAATATACATAAAAACAATGCCAGGAAAAGAATGCAAGTAAACAAGTGTACGGCTCCAACCTAGATCAGCTTGTCGTCCCATGGTCGTCTTGTGCATTTAAAAATCTTACTTCCTGCCGGACGTGGTGGCTCACAGCTGTAATCCCAGCACTTTGAGAGGCTGAGGCGGGTGGATCATGAAGTCAGGAGTTCAAGACCAGCCTGGCCAAGATGGTGAAACCCCGTCTCTACTAAAAGTACAAAAATTACAGCATGCCTGTAATGCCAGCAACTCGGGAGGCTGAGGCAGGAGAATCACTTGAACCTGGGGGGCGGAGGTTGCAGTGAGCCGAGATTGTGCCACTGCACTCCAGCCTGGGTGACAGAGTGAGATTCCATCTCAAAAAAAAAAAAAAAATTCTTACTTCCAAGTCTTTTTAATCTCATATTATTAAAGGAGATATCTTGTAATTAGCATCCCCTCAAAAGCACATCAGCTTTCTCATCCTTGAAGAAAGGTTATTTAATTAATTTGAACATACTGAGAATCAAGTTGTTAGAAGTACAAGAAAGCAATCCCACAATTGGGAGATCTACATGGTAGGAACTCCTTCAGTGTAACAGCAAACTCACTCTTTGATAAAACTTACTCTTTGATTTTCTAAATGAGGAGCCCCAATTTGTGAAGACCGTTTCTGGATGGCCCACCGAGTGCTAGCTCTTTCCACATCCTTTAAATTAGCTGTCTCATTTCATTCTCACAACAGCCCTTGCATGGAGGCATTATTTTCCCCATTTCACACAAGAGAAAACTGTGACTCAGGAATTTGCTTAAAGTCATGGAATTGGTATGTAAAAAAATCTAGGATCCTACTACAGTCTATCCAGTTCCAGAGCCTAGATGATCCCAATCCTCGCTGTATTCAACAGCTTGCCTCAAATTCAAAGCCTAGAGACCTTAAGTGGACATGTGATTTGCATAAATTGCTTAACTCTTTGGGGCCAGCTTCCCCAAAATGTAAATTGGAATCCTGGTCTCTCCCTTCCATGGAAGTTCTGAAAATTAAAAAGTGGGAGATAGATATAGATGCATTTTGAAAAATTATAAGCCTACATTATAAGCATAAAGAGGTACTTTCATTTAACAATCAAAGGGAATTACATTTCTCTCTATTCCATCTAAGTTTTTAAGTATTACCAAGGCTTTTCAGGGTATCTATATTCTTGCTCTTTCATTGACCTGGAAAAATTTCCCCCAAATCTACCTTTCTATCTGGCAAACCTTCTCAGTTTTTTAAGCCTCCATTTTCAGGCACTGCCTCCTTCAGGAAGCCTTCTCTGACTTCCCCACCCCTGGCCATAGTCATAGCACCTGCTACACTGTGTTGTGTCTGCATTTTCACACATTAACTAGACCTAGAGATCTCCCAGGGCAGGGGGCATGGCCTAGTCTCTTCTGTCCTGACAAGGAATAAGACATATATTGCAATGCTTCAAGGACATTTATGGAACTGAACTACATTGCGTGAAACCCTCAAGTCTGAGTTCCTGAGACAAACTTTAAACCTAAACCCAAGAAACAATTATGCTGCATCAGGGAAAACCACGTTGAACTGAAATAAGGCCAGTGGAAGCAGTAGCTCAGCTCTGCTCCATTCAGCGAGGTGCTCCCACTTAGATCACTTCAGGTAGGGTGGGCCCCCATCCTGGGGGCATTCCTGTGAAGCAGGACTTTCCATTTTAAAACTTGGACAGTTCCAAGCTTACCATCCCTGAACATTCAGTACCAAAACTTTCAGTGTCAACTGGGACAAGTTGTGCACCCAAACCCCAGGTCCAAAGACAACCCGGCTGGGAGTCCAGCTGCTCTTGCAGTCAGTTTGTCTGTCTGCCGAACCAGGACACAGGAAGCCTCAGTCTCACTACTACAGGATGACATGGGCATCAGAAACAGGGGCTGCCGCTGTCAGAGCTGGGGACAGAGAGCCTGCAGCCTGGAATTCCATTGCTCGTACTTGGAGTGCAGCTCAAGGCAGCTCTCTGGAACATCAGCTCTATGGGGATGATCAGCTCCAGAGCTGTTGGTTCAAGGCTGGGAAGGTTTCTGAGATGCCACTTTGCTCTGGGATTTGGCAGCAAGGAAAGACCTGTTCTGGGGTTGATGAGCTCACAGCAGAGGCGTGGAAAGCTCAAAGATTGGGGAAATTCTGGGTGCAAAAGGAACGAAGGTGGGCAGAAGTTGGAAGAGGAATTTTGAAATGTAACTTGGATTTGGGGAAGGGATGTTGAGAGGTAAATTCTGAGAACAGAGCAATCAAAGGAACTGGGGAGTGGAGAAGAGAATTCTGAGACTATAACAGGGTTGGAGAGTGGAAAGAGGTATTGTCTAGAGCTTAATTAGCAAAACTGGTAGCCTGCGAAGAGCAGAGTCAGGGTTGAAAAAGCGAAGTCAGAATTCCAGGGGAGGCTGTCTGAGGGTCTAGCTCACTCTATTGCCAGCAGAAATATCTCTTTAGACCAGGATCGCTCAACCTCAGCACTATTGGCATTCGGGGTCAGATAATTCTCTGCTTGAGGGAGCTGTCCTGTGCATTAGCAGCATCCATGGCCTCTACCCACTAGATGCCAGTGGAACACCCTCATACCAGTTGTGATGATCGAAAACTTCTCCAGACATGACAACTATCTCCCTGGGAGCAAAATCTCCCCCGGCTGAGGATCAGTCGTAGATTGATCGTGGCCACCTTTACCTTCTCAAACTCTGTGTGAGCTTTGAGTATATCGCTTTCCAGCTCTGAGGAGCAGGGCGGGACATGGGCAGCCTCTTGGAAAATGTCTTTCATAAAAGCTAATCATTGGGGCTTTCTGGCTTCTGTGCTGCACTGAGGTAATTAGGGAATGGCCTGGTGAGCAAAGCTGCAGCGTTTCCCTGTTGGGAAGATGGTGCCATGCAGATCTGCTTAGATGCTTGCTACTCTGAGAAGGGCTTGGTTCAGCCAAGGCTCTATTTACATCTTCAGGTCCCTGGTGAGGCTTTGCTAGAGAGCAGATGGGGGCTGTTCTCCTGGAGGTAGCGAGTGTCTCAGAATAAGAGTGGAGACCACATGGGTGGAACAGAGCAGCTGGCTGGCTCGCAGCTGCATTCTACCACAGGGCTAATGAATGCAAGCCTCTTATTCCTTATGGCTCAAGATGGAGAACACTTTGATCGTTGTGGGCCTTTGTCCTGATCGTTTTGTTGCATCTTCTTCAGACCATCTTGGTGGGCAAATGCTAGACAATGCAGAACAGAGGAAAGGAGGCAGAAACAAGGGGAGCAAAAGACCCCCATAGTGAGGATTTCTTACCCAGCATCAAAATCTGTGCTAAAGTCAGCAAGATACACTAGAGCATAAAGGATCAAGCATGTGCCCTGTTGGGAAGATAGGGAATGAGATGGGAACAGCGGCCGTCAGAGCCCCACCCATGTCTCCTCAGCTTTTGCCACTGTGGTTCACCACAGCTGGCTTCCCACTGGCAGCATCTGCATTGCTCTGCCTGAGGGTGGCAGGGCCCATGGCAAGCCACAAGTCCTGGCGAATTAGTATCTGCCTCCAGGAGCCCTTACCTAATGACTGAAGTCAGTTGGGGTATAAATACCTCAGCTCTCTTGCCCCTTTGGTGGCATAACTCTAACGGGAGTAGTCTACACTGGCTTCTGTGGTTCTTCATTAGCATTACGCTCCAATTATCCACAGTAGTGTTTTGCTTGAGAATACACTCTTTATTGGCTGCCTTTTCTTCTCCTTGTTTCGGTTCCTCACTCTCTTAATGGCATTTCCTGGAATCACTTCTTAAATTAACTGTCTGTACTCAAACCCTCAATTTAAGGTCTGATTTTGAGGAAACACAAACAAACACATGGACAGAATGCTATTACATGACACCCTGGTGCTTACTTGTTCCATGGATGTGTCACGCACATAGAGGGGTGCACAATACAATGTCAAGGACATCACTGCCACACAACACATGTTGAACTATCACAGTCATTGGATGGCCATCTTACCGGTCTCATGGAAAATTTAATTTCCTTGAGTTTGATTTTGAGATAGGTTGGCCTGATTTCTCATAGCTAATGTAAATATAGGCTCTAGATTATAAGGAATTTCTGTAGATCTGTGCATTCTCATTTGGATTGGCCTTATATTTTAAAACAAATTTTAAATGTGTTCATTTCAATTTATACTGGCATACAATTCTTGCTGCTGCAGTGAAGACTGACATAATGGAGCTAATACAATCTCTTGTTTTAGGGTTGACACAAACAGAAGGGTTGACTTTGGGCTAAATCTTTATCTAGATCCCTGCTTTTTTGAGAAGTGCTTGGATTTATCAGCATTAGAACCCTTATATTTATATCTTAGAAAATTGAGATTATTAAAAGCTTTGAGTAACATTTATTAGCTCTATTTCTCTTTATTAGCCAAAAAACCCCTATAATGCATCCTTTGCAATACACAAGGGTTAAGGTTTTTTAATGATTCAATTTTTTAAAAAATTTTTATTTTATTTGTTATATATATTTAAGCTGTATAACATGATGTTTTAATATACATAATGAAATAATTACTGTAGTCAATACAATTAACATATTCATGACTTTACCTAGTTACTTTGTGTATGTGTGTGGTTAAGAACACCTGAAATCTACTCTTTTGGCAATTTTCCAGTATACAGTACCATGTTATTAGCTCTAGTCACCACACTGTACACTAGTACTCTAGTTGTTCATAGTACATAACTGTAGCTTTGTACCTTTTGACCAACATCTCCCCGATTCCTTACTTCTCCTCACCCCTGGTAACCACCTTTCTGTTCTTTGTTTCCATGTATTTGACTTTTTTAGATTCCACATATAAGTGAGATATGCAATATTTTTCTTTCTGTATCTGGCTTATTTCACTTAGCATAACATCCTTTACCTTCATCCATGTTGTCATAAATGGCAGAATCACCTTTTTTAAGGCTCTACAATATTCCATTATGTATTCCACAATTCCTTTATTCATTTATCCCTCGATGGACACAGATTATTTGCCTATCTTGGCTATTGTGAATAATCCTTCAATGGATATAGAAGTGCAGAGATCTCCATGTGGTATTTCTAATTTCCTTTCCTGTGGGTATATACCAAGATAGAGAGATTGCTGAATCATATGATTGTTCTATTTTTAATTTTTTGAAGAACCTCCATACTGCTTTCCATAATGGCTGTACCAATTTACATTGGCACCAGCAGTGTACAATGATTTCCTTTTCTCCACACCTTTCCCAACACATGTTATCTCTTGTCTTTGATAACTGTCATCCTAACAAGTGTGAGATGATAATATCTCATTCGATTTTTTTTTTTTTGAGATGGAGTCTCACTCTGTCACCCAGGCTGGAGTGCAATGGCATGATCGGCTCACTGCAACCTCTGACTCCCAGGTTCAAGCGATTCTCCTCCCTCAGCCTCCTGAGTAGCTGGGGTTACAGACACGTGCCACCACGCCCGGCTAATTTTTGTATTTTTAGTAGAGACAAGGTTTCACCATGTTGGTAAGGCTGGTCTCGGACTCCTGACCTTGTGATCCACCCACCTCGGCCTCCCAAAGTGCCGGGATTACAGGTGTGAGCCACCGCGCCTGGCCGATAGATATCTCATTTGATTTTAATTTGCATTTCCCTGAAATGTAATGATGTTGACCACCTTTTCATATACCTATTATCCATTTTTATGTTCCCTTTGGAGAAATATTTATTCGGGTCTTTGCCCATTTTTAATCAGGTTATTTGTTTTCTCATTATTGAATTGTGTGCATTCCTTATATATTTAAATATTAACCCCTATCAGGTATATGATCCACAAATATTTTCTCCCAATCTGTTGGTTGCCTTTTCATTTTGTTGACTGTTTCTTTTGTTGTGCAGAAGCTTTTTAGGTTGATATAGTCCCACTTGTTTATTTTTGCTTTTGTTACCTGATTTTGGTGTGATATCCAAGAAGTCTTTAATGATTCCCTTGCGTAACTTCATGCCAAACCCAAGAAGAAATCATCAGAATACTCTACCTCTACTTATCGACCTCACTTCAGCTACCTCATTACTGGCAGATATGGCTGGAATTTTTTAAACAACCATAATATTTGCTAATTAGTTTCCAATTTTAAAAAATGCATGCTGTTGTAGATGTAACCTAGATCTTAGTTGAGAATGCCAAGATTTAGAGAAAATTAGCTCAACCCTCTTATCCTGTATTTGTGGGAATTCCAATGAACTTCTTCAGATTTCTGAACATTCCCAGGGACATAAATTCTCATCACTTCTGGCTGTATACTAGTAATCTACTTTAGCTGAACTTTTGTTCTCATGAGCTTCTTAACTTCCCATGGCTGGCATCTTCCCTGCTCTGCACAGATCCAGATAGGAAATCTATCTCCTGTTCCTTATTTCCAACAAAAATTCACACAAGGCCATTTTTGTGTGGGTGGACTTTATCAGATGTTTGGGAAACAGAAGGGGTTCATGTTACAGCAAAGTAAACAAGTTTAAATGAGGATAAGTCACTAGAATGTTTGCAGGAAAAGAAAAATGAGGATGCCTTTTCTTCTGGTGACTCCACACTGGGGAGTTTTCATTGGCAACTTTTCTCCCACAATCCTGGTTTCCCGTCTCCTGCCATGATGCTCTGCTCTTTCTTAGTTCACTAGATGTTTGTCTCCTTACTCTTGGAATAGGTTAGATCATTGTTTGTGAAATAATCTGTTTCCCTCTCTGTAGGGAGGTGCCTCTTCCTCCAGGAGGTTGGAATATCCCCATTCTGTTTAACGCAGGAGTAGCTTTGTGACATGCTTTGGCCCATGACACGTGGCTGCAGGGGATGAGGGTAACATCTGGGCAAAAGCTTGCAGAGCCAGGGCACGGGTCATCGACTCTTCCTCCTTACCCTGGTGACTGTCAGGGTTCCAGAGAGAAGCAGCTCTGGGAATCTAGGTCCGGAGTGCAGATAGCGGGGAGCTTATGCGCTAAGTGCACTGATTAATTCTAGTAAGATGTCTGGTGTTTTTTTGGATTTTCTTATGTGATCATGTCATCTGTGACTAAAGACAAGTTTTTTCCTTCCATTCTAATTCCTTTATCTTCTTGCTTTAGTGACTATTTAGAAGTGATTTAAAAGCTCCAGGGCAGTGTCAAATAACAATAATGGTAGCAGGCAACTCTAATGCATTCCCAATCTCAGGGGAGAGATCCATTAAGCCTCCCGTAGGCTTTTTGTAGATTCCTTTTATCAGATTAAGAAAGTTCTCTTCTATTCTTAGTTTTCTAAATATTTTTAAACACAAACATAATAAATTTCATCAAATGCCTTTTCTGCATATATTGAAATATTATCTTTATTCTTTAATCTATTAAATTGGTCAATTATAATAATTGATTTTTGAATGTCAAATTAACCATGCATTGCTGAAATAAAAAATATTATTTTTATACATCACTGGATTTGGACTACCATATTTTACTTAAGATTTTTGCATTTATATTCATAAAGATATTGGCTGATATTTGGTATCTCTTGCGATGCCCTTCTTGGTTTCTTATCACATTTTTCCTGGCCTTATAAAAGCCCTTTACACCTGGGCTTGGAATTTTCTTTCTGCAAGTCCTTTATTTTCTTTGGGTCAGGTTTAGTGAATTGTGTTTTTCTAGAAATTTGTCCATTTCTAATTTTTAAATCTATTGCCATAAATTCTTCAACTAGCCTTTTATAATTTTGTTAATGTTTGTGGGATCTTCTGTGATGGCTCCCTTTTAATTCCTGATTCTGGTCTTGTGCCTTCTCTCCTTTTTCCTTAATCAGCTTTTCTTTGGGGGTGGAGAGTATATTAGTAATCTCTTGCAGCATAAAAATTACCCTAAAACTCAGTGGCTTAAAACAATAATCTTGCACAGCTTCCGTGTGAGGGAATGGATTCTAGAAATGGATTAGCTAGGTGGTTCTGGCTCAAGGTCTCTCATGAGGTTGCAGTCAAGATGTCATCTGAGGCTACGTTCAAGTGAAGTCTTAACTCAGGCTAAAGGACCTACTTCCAAAGTAGCTCACTCACATACCTGGCAAGTTACTGAAATTTGTTGGCAATTGCTAGAGGCCTCTTTTCTTTACCATGTGAACCTCTCTATAGGATTGCTTGAGTGTCTTCACAACAGGGCAGCTGGCTTCCCCCTACAAGGGATCCTGGGAGGTTGGGCAGATAGCCATTTGTTTTTCTGGTAGATTCTTACGAACTGGGTTCTTTATGGGGGTTCAAATCTCTGCATTAATATGCATTTCCTCTCCCTTCCTGCTTATCTGGTCCCAACTTCAGGGCTGCCACATCCACAGTTGCCTCTGAAAGGCAAATGCCTACAGGGATGTGCAAGGAGAGCTCCTCCAGAGGGTTTGAAGCCAGGTGTGAATGTCATTGGCCAGAAGAAGTGGTCCCTGGCAATGCTGGTCTCAGAATGCCGCCTGCTGTGTGGCTTCTCAGAGAGGGGGAACTGGTTTGTCCAAGTCAGGCTCTGACTAAGCAAGGCCTCAGTGACAAAGGCCACCACTTATTATGTAGCAACACTGTACCAGACACAGGCTCACCTCCTGCATTCTCACCACAACATGTGAAAAGAAGTGAGCATCCTAACCCCCATTTATAGATGAGAAAAGTAAGGCTAGAAGAGGTCAAGGAGCATGTCTAAAGTCGCATGGCTGGTAAATGACAAAGTCTAGACTTCAATGCAGGTCTGGGTGAGGCACCACCTGCTACAGGTACAGATGAAGAAGATGGACAGAGATCAGCACATGCTCTGCCTCACCCTGGTGCCTGAGCCCTAGCAGAGCAAGACAGCATCCATGGCCTTAGAACTTCCCCCACAGGATCCAGGGCGAGGGTCTTAGGAGAGAAAAGGGCACTGCCTTCCCAAGCCCACTGTCTACTACCCCACAACACGTCCCTGGGGGCCCAGGAGAAAGCCAGGTCTATGGCAGGGAACCATTAGGCCAATGAATGACTCTTGCCCATTGGCAGACCCTTGTTTAGGGACATAATTGTTCTTCGAGGGAACAGCAGTCATCCCAGGTGTTACAGACTGAACTGTGTCCCCCTCCCAAAAGATATTGAGAACCTAAACTCCACTACCTGTGAAGATCACCTTATTTGGAAGTAGTGTCTTTGCAAATGATCAAGTTAAGATGAGGTCATTAGGGTGGGCCCTAATCCAATATGGCTGTGTCCTTTTATAAAAAGGAGAAATTTAGACACAGGGGTAGATACAAATAGGGAGACACCCACACACAGGGGGAGCGCCATGGGAAGATGGAGGCTGAGATCACGCTGATGCAGCCATAAGCCTAGGAATGCTGAAGATTGCCGGCAAGCTACTAGAAGTTAGGAGCAAGGGCTGGAACAGAGCCTTGCTCTCAGCCTCAGAAGGAACCAACCTGTCAACACCTTGGTTTCAGATTTCTAGCTTCTCGAATGGTGAGGCAATAAATATCTGTGGTTTAGACCACCCAGATTGGGGCACTTTGTTATGGTAGCCCCGGGAAACTAACGGAGTCCTGGAATTTGTGTCTTCCTCCCAGCCCTTCAGCTGGATCTGACTGAGAGACCCCAGTAGCCCTGGTGCCACTGCCTGACTTGAAGG